>NC_000004.12:76421381-77671381 GCF_000001405.40 Homo sapiens
GGGGTGTACCCAGCCCGGAGTCAAATCCTGGAGCCCTGCCCCAGAAACTACCCTGGGTTCGGACCTGCACCCGGCGCCCTCTGCCGCTTCTCCCACAGCCTCCTAACTGGTCTCCGGCCCTACTCTTGCCCCCACCCGAGCGCCTCGGGCCACTCTCGTAGCTGTCCCCACCGTGGTCTTCCCAGATAACTCACTGACCCGCACCAGTCTGAGCTCTTACCTGCCAAAGAGTCAAGCCCAATCTGGAGTTGCCCGCCGGGCCTCCTACTCTGACACCCCCACCCGGCCCCACCTCACCCCCCCCTCCCATTCCCACTCCTGGCATTCCCATTTGACCATTTCAAGTTAACAGAATTCACATTTTGCAGCTCTGTTTTCTCTGTCCCCGAATGTTCAAGTTCAAACGTGTTCTCGGCATAGCTGACCCTTCTGCCTCTGGAGACTTGTTCCCTCCGCTGTGCTACAGTTACCCTCTGTCATTATCTCTAATATAGAATTTATCAGATTTTGCTGCCCAAATTATCGATCAAATGGAACGCATCCAGAAAGGCCAGTGTCTGATAGATGCAGCCTGAGGCATTTAATTCTGCTAGCAATCACATTGTGCAGACACCTACAGCAAATAACTTTTTATGTATAAGTTGATTAGAAATATTAGTAAGTCTTACATTAAATAATGTAGCTACAAATTTTAATAAAAATAGATTAAATGCCATTAAAGATTGTTTATCATATCTTTGTAGTTAATCCATTTATTGGCTTATAGAGATCTAGGATTAGCTATAGAATCGAGCATTTTTAACAGGAAGTGAAACCATAAGTATTACATAGAAAGGTAAATAATTTAGGTCTTGTGGTTGGACAAAAAGCAATTTCTAATTTTTTCTTTTTTCTATCAAAACATGAGTGTTCAATGACATAAAAATTTTCCATACCTAATACATGGTTTCCATTGGTGTCTCATTTTGTGCTTGTACCCTGGACACACACAAAAAGGTTTTTTTCTTTTCAACGTCTTTAATTAAAAGGTGTGTTAATTAGTGTAGCATGAAATTATCTACACCCACATATATGTACGAAAAGTTATGTGCCCCTGATTTTACTATAAAATTCATCACATTTTGAAGTGTCCTGCGGTTTTACAACATTTTTTAAATATTGTATTAAAAACAGCTTCTTAGCTTTTTAAATAAAGAATTAAAAGATCAAGAAAGGGATCCAAAGTCCTTTTCCATTCATTCATTCATTCCATCCATATTTATAGGGCACCTACAACATGCTATGTGTAGGTTGTGACAATAAAGCTGGGGCCCTCTCCCTCTCCCTCTCCCCCTCCCCCTCCCCCTCCTTTTCCCTCTCCAAGGTCTCCCTCTCCCTCTCTTTCCACGGTCTCCCTCTGATGCCCAGCCGAAGCTGGACTGTACTGCTGCCATGTCGGCTCTCTGCAACCTCCCTGCCTGATTCTCCTGCCTCAGCCTGCGGAGTGCCTGCCATTGCAGGCGCGCGCCGCCACGCCTGACTGGTTTTCGTATTTTTCTGGTGGAGACGGGGTTTCGCTGTGCTGGCCGGGCTGGTCTCCAGCTCCTAACCGCGAGTGATCCGCCAGCCTCGGCCTCCGGAGGTGCCGGGATTGCAGACGGTGTCTGGTTCACTCAGTGCTCAATGGTGCCCAGGCTGGAGTGCAGTGGCGTGATCTCGGCTCGCTACAACCTCCACCTCCCAGCCGCCTGCCTTGGCCTCCCAAAGTGCGGAGAGTGCTGCCTCTGCCCGGCCGCCACCCCGTCTGGGAAGTGAGGAGCGTCTCTGCCTGGCCGCCTATCTTCTGGGATGTGAGGAGCCCCTCTGCCTGGCTGCCCAGTCTGGAAAGTGAGGAGTGCCTCTTCCCGGCCGCCATCCCATCTAGGAAGCGAGGAGCGTCTCTGCCCGGCCGCTCATCGTCTGAGATGTGGGGAGCGCCTTTGCCCCGCCGCCCCGTCTGCGGTGTGAGGAGCGCCTCTGCCCGGCCGCGACCCCGTCTGGGAGGTGAGGAGCATCTCTGCCCAGCTGCCCCGTCTGAGAAGTGAGGAGACCCTCTGCCTGGCAACTGTCCCGTCTGAGAAGTGAGGAGCCCCTCCGCCTGGCAGCCGCCCCATCTGAGAAGTGAGGAGCCCCTCCGCCCGGCAGCCACCCCGTCTGGGAAGTGAGGAGCGTCTCCGCCCGGCAGCCACCCCGTCCGGGAGGGAGGTGGGGGTCAGCCCCTCTGCCCGGCCAGCCGCCCCATCCGGGAGGGAGGTGGGGGGGTCAGCCCCCCGCCCGGCCAGCCACCCCATCCGGGAGGTGAGGGGCGCCTCTGCCCGGCCGCCCCTACTGGGAAGTGAGGAGCCCCTCTGCCTGGCCACCACCCCGTCTGGGAGGTGTACCCAACAGCTCATTGAGAACGGGCCATGATGACAATGGTGGTTTTGTGGAATAGAAAGGGGGGAAAGGTGGGGAAAAGATTGAGAAATCGGATGGTTGCCGTGTCTGTGTGGAAAGAAGTAGACATGGGAGACTTTTCATTTTGTTCTGTACTAAGAAAAATTCTTCTGCCTTGGGATCCTGTTGAACTGTGACCTTACCCCCAAACCTGTGCTCTCTGAAACATGTGCTGTGTCCACTCAGGGTTAAATGGATTAAGGGCGGTGCAAGATGTGCTTTGTTAAACAGATGCTTGAAGGCAGCATGCTCGTTAAGAGTCACCACCACTCCCTAATCTCAAGTACCCAGGGACACAAACACTGCGGAAGGCCGCAGGGTCCTCTGCCTAGGAAAGCCAGAGACCTTTGTTCACTTGTTTCTTTGTTCACTTGGTTATCTGCTGACCTTCCCTCCACTATTGTCCGATGACCCTGCCAAATCCCCCTCTGCGAGAAACACCCAAGAATGATCAATTAAAAAAAAAAAGATCGAAAAAAAAAAAAAAAAAAGAAAGCTGGGAACAAATACAGTCCCTACCCTAGTAGTGCTTACATTCTTGTAGAGGAAGATGAGCAATGCACAAATAGACAAGTTCAAATATGCCAGATGGGGATACGTGTTGTGGAGACAGAGGTAGGAGGTTAGGGAGTGTGGGGCTGCTGTTTCATAGTGAGGTCTTGAAAAGGCCTCATTGATAAAGTGACATTCAAAAGAGACTTGTAGGGCTGGGGGAAGGGATCTGTGTGGTTATTGTGGGACAGAGCTTTTCAGGCATTTGGTTGGTGTGTTTGAAAAAACCCAGAGGCTAGTGAGGACTGAGCAGAGTGGATGAACAAGCAGAGGTTGGGGCGTTGTGGTCATTTAGGGCCCAAGTCACCGAGAGCTCTTTAGTAAGAGTCCATGCATAGGTCCAAGGTTGTTGTGTCTCCCTTCACTGGTTCTTACTCTGCACTAGACCCTGTGCTGGGTACTGGGGAGATGCAAAGAAGCTCCAGTTTCTGCCCTCAAGGAACCTGTGTCCCTCCTAATGTCAATCCAAATGGTGGCTGGGGTTTGTGAGGATGCAGTTAAGACTCAGGAACATGGAACCCAGGCCTGATCTGAGCTTTGGCACTAGCTTGGGCAAGCCATTTGAACTTACAAAGCGTTAGTATTTTCATCTGCAAAATGTGAGATGTAGAAATATCAGAAGGGGCTTTTCTAACTGAAGAAAAAAAAAAAACAAGAAAAAGCCCTATGATTTTATAAAATCAAAGCATAGAACTTTATCTTAATACAAAAACTTTTGTTAAAATTGTGTCAGAAAAGTACTTCAGACATAATATACATAATGCATATACAGGGTCACTTAAAATTTAATTCACAATTTGCTAAGTTCAAAAAAAGTCTTGGTTCAGCCAACACAACGAGCTTTGTAAACAGGTGGTACTTAGGAAAAACCACATATTTTAATTTAGCATATGGTGTAGATTATATGAAATTACTTTAACCATTGTGTTTCCTTTATGATCTAGACCTTGAAACTTTTCTTTGGCCAAAGATCTTCAAAACTAAATACAGTGTTAAAGCAGAGTTACAGAGCAGCCTGGATTAGGGGGATAGATATTTTCCTTTCCTGACTATGGTTTAAAACTTTCTGTTGTACATTTTATTGGGCAACGACTTTTCCCCAGTGCCCAGTACAGAGCTGGACATATAGAAGTCATCAATATATATTGTGGTGGAGGGGATAAGTGGCAAGTCATCTCTAATACATAGTATTAGTATGCAAGTACATAGAGCATAAAATATTAAAAGACCATGTAGTTAATGTTCTGACATTCTTCTCTCCACCAGCGACACAAGGAGAGAAATATATCTAATTAGAAAGCTTGAGTTCAATAAACAAATATTTATTGAGCACCAACTGAGTATCAGGAACATCAGTGAACAAAACGGACCCAAACCCTGCCCTCATGGAACTTACGTTTCAGTGGTGGGGGACGGATCATAAATAATCACCGTGACAAAATTAATGCACTAGAAGGTGGTAAATGCCATGGGGACAAAGGAAGCAGGGAAGGAGAAGAGGAAGTGTGGGATGGATTGTGACTGAGTCCAAACTTGTTCTTCTTGCCACATCACGTCAATAAGTCAAGAGACAAGGAGGTGGAGGAAGGAAAGCGACTTTATTTTGGGGAGCCAGGAAACCAAGAAGAAGCAGACCAATGTCCTAAAGAACCATCTTAGAATTATGCGAGCTTTGCCTTGTCTTTTATATTTAAGTGACAGGGAACCGCAGACATCTGGGCACCAACAAGGGTCCAGGGGAAGTCTGTGAAACTTCTTTGTCCTTGGGTAACGTTCTCTCATGTAACGATAGCCAAACCTCCTTGTTCCTGTAAATCTTTAACAAAACATAGTTGTTTATATACTTCTTCTTTAATCCTAGGGTTAGTTTCCAAGACTACATGATTGCAGTTTTTGCATTGTATCTTAGTGCTCTAAAATTATCCTAACCGATGTGCAGGAATGGGTATCCCCTTAAATAAAAAATGGAGTTAGTTATGTTAGTTCTTTTACTGTTTCGCTGTTGCAGTATGGAAATAGAGCAGAGAAGAGCCCCTCCAGGTGTGAGCAGAACCTTGAAGGAGACAGGGAGCAGCCATGTGGCTCTCAGAGGAACAGCATTTCCAGGAGGAATTGTGATTGTATTTCTGGGAACACATCTTGGCAGGGTAAGTAATTTCTAATTTGGGACTACTTTTGAATTAGTTTTAAAAGGAAACTTTTCATATGCCATCTTAATTTAAAGAGTAGAAATGTTTGTATTATTTGGAGCTGATTGAGGTTTTAAAAATCAACTTTTTTGAGTTATACTTCATTTCCAATACAATTTTTTTTTTTGAGACTGAGTCTCGCTCTGTTGCCCAGGCTGGAGTGCAGTGGCGCGATCTTGGCTCACTGCAAGCTCCGCCTCCCGGGTTCATGCCATTCTCCTGCCTCAGTTTCCCGAGTAGCTGGGACTACAGGTGCCCGCCACCATGCCCGGCTAATTTTTTTTTTTTTTACTTTTATTAGAGACAGGGTTTCCCCATATTAGCCAGGATGGTCTCAATCTCCTGACCTCGTGATCTGCCCGCCTCAGCCTCCCGAAGTGCTGGGATTACAGGCATGAGCCACTGTGCCCGGCCAATTCATTCATTTTAAGTGTGCTTTTTGTGTGTGGAAGTCATAAAAATCAAAGTTTTTTTCTTGTCGATATGATGACAAAATATTTAATAGAATGCTAAAGATCAACAATCTTGGCCGGGTCTAGTGGCTCACACCTGTAATCCCAACACTTTGGGAGTCTGAAGCGGGAGGATTGCTTGAGGCTAGGAGTTTGAGACCAGCTCAGGCAACATAGAGAGACTCTGTCTCTATTTTCTTTTAAAAATAAAAATTTAAAAGAAGAATAACAGGCTGGGCGCAGTGGCTCACGCCTGTAATCCCAGCACTTTGGGAGGCTGAGGCAGGTGGATCACTTGAGGTCAGGAGTTCGAGACCAGCCTGGCCAACATGGTGAAACCCCACCTCTACCAAAAATACAAAAAATAAGCTGGGCGTGGTGGCGTGTGCCTGTAATCCCAGTTACTCAGGCAGGAGAATCGCTTGAACCCAGTAGGTGGAGGTTGCAGTGAGCCAAAATTGCGCCACTGCACTCCAGCTTGGGTGTCAGAGTGAGACTCTGTCTCAAAATAAATAAATAATAACAATCTTTAATTAAATCATTTATATTGTTATCACAATGGTATAGTTTACAATCCTAGATAAAACCACCAAATGCCTTTTTAGATATGGGCTTAGAAAATGGAAGTAGTGTAAGATAAACCATTTATTTTCTATGAAGGGAAAATATTCAAATTGGCAGCATATAAATTTTGATTCACAGATTGTTTTGGAATGCTTAAATAAAGATAACATTAGCAGAGGTATAAACATGATGGAAACCTTCAATAGCAAACAAAGTACATGTTTTATAACAAGAAAATCAATGAGTAAACAACCAAAAAATAAACAGATGAATAAAGCAAGAAAACATATGTAAGTTCTTTCTTTGTGTTGTATTAGTGTGTAATTATTTTTACTGTCCTGTCTATAATTCATTGGGCTTTTTGAATCTGTAGTTTGTTTCTTTCAAAGGTCTGAAAAACCCTCAATTTTATGTATATATAAATTGAGTGAGAGAGAGACAGAGGTGAGGGTATTTATTACAGAGTGGGGAGAGAGAGAAAAAGACACAGAGAGAGAGACAGAGACAGAGAGATGGGGAAGGGGGATTTATTATAGGAATTGGCTCACACAATTTTGGAGGCTAAATTCCATGACATGCCCTCTACAAGCTGATGACCCAGGAAAGCTGGTGTTGTAATTTAGTCTAAATTTAAAGGCCCTGTCCCAGGGCAGGAGAAGATGATATCCCAGCCTGAGAGAGAATTTAAGTGTGCTTTTAAGTGGTGAGTTTTGAGAAATGTGTATACCCAGTAACGAAACACTTCGGTCAAGATTTCTGTCTCCCCAGAAAGTTCCTTGTGTTCCTTGGCAGTCGTTCTCTCCCGCAACACTGATATGGGTTTTTACAAATACAAGTCTTTTTTTTTTTTTGATTGACAAACTCTTTTACAGACTGATGAAAAAAGGGGATAGAAGTAACAGATGGAAGTCAGATAGCTAATAAAGGGAGATTGCCTGTTCTCCTCTAGGCCTTGTTTCTGCCTTTGAGATCATTGTCATTAGCATCTTTGAAGCCAACTAATCCTTTATCATAACCATCTTTTGTTTAAGATCTCAGTACCATTGTTTTTGCTGAGATATATTCTTTCTTTCTTTTTTTTGACAGAGTTTCACTCTTGTCACCCAGGCTGGAGTGCAATGGCACCATTTTGGCTCACTGCAACCTCCGCCTCCCAGGTTCAAGTGATTCTCCTGCCTCAGCCTCCTGAAGTAGCTGGGATTACAGGCGCCCGCCACCGTATTCTTATTAAGATCTTTTACTTCTATTTAGGAAGAAATAGTGTAAGTTTGCGGATATAATTCTAGCAGTTTTTAAATAATAATCTACTACAGTGACTTCTATAACAGTTGTGACTTCTGTCAGGGATCTAATATCAAGTATGTGCCATCAGATATTATTATTATTTGGATCTTTATGCATCTGGCAGTTTTCTGACTTTTCACTACAACCATGCTTACCATGATTAAGTGATGAATAATGATCTAATTAATCATAGTGTCATGTTTTACATTTCTTTACCTTTTATAAGCACTTTTTAAACTTACTGTGGTAAAATATACATAGGATAAAATTTATCTTTTTAACTATTTTCAATCGTACAATTCCATGGCATTCACATAGGCATATTGTTATGTAACCATTACCACCATCCATCTCCAGAACTTTTTCATTTTTCCAGACTGAAGCTCTGTACCCATTAAACAGTAACTCCTTATTCCCTCGTCTCTCATCCCCTGAAAGCACCATACTACTTTCGCTTTCTGTCAGTTTGACTACTCTAGGTATCTCATATAAATGGAATCATACAATATTTGTCCTTTTGTGTCTGGCTTATTTAACATAGTGTCTTCAGGGTTCATCTATGTTGCAGCATATATCAGAATTTCATTCATTTTTTTAAATAAAAAAGGATTTAGATCACAGATTTCATTCATTTTTAAGTCTGGAAAGTATTTCATTGCATGTATATTCTACATTTGGGCTACCTATTCATTTGTCCATGAAGTCCTTCAGTTGTTTAAAAACTAATTTTATTGAGCTATAATTTCCATTCAATAAACTGTATACATTTAAAGTGTACCATGTGATGAGTTTCGGCATACATATATGCACCTGTGAAACTACTGCTTCAAGCAAGACATGGAGCATTTAGATCATTCCCAAATAATTTGAGTTGATTGTGTTTTGATAGTTCTGCCACCAACTTATGATATTTGGTGAAGCAAATGCTGTAAATTGCATATTCAGCATCTATCCCCACTTCCTCCTTTCTCAAGAACCCCAGTGTTGAACACAACATTCTACAGAGCCCTGTGCTTCAGGGGAAGTTCTAGTAGGTAGATCTTGATTAGTTTAAATCTAATCTTTGTGCTTTCATTCCTCTTCCAAGTGACTGTTTTCAGAGGAAGCATTTGATCTACTTCATGGCATTGAGAAATGAGGGAAGATCAGCTGGGAAAGTTTTCCTCAATCTTTCTTTTCTTTTCTTTTCTTTTTTCTTTGAGACAGAGTCTCACTCTGTCACCCAGGCTTGAGTGCAGTGGCGCCATCTCCCTCACTGCAACCTCTGCCTCCCAGGTTCAAGCGATTCTTCTGCTTCAGCCTCTCGAGTAGCTGGGACTACAGGCATGCACCACCCCACCCGGCTAATATTTTTTGTATTTTTAGTAGAGACAGGTTTTCACCATGTTGGCCAGGCTGGTCTCAAACTCCTGACTTCAGGAGTCACCCACTTCAGCCTCCCAAAGTGCTGAGATTACAAGTGTGAACCACCGTGCCCGGTGTTTTTTCGTTTTGTTTTGTTTTAAATCAGCTGACATCATGCTTTGATCCCCAATCTTAAGGAGACACATGAAGACATGATTCTTTTTGCCTGTGAAAGGCTGCCTAGAGAGATTGCACAAACTTTAAAATAAGATTGATTTTTGTCTATTTAGGATTGTTCTGAGGCCTTCTAAGAAAGACTAAATAAACTTCCAACTTATAATTTAACAATTTATTAGGCCGGGCGCGGTGGCTCACGCCTGTAATCCTAGCACTTTGGGAGGCCGAGGCGGGTGGATTGCCTGAGCTGAGGAGGTCAAGACCAGCCTGGTCTGGTCTCAATCAAAAAGCTTGAGAATTGCCAGACTGGGTGAAACCCCGTCTCTACTAAAATACAAAAAAAAAGTAGTCAGGTGTGGCAGTGTGTGCCTGTAATCCCAGCTACTCGAGAGGCTGTGACAGGAGAATCACTTGAACCCGGGAGGCAGAGGTTGCAGTGAGCCGAGCCGAGATCGCCATTGCACTCCAGCCTGGGTGACAAAGTGAGACTCTGTCTCAAAAAAAAAAAAAACCCTATTTATTGTCTACAGTTAATTTACTTTACCGATTAGTGAGCCAGAATAGCCAGTAGATGTCGCTCTGATTTCATTTTCAGAGATAACCTACTGACTTTTCAATCTCTTAAATATTCCATCTAGAAGCATTTTTAAAAATCCAATAAGTTGACAATCACATTAAAAGTTTTAGCAAAAAATAAAGAGAAAAACATTAGGGCATACTAAGAAAAATTAAAATCAAGAAATGGGAATTTTCAAAAGATCAACTTAATTTTTCCTTCAGTGCTGTTAACAAATACAATGATGTGTGATTGCTAAAAAGTCAAAACAGTGATTAGGAAGATGACATTTAACAGACTGTTTGGTGTAGGGATGCTAAACAAGTGGTAGAGTCAATATGACTGATATATTTTTCTGTTCTGGGGCCATATTCACAATGACAGCAATATGAGCTCAATAACTCACAGTGGGAATTTTTCGTATAGAGACAGAAAATAAAGTTGTAAGCTACATTGGATCTATTTGTCATGAAGGGAAGAATCTGATCAAGAAAGCAGGAGTAATTCTAAGTTAGAGGCAGAAGGAAGGAGAGAAGTAATAGACAGAAAAACACAATGTGAAGCTTCATTTTTGGTACTGTGCTAAGCTTCTCTAAACTTTCTCCCAAACCAGGAAAAACCACGAAGGGGTTTCCTTGTGTATTACTCTGAACTCTTTCAGTTGCAAGAAGCAGAAACTCAACCCCCGCTGGTTTAAGGAAAAAATAAACAGGTACCTATGGGGTCATAAAACTGGTAATTGTAGGAGTGGGGTGGCTTTAGGCCTGGCTGCATCTGCTTATGGTGGCCTAAAGCCACCCCACTCCTACAATTACCAGTTTTATGATCCCATAGGAACTTGGAAAGTTAAGGGTCTTCAGGGTCAAAACTGCTTTTGTAATAATACTAAGACATTGTGTACCTTTTCCACTTGCTCTCTCAAAAATGTATAGGGGAATCTTCCAGTGGCTATATGCCATGTGATATTGAACAAATTGAATACAGAAGCAGATGGTAGAATCCAACCATCTTCTACTAACCTGGCCATTAAAGAGAGTTGCAAATATGTGAAACAGTGCCACTCTTCTTGGTAATATTTTTTGTTTGAGACAATGTAATTATTTTTCATAAAAATATTAATATGTTACTTTAACATATAAAGATTTATTATTTTTAAATGAATTAATACATAAGTATTTTAAAATGTTCTTTTCTATTTTCTAATATAGTAAATATTGATCAATACAAAACACATAAAATTTATCTGGAGTCTTCAATAATTTTTAAGCATGTAAGGGTTCCTGAAACCAAAAAGCTTGAGAATTGCCAGCTTCAGTAAGGTACAATTGGGCACAAGGCTCAATGGTATCACCAGAACTGTCTCCCCCTTATCATAGACTGCTTTTCTCAGAGCTGGTTTCCTTCTCAGGCGTGTGATATCAAAGATGACTTCCAGCTGGGGCGTGGCAGCTCACACTTGTAATCTCAGCACATTGGGAGGCTGAGGCGGAAGGATCACTTGAGCCCAGGAGTTTGAGATCAGCCTGGGCAACAGAGTGAGACCCTGTCTGTACAAAACAATTTTTAAAACTGGCCAGGCATGGTGACATGCACCTGTAGTCTCAGCTACTTGCGAGGCTGAGGTGGGAGCACTGCTTGAGCCTGGGAGATTGAGGCTACAGTAGGCCGCCATCACACCCTGCATTCCAGCCTGGGCGACAAAGCTAGACTCTGTCTCAATTAAAAAAAAAATAAAAAATAAAAAAAGACTTCCAGCAACTCAAAAATTTTATCTACCAACCTAGCAAACCATAGGAGAAAATGCCATTTTTTGACAGCACTAGTAAAATTTCTAGTTATAACATTGGTCACACTTAAGTCTCATGCCCATCCACATATCAATCATTTGAGCCAGGGGTTGGTTGATTCCTGGGTCATTACGTCCACCCTGGAGCCGGGGACAGGGGCAGCCCACCAGCACCACAGGATCGAGGAAGAAGTGGTTCCCTAGAAAGATGATGAATGGGGCATAAAAGAAGTCCTCTATTAGAAAGCCTGAGTCCTATGCTGTTCTCAGTTAGAATCCCAACCTTTCTTTCCACTGTCAGCACCTTGAGACAATAGAGTTGCCTTTCTCTTCTTGGGGAGGAGTCTGATTGCATTCTGTAATTAAGAGTTTGCATCCAAATCACATATCCTAACAGAAGTTCTTCTTACGAATTAGCAGTGCTATGCCAAAAGAAAGTTGTCTTTTCACCGTAAACTATGCAGAACACCTGACTTAAGCTAGGATTTCATTCCTAAACGTCTGAAGATTTAAATTTCATGCCTGCCTGTGTTGCTTGCAGGATTACTCTGGTCAGATCATTTAACCTTCTGGTGGCCTCTGTGTCCTTACCTCTAAAATCAAGGGTGTGGGAGGATTGTCTCTTGCAGCTTTAACATTCTTTGAATCTGATCAACAGAAGATGGAGGAAAAAAGTTCTTCCAAACCTGGTCTATCAACTGCTATAGTGAAGGTCCACAAAATGAAGTTTTACATTTTTTTTTCAGATTACATATCAATTTTGGTTCTATGTTTGTTTCTTCAATATTTTTGGTGATAATCTAAAATGGAGATTTCATCAGTCTGCAAGCACTGGGTTCATATTATCTTTTCCTTATTTCCTTTGCCTTTAGCTTCATTACTTTTTTTGTTTATTATTTTTTAAATTGACAACTAAAAATTATATATACTTATGGTGTACCACATGATGTTTTGATATAAGTATGCATTGTAAAATGGCTAAATCAAGGAATTAACCTATTACCTCACATACTAATTTTTTTTGTGGTGAGAGCACTTAAAATCTAATCTTAGCAATTTCCAAATATACAATACATTGTTATAACTATGGTCATCATGCTGTACAATAGATCTCTTGAGCTTATGCCTCCTAACTGAAATTTTGTATAGCTATGTTACTTTTAATATTAAATGTGGATTCTGTAAAATCCCAGTTTTTACAAAATGTATTAGGAGTAACATAATAAGAGCCTCATAAATTAATTTTTTCAGAAAGAAAGCTGTTCATTTACCTAGGACTTTTATTTAAAATACATATGTTCTTTGAAATGAAAGAAAAGCTAATGTTTCTCCATTTATTCTAACTTACAAATTAAGCTGTAAAAGAAAACCACAATAGAAATTGCGTAAATTACCCTTAAGAATCAGCCAATTTTTACCACATACTTTCATTTGGTACACCTTAGGTTTCCTTATGTTTCCATTCACATACTACCATTACATAAGGTTTTACTTTTTTTTTTTTTTTTTTGTCTTTGAGCCCTTCAAGTGAAGTTACCATTGAAAATCAAACAATACCTGTCCAGTGTTGTAAATTAAATATCGTGTAGTTTGATATCATATACCTGCCTTTCCATATCAGCCTTTCATTAATTATAAGTACAAACACCAAAATAATTGTTATCAAGCCCCACAGTAGTTTTTAACTTCAGTTTTCAACTTAATTCTCATTATCCCATACTTTTAAACAGAAAAAAGTTTTAGTACATATATTACCTGGAAGTAATTCTAATCTGTTCCAATAACTAAATAGCTGAGGCTTCTGGGTTAGATATGGTTATCTTCTACTGTTCAAATTTTTAATACAAAGCATGAATGTTAAATTTGTATATAACATTATTACAAAATGACACTGGTAACATGAAATCAGAACAACATTCTTTCCCGAGTACCTAGTACTTACCCACAAGGCATTGTAGATTTCTTTTCATTTAAAGAGTGGATAACAATCTTGGAGTAGATAACAATGAAAACCTAGAAAAAAAAACCCACCTCCTGTTTTTATTGAGTCAAACAAGCAGAACTTTGATTGGAAAGTCCCATTTCATATATTACACTGGTAGTATTTTCTTCTAACGAAAAAAAAAAAGCCCTTGTGCCACCACCTTGACATGTACTTAAACGTTTACCCAAATCACTTAGGCATTGCTTCTCAAACTTGGCTGCATAGCAGAATTGCCTGGAGGGTTTTTAAAAACACAAATGCCTATGTCTCACTCCCTGAAATTCTCCTTTAATTGGTACGAGGCGGGGCTATTCTAGGAACTATTTTCTATCCCTTGGCAATTAGCCATCTGTATAGTATTTTTAACTTCCTACGTGTTATTAACTGTAAGACTGTTTGAATTGTCAGGTCTTTGTGGTGAGCTGAATTCTGCATGGCAGTGCTTACTGTGCAGAAAGGTTGCAATGCCTCACTTTGCCTTAATCCATGTTCCTCTAACTTCCTTACTCTTTCTCTCAAGAGGAGGCAAGTGGCTGTGGCGGCCGCAGCAGTGGCTGATCATCACTGAAAATACCAAAGAAAAGAACTGAGCTGCCTCCTTCATATTTTTTCCATTGAGGATTAATTTACCGTGCTTTTTCATTTTCTCTACATCCTGCAAAAGTTTTTTTCTCTCCTAAGAAACAAACTATGAACTGATTGTTGAAAAAAAGAAGTAAAAAGTTTTAGCACAGCTTCTCTGTCTCTTCGGGACAAGTTAGAAAATTCTGAAGTGAGCCGAAGCATAGTAAGTGCTTTCTTTCTTTTTAAGCTACTTCTGGGGAGGGAGGAGGCTATTGTAATGGTAAATTTCACTCCGAGAGGAAGAAAGGGTTGATAATCAATCAAAAATGAGGTATTCCTTTGAGTATTTGTGATTTTCTTACTATATTGTAAGATGCTTTTAATTTTCTCTGTAAAATAGGCAGAAATGGTTTTAGTGTGTGTATGTGTGAAATAAAAGCTCAGAAAAGCAATCTTCAGAGCGCCACTGAAGGAAGTTTTGACGAACGGAGTAGAGATGTATACCACTTGGGGGCTTCAGTGAGAACCCAGAATTCCTGGAGGAGGATTTACATTCAGAAATGTTGAAGTGAAAATTCCTTCTGGTTCAGCATCTTGGAGTTCAGCTTGGAAGAACATTTTACGTATGGAAGAATTTGCTTCTCCAAACCTCTCTTTTGGCCATTGTGTGTCCTGAAGGATGGGACAACTTGTGCTGTAGAAGCACTGCTTGCCTGAGTTTGCTTCAGGCATTTTAAATTTAACTTGAGGGATCATGTGTTTGGCATGATGAGGACCACTGAAGACTTCCACAAGCCTAGTGCCACATTAAACTCTAACACGGCCACCAAGGGAAGGTACATTTATCTGGAGGCATTCCTGGAGGGAGGAGCTCCCTGGGGTTTTACTCTAAAGGGTGGCCTGGAGCACGGAGAACCATTAATCATCTCTAAGGTATGTTTCTTTTTCCAATATTGCCTTTATTCAAATTGTTTTTTTCAACTTGTCAGATTTGTCAAAAATGCAAAATAATGAGAACTGCCTTAATATAACTTAATTTGCTGTTTCATGCCTTTCTGATTATCTAGAAATATTTTGGATAGCCTGGGATTTGAAAGAAAAATGTGTCTAGCTCATTTATTCTATGAAATCCGAAGAAAAATATGCCTGTTTGATGGATAATCTTCTCTTTTTGTGAATGAAATCGCATACAATCAGTTACCACATGAGCTTTTCAGTTATAAATCAGATTAAAGATTAATAACATGGTTAAGATGGTGGCATGGTATATATTTGTGCATTCAAAAATATCTGCTTTTTCTCTCTTCAACTGAAAATAGCATCTAAAAATATTTTAAGTTTGCTTATAATTCTGGATAATAGATTGCATAAATACCATGTGTTGCTTTTTTTCCCCACACTCAGAAAGGAGAATTAAATCAGCTTTCAGCATAACTCAAGATCAAAACATTTCTGCCTCTCCTATTTATCTGTATATTTGAATCCCTTTTTAAACCTTAGTCATCCTGCAGCATACCTCAATTCTTCATTTATCTTTTGGTGTGGGTAGTCATACCAATGAAATATTTATGTACTGGGGTTAATATTTCTATTTTTCTCTTAAACTACAGATTAACATTACTTGTTATAATATTGCTTTTAAATTTTTAGAGTATTTAATAGTCTGATACAATAGATTATAATGGCTTTTCACACATGTGCATTCATCAAGAAACATTTGTAATTAAGGGAGAAAAAATTTTTAATTTGAGGGTGGGAAGAAGGTAATATGGATTGCATTTGAGCTCTGTTATTGGTTCAGGTTACTTTTCATATCCCCAGAAATAATTCCAAAAGGTTATTTTTCAAATTACTGAAGTAATTCTTACTGTGGATGAGCCAGGGAGAACTGGGTTTCACAGTGATAAGCCACGAGTGCACGGGACACCATTATAAGTTGTATGACTTTTCCTTAACTTTCTTAAGTAAAACAAAAGGATGTGCATATGTGTGTGTCAGTTAGGAAGGCTTCCCCCTGTGAAAAAAATTCAAAACCGAGTTTATAGTGGCTCTCAGTAAATTGGGGTTTGTTTTTCTCATATTACAAGAAGTTTGGAGGTAGATTTTCCAGGCAAGGGGAGCAGCAGCTCAATAATGTGATCAAGGACCCCACTTATCTCTCCACTCTGCCATTCTTATGATGTTGGCTTTGTCTTCATGGTTGCATGATGGATCCCACAACTCCAGCATTGATTGCATCTTCATTCCAGACAGGTTTTTGGCTTTTTGTTTCTCATTAGACCTTTGCTTTCATCTCATTAACCAGAACTGTACCCTGTGCCTGTCTTTAGGCCAATCACTGGTAAGAAATGCCAGTGATTAATACAGACTGATTAGGATTTCTTTCACAGGTTTCTACAATAAGGACCTACTCTTCCTGAAGTCAAGGAATCATTGCCCACTGTTTGAATGATTTGAGGTTCTTTTTGCAGGAAGAAAGAGGGCATGGTTGCTGAATAACAGATAATTCTGCAATGAACATAAATATTGTCTCGGCATTTAAAAAGTCTAGTTGTACACAATTTGCCTGTCCCTTAATGATAAAATATTCTGTATCTATACACTACAGTATCTGACAGTTTGCTGACAGAAAGGTCTAATCCTCCCACTAATGAGCCAGCTTCTCTAAGCCTCCATTTTACCTGCAGAATGGGGCTATCCTACTATCTACTTTAATGGGTTGTGTTTAAATGCAACCATGCATTTAGGTTAGTGTCTAGTACACAGAAGGAGCAAAGATTATGATTATTGCTTTTCATTATTCTAGCAGACATGTGTAGTAGGAGACAGGTCTGGCTGCTGTAAAAAGATCCAAAATAACAATAATATAGGAATTTATTTCTCTGACATAACAGTCTGAGCATAAGCCAAACCAAAAGATGGCTCTATGATGTCAGGGACCCAAGTTCCTTCTATTTTCTTACTTCCATCCTGGAGTGATATCTCATCTTCATGGTCCAAGTGACTTGCCACCACATCTGCTTTCCAGTCAGTAAGAAGCAGGGAAGAGGGAAAAGAGAAGGCAATCTCCTTTCTTTCAAGGATCCAATCTGGTCCAATGTGCTCTGTCCAATATGGTGGCCCACAGTCACATGTGACTATTTCTATTTCAATTAAAGGTAACTAAAATGAAGTAAAAAATTTTAAACTCTGTTTAAATGTTCCTCATTTGCACTTGTTGCATTCCAAGAGTCGTACTGTTCCGAAGCTCTTGAACATCTTCCCCCATGTTGTCTGTCTGGCAAACTCTTTAAAGCTCCATTTCTTCTTCTCTCTGAGGTTTTCCTGATGTCACCCAAGTTGAGTTCCGTGGTCTCCCTTCTACACTTCCATATTATGCATGTATTACATTGAATCATAAAATTTTATTTCGTTGATTGCCTTCTCAGAAGTCTGTGAGCCTTTTTAGGGCAGGGACTATTTTTTTTTTTTCATCTCTATCACATCTAAATCAGAGCCTAGGTACACAAATGTTTGTTGAGTATATGAAAGGGCATGGCTGTGTCTTACTCATTTTGCATTTTCAGGATCTAGCACAGTGCCTGGCACAGAGTAGGCACTCAATAACTTTTACTGAATTAATAAGCAAAAGACCAAACAGAACCAATGAGGATGCCAGGCAGACCTCCATGTGGGGCATGTATTAGTTTCCTATTGCTGCTGTAACAAATTACTACAAACTTATGGCTTAAAAACAACACAACTTACAGTTCTGTAGGTGACACACCTCACACAGATCTCACTGAGCTAAAGTCAGTGTGTCAGCAGGGCTGTGTTCCTTGCTGGAGGCTCTAGGGGAAGATGTGTTTTCTTGCCCTGTCTAGCTTCTAGAGGCTGCCCACATTCCCTGGCTCATGGTCCCCTTCCTCCATCTTCAAAGTCTGCAACAGCAGGTTGAGTCCTTCTCACCCTGCAGCTGACCTCTGACTGCCTCTCTCTTTCACTTTTAAGGCCTCTTGTGAGTACCTTGGACCTACCAGGATAATCCTGGATAATCTCTCTATTTTAAAATCAGCTGGTTAATAGCCTTAATTGTATTTGCAACCTTAATTCACCCTTACTAAATAACCTGACATATTCACAGGTTTCAGGGATTAGAATGCAGACATCTTAGGGGAGACAGGGCATTATTTTGCCTACCACCAGGCATTTGAGCATTGGTAGAAGTCTATGTAATTAAGGCAGTACCAGGGATGAGACTAAAGTGAAATGTGGTGGCTGATCATGCGTATACTAGATCTTCTCTCTAAGACAATGAAAGAAAATGCACATTAGCTCATACACTGCTAACCAGATGTCTACTATTCTCCCAAGTTAGGGTGACCCTCCATTGTAGGGGAAGGGAAGGGATAGTACACATTGAGTCACACATATGAAAGGCACAAACACATTATACAAGGCAGCTATAAACTGCCAGGTTATGGATGGCAATATAATAAATGAAGTATCATTTTTCTTTAGATATAAATGAGGCAGGAGAATGAATGGCCGTAAAGGATCTACAAAGGGTAACAATAGAATAAATCATTTTTGAATTGCTTTCTTTGGGATTTAATATCCTTGGAAAGGAAAGGTGGGGTTGTGGAAAGCGCCTCTGTAATCTGTGAACTTCAAAAAGAAAGGGTAACTTTTAAAAAATTGTCATTGTAAGTGGATGCTCAGGTAATTCAATAGTCCAGGAAGTTGGTGGCATGATTTTATTATGATTCACTTACTCTGTATTGTGGCTCAGAAAAGCAGTTCCACCTGCAGAAGAGATGCACCTGCTCCCAGGGCTCATAAGCCAAGTAACAACAATAAACAACAACAGCAGCAACTGCCGGTACTTATTTAGTGTTTGTGATGTTCCAGGCTCTATTCCAAGAGATCTACGTGTTCACCCATTTAATTTCCACAACTTCACAGAGAGGGTAACACTCTTATCCCAATGTTATATGTGGGACACGCACCCAGAATTAATTTGAGTAACTTGCTGAAGCTCTCATAGCTACTAAGTGATGCAGTCAGGATTTGAACTCATGCATTCTGGTTCCAGAGTCCATGCGCCTCACACCCTATGCCATTCAGTCTCCATTGCCTACTGAACATTTGGCTCTCTCTAGATTCTAGAGCTATTATCTGAGTGAAGTATGGGATTGATATTTCATTATATAAGTTTTTAAATCTATTCGGGGGAATTTTAAAAAATACATAGTCCAATAAGATTCCATAAAATAGGTCTGACTACTGCTCAGTCAACTGCTTTAAGTAGTTCAAGACCCATAAAATAAGGGGACACCTGCTGTTCTTGGCAAATATATTCATGGTGTCTCCACCTGTAGAGGCATTTCTTTGTGCTTTTCAAACATGGACTTCAGAATTTAAAGGTAGGCCACTGCCCTGGTCTCTTTTGTCTCTTACATCATCAACACTCAGCAATGTGCTGGTCAAAGCACTCCTCCATCAGTGCTTATATTTCTGATTTCTACTCCCCTGGAAGGTATCTGTGCTCTAGCTGGACTATCTCTATGCCATCTCATTATAAATCTTGCTGGTTCCATCTTCCACACTGTCACCTCTCCTTCTCCAAAACTGCTTCCTCCACCTGTAATATCACCACCTTTTTTCTATCAATCCAAATCTTAGCCTCCTTGTCCACCAAGACTTGACTCACTGACTCTATTTCATCAACAGCTTTCCATTCTTTATCTATGGAGGCGAGGGGGAGGTGCTTAAGGCTCATTTTACCAGTTCTTCAGCCACAGTCCTGAGTTCAATTTGTTTTTTTTTTTTTTTTTTTTTGAGACAGAGTCTCACTCTGTCGCCCAGGCTGGAGTGCAGTGCAGTGGCGCGATCTCGGCTCACTGCAAGCTCCGCCTCCTGGGTTCACGCCATTCTCCTGCCTCAGACTCCCAAGTAGCTGGGACTACAGGCGCCTGCCACACGCCTGGCTAATTTTTTGTATTTTTAGTAGAGACAGGGTTTCGCCGTGTTAGCCAGGATGGACTCGATCTCCTGACCTCGTGATCCACCCACCTCGGCCTCCCAAAGTGTTGGGATTACAGGCGTGAGCCACCGCGCCCAGCCCCTGAGTTCAATTTGAAATGGATTTTTAGGCAGTTCCCCAAGACCTGGATCTGGTTGAGGACCCAAAGTCATCTTTTTCGTCTCCTTCCAACTACCACATTAGATCAGCTCGTCATTCTGACCTTTTAAAATAGCCAATCCTTTCTGACTTTTTCCCTTTCTTGCTTTTTCCTTTAACATCCTTTGCCCTTCCTACTAGGGTAGCCTCATCTCTCTGCTGCTCTTCAGCTAGTTTGTTTCTTCCCTTATTGTTCAATCTATCTTTGTCCTGCCTTTGCATTCATTCTTCTTTCCTCTTATCTCCCCAGTGGCTTTATTTTTTATTTTAATTATTATTTTTTGTTTTTGAGATAGAGTTTCGCTCTTGTTGCCCAGGCTGGAGTGCAATGGCACGATCTCGGCTCACTGCAACCTCTGCCTCCTGGGTTCAAGCGATTCTCCTGCCTCAGCCTCCCAAGTAGCTGGGATTACAGGCATGCGCCACCACACCCAGTTAATTTTGTATTTTTAGTAGAGACGGGGTTTCTCTATGTTGGTGAGGCTGGTCTCAAGCTCCCAACCTCGAGTGATGTACCTACCTCGGCCTCCCAAAATTCCGAGATTACAGGCGTGAGCCACCCCACTCGGCTTCCCAGTGGCTTTTTATTATACAGGTATATAAAGGTCCTATAAAGGTAGTTGTTTGCATTTGGCGTCCTGCCAATAAATTGTACTCGTTAAGGCCAGATGGGTTTTACTCATGCTGTATATATTTCTTCTCTTAGCAAAATCTTTCTCATTTACACATAGCAAATGCTTAATAAATGTTAAATGACTTACAGGATTGTACAGCTATAGGAAAATTAGCAATCATGTAATAACTTTCTTCGTACACAGAGAGAAAACTGAGATGCAAAAAAAGTTGCCAAGATGGTTTCAGTCTTAGCAAATTGAGAGTATGTGTGTATCTGTGTGTATGTAAAGCCCCAGCTAGTAAGGAAGTAATTGCTTTCTCTGATTGTGCCCTTTATAGTTTTTTTTTTTTTTTTTTTTTTGGAGACAGAGTCTTGCTCTGTCGCCCAGGCTGGAGTGCAGTGGTGCGATCTCGGGTCACTGTAAGCTCCACCTCCCGGGTTCACGCCATTCTCCTGCCTCAGCCTCCTGAGTAGCAGGGACTATAGGCGTCCGCCACCACGCACGGCTAATTTTTTGTATTTTTAGTAGAGATAGGGTTTCACCGTGTTAGCCAGGATGGTCTCGATCTCCTTACCTTATGATCCGCCCACCTCGGCCTCCCAAAGTGCTGGGATTACAGGCGTGAGTCACCGTGCCCGGCCCCACCCTTTATACTTTTCTATGAATCCTAGCTCCCCTGTTAGACTGTTACCTTCCAGAAGCTAAAGACCCTTCATTGATTCCTTTTCTCTCTCTCTCTCCCCTTCCCTTCTTTCCTTCCTCCTTTTCTTTTTATTATTCGTGGTGCTTAAACTATACGTAACAATTATGAAAATGAAAATGTGAATGAATAAAGAGGAAGATAAGTATTAGAGAGGATATTCTTAAAAATCTTTGTTAGAAGCTACCTAGGCCAGTGTGCACACAGGTTACTAGAAAAACCTGTTTAAAAACTAAGGCAAGCAGGTTAAGTTGGGCTCAGTCTGACCATGTCTTTCATATGCACATATGTAATGTTTGGTAAATGTCTGTTGAATTGAATTAGATTGAGAAAAAAGGGAAACTCATGTTTTTCTTTAACTTTTAAACCTTTAAAAATTAACTATTATTTTAGTTAAAGTCTTACGCATTTTTTAGTACAAATTAATTTTGATATTTCCTATCAATGTTGTTGGAAATAACTTTTATTCAAGTAGCATGCTGACATGCTGTACCAAATGGGTCTTAGCATCAGTAAGAACTCTGCTTTCTTTCACAGCTAATAGATTCCCAAGGCTTTGCCTTCTATGCAGGGGACACAATTTATTTTAAGAAATATTCATCTCATTTTAGTGAGCCCACAGTGTGATTGGAGAGGCATAATGAGAGACTTTCTATCAATTTTTGAAAAAACAAAACCTCAAAGGACATGCTGGATCTTAACTAATCCATAGACAGACTCTTCCACATCTCTCCCTTTGATGTAGTTCCAAACAGTGAACATCTTATCCAAAGGGCTGCAGTGCAGAGTCCTTGTTCTCCCACTTGGTTCATCCCAGGAGTCCATCCATCTCTTGTGCTCTGACATCCCAGGCACTTCTCAATGAAACAAAATGAGGCAAAGATTCTCTACTAAATCTAAGCACTGTTTCTCCCCCTCTTCTAATGACTTTCTCCACAAAGGCTACATGGGTACGCTGTGGATCTTGGTTTGTAGAATGGAAGTGATTCTTTTCTGCCTTCAGAGGAAGCTTTCCTGATTTGGCAGACCGATGTACAGAACACTCTGTCCTGGGCATCTGAACCTGAATTTGCACTTATGTCAACTACATTTTTTCATTCCTCAATATCTATTTGTTTTCTTCTCCATTTTCAGCAGTATTTTTTTCTTGGAGATTTATGAGATTATTTATTTATTTTGAGACAAGACTTCATTCTGTCACCTAGGCTAGAGTGCAGTGGCATGATCACAGCTCATTGCAGCCTTGACCTCCCTGGGGTGAGCTTCTTACCTCAGCCTCCCAAGTAGCTGGGATTAAAGGTGGACACCACCACACCCGGCTAATTTTTGTAGAGGTGGGGTTTTGCTATGTTTCCCAGGCTGGTCTCAAACTCCTCAGCTCAAGTGATCTGCCCACCTCAACCTCCCTAAGTGCTGAGATTGCAGGAGTGATCCACCACGCCTGGCCTAAACCTTTATTTTTGAATGCTCTTTGGTGCATGTATATTAATTTATATTTGTAATTTCTATGTTATATATATGTATATATGTATATATATATTTTCATTTTAAGTGAGGTTTTCCAGCATAGAAAAAAGCTTACATCCCAGACAATATAGGGCTCTGAGTGGGAATAAACAAGTTTTATTTCTACCCTAGCTTTTACTGGCTATGTGACCATGGCAAGTAACAGCCTTCTTGAACCTCAGTTTCCAGTTTCCTCATCTCTCTTTCTTTCTTTTTTTTTTTTTTTTTTTTTTTTTTTGAGACGGAGTCTTGCTCTGTCGCCCAGGCTGGAGTGCAGTGACACGATGATCTTGGCTCACTGCAACCTCCACCTCCCGGGTTCAAGCGATTCTCCTGCCTTAGCCTCCCAAGTAGCTGGGACTACAGGCATGGGCCCCATGCCTGGCTAATTTTTGTATTTTTAGTAGAGATGGGGTTTCACCATATTGGTCAGGCTGGTCTTGAACTCCTGACTTCGTGATCCGCCTGCTTCGGCCTCCCAAAGTACTGGGATTACAGGCATGAGCCACCACGCCTGGCCAGTTTTCTCATCTTTCAAAGGCACCAGGCATGGTGGCTCACACCTGTAATCCTAGCACTTTGGGAGGATGAGTCAGGTGGATCATTTGAGTCCAGGAGTTCAAAACCAGCTTGGGCAACATGGCAAAACCCTGTCTCTACAAAAAATACAAAAATTTGCCAGGCATGGTGGTGCATGCCTGTGGTCCCAGCTACTCAGGAGGCTGAGGTGGGAGGATCGCTTGAGCCCAGGAGGTGGAGATTACAGTGAGCCAAGATTGTGCTACTGCACTGTAGCCAGGTGACAGAGCCAGACATTGTCTCAAAAAAAAAAAAAAAAGGAACATTCTTACCTAATGAAGTTGTTATAAGTATCCAACATAGTATAAGCTATGCAATAGTGCTTTGTAGGTATCCAGCATAGGTAGGCAACTCATATGCCAAAGATGATACTTGGCTGATTTTCTGTATCATGGCCAGCAGTTGCTACCTCACACTGAAACACTGAACAGATTATTCCCTGCCATCATAGAGCTTATATTCCAACAGAAGGGGACTGGCAATAAACATGTTTGTATATGCTAATTTCAGGGTGTGGTAAGTATTATTAAGAAAAAAAATACCCAATACGATATGTTCCAGAGTGATAGTGTCTGTGAGGTAGAGGTATGCCACATGGTGATTAGAGAAGGGTTTTCTGAGGAGATGACATTTGAGCCAAGACCTAATAAGAAATAAGAAGCCAGACATGCAAAGAGGTTTATAAGTTGGGCTGAGGTAGGAGAGTCTTAGAAAGTTCTAGAAACAAAAAGAAAGTCAGTGTTATTGGAGTACAGTAAGCGAGAGAGTAGTATGAGAAATGGAAAGGTAGGCTGAGGTCAGATCACATAAGGCCTTGCAGGCTGTGGAAAGGACCTTGGACTGGATCTAAATGCAGGGTGTGAGGGTAGATCGCACCAAGAGTCTTTCTCTATTCATGGTGAAATGGACAGACCCATGGCAGGTACTTAAACCCTGGGAGGTTTTTAGTACTGGCTCTTAAAGCCACCTTCTTCCTCCCTCTCATGTACATTTCTAAGGTACTTCCTGGGTCTACAACAGGACAGGGCTTTCCAAAAGACAACTGTTAACCAAAAGACAACTGTCAACATCATAGTAACTTAGGGAATGATGCACAAAGAAACAGTAAATACTCTCTTTGCTGTTGGGAGAGTTTTCCCCCTCCACCCCATAACTCTTGATCTCTTGGGTTATTTTTCACTCTCAATTGACAAGACTTCCTGGGTTGCTTTTATCACCGTACTGTCAGTAACTTGACTGAGGTCCTGCTCTGTAACAGGCATGCTAGCTCATGTAAGCATTGCAAAACTCTGGGAAGTCCTATAGGTGGAGAGACTGGACTCTTGCTGAAGGTCATAAAACTACTAAGGTACACATCTAAGACCTTTTTAACTTTCAGCCTGAAAAATTTCTTTCAAAGTAAAAACTGCGTTGTCACTTTGTGATGCCAAAGAACCCTTCCATCTATGTTACCCCATATCTTGATAAACTGGTAAAAAAAAAAAAAAAAAGTGGAATGCATGAACTGTGTGCAACAGTCAGTCAACTTGGTGGCATCCTTAAGGTGCCCTGCTCGGTGAAATGGCGGCGGTGGGGGATGCACATCTACTTCTATTAACACTGGGAGTTCAACTGGGCTCTCTGCATCTTCCCAGGTGCTGCTTCCTGCTGCTTTTTACTTCTGCTAGACTCTGACCACTCTGGTTGTTTGGGTGGGGTATATCCCATCACATGGATAGGCCATGAAAAAACCTCAACCCCCAAGGCCT
This sequence comes from Homo sapiens, assembly GCF_000001405.40. Lineage (NCBI taxonomy): Eukaryota > Metazoa > Chordata > Mammalia > Primates > Hominidae > Homo > Homo sapiens. The sequence goes on from NC_000004.12 coordinate 76,446,601, forward strand.
GGTACTCAAGGAGAAATACTAGACGAACATTAGATGGTTTAAAGCTAACAGGGACTGAAACCAGTTAAAAGAGGGAATCAGACATAAGTTGCAAACTGATAGAACAATGATCTGCTGGGGCACATGAGGTTCATGCCTCCCGACATGCTGATGAGCCCCGGTTATGAGCTGGGCACCACAACTGATGGTCTTTTATGAAGGAGTGCTCTTTACACCAAACTTTATCTCATTTTGGTTGTCCCTTTCTAGCCCTTGCTTAGTTCAAAATGTAGTACATCTGCTGTGCTCATCCAGCTTCATCTACTGCTGAGTTGGCTGTGTCCACGCTCAATCTGTCTGCTCTGGTTTCATGATGGTCACTAGCATTCACTTTCCCTGCAAGGCCTACTCGCCGGCTTTCCTAATAGTACACTCTCTTGGCACGATCCTGGGAACTTCACGTACAGTTGTTACCCTCAAAGCCATTGCTACCTGCTAGGGTCTTGGTTCAATTGGCCTCATCTCTCACTCATTCTTGGTTCCTGGAAACCTGGTACAGACAGATCCTAGTATTCTAAAGATCTCAAAATTTAAAAATCATTGTGACATGAATTTGAAGTCAAAACCCAGGCAATTTAAGTGGAAATAAGCATTCTTCAGGTTAGTCAAAGTGCTTAGCACTTTGTATATTAAAGTGTATCCTGAGCCACACATTTGCTAGAAGGTAAGAAGAAAAATTGGACTCTAGAATCAATTGCCTTTCTCTTTTCCTTTGAAAAGTTAAAATTTTTAATGAAAGAAGTTGTGTGGGTACAATGTAAGCTTTTATCATCTTGCATGTGTCCTCTGAGAGGTTCACATTTTTGAGGCCTTGTCTCATGGAAACTGGGAAATGAGCTTCTGGAATTCAGACCCAGGATCTGGCTGCATTCCAGAAATAAATATACATGTTGGGCGTTGAGATAGACAATTAAAAGAATAGGAGAGTGTGCAAACTTTTGAGAATGAGAAGGCAGAAAATAGACTCTTTTCTCTCATGCTTTGCTTTTGCTTTTGTTTATTTTTTATATTTTTACTTTTGAGTATCAGCTAGTGAGTAGCAGGGCAAAAACAAGGCAGCCATTGATCTAAGTGTAAGGCAGCAGGAGGAAGGTTAAGAGAATGAGTGTTATTCTTTAGGACTACATTCATAGTTGCATGGTGTTGCTCTTGGCTCAAAGTCTACAATTAAATCAGTTGTTGGCACTCCCTTGAAAGCATTACTATCACAGTTTCCCCTACATATGTAAGTCAATAAATTTGACCTTTAAGAAGGACAGTTGGTGTAGACCCCCTCCACTGGGCCAACACATATTGCAAATTTCTGAACTCAGGCCCTGCAAAGTACTACTGCCACCTTGCTTCTTTAACAGAGAAGGCAAAATAAACAGAGGAGGATTCCATGGTATAAAAAAGAAAAAAATACATTATTTATATTTAAATAAATAAAATTATTTATAGAGCATTATTTATATGTGTCAGTCTGCTGTGGGTCAGGTACTATGTTAGATTCTTTTATTTATTATTTTGTGGAATGAGATTTGTTTTTATATATGAGGAAAGAGGTTTTTCATAAAAGATGGAGCCAAGATTTAAAGCTAACTCATTTCATTCATTAGTTATCATATTTAGTCAACACATCATTTATTGAGTGCCTAAAATCTGACAGCACTGGGAAACAACAGAAGATGAGGTCACTGCACCCTAAAGGAGCATGTTCTCGTTTTTTCTTCTTATACCACTGCAACTGACCCGTCCACATTTCCTCACCTTCATTTCTGTGTGCATTGGCTGGACTTCCAGCTGTCAGCATCTGCAATTCTTTGCTTGGAAGCCCTTTGCCACAGTAATGACACCAAGAGCAACCCTCCATGACCAACTGGAGTTGGTACGTAAGCAGCTTAGTTCTTTCATCTCTCAGATGGGATGACTCTAAGGTGTATGTTTTCCACTAGCACCTAGAATTTCTTCAGAATCCAACTCCAGTTGCCCACAGTTGTAGCTGGCTTGATCAAACATCTATGTCAGCTGCCTTCCCTTTTCTACCTCATGTTCCCACTTCCTTGTCAGCTTTCTTTACCCCCAGGTAAACTACTTGCATTTGAAGTCTTGTCTCAGGGTCTGTTTCTGAGGAAATCCAAACTAAGATGACCACCATTTAGAGAATGCTTACTAAGGGATAGCCAGACCCTAAAGACTAATGTAGATCTATCTGTTTCCAAAATCTGTGATCTTTGGAGCATTGCACTGTACTATGGAATTCAAGCGGAAGGAATCCCATAGAATCTTACACTTAATCTTTTCTTGGGTACTAAGGAAAGTGGAAATCCATCCCTAGACAGGATATTTTGTAGTTCTCTCTTTCGGTCTTCACCCTCTCATGGGATGGGTGTGTTTTCTCTTTTCTCCACAGAATTGACTGAAAAGTCTCATTCTGCTTTTATCATCACTTCATTTCTCTGAATGAATCAAGCATCTCTGAATGAAATCAAGATTTTCTCCCTCCCGTCTGAGAGTAGGATCCACTCTCTTGTTCTATAGGTTCTCTTTTGTTCTATAGGTTAAGGGTTAAGGAAAATGTGACCCCCTTGAACAGAATAGATAGAGAAAATTATTCATTTGGGGATCTCTGAGGAGAGAAATTCTTTTCTAGAATTTTATTTATATTGCTTCTTTTCTTACTCAACTTATACTACAACATAGACTAAAAAGAAAAGTGGATACATAACTGTTTTTTTAAGTCCAGAATATTTGACAATATAATGTGGTAATGGTGTGAAGTTTTACACCTAAGCAGGCAATAGAATATGACACAGTTTCCGACCTACCCTGCCCTTGAAATAACAGAATAACTTTTTAACACTAACATGCGTTTCCTTGAATAACTTGTACCTCTGCCAAATTCCACACAAGAAGCTTCTTTTCTTCAGGGGCTGCTTCCCCACAATGTGAATATTCTTTGACTCACTATGTTGTCCATTTCCAATTTCCTTGTTTTTTGCTTGAGTTCACTGAAGACTGACAAACAGTAGCTTCACGTGACAGCCATTAGTCTGCTTTAAACCTCAGCTTGATCTTGAATGGATAGAATAATGAATAGATTTTGTGTCATATAATTCATGTTGTCAGTTATATGAAATTGGCAGTTAAAGAGAAACTAAATATGCTTCCAGTCCTCTCTTTTCTAAATTCATATTTGAATATAATAATGTGAAAGGCATTGTTCCTTCTTTTAGTTAAAGCATTTTTGTAGCAGTCTGAACTGTGAATAATAGAGAAACATATGCTCTATTAAAAAATAGAAGGTGAGGAAGATAAGTGTTTTACTCTTTGTATTAAGAATTAACAAGTGGTTTTAAAAATTGAGCTTGTATGTGTGTGTGAGCACAGGGAGGGGTATTTCATCATAATGAGGGAGGCCTTGGCAACTTAGTGTTCGTTTTAACTCCATTGATTGCCGAACACATTCATGCCTGCTCTAGCTCCAGGGAGGCTGTGGAACAGGAAATAAGAGATTCAAAAAGCAGCACAGAAGAAAATCATCTCCTCTCCTTCCATCTCCCAAGCAGAGAAAAATATGCTTTCTTTTTTGTCAAAATTGCTTGGTTTGTCCTATTATGCTGTCATTTCAGAGAGATTAAAAGTATACTTTTTCATACATTGCAAGTGGGAATGTAAAATGGTGCAGCCACTTTGGAGAAACAGATGGCCATTTCTTAAAATATTAAACATAGAGTTACCATATCACCCAACAGTTCTACTCTGAAGTATATACCCAGCAGAAATAAAAACATATATCTGTACAGAGACTCATACTCAAATGTTCATAGCCTCATTGTTCACAATTTTTCATAAATAGAAAAAATCCAAATGCCCATCAACTGAATAAACAAAATGTGGTATAGCCATATAATGGAATACTATTTGGCAATAAGAAGGAACTGAGTTACAACATGTATGAACTTTGAAAATATTATGCTCAGTGAAAGACACCAGACACAAAGGAACATATTTAACTCCACATATATGAGATACCCAGAAAAGGCAATTCTAAAGGGACAGAAAGTAGATGAAAGATTGCCTAAGGCTATGGATAGGAATAGAGAGTGACTATAAATGGGTACAAGGTTTCTTTTTGAAATAATGGAAATGTTCTGAAACTAGGTGTTCTGAAAGTAGATAGTTGCCAACTCTGTAAATATAGTAAAAATCAATGAATCATAAAGAAAAACACTACTTCTATTCTGGTAACAAAAATTAGAAGAACAAAAAAAGACAGAAATTATAGTAAACCACAAAGTAAATTATTACCCACCATGTTAACCATTTAGTATTGATTTTTTTTTTTTTGAGATGGAGTTTAGATCTTTTGCACAGGCTGGAGTGAAGTGGCACAATCTTGGCTCACAGCAACCTCTGCCCCTGGGTTCACGCCATTCTCCTGCCTCAGCCTCCTGAGTAGCTGGGATTACAGGCACCTGCCACCATGCCTGGCTAATTTTTGTATTTTTAGTAAAGATGGGGCTTCGCCATGTTGGCCAGACTGGTCTTGAACTCCTGACCTCAGATGATCCACCTGCCTCAGCCTCCCAAAGTGCTGGGATTACAGATGTGAGCCACTGCACTCAGCCAGTATTGATTTAATTAACTGAAATTTAATATAGTAGAGGAAAATAACCAAAATGAAGCTCTAAAGCATGTCACAGAGTCCTAATTATTCAAAGAATCATAAAGATGTGATTTACACCATTCAATAAACTGCAAAAAATTTGTGCAGAATCAAAGAAAGCAGGCACAACAACGTATATTCTTAATTATTTCATTTATATAAATTTTTAAAACCAGTCATTGGTGAAAGAAATCAGACCAATCATTGCCTCTGTGGTTGGAGACTGACTAGGGCACAAGGGATGATGTGCGCTAGTGCCCTTTTGATGCATGAAAGTTGTAAATTTCTGGGATGATGGAAATGTTCTATATCTTAATAGTGATATGTGCTATGTGGATATATGCATTTGTCAAAAACTCATTGAACTGTTTCCTTAAGATCTGCACATTTTACTGCACGTAAGTCATGCCTTAAATAAAATCTGATACCTTAAATAAAGTGAGAGACAGGAAGAAATTGGCTATTGGAAGCACAAAACAAAATTGAAAGTTTAGAAATGGACCCATTAGATATATAATAATTTAGTATAGGATGAAAGAAGAATTTTTAAAGGTTTTTTTAGAAACAGAGTCTCACTATGTTGCCCAGGCTAGAGTACAGAGGTTATTCCCAGGCACAATAATGGTACACTGCAGCCTCGAACTCTTGGGCTCAAGCCATCCTCCTGCCTCAGCCTCCGAGTAGCTGGGACTATAGGCGTGCGCCACCATGTCTAGCAGAAATTTTAAATCAGTGAGGGCAAAAAGGGATTTTTAAATAACAATACTGGGATCAGGAAAGATAAAAGCTGGAGTCATTTCATTCCTAACACCAAAATTAGGTCAGATGAATAAAAGATTCAGATAGAAAAAGTGAAATAAGTTTACTTCAGATATTTATGTATTGTTTGGAGACTTTTATAGCAAATACATTTTAAACTTTTTGTGGTAAAATATACATAACATAAAATTAACCATTTTAGCCATTTTTAAGTATACAGTTCAGTGGCATCAAGTACATTCACATTGTGTGCACTTACTTATCACCACCATCCACCTCCAGAACATTTTCATCTTCCCAAACTGAAACTCTGTATCCATTAAAAACCAATTCTCCATTCCTTCCAGTCCCTAGCCCTTAGCCCCTGGCAACCGCCATTCTACTTTCTGTCTTCATAAACTTGATTAGTCTAGGTGCTTCATATAAGTGGAATCATACAATATTTGTTCTTTTGAGACTGGCCTATTTTACTTAGCACAGTGTTTTCAAGATTCATTCACATTGTAGCGTGTGTCAGAACTTCATTTATTTTAAGGGTGAATAATATTCCATTGTATCTGTATACCATATGTTGTTTATTCATTTATCCATTGATGGATATGTAGGTTGTTTCTGCCTTTTAGCTATTGTGAATAGTGAGCTATGTACATTTGAGTTTAAGTCTTTGTATAGATATGTTTTTGTTTTTGAGACAGAGTTTCACTCTTGTCATCCAGGCTGGAGTGCAATGGCACGATCTCAGCTCACTGCAACCTCCGCCTCCCAGGTTCAAGCAATTCTCCTGCCTCAGCCTCCCAAGTAACTGGGATTACAGGTGCCTGCCACCATGCCGAGCTAATTTTTGTATTTTTAGTAGAGACAAGTTTTCACCATGTTGGCCAGGCTGGTCTCAAACTCTTGACCTCAGGTGACCCACCTGCCTCGGCCTCCCAGAGTGCTAGGATTACAGGCGTGAGCCACCGTGCCCAGCCTAGATATATGTTTTTAATAAGAACTTGTGTGTACAGATATTTTGGTGAGTTCCTTCTTTCAATTCCATGGGGTCTATACCTAGAAGTGGCATTGAAGAATCATATGGTAATTCTAAGTTTAATTTTATAAAGACCTACCTTACTGTTTTCCACAGTAGCTGCACCATTTTACTTTCCCACCAGCAATGTGCAAGGGTTCTAATTTATACACATCCTTGCAAACGCTTGATATTTTCTATCTTAATTTTTCTCTAATTAATTTTCTTCTTTTTTTTTTAAGAGACAGGGTCTTGCTCCATTGTCCAGGCTAGAGTGGTGTCACATGACCATGGTTCATTGTAGTCTTGACCTCCTGGGCTCAAGTGATCCTCCTGCCTCAGCCTCCAGAGTATCTGGGACTACAGATGCATGCCACAACACCTGGCTATTTTTTTTCATTTTTTGTAGTGATGGGGTCTCACTATGTTGCCCAGGCTGGTCTCGAACTCCTGGCTTTAAGTAATCCTCCCAAAGTGCTGGGATGAGCCACTGTGCCCAATAAATAATAGCATTCTTAATAGGTATGATGTGGTATCTCATTTTGTGATTTTGACTTGCATTTCCCTAATATTTAGTGTTGCTGAGTATCTTTTCTTGTGCTTATTGGCCATCAATACATCTTCTTTGGTGAAATGTCTGTTCCAGCCCTTTGTTCATTTTTTAAATTGGAATATTTGCTTTTGGTTGTTGTATTGTAGTTTTTTATGTATCCTTGATATTAACCCCCTATCAGATGTGTGATTTGCAAATATTCTCTCCCATTCTGTGGACTGCCTTTTTACTCTGCGGATAGTGTCTTTTGATGCATGAAAGTTTTAAATTTGGATAAAGCACACTACTTTTTCTTTTGTTGTCTGTGCTTTTGATGTTAGATTCGAGAAATCATTGCCAAGTCCAATGTCATGAAACTTTCCTCTATTTTTTTCTAAGAGTTTTCTAGTTTTAGCTTTGACATTTAGGACTTTGATCTAGTTTTAATTTTTGTGTTCATGTGTTTTCTTTATGAGATGGAGTTTTGCTCTTGTTGCTCAGGCTGGAGTGCAGTGGCACCGTCTCAGCTCACTGCAACCTCCGCCTCCTGGGTTCAAGCAATTCTCCTGCCTCAGCCTCCTGAGTGGCTGGGATTATAGGCGTCAACCACCACACCTGACTAATTTTTGTATTTTTAGTAGAGACAGGGTTTCACCATATTGGCCACGCTGGTCTCGGACTTCTGACCTCAGATGATCCACCCGCCTTGGCCTCACAAAGTGCTGGGATTACAGGTGTGAGCCACTGCACCCAGCCTAATTTTCTTATATGGTATAAGGTAAGGGTCCAACTTTATTATTTGGTATGTGGATATCCAGTTTTTTCAACACATATTTCCTACTGAATGATCTTGGCACTCTTGTAGAAAATTATTTAGCCATTTATAGCCAGAGTTGATTTCTGGACTCTCTCTATTCTATTGTATTGGTCTAAATGTCTGTCTGTATGCCGTTATAACACTGTTTTGATTACTGTAGCTTTGTACTAAGTAAATTTTGAAACAAGGAAGTGTGAAACCTACACATTTGTCTTCTTAAAGTGTTTTTTTCTTAGTACTTGGGGTCCTTTAAGATTCCACATGAATTTTAAGATAGGTTTTTTTATTTCTGCAGTAAATGTCATTGGGATTTTGATGGAGATTACATTGAATCTGTAGATTGTTTTGGTTACTATTGATATCTTAACAATATTTTCTTCTAATCCATAAATGCAGAGTGCCTTTCAGTTTGTGTCTGCTTTCTTTCAGCAATGATTTACAGTTTTCATGCATGCTTTTTGCCTCCTTGGTTAAGTTTATTACTAAGCATTTTATTCTTTTTGATGCTATTGTATATGGAATTTTTTTTATTTCTTTTTTGAATTGTTCATTGTTAGTGTATAGAAATGCTAATTTTTGTGTGTTGATTTCGCATCTTGCAACATCACTGAATTTGTTTATTAATTCTAACAGCTTTTTTTGGTGGAATCTTTGGAGGTTTCTACATATAAAATAATGTCAATGGAGATAATTTTACTTCTTCCTTTCCAGTTTGGATGACTTTTATTTCTTTTTGTTGCCAATTGCTCTGACTAGAACTTTCAGTTCTATGTTGAATACAAGTGGTAAAAGTGGATATCCTTGTCTTATTCCTGATTTCAGAGGAAAAGCTTTTAGTTTTTAGCCATTGAGTCTGATAATAGGTGTGGAATTTTTTATATATGATCTCTATTATGTCACACTTTAAAAAAATCTATGAAAGTATCAAAAGATGGATAAATATTTACGTATTTATACATAAATATAAATAAACATTTATATCATTTGGGGGAAAAGAATCTTAATAACCAAAGCCAAAAATTATAAGGGAAAGAAAAAGATGATAGATTTAATTCTGTACAAAATTGAAAATATTTACCTAGCAAAAACTTCATTAATTAAAATGATATAATAAATAGGGATAAGATCCTTAATACTGTATAAAAAGAACTCTTATATATACATAAGGAAAAATCCACACACAAAAGCTACATTGGCAAAGGACATGAGCATGAAATTCACAAAAAAGAATAACCAAGGGTCAAAGAATATATAGAAAAAGAGTTTATCTTCTCTAGTGATTACAAAGAAAAATGAAATTAGATTTTTTTTAACCTGTAAGACTGAAAAAGATGAGGAAGAGTGATAATATTCACTCAATGTAGTAATTTCATATCCTTTCAGTAGGAATAAAAATTGGTTGAGTCTTTTTTGGAAGGCACCAAGTATTAACTCTTGAAAACGTGCATCCCCAGCAACTGTAGTTGTCCCTCAGTATCAGTGAGGAATTGGTTCCATTTGGTACCCTACAGGTACCAAAACCCATGGATGCTTAAGTCTCTTATATAAAATGGTATAGTATTTGCATATAATCTACACATATCCTTTTGTACACTTTACTTTTTATTTTTTAATTTTTTTTGAGACAGAGTCTCACTCTGTCAGCAGGCTGGAGTACAGTGGTGCAATCTCGGCTCACTGCAACCTCTGACTCCCTGGTTCAAGCGATTCTCCTGCCTCAGCCTCCTGAGTAGATGGAATTACAGGCATGTGTCACCACTCCTGGCTAATTTTTGTATTTTTAGTAGAGAACAGGTTTCACCATGTTGGCCAGGATGGTCTTGATCTCCTGACCTCATGATCCACCTGCCTCGGCCTCCCAAAGTGTTAGGATTACAGGCATAAGCCACTGTGCCCAGCCCTTTTGTATACTTTACATCATCTCTAGATTACTCATGATACTAATACAATGCACGCACATCACTTCATTTGCATGGATTCAACATAGTACTTGTACACATAGTACACACAGCAAATTCAAGTTTTGCTTTTCAGAGATTTGTGGAATTTTTTTCTGAATATTTTTGATTTGAGGTTGGTTGAATCCATGGATGCAGGACTGATGCACATGACGAACATACTGTGTATACCTCTGGGTTTATGCTAAGGAAATAATTGCTCAATAGATATGTACAAGTATGTTTAGCTATATATCTAAAAGAGCAAAAACTTCGAAAAATCTATCAACTATGTCTATCAACTATGGGGCCACTGAAAATAATGATGCAGATTATCGATTTATAGATATACATGTCATATGGTTTGTTTCATGCGCGTCCGTGTAAAGAGACCACCAAATAGGCTTTGGGTGAGCAATAAAGCTTTTAATCACCTGGGTGCAGGCGGGCTGAGTCCGAAAAGAGAGTCAGCAAAGGGTGGTGGATTATCATTAGTTCTTATAGGTTTTGGGATAGGCGGTGAAGTTAAGAGCAGTGTTTTGCAGGCAGGGGTGGATCTCACAAAGTACATTCTCAAGGGTGGGGAGAATTACAAAGAACCTTCTTAAGGGTGGCGGAGATTACAAAGTACATTGATCAGTTAGGGTGGGGCAGAAACAAATCACAATGGTGGAATGTCATCAGTTAAGGCTATTTTTACTTCTTTTGTGGATCTTCAGGTACTTCAGGCCATCTGGGTGTATACGTGCAAATCACAGGGGATGCGATGGCTTGGCTTGGGCTCAGAGGCCTGACAGTTTGGATCTGTGTCCCCACCAAGTTTCATGTCAAATTGTATTCTCCACTGTTGGAAGTGGAGGGAGGTGGTTAGATCACAGGAATGGATTTCTCATGAATGGTTTAGCACCATTACCTTGGTGCTGTTCTCATGATAGCGAGTGAGTGAGCTCTCGTGAGATCTGGTTGTTTAAAAGTGTGCAGCACCTCCTCCCTCACTCTCTCCTTCTCCTGCTCCTTCCATGTAAGATGCCTCATTCCCCCTTTGCTTTCCACCATGATTAGAAGCTTCCTGAGGCCTCTGCAGAAGTAAAAGCTGCTATGCTTCCTGTACAGCCTGCAGAACCGTGAGTCAACTAAACCTCTTTTCTTTATAATTTTTTTTTTTTTTTGAGATGGAGTCTCGCTCTGTCTCCAGGCTGGAGAGCAGTGGCACTATCTCGACTCACTGAAACCTCTGCCTCCTGGGTTCAAGCGATTCTCCTGCCTCAGCCTCCCGAGTAGCTGGGATTACAGGCACGCACCACCACGCCCAGCTAATTTTTGTAGTTTTAGTAGAGACGGGGTTTCACCATGTTGGCCAGGATGGCCTCGATCTCCTGACCTCAGGATCTGCCCGCCTTGGCCTCCCAAAGTGCTAGGATAACAGGCGTGAGCCACCGAGCCTGGCTTTTCTTTTCTTTTTTTTTTTTTTTGAGAGGGAGTCTCACTCTGTCGCCCATGCTGGAGTGCAGTGGCCTGATCTCGGCTCACTGCAAGCTCCGCCTCCCAGGTTCACGCCATTCTCCTGCCTCGGCCTCCCAAAGTGCTGGGATTACAGGTGCCCACCACCGTGTCTGGCCATTTTTTGAATTTTTAGTAGAGACAGGGTTTCATGTGTTAGCCAGGATGGTCTCAATCTCCTGACCTCATGATCCGCCTGCCTGGGCCTCCCCAGGTGCTGGGATTACAGGCATGAGTCACCACGCCTGGCTGCACCCGGCTTTTCTTTATAAGTTACTCAGTCTCTGACATTTCTTCATAGCAGTGCAAGAACGGACTAATACAACATGGAAAGATATTATATATTCATATTCATATATTTTTGAGTAAGAGAAGTAGGTTGCCAAGTAACATGCCTAGTACAATCCCAGTTTTATTTACTTACATGTTTAAATATTTATTTTTGACAAAATTTGGGAGAATATGTATATAAAAGTATTAAAACTGATTGTGTCTTTGTAGTGGGATTTTAAGTGATTCATATTTTCCTCTTTTGTATCTTTTTCTGAAGTCTCTACAATGAACATGTAATCTTGTTAGAGTAATGGTTTTGTTAAATGATAATATTACTTTTTCAGTAGCGTTGAGTACATTGTTGTGCAACCATCACCACTATCTGGTTCCGGAACTTTTTCATCTTCCCATACTGAAACTCTGCACTCATTAAACAGTAATTCCCCTTTGCCCCTCCTCTAGTGATAATAGCTTTAAATCAAGAAAATTCTACATTTAATAATTTTATTTTTTCCCCCTTCCCAACTACACATATACTTTTAAGAAAAGAACAGTTTTATTGAGATATAAATCAAATGCCATACAATTATCCTGTCACACACATACTTTGGAAGTTCTGTGACCCTCTTTGTAGTTTGTTTGTTTGTTTGATGGAAGCATTTTTACCAGGCAGAAAGTACAACGTTGGAAGTGAATGTTCTTGAATTTATTGGAGACAAATTATAGAGGAATAATGATATGTGAATTTTACCTACCATAAACCTGCATCCTGTATTTGGACAGGAGCTCTGTGTACCTTCAAAAACTGTTCAAAACTGGTTTTAGGTCCAGCTCCCTGTGAAAGTTGAGTTAAGCTAAAGAGCAGGAATCTATTAACAGGTCAACAGCAGCAGGGGGGCGGGGATTGGAAAGGGCCTGGAGCAGCTGCGGTTCATTTGGGAGTTTAAAATTGGCTTTTCTTTTATTCTCTTATTCCTGCTACCTCCATAGAATCCAGGAAGAATAGGGATGTTTTTTCCTACATTTGATTATAACAGGCCCAAATCTCTTTGAACATAACCAGTAAAGGAAAGAAGCATCCGTGGCCATCAAACTGGGTAAAATGGTAACATAATCTCTGATGTGTAGTTTGAATCCTATTAATTATAATTGTGTAGAATTGTACAGTGAGAATGCTTTGGGAGTTTTTAACGCTAGGTTTTTCAAAGACTACATTCCTCATTAGACCTTCCCCATTAAGGCATGCTTGAGTGATGCTACACAGCCGAATAGTTGGGATTTTTTCCCCCTCTTGTCATAGTCTGAAGACAAAGGATTCTTCCGCTTGCCAAAGTTCCAGGGAGCCTAGGTTGAGCCGCTGTGACAGCACTTCGGCAGGGAGCTTTTTATTCAGTCTTCGATTTGCCGTCAGGCCTCATTCACGAAACAGGATCAAGTTGGAGCAGTACACGGAGAAAAAAAAATCAACAGAGGAAAATCTCGCACAGCCAGATATGGCGCCATGGGTCACTTTTTCCTTTCACTAATGCTGAGTCATGATGCAGTCTAGGCTAAGGCACAGAAAACTGTACATTTCTGGTCCTAACTGCATTGTTGTCCCTCAGGATTCTCGGTGCCTTTGCTAAAGTAATGTTACAACAGTCCAGAAAATGCTAGCATTAGTATTGCAGCTTACTTGACTTCTCTGAGAAGCAGCGAGAGTGGCACAAAAGAGCTGGGAGCCCTGCAGTTGATACCAAAATAACCTGCCAATGGCCTTACAACCTTGCTACTTCTCAGTTTTTCCTAGCCTCAGTTTCCTCGTCTACAAAGTATGGATAATGTGCTGCTGCTTCTTATTTACAAGGTTCTTGTGAGGATCAAACAGAGGTAATGCATATGAAAATGTTTGTTACATTACCCAGGAATGATTCTTATTATCATCAGAATTTTTATATTTGAATTTAGAAGTTGTATGTATGTGATCGCTTCTGGATTATGTGTGTGTGAACTTCACACATTATCAAAAGAGATTACTTTTTTAATATTGTTTGCCCAAGGGAAAGTGTTGAGGGCTACATAAGTTTAAAAATGACTTTAACTTAGGCATTAGATATAAAATGGTCTCCCCATTTGCCTTCAATTCAGTAAAAACAGCATATTTGTGATTGGCTACATCAACAGGCATCCTTCCCTCTTATGTATAATCTGGTATAGCATAGTGATTAAAAGCACAAGCTGTAGAGCCAGATGCACAAACACAACATTTTTGTGTTGACAAAAGACAAAGACACTACCACCGTTGCGACCTTTATGTATCTTACTATCTAAGGTTTTTAAATCCATATTACATCTTTACACCATCGGTTGTTTATTAGTTTATTAGAGCTGGCAAAACAAAATGCCGCAGACTGGGTAGCTTAAACAACAGAATATTTTTTTCACAGTTCTGGAGGCTAGAAGTCCAGGATCAAGGTGTGAGCAGGTTTGGTTTCTCCTGAGGACTTTGTCCTAAGTTTGCAGAGGCTGCCTTCTTACTGTATCCTAGCAGGTCTTTCCTCTGTGCCCCCACATCTCTGGTGTCTCTCTGTATATCCAAATTTCCTCTTAGAAGAGGCCACTAGTGGTAGCTCACACCTGTAATCCCAGCACCTTGGGAGGCTGAGGCTGGTGGATAGTTTTAAGTCCAGGAGTCAAGACCAGCCTGGGTAACACAGTGAAAGCCCGTATCTACAAAAAAAAAAAAAAAAATTAGCCAGGCATGGTAGTATGCCCCTGTAGTCCCAGTTACTTGAGAGCTGAGGTAGGAGAATCACCTGATTCTGGGAAGTCAAGGCAGTAGTGAGCCATAATCACACCACCACTGCACTCCAGCCTGGGTGTTGGAGTGAGACCCTGTTTCGAAAAAATACAAATAAAAAAAATTTAAAAAAAAAAAGAAGAAAAAGCAATTAGATTGTATTAGGGCACATCATAATGGCTTTATTTTAACTTAATCACCTCTTTAAAAGCCCTATCTCTAAAAAGTCACATCTGAGACACTGGGATTTAGGGCTTCAACATAGGAATTTTGGGAGAACATAGTTCAACCCCTAACATAATGCTCTCTACTCCACAGATAATGCAAAATTAGCCAAGGGACCAGGATTGACTCTAGTATCATACAAAAGAGTCAAAGGCAATTGTGAGTCTAGTAGTAAAATTTATTTGAATATCTCATGTGGTACTCACATCAATCATATAAAAGACATCTGACTTTTATGGAGAAACTCAGACTTTCATGGAAAATCATAGATATTTGGCAATAATTTTTGGCTTAGTCCATAAAGAGTTTGGAAATTAGAATTTGGGGTTGTGTCAGAATACGGAAACAGAATTCACACTAGTTGTTTCAGCAGAGGAAATTTAATACAGAGAATAAGTATAAAGATATTTACTACTACCTGCTTACCAGATGCAATTTTGCATGATATTCTAAATGAAGCAGACACATGATAGTTTGTGGCATGTCAAGATGATCAAGAATATGACAGTGCAGGAGTTGACATAGTTCTGAGACAGCAGTGTGAAGGTATGCTGTTGTCCTCATTAGGTGAAAGCAAAAGGCTTATGGTAATTCTTGAGAATTTTTTGAAGGGGAAAAAAATGTTAAGATCAATAGCTAAGTACTACATGCGAGATACTTGTATTGCTTTGCTCAAGTTATCACATCTGGAACAGCAGTTGCAATTGGCATTACTTGATTAAGTTTACAAAAATCCATATTCACTGTCCAAGATGAATAAATCTGCACAGGCCAAATTAAATGGGAATGTTAGGAATCACACCTGTATCTTTTAAGTCTTTGGTGGTGGCATTAATCTTGACAGTTCTTCCAAGGGTGTGATAATTGCTTTTAGTTTACCATTAGGATAGGACAAAAGGAGTTCCAAGGGCTTCCACTTGGCCCTCCTACAGTATTAGCTCTTTCTCTACATCCCAGTGTGGAAATTAGATCATTTTTAAAGCATGTTGGCTGGGCACAGTGGCTCACACCTGTAATCTCAGCACCTTGGGAGGCGAAGATGGGCAGATCACTTGAGGTCAGAAGTTCAAGACCAGCCTGGCCAACATGGTGAAACCCTGTCTCTACTAAACATACAAAAATGCACACCTGTAGTCCCAGCTACTTGGGAGGCTGAGGTAGGAGAATCGCTTGAACCCAGGAGGCAGAGGTTGGAGTGAGCTGAGATCATGCTGCTGCACTCTAGCCTGGGTGACAGAGTGAGACTCAGTCTCAAAAAAAAAA
Organism: Homo sapiens; assembly: GCF_000001405.40. Classification (NCBI taxonomy): domain Eukaryota; kingdom Metazoa; phylum Chordata; class Mammalia; order Primates; family Hominidae; genus Homo; species Homo sapiens. The sequence goes on from NC_000004.12 coordinate 76,462,382, forward strand.
GCATGTCTACATATAGTCTACATATATGATACATTAAAACTATAGAAATAACTATAGGGTAGATCCTATAAGATAGACGAGCCCAAACTTCATTTACCACTTGATATGGTTTGGATTTGTGTCCCCACCCAAATCTCATGTTGAAGTGTAATCCCCAATATTGGGGGAGGGACTGGTTATGGGTGACTGGATTATGGGGGTGGATTTTCCCCTTGCTGTTCTCATGATAGTGAGTGAGTGCTCATGAGATCTGGTTGTTTGAAAGTGTAGCACTTCCTTCTTTGTTCTCTCTCTCCCTCTCCCTCTCCCTCTCTCTCTCCCTCTCCCTCTCCCTCTCCCTCTCCCTTTCCCTCTCCATCTCCATCTCCCTCTCCCTCTCCCTCTCTCCCTCTCCTGCTCTGCCATGGTAAGACATGCTTGCTTCCCTTTTGCCTTCCACCATGATTTTAAATTTCCTGAGGCCGCCCAGCCATGCTTCCCATGTAGCCTGTGGAACTGTGGATCAATTTAACCTCTTCTTTTCATAAACTACCCAGACTCAGGTAGTTCTTTATAGCAGTGCGAGAATGGACTAATATGGAAAATTGGTAGAGAAGGGGGGCATTGCTATAAAGATGCCTGAAAGTGTGGCATCGTCTTTGGAACTTGGTAATGGGCATAGGATGGAACAGTTTTTAGGGCTCAAAAGATAGTAAGATGAGAGAAAGTTTGGAACTTCCTAGAGACTTAGTGAATGGTTTTGACCAAAATGCTGATAGTGATATGTGATATGGACAATGAAGTCCAGGCTGAGGAGGTCTCAGATGGAAATGAGCAACTTATTGGGAACTGAAGTAAAGGTCACTCTTGTGATGCTTTAGCAAAGAGGCTGGTGGCATTGTGCCCCTGCTCTAGAGATCTGTGGAACTCTTAACTTGAGAGAAATGATTTAGGGTATCTGGTGAAGAAATTTCTAAGCAGCAAAGCATTCAGGAAGTGGCCTGGCTGCTTCTAACAGCTTAGGCTCATATGTGTTCACAGAGATGGTCTGAAATTAGAACTTATATTTAAAATGGAAACAGAGCATAAAAGATTGGAAAATTTGCAACCTGATCATGTGGTAGAAAAGAAAAACCCATTTTCTGGGAAGGAATTCAAGCCAGCTATGGAAATTTGCATAAGTAAGGAGGAGCCCAATGTTAATAGCCAAGACAATGGGGAAAATGTCTCCAAGACATTTGAGAGACCTTTGTATCAGCCCTTCTTATCACAGGCCTAGAGTCCTAGAAGGAGAAAATGGTTTCATGGGCCAGGTCCAAAGCCCCACTGCTCTTTGAAGCCTTGGGACCTGGCACCTTGCACTGTGGCTGCTCCAGCTCCAGCCAAGGCTAAATGGGGTCAGGGTACAGCTCAGGCCATTATTTCAGAGACTGCAAGTCCCAAACCTTGGCAGTTTCTACATGGTGTTTGGCCTGTGGGTGCACAGAGGGCAAGTGTTAATGCTTGAAAGCTTCTACCTAGAGTTCAGAGTGTGTATGGAAATTCCTGGATGTCCAGGTAGACGTCTGCTGCAGGGGCGGAGCCCTTATGGAGAATCTCTACTAGGGCAGTGCAGAAGGGAAATGCGGCATCAGAGTCCCCACACAGAGTCCTCACTTGTGCACTGCCCAGCAGAGCTGTGAGAAGAAAGTCACTGTCCTCCATACCTCAGAATGGTAGATCCACTAACAGCCTGCACTGTGCACCCGGAAATGCCACAGTCACTCAACACCAGCCTGTGAAAGCAGCTGTGGGGGCCATAACCTGCAGAGCCACAGGGGTGGAGCCACCTAAGGCCTTGAGAGTTCACCTCTTGCATCAGCATGACTTGGATGTGATACATGGAGTCAAAGGAGATTATTTTGGGGCTTTAAGATTTAATGACTGCCCTGCTGGGTTTCGCACTTGCATGGGACCTGTAGCTTCTTTGTTTTGGCCAATTTCTCCAATTTGGAAAGGGAGCATTTACCCAATGCCTGTACCCCATTGTATCTTGGAAGTAACTAATTTTTTTTTTTTAATTTTATAGGCTCATAGGCAGAAGGGACTTCCTAGTCTCAGATGAGACTTTGGACTTGGACTTTTGAGTTAATGCTGGAATGAGTTAAAACTCGGGGGGACTGTTGGGAAGGCATAATTATGTTTTAGTGTGAGAAGGACATGAGATTTTGGAGGGGGCAGGGTGGAATGATATTGTTTGGATTTGTGTCCCCACCCAAATCTCATGTCCTATTGTAATCCCCAATGTTGGGGGATGAACCTGATGGGAGGTGATTGGATCATGGGGGTGGATTTCTCCCTTGCTATTCTCATGATAGTGAGTGAATTCTCATGAGATCTGGTTGTTTGAAAGTGTGTAGCACTTCCCTCTTTACCTTCTCTCTCTCTCCTGCACCACCATGGTAAGATGTGCTTGCTTCCCCTTCACCTTTTGCCATGATTGTAAGTTTCCTAAGGCCTTCCAGCTGTGCTTCCTGTAGAGCCTGCAGGACTGTAAGTCAATTAAACCTCTTCATAAATTACCCAATCTCAGGTAGTTCTTTATAGCAGTGTGAAAATGGACTAATACATCACCTGAACACCATAAATGTTCTCTTTGGCTACTGATCCCCAGTGGTGTTTTGAGTGCCTGAACTAGCATTCATTCACAACCATTATATAGAATTCTTCAAGGATATATAGAATCTTTAATTTCTCTCAATAAAAAGGTCAAACTTCACTTGAATCATATTAGCAAGTTTAATCCACATTATTTGTTTATCTGGAGAGCTAGCATATGTCTACATATGTATGTATGCATACCTATTTATTCCAAAACTGATTTAAAGTGTGCACTTATCTAAGAAGTTGTAGTAGCCAAGGTGGTACACTGCTCAGATGTTACTTCAGGAGAAACTGCTTCAAGGAACATAATTGTCAGACAGTTTCCAGCTGTTACACCTTTGGATCTGCTGCAGTGTTTATGCCAAGGCCATGCTCACCCCAGGCTGCTACTAGCCAATAGCTGAACATATTGGGGTATGAAAGCCATGCCATTCTGCCTGATGCCTCTTACAGTAGGCAATCTTTGCTCCAGGACTTCCCATCAGCCTGGCCAAGACTTTCTCAGAATCACACTGCAGGCCGAAGCTCCTTTTCCTCAGTCCTCCTGCCTTCCCTCCTGGCTTTCTCTCTCCCCTTTCACAGGTGTCAGATCCACATTGTGTTCAAAGAGCTCTCTTCTCCTATTTCTGATACCTCACTTGTTTATCCTCTGTAGGTGTTTCTCCTAATACATCTCTTGCACATCTGGTTCCACCTTGGCATCTGTATCTTTGAGGACCTAAACAGACACAGAAATCAAGTAACAATGCAAAAAGCCTGACGCTCACTGACTATTAGATTGTTGACAAATATAAGATTGCTGGGCCTTGGGAAAGCATAATTTCACTTGTTCCTAATAACTGAAAATGCTTTTTGAAAAACTAAATATGCCATGCATAAAGGGCCTAAGATTTAGGTTTTCCTGTAGAAAAACATCTGTGCCCTAGTGGGAAAGTATCACTTTTAAATATAAAATTTTAAAATGAATCCAGGGAAGACATTAAATTCCCAGGATTGAGGACAATAACCAAGAACCTGAACAGCATTTACGTGTTTGTTGGTCTCTGCTTTCTTTATCTTGCCCTCTTTGCTTCCTGCTTTATGTTATAAAGTGTTAATGTGTCAAAAATGAAAAATGTAGGGTTGGTGTGATGTTCTCAACAGGCTTCTTGAAAAATATTTTTTTCATCTTTCAAGAATCAGCTAAAATTGAATTTGGCATTGTTTGCCCTTTGTTGCCTAGGCATTGGGGTCAGACTCTTGTCTGACCTAAGTGAAGCCATGATGGACAGTTCTGTAGAGGGCATTATCACAGCCTAATCAGATAAACTGAAAGCAAAATTGTTTTTCTCTCTCCCACAGAATCTGCTCCTCCATTTTCTTCCTCTTTTATATTCTTTTCTAACTTGCCCTGTGAATTTTCAAGACATAGTAAGATTTTATTGTTATTACTGAGATAGATTGGTTGCAGAAACTGTTGTATGAACCAAATGTCTTCTGCCTTGTAGATAGACTTCCTCAGGAACTAAGAGCAGTGTCTGTACGCCTCAGGTAACAAGTCACTGCCAACTCTGTAATACGTTTTAACCTGATGCAGAAGTAGGGGCCCTGCTGTTTTCTGGATTCTTTAGCCTTTTGTTCAATGTAATAATGCATTTAATCATGGGAGAATTTAAAACATTTACCTTGTAATAGTAGCAATAAGTCTAAGTCCCAAATCAATAGAAACCTGGCAAAAAATACTCAGACTAAACAAAATTACCAAGAACAACGACAAAAACCAAATCCTAAGAGCCATAAAGGAATCCCTTTTTTGTACATGTTTAATTTTACATTTTAGCAAAAATAAAAAATAAGGAAGCAATAAGTTTAGGTTTGGGCTGAAGATGCAATGAAAATATAGGCTTATGAGAAAGTAAAATACTAATAAAATAGTATTTTGCTTCTCTGCTGGGGGAGTAAGTGAAGGAAACTAATATTTCTTGCATTTATGCTATGTGCCAACCCTTGTGCTGGATGCTTTTTATATATATTATCTTGGCCCTCCCCAGAACCCAGAAAAGTTTTTTTTTTTTTTCTAGACAGGGTCTCACTCTGTCACCCAGGCCGGAGTGTGGTGACTCAATCACGACTCACTGCAGCCTCAACCCTCTGGGCTCAAGTGATCCTCCCACCTCAGCCTCCCGAGTAGCTGGGATTTCAGGTACATGTTATCAGACCCAGCTAATTTTTTTAAAAATTTTTGGTAGAGATGGGGTTTCACCATGTTGCCCAGGCTGCTCTTGAACTCCTGGGCTCAAGCCATCTGCCTGCCTCTGCTTCCTAAAGTGCTGAGATTACAGGCACGAGCCACCATAGCCAGCTCCCATGTCATCATTTTGTCAGTGAGTAAACTGAGGCTTAGATAAGTGAAATAAGCTGCCTGAAATCGCATGCGTTTGTGGTCCCTCTGGGATTCAAACCCAGTCCTGTCTGACTTTAAGTTGTGGATAAAGAATGATTTTGGAACTGTGAAGGCTAAGCAAATACTGGTGAGAGGGACTAACTCACACATGAGACAGCTAAATAATGAAGTACATACAGTCTAGAGCAAGCAAAGACCCAGGCTAGTGGTAATCACTCCCTATGTATTTTGCCAGTCCTAACCAGAGTCTGAGAGCCCCTTACAAGTGAAGTCACTGCAACTGCAATTGGTGATCTTTCAGGAACTAAGTGAGGAAAAGGAGGAAGCATGGAAAGACTTGAGATGAAGATAAGTAGTCCCAACTTTCACAAACCCGGGTATAACTTCAATAATTTCTGTTGCCTTTGAGACATGTTGAGCCCTCAGTTGCCTGGGCTTGAGGGAAGTTAGTACCAGAACTCAGAGAAAGGACTTGGTTATAAGGCTGATTCCAAGGAGTGCATAAAACTTTCTAATATCTGATACTGGAAATGGGAATGAAGAGTTCAGTCTTGATTTAAACTAGCTCCATTATTCTAGGAGGTGGGACATAAGGAAATATAGACAGCAGATGACATTTGAATTAACATAAGGGGCATAGAATGGCAAGCAGCCTGTTGGGAGCCAGACCAGTTAAGAGTTAAAAGACAAGATTCAGCCCACTGGGAAAGTGTGCTGTTAACTACAAGTCAGAGTAATAGGACTTCATCAGAAGGGCTGGAACTAATTTTTGCCTATCCTCTTGACCAAGATTTGACAAGAGTGACGGAAGAGGAAACATTCTACATATAGGGGACATTCCTACATATTGCTAGTAGAAATGTAAATTAATACAGTACCTACAGAGAGAGTATCTTGGCAGTATCTGTTGGAATTACAAATTCACATTTTCTTTAACCCAACAAGACCACTTTTAGGTTTTGAACTTGTAGAAATACTCAATGTACACAGTCATGTATATACAAAGACATTTCTGCAGGATTCTTGAAAAGGGCAAACAAATTATAGAATTCCTTGTCTCTTGACTAGGATTTTTGTATAGGTTTTATAATTCCCTCTTAGGGCTTTCAGTAGTTACCACTTAGCTATTATTTTTATAATAAATGAGTTTATTTTTAAATTATTATGTTAATTCATAATTATTATGATAATTAAAGCCAAAATTGTATTATATATAAATATATATACATATATCTAAATATTTACACATTAGTTTAAGCAAGATTATGTTGTTAAAGCTATTTTCAGTTTAATGTGATACAGTGTTTTGTTTGTTAATAGTGATTCAGTTAAGGCAGATAGCCATATCAAAAGCATTTGATGGCCTGGCGCGGTAGCTCACACCTGTAATTCCAGCACTTTGGGAGGCCAAGGCAGGTGGATCACCAGAGGTCAGGAGTTTGATACCAGCCTGGCCAACACGGTGAAACCCCATCTCTACTAAAAATACAAAAAAAAATTAGCCAGGCGTGGTGGCAGGCGACTGTAGTCCCAGCTACTCGGGAGGCTGAAACAGGAGAATGGCATGAACCTGGGAGGTGCAGCTTGCAGTGAGCTGAGATGGTGCCACTGCACTCCAGCCTGGGTGACAGAGCGAGATTCCATCTCCAAAAAAAAAAAAAAAAAATTAGCCGGACATGGTGGTGTACACTTGTAATTCCAGCTACTCGGGAGGCCGAGGCAGGAGAATTACTTGAACCTGGGAGGCGGAATTGCAGTGAACCAAGATCACACCACTGCACTCCAGCCTAGGCCACAGAGTGAGACTCCATCTCAAAAAAAAAAGAGCATTTAATAAGCATTTCAATTTTTAAAATTAAGGAAATTTTGGTTTTGACTATAGGTCCTAGTCAAGTCTTTCCAGAACTGATATGGCCAACCTCTGTTGAGCAATGTGGATGTTAGAAGATGGGGAGCCAGTGAGGGACTGCAGGTTAAGGGATGTGTAGTAAGCTGTTAGGAGCAAGGCCACCTAAGTCCCCCCACTTAAATTCCCAGTCGTTTCATTTCCTGTTTTTTCTTTTTGTCCCCAATTGTCTTTTTTTTTTTGAGACAGAGTCTCACTGTGTTGTGCAGGCTGGAGTACAGTGGCGCAATCTCAGCTCACTGCAACCTCTGCCTCCCAGGTTCAAGCAATTCTCCTGCCTCAGCCTCCTGAGTAGCTGGGACGTCAGGTGCATGCTGCCACACCCAGCTAATTTTTTGTATTTTAGTAGAGACCGGGTTTCACCGGGTTGCCCAGGCTGGTCACAAACTCCTGAGCTCAGGCAGTCGACCTGCCTTGGCCTCCCAAAGTGCTGGGATTACAGGCGTGAGCCACCAGGCCCAGCTCCCAGTGTCTTAATGTAGTACTCTAGGTGGATGAGAGGATTGGGGTCAGGAAAAAAGTCTGGTAAGTCAAAGAATAGAGCTGGGTTTGATTTGAAAAGACAAGATAATGGACAGTTTTTAAGAGATAGAGCTTTATAGGAAGGAAGATTGAGATTTAAGACGAAATATGTCAAGAATGGGTCAGTTAAGTTCTACCTGGTATATCAGATCTCCTTCTTTAAAGCTTCACTCTTCATTGACATACACAGACAGATTTAAACAATTTAAACAAAAATTATAGCTAACTCTTAAGTACTTAATATATGCCCAAGCTTAATGCTTTATATGCATTAACTCACTGATTTCTTACACCTCTATGAAGTAGGTCCTATTATAATCCCCATTTAACATAAAGTTGAGGAAAGAGGCCTATACACTAAGTGATTTGACCCCAGACCCATAGCTATTCACTATACTGTGTCTCTCTGTCTACCTCATAGGGTTTCTGTGAGAATCAAGTGAGTTTTGTGTGTGAAAGTACTTTGAAAACCACAAAGCATTTGATACTTGAAAACCAGTTCTCAAGAGATAGAAAATGTTATTCACTCTACTCTGTGGAACAATTCTTTAAAAACAGGACTTGGAAAGCAAGCTACTGTCAAAACTAAAATAAAATTAACCTCAAATTAGAGGAGCACTTTTAGATGACAAAATAAGTACTAAGAAAATACAACAATAAAAAGAAAAAATGACATACAATCAAGATACAAGACTAATTGTAATTTTTAAAATGGCCTTTTTTGATGGGGTGAGAGTTTTTCACAGAGCTGAAAGCTGTGATTGCATTGCCACATTTTACAAAACAGTCTCTGGAACAGGATTGACCTGGCTATCAAAGGATAATTACATGGCCTAATAGATTGTCCCTACCTTCAACTGCTAATGAAGCCCTTGGAAAATGTATCCCCCACTTAACGAATGAGGCTGAAAATGCCAAGAAGCCTTTTGCCAAGGATGTGTTCTCTAGGCTCAGGCTGAATTCATTATTTTGTTAGAGTATTACCACCAAGCCAACCATGGGCAATTTAGCATGCCACATTTCAAGCAGAATTTAATTCATCTCTGTGTGCCATAAATGAGACAAATACCCTGTGATCAGGTGACAGCTGTCAGTAATGCCATAAACAGAAAGTATTAATGTAAGTGGTGAATTCCTCTTAATCATACCCCCATTAAAAGCTGGTACAAAAATTAGGGGGTGTGTGTGTGTGAGAGAGAGAGATTGTGAGGAAAGGCATGCATAAAATAGTCTGATTACTTTACGATACTCAACTCCACTTTTGTTATAAAACCTCACTTATTTTCATACCAAAAAACAACAGGTAAATTTCTTGATGAAAGAAAGTACCTCTGAGTTACCCTTTGTCTGAAAATGTATGTCTTTTTATGGAATTGCCTAGCTCTGAAGATAGCTATTGCTTATAAAGACTAGTTTGTTCTTCCTTTCTTTCTTTTTTTTTTTTTTTGAGATGGAGTCTCACTCTGTCGCCCAGGCTGGAGTGCAGTGGCGTGATCTTGGCTCACTACAACCTTTGCCTCCCGACTTCAAGTGATTCTCCTGCCTCAGCCTCCTGAGTAGCTGGGACTACAGGTGCACACCACCACGCCTGGCTAATTTTTTGATTTTTAGTAGAGATGGGTTTTCACCATGTTAGCCAGGATGGTCTCGATCTCCTGACCTTGTGATCCACCCACCTTGGCCTCCCAAAGTGCTGGGATTACAGGCATGAGCCACCGCGCCCAGCCAGTTTGTTCTTTCTTTAAGACCACATGCTTTCCTTAATGTAGCAAATCTAAAAGCAGGGACATTTGGAATGTTACTCAAAGTGGGAGGGAGTCCTACCACCCAGGGAGCCTGACATCCCAGTCAGAAAGTGACATATGAATGTATTAAGAATGGGCCCAACATCTAACAATAAAAAAAATGGGTTACCTTAAACACCATTTTTTGAACACTTACTGCTCCCAGGCTCTGAACATCTGAAGAAACATCTGAGAGACACCAAGGATGCAGTGAGAATCTTTTTTCTCATTAGATGTAAGAGCAGCTCTCAGTTCTTTTGGGCATCAGAGTTACCTAGGAAGAGTTGGGGGTTGTATTTTGCAGTCTCTGGAGTCAGACTACCTGGTTTTACATCCTGTCTCTGCTGTTTGTTAGTTGTATGATCAAGGGTGTTACTTACCCTCAGTAAGTCTAGTGCTTCTGTTTGTAAAAATGAAAGGGGGAATAGATAAAAATAGATCTATCTTATTAAGTAAAGATGGACTGATATAATGCCTGGTGCAGTTTCAGGCATATGGTGAGCATGCAATAAATAAATACTAGCTCATTTATTATTAGTAGTAGAATTATGTTTCTTCTCCTACCCAGAGTGAGACATTAATTGATCAAAATGTGTCATACACCTCATGTGGATTGGGGCAAAACAAAAACCAAAAGAGAAACACAGTTTTGTGCAATAATTTAAATCTCTTAAATAAAAAATGTAGAGAAGTTGCTGTTAGTAAAATGTACTGACTTTTCATTCTTTATTAATTCAATGATATTTGTTATCAAATATTATAATAAATGCTGTTTGAGCCCAAGTATAAATCTGATTTGTGACTTGCCTTCAAGAACCACAGTCTTGTCATGGAGAGGAGAGGATGTTATGATTGGGAAGCAGTGGTGGGGCACTAGAAGGGGTGGGTCTTCTGGAGATCTGACAAAATTCCATTTCTTGACCTGGGTGGCAGTTCTATAATAATAAAGTTATGCATCTATATTATATGTACTTTTTGGTGTATATGTTATAGTCACAGTAAAAATGTCTTTAATTGTGGTATGTGAGTGATTTGTATCTCAGTTTAAAAAAATTATATGGGATATTCCTGAATAAACCTTGGGGAATGTTTCTTTCTTTCTTTTTTTTTTTTGTGATAAGAGTCTCCCTCTGTCGCCCACGCTGGAGTGCAGTGGCGTGATCTCAGCTCACTGCAACCTCCGTGTCCTGGGTTCAAGCGATTATTCTGCCTCAGCCTCCCAAGTAGCTGGGACTACAGACATGTGCCGCCATGTCCAGCTAATTTTTGTATTTTTAGTAGAGACGGAGTTTCACCATATTGGCCAGACTGGTCTCAAACTCCTGACCTTGTGATCCGCCCACCGCGGCTTCCCAAAGTGTTGGGATTACAGGTGTGAGCCACCACGGCCGGCCAGGAATGTTTCTTAGACAAAGCATCAAAAGCACAAGCAACCAGCATATGTTAATTAGCTTGATTTAGCCATTCTGCAATGTATACATATTGAAAGCAACAAGTTGTACAATATATACGATTTTTATTTATCAGTAAGAAAAAAAGCACAAGCAATCAAAGTTAAAATAGACAAATTGGACTTTATTAAAATTAAAGACTTGTGCTTCAAAGGATACTATTGAGAAAGTAAAAATATAACCTATAGAATGCAAGAAAATATTTGTAAATTTTCTATCTGATAAGAGTCTGGTATCTAGACTATATGAAGAATTATTATGACTCAACAATGACAAGGCTGGGTGTGGTGGCTCATGCCTTTAATCCCAGTGCTTTGGGAGACTGAGATGGAAAGATTGCTTGAGGCCAGGAGTTTGAGACCAGCCTGGGCAACATAGTGAGACCCCATCTCTATGAAAAATTTTAAAAATTAGCTGGACATGGTGGCATGTACCTGTAGTCCTAACTACTCTGGAAGCTGAGGTGAGAGGATTGCTTAAGCCCAGCAGTTTAAAGTTGCAGTGAGCTATGATTATGCCACTGCACTCCAGCCTGGGCAACAGAGCAAGACTCTGTCTCAAAAAAAGAAAAAAAAGAAGACAACCCCATTTTAAAATGGGCAAGAGGTTTGAACAGATATTTTTCCAAAAAAGATATATAAATGGTCAATAAGCACATGAAAAGATGCTCAATATCATTAATCACCAGGGAAATGCAAATCAAAAATACAATGAAGTATCACTTTATACCCTCTAGGATGGCTGTACTCAAAAGGACAGACAATAAAAAGTGTTGGCCAGGATGTGAAGAAATTAAAACTCTCACACATTGCTGGTGTGAATGTAAAATGGTATAGTTGCTTTGGAAAACGACTGGCTATTTCCTCAAAAAGTTAAACATAGAATTACCATGTGTCCTAGCAATTCCATTTCTATCCAGGAAAAATTAAAACATAAGTCCACACAAAAAACTTGTACATGAATGTTTATAGCAATAACAAAAAAGTAGAAAAAAAATTTTCATCAACTGATGGAAAAATAAAATATGGTGTACTCATTGATGAAATATTATTCAGTCATATAAAAGAATGAAGTACTGATTCATGCTACAGCACAGAGGAACATTAAAACGTTATGCTATGTGAAAGAAGCCATAAAGGCCACACATTGTATAATTCCATTTATAAGAAATGTTCAGAATAAGCAAATCCATAAACACAGAGAGAGTATTAGTGGTTGTCAGGGACTATGGGGGAGGATGGATGGGAGAGTGACTACTAGAGGGTACAGGACTTAATTTTAGTGTAATAAAAAATGTTATGAAATTAGATAGTGGTAAGATTGTAAGACTGAATATGTTAAAAACCACTGACTTGTGTACTCTAAAAAGCTGAATATTCTGGTAAGTGAATTATTATCTCAATAAAATAAATAAAATACAAAGTATGGGATAGTTCCATGCTTTGTAATGGTTATATTTGACTAAATTATAGATTGTACAAAGAGAGTAATGGGAAATAAATTTTAAAATATAAATTGAAATCAAATTATAAAAGGCTTTATTAGTGAGAAGCTGTCAGTAGAGAACCATTAAAGATTTCTGAGGCCAGGCATGGTGGCTCACACCTGTAATCCCAGCACTTTGGGAGGCTGAGGCAGGTGGATCAACTGAGGTTGGGAGTTTAAGACCAGTCTGGTCAACATGGTAAAACCCATCTCTACTAAAAATACAAAAAACAACAACAACAAAAAGCCAGACGTGGTGATACATGCCTGTAATCCCAGCTACTTGAGAGGCTGAGGCAGGAGAATTGCTTGAACCTGGGAGGTGGAGGTTGCAGTGAGCTGAGATCGCGCCACTGCACTCCTGCCTGGGTGACAGAGTGAGACTCTGGCTCAAAAAAAAAAAAATTTTTTTTTTGAGAAAGTGAGGAATGTGATTAGAGCGTGGTTCAAGAAATTTAGTCTAGCATCATTTTGATTCATCTCTGCGTCTTTCCTAGCCTTTGTACTAGAGAGGACAGTGATTATGTACTTTGTAGCTTAGTTTTGTCTTAGGGAATACATATGATTTTAGAAATTTTTCAAAGGACTGGATCATATTAGCCTGGTAAATTGAATTATATGTCGTTTTGTAATAATACAATGTATATGAATATATACAAGCATTACCTCATTTCATAGGAAAGAGGTGATAGATAAAATGAGAAAAAGCGAGATTTTGGTTGTGTTTACTAATACATATTTCTGATTTGGAGAACTGGGAAGGGAAAACATAACTGTATTAGTCTAAGTCTCAATGGGTTGCTATATTAGAATAATTCACTAAGGGTTGTCAAGGACTGTGAAGGATCTGAGAATTGACCTTACCAGCAAGCTAACAAATTAACCTGCCATAGTTTCATGAATGCTGGCAGAAGACACAAGACTTTTGGGTCAGAGATAAAGGACTTTTGCATTTTATCATAGTTGATTTCAACTTTAGTTAGTGGAAGAGTTAACTAGTTACACAATTTTTAGAAATGTAATCAAATTAGTACTTGAAAGCTCCAATATATTTATTGTAAAATAAAATATTCAATGCAGAAGTTGCATAAAACCTGTTTCTCACATTGCTTTTTGAATACATGCTTAAGGGACATTTAAGAGTCTATGGCAAATGTTGGCTCTTTGGATTGAAAACCACAAGCTAAAAAAGAATATTAAGGAAATCCAAAGCAAATCACTTGATTTATACCAAGCACTCAATTTTCTCAACACAGTTCTTCAGAAGACAGTTTCAGTAAATTGTGTTAACCACAGATTCATTGTTTACAATAGCTTTCATTAATGTAACATTCCACAGTAGGGAAAAAAATTTTACAATGAGTGAGAAAACACTCTGTAATTAATTCTCCTAGTGTTTTCTACAATATTCCAAGAGATCTGTGTGGATCACAAAACAATACTGTTTTTTAAAAAAATTCTGTTCTAGAAATCACATGAAACAATCCTACCTGTAACTGCAATTGTATTTTATTTTATTTAAATCTGATGAACTGCATGGGCATACAACACAATGTGAGGGCAATTGTGCCAGCAGAATATGTCTATGATCAGGCAGTATGCTGAGAACCAGCAGGTGGGGGAAAATGAGACTTGGGGGACTACAGGGAATGAATCTGGAGGCAGCAGCAATTTTTTAGAATAATTTGAAAACCCTTTGTTTTGAAGGATTTGGTTACCTAATTAGGTTAGAGAAGCTTGTGTGCTTTGTACACAAGGAGAGATGATCTCTATGCTTTTCCTAGACTCTCAAAGCCATTTGTGTTAATTATATGACCTCCACTAAGCACTCAAGGTCTGGCCTATGATATGTTTTCTGTACTCTTCCAAATGCTCATACATTCATTATTAAGAAACTTGGCTTCAGAGCATCAGATTACTGCATTTCTTGTAAACCAGCTTAGTGGCAACAAAATCCAATTCATCTCTAGACATTGGGTTTTCTTAGATGAGCTCTTCTATTTTTCTGTCCCTTGGTTAAAGAAGAGCTGCAAATAGGTCTGCAGAGCTACTTGGTTATCAGTTTTACTTACTATCAAAAGATCTGACTGTATAACCTTTGTTCTTAGATATTTGCTGTGTGTAATTTATTTTATTTTTTGGTTACTAAAACATTTTCCTTTTTCTTAAGCAGAAATAGCACATGACTAAGAATTAGAATATGCAGTCTCTCCTTTCATCTCTTAATCCCTCACATATAACCTGATGCATTAAGATAATGCTTTTGGGAATGTGCTATGGGTTTCAACAACATGTGTGACTGCTAATGAGCTGGGATAGGCTTGGCTATGATTTCTCTAAGGCTGGAGTTCCTACGAGTGTGGAGAAATACATATTAAAGGATTAAAGATATAAGAGAATGTTCATGAACTATATCTTAACTAGTTCTTGTTTTTAATTTATTTATTTTTTGAGACAGAGTCTCACTCTGTTGCCCAGGCTGGAGTGCAGCGGCCTCATCTCGGCTCACTGCAAGCTCTGCCTCCTGGGTTCACGCCATTCTCCTGCCTCAGCCTCCCAAGTAGCTGGGACTACAGGTGCCCACCACCACGCCCGGCTAATTTTTAATATTTTTAGTAGAGATGGGGTTTCACCGTGTTAGCCAGGATGGTCTCGATCTTCTGACCTCGTGATCCACCCCCCACTCGGCCTCCCAAAGTGCTAGGATTATGGGCGTGAGCCACCACACCCGGCCTATCTTAACTAGTTCTTATGGCTGAAATAAGACAGAGAGACTGGGAACATTTCCTAACCAAAATAGGATTTGGTTAAACTTTGTATGCGGTAAGAGGAAAGGACAGACCCTCTTAGAAAACTCAGACCATTGCCCCTTGCCTCAAGACTGCACATAACATAATCCTCTTTCTGTTTTTGCCTGAATTGCCCAGATGCTCAAAGCCATTCATAATGTTCACAGTGACTATATTAATTTTTAAATTTTGGAATTATTCTCATGATTTTTTATCATATATACATATATATTGTTTGTATAGGTGGTATATGTGTGTGCATATATATAGAAAATATATACATTTACCTATAATTGCTTTTGGAAACAAGTGAGATATCAAGAACATGTTAAAGAACAGATGATGTGATTTTGTGGCTGGCAAGATGGCCGAATAGGAACAGCTCTGGTCTGCAGCTCCCAGTGAGATCAACGCAGAAGGCAGGTCATTTCTGCATTTCCAGCTGAGGTACCCAGCTCATCTCATTGGGACTGGTTAGACAGTGGGTGCAGCCCATGGAGGGTGAGCAGAAGCAGGGTGGGGCATCGCCTCACCTGGGAAGTGCAAGGGGTTGGGGAACTCCCTCCCCTAGCCAAGGGAAGTCATGAGGGACTGTGCTGTGAGGAATGGTGCATTCTGGCCCAGACATTATGCTTTTCCCATGGTCTTTGCAACCCACAGACCAGGAGACTCTCTTGGGTGCCTACACCACCAGGGCCCTGGGTTTCAAGCACAAAACTGGGCGGTTGTTTGGGCAGACACCGAGCTAGCTACAGGAGTTTATTTTTCATACCCCAGTGGTGCCTAGAATGCCAGCAAGACAGAATTGTTCACTCCCCTGGAAAGGGGGCTGAAGCCAGGGAGCCAAGTAGTCTAGTTCAGCAGATCCCACCCCCATGGAGCCCAGCAAGCTAAGATCCACTGGCTTGAAATTCTCGCTGCTAGCATAGCAGTCTGAGCTCCACCTGGGACACTCAAGTTTGGTGGGGGGAGGGGCATCCGCCATTACCAAGGCTTGAGTAGGCAGTTTTCCCCTCACAGTGTAAACAAAGCCACTGGGAAGTTCAAACTGGGCAGAGCCCACTGCAGCTTCACAAAACCACTGTAGCCAGACTGCCTCTCTAGATTCTGCCTCTCTAGGCAGGACATTTCTGAAAGAAAGGCAGAAGCCCCAGGCAGGGGTTGATAAATAAAACTCCCATCTCCCTGGGACAGAGCACCTGGGGGAAGGGGCAGCTATGGGTGCAGCTTCAGCAAGCTTAAACATTCCTGCTTGCCAGCTCTGAAGAGAGCAGCAGATCTCCCAGCACGGTGCTCGAGCTATGCTAAGGGACAGACTGCCTCCTCAAGTGGGTTCATGACCCCCTTGCCTCCTGACTGGGAGACACCTCCCAGTAGGGGATGACAGACACCTCATATAGGAGAGCTCCGGCTGGCATCTGACAGGTGCCCCTCTGGGATGAAGCTTCCAGAGGAAGGAACAGGCAGCAATATTTGCTGTTCTGCAGACTCTGCTGGTGATACCCAGGCAAACAGGGTCTTGAGTGGACCTTCAGCAAACTCTAGCAGACCTGCAGCAGAGGGGCCGGACTGTTAGAAGGAAAACTAATAAACAGAAAGGAGTAACATCAACATCAACAAAAAGGATGTCCACTCAGAAACCCCATCTGAAGGTCACCAACATCAAAGACCAAAGGTAGATAAATCCACGAAGATGAGAAAAAAACAGCTCGAAAAGGCTGAAAATTCCAAAAACCAGAACGCCTCTTCTTCTCCAAAGGATCACAACTCCTCGCCAACAAGGGAACAAAACTGGATGGAGAATGAGTTTGACAAATTGACAGAAGTAGGGTACAGAAGGTATGTAATAAACTCCTCTGAGCTAAAGGAGCATGTCCTAACCCAATGCAAGGAGGCTAAGAACCTTGAAAAAAGGTTAGAGGAATTGCTAACTAGAACACCCAGTTTAGAGAAGAACATAAATGACCTGATGGAGCTGAAAAACACAGCACAAGAATGTTGTGAAGCATATACACAAGTATCAATAGCTGAATCCATCAAGCAGAAGAAAGGATATCAGAGACTGAAGATCAGCTTAATGAAATAAAGCATGAAGACAAGATTAGAGAAAAAAGAATGAAAAGGAATGAACAAAACCTCCAAAAAATAGGGGACTATGTGGAAAGACCAAACCTACATTTGATTGGTGTACCTGAAAGTGACGAGGAGATGGAATCAAGTTGGAAAACACTCTTCAGGATATTATCCAGGAGAACTTCCCCAACCTAGCAAGACAGGCCAACATTCAAATTCAGGAAATACAGAGAATACCATAAAGATACTCCTCAAGAAGAACAACCCCAAGACACATAATCATCAGATTCACCAAGGTTGAAATGAAGGAAAATACGTTAAGGGCAGCCAGAAAGAAAGGTCGGGTTACCCACAAAGGAGAGCCCATCAGGCTAACAGTGGATCTCTCTGCAGAGACCCTACAAGCCAGAAGAGAGTGGGAGCCAATATTCAACATTCTTAAAAGAATTTTCAACCCAGAATTTCATATCCAGCCAAACTAAGCTTCACAAGCTAAGGAGAAATAAAATCCTTTACAGACGAGCAACTGCTGAGAGATTTTGTCACCACCAGGCCTACCTTACAAGAGCTTCTGAAGGAAGCACTAAATATGGAAAGGAAAACCCAGTACCAGCCACTGCAAAAACATACCAAATTGTAAAGGCCGTTGACACTATGAAGAAACTGCATCAACTAACAGGCAAAATAACCAGATAGCATCATACTGACAGGATCAAATTCACACATAACAATATTAACCTTAAATGTAAATGGGCTAAATGCCCCTTAATAGACCGATTAAAAGACACAGACTGGCAAATTGGATAAAGAGTCAAGACCCATCGGTGTGCTGTATTCAGGAGACCCATCTCATGTGCAAAGACACACATAAGCTCAAAATAAAGAGATGGAGGAAGATTTACCAAGCAAATGGAAAGCAAAAAAGGAAAAGCAGGGGTTGCAATCCTAGTCTCTGATAAAACAGACTTCAAACCAACAAAGATCAAAAAAGACAAAGGCATTACATAATGGTAAAGGGATCAATGCAACAAGAAGAGCTAACTATCCTAAATACATATGCACCCAATACAGGAGCACCCAGATTCATAAAGCAAGTTCTTAGAGACCTACGAAGAGACTTAGACTCACACACAATAATAGTGGGAGACTTTAACACCCCACTGTCAATATTAGATCAGTGAGACAGAAAATTAACAAGGATATTCAGGACTTGAACTCAGCTCTGGAGCAAGCTGACCTAATAGACATCTACAGAACTCTCCATCCCAAATCAACAGAATATACATTCTTCTCGCACCACATCACACTTACTCTAAAATTACCTACATAATTGGAAGTAAAACACTCCTCAGCAAATGCAAAAGAACGGAAATCATAACAAACAATCTCTCAGACCATAGTGCAATCAAACTAGAACTCAGGATTAAGAAACTCACTCAAAACCGAACAGCTACATGGAAACTGAACAACCTGCTCCTGAATGACTACTGGGTAAATACGAAATTAAGGTAGAAATAATGAAGTTCTTTGAAACCAATGAGAACAAAGATACAATGTACCAGAATCTCTGGGACACAGCTAAAGCCGTGTTTAGAGGGAAATTTATAGCACTAAATGCCCACAAAAGAAAGCAGGAAAGATTTAAGATAGACACCCTAACATCACAATTAAAGGAACTAGAGAAGCAAGAGCAAACAAATTCAAAAGCTAGCAGAAGACAAGAAATAACTAAGATCATAGCAGAACTGAAGGAGATAGAGATACGAAAAACCCTTCAAAAAATCAATTAATCCAGAAGCTGGTTTTTTGAAAACATTAACAAAATAGACTGCTAGCCAGACTAATAAAGAAGAAAAGAGGGAAGCATCAAATAGATACAATAAAAAATGATAAAGGGGATATCACCAGTGATCCCACAGAAATGCAAACTACCATCAGAAAATACTATAAACACCTCTACACAAATAAACTAGAAAATCTAAAAGAAATGGATAAATTCCTGGACACATACACCCTCCCAAGACTAAACCAGGAAGAAGTTGAATCCCTTAATAGACCAGTAACAAGTTCTGAAATTGAGGCAATAATTAATAGCCTGCCAACCAGGTAGGCTATTAAAAAAAAAAAAGCCCAGGACCAGATTCACAGCCGAATTCTACCAGAGGTACAAAGAGGAGCTGTACCATTCCTTCTGAAACTATTCCAAACAATAGAAAAAGAGGGACTCCCCCCTAACTCATGTTTAACTCATTTTACTCCTCCCAGCATCATCCTGATACCAAAGTCTGGCAGAGACACAACAAAAAATGAAAATTTCAGGCCAATATCCCTGATGGACATTGATGCAAAATCCTTAATAAAATACTGACAAACCCCAAATCCAGTGGCACATCAAAAAGCTTATCCACCACAATCAAGTCAGCTTCATCCCTGGGATGCAAGGCTGGTTCAACATGCACAAATCAATAAACGTAGTCCATCACGGAAACAGAACCAATGACAAAAACCACATGATTATTTCAATAGATACAGAAAATGCCTTCAATAAAATTCAACACCCCTTCATGCTAAAAACTCTCAATAAACTAGGTATTGATGGAACATAGCTCAAAATATTAAAAGATATTTATGACAGACCCACAGCCAATATCATACTGAATGGGCAAAAGCTGGAAGCATTCCCTTTGAAAACTGGCATAAGACAAGGATACCCACTCTCACCACTCCTATTCAACATAGTATTGGAAGCTCTGGCCAGGGCAATCAGGCAAGAGAAAGAAATAAAGGGTATTCAAATAAGAAGAGAGGAAGTCAAATTGTCTCCGTTTGCAGATGACATGATTGTATATTTAGAAAACCCCATCATCTCAGCCCAAAATTTCCTTAAGCTGATAAGCAACTTCAGCAAAGTCCCAAGATACAAAATCAATGCGGAAAAATCACAAGCATTCCTATATACCAATAATAGACAAACAGAGAGCCAAATCATGAGCCAAATCCCATTCACAATTGCTACAAATAGAATAAAATACCTAGGAATCCAACTTACAAGGGATGTGAAGGACCTCTTCAAGGAGAACTACAAACCACTGCTCAAGGAAATAAGAGAGGACAAATGGAAAAACATTCCATGTTCATGGATAGGAAGAATGAATATCGTGAAAATGGCCATACTGCCCAAAGTAATTTATAGATCCAATGCTATCCCCATCAATCTACCATTGACTTTATTCACAGAACTAGAAAAAATTACTTTAAATTTCATATGGAACCGAAAAAGAGCCCACATAGCCAAGACAATCCTAAGCAAAAAGAACAAAGCTGGAGGCATCACGCTACCTAACTTCAAACTATACTATAAGGCTACAGTAACCAAAACAGCATGGTACTGGTACCAAAACAGATACATAGACCAATGGAACAGAACAGAGGCCTCAGAAGTAATGCCACACATCCACAACCATCTGATCTTTGACAAACCTGACAAAAACAAGAAATGGGGAAAGGATTCCCTATTTAATAAATGGTGTTGGGAAAACTGGCTAGCCATATGCAGAAAACTGAAACTGGACCCCTTCCTTACACCTTATACAAAAATTAACTCAAGATGGATTAAAGACTTAAATGTAAAACCTGAAAGTATAAAAATCCTAAAAGAAAACCTAGGCAATACCATTCAGGACATAGGCATGGGCAAGGACTTCATGAATAAAACACCAAAAGCAATGGCAACAAAAGCCAAAATTGACAAATGGGATTTAATTAAACTAAAGAGCTTCTGCACAGCAAAAGAAATTATCATCAGAGTGAACAGGCAACCTACAGAATGAGAGAAAATTTTTGCAATCTATTTATCTGACAAAGGGTTAATATCCAGAATATACAAAGAACTTAAACAAATTTATAAGAAAAAAACAACCCCATCAAAAAGTGAGCGAAGCATATGAACAGACATTTCTCAAAAGAAGACATTTATGTGGCCAACAAACATATGAAAAAAAGCTCATCATCACTGGTCATTAGAGAAATGCAAATCAAAACCACAATGAGATACCGTGTCATGCCAGTTAGAATGGTGATCATTAGAAAGGCAGGAAACAACAGGTGCTGGAGAGGATGTGGAGAAATAGGAACATTTTTACACTGTTGGTGGGAGTGTAAATTAGTTCAACCATTTTAGAAGACAGTGTGGTGATTCCTCAAGATCTAGAACCAGAAATACCATTTGACCTAGCAATCCTATTACTGGGTATATACCCAAAGGATTATAAATCATTCTATAAAGACACACGCACACGTATGTTTATTACAGCACTATTCACAATAGCAAAGACTTGGAACTGACTCAAATACCCATCAATGACAGACTGGATAAAAAAATATGGCACGTATATACCATGGAATAATATACAGCCATAAAAAAGGATGAGTTAATGTCCTTTGCAGGGGCATGGATGAAGCTAGAAACCATCATTCTCAGCAAACTAACACAGTAACAGAAAACCAAACACTGCATGTTCTCATTCATAAGTGGGAGTTGAACAGTGAGAACATGTGGACACAGGGAGGGGAATATTACTTACTGGGGCCTGTGGTGGGGTGGGGGGCTAGGGGAGGGATAGCATTAGGAGAAATACCTAATGTAGATTGACGGGTTGATGGGTGCAGCAAACCATCATGGAACATGTACATCTATATAACAAACCTGCATGTTCTGCACATGTATTCCAGAACTTAAAGTATAATAATAATAAAAAGAACAGATGATGTATCCAGAATGATTTTTTTTTCTGTCTATAACCTTTAGTTAGCAATTTCTATCAAGGCAATGCTAAACTCATTATGAACAGGAAATAGATGATACAAAACAAAGCAAATTAAAAAATAGGTCTGGGCCAGGTGTAGTGGTTCATGCCTGTCATCCCCGCACTTTGAGAGGCTGAGGGGGGAGGATTGCTTGAGGCCAGGAGTTTGAGATCAGCCTGGGCAACATAGTGAGACCTCATCTCTTAAGAAAAAAAAAAATTTGCCAGGCATGGTGTCTCACACCTGTAGTCCCAGCTACTTGGGAGGCTGAGCTGGGAGGATCATTTGAGCCCAGGAGTTGGAGACTATAGTGAGCTATGGTTTCACCACTGCACTCTAGCCTGGGCTACAGCCTGAGACCCTTACTCTAAAACAAACAAACAAACAAACAAACAAACAAACAAACAAAAAGTCTTAGGAGAGCTGATTACAGTTTAGCGGAAGCAGCCTTTTGACTTTCCCTTCTTTTAATACCAGGGATTTTACTTAGATTGCAAAACTGTGGATGTTTTGTGGCAACTTGGAGTCTCAACATCTATTAGCAAAAAAGTAAGAGGATTGTAATTACAGTCTAAGCTTCGGAGCTGGTTGGGCCTGACATTTGAGAAAATGGATAAGGCCAGCCCTTTGTCTCCCTCTGCCCCCACCCGCTTCCCTCTCTGGGACCCAAGCTCTCTTGCTGCCCAGCCAAACCTGTCGTCTTGAGAAGGCACTGAAGCTGCTGACCCTTTCTGCTCTGCCCACCAAAATATAACCACCCACAGTCTCTGTTCAGAGATGGAATCCAGTGAGATACCTATAATACATTCACAGTAGATGTCAGATAATAGAAGAACTCACTCTTCTCATATCACATGGGAAACACACTGTTGTCGCCTTTCCATCCTGTTTCAACAATTCAGATTATCTCAAGATTCAGAAGCTGCGATGTTAAATTAGGGGTCAACTGTCCCTTGCCCCCCTCCCTTGTGACCTCACTTTCCTGTCTCTCATTGATACTTGCTGTCTGCAAATAACCTGGACTCTGGGTACTTTTTTCATGTGAAAGGAAGGATTTTGAGCTCTTTTTGGCTAAAGTTGATAAGAAGGATTGGAAAGTAGCTTAGTTCCTAATTGAGGTTCTCTCCCTGTCTCTAAATATAAATAGAAAAACTCATGGAACATTTGTGAGAGAAGAGTTATATGTTTAGTTGCTTAGAACATTTTATTTTAGAAATAAATATTTAGGGATACAGCCATTCATGGTGTTTTCATGAACTTATCCCTTATGAATGCATATGATATGTTCATTCACCTCTTTGTAGAAGCTTTGATCGTTTTGCACAAAACAGGAAGTAGTAGTAGTGGCAGTATGGATTTGGGAGGGTGAAGTTAGCTTTGGCCAGGTGATCTCTGCATATCAGACTATTAAAGGCAGCGCCTTTACAGAATGTTGGCTGGGCTGTGACTCATGCTTTGCTTTGCACTCCCTAAAGAGGCTTTATGTATCGCCTCTTTGTCCTTTCCCAAGTCATTTGAAAATAAATAGAAGAGAGAATAATGTGATCAGGGGCTCTAATTGTATTTATTGCTTATGTAGGGTTGTAGTAGATACAGGGATGTTTCCTTATTCTTTATGTCTTGCACATCTGAAATGTGTCATAATAAATGATATTTTAAAAAACTAAACAGAACAACTAGTTTTGGGAATTTGTCCTACATAGTCATATGACTCATCTGCATAGATCCTAATATGATCATAGCTTGGCCATTTCCATTTTTTCTGTTTTTCTCCTTCTTAAACACAAGTGGAATTTTTATTTTATTTATTTATTTATTTTTTGCGTTTTTCAATCTTGGATAGGACTAGTTGCTTCCCACCTTTTCTGAGGTACAGAAAAAAATAAGTGCGTGCTGCCATTTGCTTAAAGATCAGCAGTTTCCATCTCTGCAGGTCAGAAAGGAAGTGAATACAATGTATTGGATCAATAAGCACAGATATTTGCAATACTAACTATACCAATTTCAAAAACACAGTAAGTTGTATATTTAATTGAAAGTTCAGAAAGGACAAACAGTAGATGACAGCTAATACAGTTTGAAAAGAATGTTTAAAATGTGCAGACAAAAGATTATTTGCCTATAAACAAGATTGATAATTTATAATCATGTGATGGATTGAATCTCTTTCATAAATATTTGAATAAGATGGGATCAAGGCAGTAAAGTTGATCATGAAGCTTTACCTTGTCAATCCTCATGAGTGTTGACAATACCTGTTGGGAATAAACCCTGTAGCCTGGCTGACCAACTGATATCTATATCCCAATCCACTGGCACATCAATAATTTTTGTAAAGTAAAAAGAAAAAGAGGGAGAGGGAACTGTTTGTTTGATGGTGGATGGAGAAAGTGTCCCAGGAAAGAAAGCTACATGCTGGTGTCTTAGTGGCAGCCAGGACCACCCTGTGTGGACATGTAGTTTGTACTCTGCATGACTCCTGGGGGCATCATTCACATAGATTCCTAAAGGAATGACGCTCTCTATGGTTGTACAATCTCAGCCCTAGTGGTAATCATTTATTTGGCAATCTGGAAATGTTTCCAGAAGTATCCCTTGTGAAGGACAAAGGTCTACTGTGTATCTTGCATATTTCATTATTAACCCTGTGACTTGTGCTGAGTAACTACTTAATATCTATTCAGTGCTAAAATAAGAGAAAGGCAACTTTAAAAAAAAAACCTTTTTGAGACATAATTCACATATTATAAAGTTCACCTGCCTATAGTATACAATGATTTTTAGTATATTCATGGAGTAGTGCAACTATCACCACGATCAATTTTGAAACATGTCATCACCACCCCACCCCCAGAAAAATAAACCTCATGCCCATTAACAGTCATTCTCTGTTCCTCTCTTGCCCCAGCTCCTGGCAACCACTTATCTACTTTCTGTCCCTACAGATTTGCTGATTCTGGACATTTCATATAAATAGAACCATATACTGTGTGGCTTTTGGTGGCAAGTTTCTTGCACTTAACGTAGTGTTTTCAAGGTTTATCCATGTTGAAGTAGCATATATCAGTACTTTATTTCTTTTTTATTGCCAAGTTATATTCCACTGTATGGCTATACCACATTTTATTTATCCATTCTTTAGTTGGTGGACATCTGAGTTGCTTCTACTTTTTTGGCTATTATGAATAGTGCTGTTGTGAATATTCATGTACATTTTGTTTGTGTGGACATAAGCTTTTAATTCTCTTAGGCATATATCTAGGAGTGAAATTGCTGGAGAGAAAGGCAATTTTAATTTAGAAATCTCTACATTATTTGCTTTTATATTTAAAGTCATCTTATTAATGGTATATATCTGGCTTGGCTG
Organism: Homo sapiens; assembly: GCF_000001405.40. Taxonomy (NCBI): domain Eukaryota; kingdom Metazoa; phylum Chordata; class Mammalia; order Primates; family Hominidae; genus Homo; species Homo sapiens. Next base: position 76,487,570 of record NC_000004.12, read on the forward strand.
GTAATTCTGGGTCCTGTATCAAACCTCCGCCTTACAATCCCCATCCATGTTGTGAGCCGGTAGGTGAACCACAGAAAATTGAAATGTACTACTGGGTTAGTCTCTTTGAACAGGGTCATACTTACATTGAATTCACTCTGATTTATTATTTTGCTACTGCACTTGGAACACAGACAGTATTCACTAAGAATTGGAACTATAGACTAGAAACAGAGGTTCCCTGTTTTCATTAGTCAACTCTCAAAGGATGGAAGCAGCCAATTTCAGACTATTCTAGGGCTCTTGCTCTCTTAGTTGCTTGCCATCCTTCTTTCTTTTGGCCTTTTTGCATTTCATTAGTGTCACTTACAGAGCTAAGAGAACACAGATAATTCATCCAAAGTATTTTTATAGTCTTTAGGTGAAAAGAACTTTTAATATGTGTGTCATCTTGGTTTCTATGTCCCTTGTAAATTATGTTGTTTACCCTGAAACTATGAAGAAGCTGCAGTTGACTTCCTTCAACCTAATCTTAGCTTCTAGTATTGTGCTATTGGAGTTATTATTGAGGATGATAAAAAGAGTGTATAGTATTGAAGGCAAATTGTTTAAGTGTGTAAATTATAATTTGTTTTTTTTAAAGGGGGTTCACTAACAGACTAAGGACCATCAGAAAGATTTTTTTAAATAGACCATATTTTTAGCAACGTTACACATAGTTGTAGTGGTTATGACTTTGCAAAATAAACATCGTCTTAGAATTGAGGTCCTAGAATTAATGGACTTAAGTCTGATTTTTAATGGGCCAAAGCTATTTAAACTGTACATGCATTAACAATTTTCTTAGTGGCATGTATACTTGAGTAGGAGGTTATAAAGAGTAGACAATGAGAATGATGCTGTTTGACTTTTAAAGGGAACATTGTTTCATTGGAGAGGAATAAAATATGGACTTCTCTTTAAGCAAGGCAGTTTGCATTTCTGTTGGCCAGATTTCTTGAGAATGTGATAAAGCATTAGCCCCACCATTTCCAGCATCCTCCATTTAATTCTTCTTAGACTCTTTTCCACAGAATGAAATTGATTGATTCATGGCTGAGGGTTTGAAAAGAGAGCCTTGGGGAAAATTTTAAGAAGTGTTCCAGGAGGCCATAAAGACTGTTGACAGGTGGCCAAGCCCAGGAAAAAAGTATTAGTAATAACAACAGCTCACCCTACATAGCTCTTAATCATATGTCAGGCAGTGCACTAAACACGTTACATGTACTAACTCATGTGATTCTCACAACAATCCTATGAGGTCAAAACTTGTTTTTATCCCCAATTTAGATGAAGGAATTAGGGCACAAATAGGTTAAGGCAATTGTTCAAGGTCACACAGCCACAATGTGAGCCCAGGTGGTCTAGTTCCAGAGTCAGTACTAACCACTAAGTGTGCAGATTACTAGAAACTTGGAGACACTCCAACTCCTGAATATGGTGCCTAGCCAGGGCTCTGGAGGAAGCAGGCAGGGCAGGGCCCAGGTCCCTGCCAGCACTTTGCCAAAATGAACTGGTGAACTGAGGCACTGTCATGACCTTTGCTGCTTGAATAATTTCAGACGGCAAAAGAAGCCCAGTCATGTGAAATTCCTTTGTGGCTAGAAGATGTCAACAGGCACAGATCTAGCTCATCTTTCAAGATATGCAATTTTTTTTCTTAACAGAATGAATGCTCCTGTATATAATATTGTCCTTTATGGTGGCTGGTTCATAGAAACTGACAAAGAAGTCAAATTAAGAGCAGTTAAAAGTTAAAGATGTAAAAGTTAAGTCACAAGACCCAAGTAGAGTGAGAAGAAGGTAATTTGTGTGTCTGTTTAATCCCTGGCATGACCTTTAATCTCTGCTACTTAAAAATTACAGATGCAATCTTAACTATGGCATAATGAAACAAAGACCACCACTTCTTTTTTCTTTCTGCTTTTTGAAGTTGCGCAGATGTCAGAGGAAGATAAATAAATACTGTTAACAGCTTCTGGAAGCATAATGTGCTTTGAAAGAGTGAGTCAAAGCTCGAGCCAGGGTTTATGGCCTCAGCAAGTCGAGGTTTTCCTGATGACAAAATGAGGCCTTGGGGTTTTGGAGGAAGCTTTCTTGAAGAATGAGCACAGCCAAGAATGGTGCTACACTTGGGACTCTCCTTTGTCAATAGAAAAAGACAAAGGACCCGTTTATAAAATGGATATCAAGTAGCAGATTAGAGGGACATAGTTGTGTCACCGGTATGATGGTCGTAACTGCAAGTTGTCCAGGTTCTTGGTGTTTTGAACAAAGAATTGGACAAAACGCCCAGCAAAGCAAAGAAAGAATGAGGCAACAAAAGAACAAAAGCAGGGATTTATTGAAAACGAAAGTACCCTCCACAGTGTGGGGGCGGGCTGAGCAGCAGCTCAAGGGCCTGGATATAGAATCTTCTTGGGTCCAAATACTCCCTAGAAGTTTCCCATTGGCCACTTCATGCTCACTTCATGTAAATGAAGTGGTAGCATGCAATCAGTCTGATTGGTTACAGAAAGCCAACCAGAGGCTGAAGTGAAGTTACAAAGGTCACACTCCTGTGCAAACATCTGGTTGGTTGCAAAAAGCAACCAATCAGAGGCTAGAGTGAAGTTACAAAGTTATACTTCTATGAAAAGGAAGACTTAGCCGGCAATCAGTCTGACTGGTTGTGGACAGCAACCATTCAGAGGCTGGAGTGGAGTTACAAAATTACAAATGAAGACTTGACCGGCAATCAGTCTGATTTGTTGTGGACAGCCAGTTTCCCATCTGACATGCAGAAAAGGCAGGGGGTTTGCAAAGGGAGTAGCTTCTGGTCTTTTTGTATTTTTTTTTCTTTTTTTTAGTAGAGACGGGAGTTTTCACCATGTTAGCCAGGATGGTCTCAATCTCCTGACCTCGTGATCTGCCTGTCTCGGCCTGTCAAAGTGCTGGGATTACAGGTGTGAGCCACCGCACCCGGCTGCTTCTGGTCCTTTTATTACTTAGGCATGAAAAGTTAGGGTTTTCCTTTCAATTTAGTCCTAGGAAGTTGGCGTGAAACAGCCTTAGGTTCCCTGCCTCCAGACCCTATTCTCCTGCCTCAGTTGAATTGTATTTCAGCAATTGAAATCAGCTAATCGAGGACAGACACCTCATATATGTTACCCACCTACTCTCCCTAATATGTAGAATGCCTATATATAAAAATAATAGCAAGAAACAATAATTACAACTTATTGACACCATGTGTGCCCTGTACTAGCATCACCTCCATTTTATGTGGGAAAGAACTGTGTTGGAGGGTGAAGTCACTAGCCCATATTACACAAGTCTTTTAACTACAGAGTCAGCTTTCTTAACCACTGGAGCCCATTGGGGTTGGAATAAGGCTTTGGAATATCTTCTGGGGTTAACGGGGGAATTCTTGAAAGTTTTCTCAATAGGAAAGTCACGAAAAAGTGGTATCGCTGCTGGAAGGCAGGATGGTTTGGCAACTTTTGAACTGTGGTCTGACTGTGAAGTGATAAGAGTCTGAATTAATATGCTCAATTAGAGTCAAAAGGAGAGGCAAGATGGAAGACTCCCTGAGAAGGAATGGGTGATCCTTGAGACATGGGCACTGACCAGATGTGGGAATTAGGGAAAGGAGGGAGTCAAAGATGAATCCAAGATCTCCAGAGTAGTGTTAGAATGCTTGTGCCATGAATAGAAATGGGGAAATAGGAGATTAAGCCAATTTGGAAAGACTTCTTGGCCTGTGTTGGTGGCAGGGCACTGCCCCACAAAGCATACTGGTTAGTGGGAAATGTGGCAGCTCTTTCTTCATTGTCAGAGCCTTTGTTTTACTACACAGAAGCTTAAAACGCTGGATGCTTGCTTTCCTAGACTCCCTTGCATGTGACTGAGATCCAGTCATGAGGCACAGGTGGATACTTATTGGAAAGATTTTTCTCTCTGATAATAAAAAGTCTAGCAAGAAAAACCTCTTCCTGCTTTGGGTTTCAAATGCAAGGATACCATGATGTCATGCGAGGAGCTGCTGCAGCCATTTTGCAGTCTTGAGGGACAGACCAAGAAAATTAGGGGAAGCTGACTCAGAGCCCTGACACTGGGGAGCCCCTGAAACAACACCAGGACCGTCTGCCTCTCTTATGTGAAAAAAGCACCCCCCAACCCTGGTCAAGCCATTTTTAGATGAGTTATTTTGTGATTTGCAGCCAGAGCATCCAAATTGATGCAGACTTTGTGCAGGTCACAGATCACCTTGATCTGAGCTTTGCTGTGTTTTCTATTTTGGATATTAATTTTGGAAAAACACCATGTGGGAAATGATCATCACAATTGCCCACTGAAGCCTCCAAAATAGTAAGAGTTCCAGAAAGAGAGAGAGAGAATGCACTTTGGATACCATTTCTAGAAAATGAGGGCTTTTTAACAAAAGTCTGTAAAGGCCGAACAGCCTGGCCCAGATCTTAGGCCCGCTTTGCTGCTAGGTGAGAGCCTCTGTTAGGTTTCAATAGTGCAATGTGCTTCTCAAATGACAACGGGGCCCATTAGTAAATTAAACATTCCCATAGCCCCTAGATACAAACTGGGCGAAAGAAGTATTTTCCGTTTTCAGAACTGCTGCTCTTTTCATTTGCTTCTTCCCACCTTCCTTGACATTTGCTGGTGTCTGCTGCCAGGAAGGCATGTTTAGCTCAGTGATGGATGTGCACTAATGAGAATTAGCCTGCTTTGTGGAGCTTTTGAATCAGAGCAAGTATGCTGTTCTGAAGGGCTGAATGACTGGTTGATTGAAAAGTAATTGATTGCAGAATTTCAAAATGAGATTCAAAAGGTACATTACAAACTAGATTTCACAAAAGCCAACTTTCTTTGTCATGTTCTTCTTTTCGGTCATTTTATCCTTTTTAAGTTTACAAAATTATTTTAGAATTTAGTACCAACTTCACCATCTGATTCCTGAAGCTTGGGGTATTATATACATATAAAGTTTATGATAAATTCTCATGATAAGGAAAAAAAACCCTATGCTACATAGATTCTAGTCCTGACTCCGCATTAATAACTGCCACTCAGGGAAAATTGTTTAACTTTTCTGAGCTCCCATTGTTGTTGATAAAAATGTTTGAATAAATCATGCATGAGATCCTATACACGTGAACTTAGACTTTCTATGGTAAGACACAGATTCTCATATTCTACATGGTATTGGGCTGGGGGTCTTCCCTATGCTCCTCTCTGAGAAAACACTCCTGCAGACAGAGAGCAGGCAAAGAAGCCTCTTGCTAGAGGAGTAATCTCAACAAAATTTGGTTTTGATCGTGGGATTCTGGGTGGAGATGCTAGATAAAAGATGATGCAGTTGGGCACGGTGGCTCACGTCTATAATCCTAGCACTTTGGGAGGCCAAGGTGGGTGAATCACCTGAGGTCAGGAGTTCGACACCAACCTGACCAGCATGGTGAAACCCCATCTCTACTAAAAATACAAAAATTAGCTGGCCATGGTGGTGGGTGTCTGTAATCTCAGCTACTCGGGAGGCTGAGGCAGGAGAATTGCTTGAACTCGAGAGGCGGCGGTTGCAGTGAGCCAAGATCGTGCCACTGCACTCCAGCCTGGGCAGCAACAGGAGTGAAACTCCATCTCAAAAAAAAAAAAAAAAAAAAAAAATGCCTAGTTACATTTGAATTTCAGATAAACAAGGATTTTATTTTTAGTATAAGTATGTCCCAAACATTGCATGTGGTATATTTATACTAAAACATTATTCATTGTCTAGTTGAAATTTGAATTTAGCTGGGAGTCCTGTATTTGTATTGGCTAACTCTGGCAACCCTGATTCTGAGAGGAATAATTGATGGTAATGGCCTGAGCCTAAATTGCTCAAAATAAGCAAAGAGGAGCTGCAGAGGATTCTTAGGTCTTGATAGATATGGTGTCCTGGGAGGGGCTGAGTAGGTTCGGCTAAAGGTGAGGGGAGTGAAGGGACTAAGATACATATTAGGAGCCTGGCTAGGACGAGAACCCTCCCTCCTTTCTTCCTCACGCATTCTTAAGTATCTCCTCTACCCACTTTGCTTTTATAAACCTTAATTAGCTTTAACGTAAAGTGAAAATATTGGCCGGGTGTGGTGGCTCATGCCTGTAATCCCAACATTTTGGGAGGCCAAGGTGGGCGGATCACAAGGTCAGGAGTTCGAGACCAGCCTGGCCAACATGGTGAAAGCCTGTCTCTACTAAAAATACAAAAATTAGCCGGGCATGGTGGTGGCCACCTGTAATCCCAGCTACTCAGGAGACTGAGGCAGGAGAATCGTTTGAAACCGGAAGGCAGAGGTTGCAGTGAGCTGAGATTATGCCACTGCACTCCAGCTTGGGCAACAAGAGTGAAACTCCATCTCAAAATAAATAAATAAAGTGAAAAGATTAACTTTCTATGATAGGCTGTCGTTTTGGCATCCTTTTTACGGTCCTTGTTCCTAATTTTGAAATGAGTGGGTGGACCTTATTTTTCTCATTCTCCCTGCTCACGGCCCCCTCCCTAATTCAATTAATATCTGCTGGTGTGTGCCCCAGATTGATTTTTTTTTTTTTTGCCCTCTGTGGACTAGTTATTTCTCAACAGAAAAATGATTGCCAAATTTCTGAAATTCTTTTCTAAACTTCTGAACCTTTTCAGGTGTTATTTATGCTCATCATTCAGTTGTTTGTACATTCTTCACTCACATAGCAAATCTTTAGGAAGTAAAAGAATTGCACTAGGGTTTTACCCTGGTATGTAGCTGTGTGGAGCACTTCAGAGGCAGAATTAACATTGTGCGCTACTAGTTTTATTCCTGTTTGTCAAACAAGATCACTTAACACCTCTGCATTGGGTAACCATGCTTTCCCATGAAGCGAGAGGACTGCTGAGCTTGAGCAATGGCGGGGACCTCTCCCAGATGGTAAGTGTTTTAGGGCACAAGGTCATTATATTAAAAGTAGCAAGAGAATGAACGGGAATCAGGCGGAACATACTGATACTGACACATGTGTGGCACAAGAAATTGCTAAGGTAGGTGCCTGATCGTAAGGGGGTGTCCCCTCCAAATATTGGCACTTGAAAGCAGCCACAAAACCTGGTATTTTAGTTATTTATCCTGAGGGTGAGTAGTGGGAGGGACCTTTCGTGGTACCCTCTGTGTGGTGCTTGCTGTGGTCCTTGTGTTGTAGCCTTTGATGTCCAATGTGCAAGATACAGAATTTGGCAAATAGAGGTCGTTTGTCAAGGTTGGTTCTAAAGGGGCTGCCTAAGTTTGTCATCTATGCAACATAATTCAAAGGCCTGTTCTGTTAAAAAACAAACAAACAAACAAACTCTTAACTACCTCAGAACCACGAGTGAATGCAGAACATTTATTCAGAACAGCTTTCTTCTATTTAGGCACCAAGGCTACTAAAAAGAAAATGATGGCCCCACCATCTGGGAGCTTACAAAATTAAGCAGATGGTTAAAATGCAGTGTAACAAGAGGTGTGGTGATAGATCACACTGGGTTAGGAGCCTGCTGGAGGCACGCAGTACACTGAGGACTTCCGCAAAGAGAGAAGCCTGTAGACGCAGGAGATTGTAAGCGTGGACACTGTAAAAGCTGCTATTGGTGCCATGCCCAGGTCCCCTTAACTGGATTGGTATCCCCAGCTGTAAGCTGTTGTATTGGCTGCTGAGGCTCACAGCTGCACTCTCTTGTGGAAAATTGTGTTCTGCTGAAAGGAGCAAAAAAAATGAGGTTACATACCTTCCCCCCAGGGATGGCCTAGAACCAATGACTGATCAATAAGAAAGTACAAAAATCTGGCCTTCTTGCATCAAAGCAGACAACTCTGTGTGCCCTTCCTGCTCCAGAGATCTGATGCAATCAGGCTGAGAACAGACTTCAGCTGGAACCACATTTTCACTTCTGTGCCTTTCTGCTTCCTTCATTGCCCTATAGGATTCTCCCAAGAACATCCCTCAGTACATCGCTTGTAATGAATCCCTGTCTCTGACTCTGCTCCTAGGAAACCCCTGATAGCAGAGAAGCAGAAGTTGAGCTATTCTGGTGTTCAGGGCTCATTTTTCCTGATGTGGGGAGAGGGAATAGACGAAGTGGTTGGGAACATTGGTGAAGGTCTGATGTGAGGCATGTGAGCAATGTGGAGAATGGGAGCAGTGTCTGATATCAACTTAGGTGAGAGACTACCATATGTGTATGGCACCAGTCTGTATTGTGGTATCATTTTCTTCAGCACTCAGCAGCCTGGGGTATAAAAACACAGACATAGATGACACAAGGTTGTAGTTCTGGCAGGCGGATGCCATAGGAAGTCAAGGAACCAGGCACGACAAGAAAGGACTTGAAGATAGGAAGGAATGACTAGTTTGAGAGAAAATGGAGGTGTCAGTGGACCAAAGCTGTTCATACAATGGAAGAATATGTGTGATGACCAAAATACAGGTAACAAGTGTCAAGATTAGGAGGCTAGGCTAGTGTGTTGAGAGTTTGGAACAGGAGAACTTAAGATTTGAAGGTTTAAGCATTTCTGCCTAATGACATGTCTAGGATATGCCACAGCACAGGTGTGTGAGTGAATTGGAGGGTGTGCTTCTGGGGTGAGGAGGGCAGGGCACTGCAGTGTTAGGGAGCTGGATGGGCCATCCTCTTGGACACTGCCAGCACTGAGCCACAGTAGTGGTCCAAGGAATTCACACTGCACATGCAGCTGTTACCTGCCCCAAGTCCCAGAGATGCCATCACTTCCTGTGTCAGGCCTTCGTGGAGCAGGTGTCCCTAATGAAGGCAGTGGGCAAAGACAAATGACTTGGAGGTATGGAATTTCCCAAGGAGACCCTTTTGTGGTGGTATAGAAACCAAACCACTTGTTAACAGGTTAAATATTTCCCATCTTTCTGTTTTCATGCTGACATAGGTGTTCTTGGACTCATTGACCCTCCTGGTAAATCTCCCAGTCAGGAGAGTTCCACCCTTATTGGATCTCATTCCATCATCCTCCTATGTATTTCGACTTGCTGTCCTTGTCTCCTAATCATCTCAATGACCCAGGCATTGAAGAATGAAGAGTGCCATGATATTGTAAGAGAAGCAGTTTGATGTAGTAGACAGGGTCATGCTTTTCCTTCTGCCTGGATTGTTCCCTATTCCCTTCCTCATTCAGTCAATTCTTACTCATCCTTTCCATTTGGCTTAAATGTCTCTCTTCTCCCCAGAGTATTTCAGAGTCCACTTCTGTATTATATACTCTCAAAGCACCTTATTCCCCTTTGTGACTCTTATCACAATTATAATTAAACAAACAAAAAGATTATTTCATTGCTTAAGGTCTATCTGACTTGATAGCATGTAACCTCTATAAGGATAAGGCTGTCTGTGTTATCCCTAGCTGCTAGCATGGTGCCTTACATAAAGAATGTGCTTAATAAATATTTGTAGAACAAATAAGAGACGTATATGGAACTGAGAGTCCATTTCTGTTTTAAGGCATGTTCCTATTTAGCTGTGTGATCTTGGACAAGTCACTTCAGCTCTCTGAGCAAAATAACTTCTTACTCACTTTAACATTGTATGATTTCTGATTTCACAGTCTATCAGCCAAACACCTTAACAACTCTTAATCCCAACAGTATGTCTGGGCTAACTAAAAGCATTCATCTGGAACTTCTTAAAGTAGCTTGTTCCTAGAGAAACTATTTTTCCTTGTGTTTCAGTAATCTCTTTCTAAGTAAAAAATAATTCCCACATTTAGTGGCTTAAAACAATAATTTGCTCTCTCAAATAAACAAGAAAAAAGTAATAATAAAGATCAGAGTGGAAATCAATAAAATAGAAAAATAAAAACAGAGGAACATAACATAGAGACTGTGCAATGTTTGGGGAAAGAATATCCAAGGCAGAGGTACTGCTAATCCACAGGTCCTACAGCAAGGCATGCCTGACATGTTTTTTAAAATCAGAAAAGAGGGCTGGGTGCAGTGGCTCATGCCTGTAATCCCAGCACTTTGGGAGGCTGAGGTGGGCAGATCACCTGAGGTCAGGAATTCGAGACCAGCCTGGCCAACATGGTGAAACCCTGTCTCTACTAAAAATACAAAAATTATCTGGGCGTGGTGGCAGGCACCTGTAATCCCAGCTACTTGGGAAGCTGAGGCAGGAGAATCACTTGAACCTGGGAGATGGAGGTTGCAGTGAGCCGAGATTGCGCCACTGCACTCTAGCGTGGGCAACAGAGCAAGACTCCGTCTCAAAAATAAATACATAAATAAAATAATAAAAAGATAAAATAAAATAAAAATCAGGAAAGAGGTCGTGCATGGCTGGAGCAGAGCACCCAAAGTGTATCGAGCCCCTGGTCAATGTGAGGACTTCGGCTTTTCCTTTGAGTATGATGGGAAACCCCTGGATGGTTTTAGCAGGGAAGCAATGCAATTTGAAGTCATCAGCTCTCTCCTTCTGTGTCAATTATAGTTTGTTCTCTTGCCTCTAGTCATACAAAGTTGTATTTCCCTGGATTGTGAGACAGAAAAATCTAATTCTATATGATCAGAGATAGGCTGTTGCTTTGGGCAGGTTTTTATTTCATGTTTATAGATTAAGAGTTTGCACTTTCAGTTCCCAGGGAGTTCACACAGATGGGGTGACTGCTTTGTCTTAATTGCAATTGTCATGATGTATGCGTACTTTCCTAGAACTGGACTGAGGCTCAGATGGATAGATAGTTCAAGGAAGATAGATTAACAGAGAGAGGGAGGGAGAAAGAAAGAGAGAGAGAATAGATTAAATGGATGGATGGATGGTTAGATTAACAGACGGACAAAATAAATGGATGATGATAGGAGGAGGAGAGAGCTCGTCCTCTTTGAGGCAGTGTATAAGGAGGACTGGTTGACTTTTTCTTTCTTTGTGAATCACAAACAGAGTTTAGAAGTGGTATGTTTTCATTAACGCTACCTTAATTAATATCCCCTTAATCATCAAGTATATTCCATTTTGACAAAATAGAAACTGAATTCCTTCTTATCTCCCAAAGGCAATGGAAAGGCTAGAGAGAGCTGGCACTGTGCTATTACAAGCAGATGAGAGGCATATTTGCTGAATAACGAGAGTAGCTAACAGTACTGAACTTTGCCCTTTTGGTGTGGGACTCTTTCTTTCCTGAATGTTCAATAATGTCTGGCTCTTTTCCTTTGTGTTCTGGTTTTATGCAAACACAAATTACACTCTTGTTGACTTCACTGTAACCCATGAAATTAAAGAAGGGGAAATTGGAGTCCTATAGAAGGCAGTTTCACCAGTCCTGCCTCTTGGATTTGTGCGATGGAAACTGAGAACAGCTGTATTTTTCTAACCAATTTTATGAGAAAAGAAGTGTCCCCAGCAGTAATCAGCACAGGCACATGATAGGAACAGACAGAGATGCTGCTTTAAAATCATATATTCTAGAGCTGAAAGCCATCTAAGAGAGCATCCAATTCTCCCTCATTGTATAAATGAAGAAAGTAACTAAAACTCGGAGGTACCTGTTCACACTTCTTGAGTATATACTAATTATGGGAAGCAACGTGGCATCACAGAAATACCACAGGCCTTGTGGAAGTCTGTGTGGGAATCATAGCTCTGCCACTTCCTAGCTGCTGTGGCTATTGGGCAAATTATATTATCTCTTTGAGCCTTCTCTCATCTGTCCCTGCTTCATGGGCTGGTTATAAGAATCACATGATATAAAATATAAAGCCCTGGCACAAAGTAGATAGTTAATAAATAGTAGTTATGATTAGCTCGCTTTTGTTGCTAGTGACAATACAGAGTAAAAACCATCTCAGCAAATACTTAGAATAGGATTTTAAAATGTCAACCAATGGCAAACTTGTTTGAAGTAAATTTCAATATACTGAAATTCCAATATAATTCAGGGAAACAAACATTTTTATATAAAATATTGTGCTATACACTAGAGTTAGTTCAAAAATAAGAACAAGATCTGGGTTCTGCTTTTAAGGAAATGAGAGTAGACATGCACGCTAGGCTGCCTTTCAGTGAGGGCCGTGGGACGGGCCACTGGGGAGGAGGGGACATGGGTCTCTGGGTGCACAGAAGAGGTTCTTCCTGGACAAGGAGCTCAGGGAAGTCTTCACAGAGAAAGTAACATTCGAGAGGTTTTTAGAAGGGTCTAGAAAAACAGATTGAGGGACATTCTTATTGAAGGGGGCCCCATAATTACAAATACAAAGTATATTTAGATTTAACCAACTCCTCTGTTTAAATGAGCATAGAATATGTGAAGGGCAAAGCTTAAAATAAAAATGATAGCTACCACTTACGGAATTCACTCATGTATTCACTCTTTTGCTCGTTGTGCAACTCTGTGAGGTAGATTATTATCTCCATTTTGCCAAAGAGGAGACAGGCATGGGCAGGTTAAATGTGTTGCCTAAAGGCCTCACAGCTGGTAAGCAGTACCAAACTTGAATTCAGGTCATCTGACTTCAGAGTCCATGCTCCAGTTCGGACATTAGACAGTGAGCTTGACTTTTTCTGCTAGCCGCTCCAGATCTATACCCTCCTCTTCTCCCTGCTGCTCGGGGACCCAGGATGCTGAGCTGTGTGGGCTCTGTCAGCATGCTCCCTTGGCCCTGGTTTCCCGTCATAATAATGGAGGGAAATGGGAGATGGGGCCTCAGGTTTGCCAGGGCTGTATCCCTTTGTTAGAGGACACAGCTCCTGTTGGCCAGCCGCTCTTGCAGCTACAGGTCTCCCTGTGTTGAAAAACTCTTCTGTCTCCTTGTCCCAGGACAGCTAATGCTAGCCTCAGAACACTTCACCATCTCATGTTGGTTCCTTTAACCCTGTCCCTGTCTCAGTGAAGATCGGAATTTGGGGGTTATAGGATAATCTGTTCAGCTTTAGTGGATACTACCAAATAGTTTCCCAAAGTGGTTATACCATTTTTTTTCCTACTAGCAGTGTAGGAAAGTTTCAGTTGCTTCCCCCTTTTGCCAACTCTTGGTATTTTCTGTCCTTTTCATTTTAGCCATTCTAGTGGGTACACAGTAGTATCTCATTTGTGATTTCAGTTTTCATTTCTCTGAGAACTATGGAAGTTGGATACCTTTTCGTGCGTTCATTGGCCATTTGAATATCTTTGGTAAAGTATCTAAATCTTTTACCCTTTTTCTTTTCTCTTTCTTCTCCCTCTCTCTCTTTTTTTGTTTTTGAGACAAGTGTCTCTCTATTGCCCAGGCTGGAATGCAGTGGAGTGATCCCAGCTCACTGTAACTTCAAACTCCTTGGCTCAAGAGATCCTCCCACCTCAGCCTCCATAGTAGTTGGGACTACAAGCGCACACCACCACACTTGGCTAATTTTTAAAATTATTTTGTAGAGATGGGGGGTGGTGAATCTTGCTATTTGCTCAGGCTAATCTTGAGCTCCTGGCCCTCAAGAAATCATCCTGCCTCAGCCTCCCAAAGTGCTGAGATTACAGGTGTGAGCCACTGTGCATGGCCTTTTTGCCCATTTTTAAATTAGATTGTCTTTTCTTTTGGATTATGAAGTTATTTATAGATTATGAGTAAAGTCCTCTGGCAGAGATATGTATTACAAATATCTTCACTCTGAGGCTTGCCTTTTCGTTCTCTTAAGCATATATCTTTTGATGAAGAGATGTTTTTAATTTTAATATACTCTATATATTTTGTTTCTTTGTGTTACTATTTGTAAAAATAATAAGAAATACACATATTGCTCTCGGCCCACAGTCCCTGATACAGAGCTCTTAAAACCCTTGTAATTTCCTAAGCAATAAGGATGCTAGGAGAACCTTTTGTTCTAATATTCGACCTTTTACTCTGGTTCCTGACTTTTAAAGTCCTTAGGAATTTTAGAGCTTTTAAAGTCCTTAGGAATTTCCTGGGCGGCAGGAGCATCATTTAATAAGGTAGCTCTTGGTGGACTCCTGGATGGGAGCTGGTCACCATAAAGACTAAGCCATAATTATAAGCTGGGGTCTTTCAGCCCTAATCCACCAACTTGCCACAATTCTCCAGAGAAGGGAAAGGGGCTAGAAATAAAGTTAATCACTGATCATGTCTACGTGATAAAGCCTCCATAAAAATTCCTAAACTATGGGATTCAGGGAGCTTCTGGGTTGACAAACACATCTGCATGCCAGCAGGGTGGTATACCCCAACTTCATGGGCATAGGAGTGCCTGCACATGGGACCCTTTCAGACCTCGCCCTATGTATCTTTTCATCTGGCCAGTCATCTGTATCCTTTATTATATCCAGTAAACATAAGTAACGTATTTCCCTGATGCTATGGTTTGAATGTTTATCCCCTCCAAGCTCATATTAAAGCTTAATCCCCAATGTGGCAGTATTGAGAAGTGGGGTCTTTAAGAGGTCTCGAGGGCTCTACCCTCATGAATGAATTAATCCATTGATGGATTAATGGGTTATTACGGTACTGGAACTGGTGGCTTTATAACAAGAGGAAGAGAGACTCAGCTCTCTGGCATGTGATGCCCTGTGCCGTCTCGGGACTCTCCAGAGTCCCCGCCATCAAGAAAGCCCTCACCGGATGCAGCCCCTACACCGTGGGCTCCTTAGCTTCCATAACTGTAAGAAATAATTTCCTTTTCTTTATAAATTAGGCAGTTTCAGATATTCTGTTATAAGCAACAGAAAATGCACTAAGACACCTGAGTTCTGTGAGACACTCTAGCAAATTAATCAAACCAAAGTGGAGGTCATGGGAATCCGATGGATAGCTGGTCATTCAGAAGCAGAGGCCACATTCTGTGCTTGTGACTGGCATCTGAAGGGGGGTGGGGGCAGTCTTGTGGGACTGAACCCTCAACTTGTGGGACCTGACACTATCTCCAGGCAGATAGTGACAGAATTCAATTGAATTAGAGGATACTTAGCTCGTGTCCACTGTAGAATCTGCCAGAGAATTGCTTGGTGTGTGGGGAAAACCCCCCACCCTCTGGCATCAGAAGTGTTGAACGATTTTGTGAGAGTAGAGAGATTCGAAGAACCATTGGTTTTACCTATATCCTTACATGGCTTTGTATGGTTTTTAAAAAGGCATGTTTGCTGCTACAATATCATAAGAATGTTTTCCTGTGCTTTATTCTAAAAGCTTTCTGGTTTTATCTTTCATATTTGGATCTGCAATTCATTTGGAATTGATTTTTGTGTGTGATGTGAGATTAGAGTCCTGATACGTTTTTTCTCTCGTATGGCTATCCAGTGAACCTAGAACCTTTTATTTAAAATATTCTCTTTTCCATCAGTTCACTGCAATGTCATACTTTTCATGAATCAGGTGACTGTATACATATGGTTGTTTTCTTGTATGCTATGTTCTATCCCACTGGTCTATCTTCTTGTCTATCCTTGTGCCAATATTATACAATCTTGATTATTATGGCTTTATAATGACTCTTGATAACTGGAAGTGGAAGTCTTCCAGCTTTGTTCTTGAAGATTGCCTCAGCTATTCTTGGTCCTTTGCATTTTCATATGTATTTTAGAAATAGTTTGTCAACTTCCACACACACACACACACACACACACACACATGCCTAGAGTTTGGTGAAGATTGTGATGAATCTATAAATTCATAGAAAATTAACATCTAAACATTTCAATTCATGAACGTTATGTTTAGGTCTTCTTTAATTTTCCCAGTAATATTTTGTGGTTATCAGTGTAAAGTTCTTATACATATTTCATTAGATTTATTCCTATGTGTTCGATTTGCTATAGTAAATAGTATTCTTTTTAAAATGTTGTCTTTTGTTTGTTGCTATTATATATATATATTTTTTGAGACAGGGTCTTACTTTGTCACCCAGGCTGGAGTACAGTGGCATGATCTCAGCTCACTGTAACCTCTGCCTCCCAGGTTCAAACAATTCTCATGCCTCAGCCTCCCAGGTAGCTGGGATTACAGACGTGGACCACCACGCCCAGCTAATTTTTGTGTCTTTAGTGGAGACAGGGTTTCACCATGTTGGCCAGGCTGGTCTCAAACTCCCGACTTGAGGTGATCCACCTACCTCGGTCTCCCAAAGTGCTGGGATTACAGGTGTGAGCCACGGTGATTGGCCATATAATTGATTTTTGTATATTCACCCTTTGTCTAGTGATCTTGTAAACTCAGCAAAGTATATCTGTGGAAGGCATTTGGTAGATATCCTTTATTAGTTTAAGAAAATTATCTTCTATTCTGTTTTTCTACACTTTTGTTTAAAACCATGAATGTGTGCTGACTTTTATTAAAGACTTTTCCATCTCTTAAGATGTCCAACCCTGTTTTGACTCAGCTCTAGGACCCAATTCTATAGCCCTTTCCCTGGTCTTGGCTTTATCCCCACAATCACAAAAACTCCATGAACAAAAAGGAACAAACAAGGACCTGAACCGAAGAAGTGCCAGTAAACATGGAAAGGAAGAGACAACTGTAAGAGATTTTGATGTTCTGCAATATAAATGTTTTGTACAGTCCCAGATGTGTTGAGAGAGAAGCCGACTTCTCAAAAAAATTTTTTTTTTTTGAAACGGAGTTTTACACTTGTTGCCCAGGCTGGAGTGTAATGGCACGATCTCGGCTCACTGCAACCTGCACCTCCCAGGTACAAGCAATTCTCCTGTCTCAGCCTCCCAAGTAGCTTGGATTACAGGCATGCGCCACCACGCCTGGCTAAGTTTTTTGTATTTAGTGGAGACAGTGTTTTACCACATTAGTCAGGCTGGTCGTGAACACCTGACCTCAGGTGATCCACCTGCCTCGGCCTCCCAAAGTGCTGGAATTACAGGCGTGCGCCAAAATGCCCGGCCGACTTATCAGTTTTTTAAACTCCTGCCTCCTTTTGATAAACATAAAAAATCCACATGAAACTTTTGTTTAATGTACGTATTATGGAAACAATAAGCTATTTTCCAAATATAAATTTTAATATGATTAAGCTTTTTGAACTTTTAAATATAGATTGCCCTTATTAGAGATTAATAATATAGTATGTGTAAAAGCAAATTACACATTCTATAATCCCCTGCCCCTAAAGTCCGATACATCCTCCCTGAAAGGGTACTTTTCTCCTTCACTTTCTCCTAATTGAAACTCACTGAAATAGCATCTACATAGAACATCACTGCATGGTGGAGCGGCAGATAAGCTGGTTAAGCAATCTATCATTACTATCATCTGGATGTCCCAGGATGGTTGGGGTAAGTAGAAATGTATGAAGACTCTAACTGGCAATGGGATTTTATCATTGAAAAGTGCAGAGCTGGCCAATTCAGACCCAAGTTGCAGGTGTACCTGGGAGAATACACACTTGTAGGTTTTCAAATTTACTAATATTTAAGCAGTTTGATTCTCTACAATTACTTCAACATTTGACTATTGGGCTTGAATTTAATGAATCCTGGTGCCCTCTTGTGGACATGAGAGAATGTACAAAGAGTATAGCTTTGAGTTCTTTTCATTTTAAGGATTACTTTGTGTACCCATGTCCCATTAACCTAAGATAACTCAATAGGTAGAAGATCTCAAGTCACACAGCCAGGCATAATGTTGCCAATTATAAGCCCTGTGAACTTAAGATTCCTTATCTGATAAATGGCAGTAACAATAGTACCCACCTTACTAAGGTTCTTGAGAAGATTAAGGATTTAAGGAAATTCCCTTCCATTCCTACTTTCCTAAGATTTTGTTTGAAACCATGAATAGGTATTGAATTTTATCATATGTTTTTTCTGCATTTTTAAAGATGTACACTTCTGTTTTGACTCAGCTCTGGGACCCAACACTACAACCCTTCTCCAGGCATGGCTGTACCCTTACTTTATACATCCATACATACAATTGGCCCTCTGTATCTGTGGGTTCTGCATCTATGGATTCAACCAACCACAAATTGAAAATATTTGGGAAAAAAATAATAAATAATAATACAACAATAAAAATAATACAAATTTTAAAATAATATAGTATAACAACTATTTACAAGCATTTACCTTGTATTAGGTATTGTGACTTTTTTTTTTTTTTTTTTGAAACAGGGTCTAGCTCTGTTGCCCAGGCTGGAGTGCAGTGGCATGATCATAGCTCACTGCAACCTTGAACTCTTGGGCTCAAATAATCCTCCCACCTCAGCCTTCCAAAGAGACTACAGGCTCATGCTACTATGCCTGGCTAATTTATTATTATTATTAGTTTTTGTAGAGATAGGGTCTCACTATGTCTCCAACTCCTGGCCTCAAGTGATCCTTCTGCCTCCTCCTCCCAAAGTGCTTGGGATTACAGGTGTGAGCCACCATGCTCAGCCTAGAGATGATTTAAAGTATATGGAAGGATGTCATCAATGATAGACTGGATAAAAAAATGTGGCACATATACACCATAGAATACTACGTAGCCATAAAAAAGGATGAGTTCATGTCCTTTGCAGGGACATGGATGAAGCTGGAAACCATCATTCTCAGCAAACTAACACAAGAACAGAAAACCAAACACTGCATGTTCTCACTCATAAGTGGGAGTTGAACAACGAGAACACATGGACACGGGTTGGGGGGAGGGCATCACACACCAGGGCCTGTCAGGTAGTGGGGGGCTGGGGGAGGGATAGCATTAGGAGAAATACCTAATATAGATGATGGGTTGATGGGTGCAGCAAACCACCATAGCACGTGCATACCTATGTAACAAACCTGCACGTTCTGCACATGTAGCCCAGGACTTAAAGTATGATAAAAAACAAAAAGTATAAAAATAAAGTATATGGAAGGATGTGTGTGTGTCATATGCAAATACTATACCATTTTATATAAGGGACTTGAGCATCCATGGATTTTGGTGTCTGTGGATGAGGGGGCCTGGAACCAATCCCTCACAGATACTGCAGGATGTATCTTAGCCTGGCACATAGTGGGCTCTCAATAATGTTATCTGTGTTTAGTATCAATCATCTTAATCAATTATCAATCCCTTAAAGGAAAGGGAAGGGTATGAAGGATATAGTATCCCAAAACAGAGTGGCTACAGATACTAGTAACCTCTCCTCCCCAGTCCCATCCTACCTCATTCCTGATTCCCTGCAGCAACTACTCAACTCTCAACTATTTCTTTTTATATTTATCATCATATTTTTAATAACATGTTTTATGGATCTTCTTCATTTTTTTTGTCCATATGTAGTATTATCTATTGACTTTCTATTATGGAAGATGAACGTTTAACTCTCTTACAGTACTCCCTCCATACTTCCTTTCCCCCATTTATGATCCCATGTATGTAAAAATAATGTACTCTATTTTATATATTTGGTCCTCTCCATAATAACCAAAAATATGGACCAAGGCATAAAAGGTGAATACTAAAAAACGGAACCTTGTTTCACATTATTAATGTCAAATAAGCCTGAACTCTTCTTAAATGAAGCAAAGAAAAAATTTATAATGAAAAAGATTATAATTTGCAATGATAATGGAGTTATCACATAACTTTATGCAACAAGGAAGAAGAAATAAAAGGAGAAGGTTTTAATCACCTTTGTTGGTCCATGTCTGATCAAGCAGAGGAAAACTAAAAAGGACATAAAATATCTAAACAATTTAATAAATAAATCCAAATGTGATTCCAGATAGACTCATATGACCAAATAACACATGCAAATATTGACCTTATATCAGGTTATAGAGAAAACTGTTTTCCAAAGCAGCTGCACCATTTTACACTCTAATCAGCAGGGCCAATTTCTCTACATCTTCACCAATACTTGTTATTATGTCTTTTTGATCATAGCTGCCTTAGTGGGTATGAAGTGGTATCTTATTGTGATTTTGACTTGCACTTATTTAATAGTTAAAGATATTGAGCATCTTTTCATGCACTTTTGGTCATTTGTATCTCTCTTTTTTTTTTTTTTTGAGATGGAGTCTCGCTCTGTTGCCCAGGCTCGAGTGCAGTGGCGTGATCTCGGCTCACTGCAAGCTCCACCTCCCAGGTTCATGCCATTCTCCTGCCTCAGCCCCTCCCGAGTAGCTGGGACTACAGGCGCCCGCCACCATGCCTGGCCTGGCTAATTTTTTTGTATTTTTAGTAGAGTCAGGGTTTCACCATGTTAGCCAGGATGGTCTCGATCTCCTGACCTCGTGATCTGCCAGCCTCGGCCTCCCAAAGTGCTGAGATTACAGGAGTGAGCCACCATGCCTGGCCGGTCGTTTGTATATCTTCTTATCGGAAATGTCTATATAAATCCTTTGCTCATTTTAAAAATTGAATTGTCTTTTTATTGTTGAATTATTATTGAATTCTAAGACTTGTATTGTAGATGCAAGCCCCTATCAGATACATGTTTTACAACAATTTTCTCCCATTATCAGGGTTGTTTTTGTATTCTCTTTATGTTGTCATTTGAAACACAGTTTTAAATTTTGATGATGTCCAATTTATTTTTTTCTTTTATTACTTGTGCTTTTGTAATCGTATTCGAGAAACCATTGTCTGATTCCAGGTCATGAAGATTTATGCCAGTGTTTTCTTCTGTAAGTTTATAGCTTTAGCTCTTACATTCAGGTTTTTTTTGATATTTTAACTTTTTGTCTATGGTATGAGCTAAGGGTCCAGCTTTTTCTTTGATCTGTGGATATCCAGCTGGCCTAACATCATTTGTTGAAAACATTATTCTTTTCCCCATTTAATTTTCTTGGTTCCCTTGTTGAAAATCAGTTGACCATAAGTATGAGGGTTTATTTCTGAACTCACAATTCTATTATATTCTATTTATGTCTGTTCTTCTGCCAGTACCATGCTGTCTTGATTACTGTGGCTTTGTAGTAAGTTTTGAATTTGAAAGTATGTCTTCCAACTTCTTTCTTCTTTTTCAAGATTGTTTGGATATTCTGGGTCCCTTGAGTTTCCATATGAATTTTAAAATCGCTTTTCAGTTGCTGCAAAGAAGCCAAGTGAGATTTTAATAGGGATTACATTTAATCTGTAGATCAAATTGGGGAATATTGCCATCTTAACAATATAAAGCCTTCCAATCAATGAACGTGGGATGTCCTTCATTTATTTAGGTCTTTTAAATTTTCTTTCAACAATGTTTCATGGTTTTCAGTGTATATGTGTCATGGTACATTTTTGCTGCCATAACAAAATACCTTAGACCAAGTAATTTGTAAACAGCATAAATTTGTTGCTCATAGTTATGGAGTCTGGGAAGTCCAGGATCAGAGCACCAGCAGATTCAGTATCTGGTGAGGGCTTGCCTTCTGCTTCCAAAATGGCACCTTGTTGCTTGACTTTACATGGTGGAAGGCGGAAGGACAAAGGAATAGAGCCCTTCCTTCAACCTGTTTCATGACAGCACTAATCCCATTCATGAGGTTGGAGTGTTCATGACTTAATCACTTCCCAAAAGACACACCTCTTAATACTATCATACTGACTATTAGATCCTAACATGAATTTTGGAGGGACACATACATTCAAACCATAGCAATATGTTTTGCATTTCTTTTGTTCAATTTATTTCTAAGTATGTTCTTCTTTTTGAAGCTATTATAAATGGAATTTTTTTAAAATTTCATTTTCAGATTGTTCATTGCCAGTGTATACATATCCCCCCCTCCGAATCCAGCATCCACAATATTTTTAATAATGACAGGATCCGGTTAGTTTTTGTAGTACAGCTGGCCTCTTGGCCTCTGGTGTAGGGTTTGGAGTAGCTGTGCAGGTACCTGGGGCCTTACTGAAATGCTTGTATATTTCTTGGTCCTTGTGAGGATGAAAGAGCAGGACAATGCATAGACTTTGGGGGCGTCCAGGTCAGGACCTTGCCCTCCAATTATGATCCCCACAACCATTCATTTTGTGTTCTTGGCCAGGAAACTTCATTTTCTTGATCATCTGGCCTGTTGCTGCCACTCATGAATATCCTCTACAGCACAACTTGGTTGAAGGTGGAGTTGGTTCCTCTGGCCAGAAACATGTACCGCTTGACCAACAGCTTTAGATCAATTTCCTGGCTCTTGAGTTTCTGGCACTGGGTTCCTTGTGGCAGGTGTGGACTCCCATGATGGTGCCTCCTACTCAGCCATGTCCAAAAAAGTGAGCACTCTCAGACTCTTTAAATACTTTATTTGGAATTTTTGGACATTTACCCAATTTTTACCTAATTTTTTCCATATAGAATTACACATATTCAGAAGTGAGCTAAGAGTCTTTTTCTTA
Source organism: Homo sapiens (assembly GCF_000001405.40). Lineage (NCBI taxonomy): Eukaryota > Metazoa > Chordata > Mammalia > Primates > Hominidae > Homo > Homo sapiens. The sequence continues at coordinate 76,509,863 of NC_000004.12, forward strand.
TTGGATCATTTAGGTTACCTTAGGTCTGAAATTCTCAGATATGTATTGCTCTCATCTACTAGATCCTTGAAATTTGCCAAAATTTAAATTATTTTTGGCAAAATTGAGCAAATATGAACACTTCCAATGTCAGTGAGGAAGTGTTAAAGTGAGTACTTCCATATACTATTGGTGGGACTGTGAAATGGTGCGGGCACTCTGAAAATAAGTTTGCCAATACCAAAATCCTCAGTTAAGATTGTAATTTTAGACCCCGTACTTTTCCTTCTATAAATCTATCATTAAAATACTGAGATCCAGACCAAGATTTATATATAAGACCTCCTCAGTATTATTTTATAGTACAAACGTGTTGAAATCAATTTCAATGTGCCATAAAAATATTTATCTATGCATTAAAAAAGGCTGAAAGGAAATATATCAAATTGTAATAATGTTATCTCTGAAGAATGGGATGAGGTAAAGTCAGTATAATCAGTAATAAAAAATGGGGGCAAGAGCACAGATTGTACTAGTTACAGACTTGAGTTTGAGTTCTCTCTCTGCCAGATGTAGCTGAATGACTTTGGGCAAGTTACTTAACCTCTCTAAGCCTCAATTTCCTTAAATATAAGATGGTGGTAATAATAGTTGTTGCCTTATAGGGTTACTGAAAGAATTGAGTGAGATATACACAAAGTGCTTAGCACAGCAGTTGATCCACAGTGAGTGCTAAGTGTTAGCTCTCGTTGTCATTGGTCACCTGGCCTTGTCATATACAACTGCACAATCCCCTGGAAATGTTTCCACTGAATGAGACACCTATGGATTTGGACAGACTGGCTTTTTCTGCCATGTACTTCAATGGCCTTAGTTGTTGAGGACTCGATATGTGCATGTGATGTGAGTGTAATTGACCAGAGAGGTAGTGTGGCACAGGGGAAAGAACAAGGAGACTTTGGTCCCAATCTAGGTCTTGGTTCCCTCATCAGTGAAGTGAAGGGAGCTGGACTAGAGAATTTCTAAGATCTCTTCTGGCTCTAAAATGTTCATTTCTCACCAGGCACGGTGGCTCACACCTGTAATCCCAGCACTTTGGGAGGCCGAGGCAGGTGGATCACCTGAGGTCAGGAGTTCAAGACCAGCCTGGCCAACATGGTGAAACCCCGCCTGTACTAAAAATACAAAAAATTAGCCAAGTGTGGTGGTTGGCGCCTGTAATCTCAGCTACTCGGGAGGCTGAGGCAGGAGAATCGCTTGAACCTGGGAGGTGGAGGTTGCAGTGAGCCAAGATCACGCCACTGCACTCCAGCCTGGGCAACAAGAGGGAAACTCCATCTCAAAAATAATAATAATAATAATAATAATGCCACAGCAATTGTGAATTTAGACTTTTGTCTCCTAAACACAAGGTGGCAGCAAAAGACTAGGCTCTTGGCTGCCATTTGCCAAAACCAGTAGGATAAGATGGTATTATTTAATTTACACTATGTTATAAAGTAAAAGATCTAGGTGGCTTAAGATCACTACCTGCTCTTAGTGGTTTCTATGAGGCCCAGGTTTAATGTCCCTAGAATTATGCTTTTATCGCTATAATCGGAATTCCCCTACTCTCAATATATCCACTGAAGTCACCACTCAACAACACCTCTGCCTACAATTTCTCCAAGGCTTTTTCTATCACTTCTACTGCTTCTTGGAAAAATACCCTTCAAGTTTTCACCTGTGATGAGCAGGGGTCTTGCTGGCAGAATGGCAGCTATGTGCTTTACAAGATAAAAACAACTTCTGTCTTCCAGGATCGGGGAGGATTTGCAGTATGGGGGCTTGGTAGTGCTCTCTCAGGGAAAAAATTTCAAATAAAACACCCATGTGTTGCCAGTCTATTCAAATATGTTCCAATTATAAACAATAGTAGGAAATCTCGATGATCTGTGGGTTGGGTTTCTGTGTTCCTTGGTTGGAGCTGATCACTCCTGGCCAGGTGGGGCTGGAAAAGGATGGTGAGAAAGTGGGAGACAGACCATGAAGTGAGATGGGAAACCCCATTGCAGAAACGGAGTGAGGGGCCTGTCCTCAGAATCTAAAGAAGGTTGTTCTGAAGATCCCTAGGGAAGAGGCCAGGGGCCTAGTTGAGACACAGGTGAGGTGACCCTCAGGAGAATATTTTCAACCTGAGGTCCGAGGGAGTGGGCCTGAGGCCTAAATAGAAAGATCCTCTTTCTTCAGGGACCTTGGGGATTTCCAGGCAGAAGTTGACCTAAGAGAGGCAGTGGGAGTAGAATGGAAGGGCTAAAAAGATAGGGCCAAAGGTCAAGTTAAAGGATTGACATGTAGACTAGAAGGAAATTGACACAAGTACCAGGAAGAAGTTGTTTAATGGTTCTGATAGATGCCACATGACTTAAGCAACTGGAAACTGACCTTGCAACCCCTACAATGGCATTGGGCTCATACCCTGAGATTCCAAAGCAGAGGGGATCTCCAGAGGAGAGGAAGGAGGGCAGGTTATAAACAGAGCCTTTTTTTTTCAGAGAGGATCCTCTTCCTTCTTTTATTTCCTTCCTGCTAAGTGGTAAGAGCAGAAAATCATTAAGGAAAGCAGCAGAAGAAACTGGCAGATCTGGAATGTGGGCCATTTTCTCACCACAATGTGGGCTTCTTCACTTCCGCAGGATTCTACCTGCTTTAGGGGTCACACCCTCTGCAGGGTGCTTGGGGATCGAGGGACAAGGAGGGAAAATGTTTTAACCTTTAAACTGGTGGCCTTTTTGGTGGTTACTATCTAAATTACCTCCAAAATGATTGGGGGTGGGAAGGGGAAAGAAAACCTAACCTGGACCTAAGGGACTTGTGGTAGGGATCGGATACTGCAATGAGCGTGGAATCATACATTTCTCTTTCAACTTGATGAGGTGCTCCCACGGAGGGACAGTTAGCAGAAAATTTGGTAAAGGCCTTATCACAGACCAGAGATATGACCAACTGGGGTGAGCTTTAAGGAGGAACTAGGGTAGAAAATGGTTAATGTTTTGCTGAAATACAGGGAAGAAACAAGGTGGATTGGATCATAACCAACTTCTTTCACAATGTCATAAAAGTACCCAAACTGTGGAGTGCACCCACATCTACATGAGCAAGTCTTGTGAATTGCTTTGATGCTTGCACCGTGCCATCTCAGGCCTGCCATGGTGCTAAGTCACCCTCCACAGATGCAGGGCTTCCAGCTTCCACCTGAGAGCAGGAGCAGTAGGTTAACTTTGTGTCAAAGACTCATCCTTCCTTTCCTTTGACTTCAAAGGTCCCTTGGTGGAACTTTCTACTGTCGGGTCTTTCATGATTCCCTATCAGAGGTTTTACATGTATGCTTTCGACTCTGAAAGGGAGACAATGCCAGCTAAACACAAGGAAAGCTGTTCAGGCTGAGTGTGGGAGAAGGGGAAGCTGGTTGCTGATTCTAATTCTGATGTTTGAGGGGAAAATAATATGTTTTTTTTTTTGAGACAGAGTCTTGCTCTGTTACCCATGCCAGCATGATATTGGCTCACTGCAACCTCTGCCTCCCAGGTTTAAGTGATTCTCATGCCTCAGCCTCCCGCGTAGCTGGGACTACAGGCACCTGCCACCACGCCCAGCTAATTTTTGTATTTTTAGTAGAGATGGGGTTTTACCATGTTGGTCAGGCTGGTCTTGAACTCCTGACCTCAGGTGACCCACCCGTCTCGGCCTTCCAAAGCACTGGGATTACAGGCATGAGCCACCGTGCCTGGCTGGAAAATAATACTTCTATCTCACTGATCACATTTACCGGTAGTATGCTTTAAGCAGGAAACAAGAACTGGGTAATTGCGGCAGAAAAGCCTTTAAAAGAAAATGACTTCATTGGCATTAGCAAACACCTACAGAGATAATATCTCTGACCTTAGCTGGCAGGCACTGAGAAAATTCTGAGGAATAGAGGGGGAGTCTGGAAGACTTGGGACTTTGATTTTTCTTATCCGGGTCAGACATTGATCTTTAAAAAATGACATACGTTTTATAGTCATTAACTTATCACTTAAAATGTTCTGCTGCTACAGTTCCTGGAGTAGGGGTAGAACCCTTCAGTTTATTGAGGACCAAAGACCTACATTAAAAGTAAATCAAAGCCTAAAGGGAAGCAAAAAGCAACTTAATTGACTTCAAAAATTTTTAAGCCGTTCACTGGTTTAAGTAAAAAATATGAAGCATAGTAACAATTTTCAGCCACTCTGGAAAACAGTTTGGAAGTTTCTCAAAAAGTTAAACATGGACTTACCATATGGCCAGGAATTGCACTGCTAGGTAAATACTCAAGAAAAATGAAAACATACATCCAAACAAATGTTCATAGTAGCATTATTCATGATAGCCAAAAAGTGGAGAAACCCACATTTTTGTTAACTGATGGTGAATACATTAAATGTGGTATATCAATATAATGGAATATTATTTAGCCATAAAAAAGAATGATGTACTGATACATGCTGCAATGTGGAGAAACCTTAAAAAACTGAAAGAAGGCAGACACCAAAGGCCACATATTGCATGATTCCACTCATATGAAATGCCCAGAACAGGCAAATCCATAGAAAAATAAAGTACTTCAGTGGCTGCCAGGGGCTGGTTTGGTATAGGGGAGAATGGAGTAGGACTGCGAGTGGATATGAGGTCTCTTTTGGGACGATGAAAATGTTCTGAAATTAGATAGTGGTCCTAGTTCCACAACTCTGTAAATACACTATAAGCCAATGAACTGTTCAATGAAAAAGGGTGAATTTTATAGTATGTGGATTTAATTTTATGATATGCGAATTACATCTCAATAATATATGAAGCGTGAAACTTTATTCAATAAATATATTAAACATTTAAAATATAATTCAATTAAAATTAAAAATGAAGTATAGGGAAGGAGAACAAGACAACGAGGAAAGATGGAAGAGAAAATACTTGGCTCAAGAAAGAAAATGAGCTGGGTGCAGTGGCTGACATCTGTAATCCCAGCACATTGTAAGGCCAAGGAGTTCAAGACCAGCCTGGGAAACATAGTGAGACCCATTTGTTAAAAAAGTTCAGATGTGGTGGCTCACACCTGTAATTCCAACACTTTGGGAGGCCAAGGTGGGTGGATCGCTTGAGGTCAGGAGTTCGAGACCAGTCTGGCCAATGTGGTGAAACCCCGTCTCTACTACAAATACAAAAATTAGCTGGGCATGGTGCTGGAAGCCTGTAATCCCAGCTACTTGGGAGGCTGAGGCAGGAGAATTGCTTGAACCCAAGAGGTAGAAGTTGCAGTGAGCTGAGATCACGCCTCTGCACTCCAGCCTGGGTGACAGAGCAAAACTCTGTCTAAAAAAAAAAAAAAAAAAAAAAATTAGCTGGATGTTGTGGCATGTGCCTGTAGTCCTAACTACTCAGGAGCCTGAGGCAGAAGGATCAGTTGAGTCCAGGAGGTTGAGGCTACAGTGAGCCAAGATGGTGCCACTGCATTCCAGCCTGGATGACATAATGAGAACTTGTCTGAAAAAAAAAAGGAAGGAAGGAAGAAAATGAAAACCAAACAAGAGAAGAGAGGCTGATTCCATGATTTTCAACACAATAGAAATTTCCATTGTTCTCTGAGATTCCCTTGGGCTCTGGTCTTCAGAATGTTATTGTTATTATTATTATTTCCTTTAGAACTTCTAATGAGCACATTGACCATTGCTTCCAGGTTTTCGAATTGTCCTTTGCCCTTAAACTCCTCAGTGGCTTGGGTTTTATTCCAATAGAGCAGAGGATATGAAATATTTCTTGGTTAATGTTTCTGGGTTTGCAGTATCAGTCAGTGACCAGAGTTGGATTTTACGTCTAAAAACCATATAAACTCAAGCCGAGACTTGTCTGGGTGTAGACTTCCCATTGCCAAATTTAATTTTATTATTTAAAGTCATGTTGAGAAGTCATGTAGGTGGTCTTTCTTCTAAGCTAGGACAGACTTATCAGTCTCACTTGCCTGGTACTACTTTATGAGGTAAATAATTAATTTGAGATATTAGGCATAAGCTGGTCTTGATCTGTTCTCAAACTCCAGGTGGGTAGAAAGCTCAACTGTTGACACAGGGCCTGGCATGGGAAATGATTACATGGGAAGCCATGTCTGATAACCAGAAATGATACTTCATAATAACACAAAGATAATGAGAGAGATTGGGAGTCAGGTTAGTGTGTGAAACTAGCAGTAGACCGAGAGGGAAAGTGGGTTGTGATCCTTCTTTGAAGTCACCACAGAGTCTTTCTGCTCCTTCACCCACTATGGTTAGTGAATGACCAAGGATACTGACTTTACCTCCTACTATTACTCAAATGTATATCTCTTCTCCGTCATTTCTCCTGTTCAGTTCCTCTTTCTCTCTAGCCTGGTCAATTGCAATATCTTTGTAACATGTTTTCTAGACTGTAATATTGCTCCTATTATCCATCCTTCCAACTAGGAAAGTAATATTCCTGAAGTCCAAATCATGCCATGTCCCTACCTTATTAGTTCTCTGTGTTGAGATCAGATGAAGCTATAGGCAGAGATGCTCTTATGACATGAAGGACTGGGGTTCCCTTGTAAGACCATCAGAATTTGCCCTATCTAAGCCCCTACTCAGGAGCCTAGAGGAATCCCTGAACTGAATGGTCTGAGTCAGCTGATACTCTCAGATAACAGCACTTTGCTCATAATATATGAAAACAGGAGCATGATTTAGAAAAAAAAAAGGAACCAAAATCACCAGCTAATAGATATTATGCAATAAGCACATTACAGAAACACAAAGTCCTGGTGTACATCACCAGGGCAGTCCCTGAGGACAGTCTAGCCAATAACTACACTTAAGTTGGGTCTCCAGATCTGATTTTCTAAGTTTCTGATCCTGGATCCTTTCATAAATTATAGCTGCTACCTCCAATCCCACCCCAAGTCTCATGAACAGGAAATCTGTGAAAAAGTTTTACAGGGAGGTTTGAGAACTCCCTCTGAGCTAGCCAATCCAGAGTCTTGCTTTCAGCCAAGCTTCCATCATACCCAGATTTTAATGATGAGTTATTTATGTTCTCACTTAAGGAAATCCTTTCCTACCCTTTGGAACTTCTATTTATCTTGTTATTAAAACTGTCTTCAAATAGATTTCCTGCTGCAATACAACACACTTGGTGACTTTCTCAGTCTTACAATGGGATTAGATATTTAGTGCTGAAAGGATCATTGCAAGGAGAGCAATCAGGTTTCTTCTCAGTGACAACTGCTTGGTCTTCTTTGCTGTAAAAGAACTTTGCTTTGAGCTTTGATACATGGAAAATGTCTGCCAGAGGCCCTGGTGAGAAAGAGTCCGTGTGTCTGCCCATCTTGGGTCATACCCTTGTCATCCAGGAACTAACAAGTCACCCCAGTTTACATGCAGTTGGCATTGGATGGGTGTAGGCAAATCACCTGGACTATCAAAGATACAGTGTCTAAAAAAGGCTCACTTCCTCCCTATCCCAGGTGGTAACACTGCATCGCAAGTACAGGGCATCCCAAATACAGAACATCCCTAACCCTGCATGCCCAGGGCACTGTTCTCAGCTCTGCTGGTCTGACCAGGTAGTTTCACAGAATTCTTGCTTGGTTAACTTGTAGTTTTTTGACATGATGTGCTAGATAGGTAAGATTTAGGATTCTTATCCATGTAAATGAAACTTAAAAAGAATTTCTCCTGATTGAGTTGCTTAGGGTTTTTGTTTGTTTGTTTGGTATATATATATATATATATAAAGGGGATGTTAGGGCTGTAGTCAGTGGCTGATTATTTGAAAATTTCTTCAACAATATGGGTTCTGTTCTGCTAATTCTCAGACCAATGAGGGCCTGTGTATGCTAGCAGAGAGAGGAAAAGACTAGGGTTTTCAGATTAGGACTCTGGGCCAGAATTTGTTACCATGTGACCTTGGACCACTCATTTAACCAAAGCTTCCCAGCCATTCCCCGTGGAAAGGAAGTGGATTGAATGACCTCCCGGTAGCCTCACCGGGATATTGCGGCTGCAGCAGAGCAAGGGCTGCATATAGAAGAGGAACATGAAGACTTTTTCCTTACAAAGTAAATGATATGAATTGACTGTGGTAAAGTTTCTAAATCAGATTTTTTTTAGTCCAGAGGGACAGCTTTTAAAATGAGAGATTTATTTAAGTTATAAGGAAATATCTGTCAACCCTCAGAAATTGCAAGATGATTATTTTGGTTGTGTGTGTGTATGTGTGTGTGTATTCCTAGTGGAGGGTGAGAGCTTGACTCTTAAGAATCATATAAAATATCAAATTATCTCAACTTCTGATAAATAGGGGGAAAGACAGACATTTTGGGGAGGTTCAAACCTCTATAATTCTTTAGGCATTTAACCCCCCAAGAGCAGGGACTACATTTATTCATTCGTAGTGTCCTCCACTCCATATCAGCATCTGGCACCTAATATGCACTCCATAAATCTTTGTTGTGGTTGAATGAGATCATTTTCCCCATGTCTTTGAAAGACAGAGGCAAAAACAGAGTGTTCTCATTAATGGACAGGGTTTTATTTCATTTTCTTTCCCCTCCCCCCTCCTTCCTTTTTGCCTGTCTGCCTGCCTGCCTTCCTTCCTTCCTTCTTTCCTTCCTTCCTACCTTCCTTCCTTCCTACCTTCTTCCTTCCTTCCTTCCTTCTTGCCTGCTTGCCTGCCTGCCTGCCTGCCTGTGTTAAATAATCTGAATGATTTCAAAGAATCAAAAATGGCTGTTCACATTTGGTAGGGTTCTACGGAGCTTATCTAACATATTTCTAAATGAGTACTGTAACACATCTGGGGCCAGGCACCCAAGCCTGTTCCTGTGTACTCTCTCATTTGCCTAGAAAACATAAATACTGATACAGGTCAGGGAAGCAAACTCTTGAGGGCTGTATTAAAATTCTTTTTATTGCAAGCGATGTAAACTCAATGAAGCAAAAAGAAGATATTTATTGAACCAGTACAAAAAGCGCAAGGGCATAGAGATTACATACCCTAGAGATCACTGGAAGTGGAACAAGAATGGAGCTAGGAGTCTCCTTCTCCTAACACTGCCTCTCTCTGCTTGTTTTCTTCATTCACACCACAGTCTGGGTACACAGCTGGTGAAGCCTCAAGATGCGGCATAGCCTTGCCCTTGGAAGAGAACTGAGAGCTACTCTCTGGTTGTAAGTGAAGAAATCCCAGCAAAGGCTTCTGGTTGGTTAGGCTTAGGCCACATGCCCACCTGGGTGGCCAGTGAAACACTATGGTTGGGAAAACCTTAGAATCACTGACTGTAGACGGGAGGGCTATTCCCTTAAAGGAGGGATGCCTTTCCTAGAAAGGAGGGTGCTGGATAAACAAAGTGCATCTCTAGGGGTCAGGGAGTAGTCATAGAAACTATGGACCAAAAGATAGCATTTGCTGACCAAGAGGCCCCAGTTTACTCCTAAATGTTCAGAGGGTGCATTTAACTTCAGTGACTTCAATCAATTCTGTAAATTTTGGTAAACAGAAAAAAGCAGAAGAAATAGACAAAATAGAAAAATAACAATATAAATTATGCAATCAATTCAGCCTGATAGTCTACTCACTGAGTATATGTCCTAAAGCAAGAATCAGGAAGATAATGAATCGCAGTTGGTCTCATTTCCCCCCAGAACAAACATCTTTTCCTTTATCTAGTACTGAACCAGAAAAGTAGAGGGCCGTTCCAGTGCTGGAGGGAAACTGTGCTGGGCTTATGAAGAGGCAGGTGCCAAAATAGTGCCTTCCTAGAAGATTTTTCAGGACAGTCTTGACTATATGTGATTTTCACTGTATACACTGATGAATTTTAGAATTTAAACATCCATAAAACACGGTGCCTTTTAGGCTTTTTGTATGTGCATCTGGGTGTATTATTCAGAATGAAATCTCTTTACTGAATCTTTCCTATTTATGAGAATTGGGTGGAAATGATCAGGACAACTAATGAGTGGATTTGTGAGGTGTGAGGTGTGACAATATTGTAACGGAAGATTTTGTGTTGAGCTTCTTGTGTTTTAATCATTTCTTGAAATTCTGCTTGATGCTTTAATGGATGTATTTGATTATAGACACACAAGACTAGCTTCTTTTAGGTCATCTAATTCCATTGTCCAGCTAATCCTTACAACCCAAAATATTATCCAGAGTGGAACTGAATACTCCAGTAATCAGGGACACCTCCCATTCAAAGCAAGCCTTTGATCTTCAGATAACTCTGACCATTAAAATGATGTCCCCTGTACATTAAGCCCAAATTTGAATTCCTATAATTTATACTCTTTGATATTATATCTCTTTCCAGGGTCAAAGAGAAATCATCTAATCCCTCTGCCTCTTGGCAGCATTTCAAGACTTTGAAGAGACCAGTCATGTCGCAACAAGTCTCTCTGTTATCTTCCCTTGCTTTATTTTCACCAACTGTTGATGATGATGATGATAACAACACTAGTAATAACAATTAACAATAATTGGGTGCATGTTATGTGCCAGGTGTTCTAAGCTATATATATATATACTCATACAAATCTCATAAAAATCCTAGAAGGTATTATCCCCATTTTACAGATAAGGAAACTGAGGCCCAGAAAGGTTGCATAATGTGGCTCAGAGAGGCGCAGAGAGATTAGATAATGTGCTCAAAGTTATACAGCTAGTGAGTAACAAAGCCTAACTTTGAGCTCAGGCAATTGGGCTCCTGAGCCTTCCTTTGCTAGGTGACACTACTCTGAGTGTGATCCAGGTTGTCCCCATTTCTCTTAGAATAATGTCCAGAAGTGGATACAATCCTACAGGATCTGCCTGCCATGAACTATTAATGCCACTCAAGTTTTCATTAGCCACATGCTACACCTCCTTCTAAACATTGACGCAAAGAGGAGCTCATCCACTTCCTTAACAAATGTGGTTATACCTATGCTATTTTCAGTGTGTGGAGTTAATTCACATCAAGCCAATCAGATCAATCACCACAGCTTTTTCCCCAATATTTGGGCAGCTAAAGCTAGGGACCGCTATCATAGCGGAGAATTCTCACTGTGTATGAGAATCATAGTCTTCTGTTGTGGTAACGAGGGAATACTATTTCCATCTTTGGCTGTGGAATAGCTTTCCGTGGCTGCTGCTAAGCTCAGGAGAGTTAGCAAATCATATGCCTTCATTACTATTTGGTTCTGTAACAGGAGTCTTTTTTTTTAAATCATTCATGACCTAATCTCTAATATTCCCTTTAAGGGTTTGATTAAAGTTGAGTACCTTTGAAAAAACACTGACGTGATTAAATATGGTGGACAGAAATCTATTTACAGTCAATAAGCTAATAAGGCCTGGGGTTTCAAGAGATGTGAAGCCTGTGTGTATGTATATGTGTGTGTGTGCGCACATATGTGTGTGTGTGCACACATGTGTGTTGAAAGATAAATAGACAATTTTCAGAATTATTTTATGATGTTGCTATTACAAACATATTAGCTAACTCTGGAAACTGGTCTAAATTGCTGGGACCTAAATAAAACATCTTAGAAGACAATTATGGCATTCAAGTCAGTAAGACATAATTTGCTTTGTTTTCAATTGTTCTATACAGTCATCCTGATAACAATATTCCAAAGCTGTTAAGCTCACATTGCATTCTATGCAAGCCAATACCACTCTACTTGCACAATAGTTTCACATTTTCACACAGAAAAATAACATTGTAGAAGTGGCGACGGCAAAGTCATTGTGCCCCAGTGATGCCCATGATTAATAAAAGGTGACGTAGGTGATTAATCAGAAGTTGTACATGTTGCCAAATTTACAGACTTGTGGGTTTCAGTATAGATCACTGTACTTTATAAACCTCTCATTCATTCATTCAATAAACTTTTAAATGTTCACAGGCCCATTAAGTACTGGGAATACAAAAAAACATAATCCTCTACTTTCACCATGTAATCAACTTAATATTACCAATAATGGGGATTGGTAAGCAAGTCAGTGTCATAATGTGCCTCCTGATATGATGCACTGGCAAGGACATGATATCATCTTGTGGTTCCTGCCAAACATGCTTAACCTCAATCTAATCGTGAGGAAACAATCAGACAAATCCAAATTTGGGGGCAACATATTAAACAATTAAACTCTTTTAAAATGTCAATGTCTTGAAAGGAAAAATAAGAAAAAAAGGCAGGGAACTGTTGGAGGGTAGAAACATGATAATTAAATACAGTGAATGATCCCTGATTGGATCTTTTTTTTTTTTTAAATGTCATTATTAGGACAACGGAGAAGTTTGAATATCTAGTCTATATTATATATGAATAAGTACTTTATTATATGCTATATATTATATACTTATGATATTAAGTATATATTATATACTAATAAATATTATATACTAAAAAGTACCAGTGTAGCTTTTTTTAGTGTGATAATGATATAATTATATGAGAATATCTTTATTCTTAGGAGATACATAATAAGGCATTAAGAGGTAAAATGTCATGCCTAAAGCTTACTTTTAAATGGTTCTGTTGGCCGGAACAGTGCCTAGGGCACTGTTCTCAGCTCTGCTGGTCTAAGCTCTGACCAGGTTGCTTCTCAGAATTCTTGTTTGGGGCAGTGGCTCACACCTGTAGTCCCAGCACTTTGGGAGCCTGAGGCAGGCCATTCACCTGAGGTCAGGAGTTCAAGACCAGCCTGGCCAGCATGGTGAAATCCCATCTCTACTAAAAATACAAAAAATTAGCCAGGTGTTGTGCCTGTAATCCCAGCTACTCAGGAGGCTGAGACAGGAGAATCGCTTGAACCTGGGAGGCAGAGGTTGCAGTGAGCTAATATCGTGCCATTGCACTCCAGCTGGGGCAACAAAGTGAGACTCTGTCTCAAATAAAAATAAAAATAAAAGTAAATGCTTTAGTAAAAAAGAGATTATATATGGCTATAGTAATAGCTATATTAACATATCTTTTATATTTCACATTATACATACATTTTCTATTAATGTCTATATGAGCATCTATATTGTGTGTCTATTATATCTCACTACATATGGCTATACTATTAGTTTCCTAGGGCTACCAGAACACATTCTCACAAACCAGGTAGCTAAAAACAAAAGAAGTTATTCTCTCACAGTTCTGGAGGCTTGAAGTCTGAAATCAGGGTGGTGGCAGGGCCATGCTCCCTGCAAAGCCTGTAGGAGAGGAACTTCCCCAGTGTCCTCCAGCTTCTGGTAGTTGCCAGCACTCCTTGTCATTCCTCGGCTTGTAGTTGCATCACTTCAAGCTTTGCCTCCATCTTCATGGGACATTCTCTCTGTGTGTCTCTGTCTAAACTTCTTTCTTTTTATAAGGACCCCACTTACTGGATTAAGGCCCATCCGAGTTCTATGTGACCTCATCTTAACTTGATTGTATCTGCAAAGACCCAATTTCCAAGTAAGGCTGTATTCCCAGGTACTGAGTAGACCTGAATTTGGGGGACACTGTTCAACCCAGTAAGGTATATAAAGATATTACAGAGGGAGAGGGAGGGTGTATAGGATGGGAGCATGTACAATGTAGCAAAATATTAATAGATGATGGATTTTGGTGAAAGGTAGGTGACTGTTCATTTTGCCCTTCTTTCAATGATTCTAAAGTTTGAAATATTTCCAAATAAAATTAAAATTTGGGGAAAATATACTATATCAAAAGAAGACATTGCCTTTGTTCTTCAGGCTATGTCGAAGTTATGGAGGACACTGGAGCAAATGCCTCATGATGATAGCACTGCAGGGCCCTGCAGGAACAGGGAAGACAGCAGACAGTGCCAACTGTGCTTGGGAACATTAGGAAGCGTTTCCATGAGCAGTGACAGCCGGTTGAACAGAGTTTTGAAGGATAGTGTCAGAGTCAGCAGCAGGGATGCAGGTGCATCTGGGGAGCTGCCAGTTGGCCAGAATAGTTGGAACAAGGGGCGTGTGTGTGTGACAATGGTGGTGCCGAGGCTGGAGAGAGGCAGGAAGCCTGTCATCCAGGACGCTGCACCATGAAGACTGGGGGAGCTGTGGCAGAACTTTAAGCAAGGTGTAACCTGAGCAAAGTTTTGTGTGAGGGCTGGGGCTATGAAGAAGCCTGAAGACAAACTAATTGGAAGACTGGTGGGACAAGCGGACAAGCCAGAGGAGAAACAAGGCAAAGAAGAGTAGAAAGAGAGTGCAATAGTTAGCAGGAGGTAGAGGGTCCGGGCAAATGTTTGTTTTTATAAGAAGAGAGAAACGTAAGCATCTGTATATGCCGAGGAAGAAGAGTCAGCAGATGGGGCAGATTGCAGATCCAGGAGAGCAGAGATGATGAAGGAAGCAAGTCCTGGGACATGGGACCCAGAACACAATGGGAAAGAGCCCTATTTCTACTGGGATGTTGAGGCAGGGGACTGGAGAGAGGGGAGGCGTAGGCCTCAGATCTTCTCAGGACCTCATGAAGAACAAGGGAGAGGGGAACAGTGACCAGGCAGGGGCAGAACCGTGGAAGACTGACTGGGGTGGACAGGAGAAAGGAAGAGAGTGAGCCCAAAGGAGGCGAAAACAGGGTTACTGGTGAGGGAATTGGGAAGCAAAATGATGAGTCTTGGTTCGAATGTTATCGACTCAGGGATCAGTATCCTGCCTTAATTAACAAAACAGGGTTTCTCCCTGCTGCATCCTCCAGGCACACCTGGATGGGGCATGTTAGGTTTCACCATCAACCCTTACAAGGGCTGCTTCAATAGATTTGTGCCCAGGATTCCCAGAAAACAGGTTTCCATGAATGCCACTGATACAGAGAGTTGGGTTAGTGGGTACCCCTTCACCCTGCCCCCAAGAGCTTTTTATGTTAGTTTATGAAAGGGAAGGACGTCCGTCATGCCATTCCATTTAACTGTTAACTATCCAGGGGTTACGGTAACACACAAGGCTGATGAGATGTGTAGGCTCAAAAACAGAGCAGGCCAAAGGTAGGCATGCCAGGACCTAGGGCTGAAATGATTTCCTCTATCATGTGGACATAAGTTTCCATTTTTCTGGAATAAATGCCCAGAAGAGTGCAATTGCTAGATCATATGTTTTGAAAGAAACTACCAAACTATCTTCCAGAGTGTCTATAACATTTTACATTCCCACCAGCAATGTATGAGAGATCAAGTTTCTCCATATCTTGCTAGCATTTGGTATTTGTATTAGTCTGTTCTTATGCTGCTCTAAAGAACTGCCCAAGACTGGGTAATTTATAAAGGAAAGAGGTTTAATTGACTCACAGTTCCAAATTGCTGGGGAGGCCTCAGGAAACTTACAGTCATGGTGGAAGGCAAAGGAGAAGCAGGCACCTTCTTCACAGGGTGACAGGACAGAGTGAGTGCAAGCAAGGGAAATGCCAGACACTTATAAAACCATCAGATCTCGTGAGACTCACTCACTGTCATGAGAACATCATGGGGGAAACCACCCCCATGATCTAATTATCTCCACCTGGTCCCACCCTTGACACATGGGGATTATGGGGATTACAATTCAAAATGAGATTTTGGGTGGGGACACAGCCAAACCATATCAGTATTATTACTATTTCTTTTAATCTTAGTGATTCTAACAGGTATGTAATGACATCTCAATGTGGTGTTAACATGCATTGCCCTAATGGCTAGTGATGCTGAACATCATTTCATGCACTTATTTACCATGATGTAACCTCTGCAGTTGGATGTCTCCTCATGTTTTTGCCCATTTTCAAATTAGATTGTTTTTTTCTTAATGCAAAGATTTTTAAAGCCTTTTAGTAACATTCTTAGAGGCTTTTAAAAATCATTCTTCCAAGTACAGAATATATTTTAATTCAGCTCTCAGTAGCAGGGTGTTAACTCTAAACCCATCATTGCCTCAGCATGGATGCAGGATCCAATCCTCTGTTATTCAGCACGGGCATTTTCCCCACATGTCACATTCAAAAAACACTGCTACATCCTCATCTCTTTCCCAGCCATTACCTGAACTTTACCCCTGAGCTAGAATCTCCAGAGAAGCTTGAACTTTAGCTTCTAGAGTTGCTCCTGACCTCATACTTTGCTATTGCACCACTAAGCTGAAACCAAGAGTTGAAACCAAGCTTTGGGAATTATACCTCTTTTTCTGGATCCACATGCCCTGTGATATAAAAATAAATGTCGGCCAGGTGCGGTGGCTCATGCCTGTAATCCCAGCGTTTTGGGAGGCCAAGGCAGGTGGATCACCTGAGGTCAAGATTCAAGACCAGCCTGGCCAAGATGGTGAAACCCCATCTCTACTAAAAATACAAAAATTAGCTGGGCGTGGTGGCAGGTGCCTGTAATCCCAGCTACTCGGGAGGCTGAGGCAGGAGAATTGCTTGAACCTGGCAGGCAGAGGTTGCCATGAGCTGAGATCGTGCACTGCACTCCAGCCTGGGCAACAGAATGAGACTCCATCTCAAAAGAAAAAAATAAAAAATAAATGTCAGTGTGTTCCTTTGTACTTGTTCCCCTGTGCGCCAGCCAGTTTGTAATTTGTCTCCTAACCCAAAAGGCAAAGAGTAAATGGGAAAGAGTAGGAACTTGAAAATGTGACTCCCTAAAGACAGTGGGTCCCCTTTGAACATCATTAATTTGCAGGCATAGGAAGGAAATAAAAGAATGTGGAAGAGAACGTCTACAGGAGGAAGTCTTGGGTACACTGTACACCACATGGGACATAGCCTTCCCTAACGTACTGAGAGTCTCTGGCAGGTTATTTTTAACTGCCACATTGTCAAGTAAATGTTTGCACTTTGATAAGTGTCCTGTCCACTGGCTTGTTCTAAACTCTGGTCTGGGAGCTTACCAGAAGAGCCTAGGAGTGGTATGCAAGAGAGAGAGCCTGGATGAGTGAAATATAATAATTGTTTAGCTGCCAGCCCTGATGTCTATGACAGATCAAACAATCCACTTGCATTGTGTTTCACTGCTTGCATCACCTGGTCATGAGTTTTCAGTGGAATTTGTGGAATGGATTGTTCTCACGGAGTCACCCAATATCCCTGAACAATGGTAGCATACATTCTTAGTTTTATATAAGAGCTAATAAGGAATGTTCCAGCCACCCGATCGGAGGCAGAGAGCTGTTGCTGATGCTTGCCTACTTTCTTTCTTTCTTTCACACTCTCCCTTTCTCCTTCTCCTGTCTGAAGGAAGAAAGAAGGGGGCAGGCAGGGAAGGAAAAAAGATCCATTATGTAGAGGTCACTAGAAGAGTGACACCACAGGTTGGAGGGAAGATAAATATGAAATATGGAAAATAAGGGGTACTCTGTGGTTTTTCCCTTCATAAAATTTGCTTTTATTTATTTATTGGTTCTTCCTCAGTGAATAACCTTCTAGAAAAAGGCATCAGGCTGGGCGCGGTGGCTCATGCCTGTAATCCCAGCACTTTGAGAGGCCAAGGCGGCCGGATTGCCTGAGGTCAGGAGTTTGAGACCAGCCTGGCCAACATGGTGAAACCCCGTCTCTACTAAAAATACAAAAATTAGTTTGGCATAGTGGCGCATGCCTGTAATCCCAGCTACTCGGGAGGCTGAGGTGGGAGAATTGCTTGAACCCGGGAGGTAGAGGTTGCAGTAAGCCGAGATCGTGCCACTGCACTCCAGCCTGTAACGTTTCAGGAGTGCTTTTTGTTGCATGTAACAGAAAACTAACTCCAACTGGGTAAAACAAAAAAAGAGATTGATTAATTAAGCACTGCAAAATTTAGAAGTAGTGGTTTCGGTGTTGGTTTGATTTAGTAACTTGTCATTTTTTCTTTACCTTTTATGGTGTCCATTTCAAAGGAAGGCTGGCTCCATGCTTCAGGGTTTGTTTCCAAAAACAGGCAAGTCCTTTTCACAACTCGTGGAGACTTGTTCTTAATACTGGATGGATCGCCCATGACCAGCCCTGCTGGCCAGAGAAATGTCACGTGCAGATTGGCTGGGGCTTGGCTTTCCTGAACCAATCCCCACAGCTGGTGGTGGAAGGGCCCTGTTGATTTAGACGCCAAGGTTCTTCACAAGGGAGGGTGAATGGATATTGGGGCAACAACTGCAATGCCTACTACTACATCTTCTTAAAAAGTTATTCTAATTTCTGCACTGATGATTAAAATCCTTTAAGAGAGCATCAAGCCTCTCATTCTGAAACTTGAGATAAAATGGAAATAGTAACAGTGAATTAATTTACACTGAAACATGTTGCAGGAATAAATTTTTACAATCACATTTGTCAAGTGAGCCAAGAAGTAATTTTATTTCTCTATAATTGAATTAGATTAACTTATTATCCCCAATTTCTACTTGGTAATAGAAAACTATATCTTTCTAATTCAAGATAAATCCAATTACTTCTTGTTTAGAACTCAGTCAACTTAGTCTTTCTTTCTTTCCTTCTTCTTCTTCTTCTTCTTTTTTTTTTTTTTTTGAGACAGGGTCTTCCTATGTCCTATGTTGCCCAGGATGTACTTGAACTCTTGGGCTCAAGCAAATCATCCTGCCTCAGCTTCCTAAGTAGCTTGGGACTATAGGCTTGCTCATGCTCAGCAAAAGCCAGTCTTTCTTCAGTAAATTCTTAGTCAATATAGGACTTCTCTCCTTTATCTTTCTTTCTTTCTTTTTTTTTTTTTTGAGGCAGAGTTTTACTCTTGTTGCCCAGGCTGGAGTGCAATGGCACAATCCTGGCTCACTGCAACCTCTACCTTCTACCTCCCGGGTTCAAGCGATTCTCCTGCCTCAGTCTCCCCAGTAGCTGGGATTATAGGCATGTGCCACCACGCCTAGCTAATTTTTGTATTTATTAGTAGAGATGGGGTTTCACCATGTTGGCCAGGTTCATCTTGAACTCCTGACCTCAGGTGATCCACCCACCTTGGCCTCCCAAAGTGCTGGGATTACAGGTGTGGGCCACTGTGCCCGGTCTTCCTCTCCCTATTCTTCCAATCTTCACTTGAAGAATGATCTTGGTTCCTGTGGTTCCTACATATGATCTTGACATTAATGGGTGGGCAACTGTGACGTCTTCCTTGTGAGGAGGCCTCCTCTGAGATGGCTTTGGCTTTAGGTATCTATCCTCACTGCCATCTGCCGCTGATGTTCACAGTCTAAACTTGCCCCGGTCTATGCAACCATAAGGACATTCCCAGTCCATTGGATTTCTCTCAGCCAAACTATTGTTGGAGCTCATGGGGAAGGATGTCGGGGAAACCATGGGAAAAATTCAGATGCCCTTCTGTGCTACTAGGATGTTTCTGGAAACATGGAGGTGGAGATGGTGGGTCTCTCTTAGATAGTTTCTCTGGCTGGACCTGCCCTGTGGCCATTGCTACTCTACTGTAGTCACTTATGTTGGCTTAGGGCTCTCCATGAGAATATCTTTTTGTAGGATTCTTTTTTTTTTTCTGAGACAGAGTCTCGCTCTGTTGCCCAGGCTGGAGTGCAGTGGTGCCATCTCGGCTCACTGCAAGCTCCACCTCCCGAGTTCACACCGTTCTCTTGCCTCAGCCTCCCGAATAGCTGGGACTACAGGCTCCCGCCACCACACCCAGCTAATTTTTTGTGTATATATATATTTTAGTAGACACGGGGTTTCACCATGTTAGCCAGGATGGTCTCGATCTCCTGACCTCGTGATCCACCTGCCTCGGCCTCCCAAAGTGCTGGGGTTACAGGCATGAGCCACCGAGCCCAGCCTGTAGGATTTTTGATGGAGAGTGGAGGCATAGGCCCTCCTGCTCCAAGATCCCCAAACCCATCTGAGGTTTCTATTACCCCTACGTACAGGACTGGACTTTCCAAGAGCTACCCCGACTTATTCTCTTGCTCTATTTCCCACTTCTCCTGCTTTGCTTCCAGTCCAGCGAAGATTTTTTAAAAATCGTCACTGTCTAGTCTGGGGAGGGGAGCTTATATAATTTTGCATTCTTTTGAATCTCTTAGTTATGGCATAAATCCTGCTATTTAGTAGTTTTGTTCTAGGGCTGGACTCCAGTCATGTGATTTGGAGTGATTTTCTCAGCTTTAGCAATACAGAAATTGAATAGCATGGTATGTTCAAGCTTTGCTTCTTATTAATTTTGTTTGTAGAAATACACTGGGCACAATTTGTGCTGGGGGTCCTGATCTAGTTCTCTTGAAGTGTTCAGTAATATGCGGAGATCTACTATTCACTTTTCTTCAGAGATTCTCATTTTTAACATTGAAAAGAAATGGTCTTGTCTGAAAAGCTTTTGCTTGCCACGCATATGGAAACGCATTTAGGAATAAATGACTACTGTTTCTGCTGTTTCGGCAATGGGTTATTGTGATAACACAGAGATTAACAACATGTTGGATAAACATTGGTAAAGCCCAGCTGTATACTTTTAGGGCATGGTTTTGGAACTTCATGTTCATTTCTCTTTATCTGTGGGGTATCTGCTTCATGAAGTGGTACCTACAAGTTTAGAGCTTGTAGAACAAAGCCTTGATCAGCTGCTGTGATGGCCATGTCACAGCCACAGCTTCATTTTTCATCCTCCAGGGTCTTGTTAATCTCCTTCAGTGCTTAACCGAGAGTAATTCCATTGAAATGGGTTGGAGTTCCCTTAGAATTAAAACTCTTATGTGTATTGGTCTGCTATCTTTAGTCTATTTCATTGCCTTTCCTCTTTTCTGAGCAGATATTGGATCTAAGGTTCTAGGTGAAGAAGCAATGAACACTCATAAGATGAAAAGTATAACTTGGAGGAAGAAACCCCAGGGAAAGGTTTTGTCTCCAGGTAAATGGACAGATCACATGAGATCTTTAATTCCCGTGCCTGTACAAGCTTCCATAAATGGAACATGTAGCAGAGAGGACCAGATTGACAAGAAGCACTCAGAAGAGAAGCCTGTGCCTCCATCCTGTGGCTGGCTGGGGACCATCACACACGGGAGGCTGTGTGCTGAGGAATGGGTGTTTGGAGGAATATCCTCCTAACCAGCTTTTCAGTGGACTCAGATGTATAAAAAGAAAAAGTTGCCAAGGACTGTACTTGCTTTCCCAGATTGTCCTAGGGTACATTGCATTAGCCTAAAATGGCAACCCTCTATCTTCCTAGTGTAATAATAATAGCAGTGCTGTTTGCTTGGCTCTGTGATTTCTACCCTTAAAACCCTTGCACTCAGTGTACATATAGCAGAAACTTCTTACAGTATAACCAGTAAGATTATAGGATTTCTATTAATACATTAGTCAAATGGTAACCCTAAAAGCACTGAACATTGAAAATACAATCCAATAGGATAACCCAGTAACGTGAGCATTTGTCCTGTGTCCCAACACCAGCATCACAAAGCGACTCAGCCATAGTCACTCTCCAAATAAAAAAATATATAAATTCATCCTGTGGAGCTGTGCGTGAGAATTTTACAACATTACACAAATTGATGGTGCCCCTCAGTATAAAGAGCACAGTCTTTGTAGACACAGCCTTGGGTTTAGCCTCACACTGGTGACTTTCTTAACCCTGGCAAGGTAATTAACCCTATCCAAACCAGAGCTTTCCATCTAGTGCACCACGAAGGGTTTACAGATGTGCTGAGAGACTGGTCCTCTCAGTTCTTGAGGAGGTACTTGCTGTGATGTGAAAAAGACTAGAAACATCATCATCATCTCAGTTTCTTCATCTGTCAGTCATAATTGTATTTTTCTCATGGGGTTGCTATAAGGAATAAATATTGATCTCTGCAAGGTGTTCAGCACAGCACTTAGTAAGTGATTACCAAATGACAGTATGTCTAGTCTATACAGTCCTCAGCCAACCAGTCACTTTGGCCAGCATTTGGAAAATGTCTGAAAGATAATTAATTCCAAACTATTGCACAAAGAGAATCCTGAAAGTCGTGAGCAAGGCCATCAAACAAGTAATTCCACTCCAGAAAAGTCAGGCCATCCTAGATTTAATATAATGATGGCCATTGGAACAAATTCTAGCTTTGCCTGCCAAGTTGCTCTTTTTTTTTTTTTTTTATACTTTAAGTTCCAGGGTACATGTGCACAACGTGCAGGTTTGTTACATATGTATACATGTGCCATGTTGGTGTGCTGCACCCATTAACTCGTCATTTACATTAGGTATATCTCCTAATGCTATCCCTCCCCCCTCCCCCCATCCCATGACAGGCCCTGGTGTCTGATGTTCCCCTTCCTGTGACCAAGTGTTCTCATTGTTCAATTCCCACCTATGAGTGAGAACATGCTGTGTTTTGTTTTTTGTCCCTGCAATAGTTTGCTGAGAATGATGGTTTCCAGCTTCATCCATGTCCCTAAAAATATGGAACGCTTCACGAATTTGCGTGTCATCCTTGCGTGGGGGCCATGTTATCTTCTCTGTAACATTCCAATTTTAGTATATGTGCTGCTGAAGCGAGCACCAAGTTGCTCTTTAAGGCATCCTTCTTTCACAGTAAGTAGCTAGAAAAGTATGAATGCTTCGGTTCCCTATTCCACTGAAAATAAAATGATTTCCTCAAATTTGAGAGCTGTTACAATTTGTTTCCAATATACAGTGGTACCCCTGATCCACAGGGGAGACATTCCAAGACCCCCATTGGGTGCCAGAAACCATGGACAGTACCGAATCCAATTGTCATCAGTTGGAACACATTTCTGTTTGTGCCTTTCACCCAAAACTTAATGCCTTTTCCATCTTAACTCAACACTTATCACACACTGTGGCCATAACTTTTGCAGTTGGAGGTGTGATAGCAAAACTAGCATAAATTTGTTTTTCCATCTTCCCAATTTCATGGATAGATTTATTCTTACTGTAGATTTTAGCAACCTCAGCGTACATTTTTTTTTCTAAAGTCAAGAACTTCCACTTTTTTACTTCACCATACTTTATGTACGGTTTCTCTCTGGTGTATCTGAGAGCATCACCAATGCTCTGGTGATTGCCAGCATCACTACTCCTACACTTTAGAACCATTATTAAGTAAAATAAGGGGTACTTGAACACAAGCACTGTGATACTGCAACAGTCAATCCGATAACTGTGACAGCTGCTGACTAATGGACAGGTGGCGTCTATAGTGTGGATACACTGGACAAAGGGAGGATTCACTTCCCTGGGCCCAGTGGAGTTGCACAGTGCAAGATTTCATAATTCTACTCAGAACAGTGCAGAATTTAAAACTGATGCATTGTTTATTTCTGGAATTTTCCATTGAATATTTTTGGACCATGGTTGACTGAGGATGATTAAAACTACAGAATGCAAAACCATTAATAAGGGGGAATCAGGGCCCAGATTATTATTTGTCCTCATATAGCTGGGTCTTGATGAGCTATCATTTTATTTTGTTTTACCTCTGGGTGCCCTGGGCACAGTTCCCTATTCTGTGCCTACTCTGGGGACACATATATTAGGATCAGAGGTGGCAAGACTATCTGTAAAAGGAAATTGAAAAGACATTTAAAAACCTAAAGGAAGATTAGTGATTTCCCAGAGAAACTCAATGGCAGATGTCACTGGAATCAAGAACCATTGCTCTCATGCCTGGAAAACCTGTTTCCAAAATGTTCCCTTTTGCTGCCAAGGGATCAGCTGCTCCAGTAGCTCAGCATCTTGGCAATTGTGGGAAGAGGACAGAGGTGAAGAATCTCTGGGCTTATTAGACATGACCTTAGAGAACACTGATGTGGGAAAGCAGAGAATGAACTTACAATGAGTGCAGGATGTTTGAAAGCAATACACTATGAAAATGTTTCATATTTTAAAAACTAAGTAATAAGCATGTAAAACACTACCTTCTCTCCTAAACCAAATCAGCTGTTTGGATGTAAAAAATAATAACCAAATAGTAAATGCACTTAATTTTTTAAAAGGAGTTTGCTGGGAAGCTATTAATGAAATAGAAATTGAGGAAGTCTTACTCAAGCTGCGTTTTGTTTTTGGAACTGCAGAACACACTCCCGTGTCTCGAGTAGTGTCTGAGAACACAGAAATGGGAATCTGAATACTGGGTTTCCAATAACTGCTTTGCAAATATTTAGCTCTATGACCCTGGGTAGGACAAAGACAATCTTGATGCATCATTCCACACCTGTAAAATTATTATTTATAAGGTTCAAGAGTCTATGGCATGAAATTCAGAGACTCGGGGGTCCAATAAAGAGATTATGTATGAAAAGACCTGGCCCAGTGCCTGGTATGCAGTAGGCATGCCATGAGGTAGCCTTCTGGTGTGTGTGTAAAGCACAAACCCCCAAGATTTCAGGGCTGAGTGGAGCCTTATGGGTTATTCCATATTTTCTATTTGTCTTTGTATGTTTCCATTCTGACCCATTGTGCATCGATTTTAAAGATTAAACTCTCATAAAACAACCTCATGTTCTGCATTTCTAAGCTATTGGGGGCAGATGGGACCTTCATTGAAACCCCCAAGTCCAAACATATGTGTTTACCATGGTCACAGCCTACTATGTGGCGGATAAATTGTCTGTTTAGTTGTCTATGTCCCTTGACCAAGAATTTCTTGACATACAGGGACTCCCACTTTTTGAGCTCCGTAGCACATCTGATGCAAAGCAGTTGCTCGATATATATTTATTGTTGTCATTGACCATTAAACATACAAAAAAAGTAGTCTGATTGAATTGAATTTAGACGTACGTGAAGAAATAATAAGTTACCAGAAGAGTGGTGTCCTGGTTGAAATGGGACACATAAGGGCAAGCACTTGCCATTGTCACCCAGCCCTTCAGGGTAAGCAGCATCCTTAGCCCACAGTTTCTCATCATGATCACAAGAGAAATGCAATCTCTGATGGGTACTCTACCCATTGTCCTGGGCCTACCTATCCACAGATCTATTCCTGCACCTTTCCCAGAAGGCTAACCCCTGCAGGCTATACTCAGTCTCCCTAGTCAACTGACTTCAAAAAGGAGAAATTGGCACTTAACATGACACAAGCTCTGCTGTCCTCTTTTTGACTTCCTCTTAAGGACCATGGAAAAGATTTACTCCCCAGATCCATTTTTGCATGATAATTAAAGGGCCCTTGTAGCAAATGGACTAAGAGCTTCCCAGGTCCAGCTCAATACCCCTTCCTTCCAAAAGATCATCCTATTCCTGCCTGGCCTCAGTGGTTACTCTCTGGTCTGAACACACATAGCACTTCCAGTTTCTAATTCATGTTTAATACTTGAAATCTACTACCTTGCATTGCTATTTATCTTTTTTGTAGGCCTTTCCTTTTCAACTAGACTATAAGAGAGTAGACTCCATTAACTACATGTTTTGTATCCGCTAGGCCTAGCACACAGTAGGTACTGAAAATACCAGTTTTTTATAATGGTACTGATGAAGAAAAGTACCATTCCCACTGGATGTTGTTAGCCATTGGGAGGGCTGTGCCTAATGGACTTTGAAGTTCACCTGAGCCTGAATTCTGATTCTTCCCCCATATTTGATATTTAACTTGGGGCAAATTATTTCCATTCCTCTTTGAAAATGGGAGCAATTCTCTCTTAGGATTATTTGGATAAAATTTATTAACTTTAGACTGATTAGCACCAGGGAAACAATCCCAACTGGAAGTTATGGTGATCTTGATGACAATAATAATACTTAAGGGGCTGCTGCATAATATCCTGACCAACATTTCATCCCAAATTTCCACTGTAGGAAGTAGAAACCAGATGTGCCCAAACATTTTAAAACAGCTATTTTATTGAAGTAATTTCATGTTTATGGAAAACCAGCCTGCAATAGAAATCAGCCCCTCACTTATGGTTCACGGTCACTTGATGAATGGCCCATCATCATAAAATAAGCAGGGAGTTTGGCTGGGAGCCATGCCACAACCATTTTATTGGAATGACTTTGTTGTCACTGCATCCCCACACTCATCTCTCTCCTACAGCACAGTTTTGAGTGATTGAAGTTAGTTTGGGCAAGAATTCCAGACAGGGAAAAGCAAATAAGTGTGTCAGGAGGTCAAAAGAGAAGAATAAGCCACAGGCGGAGGAAGAAATGCGGAGCTGATAATTGAAAGATAATGGATGTAGGGGTGGGTTACAGCAACACAGTGGGAGGGGGATCCAGACCCAGCGCTTTCTCAGGCATCTGAGCGAGACCCAGGGTTACAACTCATCTTACAAGATCTATGAAGCATGGATTTCAAAATATTTGGGCCACCCAGTATGGAATTTGGGCAAATGGCACTATTGAATAAAGCCATTGACAAATTACTTTCCTTTCATTTCCTTCACTGGCAGGATCTTCTGTTTATGCCTCCTGAGATGCAAAACTGGAAGGAGTAAATTTGCTGACAAGTATCCATGTGCAGGGACAGTTGATGGAATTTTTATCATGCAAAAATAGTCTTGGATGATGGGTTGAGAGATTGCCAGGAATCTCTGGAATCTAACCCTCAGCTGAGCATATAGAGGTTTCATTTTAAGGTGGTATCAAGGTGAAGAACTTATAAAACTAAGCTGTATTGATTTTTTTTCTTTGCAAATGTTTGAATTTTGTAATAGGCATTCATTCCCAGCGAAATCTTAACTAAATAGGAGGCTGGAAATCTGTGACGTAGTGGACCAAGGTTAGGTTTTAAAGGTAGGACTTTTTAATCAGACAGCTGACTCTAGAGGTTTATACAAGATCATAACTTTAATCCCTCCATGCCCCTGTTGTCTTATCTGTAAAATAAATATAATAATCATCATCCCAAAGGTTATAAGAATTAAAGCAAATTATAAAGGAAGTAGCCCCTGGCCTTAGGAGACCCTCAAAGTTTAAATGTCCTTTTTCTTTTCACTTCTCTCTCTTATTTTAACTCCTTCCTATCCAGCTCCAGCAATTTTCTCTGATTTTCTGTGTATCTGATGGAAACAGCCTTTGCTGAACTTATAAATAATGCAGGCAAGGCTGGGCGTGATGGCTCACACCTGTAATCCCAGCACTTTGGGAGGCTGAGGTGGGCAGATCACCTGAGGTCAGGAGTTTGAGACCAGCCTGGCAAACATGGTGAAACCCCATCTGTACTAAAAATACAAAAATTACCCAGGTGTGGTGGCAGGAGCCTGTAATCCCAGCTACTCGGGAGGCTGAGGCAGGAGAATCACTTGAACCCGAGAGCCAGAAGTTGCAGTGAGCCGAGATCGCACCACTGTACTCCAGCCTGGGTGACAGAGCGAGACTCCATCTCAAAAATAATAATAATAATGCAAGCAACATGAAAGAGAAAAGGAAGTGAGCCATGTAGCTACTGAGAGGGAGGTATTTCAAAGAAAGAGCTCATCAAGTGCAAAGACCACACAGTAGATGTGTACATGGACATTTCAGAAAATCTCAAGGAAGCCAGGGTGGCTGAAGTAGACCAATCCCAAGGAAGTATGGTAGGAGAAGAGGTCTAGGAGATCCAGAGGGGCAGAGTGTATGATTGCCTAGGGCCTTGAAGGCCAGTAAAAGTACTTGAGCTTTTACTCTAAGTGGGTTGGGGAGCTGCTAGATGGTTCTAAACTGAGGAGTGATGTGTTTTGAAATGATTCTCCTGACTGCTATGTTGAGAATATGTTATAGGGCAAGGATGTGGAATGAGGAGGAGAGGGACACATAGGCAGAACAGGGACACCAGTTAGGATCCCACTAAATAACCCAGGCAGGAGGTCAGAGTAGGTCAGTAGCAGTGTAGGTCATGAGAAGTCATTAGAAAAGGTAGAGCAATTTAGGCTTTGCTGATGGGTTCAATATATAATGTGAGAGAGATCCCTTTAAGATTTTTGGTGTTTATGAAGGTGCTTTTTAGTGTAGGTAGTTGTTAAATTGGTGCCCTCACAGGGGGCATTGGGGGATGATGGGTGGAGCCTTCTATTCTGCCGCCTTGCTCCACCCCAAGTCAGTAGTGTTTTTTTAGGGCATGATAAATTGAATATTCTAAAGGTGATTATGGTGATGGTTCTACAACTCTGTGAATATACTAAAAACCATTTAATTGTACATTTTATCTTATTTTATTTTTGAGACGGAGTCTCCCTCTGTTGCCCAGGCTGGAGTGCAGTGGCATGATCTCTGCTCACTGCAACCTCTGCCTCCTAGATTCAAGCAATTTTCCTGCCTCAGCCTCCTGAGTAGTTGGGATTACAGGCATGCACCACCACTCCCAGCTAATTTTCATATTTTTAGTAGAGCCAGGGTTTCACCAGGCTGGTCTCGAACTCTTGACCTCAGGTGATCTGCCCGCCTGAGCCTCCCAAAGTGCTGGGATTACAGGCGTGAGCCACTGCAACCAGCCTGAATTGTACATTTTAAAAGGGGAAACTTTATGGTATGTAAATTACATCTCAATAAAGCTGTTGGAAAAAAAGAAAAGGAGGAGGTGGTCAGAGACTGAGATGCTTAAAATTGAGATTAGGGAAGATTTCCACATTGGCAATAACAAGAGCTAGAGTCTGACCATGGAAGTTGAGTAGCCAAGATGGCTTGGAGGAGGAGTCAAGGAAGACAGAGGCCCAAGTACTGGAAGGACATCTGTGAGGATATGGGTGTCACTAAGAATGGTGGCAAAAGTCATGTTGGTGAGAGGTCTGACAGTGAGCTGGGGGGAAAATCTTCACCAAGTCAGGAGTGACCTGAGAGTTTGCAGATGACTACAACAAGGAAGCATGGCAGGTAGGAATCTGATAGCAGGATGTTCCAACTGGGTGTGGGTAGAAAAAATGTTCTGAAATTTGAATATTGGTGAAGGACTTAAAAAAAACTTCAAGTATTAAGGGCCTACTCTACTTTTCCTTTATTAATTAATTCATTCATGCAACATGTATTTGTTCTTTTGGGGACACCATTATCTACTCATTTGGCCATATCTGCAGATGCTCCCAAACATGGTGGAGCTGGCTTTTGATGGCCAGAATCCCAGATTCTGTTATAATAATCTCCTTTCAATGAGTTCCCCAAGGACCTATTACCCACTAGTATAGTGGAGGGCTGTTCTGATCAGTATGCAGCCTTTCCTTGATCACTGTCATCATATTGGCCATCATTGTTTAGTTACACTAATATAGTATATGGCTTTATGTTTCTTAGGCTGTAGGGAGCTGCCTGTTTTAGAATTAGATGGAAGAAGTTGTGATAAGCTTTGCCTTTGGACAGATCTGGGTTTAAATCTTAGCTCTGCTATTTATAACTTCATAACTTCGGGAAACTTAATATTGCTGAGTCTTAGTTTCTTATCTACAAAATATTTACCTCATAAATATTGGTGAGAATTAAATAACATGTGTGTGTCAAACTCCAAACAGATAGTAGGCACAACCAGAGATGTTAGTTCTCTTTCCTTTCCCTTGTTTTCCTTCCTTCACCTTTATGTTAATGTTGCTTCTGCTATTTTATTTCTAGCTTCTATCATGTCCAGGGTCTGGGTTCTGATCAGAAGCCTTCCTCTAGGGATGGTTGAAATTATCAAGCCAACTTCCAGATTGGCATAGAGTCACTCTGATTGTTTACTTTAGTGTGCCATGTTATGCTTCTCAAGGTGTTTTATAAAATGTTTCTAATCTTACTCTTTAATACTGTGAGGTATATAAGTGAGGCATTAGTATTCCTAATTTATGGAAGAGAATATAAGATACTGAAAGTAGCTAACATTTATTGGGCATTTATTAAATATCATTTTTCTAAATGTTTTACATCCATTAACTAACTTAATCCTCGCAGCAATTCTATGAAATAGGTATTATTAACTTTATCTCACAGGAAGGGAAACAGGCACAGAGAGGTCAAATAATGTGTTGAAGGTCACATAACTTCTAAGCATGGGGGCCAGATTTGAACCCAGGCAGTCTGGTTACAAAACTTAACCAATATATGGCCTCTAATGTAAGACAAGTAAACAAATTGTGTGGGGGTTGCAAGTGAAGAAATCCTTTTACCAGTTACTGCTCAGGTATCTTTCTGGCCTCTGAGATGGAGTTTCGCTCTTTCACCCAGGCTGGAGTGCAGTGGTTCAATCTCAGCTCACTGCAACTTCCATCTTCCGGGTTCAAGCCATTCTTCTGCCTCAGCCTTCCAAGTAGCTGGTATTACAGGGGTGCGGCACCATGCCCGGCTAATTTTCGTATTTTTAGCTGAGACAGGGTTTCGCCATGTTGGCCTGGCTGGTCTTGAACTCCTGACCTGAGGTGATCCACCCACTTCAGACTCCCAAAATGCTGGGATTACAGGCGTGAGCCACAGCACCCGGCCTGGCCTCTGGAATCTGATGGAGATGGAAAATGTTGGTAGCTCACTGTGGTCACTAATAGAACACTATTGTTATCTTCAGCAGGAGGGAGGCATTCCATACCTCCTGCATGAGTTTTATTACCCTGTTTCCTTCTAGCTCAGCCACCCTTGAGAATTCTTTTGCTGAGACAAACAAGACAATCCCTCTGAGATAGTAGCAATAATTGCCACCCTTGTCCTATTTTAGTTCTGCTTGTTGCAAGCCAAGTTCTAATATTAAAGCCAGTACTAAAAAATCATAAACTTTCTCAATATCATAAGTCTAAACACGTAGGGGAAGCTTTGGAAAACTTTAGGAAACAAATAATTCATGAGGTCAAAATCAATCTCATAATGAACAAGTAGATTTTTTTCTTTGGAAGCGGAAGAATATCTGGCCTAAGATCGAACCATTGGACACTCATGAAACTTATCTTAGAACAGTGAAACTATCTAGTCAGTCACATTGTGGATTATTTACTAAGTGCTAGAAATCTCATAGTTAAAGCATTTCATCAGGAGTAGATGATCAAATATTTAAAATATCAAGAGATTTGTTATTTTTCTTCTTGCTGGCACTGATTTAGTTTCTAACCACTAGAATTTCTCCCAGACCAGGAGTAGGGAAAAAAAGAGAAGAGAAAACTAAAGCCTAACTATTTTAGTATGTTAATAACTTTGATATGAATCTGATGAAGAAAGAGTTGAAAATTATTAGCTAAAATGAGATAGGGCATGTGTGTGCCTATATGTATATTTAACTATTGCCCTGTGAGCCCTATTCTATTTGAATTGGCAATAAAAAGTGGACTTACCTTATATACTTGTAAAATGCATGAAATACATATACAATTTGTTGACTTATTTATTTTCTAAAGACTCAGTCTCTCCACTGATGTAGTTACTGAAAAGAAGTTCTCTTTTCCTTATTTGTAAAACGTTTTACATATACATCCCCTATATGTACGTTATAATAGATGTTCTACACAGATATGCATATTGCATATACATATTATGTTTCCATGAATAAATACAGCAGAATTTCAGTCTAAGGAATGAAAAGATTATGACTTAAACATAAACCAACTGGAGCAATTCAAAGGGTCTTTCTTAAGAACATGGAATAAACGTGCTAAGATGGCTGAAATTATTTAAAGAATTAGGTAAAATATACATAAATTCCTTTAAATTTAAAGAAAATTTTTAAAATTAAATAAAATATAAATGAATGCCTCAGTCTTTGATCTGAATGCAGCAGAAAAAGGGGATTGAGGCATGGCTGGGGGCCAGCTAGCCTTGGCCTCTTGCTCTCTGAATGGCCCTGGTCCATCCCCTCTTTGAAGCTGAGTAGAGTTCACTGGGCTGAGGCATACAATAACGGCAGGGGCTTGGGGAATTCATAAGAGGGAAAAAAGTCGCACTGCACTTTCTGAGAAGGCCGGGATTCACATATGTGGGCGCACACACACACACACACACACACACCAGGAAATGGAGAGTATTGCCCTTGTCACAGAATAGGCATTCTTATGGCCCCTCCACACATTTCAAGAGACTTTGAGAAACTAGTTTGGGGCTGGAACTGTCTCCCATGCCCTTTCTAAGATCTGAGAGCCCAGTGCCCAATTTAGGAGAGTTCAAACACCAGGAACACAAAAGACTCAATTTGGAGTGCAGCGGCCTCTTGTCTGTCAATCCTGTTTGCTGAACCTGCTCCTCCTTCAGGGTACTAAAACGGGATGGAGCAGAGGAAGGACTGGGATCAAGGATAGGAGTCCTCTATGATGGTGCTCATTCTCCCTCCATAAGGAGCAGATGTTACTTCTCTTGAGGATGTGTTATTTCATTTCCTACCTCCCCCTACAAACAATTGTGATGAGGAGGAGGAGGAGGAGGATGGTGATAAAGGCCAACAGCATTTATTGATCCCTGACTGTTGGGTATTATGCTAAGCTTTACATTCATCACCACAGTCTACTTTCATTCCCTCAATAATCCCCAGCAGTAGGTGCCAATATCCTCACCATAGTCTACTTTCATTCTCTCAATATTCCCCAGCAGTAGGTGCCATTATCCTCACCTTCCCTGTTTCTCTGGAAAATAAACTGAGGCTTAGAGGAAAGAATTAACTTGCTTAAGGTCACACAGCTAGTAAGTGGTTATGGTAGGTAGAATAATCTCCAGAGATGTCCACCTCCTAGTCCATGTGACTATGTTGTGTTACGTGCCATGGGAAATAAAGGTTGCAGATGGAATTAAGGTTGTTAATCAGCTGACCTCTAGATTGGGGAGATTCTCCTAGATTATCTTATTGGGCCAAATATAATCACAAAGATCCTCATAAATGAAAGAAGCAGGAGAGTCAGTGTCAAAATGGCACAGAGTGAGAGAGACTTGATGGCCATTGCTGGCTTTGAAGATGAAAGAAGCCGTAAGTTAGGTCTGTGGAAGGCTCTGGAAGCTAGAAAAGGAAAGGAAACCAATTCTACCCTGGAATCTCCAGAAAAGAACACAGCTAGCTGACACCTTGGTTTTAGGCTAGTGAGTCCCATTTTGGACTTCTGACCTCCAGAACTGTAAAATACTAAATTTGTGTTGCTTTAAGCCGGTAGGTTTGCAGTGATTTGTTACAGCAACCAGAGGAAACTAATACAGTGGTAAAGCTGAAGCCTGAAGTCTGGCCCTAGACCTTCTGGTACAGAGCTGTGCCTTGCTCCTTATAGTGCAGGCCTTGGTAGAAAGGAATAGACCACTCTGCTGAACAGCTCCACCAGACAGGCCCAAAGGCCTAAGAGACACAAAACAGATCATGAACACTCCAGGAATGGCAGACATTCTGTCCCCATCCAGCCAGGGAATGGTGGGGTGGGGTGAGCAAGTTCTCTTCAAAACGCTGAATCCCTGGGACCATGGCATTTCCCCACTGATCACATTCATTCTGTCTGGTCCTTCAAGGAGGTAACAGACTAGTGGGGGGCACAGTCAAGGTAAACAGATAAGTACCTTTCCATGGGATAGTGCTATGATAGAGTTTATGGAAAAGCATAGAAGAGGCATGCTACCAGTTTCAGGGGCTTCAGGAGGGCTCCCTAGGGAAGGTGATCACTGAACTGAGTCTTGAAAGGTGAGTTAGGGGGTTGTGAGGCTGAGGGTGGTAGAGGAGGAAGCTGCACCTGGAAAGTCCTGGAGGTATATGAGAGTGTGGAAAGTCCTGGAGGTATACGAGCGTGTGGCTTACCCAAAAGCTGCACATGGATTTGACAGGACTAATTGAGTTTTTATTTGTTTGTTTCATCCTATCACTGGTAAGACAATATTTGTATCAGTCAGAAGATACCAGGTTAGGCTACAGTAACAAACAACCCCAAATCTCGTGGCTTAAACCACAGGTTTATTTCATGCTCATTCTACATGTCCATGATGTGTCTGCAGGGCAGCAGCTCGTTTTAGTTTCCCAGTGACCCTAGCTTACAGAGTGGTCATCATCTCAAACATTATCAGTCACCATGCCAGAGGGAAAGGAAACTCTGAAGGATCTCTGCCTGGAGATGACACGTGTTTTTTCTGCTCAAAATATGCTGACAAGAAATGTTTCATGGCTCTACCCAACTGCAAGTGGCCCAGCCTAGAACTCAATGAAAAAAAGCATTTCCTCTGAAGCCAAGGTGGAGAGCCAGGAATACTTGTTGAACAGAATTAATGACCAGCACTGTGTTTGTTAGCCATTTTGTGTGTGACACTGTTCAACCAAACACCAAGCAATTTAGAAAGACTGGTATTTACCTTCTTAGACTTCTTATTAGCCACTAGTGCCCTAAGTCTTCTCTAATCGTGGATTTCAATACCATTATCCTCACTGTTCCACAACAACTTCCTGTTTTTATATTATGCACCCATGACTTTTCTAAGAAAGCATGTTTCTAGTTTGCTTTTGCCATCAAGAATCTTAGAGCCAAATTTGCACTATAGTACGTTCCAGGTAGCCCTTATTATCTGCAAACAGTTGGTACCAGAAAAAGTCTGTCTAAGGGAATCCATTGTAAAACAGGGAGCAAAATATGATGTTAGATTATGCAGAGTTGAAAAACAAAACAAATGAGTATGAAAATAAATTTACTTAATTTTACTTTTAAAACACTTATATCACATTGCAACCACGTGCTAATTCTCAGCATGAAAAATTAACCATGTTGACTTTTTGGGTCCCACTTTCCTCAAAAAATTTTAAGATAGCTCAATGGCTTTTTTTTTTTTTTTTTTTTTTTTTTTGATGCAGAGTCTCACTCTGTGGCCCAGGCTGGGGTATAGTGGCACAATCTCGGCTCACTGCAGCCTCTAGCTCCCAGGTTCAAGTGATCCTCCTGCCTCAGCCTCCTGGCTTTTTTTTGTTTTGTTTTGTTTTTGTATTTTTAGTAAAGATAGGGTTTCGCCATGTTGGCCAGTCTGGTGTTGAACTTCTGGCCTAAAGTGATCTGCCCACCTCAGCCTCCCAAAGTGCTGGGATTACAGGCGTGAGCCACTGCACCTGGCTGGTTTATTCTTTATATATTGCCTCTTTTGAGAGATATTCTAGTTAACTATGCAATGGATTTGCATTCTATTTGCTAGTTGTATTGGTTGTTTGCAATCCCACAGCATAGACGTTGATGGAACAGCAGGAAATTGGAGCTGGTGCTAAACTGCAGAATCTGTTAGAGCGGGGCCTTCTTTTACAGCTGGTCTCTTCACTAGTGAATATTTCTGAATTAGGAAGACTTTGCCTCCCTATGAAACCCTGTAACTGTGGAGACCTGGATAATAAATACCTAGATAGAGAATGAGAATCCCCATGTGTGGAATGCATTTCTTGGAATTAATCTTGTCCTTGGCTTTTATTTTATCACTTTTTTCCTTTTTGTTCAGATTCCCTCTACTATTTTCTTTTTTTCTTTTTTTTTTCTTTTTTTGTATTTTTAAGGAGTTGCCTCAGATCTTTTCTAACAGGAGGCAGGGTATAAACCAACAATGGACATAAATATTGACTACCCAACTTTTTAATTATCCCCAAACTTGTTTTTTCAGAATCGGCCACCTTGGGGTAGATGGGGTCTGTGAACTTTTCTTAAGGCACTGAGCGGAGTTGAGTGGCTGAAGATGCTTCAGTGAAGCTTGATGTTTATCCTACCCTTGTGGTCAGCTCCTTCCTCCCAGGGAGCTGTAAATCAAGAACTGTGGGTGTTTCTTGATTTTCCGGTGCTGCAGCTCATTTGGATGGTCCATAGGGTGTCACTGGGTAACTTCCTGCTCTGGGACCTCTCTCTGAAATAGAAACTTCCCTCCAAAGGAGAGACTGTCTCCTATTTCATTTATAAATCAAGTTAACTCTGGTTCTTTGACTTTAAGAAAATAACCTATCTCCTCCTCTCAGCAAATTTCTTCCTCTTGGTCTCATGCATGCAGTTGCTAACACATGTATTCTTGTGGTGGAAACAGTAGAAAAGTATTAAACCTTTAAAATAAAACCACAAAACCCTGCAATTCATGAAACAAACCTCTATGGAGTCTTTGCTCTTTGTAAGGGACTTTCCGTGTGTTTGTTCATGCAATCCTTACACCAACCCTATGTGGTTAGTCTTATTGTTCCCATATTAGGTGTAGGAGATGGATGC
This sequence comes from Homo sapiens, assembly GCF_000001405.40. Taxonomy (NCBI): domain Eukaryota; kingdom Metazoa; phylum Chordata; class Mammalia; order Primates; family Hominidae; genus Homo; species Homo sapiens. The sequence goes on from NC_000004.12 coordinate 76,545,814, forward strand.
TCGAAGAAGGTGCAAATTTCGCCCAAGATCACCTAGTATTGGAAGTGGGATTTATACCTATGTTGGTCTGACTGCAGAGCTGCCCATCTTTATACACCTCACCACTGTCTCACCTCTTTTCTTATGCTTCCCAGCCAGGTTATAAAACTTGGAAAAGAATAGCATACCTCCTATCTAGAAAATAACAAAAGAAAGTCATTCTGTAATTTCTAAATAATACTAAGTGTTACATATGTATTTTAATTTAAATAAAACTATGGAATTTTCCCTGATGGTCATCTTAAGTGTGAGAAACACACATTTTCACTTGTCAGGGTGGTCTTATAGTAATGCAGAGCAAACAACATTATCTATATTTTATAGATGAGAGACCCATCCAGGGTCCTGCAGATAAAAGGGCCAGAGTTGGGATTAGAGCACAGGATTCCTGACTCCTAACCCAGTTTACTTTCTTCTACTACAATATACCCCATTTACGACCCCAAATAGGAATGTTCAACAGTATAAATGTAATGATTTAGGATGAGATGAGAGGTAGATGGGAAGAACAGGAGGAATCACCTCTGTACCCTGTGGCACTCATTGCAACCCATGGAAATGTTTCTGTTTTAAAGTCCAGCATTTAGTTCTGGTGCCAAAACAATGCTGAGTAATTTCGTAGAACCTGAGAACCAGAGAAGGATCCTGGGAGGAACTTTTTGTTTATTTGACTTTATTTCATTGGCCTCACTTTATGTTCTTTTCAAAACCAAGAATGCCCACTGGGTTGTGAGTAATGACAATTTCCAGACAATAGAAAATAATGCCCAAACGGCTTTGTTTGAGAGATTCTTGACGTCTTTTGTTATCCACCTACCTTTTTATCTCTACATTTTGCTCATTGCTTCCATACAATTATCGCACTTATAGAGAGCATATTTTTCCTCAAACCGCCAACTTCACAAAACAGCAAATGATTTGTAGGTTATGTTGCATTAACTGTGAGTGACTGAAGTGCCCCTCAATCACATACCCCTGCCTTTATCTTCATCTAGGAATGAAAGTAGCCAGGAAAGGCAAAGAAATCATTCAAGAATTTAAACATAAAAAGTTGGCTAAATTCTGCTGTGGTAGACTTCTACCGGATGAGTTTAATGTTAATTAAAACTCCAAGTGGAGTTGTTTGTAAATGAATCATTCCCTGTTCAGTTTGATGTAGCAAGGTCAGCTTCCTGCTCCACCGGCAGTGCGTGCCAGCTCTTTTTCTCATGTGTAAGCTGTGAATGCTGTTAAGCCTGTAAACCACTATAATAGGTTCAGAGATTTTAGGATCCCTGAAAGAGAAGGATCAGAACACAGCAGTGTTGAGTGTCAGGTTTCTTGGGCACTTGAAGGATTAGGCAGGACAAGTGAAGTGTTACTTTAGGGACAAATGTCTGGGCGATTCTCAGGCAGCAGGCTGGAGAATGTGGGCTCTGAGGTTAGTCTTGAATTCTAATCCCAGCTCTATTGTTTTACTGACTGTGCAACATGGAGCAAGTCATTGCCTTCTTCTGAGCCTTGGTATTCTCATTTCTATAAAAATACAATTATAATAACCTTATTGTGTTGTTGTGACAATTTGATGCGATAAAGTTACTGGAACACACGAAGCCCTCAACATCTGGTTGCAATCATGATGATAATTAATGTATCTATGCAATAAATAGTGGGCACTGCTATGTGCTCCATGCTGTTCTGGGCGTCGGGGATACAGCAGTAAACAAGACAGACACAAATCCCTGCCTTCGTGGGGCTGACATTCCAGTAGAGGACAGACAATAAGCAAGATACGTAAGTAAAAAATAGAGTTCATGGCCAGGCGCGGCGGCTCATGCCTGTAATCCTTGCACTTTGGGAGGCTGAGGTGGGTGGATCACTTGAGGTCAGAAGTTCGAGATCAGCCTGGCCAACATGGTGAAACCTTGTCTCTACTAAAGATACAAAAATTAACTGGATGTGGTAGCGTGCGCCTATAGTCCCAGCTACTCGAGACACTGAGGCAGGAGAATCACTTGAACCCAGGAAGCAGAGGTTGCAGTGAGCCGAGATTGCATCACTGCACTCCAGCCTGGGTGACAGTGCAAGGCCCTGTCTCAAAACACACACACACACACACACACACACACGTCATGAATTAAGTGTTAATGAGAAAATAACAATGCGGAGGAAGATAAGTAGTATTAGGGGAGGCTGAAATTTTAAAGCGGTAGCTAGGAAAGGCCCCCTCTGGAAGACGAATTTGTGTAAGACCTGGAGGAGGTAAGGGAAAAAGTCAAATGGTTCCCTGGGGGAAAAGCATTCCAGGCTGAGGGAACAGCAAGTCTAAGGCCCCTGAAGGAAGACAGTGCCTGCCATGCTCCCTGTGCCGCTGGAAGGCCAGGGGCTGGTATTGAGTGATCCAGTGGAGAACACTAAGAAGTGAAGCAGCAGGGAGGTCAAATCCAGCACGGCAGGGCCTTTGGTACAGAGGGAGGACTGCGGTTTCTCTTCTAAGTGTGATGAGGAGGGTCACAGGGAGGGCACAAACCCTGGAGAAGCACAACACAGGACCAATCCCCATAACAGCAGCTCCACCCTTTCTCACTTAGACTGGGCTAGAGTGGTTAAGCATGAGGAAAAGAGATGGGCCTGGCTTTCTGTGCCTCAAAGCACCACGTCAAGCTGTGACATAGGCATCCACCACTCTTCCTTTGTGCCTACACCTGTATTTTTGAATGTACTCTCATCACAGTGTATATCACCGTGCTGTTCTTCAAAGTCAGTTTCCCCAGTATTTGTTCAATAAATGTTTACCGATCACTCATTACGTGCAGGCACTATGTTAGGTGCTAAATAGTACAGTGACATAAAAGGCTGTAAACAATTAAAAAATCAACGCCTCTTATGTCAGAAAAGTAACACTGTGTCATCAAAGCAAAGTCGACTTCTCCTATAGGTGTGGGTATATTTAGGATTTGAGAAGGGAAAAAGCGTGCTTAGCTTCCGGGCTCCAATGTGCGGATATACACCCTCTCCTTAGCTTGTTAGCTTAGGGATTTCCCACCCAGTTGCACACGGTGTGTTATCTGAAGTCATTTAACCTGTTGACAGTCGCATTCTTGGAATAAGTAAGTTCCATGCAGGTGAACTTGGACAAACAATGCCAGTAACCTTTTTAGCTGCTGAAGTAATTGGTCCAAAAGTTTAAAATAATAAGCTTCATTTTCCACTGAATCTTGTTGACAGAGAGTATCAGCAGGGCTTGGAGTTAGAAGAGTCTAAATCCCTGATGAATAGTTCAAAAAAATTACTGTTAAACTTTTTGTAAACAAGGTTTTTTTAGTCATAATAATGTTTTTAAGATAAATTGTGTGGATAATTGGTACAAACTTACGATGTATGCATTTAGTTAGCCTCAGTACAATCAAATGTGTTGTTACCAGTGCATCAACAAATGCACCTCAATATCTTAATTTATCATTCATGATAATAAATGGAGACAACACCATAGATTAAGGTAATTCACAGCCTTGTTCTAGCCAATGGCTTCAACTTTCTTTCCTTTTTTTTTTTGAGATGGCGTCTCGCTCTGTTGCCCGGGCTGGAGTGCAGTGGAGCGATCTTGGCTCACTGCAACCTGTGCCTCCTGGGTTCAAATGATTCTTCTACCTCAGCCTCCTGAGTAGCTAGGATTACAGGTGCGTGCCACCATGCCCGCCTAATTTTTGTAATTTTAGTAGAGACGGGGTTTCACCATGTTGGTCAGGCTGGTCTCGAACTCCTGACCTTGTGATCTGCCTGCCTTGGCCTCCCAAAGTGCTGGGATTATAGGTGTGAGCCACTGCGCCCGGCAGTGGCTTCAACTTTCTTGGCAACCAAGTTTATTGTAGGAGTGGCCAACAAATATCACATCCACAGACACTGATGCTACCAAATAGAAAGGTCAGGAAAGGGCCAGCAGCAACAAAGAGGGAGGAGGGGAATGTGAGGGTCCTAAGGAATCCACAGGCTGATGGAGCATCCCTTAATCCAGTTAACTGAAATGAGTTAGACTAAGAGTCTACACTTGGCCCCCAGCTGGCTCAATTCAAGTCCTCCCTTGGACCTACTGGGACTCCACCTTTAGGAGTGGATCCTCTGGAGGAATCCTGGCACCAAGCAAACTTCCCAGGGCTCCTTTGACTTGCTGGAAATTGGCTGACCTCTGAGGGAGTGTTGTTTAAATGGATCAATTTAAGCACAGAAAGAATCCAGCCTAATTTTTTGTGTGTGCGTTTTAATTTTTTTTTATCAGTATAGGCTCTCTGACATGTCCCAGTGAATGTGCATGTTTTTTAAGTACAATGATATGAAATATATTAAAAGTATACTAGAATATAAACTCTGGGAAAGGAGAGAACACCGTGTTTCCTTTGTTGATATTTTCCCAGCCCTAGAATTATGCCTGCCAATGATAGATGCTTAAAAAATACTTGTGAGATGAATGAAAGAATGAATGTGTTCACCAAGTTTCTGACCTCAAAGAGTTTAGGACCTAGAAGAGCAGATAGGGCATGGTCAGAAATACCTATGACAAAGGTAGTGACTGAGGCTTGTCTTAAGACAGAAACCATTAAGAGGAGAGGATGAAATAGATTCTGCCTGGGTTGATAAGGAGACATTTCATAATGGAAGAGTATTTGGAGGAAAAAAGGAGGAAAAGGAAACTAGAAATGTGGGATGGGCCTTCTACAAAAGATCACTGTTGAAGAAAGCTTCTAAAAATCTTCTTTGGTAATAATTAAAACCCCAAGACAGCACAAATCCCTGAGAGACAGTATGGAGAGATGTGAGAATCAAAACATGAAGTAGGGGCCCATGAAATGTTTGACAAATAAGTGCCATTTCAAAAACGTCATCCCATGGCCAGGTGCAGTGGCTTTCATCTGTAATCCCAGAACTTTGGGAGGCTGAAGCGGGAGGCTTGCTTGAGTTCAGGAGTTCAAGACCAGCCTAGGCAACATAGTGAGACCTGTCTCCACAAAAAATAAAAAAATTTCCCCAGGCATGGTGGCACATGCCTGTGATCCCAGCTACTGAGGAGGCTGAGGTGGGAGGATTGCTTGGGTCCAGGAGTTTGAGGCTACAGTGAGTTGAGATCACACCACTGCACTCCAGCTTGAGCAGCAGAGAGAGAACCCTCACTTGGGGGCTAGGATGAATTTTTTTTCGAGACAGGGTCTCCCTCTGTTGCCCAGACTGGAATGAAATGGTGCAATCTTGGCTCACTGCAACCTCAACCTCCTGGGCCCAAGCGATCCTCCCACCTCAGCCTCCTGCATAGCTGAGACCACAGGCATGTGCCACCACATCCGGCTAATTCTAAAAGTGCAGTGCAAAACGAAGAGATTGTGAGGAACTCTGTAAATACAAAAGGTTAAAGAAATAGTTTATAAGAACAGTGAACAACAATGAAACTCTTTATGACAGTCTTCCCCATAATGTTTGCTTTCACATCAAATCAGTCATGAGGACATGATATAAACTATACAAATGAGCTTTCTTGACTTCCTTTTTTAATATAAGAAATTGATTGTTTCCTAGGTCTCATTTCGTTGAAATTGTTGGCAAATAATACTGAAGGGATGCAATTTCACAAACTGCAACATGAGCAAGACCGTATCTACAGTGTTCATCACTGTACTCGCAGCTTTTAGCACCATAGCTGACCACAGTAGTGGCTGTTCATAAATATTTATTGAATGAACGAACCAATATTTTCTGAGTAGGTCCTGTGTGCAAAGCTCTGGAGAGGCATGCTGGGGGAGGAAAGGATGGAGTCATGATTTCTCATGAAGTCTCTTCAATAACTTCACAGTCCAAGGTGGGGAGGGGTGGGACTGTGAGTGGGGAACAGACATAGACATAAATAGCTTTGCTGAAATTCAGGGTGTGTAACCACAGCAGCAAGTTCAAGCAGTATAAAAATAATAAACTATTAGATGTCACTTTACATTTATATATTATTTTGTCCACTTGATTATCTGAAAATGGGAAAAAGAAGAATTATTATTATTATTTTTTTTTGAGACAGAGTCTCGCTCTGTCACCCAGGCTGGAGTGCAGTGGTGCGATCTCGGCTCACTGCAAGCTCTGCCTCCTGGGTTCACGCCATTCTCCTGCCTCAGCCTCCCGAGTAGCTGGGACTACAGGCGCCCGCCATCACGCCCGGCTAATTTTTTGTATCTTTAGTAGAGACGGGGTTTCACCGTGTTAGCCAGGATGGACTCGATCTCCTGACCTTGTGATCCGCCCGCCTCGGCCCCCCTAAATTGCTGGGATTACAGGCATGAGCCACTGCGCCTGGCCTAAATTTTTAATTGTTATTTATAAAATAAAAGCTATTTTATATATATTAAAATAGTATATATTGGCCAGGCACAGTGGCTCATGCCTGTAATCTCACCACTTTGGGAGGCCAAAGTGGGAGGATCACTTGAGCCCAGGAGTTCAAGACCAGCCCAGGCAACACAGCAAAAGCCCATCTCTACAAAAAATACAAAAATTAGCCAGACCTGTTGGCACACGCCTATAGTCCTAGCTACTCAAAAGGCTGAGATGGGAGAATTGCTTGAACCCAGGAGGCTGAGGTTGCAGTGAGCCAAGACTGTGCCACTGCACTCCAGCCTGTGCACCAGAGCAAGAGTCTGTCTCCCAAAATATCTATATATGTATATAGATATATCAATTATATAATATATGTATATAGACATACCAAGCAATTATATATGTATATACATATATCTATATACATATACATTCCTCATTATGTTTGCTATATACATATACATATATATAGATATCTATATATGTATGTAGCTATGTCTGCATATAATTTGTATATGTAATATATGTATATATATAATTGCTTGGTCTATTTTATGTATCTTGAGACCTATTGAAGGTTTTTGAACATGTGGGCAATTCTGGAGAGTAATTACTAAAAAAAGAGAAAATATGGGTGAGGTTTTGTTTACTCAGGTTTTGTTTTTGTTTTCCCCTTTACTTCCCTTTCATTGTTATTGACGTCTATAAGTATCCATTGGCATGTGACCCAGATCGAGCCTTATTTTCCTGTTTCCAAAGCATATGATTAATTTCTAACGTACTACATTACTTACTTGTTTATTATGTTTATTGTTTGCTTCCCCTCCTCTGCCCATTAACTTAAGCATCAGAAGATCAAAAGGTTTTTGTCTATTTTGTCCACTTTTATAGCCCAAGCACTTGGAAAAATTTCTGATGTAAAGCAGGTGTTGAATAACTTTGTTGACTGAATAATAGTGCAGGACATTTTTGTTTTGTTTTGTTTTGTTTTGAGACAGAGTCTCGCTCTGTCGCCTAGGCTGGACTGGAGTGGAGAGCAGTGATGCAATCTCGGCCCACTGCACCTCCACCTCCTGGTTTCTTTTCTTTTCTCTTTTATTTATTTATTTTTTTTGAGACGGGGTCTCGCTCTATCACCCAGGCTGAAGTGCAGTGGCATGATCTCTGCTCACTGCAACCTCCACCTCCCAGGTTCAAATGATTTCCCTGCCTCAGCTTCCCGAGTAGCTGGGATTACAGGCATGCACCACCACACTCAGCTAATTTTTGTGTTTTTAGTAGAGACGGGGTTTCACCATGTTGGCCAGGCTGGTCTCGAACTCCTGACCTCAGGTGATCCACCCACCCCGGCCTCCCAAAGTGCTAGGATTACAGGCATGAGACACCGCACGAGGCCCACCTCGTGGTTTCAAGCGATTCTCCCACTTCAGCCTCCCAACTAGCTGGGATTACAGGTGTGTGCCACCACACCCGTCTAATTTTTGTATTTTTAGTAGAGACAGGGTTTCACCACATTGCGCAGGGTGGTCTTGGACTCCTGAGCTCAGGCAATCCAAATCCACCTGCCTCAGCCTCCCAAAGTGCTGGGATTACAGGCGTGAGCCACTGTGCCCAGCCAGCGTATTTATTTTTTAAGAGCAATATTAGGTTCATAAAAAAAAGACGAATGGAAGGTGCAGATATTTCCCATGTATCTGCTGCCCACACATACACATAGCCTCCCCCACTATCAAAATCCTGCACCAGAGTGATACATTTATTACAACTGATGAACCTACATGGACATCTCCTGTCACCCATAGTTTATAGTAGGTTCACTCTTGGTGCTGTACATTCTATGGGTTTTGACAAATGTACAAGGCATGTGTCCACCACTACAATATCATATCGAATGGTTTCACTGCCCTAAAATATTCTGTGCCACCATATTCATCCTACCCTTCCCTTTAACCTCAGCCACTGCTGATCTTTTTACTGCCTCCCTAGTTTTGCCTTTCCTACAATGTCATACACTTGAAATTGTGTGGTATGTAGCCTTTTCAGACTGGCTTCTTTCACTTAGAAATATGCATTTTAAGTTTCCTTCATGTTGTTTCATGGTTTGATAGCTCATTTCTTTTCAGTGCTGAATAATATTCCATTGTCTGAATGTACTACTTTATGTATCCAATGAATTATAATTTTAGAACAAAAAGTAAGGTAAGAGGAACACAACTTTTTTTTGTTGTTTTTTGTTTGTGTTTTTTTTTTTTTTTTTTGAGACGGAGTCTCACTCTGTCACCCAGGCTGGAGTGCAGTGGCGTGATCTCAGCTCACTGCAAGCGTCGGCTCTTGGGTTCATGCCATTTTCCTGCCTCAGCCTCCTGAGTAGCTGGGACTACAGGTGCCTGCCACCATGCCTGGCTAATTTTTTTGTATTTTTAGTAGAGATGGGGTTTCACCGTGTTAGCCAGGATGGTCTCGATCTTCTGACCCTGTGATCTGCCAGCCTTAGCTTCCCAAAGTGCTGGGATTACAGGCATGAGCCACCGTACCCGGCCAGAGGAACTCAACTTCTAATGTAACCCGTCCCCAACCCCCAGGCCACGGACCATTACAGTGGTCTGTTAGCAACCAGGCCGCACAGTAGGAGTGGATGAGTAAGTGAAGCTTCATTTGTATTTACAGCTGCTCCCCATTGCTCACATAACCACCCGAGCTCTGCCTCCTGTAAGATCAGTGGCAGCATTAGATTCTCACAGGAGCCCGAACCCTATTGTGAACTACACATGCGAGGGATCTAGGTAGCACACTCCTTATGAGAATCTAATGCCTGAAGATCTGTCACTATCTCTCATCGCCCCCAGTGGGACCATCTAGTTGCGGGAAACAAGCTCAGGGCTCCGCTGATTCTATGTTATGCTGAGTTGTATAATTATTTCATTATATGTTATAATGAAAAAATAATAAAGTGCACAATAAATGCAACGCACTTGAACCACGCCAAAACCATCCGCCCACACCCCATCCGTGGAAAAATTGTCTTCCACAAAACTGGTCCCTGGTGCCAAAAAGTTTGGGGACTGCTCTTCTAAAGGGATAAAACAGTTGCCCTGAGTGGACTTTTTGAAGATGTAAAGCAAGGGCTGGGGAGATGTCCTGAGCACCGTGGGATAATGGCCTTTGGATGGAAACTGAGTTCTGTCGTTCATTCAGCTGATGTTTAAGGGCGCCCTCCCTGGGCAGGCAGGGTGCTGGTTCTTGAGGGTGTGGACACCCAGAGCCAGTCCCTGCGCTCTCACAGTTTTCCCTCTGGCTGCAAGCGCTGGGGTGTGGCCCTAGCTGGTCCGTTGGGCTCTGCAGGAGTCTAAGCTGGGCTCGGGATAGCCGGACAGACCCCAGGCCAGGGGAAAGCTCACTCGTGGCTGTCGCATCTCTCCCTCCAAGCAGGTCGAAGAAGGGGGCAAAGCAGACACCCTGAGCTCCAAACTGCAGGCTGGGGATGAGGTTGTGCACATCAATGAGGTGACTCTGAGCAGCTCCAGAAAGGAGGCAGTTTCCCTGGTGAAAGGATCCTACAAGACCCTCAGGCTGGTAGTGCGCAGGTAGGTGGCAGACCCCCACCCTGTCCCTCCTACCACCTCACCCCACCTCTCTCCCTACCCTACCCCACCTCTGGGAAAAGAGCTCGGGGTTGGTAGCTTGGCTTTAAACCTCCATGTATGGATCCTGCCTTTTTTTCTTTTTTCTTTCCTATCTTGTGGGATGTGGGGAGGAAGTGGGGTGAAGACATTTCAGACACTGCTGTCTTTCAGAACACTCATTTCCCAGCAGGTACTGGTTTGTCAGGGATAGACCTCACTGGACTACCTAAATTTTGGGACCTGATGAAAAGTGACACTCATCCCAGATGCGGTCAGAGCTCTAATAAGCTTTTTGTCTGGTGGGACTAGAGAAAGAAATTGGCTTGGAGCTTTCAGTGGCATTTTGGGAACCACACCTGCATCACAGGGTTCTTCAAAACAGGCAAATTCTCTCATTGGTTGTTTTGTTTTCTGGTCTCAATAGTGGTGATTCCTCTGTTGGGAAAGTGTTGGGTTGTGTTTGATTTTAATGCCTTAGCATCAGAAGCTTTGTACTCCCGGGAACCAACCCTTCGTGGAGGAAATTATTTATGGAAAGGGGATGGGAATTGAATTATTTTTTTGATCTCTATTAGTAAGCACTGCTTGAGACATTTTACACATCTTAGCTCATTTAATCTGCACATGAACCCCATGAGATAGCTAATCACTATCCCCATTTTACAGGCAAGAGATTAAATAGGTTACTGGAGGTAGCCAAGCTGATAAGTTGAAAAGCCAGAATAGAATCCAGATTGCCTGATTCTATTTCATGCCACTTGAGCATCATTATCTTGACCTGCTAAGCGCTAGGCCCAAATATTTTGCATATTTGAATATTTCTTCCTTAGATTTCAGCTGCCTCACATAGCAGCTAATGTTACAGTATTTAAGAATGTTCTAGTTGGCTGAGACTTCAGGAGTCATCAATGAAGCCCCACCATTTTCAGGCTGTAGAAAGTAAGCTGGTCTTCCATCATGCCACAGATGGCCTCTTAAAGACCTGCATTAATTCATTTCTCAAATGTTTCCTAAGTGAGCCCATGCTCAGGGGAACAGCAGCTCCTCCCAGCCACAAAAAACACAGCGATGACTGTGGTCCCACTGTGTCTCCAGGCTCTAGTGACTCTCCCTAGTGTGCTGGGCTGTGTCTGGTCTGTCTACAGGGCCATCAACCAGCAATTGCTTCTCTGGTGGTCAGTGATGCAGAGTGGCTCAAAGCATAGGCACCGGATTCAGACAGACCCGGGTTCAAATTCCAGGGCTGTCACCTGTTAGCTGTGTGAGCTTGGCCAAATTACTTAACCTCACTGAAAATTCAATATCCTCATCTTTAAATGAGGATTTAAATATATGTATTTATGCCAAAATATGGCAACAATCTAAGTATCCATGGAGGGACAAACCAAAGAAAATGTGGTGTATATATGTATATGTTTATGTATACACACACACACACACACACACACACACACACACACGAGGAATATTATCCAGCCATAAAAAAAGAAGGAAATCTTGCCATTTGCAGCAATGTAGATGAACCTGGAGGACATTTTGTTAAGTGAAAGAAGCCAGTCACAGAACCGTAAAAACTGTATCTTCTCACTTATACATGGTGTATAAAAAAGTCAAACTCACAGAAACAGAGAGTAGAATGGTGTTTGCCAGGGACTGGGGCACAGGGGAAATGGGGAGATGTTGGTCAAGGGGTACAAACTTTTAGTTATAAGATGAATAAGTTCTGGGGACCTAAGGTAAAACATGGTGACTACAGTTAGTAATACTGTATTGTTTACTTAAAATTTGCTATGAGAATAGATCTTAAGTGTCCTCACTATACACACACACAGGTAACTGTGTGTTGATTAATTTGATTTTTGATTGTGGTAATCATGACACAGTGTGTACATATATCAAATCATCACATTGTACACTTTGAATATATGCAATTTTTGGCAATTATACTTGGGCAATCCAACATACTTTACAAAGTGATTGGAAAGATTAGATGAAACACTCTGAGGTAACAAGAGATGCTGCTGCTATTATTTCTATTATTATTGGCCAACTCTAGGCATAGGCTCATTCCTTGCAGATCCAGATTTCAGTAAAGTAAGCAGTCATCTCAAACATGGGGCTGATGTTTCAAACAGATGGGTAGACAAGCTCAGAACCATGGGGCCATTCCTTGTGTCCAGAGAGTGCTGAAGGTTTTGAACTCACCTTGGCATTGGAACCCAGGAGCCCAGTTTGGAAACACTGGGCATTGATCTGTTGGGTACTAATGGCAGAATCCACACTCCTGATGTGTTTCAACATGACTGTGGTGATAGATTGGCCTCTGGAAAGGGCTGCTCTGTTTCCTGCTATGAAGAATAATCATGGTGGCTTCTGGTAGGCCTTCTAATAGATGGTGATATAAGATTTGAATTACTTCTTCTAGTAGAACCTTTGGAAACAGACAGATATGGGGTTGAAATCTGGTCTGGTTATTTGCAAATTGTGTGACTTTGGGCTCTCTAAGCCCCAGTTTCCTCATTTGTGAAATGGAAATAATCATTCTTACCTTGAAAGGGCATTAGTGAAGTAAGTGTAAGTACACAGTGGATATGCAATATTTGATTATTATTATTCTGGATTAGGCTAGAGAGATGTGACACATGCTAATATGGAGAAGTATTGCCATAATACCATATATGCTGGTTCCCTGGTTATCTGGAGGCCCCCCCTTTCATTCTCTTAGTGAGTTTACAACCATTTAAGGGCTAGTACCCAGCTTACAGGTCCAGAATTGGTCATGACTGTCTCAGACCTTGTGGAATTTAGGAGTGTTAATTCACAGTATCCAAATCACAAGAAACTGAAGGATATAAACCAGAATGCTACTACACTGACTCATTTTGGAAAAGACAACTATAAGTGAAAAGTATGCCATATGGACCAAAAACCAGTATATAGTACTTTATCCCTACAAGAAAACTAAATGGGAAGTCTAATTATGGTCAGGAGTTTGCATAGTGATTTCCAACTCCAAGTGAAGAGAATAGTTCTGTAGGCACCAGTATTTGCTAGGATCCACTCTGATGGCCAGATGGTCCATCTTCCTAATAGGGGCTTGGCTGCCAGGCGGCCAGAGATTCACATCCAGAAGCAAGGGCCCTTTCCCCTCTGGGCCCCAGGGAATCATGCTGCCAACGTTCTCCTCTCCATTTTCATTCTCGTCAACACCAAATCCTCTTCCTGATTGACACATTCTTTCTTTACGTATGCTAATGCAATCGATAAGGTTACTGAGCAGTTCTTGCACTTTCTGCTTCTGGTGTGGGAAACATTTTGTCCCTAAGATGCCTTTTGAATATGTCTTATCTCATCTATTATGTGTTGATTTTTATAGTTGAACTTTCAAAGGAAAAGGAGGCTGCCTTTACATCTGACACATGCTTATAGATGGGGATTATCAACACGCCTCCAGAGACATGGATGGACATTCCTCCCCTACCTTGCAGAGATCCGGGTAGAAGCCTCTTTGCGCTGGATTAATCTGGCTTTGTATTTCGTAGTGCCGTCACTTTCCTGAGAAGTCTTACCTTTATACCTTGGCACACGTCATCGTCCTGAGATTCTGTTTCCTTTGATTTATTGATGCCAGAGTGACTAAGGACATTTCATTTATTAACTTTCTTTTTTTCTATGTGATCTCTATACTTTAAAAAAGACTGGGGTGTCTTCCTGGAAACATAATAGGAAGGAATGTCTGTTTCATGAATAAATCATTTGTGTAGTCAAAATGTATATTTTGGCAGCCATGTACCTGCCTCTTTTTCTCTTAAAGTTATTTTGGCTGGGCGAGGGCGGCACCTCATGTCAGGCTTTCACATCCATCATAAAAATGCCAAGAACACAGAGCAGGGTAATAGTGTTTATATAAGTTTTGGGATTGTCTTACCCAGTGACCAAAAACAATAAAAAGTAGAAACACCTTCTTAAAAGGCTACAGTGACAAGAAAAATGCAAAGCCTCAAGTAAGTTGTGGGTCAAAGACTTTCAAAGATCTGCTGACCCATAAAGAAGGCAGAGTTTAGCCCTCTCTGGGAGGAGGGCGTGAAGGAGGCGCTGTGGACGCTGCAACAACAGAGCATGTGTCTGCTGCTTGATACACGAAGAGTGAAGGTTAACAGCTAGTAGTGGATAAATGGAGAAGAAATGATAAAATAATAAGTGGGTCAGAGAAAAAACATTCCCAAAGGAAAATAAACAGCTCCCAGTTGCAGAAAACCCTTGTGGAATGCAAGGACAGTGCAAAGGATGTTAATTAGGAAAGCAGACATGGACACGAATGAGAATCATACTCCAAATCCTCCCTGAAATCAACAGAGACTTTATCTGGTAGATACGTGTAAAATAGTTGTCCAGGGATCGGGTAACCTTTAAAATGGAAACTGACAAAGGAAAGGGTCTTCAGGTTTAATTTATCATCCCTGAGGGTAATGGAAGTTGCGTTTAGTATAAGGAATGCTCACTGCTATTTGTAGATAATCTAAAACTTGAATTTAAAAAATAGGAAGCTATATTTGACCTCCAGAACAGATTGCTGGGGTTAATTGCTGTGTATTCATATAAATACATATTTTTACCCTGAGTTCAGACTCAGACTCCTATCCTGAATTGGATTATCAGAATGGCCTTAGAATCAATGAATCCTTAATCCCAATTCTGATCTTTTCTCCATTTTCCTTGGCAAATCTAACCTTCCAACCTTCTGCATTAAGGTGCTATTTATTTTGTTTATTTACTTATTAATCCTTCATTAATCAAAAGAAAGCTGGAGGTGCTATTTTTGCCAAATACTATCCTACTCCTAAATTTGTTGTAAGTGAATTTTTTGTGTTTTTACTTGTAGTTGGCAAAGAAAAACTTGAGTATATTTCATTTCAAATATTTCGTACTTTTTTATAATGCTATGCAAGCCAGGCAAAAGTCAGAGAGGATACCTGAGATAGCGGTGTCCAGCACTACCAGATTTGAGACTGCCTGGGTTTGAAGTCTGATGGCATAGGCACTAGCTTTGTGACCTTGGGCAAGTAATTTAATCTGTCTGATTTTTGCCTCACAAAATTGTTGTGAGGATTAAATAAGAATCATGTGGGTATGGTATTTAGTACAGTTATTAAATCATGAATCTACTGAAAACAAGTTGCATATTTGTTAAGTAAATTATCTCTTTGACAAGTTCCACCTTAATCTCTAGAACACAGCATATGAAGTCCTAGTTAATGGGAAGACTTTGGTGGGGAAATTATCTTTCTGGGCATCAAAGAGAGCAGAGGGTAGGGAAAATTGAGCCCCTTTTCAAAATGGAATCTTCCTCCCAAAGCTTTCCATCACCTCTGCAAGTTTGATGTAACCTTTCCCCTTCCCATCAATTTATTCTATGAGTTGATGTGTTGGAAGGAAACAATTCTTTTTTATTTGGCTGAATATACGTGTTTAGTAGTACTAGTAGTAGTAGTATCAGTGGTAGATCACATTTTGCTGGGAAAAGAGAGATTGAGGAGAAAGCAGCATTGAAAAAGTAAAAAACAATAAACATCTGCCTAAAATATGTATATGCCAGGCTATATGACTTGCCCATGTAGAGGTGGCTAGCGTGAGAATCTAGGCTAGAGTGAGAATCTAGGTCTTAAGACTTTCAGCCCTTGAGTCTCTGCCTGGAGGTAGAAATGAGGGAAATGCATCCAAAAATAGGTAAGGACTTGTCCAAGGCCACATACTAGTGGCCAAAATAAGAGTCTAGTTCTTCGAGGATGTAAGTCTTAGGGACTTTTGGCCCCTCAAGCAGTGAAATCATGAACTAGTGCTTTCTATTCCACTGCCTCCTCCTTTTAGAAATATCTGTGATGCTAAAAAAAAAAAAAAAAAAAAAGAGAGAGAGACAAAAGACAAGGCCGGGCATGGTGGCTCACGTCTGTAATCCCAGCACTTTGGAAGGCAAAGGCAGGCAGGTCACCTGAGGTCAGGAGTTCGAGACCAGCCTGGCTAACATGGTGAAACCCCGTTTCTATTAAAAATACAAAAAATTGTCCAGGAGAGGTGGCGTGCCCCTGTAATCCCAGCTACTCGGGAGGCTGAAGCAGAAGAATCGCTTGAACCTGGGAGGCGGAGGTTACGGTGAGCCAAGATCCCGCCATTGCACTCCAGCTTGGGCAACAAGAGCGAAACTCTGTCTCAAAAAACAAAACAAAAAAAACCCTCAAAACAATAAAAAAACAAAGAAGCTTATGTTTGATTCATCTAAGAAAACATTTTGAATGAAGAGGTGATTCCCCATTGACCTTGAACTTCCTTTGGGAAGGAAATGCACCGGACTACTTTGGATGCCCAGCAGACTTGAGTCTCTGCAGCAGCCTCTGGAAATGAAACTCTGGGCTGCATTAGTGGCTGCTTCCTCCCTCCTAACAAAAATGGTGATGAAATTAAGTTCACCAAGACCCTTGGGCCCACACTCCCCCGAATTCACCGTCCCATGTTTCTGAGGGTTAACAGAATAGTTTCTTTTTATAAACTAGTGAGATGACATTATTAGAATGGAATGGGATGGTTGGCTGACACACTTGCTACCTCAGTGTCAGATTTCTGTGACCTTATATTTCTAGATTGAATTGCAAGACTGTAACTCACCCAGGATTTGCAAGTCAATGATCTTAAAAGAAATACTTTGTAATGAACTTTTTTAAGTCCTCTGAAAGGATACAAAATTAACTCTATTAGCTATTAATAAAAAGGGTTGTGCAAATCAGTGCCTTTTCCAGCTCATGGTTACAGTTTATAAAAGAAAATAATTTCTTGGAATATTTTCACTACCACCTCCTCACTTCCTTCACACTGTTTTGCCACCTCTCCACCCCCTCACCTGCCTGACTCTATTTCCTGAAAAAGCATCTACATTCTTAAAGCAGTTTGAGATTAACCACCTGATGTCTCTTTCTGACTCTTTTAAAGCAGTTTAAAGAAGCAATTTATTAAAAGCTTTAAAAGCAAATGGAACAGAACTCCCTATTTTTAAGGCAATAAAGTTGACAGGAAGGGTTGAAACTTTTCTAGAACATAAAAAGCATATTTTTTTCTTATAAATTGACAATCTGCAAGCCAGATTGTGTAGCACGAAGGTGCCAATTCTCAGATATGAAATTGCAAACAGCATGAGGAAGACATTATATCATCTGGATTCCAGTCTCAGTTCTGCTGTGGTCTGGCCATCATACCACGGTGCTACTCAATCTCTCTAAGACTAAATTTCTTCTTAAAATGGAGGAGAACAGTTCCATACTGAGTTGCTATAAGGATGAAATAAGATAGTATATATAAAATGTTTCATCATAGTAAAATATTAATCTTTATTTCATAAGGAGCTTCTATTGTACAGTCTCATGAAAAGTTACCTGACCACATTCTCTGATGATTGCTCTATTTAATGGCACTGATTTGACTCATTTTTGTAAATGAGAACACATAGGTTTTAAAGCTTCTGATTATAACCTTTCTGCTAAGAGGAAATGTGGCTTTAAAGGACAGTACCAACTAGGCCCAAGTTCAGAATGGGATTTTGTAAAAAAGGCCATATTCTCTGGCGAACGTAAGTTGAAAGAGTTCTAACTTTGAACCATGTTGAAGCTCATTGGTGGAAGGTTGAGCTCCAGGAGAGGAAGCTCGGATTGCAGGAAGGGGCTCTCTACGCAAGTGTATTTGCACCATCTGGTGTTTTTTTGTTCCAAGGACTGGTCAGGTTATATAGGCACATGTGACCCAGGCTGAGCAATTTGAAAACATAATGTTCTTTAGACAGCACAATATGCTGCCTCTGGGAAAGTTATGACATCAAAAGATAACTATCAAGTGGGCAGGCAGTGGGAGGTGAGGACAAACAGAAAAGGTGCAGTGACCTTTTTATAGGCAATTGCAAAACTGGTCTTGAAGCTCAAGGAACTCACCTCTGTGCATAAAAGTGTGGCTTCCTCTACCTCTCCTGGACACAGAAGACAAATGAGAAATATTTCTGTGCCATGGTAAGTTCCAAGAACTGACTTTCAAGACACAAAAAAAGGCCCGATGCTGTGCTCTGTGGTTAACTCCTGTATGAAGGGGCAGGAAGGCAGTGTGTCCCCACCACGTGCCACAGGAGGAAAGCACAGGAGCTGAAGTGGCAGCCAGCATGGCAGGCAGTACCACTCTATGGTTCTGTGTTAGGAGCGTCTCGTGTCTGAAATGTTACCTCTCACCTCCACATGTCTCCTGAAGAGCTGTGACCACCCTCCCATGCCCCGCTCTGCTCTCCCTTCATTACTTCACTCATCCTGGTCATCTGCTCTTTGAAGTTCTTAATTTGGGCAAAGGGCTGGCAGATGCCTGGGACATGAGTACAAATCCCAAACTGCACTTCCGTTTGCACCCAGGATGAGACTTCCCTAGAGGGGAGATCAGTATAACTGAGAACTGTGGTAACTTACCCTTCTAAACATTTTTTCCACTTGAGCAAGTGGTTGAGAGGAGAGGAAGGAGGCAGCTGCAGTGGCCTCTGACCCCCAGAAACTTTTCCAAGAGGCCTGGCATCATGGAAATTTGCTCAGTATGCTTTGAGGAGGTATTTCAATCCTGCTGGGACCATTCTCAGAGCAGTTTTCGGCTTCTTTGGACTTCTAGGCTTGAATGTCACTGTATAGAAGTATAGTATTTTATTTCCTAACCAGTTGTTCCTTCCCATGGAAAATTCATGTAACACATTATTAGGTTTCCTGAGAGGTATGCAATAAGACTCCCTTACTGTAATGAGGAAGGGGACATCTTTTTCCCCCGTAGCACATAATGATAACTGCTATTTTTATTCAATGGGTTACATATGCTTACTGGCTATGCACTAAACACTAGCTTCATACAAAGGAATGTTCTATTGTTCCTAGTGAAGGAGGTTTGATGATAAAAGACCACATTTCATTCTTGGGCTAGCACAGCTTTACTTCAGACAAATGTATTCCAGACAGGAGCCAACCTTCTATACCATTAAAGAATTAATGAATGCACCATTAAAGAATGGCACTCAAGGCTGGGTGCGGTGGCTCATGCCTGTAATCCCAGCACTTTGGGAGGCTGAGGCTGGCAGATTATGAGGTCAGGAGTTCGAGACCAGCCTGGCCAACATAGTGAAACCCCATCTCTACTAAAGATACAAAAAATTAGCCGGGTGTGGTGGTGGGTGCCTGTAATCCCAGCTATTAGGGAGGCTGAGGCAGGAGAATCGCTTGAACCCAGGAGGCGGAGGTTGCAGTGAGCTGAGATTGCACCATTGCACTCCAGCCTGGGTGACAGGGCGAGACTCCATTTCAAAAAAAAAAAAAAAAAAAAAAGAATGGCACTCAAATATCTGTCTGAGCCTTTAGGATATGAGGTCTGAGTTCTGAGATCAAATAAAAGTTATGGTGGAATCTTTCCCCCCAGTTTTAAATTTGGATGCATCAGCTAGGACAGGTAAGTTTGGATGAGTCCCATTTAGAAGATGAACCAAATATTTGGAACTCTGAATACTTGAATCAAAATGGCTTAAAGCTACTCCTTCTTAAATTGGGCTACACATTGGAATTACCAAGGGAGTTTTAAAACAGCAATAACAACAACAAACTAATTCCTGGCTCCTACCTCCAGAAATTCTAATTTATTTTATTTTACTTGTTTTTTGAGACAAGATCTTACTCTGTTGCCCAGGCTGGAGTGCAGTGGCATGAACACAGCCTTGACCTTCTGGGATCAAGTGATCCTCCTACTTCAGCCTCCGGAGTAGCTGGGACTACAGGTGCACACCACCACACCCAGATAATTTTTTTATTTTTTGTAGACAGAGTCTCGCTTTGTTGCCCAGACTGGTCTCAAATGATTCCCACCTTGGACCTCCCAGAGTATTGGGATTACAGGCGTGAACCTCCAAGTCCAGCCTCAGAGAGTCTAATTTAATAGATGTGGGGGTGTAGCCCTGTATTGGAAACTTTAAAAGCGCCTCAAGAAAAAGGCTGGGTGCAGTAATCCCTATAATCCCAGCACTTTGGAAGGCCGAGGCAGGAGGATCCCTTGAGTCCAGGTCTGCCTCCAGACCAGCCTGGGCAACATTGCAAGACCCTGTCTCTACAAAAACTAGCCGGGCATGGTGGTGCGTGCCTGTAGTCCCAGCTACTCAAGAGGCTGAGGCAGAAGGACTGCTTGAGCCAGGAGATTGAAGCTGCAGTGAGCCATGATCGGGCCACTGCACTCTAGCCTGGGCGACAGAGCAAAACCCTGTCTCAAAAAAAAAAAAAAAAAAAAAATCAAGAAAAAACAATGGATGGTTCATCTGTACTGAAAATGTACAGCCTTTTTTTCTTGTCATTCTTCCCTAAACAATACAACAGTGATTCACGTAGCATTTACATTATATTAGGTAGGATAAGTAATCCAGAGATGATTTAAAGTATACAGGAGGAAGTGTATAGGTTATATGCAAATATGACATCATTTTATACAAGGGACTTAAGAATCCATGGATTTTGATACCTATGAGGGGGTCCTGGAACCAATCCCCCATGAATGCAGAGCTACAACTGTATTCATTTATTTCATCAGCCCCCATGTTTCAAAAACCACACTTTGTATACCCTTAGCATAAATCCCCCATTTCTTGAGAATGAGGGGTAGAGAAATGGTTTCCATAAAGGATTGTTAAATACCACCCCCTCCACATATCCTTAATGGAAAATCAGATCTTCGAAGGTCCTGGCAAGCTTTGTCCTGTTCTGTTTTTCTGTTTTATTTAATTTAACTGCTCTAAGATCACAAGTGTCCCATGAAGGTCCTGGAGAAGAATCTTAAAGTATAGGTTTGTGGGTTACTGAGAGCAGTAGTAGGCTCTTAGACTTCATTAGGCAAAGAGAAACACCTGGTTCCATCTGACTTGAGATGAACTGTGGGTTCTTTTTCCTTTGATCATTGTTTATTAAGATGGCTACCTCAAATATGTATTTTTTACCACCTGTCTCCTCATGGTTCTGTTGCTTTGGGCATCTTCGCATGTGGCAGCTCTGAAGAGCCTCATTAGTCGTTGGCAAAATTATGTCTCTAAGACTAGCGTCTTTGTGCTTTTGCCAGTAGCTAAAATGTCTGTTTAATTGTATTACCTAGTCTAGAGGCCCGTGCCGCTGTCTGTAGACCAGCTGCCAGATTGCTTAGTACAGTTTGTCAGTGCATTTGAAAAACGCAATTTTTCTACTCCCCTCTTATTCTGCTGTCAAACTCTAGTCTGATGCTGCGTTTGCTTAGTGGGTGGGATGTGTAAAATTATACATGTGGGGACAGTTGCTTGGTTAGTGTGTTTATTGTTTACGTAGGAAGGTTGCTATGTTGTTTTCATGAAGACTGTGATTCTAAGGAGCATTTTTAAAAGATTCTTTGGGTGCCAGGCGCGGTTGCTCATGCTTGTAATTCCAGCACTTTGGGAGACCGAGGTGGGTGGATCATTTGAGGTCAGGAGTTCGAGACCAGCCTGGCCAACATGGTGAAACCCCGTCTCAGCCGGGTGCGGTGGCTCATGCCTGTAATCCCAGCACTTCGGGAGTCCAAGGCGGGTGAATCATGAGGTCAGGAGATCAAGACCATCCTGGCTAACACGATAAAACCCTGTCTCTATTAAAAATACAAAAAATTAGCCGGGCGTCGTGGTGAGCGCCTGTAGTCCCAGCTACTTAGGAGGCTGAGGCAGGAGAATGGCGTGAACCCGGAAGGCAGAGGTTGCAGTGAGCTGAGATCGTGCCACTGCACTCCAGCCTGGGCAACAGAGCGAGACTCCATCTCAAAAAAATTAATAAATAACTAAAAAGATTCTTTGGAATGTTTCTTTAAAGGTGTCTCTTAGGGATGAGCCACTATTATTTTTTGATTGTAAATAAGTAGGGGCCCACAAGCCCTGGACACCTAAAACAATCTTTCATGGAATTTTCTCAGGACACATTTTGTATGTCCTTCACCCTCATAACTTAAAGAAGCGAACAATTGAAGAGACCCATTGTTTTTTACTGGTGGTTACATGGTACTGAACGTTTTTTTTTTTTAACTAAATTAAAAATCTCCTCAATTATCCCCTCTGACTTGCTCCCTCACTTCCTTCAGGTATTTGCTCAAATGTCAGCATCCCCTGCAGAGTCCATTTTACATCGCAGTCCCCTTTCTCCTGTATCCTCACACCCTTCTAATCTTTATTTTTTACCTGTCTCTCTGTCACACATACTAGAATATAAGTTCTTCGATGGCAGGGATTTTGTTCGGTGTGGTATCCGCAGTGCTTGGAATGGTTCCTGGCACACAAATGTGCTCACTGAATATTGGTGAGCCAGCTCCAAGCCAGGCTGCCTGACATTGCCTCTCAGCTTTACAACATTTACTACTGAGGGCCCTTGGACAAGTTAATTGCCCTGTGCCATGGTTTCATGACTTGTAAAGTGGGGATAGTAACAGTTTCCCCTTCACGGGTATAATAAATTGCTGTCTAAATCTTGGCTGTTTTTAATTACATCATCAAATAGCGTTAGTTATTTTTCCTGCATTAAGAGCTGCTGGACAGGCAGTCTGCACTTATCTTCACTATCCTTCTATTCCCTATGGAATATGGTCAATAGTTTCATCACTTAACTGACCACACTTTTCTCCTGTATCCCCCACCAAAGAAGGATCATATTCGAAGTTTGTTTTCCCCTCTGTGAAATGAGATCGACCTAATTTCCTCCTGCCTTAATGCCCCTGTGTATCTTCTTAGTAAGGTAGCCTGTCCCCAGCCCTTGTTCGGGAGTGAGGTCCCCAGGAGCCTGGCTTCAGGGGTGCTTCTTGTAGCAGGACCCACCCTTCTCTCTGTCCTCAGCTTCCTCAAGTCTCACTGGAATAGGTACTCTTTGCAGTCACCTTGTTATTTGGAGGTTTGGATTTGTTTCTACTACTCCCACCTCCTACCCCTCAGGGAGCAGTGCTGTGCAGCGGTTAGGAGCACTGGCTTTAAATCTGATAGAATTTGGTTTACAACCCTGCCCGTTCTGTGAGATCTTGGCCAGTGACTTCACCTCTCACTTTTTTATCTGGGAAGTAAAGACAACCATCCACACTTCATATGGAGGTTGTAGCCATAAAGACAACCTGTGTATAGAAAAAAAACTCAGCCTTGGGTTTGGCACACTGTTATCAATCATCTCATTCATAAGTTCAACCATAGTTATTGAGCAGGTGCTGGCACCAGTTCTCAGCATATATGTGCTGAATGGAGGCATTTCTATTTTTCACTAAGTAGTTTTCCATACTGTTAGCTGTTTTATGAGTAAAAGAACAGATCCAACCGAGGAGGGTTTGGGGCTTACGTTTCTCACCAGTGAAAGTTAAACTAAAATTAGACCGAAATCCAATTTGTCAGGGGGGGAAATAAAGCAATGGGAAAAGGTGACTTGCTAATAACGATGGATATAAAACTTTAGTACGGGGTGGATGGGTGAGAGGTCACTGGCAAGGCTCCTCTCCTGACCTCCAGAGGGGTCATTTTGGAGAAACTGCTGCCTGCTTTATGAAGGTCAAAGCACCCAGAAATGAAAGGACTTAGCCTCAGGTCACAGGTCTAGTAAACCACAGAATGAGGAAGAGAAGTCAGGTTTTCTAGCACCAGCCAAGCCTGCTCTCTCAGGGCATACATAAAAATAGAAAACTCCAAAAGCCAGAGCTCCTTTTTGCCTTAATCTTATATTTTCTTTCTTACTGGTGGTAGGAAATGGATAATTTGGGATGTTCATGTTTTGTTAGATGATTCTCCCTTCTCTCTCTCACACATCTTTCCAGTTTTCCTAGTTTTCCAGTTTTCTTCCTATGACAGTTTTTTTTTTTTCCCCTCAAAGTGTGGTCTTTAGACAACTTGCATCAAAACGGCTGTGGTGTCTATTTAACTCGCAAATCCTTTGTACCTCTTCCTACATAAGACTGTCTTGAGGGAAGCCTGCCTTTTAACAGATGCCAACACCCACTGAAACTTGCAGCCTCTAGCCCTAAGGGAGTGGACATGCTCTTCTCTGGCTGGGTGAGGTCAACCCCATGAATCTTTCCTGCCTCATTGGCCCATGTAAGAGACAAAAGGATGAGATCAGTGTCCATTTGAGCAACTCCGTGGTTATTCTTCAAAGTCTCTAGCATCGTGCCTTTCCTTGGCCTTGATATATAGGTAAAGTTCAAAATTCAAATTTTCTACTTCAAATAAAGTTTGGGGATGGTTTTTATTTCTGTGAACTCCTTCAGAAACATTTTAGAACACAACCCAAATGCTCAGAAATGTTAAAACACACACACACACACACACACACACACGCACACCAGTACTTCTCAGCCTGCCACCTTTCCAAGGGCAGAGCAACCTGCAGCAGTTTCTAAAAATAGACCTTTCTGCTACAGGTCACTAAGCAGGAATGGCCTCCATGTCACTCTGTTTACAGTTTCACATCTGACACCTTCATAACAACTGTGCTGACTTGATGAGGCATGAGGACCAACATCAGTCTGTGGGAACTCCTGAGAAAATGCAACCTGGGGCTGTGGCTGGTGTGCAATCGGTGGCATCCCCACAAAATCCAGCCGTGTTTGGATTCAAGGCCCTTTCAACCTTTGTTTGCCATTCCTCGTCACCTTTCCATCACTGTCTCAAAGTCAGGGGCAGAGGTCAAAAACTCCGAGTCACTCCATGAGGTAGCAATGAATATAAACATGAGCTCATGTTCAGGAATTTAAGACTCACCGTGTTTTCTTTCGTTTTGTTTAATCTGTCTTGCATTTCTCCTCTTTGCAAACTTGTGGGTTTACAATGCATCATCTAGCTGCAAATTTAATTTTAGGCTCTTTCAAGAAAATGCTCAGAAAAGGCGAACTTATCTTTGCTATATTCAGGACAGCCCTGCAACAGTGAGGGCTGTGTAATAATTCATGCACATTCCCGTCCCAGTCCCTAAGTGTGCAGACTACGTGGGTGGTATTAGAATTAAAATTTCTTGGGATTAACATTCTAAAATTAAGAAATGGGGTCAAAGAATGGGGGCACTTGACACTAAATGTACATGAGGTGATTGGACTGGATTACTGAGCATTCACAGTCATAGGATTCCTAGTAAGTTCTGAAGAAGTGGACCAATTGTTATCAGTTTAGGATCCTACTTACAGGAATCATTTTTGATTTGCAAACTTAGCCTGCTATCTTTAAATAAATAATTTTAGTAAGCTCTCAAAATGTTAGCTTTGGGTGGGTGTCTAAGCATTTTCATTCTTTGATTTATTTCTCACAACACCAGTAATAGGGATTATTACTACTCTATTTTACAGACGAGGAGATAGACTTGCAAGAGGGCAGTCTTATCAAGGGGATACATGTGTTAAGTGTGAATTTAAACTCCAGTCTATCTGATACAAAAGCCCAAGCTTTTACATCAGTAAAAACTAGTTCAGTTGAGCTGGTTTTCAGTGATTGCTGAAATCCCTGAACCAATATGGGTTCTTCAGCCTCTGGGAGAAGAGGAGTTGGGCTTGGCCAATGCTTTTATTTGCTTTGCTTTAAAGAAAGCACACACTGGGCCCTTTTGTTTTCCCAGCAGTGTTGATTCACGTTCACTAAATAAATTAGCCTTCCCGTGTTGTCTCACTCATTTGACATTAGCAAGTTTACATGCCAATAAAAATAGAAATGGGAGAAACAATACTGCAAGAAGAGAGAAGTGGCAGAGGCGTTAGAGTGCACCAAGACATGAACACAAGCTCATCATTTTCTACACTCCTTTCAAAACAAAACAAAGCAAAACCCCACAGCTTGATTCCAATCACAGTTTGTTCTGTGATTTTATGTGGTTGAAATGCCTGATTAATACTGAAATGTTGTAACATTCATTATTTTGTAAGAGAATAGTTGAGACTTCCAATAAGATTTTATCATTTCTCTTCCAAATAGTGGAAGCCTGATAAATGATGTTAGGATTCTGTACTAGTCTTACTAGTACTTATTCATAGATCTAGAAGTCTCTGTGTCCATTGTGAGATGGGCTGTACGTGGGTCAAATACAGCTTCTGAAGAAGTTGAGATTTGTCTTTGTGCTCTGCTATTAACAGCATCCTAATGAAGCACTCAAGCTACTCCCATCTTCTCTCTGCTTCCTCCATACTGCGCCCCCCAGCCCAATCTCCCTAAAATCTTTCCTTCCTGAGAATTGTTCCTCCATATCTGCCTCTTTCCTGGATCCTCATCCAAACTTGCCTTTGCATTTCTTACTCCCTCAGAGCCTTGCTAGGAGATGATTTGCTAATCTTTGACATGGCTAAGAATAGTAAATGTCCTTTGAGAACAATACAATCTTGCACTAACATACAACGGGAATAATAAAGTTACTATTCATATTTTAAAGGGCAATTTTGCAGGTTGTCAACATCTTACCCTAAAGGAGTGAGTTCCCAATGGTGTAATCTCAGTGACAAACTGTATACCGTGATAGGTGACAGGACCTTCAGGTCATGGGCAGAAAGTGATCTTAATAAAGGCTGACCTTGGCCACTGCAGCCTGCATGTTCTGGGGCATCCTGAGGTCTCCCTGTGTGACTGACACTTCCCCTGAGGACTATTCCCAGTGCAGTCAGTAGGAAACCTTAGTGGTCAATGATGGTGGGCCAGGGAGGTGAGGGACAGAGGATGTGTCAGATATCCTAATAGTATATACAGTTTAAAGACTCATTTCATAATTTTGGGAGTTGTTTTCTAGGGATATTGTGATCGTTCAAATGTAAATATCTGCATCTTGAATATACTGGAAAAAAGTGATTGGCATGTTTTAGGGGCAGCTCTAGCAGTATAACAGTGTACGGGTTTGCCCCTTTATGGTTTGTGGGTAGGAAGAGATTTATTCTGAACTAGTTTTCTCTGCTACCCAACTGCTTATGAAATATGAACACAGGCTGGGTTCAGTGGCTCAAGCCTGTAATCCCAGCGCTTTGGGAGGCCAAAGCAGGTGGATCACTTGAGGTCAGGAGTTCGAGACCAGCCTGGTCAACACGGTTAAACCCTGTCTCTACTAAAAATACAAAAGATTAGCCAGGTGTGGTAGCACACGCCTGTAGTCCCAGCTGCTTGGGAGGCTGAGGCAGGAGAATTGCTTGAACCCAAGAGGAGAGGTTGCAGTGAGCTGAGATTGCACCACTGCACTCCAGCCTGGGTGACAGAGCTAGACACTGTCTCAAAAAAAAAATAAAAAAGAAAAAAGAAAGAAAGAAATATGAACACAAGCTTGAAACTCAATAAAATTGAGATTTAGATCTGTCACTTGCCCTCAACAGGCACAACAAGGTAAGGTGGCCAGATTTAACAATTAAAAATACAGATGTCCTATTAAATTTGAATTTCTGATAATCATTGAATTTATTTTAGTCAAAGTAGGTACCCAATTTTATCTACCAAACCTAGTCACATGACAATTTAGATGTATAGAAAAAAATGTAGGTTCCTTGTCTTCCTTACAAACCCACTTCTGCTGGTTGGCAATAATAATAATAATAATAATAATAATAATAATAATAATAATAATAATTTTTATTCCTGGCCAAGTTAAAAGCTCACCTGGTCCAATCAATTTGAATAGTCCCTTAAGGGGCTCAGTCTGAAATAAAATCCTCCCTTGCTCAGATGTCATCTTTTTTCTCCACTGCCCAGCTGTCTTGCTAAACAGTGTCTGGGGATTTGGAGAAGTGGTGAGCGCAGGTCTTTGGCACCATCTCCCCTGGTCCCTTGGCTCTGTCCATAGCCTTCCCAGCCACTGCTGGCCTCCAACGCTGAATCCTGCAGCTGGTAAATCCATGGTCAGCCATGGCCTGGGCAATGCCCCTGGGATTGCTGGCAACCCCACACTTACAGATTCAGTCTCTGCTCAGCTCCCCTTAGCTTCAGACAACTTAGCATCTGCCAAACTCTCATCCCAGCAACTCCTGACCCAGGGCCCATCCTAGGATCATCTCACCCCACCATAGTTGCCTCCTTGCAAGTCTGCTGGTTGCCGTCTGATGTCTGAGATTCTTCCTTCTGTCTGGACCTCTAGAGACCTCGAAATTGAGCCAGGCCAGACCTACTCCAGTGACCTTCTCCTAGGGTCTCAAATGGTGCAGTGGAGCCAGGGTTCCCTGAGCCCTTTGACATTCTCCTCACTTAGCTCACACACTTTCCCTCTCCTCCCTGAGGCTAGAAGAGAAATCAGAACTTGGTCCTCACAGCTTGACTTGCCACCATCTTTTCCCTCATTTCCACAAGTTGCTGGGATCTTGAGGGCTGGGTTTTCTCACTATTTCTCACTCTTCTCTGTGCTTCCCTACTTCTATAACTTCAAGCTTCTTGTCTTAGTTGGGAGGGGTATCTTCTTTGCACGATGGGAAAATTTTGGCAATTAGAATCCTCTAGGCCTCACCCTGGATAGGTTACAATGGTTGTCAAAAGTGTGATCATGCCCAGGAACTTCTGGAAAATACAAATTCCCAGGCCCTGCTCTAAGCCTAATGAATTGGGAACTCTGGAGTTTGAGCCTAGCAATCTGATTTACCAAGTCTTCCCCATGATTCTGATGCACCCTAAAGAACCATGGCATTAAATATTTCAGCAAATTCTCTCTCTCCCTCTCTACCAACGCCTTTCTTACCATTTTTCATGCCTAAACTCTTATTAGACAGACCGGATACTCCCTCTTAATCTAATTGATTGATTAGCTACATAAACTCAAATCATTTTGTGATTAAAAAAAGAAATGTATAGCCTTAAAAGCAAAGGAAATTCTGATATATGCTACAACATGGATGAACCCTAAGGAC
Source organism: Homo sapiens (assembly GCF_000001405.40). Lineage (NCBI taxonomy): Eukaryota > Metazoa > Chordata > Mammalia > Primates > Hominidae > Homo > Homo sapiens. Next base: position 76,574,694 of record NC_000004.12, read on the forward strand.
ATTATGCTAAGTGAAATAAGCCAGTCACAAAAAGACAAATACTGTAAATGATTCCACTTGTATAAGGTACCCAGGGTAGTCAAATTCATACACAAAAAATGTAGAATGGCAGTTGCCACAGGTTGGGGGAGGGGAGATTAGGGAGTTTTGTTGAGTAGGTACAGAGTTTCAGTTCTGCGAGATGAAAAGAGTTCTGGACATTGGATCTACAAAAATGGGAATATACTTAATGCCACTGAAGTGCACCCTTAAAAAACGGGTATACCAGCAAACCAAATTCAATAGTACACCAACAAGATCATTCATCACAACCAAGCGGGATTTATCTCTGGGATGCAAGGATGGCTCAACATATATAAATCAATCAATACTATATATCTTCTCAATAGAATGAAGAACAAAACCAGATGATCATTTCAAGTGAAGCTGAAAAAGCATTTGATCCTTTCATGATAAACATCCCTTCATGATAAAAGTCCTTCAAAAAACTGGGTATAGGAGAAACATACTTCAACATAATAAAAGCCATAGATGACAGACCCACAACTAGTATCACACTGAATGGGAAAAAAATTGAAAGCCTTTCCTCTAAGATCTGAAGCACAACAAGGCTACCCACTTTCACTACTGGTATTCAACATAGTACTGGAAGTCCTAGCTAGAGCAATTAGACAAGAGAAAGAAAAGGCATCCAAACTGAAAAGGAAGAAAGCAAATTATTTTTATTTGCAGATAAGATGATCTTATATTTGGAAAAACCTAAAGACTCCACCAAAAAAACTAGCAGAATTGATAAACAAATTCAGTCAAGTCACAGGATACAAAATCAACATACCAAAATCAGCAGCATTTCTATTAGGTTGGTGCAAAAGTGATTGCAGTGTTTGCCAATAAAAGTAATGACAAAAACTGCAGTTACTTTTGCACCAGCCCAATATATGCCAACAGTGAACAATCTGAACAAGAAATTTAAAAAGTAATCCCATTTACAATAGCCACAAATAAAATTAAATACCCAGGAATTAACCAAATAAGTGAAAGATCTCTATAATAAAAACTATTAATATAATACACTGATGAAAGGAGTTGAAGAAGATACAAAAAATGGAAAGATATTCCATGTTCACAAATTGCAAGAATCAATATTGTTAAACTTCTCAAAAGAAGACATATAAATGGCAAACAGATATATGAAAATGTGCTCAACATCATTGATTATTAGAGAAACGCAAATCTAAACTACAATGAGATATTATATCATCCCACCCCCGTTAAAATGGCTTATATCCAAAAGACAGGCAGTAACAAATCCTAGTGAGGATGTGGAGAAAAGGGAACCCTCGTACAGTGTTGGTAGGAATGCAAATTAGTACAACCACTACGGAGAACAGTTCAAGGTTTCTCAAAAACCTAAAAAGAAAGCTACCATACGATCCAGCAATCCCACTATGGGGTATATACCCCAAAGAAAGGAAATCAGTACCTCTAAGAGGTATCTGGACTCCTGTGTTTGTTGCAACATTCTTTACAATAGCTAAGATTTGGAAGCAACTTAAGTGTCCATCAACAGATGAATGGATAAAGAAAATGTGGTACTTACACACAATGGAATATTATTCAGCCATTTAAAAAAATGAGATCCTGCCATTTGCAACAACATAGATCAAACTGGAGATCACTATGTTAAGTGAATTGAGCCAGGCACAGAAAGACAAACTTTGCATATTCTCACTTGTTTGTGGGATCTAAAAATCAAAACAATGGAACTCATGGACACAGAGAGTAGAAGGATGGTTACAGAGGCTGGGAAGGGTAGTAGGAGGCTGGTGGGGAGGTAGGGATGGTTAATGCATACAAAAAGGTAGGATGACTAATACCTACTCTTTGATAGCACAACAAGGTGACTATAATCCATAATAATGTAATTGTACATTTAAAAATAACTAAAATCGTGTAGTTGGGTAGTTTGTAACACAAAAGATAATGGCTTGAGGAGATGGATACCCCATTCTTCATGATGTGATTATTATGTGTTGCATGCCTGTATCAAAACATCTCACGTACCCCATAAATGTATACACCTACTTTATAACCACAAAAATTAAAAATTAAAATGTTAAAATAAAAAATGGGTAAGATGGTAAATTTTGTTATAAATATTTTTAATTTTTAAATTAAATTTTTAAAAATAAAAATAAAGGACTTTGGTGATTAAAGCAAAAATAAAAACTGGGTTAAAAACAGTTTAAGCAATAGGTATTGATTTGGTGAATGGTGACATGGCCAACTCAGCTGATTATTCATTGAACGTAATCCTGGAGGTTAGGGTTCAGAACTGAATACTGGAACAAATGCTCCTGGTAAACATGAGTATTTCACCAAACCTTAATTGAATTTCTGATCTACCTAAAGTATAAGAAGGAGCTGGTCAAATAGATCTGACTCTAGCGTTCCAAAAGGGTAATCGGTGTCAGTGTGTCTGTTGAGATAAAAGATAATCTATACTTGAAATTTTCGCATATCACAGGCTAAAAAGCCCTCTGTGTAAATTAATTCCTAGTGGTCTATATCTTTCTACATTAAAAATATGGGCAAATCAAATTTCCCCATCCACCAAAGGGACGAGGTGCTGGGGAAGGTCTGATTGTTTACTCTTTACTGTGTATTGTTGTCAGCAGTACATTGGTTAACTAGGAATTATTCTAAGTCCCTTCATTGCCCTGTTCTTCCAATCATTTGGCATCAGGTGAATGGTTCCAGCCTCCCTAGAGGCAGCAATAAAGGACAGGGACTGGTATTGGAAGATGGTGGGGCTGTAGACCAATACCTCTGCCTCCTGTATTATTTGTCTACCCAATAAAATAATATTCTTTAATATAACAATTCACGTTTATCAATCTTGTTAAAGGATGAATTAAAGAATCTTTAGAAAAATGCTCCAGTCTAGGTAAAATCTGAACTTATTATGCGTAACACAGGTTCAAGACAAGTCCCCTATAACTCCTTCACAATCCAGTTGCTAACATTTAGCCCCTCTTATAAGAAATTCTGCAGCCACCACTGTTCTAACTCCATTTCCATGCTGCATACATTTTCTGAGAGGGAGAAGAATCTTTAAACATCAAATTCTGCCATCTGTCTCAAAACTATATTCATATAAGACAATGTTTCCATAAGCCCCAGGAAATTGGTTTAGGTAAATAAAGGTAGATAATATCTATGTTAATAAAAGATAGTGATATATTTTCTCTCTCTTCTTCTTACTGTGTTCATTGTTTTTTTTTAAGTACCTAGGTAATGTCATCTTTTAATAACCCACACCTCCACCAATCCTTATAATGTAAATCATTCAGAATTTAGATTCTAAATTAAATAAGGTTTATTATGCTCCTGGTTAAGAAAAGAAGGTTATCATAGTTTTGTGGAAGAGCTAAGAAAACACACCCCTAATTTTATGGGGAGGCTATGGAGTGCAATGGAAAAGTACTTGAACTTTGGAGTAGCCCTGACTTTGAATCTGGACTTTTCACTTATTGGCTGTGTGAATCTAGCTGCATAACCTATTACAAACTCAGTTTCCTTTAGCTATACGGTTGGAGGAAACTTTATCTAAATTTGTATCTCAGGGGGTTTTTGTGGTACTTAAATGAGATCCTCTATGCAGAAGCAGGGTGACAAGCAAGTACTTGGCATATGGTAACCGCACAGGAGATGGTAGTTATCAGAAAGAAGAGGTGTGTGAAAGCAGTAATCACCAGAGCTCTTGGCTAACTTTGTGAACTGCATGGGGTTGTTGAGTTTACCATCATTCTTTTTGGTTGTACCTTACTTATTTGAACACAGTTTTATTTCTTTCAGACTTGATGCAACTATATCTGTTATCAGTTTCTCATGGCTAAGATGTGAACGAGACAACAATAGGCAAAGCTCATTTATGATGTAGACCCAAGGTGGGCTGGAAAGTCTGGAATAAGCTGGAAAGGTCTTGATGGAACCTTTTGTGGGTGTTAGAAATGTTCTATATCATTTTTACCCTTTACATAGATTAGTACACTTTATCCATTCTGTGTATGTTACACTTTAATAAACATTTTTAAATGATTTGATAAGGATCACAAGACCCACCCATACCAAATCCACTATTAAAGCAAGTTGATTTTATTTTTAATAAGCCTCACTGAATTTAATAAAGTTTTTTGTGCGAATTTAAAAATGACATCTGGCTGGGCATGGCGGCTCATGCCTGTAATCCCAGCAATCTGGGAGTTTGAGACCAGCCCTGGCAACATAATGAGACCCTGACTTTACAAAAAATTTTAAAAAATTTAAAAAAAAAATTAGCTGGGTGTGGTGGTGCTTGCCTATGGTCCCAGCTACTCAGGAAGTTGAGGTGGGAGGATCGCTTGAGCCCGGGAGGTCAAGGATGCATGAGTCGAGGTTGTGCCACTGCTCTCCAGCCTGGGCGACAGAGTGTCTCAAAAAATAAATAAACAGGCTGGGCGTGGTGGCTCACGCCTGTAATCCCAGCACTTTGGGAGGCCAAGGCGGGCAGATCACGAGGTCAAGAAATCGAGACCATCCTGGCTAACACGGTGAAACCCTGTCTCTACTAAAAATGCAAAACATTAGCTGGGCGTGGTGGCAGGCGCCTGTAGTCCCAGCTACTCGGGAGGCTGAGGCAGGAGAATGGTGTGAACCCGGGAGACTGAGCTTGCAGTGAGCCGAGATCGTGCCACTGCACTCCAGCCTGGGCAACAGAGTGAGACTCTGTCTCAAAAATAATAATAAACAAACAAACAAACAAACTTACACAAGTACTTGGTCTACAGATGTTTGTTTAATCCACATTAAAAATCTGGAAGTTTTGCATAATCTGGATTTCTGGCTTGTGGAGAAGTCAGACGATCTGGCAGCAGTGGGCTGGAGCTGCATGCTTCCACGTCTAATGAAGCATTCCCTCTCCAGTTTGCCTTGGGGCCCCACTGTTTCCTGTGATCCTACACCTGTTGCTTTGCTCATTTACTCCACCTGCCTGGTCTAGTCAGCATTTGAGTTTGCCAGCCTTGTAACACAAACACTGGTTGGCCAGTTATCTTCTTCATCTCCAGCCAACTGACAAAGTTATCTTTTCCACTGAAGAACTGGTTGATGATTTTTAATCCTAAATCGGGGAAGAGAATCGTTGTGTCTTACTCTTTGATCTCTCCAGTCCACGGCAAGCATTCATGAAATGCTTGTTGAGTGAATGAAAAACCCCGCATCATGTGCTGACTGCTTGTTTGTACGTATCTCCTGTCACATTTCTTTTCATGGCACATGGGTTTGTTAGTCCCACTGTGATTCAAACCGTCCTTTTCTACCATAGCACAAGATGCCGGGTTAGGAAAGCGAAAGGAAAAATGTTCTCTTCACTGTCAGTTTAAATCATGATTTGAAGCAGGTTTTATTATACCAAATTATCATCAGGCTAATTGCTTGACAACCTCTCTTGTTACTGCTGGCTGGCGCCATTCAACTGATCCCCTCTGCTGATATCTGGCTGGGAGAGGCGTGGCATATCCTCACTAAGGAGAATTCTGCTACCTGGAAAAATACCCAAAGCTGCTAAGCATCATACATGCCATCTATGTCCCATTCCGAAGTTGCCGTAAATCCAATATGTGCAGTAGTGTTTAAGAGCATATGACTTGAAATCAGGTTACCTGGCTTCAAATCCTATTACTACCACTTGTTTTGTGACCTTGGGCAAGTTCTTTTTTTTTTTTTTTTTTTTTTTGAGATGGAGTTTCGCTCTTGTTGTCCAGGCTGGAGTGTAACGGCGTGATCTTGGCTCACTGCAGCTTCTGCCTCAGCCTCCCGAGTAGCTGGGAATACAGGCATGCGCCACCACACCTGGCTAATTTTGTATTTTTAGTAGAGACGGGGTTTCTCCATGTTGGTCAGGCTGGTCTCGAACACCTGACCTCAGGTGATCTGCCGGCCTCGGCCTCCCAAAGTGCTGGGATTACAGGCGTGAGCCACTGTACCCCGCCAACTTTGGGCAAGTTTTTAATCTCTCTGTGCTTGAGATTCTCCAGCTGGGAAATGGTGATAATAACAGTACCTCCCTAGTGGAGTGGTTGAGAGAGTTAAAACAAAATATGTATTTAATATCCTGCCTGATGCCTAGTAAACACTCTACTAAGTACATATGTAAGTATATAAACGTAACTGATATGTGCTTCTACCTTTCCACCTTATTCTTTTTTTTTATTATACTTTAAGTTTTAGGGTACATGTGCACAACGTGCCTTATTTATTCTTTATATTAGCTGTGGAATTGTCCCAGAGATTGAAATGGATCATTAATAATGCTAGTTTGTGTTCCACAATGATTTTTCTCCAAGAGGCTTTTTTTTTCATTCCTAAGAATAAATTGTGAACCCAAATGTAACTCTTTTACCTGCTATTCTTAGCACTAAATGGTAACTTGGTTTTCCCTGTCTGGGATGTTGGGACTTTGAAGGGATGATTGAGTTCAATGCCTTTAATTGCTACCTTCTGGCCAGTAACATTCTTGTGAAGAAATACCTTGGTTTCCCCAAAGAATTAAAGAATGTGGAAAGAGAGAAAAAAGAACAGGGGGATATGATTACTTTAGGCCAGTAGAAAAGAAGCAAAATTAAATTGAAAAAATGTGTTGATTCTCATCTGTAATTCCAGTCATTTTCATTTGTGTGCCTTTCGATTGCTGTATCATAAGTGGTTTATGTCCTACAGTTATTATACTGGACAGGCATTGTATAATAATACTTTGGACTTAACTGACATCTTTTATGATACTAAGAAGCCTGGAGCCATTATCTCATCAAAATTGTTAAAGTTACGGTGTCATCAGCCTGGGATAAAAAATGATTGCCTGAGTGTAAAATGAGCATTGGGCTCAGCTGCTGTGTGTCTGCTTCCCTTACAGCATTTTCAAGGATCTGACTCTTTCAGACATACTTGGAGTTCAACAAATACAATTTCCCAGGAAATTAAATGAAAATGGGCTATAAGGGAGAAACTAAGCTTACTGAGTTTCTATCTAGGCTCACTGCCCAGTTTTCTTTCAACCTGAAACCTATATGTGGGAATTTGCAGAGTTGGGCTAAACTAATCGTGAACCCCACGAAGTTCATTTACTGTCTAACACATCATCATCATCTTGGACCTGGTCTCTACCCTCACCATTGAGATTTATTCTACAATCACTCTTCCTTCTAAAGATGCAGTGTGACTTCCAAAAGTGAGATGTACAGGACACCTGTTCTACCTGAATCTTTTGCATATTTTGTAAAGTTTATTTATTAAGCACCTAATAAATGCCAGCCATTGCTCTAGGTGTTTGGAACTCAGCCATGATAAAAATCAAAAACCTCTGTCTCATGGAGCTGACATTCTTGTGAGCAGAAGCAATAAATAACAAACACAATACATATGTGAATGAAACAGTGTGTTAGAAGTTGGTGAGTGCTCTTAGAAAACCAGACCAAGAGTTCAAGAGGCTGTTTCTAGCTCCCCCATTCATAAATTTCCTAAGTTCCTCCTGGGAGTTTAAATGGCTATGCCCTACAGGCATTTAAACCTACCTTACACAGAAAATCAATCTACCTTACAACACCTAGAGAATAGTTTAACTGTTATGGACAGACCCAGAAATTAAAAAAAAAAAATGAGCAAAGAAACCACAGTCTTCATTATTTTGTGCAGCTTTCCCACCATAGACCTTCATCTCTAATCCCAAACAAGCACCTCACAAGGCCATGTGCAAATCATTAAGGAAAAAGACCAGCGGAAATCTGGTGTTCAGAAATCAAGGCTATTCATCTTGGTCTGCAGTTCATCAACAGAGTAACATAAAACTCTCCTGCCCTGGGCTTATAAAATGGCAATTAGGAGAAAACAGGATGTGCTTGAGTAGATGAGCTACTAGCTTTGAGAGAAAAAAATGAAAGCACCATATTCAAACACTCATCTAGTTTATTCCTTTTTATCCTCTCTTCACCACAAATATTAGGACTAGGAAGACACTGAGTGATGTTCTAGACCAGAGGCCTCCTCCAAGGATGAGGAACAGAGCCTTAGACAATAAGTAACGTGTTCAAGGTCACGTGCTAATCAGTGGCAGAGCCAGAAGGGAAAGCAATGTCCCCTCCCTTCTGGTCCAGTGTGCAGCGGGGTCCACAGCACTGCTTCCAGATTAGATCATCATTACTTCTTCCAACAAGAATGGCCTAACCCTCTGCAAGTGATTGCCAAAGAATCTGGACAGGTAGAAAGTGAGAAGTCAAGATGTTTGTGAGAGCATTCCACATGAGGAACAGATGCGTTTGTTTTTGATCACAGCTGAGTCTGAATGCTCTCTAGAACTCAGATGTAGAGAAAGGAGGAAATACAAGATGGGGCTGTGGGCAGGTCTTACCTGGGCTGGGGGAGCAGCGTGGTGTGGATGGTCTTCCTTCTAAATGAGGGGAGCTGGTGCACATTCCAGTGTAAAGAACATCCTATGCACCAGAGTTGTCTGCACTGACTTAGGACGGCATCATCTCCAGACTTGAGGACCCCTGAGCTCACCATTCTTCTGTCCATGAGTGGCCACCCAACCACCCAAGGGTGAAAGGTCGTGCTCTATGCTCTCACCTCAGGTCATGATGAAGGTAGGAAGAGCGACCATCCAGCCCATACCACCACAACTGGGTAACATTAGAGCTCTTCCTGTAGACCAAGCACTATGCTAAGTGCTTTTTCATAGCATCACCTTCAGTCCTCACATCAGATAGGTACCCATTTCAGAGGAGAGAAAACTGACGCTTGGAAAAGCTGAATAATTTGCCTGCAATCACAAAGCTGGTGAATGCAAAGCCTTTATCTCAGAGGGTGGTGGTTCAGAACATGGGCTCTGTGGTCAGATTGCTTAGGTGTGCATTCCAGATCTGCTGCTTGCTGGCTGTAAAATGTTCAACAAGTTACTTCTCGAAGCCTCAGTTTCCACATCTGTAAAGTTGGAGTAATAATTATAATATTTACCTTATAGAATTGTGGTGATGATTAGAGAATGTAACATGGTAACTACCGACACATAGTAACTACTAACTATGGGTCAACTGTAGGTTGGAACCACATGAAATTTCTATTGTAGTGGACCAAAAATTATCAAATATTGGCAATTTCATATGGTTCAATCTAGTATTACTAAAAGGCATCCATTCTTTGTAAATATCAATGCTTTCCTTATTCATCTCATAATTTGTGAAAGGACAGGTTATTTAATTGCTTTTAACTTTTCCTTGTTTTAGTTTCCCTAAAGAGTGACATAGAGGCTGGGTACGGCGGCTCACGCCTATAATCCCAGCACTTTGGGAGGCTGAGGCGGGCAGATCACCTGAGGTCAGGAGTTCAAAACCAGTCTGGCCAACACGGTGAAACCCCATCTCTACTAAAAAAAAATAAAAAATTAGCCAGGCGTGGTGGCACATGCCTGTAATCCCAGCTACTTGGGAGGCTGAGGCAGGAGAATCTCTTGTATCCGGGAGGCAGAGGTTGCAGTGAGCTGAGATTGCACCACTGCACTCCAGCCTGGCGACAGAGCAAGACTGCATCTCAAAGAAAAAAAAAAAAAAGAGTCACATAGATTTCTTTTACTGTAACAACATAACATCCATGAGGACTGTGTATGCAATATACACAGTTCCCTGAGCCAACACAACCTGTTGAGGATGTTGTCACAGAGAATCTGGAGCAGAGTGGATCTGAAGTGAGCTTAAATTGGACAGAGCTGGACTATGAGGAAGTGACTGGTGACACAAATGAGTCCACTCCTGGCTCCTTTAAACTACTGTGAATGTTCTGGTCTTTTCAGGAATGGCGTTCCCATACTAGCCGGCTGATTGTGATAAACAAACGTCAAACATGACCATTCGTCATTCCGCATAGTGGAGATGAGCTCTGGTCTGCAGCAGGAGGTTGTTAAATTTGACATATTCAAAATGAATTGCACGGCCTGGCTGCTCTTGAACTCTGGCTTGCTGGGAGTAGCCTATGATGGAAGGAAATTCCACTCTGTGGTGGTGTTTTGGGGAGGTTGCATGGTGGGGAGAGGAAAACATAAAGCTGGGATAAGAACAGTGCTTTCCTAAGAAAAAAGGAGGCTACTTTTGAACGAATGCATCTATGATGCCAGATCTAGTGGGAGGCTTCTCTTCTTTTGAAAGATGATTCTGTGCCCCACCCCATTCCTATCCCACATTTGCCTCAATTTCATTTCCTTAGATTTCACATTATAGAGATATAAATAACTCTGGAATTCAAGTGGAACATTCTAGAGAGACAGACATTCTAGTTAAAACAGGAACAATCTTTCAATAAAATTAGTATCACCTTTGAAATGCAATGATACTTTGAGGATGCTTCAGACTTTGTTGGTGTTTGGAATGATTACTACTGCTGGTAGAAAATAATGCCACTGTGAATTCAGAATTCTGTGTGTGTGGGGAGGGGGGCATGCTCCCTTTCTCTCTTCTTTCTGTGCCTAAAAATAACCTGCAAATCTTGTTCAAATTCTTTTGCAAGGAAATTTATAAATTGTCTGTGTATTCTATAATTATTTTCCCATCATGATGGCTCTAAGGAAAATACATTTACATACCCATAAACTCAGACACTCTTGGAGTCCCATTTTCTTTCTGTGTGTGCTGTTCCTTTTCTCTTTCTCTCTCTCTTTGTGTCTATGGTTACTGTTAAGCTGACCCCTACAGTCTGGGGCAAATACCAAACTTGAATCAAGCACTACTTATCCATACAGCTGCGAAGGATTGCGGTTTCAGGGCCTCAGATGATAGATTTAAGTAAAGTCTGTAACTGGATGGAGTTTAGGAAACCTGTTATGATTTCATCTACAAAGGCGGGCTGCATCGCACCCCACTGTGCTGAATTTTAAGATGCGATGTGGTGTTGTTGTTTTGTCTTTTTTTATGAGCAGCATCTTTATTATAAATGATCTATTTTTATGTCTGTGGTGATTTTTATAATACTGAATTTCATTGTTGAGAACAATGACTGTAGAAAGATCTTTCTTTATTGTTCCTGTCTCTTCTCCCAGTGTCTGGAAGAAACTGTTGCTTGCAAAAAACATAGCTAATTAAAAATTGAACTTAATTAGCTACAAAGAAGCCCGACTCGCCAGGGCTGGGAGGAAGGGCAGATAAAGCTGCCGACGCTGTGTTCTTCTTTACCTTCGCTTTAATGGTCTTCACAGCACGTCGTGTTTATGAGTCAGAGGACCCTAGAGCGACACTTGTTGGGGACGGGCAGGACACCACAGCACGACAGGCAGCTCCTGCAAGTGGCGGCGGGAATGCACGCCGGAGTCGGCGTGCCAGCGCGGTGGAAACCGGTTCTCAGGTTCTGGCCGAGTGGACTTCCCCTTACATCAGCGGGCCAGCTCCTGTCAGGCAGGCGGCCGGCGATTGGCCGGGAGGAGGCAGTCATTCAAACTGCCTTTTGTGTTTGGCTAATCAGGGCAGCCCAGGTTCCCAGCGGAGGTGCGTCTGTGGTGTCAGACACCTGTGTCTCAGCTCTGTCTTCCTCGGGCTGGCTCCTGCGGATCCTTCCTGGGCCAGAACCGTGCCTCTAGGCCACCTCCCCCAAGCCACCAAGCCCCCGCGGTGGGCCAGCCTTGGCCCAGTGTCACGCAGGACAGAAATGACCAACAGATAACTGAGGACAATGGACCTGCCTGGGCATAGACTTCCTTAAGGTAAGTCCATTTTAAACCAACGATTTCTCGATGACATTATTTCTCCGTCGATGTTGGCAGAAATGCCAGCATTGGGAAGGTAAACTAAAGAGAGGTAGGGAAGTTGTTCAAGTTAGGCCTTTGTGATGAAATCACCAAGGTTTTGGGCTGTCAGATATGCTGACAAAATAATATAAAAGAATAAAGAAACATGTACATGGGGAGGAGAGAGCTTGACAAATGACTCTAGTCCTCTCAGGCAACGGGCACTTTTTCCTATTTGATGAGAAGCTCAAATGATAACAGAGTAAAGTAACTTTTAGTTAAGGCCAACAAATATATATGCTAACTTGTATAATAAGACCAAGTCAGCCTGAACATCTTGGCTCCCTCCAATCATGCAACCTCAGGATTTACAGCCTAATTTTAATTATAACTTATTTTTAAAGCTATCTTTAACTTTCTTATTTGGGATATGAAGGCAGCTTTTCTTTTTTAGGTTTGTTCGACATGGGTGAATCAATGAATTGCACTTCAACAGCAAAATTGGATTGTATTGATTGGTTGGCTCACTCTTCTCATCCTTTATGTTTCAGAGAAGGTCGGATTATAAATGCAAGCACCTACATTTAAGCAACAGTTGAGATGCTTAAGAACGTGCTTCTGTGTGATTCTGATTAATCCTTAACTATGCTCTGATTTCATTTTACTTGTAAATCAATTGACACATACTTCAGGGACCATCCTGTCTTTTCTCTGGGGTTGCTGTCACCGTATTTGTAACTTGAGGATTTAATAATTGAAGATTGATAAAAAAGACTGGTGGTTTGGGACTAGTGTTTTCACCCTGTCTGTTTTGTTGTGATAGGAAGGAAGGTAATTTTCCCTTGGATTTAAATTTTTTTCATTGAAAACATTCTGAAAATGGGTAAAGTTCTCTTTATAAATCTAAAGAGGTTCTGAGACTACTTTTCCCACCTCATTAATTTCAAGGATGTAAACACCTTCATGAAAGGAAGGTGTTTACCCATTCTCAATGATTCTGTTCAAGTGATAAACAGCAATAGGGCAAACAGGTCATTCAAAATCTGTGCTAATCATCCTCAAGTGTGTTTTTTCTTCCAATGATTACAGCCAGTTGGAGTTTTCCATTTTTTTCAGCAGTTAGCTAAAGTGTCTTTATAAAAACATTTTCCTATAATAAAATAACACATTAGTGACATTTAATATAAACATAAAAATTACTGCTTTGATGAATAAAAGCACCAGAAATGGCATTACCCATCAGATGAAATATGATCATCACACAAGTCTACAGCAATCACTTAAAAATATAGTGTATATGCAAGTGATTTTAAAATATGGATCCATAGGTAGGTAGACACAAAGTGAATTTATAAATGTTGAAGTTGTTAAAGAGAAATGAACATTGGAAAGCTAAATAGATATTGAACATTTTTATATTTCAAAAATCTACCTTCGGTTATGAATTACAACCTAGAGAATATATAAATCAAAGGTAATTTCCTGAGTTAAGTGTAAATCATTTTTTGTATGGAGAGGGATAAATACCCTCATCTTATTCCCTAATCTTAGCCCTAATCATTGTCTTCCATAAAAACCCCAGTATCCTAAAAAGGTACAGAAAGGAAGAGGAGAGAGCTGGTTGAAAAACTTCTTAACAATACTTAAAAGTAAACAAAGTCACAAACCCCACGTTTCATATTAAGAGTGTAGAAAGCCCTTGTTCAGGTCTGCAGAGTACCAGGGCACTCCAAATATGTAATTTAACACATTCATTAATAACTATGATAAATAGATATTTTATTCCAAGAACAATATCATTAGAGAGTTAGATTGGAGGGCAAGGGGATTAAGTATCTTAAGTTTATTGTTTCCCGAGTGACCATTTTTAAAAGCCTCCTTCCAGGAACTGTGGAATGCCTGCCAGGCTCCCTGACTGCTGTCTGGTGAGGGTCCCTACTGGTGCTGTGGACAGCACAATACACAATGGGGCACAAGAAAGCCACGCAGCCTCCCCCTCCTAGACACATGCTGTGCACCCCCTTGGCTCTGCTTGGAAGGTTCAGCTCTGCAAATGGAAGGTTGCAAACATCAGACACCTTCTTTCTGTTTCTGTCTCTCTCCCCTTCTTCTCCCCACAGTGTCCAGCCTTGGCCCCTGACTTTTCCTGGGGTTGGGGAGGCCTGTAGGTTCAGAAGCTGAGCAGCTGGGTGAAGACCTCCCTTAGCTCAATGTGCTCTGGCCATAGGGAGCAGACAAGCAAGCTGAGTTTGGGTAGCCCTAGACACATGGAAAAAGAAACAGCTTCCTCACCTCCACCCCTCCATAGATGACTTCATTAAAATGTCGCTGGTTAATAGGGAAAAGGTAGCACTCCTTGTTAGGCCAAACCCCTAAAAGGCATGTTTTTTAGAAAACAAAAAATAAACAAAAAAAAAATCCCCAGCAGTCTTAATGATCACATTTTGGTGACGGGTGGGAAGGTATACTTTCATACAAATGGATGATTTTGGAAGGCATGAACCTAAGCTGTCTCACACAATTTTGCTTCTTAGTTGGACTGACTGGTTTAAAAAATGAAGCCCAAATGATAGCCGCAGAGCGGTATGGGTGGCATATCATCTGATCCCATTGAGATAAAAGCTCTCAACAAACTTGTGTGAACCAAAACTGATAGAATGAGTGATGTTCCACAAGTGATCAAGAGACTCCTAGCTGGGTGCGGTGGCTGACGCCTGTAATCCCAGCACTTTGGGAGGCCAAGGTGGGCAGATCACCTGAGGTCGGGAGTTTGAGACCAGCCTGACCAACATGGAGAAACCCTGTCTCTACTAAAAATACAAAATTAGCCAGGCTTGGTGGCGCATGCCTGTAATCCCAGCTAATCGGGAGGCTGAGGCAGGAGAATCGCTTGAACCCAGAAGGCGGAGGTTGCAGTGAGCTGAGATTGTGCTATTGCACTCCAGCCTGGGTGATAAGAGTGAAACTCTGTCTCATAAAAAAAAAAAAAAGAAAAAAGACTCCTGGCATCAGTCACTGAAGGAGGACTTTGCTTCTGCACTGGAAGCCTGGCTTTAAAGCAAAAACTCTGGTGTTGGAATGTAAATGAGCCCCACCCTGGGAAGCTATGGCTGCTCAGAAACACTTGGTTTTTTCCAAGTACCAAAGCTCCCTAGTAAGCAGTAGAGCTACCAGTAGACTCTGCCCACTAAAACATGTGTTCCACATTGCCCATCAGCCCTCCAGGGGCGGGGGTCCCAGCAATCAGCCTCTGAAGGGAATCTCCAAGTTCTTCCCTTATCTTTACTCTCACAGCAGTGGAGGCACAGTCTCAGTGACCTGATACTTATGCATTTATTTCTCAGTTGTTTATTAATCGTGGATCATTAGTTCTTCCATCTGAGGTAGGTCATATATCATTATCCTAGTGTGGAAGAGAGAGAGAAAAAGAATGAAATGGAAGAATTTGTCCAACACTACCAAGAAGTTAGTGAGAAATTAGAACCTCAAATACCATGCGGTTCTCCTTCCCTTTTTGTCTTTCTGTCAAAACGGAAATCAGGGATCCTTAAACCTTTCCCTGAGCAGTTCTCTCTGGGCACTAAAATGCTTCAGGCCAAAAATATGCTGGTTCTCTTAACTGGATCACTCTGTGACTGAAAGAGAGAGCATTAAAACAATGAAATGAATTGGGTGTGTGCTCACCTGAACAACTCAAAACCCCAGCGGGTTGCTGGTAAAGTTTTCCTGAAGCCTAAATTGAGGACAGCACCCTCTCTCCTCTGGCTTTTTCCTAGAAAGACCTGATCATTTAGTTTATAACAAATTTCAACCCTGGCCCCTTGACCAGGGAGGCCAGTTGCGGGTGAGCCGTCTGAAGGTGGCTGGCCTGCATTGCCTCCGAAGGTATTTCAGGAATGTTAATGGTATGCCTGAGTGGAGGCCGCAGAGCTCCGAGCTCAGGCCTGAGAACTGTTCTTGTGGCCATCTGTTGTGGCCCAGGAAGTCTCATAGCAACAGCTTCTCAAGAATGGTGCTTTTTTTTTTTTTTTTAATTAAAATTAACTCACACAAAACCAAAAAACTGCTCCACTGCTCAAGAAGAATCAGGACAGCATTCAGATTTTTTCTACACAGTGATGAGTTTTTAAGGAAGAAAAGCCCCCGCATCCTACATTCCTGTTCTTTAAATGAGCAATTTGTACTTGGTGTTGAGGTCTTAATTTTTTTTTTTTCTCCCCCGGGGTAGAAGTCTTTCTTTGGAAAAGAATGGAGGTGAAAACAAGTTTCCAAGGCTGTGGAGAAAATAGTCAGCAAAAATATGGTTAGGAAAAAAGTGGTCAGTTTTTTTGAGATTTTCTTGGTATTTGTTGTTCTTAGCGATCCTGTCGGCAGCTGCATTTTTCCCCCTCTGTAATAATGTGAGCTTTATATGCCTGGCTATTTAGTTAGTGAAATGAACTTCAGACAAAGACACTAATTTTACCATGATGATGTATGCCCTCCGGTATGAATATCGAATCTGTGCAACAGCTGACCTCAGAAAAATAGGTAGGGAAAGTAATAATTATAGTTTCATATTTTTTCATTGATGAGACATTAAGTTAGTCATTTACAAAAACTGAGGTTTTTCCTCAGGATAGAAGATACTGTAAAATGATAAATACATGAAGCCTGGGCAGGCATGCCAGACAGAGACAAAAGAATTCTATTCTGTTCCGCATTGTACCCCTTACCAGGCTATTTCAGGAAGGCACACGGCCTGTCAGAGCACAGTGCCTCATCTGCAAATCTGATTCCTGCATTGTTAAGGAGGTTAAATATAATCACCTAAAAGGAACTTGGGAAAAGATCCTTGAATCTGAATGGCGTCTATAAAGAAGTATTATACACTGTCATTCTTGCTGTGGCACAACCCTGGGAAAACATTTTCATGAGAACTTTTAGATCTCCTTCACTTTTTAGTTTGGCACACTTCCCTCAAGTTTTGTGACATGAAATTTCCCAGAAGAGTCGCAAAATATTCCAAGTGATTTCTGACTATTATTACATAATTCCTGAATATGCAACACACTTGGAATACTTCTTTATATTCTTGATTGGTAGTGTGTATTGCTACTTATATATTATTCAGATGTAATACATTGCCCTTAGTAATGGCGCCAACCTCTATTTACGTGTTATTTAGATCTATTACATTGCCCTTAGTAATGGCGCCAACCTACCCGGAAAGGGATATGTACTTCAAGTTTTGTTTCTGAAACACAGGTTCCTAATGACGTTTTTCTTTCTATAAAGTCCTGACTCATACCCTCTTTGTGCATATTGCCTCCCATATAAAATATAACCACCACATATTTAGGAAGTGCCTACCATGTATCAGCTGGGTTTCTAGGTACCGAGTTTGGAGCTGTGAATAAAAGTAGACAAAAATTCTGGCACACAGTCTAGTCAAGTGACACAGGTAACAAGTCAGATAACACAAAAATAAGTCAATTGTATTATAGGCTAGAAAATGATAACTGCTATGGAAAATACATAAAGCAGAGAAGTACATCATATAATGGCAGAGAGCGTATTGCAATTTTTTAGGGGGTGGTGGAAGGACCTGCTAAGAAGATGATATTTAAAAGAAAACTTGAAAGAGGGGAAAAAATGAGCCTTGAAGGTTACCTAGGGAGCATTGCTGACAGAGAGAAGAGCATATGCAAAGGCCCTGGGGCAAACGTGTTTGGGAAAGAGCTGGGAGGCCAGTGTGGGTGGAGCAGAATGTGGCGGGGCAGAGAGACAGTGGGTCACTGGGAGGCAGTTAGCTTTTACTCTGAAAAAATCCTAGGAGAACTTGCTTCACAGAGCAGTTGTGAGCATTAAATGAAATAATTTGTGTAAAGCCTTCTATAGAGTGCCTAGCACACAGAAAATCTTCGGTACTTGTTAGCTGTCATCCATTTGCTTATTATTACCACTACATAGTCTAGGATTTAAGGATGGAATGATGTGAGCACACAGCACAGAGCTTTGTTCTGATCAAAGTTAATTGTTTCTTATGAGAATTAAACTCCCAACCTTGGCCTCTTAAACATTAAATTCTATCAGCTAAGAAGGTTCCAAGTCTATATCGTCACACGTACAGAGAAAAAAAGCTTGCTTTTAAGAAATTGGCCCTGACTAAGCTAAATCGTTGTTTCCATTTTGAAAGTACCAAGTCCATGCTCTCTAGGGACAGGTGTATTTTGAGACATTTGCTTCCAATTTCAGCTACAAAAGTCTTATTGAATTCCACTGAATTCGCATGATCTCACAACGTACTCATGTTTGAGTTCTGATATCAATTCCCTTTTCTAGGCAGCAGGATTCGAGGTAGGGAGGAGCATATTGCAGATATAATGAAAATAAGGAGTCAATGTGCTTTTCTTCTCCCCACAGTCCAGAAGCAAGATTACCTTTTGAGGCACTTCAGTGACCCTTTCTTAAAATGATCTTCCTGGACACCCCTTTGAATGTCTAGATTATGCTGATCTCCTTTGAACCTGAGGGACTTGGGTCATAACTTATGTCGAGTGATGACTAGCTCAGGAAATTAGAACAAGACAGGGAATCCTTTTCTCCAAGCATATGAAGACCATCATTTAGAGTCAGGGATATTCTTGCTCTAGAACCACCATAAGTGATTTGGGAGCAACAAAAGGAATTATTGATGATAACTAGAGATGCTGAATGAATGAAAAGATCTGTCTAAAAATGTGCACCTTCATCACTGGAAATGCTTCAGGAGAGGCTGATTAATCAATCAATAGTCAGAGGGGTTTGAGTTTATCCACACGACATACTAAAAGAAGCCCTTTGGGGTTAAGAAATAACCCCTAGAGGATTTGGCATCCTACCAGAGATCATGTAATTAATGACCCAGAAAGGTACCATGTTTTTACCTCTTCAACCCAAAGACAGTAAAGAACACAGATGATATAATTTAATATAAATCTGAAAGAATGATAAAACCACCCACGATGACTGGCCCTGTTATTTATTTAGTTGGTCAAGTTCTAATATTTTGGCTTCACAAGTTCCACTATTTTTGATGACATGTGTTGTATATTTTTAGTTGTAAATCAGTAATCTTTATGGCATTCCTCTAATTAGTAAGCAAAGTAAACTCTTTTTAAAAATTTGGGTGAGAACTTGACTTCTAAGATCCCTTCCAAATTTGTGCTTCTGCTTCATCCTTCCAAGATCTGCTTATTAAAAACCAAATTCTTCAGGAAAAGTCACCTTAGTTTAGGAATTCTGAGAGCCAGAAGCAACTGATTGTAGAAGCCCTATTTCACTTAGGGGCAGTGGCTAGTGGAGTCATTTTCTTGCAGTGTCACCATGGTCCTGGTGCCCGGAACCCCAGTTCCCAACACCGATGATGCTGTGTTCCTGTTTGCAGTTTCCAATATTGTCACATCGCTACTGCTGGCTGCCAGGTTGCTCGGTTATGATCAGTGGGCAGAGTGGACTGGAGCTGTTTTTTCTTTTGGAAAAACATTTCTGCAGTACTTATTACATTCTCAGTGATTTGCAAAAATGCTCTCTCTCTTAACCCAATGACAGAGCTACAGTTTTTGTTCCCATTTAACAGGTTAAACAATTGAGATACAGGGAACTAATCCAAAGTCTCACAGTGACAGGGACTTGAACCCAGGTCATCTGTCAACAGAGTCTGTGCTCTTAGCTGCTACATTGGATTTCTCATCCACAAAATGTCTAATCCTATGTGCTCTTTTTATTTGTTGTAGCTCTCCTGTTGATTCAGAGGGAAAACTGATATGGCATATTATTACACTTTATTGCCCTCTGTGAGGGCAGAGAACATAACCTATTGATACCAGTGCCTAGTGTAGCGCCTGGTGCATGCAGATACTCAAATATTTGTTGACTGAGTGAGGGAGTGAGGGTGTGACATGAATAAACAATAGTAAGGCCATAGAAATGCCATCCTAGTCTCAAGAGTCACAGAGATGTATGTAATCGCAGGATGTCACTTACATAAAAACTTTAACTTTGAAAAGTTAAAAAACATAAAATTAGAGGTGAGGACATCATGGGACAATTACAGTGTTTGAACCAGTGTCAACAATTTCATCCCTTGTTAGGCACTCATTCATAGTTTAATTAATAAATCACATTGCATTGGAAGTGTAGCTCCAAAGGACCCTGATGTCAGACTAACACCTGCTATGTGACAATTGGGGAGGGAACAGGGAACCATTGGAACGCCATGAATTCCACTAAATCAGTGCAAATCTGGATTTGGTGCATTTAACAAATGGACATTGAGACTCACAGATTTGTTATGGAGTAGAGAAAGGAAGCCTGAATCTTGACAATGCCAGTATCTAAGGGAACATTTGGGTGTATTGAACATAAACCCACTAAGACCAACTCAAATAAAAAGAGATGAAGATATCAAGATATGAAGGAAGCTTGTGAAATCCAACTATAGGAAGCCAGGAACACCTCAACATTAACTTAGTGGTGAAAAGCTCTTAGAGTCAGAAGGCCTGCATGTGAGTTCCAACCTTGGCATTGCTGAATTTGTGACCTTGGATAAGTTACCTCATATTTCTGAACCTCATTTACTTGTCTAAAAAGAAGGAATAATCAAAGTTTCTACCTTGTTGTGTTGTTGTGTAGTTTCAGTGAGATAATACATATAAAGCACTTGGAACACTGCCTGACACGTAATAGGAACTCAGTAACCATTAACTCTTATTATTATTTAGAAAGTAGGCAGCTATTCACTTTCTTTTTGGATTACATAGTTGTTCATTTCAGCTGACTTTGAACGTCAGTTCCATTGCTCTGTCTGCAGACTGGCTTTCTGACAGACATGGTGCCAGGGTTAATTTAATGGCATGGTGATGTCATCAAAGCTCCAGGTTTGTCTGTGTTTTCATTCTGCCACCCTTAGCATGATGATTTTCTTCCTTACATTTGTTCCTCATGGTTGCAAGGTGTTTGCTGCAGCTCCAGGCATCACGTCCTCACAGAGTCTTGTCCAAACAAGGGAAGGAGTTCTAGTTTTGTGTATTTCATCAAGAATGAGAAATACTTTTTCAAAAATCCTCCTGCAAACTCTCTTTTTTTAGGAGTCAGATCTCATTAGTTAGGCTTATGTCCTATATCCTTGCCTACACTAGTAACTGGCAGGGAGTCAGATTACCAAGAATAGTATAGACCAGGCATGGTTAATCCCTTAGGGTGATGAAGGAGCTGCCTTTCTGAGCACATCATTATCTGATCCTGCAATGGAATCAAAATTATACTTGTGGAGTAAAACAGGGGACAGTAACCATTGAGTAAACAATTATGAGGGCCTGTTTTAGATAAGCAAGTTTCTAAGCCAGGCAAATCAGAGTGTTTCTTTGTAATTTTATCTTTTTGTACATGGAGTCTAAGAGGAGGCAGAACTCTTGCAGTTGTTAATCTGGGATAAGGTAAACCTGAAGTTCTCTGCTCCATGGTTGTTTTCTGTGTACTTTACCCCTGCATGCACACACACTGAATCCTATTGCAAAGATAAAAGTGAGGTCTTTTTTTTCACCTTGCTCTCTCTGTCTATATACTGTCATGCACCCCATAATAATTTGGGTCAATGATGGACCCCATGCATGACAGTGGTTCCATAAACTGATAATGGAGCATACACAGAAGTGATATATAGTACTTGATATTATCCCTGCAGATCAAGTAGGGGAAATGTTTGATATTCAGTAATGTGCTGGGACATTTTCATATGAAAAAATAGAGAGCCAGGTGTGGTGGCTTGTGCCTATGATCCCAGCTACTTGGGAGTTAGAGGCAAGAGGATGGCTGGAGCCTGGGAGGTAGAGGCTACAGTGAGCTGTGATCACACCACCGTACTCCAGCCTGGGCAACAGAGCAAGACCCTGTCTCTAAAAAGAAAAGCAAAAGATGTTGTGTATAACATCTGGGTTTGTGTAAATACTGTCTGTGATGTTTGTATGATGAAATTGCCTAATCAGGCATTTCTGGTCACATATCCCCATCATTCAGCAATGCATGACTGTGTCTAGATGTATAGGTAGGTAGATAGGTACAGAGAAACACACACACACACACACACACACACACACACACACACACACACTCTCCAACAGATGCTGCCTCTCCCAAGGAAGAACCTGACAATAATTTCCAGTCCCTGAGGCCATCTCCATCCCTGGCCTTCTCAAGAAATTCCCATTTTTGCTTGATTTTCTCTGTGGGTTCAATGTTACTGTGTCATTTGCAACAACAATAACAAAATCCCATCAGAAGCATTCTCCTAAGCTTCTGGGATTCTGTCCCCTACATCTACTAGTGTGTGGCCCTGGCTCACCCCGGAGCCATCACTGGGCTCTACCCCATGTGCCCCACAGCTCTAGAGCCTTATCACCTGACACTCTCAGCCTTGCCCCAGCACCAGGTCGCACCAGCCGCAATGTGAACAGCTCTGCCTATAGCTGAGGAAGAGCTGGTCTAGCCTCACCCCTTCAACTGGGGCTTGATCAGGACCTGTTCTCCTAGAATAGACGGCAACGGAGAGACAGTAACCTCTGTCTCTGATAAAAGGGTGTAATATCTGCCAAGTCTTTCCTAAAGAGACTCAGCAAAAGAGACCACCCTACTGACAAGTACATGTTTCATAAATAAAATGACTTTATTTCAGATATACAAGTGCCTTTGACAGGGAGTTTAAATCTGGTGGCTGTATTCCTTTTGGCCTGACTTAAATAGGAGAAGAGAATTGTGGTTTCCTATCAGTGGGAAATTAGTAAAGGATTCGAGGAGTGAGTGACTAGGAGAGTAGAGTGAAGTCATAGACAAAATCAATGTGGCTATCGGGGCAGGCCAATTGGACTCATGAGAAAAATCCCTTGGAAGGTGGAAATATGAGACATTGAGACTGTCATTCAGGAAGTATGGATAGATCTTTTTTTAATGTTTATTTTTACTATTTTGTTATGAAAGTGGCATAAACATTTATGAGAGTAGAGGGTCCCACAAATTCCCACGCACCCACCCTCCAGCTGGATGGCTCTTGTTAAGTAGAACAAGACAGGGAGGAGGAGAAGATGAAAGAAAGGAGCAGGAGCCAGTGAAGGACAAAACGTTCAGTGACAGATCTATTAGTGAACTTGTCAAGAGAGGACAGGAAGCTGAAATCCAAGATGTTTATTCTTCTTAATCATAGGTTAATGAAATAATTGCTAAATGAGATCTGGCTTCTAGCGATCTGAGTAGGGATTATGTAACTTGAGGAAGCAGATCCCGTGTTGTAATCTCCAAATTGCTGAGTGTGGGAGAACCAAAAGGCTCCCATCTAACACGGTGACAAGGCTAAGACAGCAAGAGTCAGTGTTTATTTGTTTGGCATTTAGCAATTATTTTTCTACAATCTCCCAGGCACTGTGCTAGGCTTTGTGAGCATGCAAATCTGAAGGACCAGGTTCTTGCTTTCAGAGAATGCAGCATCTACTGGTGAAAGTAGATGAGAAAAATCTATGACTTTTTTTTTTTTTTTTTGAGATGGAGTCTTGCTCTGTTGCCCAGGCTGGGGTGCAGTGGCACGATCTCTGCTCACTGCAAGCTCCGCCTCCTGGGTTCATGGGCATTCTCCTGCCTTAGCCTACCGAGTAGCTGGGACTACAGGCGCCTGCCACCACGCCTGGCTAATTTTTTGTATTTTTAGTAGAGACGGGGTTTCACCGTGTTAGCCAGGATGGTCTCGATCTCCTGACCTCGTGATCAGCCCACCTCGGCCTCCGAAAGTCCTGGGATTACAGGCGTGAGCCACCACACCTGGCCAAAAAATCTATGATTATAACAGTCATGCTATGATGAAGCTTTTCTGGCAGCATAGAAAAGATGAAAGCTTCTTGTAGGAGGATGATTGTCTTGATCTTTGGAAAGATGAACAGGCATTTGGTAGATGGATTTAGTGAGTGAAGACATTCTAGCTAGACAAAGTAGCTTACACAAAGACAGAGAGGTACTCAAAGAGAACCTTAAGTCAGGGCTGCAGGGCTGATGGCACACTTGTGACCTGCTAAAAGTCAAGGTGGAGATGGGGTAGAGGTGGCCAGGAAGTGGGGAGCAGGGGCTAAAATTCAGCCCGTGCTTCGCCCCCTGGTGCAGCTGTATCCACCTGGAGGAGGTGTCTTTTTCTGGTTTGACAAGGGGCCACGTGGGCAGGGGGTAGCCCTGTCTGAGTGTATTTAGTATTCTTTGACTAAAGAGTGTATGTGAGGATGCTCATGAGTTTGAACAGAACCCAGAAAGGTGATGGGACATTAATAAATAATTAAAAGGCAGAGTAGTGACAAAATCGGACTTGTGCTTACGAAAGACCATTCTGGCTGCATTTTGGGAGGTGGTTTTCAAGATGTTAAGTCTGAAGGAAAAGAAACTAGTGAGAAAAGGCTGCTCCAGGTGAAAAATAATGGGGGCCTGAATGACAGCTGTGGGAGGGGAAGGAAAGGAAGTGGTGCATTGAATATCCAGAAGGTACAGCAGGTAGACTTGGTGACGGGCTGGCTGCTTGGGTGCAGGGGTGCAAGGCGAGGAGGATGACTCCTAGGGTTTTAGCTTTAGCAGCTCAGTGGGAGATTATCACATCCCCGTAAAGATCAATAAACCCAAGAACTTTGCCATAGTGTGTGCTGAGGTGTTACCTGTTGAATAATAACAATAAAAGCGTTCTTTATATAATCACGGTGGTTAAAGAGTAAGAGGAGGGCTTCAGTAGTAGCTTTTGAGACAGACGAAAAACACCTTGATCCTTAGTTGTGTCCCTTCAGAGAATGAGCAATTGATATGAAAGGAAACTGTAGGATCTTTTGCGTTGTGATCCCATTCAAGCACAGCAAAATCCCCTGTAGTGGATAATCTGCCCATTCAAGATAGGTCAGAGAGTAATGCCCAGCTGCAGAAAGCTAGTTCATCTCCTTTATTCTTTCTTTCAAGATGAAAATAATATAAATCTAGGGTATCTTAAACCCTTTCTCATTGTTTTTGGAGAAAGCAGTTTTTTGTTTTGTTTCTGATGGTGGACATGGCAGCAGCATTCTTTCTGTCTCCCTGTGCTCATCATGACGGTGTCCTAGCACAGGCTTTGAAGTTGAATGGTCCTGGGTTTGAATTCCTAGTTCATCACCATCTGTCACTTTGGGCAGAATACTTATCTCTGTGAACCTCATCTGTAAAATGTAGGGAAATACAGTTTCCTCATGGAGCTGTTACGAGGGTTAAGGAAAGTGGAGTGCTTGGCATAGGACCTGCAGGCCACATGCTGGTCACAAGTGGTGGCTGTGGAAATGGACTTTGTTGGTGCTACTGTACTTGTTATTAATGCCAGTGTTCAGATATCAAGAAAAGATATGGCACCTGGAATCCCAGCACTTTGGGAGGCCAAGGTGGGAGGATTGCTTGAGCCCAGGACAACATAGCGGACCCTATTTCTAAAAAAACATTTTTTTTTTAAATTAGCCAGGTGTGGTGGCACAAGCCTGTTAGTCCCAGCTACTCAGGAGGCTGAGGTGGGAAGATGGCTTGAGCCCAGGAGGTCAAGGCTGCAGTGAGCCATGATTGTGCCACTGTACTCCAGCCTGGGTGACAGAGTGAGACCCTGTCTCCAAACAAACAAACAAACAAAAACCCAAAAAATAAACAACCAACTTGCTTTTGCAGCCTTTGATTATTCCTTGGGCCTGCATCTATTAGATGCTGATTGTATATCACGTTGCCTTCTTTATGGGTTAACCTGAGGAGAAAGAGTTCCATGCCACGTGAGTCAAAGAGTAGGTTATATACATGGCTTGCTCCTTCCTGATGTGTCTTGAGATACTGTGCTGATTATGCTTGGGACAGAGAAGCATACCATTAGACTATTGAAATCACTGGAAAGAAAGCAGAAAACTGTGGTACTTTCAGCTTTCACATGATCAAGGTGTTTTCCTAGGATACAATAGGCCACTGAAGCTACACTTGATATTACATTAATAATTCAATAAAGCACATTAATTAACTACCAGTCCATGGCTTCAGCAGCTAATAGCACCTAAAGAAAATGTACTTCAACTTTCTTATCAAGAAATGGTCTTGATAAGAGACCGGGTGACTGTAACTTTGGTCATTGCTCTGGAATGTTCCTGATGGTGCTGCCAGTTTTCATTGCCCATAGGTGCAATATGGAAATTTTTATAAATGCTCTCATTTGATGCTTTTACAGATTAACAACATTTTTATATTGTATTGTAACTGAAAACAAACGAGTATTTTTCTTATCTCACCTGTAGAAAAGGGAGTGGTGAGAATTCAGGAGTTAATATTGTAAAAATACCTGAGATAAGAAATACATGTTTAAGTATTACTGGTTTTGATTGCCACTGAATCCTCATGAAGCAACCACAAAAATCAAACAGAATCAGGGACTAGGAAAAGTGGAAAGTCTGTATTTTTATACTACTCTAAAATCTATTAGGTTGGTGCAAAAGTAATTACAGTTTTCGCAATTACTTTAACGGCAAAAGCCACAATTACTTCTGCACCATCCCATGCCTTTGAGAAGGAAGATAAGTTTTCAGAGTGTTTAAAATTAGCCACCCATAGTTTGCTGTAAAACAGAAATAAAATTTGGTGACAGTTAAAAATTTACATCAGTGGTTCTCAGCTAGAGGCGATTTCCCTCCAGGGGACATTTAACAATATCTGGAGACATTTTTAGTAGTCACAACTGTGTGTGGTGTGGGGAGGGGGTCGTGCTACTGGCATCTAGTGGGTAGAGGTCAGAGATGCTGCCAAAATCCTGCAATGCACAGGAAAGGCCCCCCAGTAGAGAATTACCTGGCCCCAATTGTCAGTAATGCCAAGGCTGAGAAACACTGAGTTAAATAACAGCTGTTGGGAGCTTCTACCACTGGACTGTCTCTTTCAGCAAGAAATTAGCCATCCTGTTAATTGAAATTATTTTCCTCAGGTTATGTAAGGAAAATATACTCCTTTGCTTTCTTTTTTATTTATTTATCGTCCAGGCTGCAGTGCAGTGGCGTGATCTCAGCTCACTGCAACCTCCGCCTCCCAGGTTCAAGCGATTCTCCTGCGTCAGCCTCCTGAGTAGCCGGGACTACAGGTGCGCCACCAAGCCCAGCTAATTTTTTGTATTTTTAGTAGAGACAGGATTTCACTATGTTGGTGGCCAGGCTGGTCTCGAACTCCTGACCTCAGGTGATCCATCCACCTTGGCCTCCCAAAGTGCTGGGATTACAGGTGTGAGCCACGGCGCCCAGCCTTACTCCTCTACTTTCTTATAGGTTTAGTCTGGACTATCTTCTTTATATATAGCTCTCAAATTGTCAGACAATTCAGTCCCCAAAGTCCTCAGGCCAGATGCTTGAAAGATTGTGACTGCAAAAAAACAACAACCAGGTTGATTCAAGGGTTCACTTCTCAGCTGATTGGTTCAGCACTCTGTGGACACACAGCTGTTTTGTGGTGATAAAGAGAGCAGAAGAACGAAGTTGGTTGAGGAAATGCCTTCACATTTCAACACTCCCCTTCAAGGAAAGGGAAAGCTGGCTTTTCAAATACTTGCCAAGTGTGAAGCCATCCAGGAGCAATTACAGAACGTTCCTTTCAATCTTTCTCCTCTGTTTTCCTTGACTTATTTTATGAACTATTTATTGAATACTTACCATCCCAATCCCTATGATAAGTACTGCTCCTAATACAAAGAAAACTCAAATGATTTTAAGAATAACTAAAAAAAAATTACAAAGTCCTGTAGGTCATCACCTACAGGAAAAAGAAATGTTGGACAAAGGATTTCTCTCCTAGATTTTATGTATTTATATCTTACAACATATAAAGTTAAGTCCACATTTTTCTATGCATTTGTCTATTGAAAACTGTTAAAATACAGAAATTTATAATAAATGATACAGCCATATGTTAATTTTCTTGATTTTTTTTTTCGTTAGAATTCTTTTGCTTTATCTTGAAAGATTACCCAGTTCTGGGGCTTACTAGTGGCAATATATTGATATATAGTAGGCAAAATTAAATTTAATTACAATAAATAAACTTCATTATATGAAATAGGTTGGTGTTAAATTGGATCTCTCTTGGTCCAGCCCTAGGAAAACAAATTACTTTTCATTATGATAAATGTGAATGTATCTCCAGATACTTCAGTGGAACTCACTGTATAAATACGACAGAAGAGTTAGGAAGGTGGACCCTGGAGCCAGACTGCCTGGATTAAAATCCTGGCTCTGCCACTGACACTCTGTGACCGTGCAACCTTAGACAGATCACTTTCCTCCTGGTGCCTCGGTTTCCTTATCTTCAAAATGAGGATAACAGTCATAGTATTTTTCTTAGAAGGTGATTATAAGAATTGAATGAGTTATGCATGTAACTAGCACATAGTAAATGCTCAAGATACATTATTTTTATTGTCATCATTATTGTTGCATTGTATTTTATTTTTCTGTATTTGTACTAAAGATGGACTGATCGATAGACCCATTGCAGCTTTCCCAAGTGTAATGTGGTATAAAGGCACTTAATTCTGATTCCACATGTTCCTGGAGATAGTTATCTTTTAAAAACACATACTTGGCTGGGCGTGGTGGCTCACACCTGTAATCCCAGCACTTTGGAAGGCCGAGGAGAACGGATCATGAAGTCAGGAGATCGAAACCATCCTGGCTAACACGGTGAAGCCCTGTCTCTCCTAAAAGTACAAAAAATTAGCTGGGTGTGGTCGCACGCACCTGTAGTCCCAGCTACTTGGGAGGCTGAGGCAGGAGAATCACTTGAACCCGGGAGGTGGAGGTTGCAGTGAGCCAAGATTGGGCCACTGCACTCCAGCCTGGGCAAGAGAATGAGACTCTGTCTCAAAACAAAAACAAACAAACAAACAAAAACCCACAAACAAAAAAAAACCGTACTTTGCAACTAACAGGACATCTATTGATTGATTTATGATCAAAGCCTCTGACTTTCTATGTAGTATGACCATATAAAGTAATGGAATAAGACCACCATCTTGTATTCTTTCTTTTCTTCTTCTTTTTTTTAATATTTTAAGTTCTAGGGCACATGTGCCCACATGCAGGTTTGTTACATAGGTATACATGTGCCATGTTGGTTTGCTGCACCCATCAACTCGTTATTTACATTAGGTATTTCTCCTAACACTATCCCTCCCTCAGCCCCCAACCCTGCAAAAGGTCCTGGTGTGTGATGTTCCCCTCCCTGTGTCCATGTGTTCTCATTGTTCAACTCCCCTTATGAGTGAGAACAAGCATCTTGTATTCTTTTTTTTTTTTTTTTTTTTTTGAGATGGAGTCTTGCACTGTCTCCCAGGCTGGAGTGCAGTGGCGCGATCTCAGCTCACTGCAACCTCTGCCCCCCTGGTTCAAGTGATTCTCCTGCCTCAGCCTCCCGAGTAGTTGGGATTACAAGCACCTGCCACCCCATCTCTTAGTAGAGATGGGGTTTCACTATGTTGGCCAGGCTGGTCTCAAACTCCTGACCTCATGATCCGCCCACCTCGGCCTCCCAAAGTGCTGGGATTACAGGCGTGAGCCACTGTGCCCGACTGCATCTTGTATTCTTAAGCCTGTAGAGCATCTCAGTCTTCAGGCAGCCAAGGACATTTATTAGAATTGGAGCCTCTGGCTGCCTTGGAAGAGGATGTTTTCAACACTTTTAGCCTGTTGTAATACTTGGGGGCTACTGGTTGATTGTGCTTTAAAGGATGTTGATATCAAATATGGTCTGGCTATATTTATGCCAAGTTGCTGACATGTTGTATAATATTTATTGTTCCTAATGCATGATAGGATCAAAATGCTGTACACAAACAGGTAAAGATGGTTTTGCAGCTTTGGGTTTTCAATTTATTTTCTAGAACATGTCTCACTTGCTTTCCTACATAAAGACACATGATTGCTTTTGAGCTTAACTAAATTTAGTGTGGTATCTAAGTTGTCTGTGTGTTATTCTGGTGAACAAAGGCACTTGATCAAAATGATCTCTTCAAAGTTGGAATGCCTTCATTAAAATGTTCAAATGGTAACCGTCCACCTGAAGGATGCCATGAAAATATTAGAAATCATTGTTTTTTAAGCATTGATGTTGATAATTGTTAGACAATGTCTGAAACTTTTGAAATCACAACCATCTAAGGCAGTATAGGAAACAGAAATAGCAGGGATGTTGAAACACTAAAATAGTAAGTTTTGTAAGACAAAAGTGACCTTGCGTTCAAAATAAGATTTCTAGGAATTTATTCTGTTGATTTTAGATTGAATTTGTAGTAAGTAAACAATTAGCTGACTATATAAGGCTAAGGAGTTACTTATCTATGAAACCAAAAATGTGAACTAGTTTATCTGTAGGGTCCATTTTGTCTCTAAAATGCCAAAAATCAATCTAATATATTTCCCTGGATTGAATTCCTCAAGGGTCAAGGTGCATGCACCTTTGATATAGTGCTGAATGAAGCATTACTAATAAACATTAAACTGATTTGGATTTAAATACCTCTTACACAGCTCAAATGCAGGCTTGAAAAGTAATGTCCCCATGGCGGTAAAAGCATCAGTATGAGTGTACGTGTGGAAAGATTTGTTGTAGGAAGATCAGTCAGCCCTATTTCATGATGACTTCAATGTTGTCGGTGCAGCAGTGGAGTCATGGCCATGACAGCATCATCAGAGTGAACTTTAATTAAAAACAAGTGGAGAAATCAACAGCTAGGATTTGCCCGGGAAATACCTAAATGACATACAGCCCGGAAGAGGATTTCGAGGCACCATTTTATTGCATTCTAGTGGGAGAGAACAGTTCTCATTATAAAAATTCTAAGAAAAGTTGGAAAAATAATGAGCACCATAAATTAGATTTGAACTAGGCATGCCTTTTAGCCTCAACACATCCCATTTTGTATCCCCTTAAACTGTCAGAGAACAGGCAGGTATGACTCATTCCTCTAACTTGGGTAAGCAGAAATTAAAATAATCCTATTTAAGAAATAAATAGCAAAAAGGAAACTATAAATAAATGGTCAAATAGAATTGCTTAGTTGTTGAGAGAACTATGTAACTCAGCTAAGTGACAACAAAGGGAAAAAACCTAATTAAGTTGCTGAAGAGGGGGAAAATATTTTTTCAGTGGCATAAATCCCAGAGCAAAAACAAAAACAGAAAAAATGAAAAGATGTATGCTTTTAAATAGATGGAAAAAATCCTTGTTTTCTAAAATGTGACCTTAAAGACCCTTGGTAGAAATTCTAATAGCTACCATTCAATTTCTTTCTATAACACCTTTGATACAGAATCACTCTTTATCATTTCATAGTTCCAAAAATGTATTAAAGGCACAATTTTCTCTCTCTCTCTCTCTCTCTATATATATATATACACATATATATATACATATATATACACATATACACACACACACATATATATATATATATATTTTTTTTTTTTTTTTTTTTTTTCTGAGACGGAGTCTCACTCTGTTGCCAGGCTGGAGTGCAGTGGTGCAATCTCGGCTCACTGCAACCTCCACCTCCCGGATTCCAGCGATTCTCCTGCCTCAGCCTCCTAAGTAGCTGGTATTACAGGCGCCTGCCACCACGCCTAGCTAATTTTTGTATTTTTAGTAGAGACAGGGTTTCACCAAGTTGGCCAGGATGGTCTCAATCTCTTGACCTTGTGATCTGCCTGCCTCGGCCTCCCAAAGTGCTGGGATTACAGGTGTGAGCCACCAAATACTATATATTTTAAACAAACAAATACTTTTAAGTGTTATGCTTACTACCGACTGCTGCTTACCAGTGTGGTGCATGTTAGCTACTCTGAATGTTGGTTTTTTATCTGTAAAATGATAGTAAAGGCTGGGTGCAGTGGCTCACACCTGTAATCCCAGCACTTTGGGAGGCGGGTGGATCATTTGAGGTCAGGAGTTGGAGACCAGCCTGACCAATATAGTGAAACCCCATCTCTACTAAAATACAAAAATTAGCCAGGCCTGGTGGCAGGTGCCTGTAATCTCAGCTACTTGAGAGGCTGAGGCAGGACAATCACTTGAACCCTGGAGGCAGAGGTTGTAGTGAGCTGAGATCACACCACTCCACTCCAGCCTGGGCAACAGAGCAGGACTCCCTCTCAAAAAATAAATACATACATACATACATACGTACATAAATAAATAAAATGGGAGTAAAAACCTTTACCTCTAGAGTTCCTGGGAGTATAAATTACATGCATTATACATTAAATTACATACATAGTATTGTACTGGGTAGCTGGCAGGAGTCCAAAAAATGCTGTAGCAGCTTGTAGAAAGTGGTCTTGGTATGCTAAACTCTACTCTGACTCTGACAATTTCCATATTTTTTACCAAATCAGCTTACTGTGCCTCAATTTCAAAATCTTCAAAAATGGCAGTGTGTTCAAAAACTGTGTGTGTGTGTGTGTCATATTTATATGTATGTGTGTGTGTGTGAAACATTTGAGATTTGCAGTGTGCTCAGGAATATAAAGCATCTTGGGAAAAAAGATGCCATTCAAATACAAACAAATACTCATCATTTCCTCCAGTTTTATTGACTAAAAGCATCAGTTGCAACATCTCAAAATCTGATCTATTTCTGTTTTATGGAACTAAAGCTTGATTTAGTACATATTTTGTGGTCCTTCTGGGTCTAGGAGATGAACAGACTGAACTGGAAATAAACAAAGCCAAGAATCTTAAGCTAGAGGGTAGAGACCTATTCACTCCCACACTCTGAGGAATTTATGACCAGTAAGTTGCTCTCTAATGAGTACAGAACAAGAGCATTGCATCTTCTCTTAATTAGTTTGACAGATATTCATTTAAATTTGAAAAGATTCCCAGACGTGGGATAGCAAAGGAAAGTCTTGAATTCCTTTTGCATCTTAATTCTGTTTTTGTTATGGTGGCTCTGGGGAATGTCAATATCTGAAGACAAATAAAAACTCATGTCTTCATCCAGGGACCTCCGCATTTTCTATTTATTACTGGCCACAAACCACCAGGTTTCAGTTTGCAGCTGTAAAGTCTAACACAAAAGCAACAGGTTCTGCAATAATGCTGTTGGGCCTGGTTTCTATGAGGGGTGCATTTTTTTTTTCTTGTGGTTAATAAAGGACAGGGTTTCAAGGCAGGCTTTAAATAGCCATCTTTACATCAAAATAAGTCACCACGTGGGCATCATGAAACCATGAATTGTTTTTACCCATAGGGCATAGTTACCACTAGCCCCTGGTAATCCATGGAAATGAGTAACTGGGAGACCTTATATACTCCCAAGCCATTTTAATCAGTAGTAACATTAACCTTTATGAAGGTTGTTAAAATATAGCAAGAGTGCTGATGACTTACTTCACTTTATCATGCTTTAACCTCTAGCTGTGCAGGCTGTTCACTCCAAAACAGTGCCCAGTTAGGTAGCACCAGGGGCCTGCAACCCACCCCTACTTCACTGGCCTGGCCAGGCATCTGTGAGGCTGACTACATAGGCTGAGGGATGCCTTCTCCTCCTGCAAACAAAGAAAAGCCTCATATGGGCTGGTTGTGGACTTGACTGAATAGAGCTGCTATTGAGGAAATGTCCAAGCATACACAACCTTGGGAAGAAGGCACAACACTTGCCTAATCTACCAAAGCACAGTTTTTAGCTCTCGAGGGAGCGCATTCGTTCATCAGTGAGCCTGGTCCAGCTTCACTTTGGCAAGTGCCCCCCACCCTGTCTCTCTCCCCTCACTACCATTTTCCCCATTACCTTAGAGCAGATTCCTTTTACTAATCAACTCATCTTAATGAAGCCAGAATGCAACATTCAAGGAAAGTTCTGATTTAAAGAAAAAGAGGCAGAGCTTGCAAAGCATCACCTGTTGTTCTCTCAGTCCATTGGCCTGGTCATTAGATTATACTCTCCGGAAAGCTGATTTGATTGATTGGACAGAGATGGCATAGCATAGCATAGCATAGCATAGCATAGCATAGCATAGCATAGCATAGCATAGCATAGCATAGCATAGCATAGCATAGCATTGGACAGAGATGGTATAGCATAGCATAGCATAGCATAGCATAGCATAGCATAGCACAGCATAGCACAGCACAGCACAGCACAGCACAGCACAGCACAGCACAGCACAGCACAGCACAGCATAGCATAGCATAGCACAGTGTCAGGTTAGAAGGCCTGGGGAAAACCCCTGCTTTACCACTTAGTGGAATAACCTTGAGCAAGTTACTTCATCTCTTTGAGAATCCATTTCTCCCTCAGTAAAACAAGAATGATAATATGAGACTTGGGTGAGTTAATACATGTAAAGTGCTGAACACTTGCTATGGAAAGCAGTGGTTCTCAAATCTTGGGCCCTGGACCAGCAGCATTACCTGGGAACTTGTTAGAAATGCAAATCTCAGGTCCCAAATAAAACTTAGGGGTATAGGAGAAAATACTTGCAAATAATATGTCTGACAAGGTGTTAATATCCAGAATATTTTACTAAGTGAATTAGGATATACAATTAACAAGAACACTTCTCTAACCATTCAACATTTAGGAAAGCTTGTATATGTTTATAATTTCCTGATAACTGAATGGAGAAGTGCAGTTATTTCATTTCTGGAGTATACATTGAACCTTGCAAATTCAAGTAATCTTTTTCCAGGCCTCTAGTACATCATAGTCCATATAGACAATCTGTTTTGGTATGTTTGTTTGTTTGTTTGTTTTGGAGACAGGATCTTGCTCTGTCAGCCAGGCTGGAACACAGATCACAGCTCATTGTAACCTCAAACTCCTGGGCTCAAGCAATCCTCTTGCTTCAGCCTCCTGGGTAGCTAAGACTACAGATTTATGCCACCATGCCCAGCTAATTTTTGTTTTTGTTTTGGAGAGATAGGGTCTTACTATGTTGCCTAGGCTGGCCTCATGAGATTCTCCTGCCTCAGCCTCCCAAACTGTTGGGATTACAGGCGTGAGCCATTGCAACTGGCCCTCAGAATCTGTATCTGACCATGTTTCTCTTCAGGATCAGAAGTCTTTAAAAAAGAAATGTGAAAAAACAAATTACGTTGTAAACTCTTAGTTTCCTTTCAAATGACCCCAGTCTATCAGAATAGACTAGATGTTAAGAGCAGTGTTAGCAGGCAATTAAGTCTTTTGTGCCCATCCACCACTTCCTAACATTTACCTAAATAGAGAGTCTAGAATATCATGTTTACACCATTATGTATTCTGTCTGGAAGTAACAATATAAAAGATAACATTAATTTACTTTTTTTCAGTAGATGCTACTGAACTGTGAACATCTTATTAGGCTCGAGTTTAGATTTTCAAACTTGTCTCAGGAAGCTGTTGCTACCTGGTACCCATTTTGTTTTATTTTTATTTATCTTTTGGAGGACAAGGAGAGAATGACTTTGAAAAATCTCCTGGGCAAGAAAGGGGAAGACTTTTCTGCAAGGAAAATGGATTGTACTTTGTTTTCCTTCATAAAGGGTAATGAGGATATAATCTCAAAGCTACGCTTGACCATCATCTGTCAAACCAAAGCAAATAAGCCAGTGCCTGTCTTTCCTTATTGTAAAACTAAAAGAGAAGATAACCACCATGTGGCAGTTGTCTAGCCAAAAAAAATCACCCTCATTTCAGAAAATGTTTACTTTTTCACTCTCATTGAGTGATATGCCATCGAGGTATGAGTTAGATGTTGGCATTTTGTGGAAAGGTTTTCTTTGTTTAGCAAAATCACAGCTGTTCATTTCTGGTAATTTTGAATTTCCTAAAAAGTGGCCATAGCTTCAGAATTTGATTTTTAGTAACCTTTAGCAGACTGAGAGTTTTTCTGGTTTGAAGATTATATTGAAACACCAAAAAAAAGTAGAGTGGTTTGTGTTTTACTTTATGTATTAATGTGAAATTTGGAGATGAAGCCTCTTGTTGCTGAAATAACTGCATCCCCTCGTCTTCCGCTGTCCACTTTTATATATTTCCTAAATATCCACAAATCTTGATACACTCTTGTAGTGATTTGATTCTTGTTTTGTTCATATGTGTGTTTTTTCCACTAATGTACACCTTTGGGAATCCACTCCCAGCCTTTCCATGATTTCTTCTGTAATTTGGGTTTTATTTTTAAAGCTGTTGGCATCCGTGTAGAGGGATCCTGCCGTTACCCCTCTCCAGATCTTAAGGTTATCTCCCTATTCTGTTGATTGAGAGATCCAAAGTCAAAGGTGAGTCAGGGATTTCGTGTGCAGGTTCTCACTGATGAACATGTTTTCTCCAGACCCAGCTGGGGGGTTAAGATTCAGGCAATTGGTGACGAGAGGGGCTGCTTTCCTCCAAGTTCAGTAGCCCTCCCTCAAATGAGAAACTATTTCACAACAATCTCAACCCATTTGTCCTCCACTGTGGATAGGGATGGGGGAGGGGCTTGCTTGAAGAGTTCTAAGGTGATTTTTTTCCCATTAAAAAAATTGCAGTAAAGTATACATAACATTAAATTGACCATTTTAACCATTTTAAGTGTATAATTTGGTGGCATTAAGCACCTTCACATTGTTGTGCAACCATCACCACTACCAATCTTTAAGTGAGTTGAAGATGATTTTTTTAAAGTTACTTCTTGCCTCAGCTCCCAAATTCCAGTTGACTTTGTGCGCCCTCTCTCTGTGTCTCTCTCTCTCTCTCTCTTAAAGTCTGCGTTCTCATTCTGATTATTTAACTTGGAGAGTGTGAAGGATTTTTTTTTTTTAACACTGCATGATGAATTGGTCTCAGTGGAATTCAAACGATCTCGTTGTTTTGGTTATTTCTTATCGGGAATGCTGGATTTTTTTCTAAGAGCCATGGCAGGGGTGAAGGGGCACAAGGGAGCCACCTCCTTTTGAGTCAATTTAGCAAAAGTGAGAAAACGGTGGGGTGATAGGAAGTCATTCCTGGATGCTAAAGGGGCATCCTGGCTCCCTGAAGAAACTGAGACTCCCAGTTTTTACGTAGTGAACTTTCTGGCTGTAATTTAGGGCAAACTCCTTACTGTTTTTATATTTGCCCTCCATTGATAAGAACTTCTTAAGGTCACAGTGTCCTTGGGTAATGAAGCTAGGCAGAGGAAAGTTCTTTAATATTTACCTAGTGTGCACGCCATACCAGGAACTCTACAAGGAAACACACGGAACATGCCCAGCCTCTGGATCAGCCTGACTTGGGGAGACTGCCCGTCAGGCACACCCTGTGCTGGCTCCAGCTTCTGGAGTTTCTGGCGAATCATACCTGAAAGGATTATCATCTTCACCCAGTGTCCGGATCATCAGCCATGGAAGTTTGTTTGTTCAACACAGGCTGAATCAGTTCCATGTTGAATAACACACATTTTCCTTCTTGAAATATTCTTAGAACAATGTTTTCATTTTCTCCAAGGAAAAACTTGCTCAGACACAGTTCTTTCTGATCCAAACCCCCTGCTTGCCTCTGCCTCCTCTCATTGTTGTAAAACCCAAGTGTTTCTATTCCTCTACTCTAAACCCGCTCAGAGGGAATTCTGCCTTTTGATTTGGAGGTATATTTTTCCATCCACATATGGCAGTATCCAGTAATAATATTATACATCTAAAGGAAGGAGCAAAATTTTAATCTGTGTGCAGCTGCATGTATCCTGCTTCTCTCCTATGGCAGGATTTTCTAGTTAAACCTCTGGCTAGTTGGAAGATGATATTAGTTATAGAACTAGTTTGTTTAGCCAAAAAAGATATAAGTGGAAGCAGTACTCATGATATAGAAATACTTAAAACTTTGGAGAGACAATCTGAAGACCTAACTGGTGTGTTAGTCAGTAAGTTTTAACTCCCTTTAAATTGAGAATGAATCCCAGGGCCCAACATTATGAGATGCTAAGTAGCTTCTAAAGGGATTACTGTCAGACTTAAAAGTGTTTTCTTTTGGCCAGAGCTTTAGTGGTCTTCATATAAAATATCAGCTGCTATTATTATTAAACTTTCTATACTGAAAAATAATGTAGTATAATAATGATATTATTTCAGGCAAGATTTAGTTACATGTTACAAATACTTTAAAAAGTAGGCTGGGCATGGTGGCTCATACCTGTAATCCCAGCACTTTGGAACACTGAAGTAGGAGGATCCATTCAGCCCGGTAGTTTGAGAACAGCTTGGGCAACATAGCAAGACTCCATCTCAATCAATCAATCAATCAAGAAGCCGGATGTGGTGGCATGCTCCTGTAGTCCCAGCTACTTGGGAGGCAGAGGCAGAAGGATCACTTGAAGCCAGGAGTTTGAGTTTGCAGTGAGCTATATGATTGCACCACTGCACTCTAACCTGGGGGACAGAACAAGACCCTGTCTCTAAAGAAAAAATAAAAGTAGACACTATTGAATAGCCAACTAAGTTAGAGTTGAATCCATGTAATATCAGTCTATCCCAGCATCTTATGAGGTGGGTAAACACCAAGTCAGTCAACTTCTATGTTATAAAAACAAAACAAAACAGAGGCAGAAGGGAGAATTCCCAGCATAACGAGTTGGTGGGGGCATTGTAGGATAGGCAGGTGGTTCAGCGTTCCTCCTCAAATATCCCTAACTCCCACCTCACCACTAGGTCCAGTGCAGGGAACTCTTCTACAGTATTTCTGCTTACCCAGCCTCTCCTTGCATGGTTTCCCACTACTGGACAAGTCAGTTCATTTCTTATCTTCATGGCTCTAATTGTTAGAAAGTTGAAATTGTGAGTCCTCAACACTCCACCTTCAATAATTGCTGTCCATACTCATAGCCAAGACAAGCTGTTATTTTATGCTGTCAAGTTTTAGAACACATGCAGAGCTCACATAAAGCATTTACCATGGATTGTTAGTGTTTTAGCAGAGTTGAAAGGAGTCAAGTACCAACAGTACATGAGAAATATCTTATCCGTCTCATTAACACCTCCTTTGCTTTGATAAAAAGTCCTCAAGTGGTCTTGGGAACATACTACAGATGTGCAGTTCGGCATGGAAATTGGAAAACTCAGATAGGGCTTCGATGGAAGTCACCCATTCAAACCTGTCTTCAACTTCCATTCGACTCCTCTTGTTATAATGTTGATAGCAAGGAAGAGAGGGCCATACCTAGGTTCAAGTAGTGGGCATATCTGAGAAGAGGGCTGGGGGATAGCTGGTCACTCAGCTACAGCTTTTTATTGGCCATGCTGCATGCTCAACTTCACTCCTGAGGAAATGGGATCAAGAACAACACAATATCACTTTTGCTCAGCAAGCCACTATATCATATAATCACAGAGCTAGAAGGTCAACCCCCGTATTTTACAGATTGTAAAACAGATTTAATAGCCTTTGACAGAAGGTTTGTAAACCTAAATGGCTACAGGACCAAGAAAGAAACACAAATGAATGAAATGTTCCAGGCGGAAAATCTAAATGGCCCCTTTTTCGTTTTTTGTTTTGTTTGTTTGTTTGTTTGTTTGTTTGTTTGTTTGAGACAGAGTCTCTCTCTGTTGCCCAGGCTGGAGTGCAGTGCAGTGGCGAGATCTCGGCTCACTGCAAGCTCCGCCTCCCGGGTTCACACCTTCTCCCGCTTCAGCCTCCCGAGTAGCTGGGACTACAGGCGCCTGCCACCATGCCCGGCTAATTTTTTGTATTTTTAGTAGAGACAGGGTTTCACCATGTTAGCCAGGATGCTTTCGATCTGCTTATCTAGTGATCTGCCTGCCTTGGCCTCCCAAAGTGCTGGGATTACAGGCATGAGCCACTGCGCCCGGTCCTAAATGGCCCTTTTTTCAAGAACACAATGAGGAGTGGTGAGGACTGGGGCAAATGGAGGACTCGTGCCCCATCTAAAGGAGTCAGCTGCTTCTCAACTCTAATAGGTTATTTTTATTTTTATTTATTTTTTATTTTACTTTAAATTTTGGGATACATGTGCAGAATGTGCAGGTTTGTTACATAGGTATATATGTGCCATGGTGGTCTGCTGCACCCATCAACCTGTCATCTAGGTTTTAAGCCCTGCATGCATTAGGTATTTGTCCTAATGCTCTCCCTCCCTTTGCTCCCCACCCACTAACAGGCCCTGATGTGTGGTGTTCCTCAATAGGTTCTTATGATGAAGGAATGCAGACCCAGTGTTGCCAGAAATCTGGATTTTTAAGTGAACCATCACAAATGACTCAATTTGAAATTTTAAAGCATTATGTGGAATAACATGGTATAGGCCAACCAAAACAAGCCTGGGAGTCAAATGCCATTTGCAGATGCTGGCCTGGGGTCAGAGAGGCTCATGGAAGGGTTGTGTCCTGAATAAGGCATTTGAGATGGGACTATGAATGAGTCCAGATGGTTTTCTACAATAGGCCTTTGCCAATCCCTTCCCTCTTCTCCAGAAAAAAATTGAGCTATGATTTGTGCCATTCTGGGAAAAATGACTGTTGCCCTCTGAGATCAAGGAGCTTATCAGGGTGCAGAGGAGGAAGCTAGCTGAGAATGGGAGTGTGGAGCATGGATACAAAAGCAGCAAGGACAGAGCATGAACACAGGAGGCACAAAGTTCTAGCACATTTGAAGACACGCCTAAACTCTTGCCATTAGAACCTTCAACATTTTTCCCCTTTTCCCAAAATCGTCCCTTTGCTTACTACATATTGTCAGTACCGCCTTCAACCAAAAGCATAGTTAATGGATTTGATATCAACGCTCTCAAGTCTTAATACACCGTGTTACCTGTGACTTCGACTGACATATCCTTTCCAGGGGATCAGATGGGAAGGGTGCCTGACAGGAACACTGGAGAATTTCAGTCCTGATTTGAAATGAATGATTTAAGCCAACTGATGCCGAAACGTGGTGTGTTCAGAGGACCCGCTGGAGGAATGCAGCGTTGTGCCTCTCCCCATTTATCATGGTGTTTACAAATCCTGTTAGAAGTTGAAAGTAAATTATCATCCTGCTCTTAATGACTGTTTTTTAGCTAAGAATTTTAGAGGTGATTGAGAGTGAACCCATCACTGTAGTCATGTGAAGGAGTGGAGGGAAAGGAGTGGGGGAGGCACCCAGGGCATGCATAATACTTGATCTAGGAGAGGTGCTCATGGCCAGGTCTGGAAAGTCGGAAGCACCTCTCCTTCAGATCATTCCTGTCCCAGTTGGATGGCTTATAAAATGTGGGGTGTTTCACATTCACATTCACTGGGATTTGAGTTTTGATCAGGAGACAGGATCAAAGAATCCTCAGTTTCAGATATGTGTACAAATATGAGTGGTGCATCAAGTGAGGAAGACAACGCCTTCGCTTCAAGGAACTCCACGCTAATCTCCTAGGCTTCTCAGTCATCATATCTGAGAATATTTATCTTAGAGGAGAGAAGACTCAGAGGGGTTGTGTCTGCCTTCTGATACTTGAAAAGACCAGTATGGGAAAGCAGGATTAGACTCCAGAGGGCAGAATTAGGACCAGTGGGTTAAAGTTAAGGGAAGCAGAAGTCAGTTTGACATTAGGTTTGACATTAGATTCTTTGAAAATAAAAAAGGCCTGGGGTTGGACAACACTTTGGTAGCAGATGTTCTAAAAAAAACATTGCAGCATCATACGGGGGTTAGGTAAGACGAAGTTCCTGTTCTCATTTAACCTTGAGATTCTGTAATTCGAATCTGGTTTGGAATCTTGAATGGACCAACCCTCATGCATTTCCTGCCTCCTGGATCATAAATAATGTTTTTAAAACAATCATCTGGAAACAAATTACATAAACAATAATCTGATTTGTACACACATGTTCATAGCAGCATTATTCACAATAGCCAAAAGGTGGAAGCAACCAAGTGTTCATTGATAGATGAATGGATAAACAAAATATAGTGTATCCATTCATATGCATACACACACACACACAATGAAATATCATTCAGCCTTAAAAAAATGAAATTCTGACTCATGCTATCCCATGGATGAAACTTGAGGATGTTATACTAAGTGAAATAAGCCAGTCACAAAAAGACAAATACTATCTGATTCCGATTATCTGAGGTACCTAGAGTAGTCAAACTCATTGAGAGAAAAAGTAGAATGGTGGCTGTCGGGGACTGGGTAAGTGGGGAAAGGGAGAGCTATTGCTTAATGGTGACTTTCAGTTTTGCAAGATGAGAAGCATCCTGTGGATGGATAGTGGTGATGGGATGCAGCAATATGTTTGCACTTAACACTATGAACTGTTCCCCAAAAAATGGCTCAGATAGTAAATTGCATGTGTATTCTACCACAATTTAAAAATACCTAAAGAAATAACAATAATTGGTCTACCAATTGGACTTCCCTCCTGCAGAAGTTAACATGGAACAGATAGTGAAGTTAAACACATAATAAAAGAGATACAAAATGTGAGCAAATCTCAGAAGTCAAAATTAAATGAATGTGTATTTAAAAATCAACCTACTTTGCATTTGAAAGGTGAAGTAGCACTGTATTTTAACTGGATGAGTATTACCCGCACAGGCTAATGGTGCGGGTGAAGAGCCTGGTGAAGAGCACAGGCTCCAGGGCCAGAATCCTGGGTTCAAGTCCTGGCTCTGTCTTAGACTAGACCTTGGGAAAATTACTTAATCTTTCTGTGCCTCAGTTTCATTATCTGCAGAAATAGAGTTATTTGTGAGACAAGTAAGAGAATGTATAAAACATTTAGAACTGAGCATGGCAGATCATAGATTAATAATGCTAGCTGCTGTTGTTGTTATAAGGCAGAATGAAAGGCTGTGTTTGGAGTTGACCTGATGTATTAACTTTTACTCATTTTTTCCCCTAAAGAATTTATTTAATTCACATAATAACCATGTTGGTGTTTGAATGATATATAATGCTTTAACTGAATATTTTTCTGTCCCAGTGGGTGACATTATGAAAATAATGAGACTGATGATACATTAATACAAAGAAGTTTTTGTAATCTAAGGAAATTTACTTTTGACCACAGTCAGATATTTTTCAGGCTTCAACTTTGTAGACTTATGCTAAGATGTATGACTACTTCATTGCATTACAGAAATGTAATTTAATCATCTAAGGGTTTTTGGTTTGTTATTAAAGTTTTAATTCTCTAAGGTATAGTGTGAGGCTAATAGTGTTTTCTGAGTTCCAGGAATTGACCTATATTTATTGTATTTTTTAACCAATAATTAACACATAGAATATTAATTAAAATATGAAAACTAAATTTAAGGTACCTGGATAGTCCTGTAAAATCTAAAACTTTTTTAACACTAAAATATTAACTGTTAGAATGAGAATTTGAAACTTGTAAACACATAAGGTGTTTGTTTACTGTATATTAGGTTTGAAAATTATGTATACATCTATCTCCACATTGGTATGATTTGAGCTGAGCTTAGAAACAAGATGCTGGCAAGCATGAAAAGTTGAACATCATGAATATAAGTGTGGCTGGGCGCAGTGGCTCACGCCTGTAATCCCAACACTTTGGGAGTCCAAGGCAGGAGGATTGCTTGAGGCCAGGAGTTTCAAACCAGCTTGGGCAACACAGGGAGACTCCATATCTAAAAATGAAAATTAAAATAATTAGCTGGGCGTGGTGGCATGTGCCTATAGGCCTAGCTACTTGGGGAGGCTGAGGTGGAAGGATCACTTGAGTCCAGGTGTTCAAGGCTGCAGTGAGCTATGATCATGCCATTAAACTCCAGCCTGGATGACAGAGGGAGACTGTCTCTAAAAAAAAGTAATTAATGTTGTTAAAACCACAACTCTTACATAAGCAGTTACTATATTAAAGATGTATGCAATGACTATTCATTCCTCAAATATTTTTTGATTCCTTGTTATGTGATGGGCTACCCTGCTTACCAATAATACAGATTGAGGACTTAATTTTTTAAATCTTTAAACTTTTTATTTGAAAATAATTTCAAACTTAATAGGAAAGTTACAAGAGTAAGAACAGTACACAAAGCACTCATTTACCTTTTATCCAGTTTCACCTATTGCCCCCATTTGCTTTATCACATAGCCTATGTACTATAATATTTTTTGAACCACTGAAGATAAGTTAGAGTATGGCCCTTTTATGCCTCAATATTTCAATGCATATTTCCTAAGAACATGGATATTCTCTTTTATAGCTACAGTATAATTGTCAACTCTAGTAATTTTAACATTGATGTAATACTTTATTTTCTGAATTTCTGTTTTGTTAGTTGACTCAATAATGTCCTTTATAGCTTATTTTTTCCTTCCAGTACAGGATCCATTCCCAGGCCTGGTATTGTATTTAGTTCTCATGTCTTTTTAGTTGATTTTTTCTTGAGACGAAGTCTCACTCTGTTGCCCAGGCTGCAACCTCTGCCTCCCAGGTTCAAGTGATTCTACTGCCTCAGCCTCCTGAGTAGCTGGGATAATAGGCACCTGCCACCATGCCCGGCTAATTTTTGTATTTTTAGTAGAGACGGGGTTTCACAGTGTTGGTTAGGCTGGTCTCAAACTCCTGACCTTAAATGATCCACCTGCCTTAGCCTCTCAAAGTGCTGGGATTACAGGCATGAGCCACTGTGCCCAGGCTTCTTTTTCATTTCTTTTAATCTGGAACATGTGCCATCCTTTCTTTAATGAATTGTGATTTTTGAAGAATATAATCCTCCTTGTTTTCAATAAAGGACAAAGAACACTTAATTTGACTTTCTGACCCATATTGTGTTTGAATGAAAAATGATTTACTCTGCTGGATTCTCTGTGGAGCCCCGTGATCACAGTGCTG
This sequence comes from Homo sapiens, assembly GCF_000001405.40. Lineage (NCBI taxonomy): Eukaryota > Metazoa > Chordata > Mammalia > Primates > Hominidae > Homo > Homo sapiens. The sequence goes on from NC_000004.12 coordinate 76,619,344, forward strand.
AGTCCCTGTGTCATGGTACTTCAGCTTGGAATATGAGGTTTCTAAATGGACCAATCCAGTCTTGGGAGAGCAGCCTGCTCTTAAAGAGGGTTATTGACCAAATGTCTTCACATTGTAGTGAAATTTATAAACATACAAGCATTTGCCTAAAAATTTCTGAAATACTGAGTAATCCCATGGTCTTTTATTCAATTATTTTCATAGAAGTGTGAAAGCAAGCAGTAAAAGAGCTGAGGGGTGTATCCAGAAGTTCAGTGGAAACATGGGGATACAGACTTACTATCTAATGAGAGGCGAGCTACTGTTTTTATTGTAAGAGACAGAGCTGTAATGGTTTAGAGGAAAAGTGGTGAAGATTTGAATTAGGGGATTGTAGTAGAATGAAGTAGAGGGGACGGTCACACAAACCCAGAGGGCTTTAAGAAACAATAGGATTGGCCAGGCGTGGTGGCTCATGCCTCTAATCCTAACATTCTGGGAGGCCGAGGCGGGTGGATCACCTGAGGTCAGGAGTTCGAGACCAGCCTGGCCAACATGGCAAAACCCTGTCTCTACTAAAAATACAAAAATTACCCAGGAGTGGTGGCACATGCCTGTAATCCGACCTACTCGGGAGGCTGAGGCAGGAGAATTACTTGAACCTGGTGGAGGGGAGAGGCAGGAGTTGCAGTGAGCCAAGATGATGCCACAGCACTCCAGCCTGGGCAACAGAACAGGAATCTATCTCAAAAAAAAAAAAAAAAAAAAAAAGAAGAAAAGAAAAAGAAACAATAGGATTTGATCACTAATTTTTTGTGAGGGATGTTTGAAGCTCATCGACTTGTGGAATTGTGAGGTTGTTAGTAGAAATGGGCAATTTGGGAAGACAGTCTGGGACTTTTTTGTTTGTTCTGGGAAAAGGTGATGATTTTGGTCTTGGAGAGGTCTTGGGCTCTGCTGATGAAGGTGTCCAACAGGCAGTTGGAAATGTAGAATAAAGCCAAGGAGAGCATCCAAAGACATATTAGAGATACGGGAATTATCTACATAGAGGGTGACCATTAAAGATGAGAATGAATGGGATCCCCAAGGGCGAGAGCAGAAGTGCCCAGGAGAGGAGGGCTGGTACCTTGGTACTTACAGGAAGAAGTAAACCTAGCACAAGTGACAGGTGGAGGACTAATAAGAACACATTGTTTCAGAGGCCAAGGGAAGAAAGTTTTAGACGGAGGGAATGGTTGGCAATGCCAACAGCAAGGGAGTGTGTGGACACTGAGAAGAGGCAGGCAGATTTGGCAATTGAGGTGGAGCCGTTTGGACAAACTTGAAAGCCCGACTACAGGGGATTAATAAATGTGAGTGGAGAACGGTGAGGCAGAGGCGGAAAGGGCAGGGGGCTGTGTGGCAATGTTCAGCTCTAGAGGCAGTGAAAAGATGGGAACTTAGGGTCACCAGGCTGAGGAACCCGATGACCATCTTCCTGTGTAACGTTCAGTCTTTCATTGTAGTGAGGAGGCATTTCTCCACTCTTTAATGACTCTTTTAAATCATTCAACAGTCACTTCTACCCAGAAGCAGATGAAAGGATGAAGGGGCACTTTTCCCTGGGTCAGCAGAACAGCACCTTATCAGCACCATTATGTGATCTGAAGGGACTAGGATTAAAACCCTTAAGCATCCTGCCCTCCAGGGAAATGTGGAAACCTGAAGCAGCCCCTTATAACAGAAAGACTCTAGAAAAGTAAAGCTGGTTTCAGTGGGATTTCTGTGGTTTTCTCCATTGATTTTTCATTTCCACCTCCAAGAGCCTTTTATTGCCAAGTATTAAAAAAAAAAACAAAAAACTTCCTGTCAGTCAAGGGCAGAGTCTCAGCACTGCAGAGAGCCTCACACTGGGCTAACACCTGTCCCAGGAAGTTACCGAATGACAAGCTAAGGTGATCATCAGACTGTTCCAGAAACCCTATCAGGAGCTGCAGAGTCACCTGGTACATTAGCCCAGCAGGCCCAACATGTCCCTTCAGAGAGGCTGGACTAACGCTGATTAAGAGAAAACACAAACAGTACAAAGAAGGATTGCTAATAGGAATTATTTTACACACCTTTCTAGTTCACAAACCACCACCTTTGCACCAAAGCAAACTTGGGCTATTGAGCCTTGGAGGTTATTTATTTGTATGTGCAGGGCAGTGGTTTGGGTGAAGCTTGATTTTCTCACCATCATTCTTTCTTTTTCCTTCCACCTTAGGGAACAAACAGACCCTCTGTCACATTTTTATAAAGAGTAGTTGTCCTGGTGTTTTCAAAGTTGGGTTGTGCCTCAGAAACAAAACAGAAATTACAAAGAAGTGTGTGAAATGAATCAGTGTGTTAACATCTGAACTAATATGGAGTAAGTGTTTATGCTGCTTGTTTCAGAACTGCATATTCAGCATGAGATACAGGTCCCAGTTGCCTAAATAACATAGTTCCAGCGTTTTCTTTAGGTCTGAGACAGTTTGAATGTTCTTTTTTTTTTTTTTTTTGAGACAGAGTCTCACTCTGTTACCCAGGCTGGAGTGCAATGACACGATCTCCGGCTCACTGCAACCTCCACATCCCGGGTTCAAGCAATTCTCCTGCCTCAGCTTCCCAAGTATCTGGGATTACAGGCACCTGCTACCACGCCTGGCTAATTTTTATATTTTTAGTAGAGTCGGGGTTTCACCATGCTGGGCAGGCTGGTCTTGAACTCCTTACCTCAGGCGATCCACCCACCTCGGCCTCCCAAAGTGCTGGGATTGCGCACGGCTGAATGTTCTTCCATTCTTTATATCCCATTTAGTTTTGGGAAATTGGACGACTAGACCTAGTCGTGCTAGGGGCACTCCTATGCTTGATGTCAGAATTACTCATTTTCCCCTAGGCACTTTTTCTTTGTGAATTTATCTTTAAAGGACAGCCTCATCAGCATGGACTCATCTGGTACAATACTAGTTTGTAGAACCATAGCACTTGTATTCACTCTTACCTTCTTTTCCTGGAACCAAATCTTTTACTTGAATGTCAATAAAATGGCCCTTCTCAGCAACGGAACATTCTTGACTCCTGAGGCAGGGAAGGAAGCCAGGCACTTGTACATTTGTTTTCAAACGAACTGGTTCTTATGTTGTAAATATTTAACCATTCACCATAGTATTCCTACCAAAGTTTCCATTTGATTTTCAGTTAATTCCATTTCTCACAAGCAGATAAAGGCTCTTTCACTTTCCAGAACCCTCTTTTAAGCAAATATAGATTATATTTTTGGCTCAAGAAGGAACAAAAAATGGAATTTGGAAGGCATATTTTTTCCTTGGTTGAAGAAAGGAGGCCACGGGGAAGTAATTCCACCAAGAAAGTATAATGGGTGTTATGGTAAATCTTCATGATGGCCATGAATATTTTTATTGTTCCCTACCCTGTCTTTGCTTAAATTGCTAGAGTTGTGGCTAAAAGCAAAGCTGGGTTTTTTCTTCTCAGGTTTATAGCTTTGAGAGTCGGGAGGGAGGGACATTAAGTGTAAAAGCTACTGAAGAGGGCCAGGTGATCTTATCTCTTTAATGAAAATGACTGCAGACAGCTTCCTTCCAACTTTTGAGTTATCTGGGTTCCTGAGTGTCCATTTCTCACTGGTGTTTGCTCTTAGGATGAAACTTTAGGAATGCATTAGGCAAAAGATTATGATTTACAGCATACCACTGTTTACTGTTTTAGTAATATATTTGTTTTAGGGAAAAGACCTCCTTATAACACATTTCATGCTTTTGATTTAAGTTGTGACTCCTCTTTCAAGTTTGGGATATTTTGCTTCCAGGAGATGCATTTTGGTCTTTTCCTTTTCTTTTCTCTTCCTTTCTTCCTTCTTCCCTATAACAGGTATCTCCTGCTGCACCAAGTCTGTGGGCAACAATGCAAAAAGTCAACCAAAATCCAAAAGTCTAAGCTGATCCCTTAGTATACCAGTTTTAAGAATGTCTGGTGTCACTTGGACTACAAATGACTTTTAAAGTCAAAGACCATAAGCATGAGTCAAATTGGAAACATTACCTTGTAGAGCCAGTCTGTCTGCCTGGTCACTTAACAGTTTATAAAACTTGACTCCTAGCTAGAAAGTTAATTGCCAGAGGTTCCAAGGAAAGCACTGGACTACCACTCGGAATCCTCCATTTACTACATAGGCCAAATGATCTGGCTCTTTTCAAGGAGTTAGCATGAACATTCTACATTTTTCTTATCCAATATGCACAAATATTTCTTTGAAGAAAGATGACATTTTAAAGGTTCTTATTCAATTAAAACTTCCTAAAGCACTTTTTTTCCCCATTAACTGACAAACATGATACAGAACTATTTTCTTTCAAGATTATTATGCCTCTAAATCTTTTTCTGTCTCTTTCCTATTTAGCTTTGGATTTGCACAAAACACCCAAGCATTTTTCAGCAGTGTGAGCTGAGAGTGTGGAATTGAATGAACACGCCTGGGATTTGAAATGAGAGATCTGGGCGGGGGAAGGGGAGAAAGATATTCCTTGCATACTCATACGCCATAACTGAGGATTCTACATTTTCTTTCTAAAGCATACAGTGGAGATGGTTTATTTCTGAGAGAAATTCTATTTTAGTTTTGTTTTGCTTTTAACCACTATCATGTTTGTATTTGTCATTCTTGTACATGGATTTTAAATTTAGGTTATTTTAATTTTTCTAACCAAATATTTTTCAAATATCCGCTTATGTTGGAGAGAAAAGGACATTCCAAAAGAGTTACCTATAGTGTTTTTAACACATAATTAAAATGATCATAAAACCTTCACATGTGCTTTTTATTTCTCATTAAATGCCAGAGGGAAAGGCAATTGCAGGCGTGTAGTATTCCGACATTTCAGCGTGCTGCACTCCTGTCCTTCCGTCGTCTGGGGCCACATCTGTGATCACTGTCTTGTGCTTGCCAATAGAGGTTTTCTTCTGGATGCTGTGTCTGCTCTTGGTCTTGTGGCTTTAACACCGAAGAGCTGTTGTCTACAAAAGACAGTACATTAGAGCTCCAGAGTTCACTCAGCTGCCTGCTTTGCTCCCGTGGTGACTTCATTCTTGGGAAGTTTTTAGGTTTCCTGGGAGATGAAGCATGAGCAACATTTGCTCCAGCCTGAGTAATTTCAGAAGGCCTTGAGTCCTGTTTTGTTATTCGGGTTTCCAAGGGTGGGTGAGGGGCATGAGAATTCCCAGCAGTTACCACTACACGTGAATACTGGTATCTGGCGACTCTCTGTTACGTTTTTAAAAAGAGTGGTTATCGTGGTGTTTTTAAAGTGGGACTGTGCCTCAGAAGCCAAACAGAAATTATAAAGAGGTGTCTGAAATGAATCAATGTGTTAACATCTGTACTAATATGAGTGTATATGTTGCATATTCCAGAGCTGCCTCAAATTCTTTTAGGATTTAATAATATTGAACATTGGAAAGATTGAATTAAAGCCAGGTAAGACTTGCTATGTTTACAAAATTGTTTGATGTGGTCTACAATGGATTTTAGTATTTTTCTGAGTTAAAAAGAATAATAGCATATGCTTCATAATTTTTGCCTTTATGACCTATTGTTTCTTCATTAACCTCAGTACAATGATATTATATTATTATTGGAATTGAAAAGGTTCCTGTGTAAGCCTTGCTTGGTAATTCAAGTACCCTTGAATTGTATAAGGAGAGCGCAGATATTTTAATGCCAGACTCCTAGTTTATGCAGTACTTTTGGGCTGTAGTTCCCATGTTAAATGAGATGATCAGCCAAATCTTTGCTTTGCCAGGAACCAAAATCATTTCCAAACTACAATAGCAGTATGGTTACAGTTTCAGCTTCATCAGCCCCAAAGTAAATTCTAATAGGTGCTATTGAACATAGTTTAAAATATCCTGGTGAGAAACTATAGGCCTTAAATATTCTGTTTTCAAATTTTTTACCTAACCCCAAATAGCTAGCTTCTTAGTTTTATACAGCTATGCCAAAATAAAATACAACAGAACATTCTTCTTTTGGGGATATGAAACAAATCTTTTCATTTTCAACAGTGATAACCAATCTTCTGTCTCCCTCCCTCTCCCTCAACCCCTCACTTCCCTCCCTCTCCTTCTCCCTCTTTAGTCCCTCCTCCCACCCAGCCTCTCCCTCTGTCTGTCTTTTCTTGCATTACCTAAAGCCCTCATTGCTCACATCTCATCAAGATAAAGTCAAGATTTACACACAATATAGGAAGTGTTTCTCTCCAGCCTCATACCTGACCACAGCATCCTTCCTTTCCTACTTCACACTCCAATCGCCGAGAACCATGTCCAGTTCCTGAGCATACCATACTTTCTGCCTCTTCCTATGTGTTACTTCTCTAACTAGAAGGCTTATCCTCCCCTCTCTAAAGGCTGGCAAATATTCTCATGACATCATGTCTTTGTCTACCCCTATAACTAACCATATTGTATTTAAACTTCTCTCTTCCTTTTTAGACTCTAAGCAACTTGTGAGCAAGGACTGTTTCCATCTCGCTCACTATTATACTTAGAGCCTAGCACAGTGCCTGGCATACAGTAGCTATACAGCACATATTTGTTGAAGGCTCAATTGAGTCTAGTTGTCACTCAGTTTGCTTTAAACATAGAGAACTCTCCTTAACTTTTCGTTTATTGTTGGAGGGAAGAGAGCAGAGGGCAGAATGTGCTCTGTGGTGTTTTATAACTCTGCAGGAGGCAGCTCTTTATAGCATTATATAGATTTAAAATTGAAGCACAAAATGGTTGTGAAGAGGAAGCACGTACGTAGGGCTGCTTCATCAGGCGAACCCTAATTCATGTAAAATTCAACGCTGGGAAATCAAAAGAAAGGAAAATCACTCTCTCCAAGTGGTAGAAATGATAGTGGGATTTTTTTTATCTCTAGGTGGAGATAGTTTTAAAATTTGCCTCCAGTCTGCTACATTAATTCTATTTGCCTGAATATTAATTGTGGGTATTTAAATAAGACAAGTTGAGTTTCACAAATGCTGCTTGCTGCTACATTTCCACCAAAAAGGCAGCTTAAAACTGTTCTTTCTTAAACTATTCCTTCTTAAATACATACCCATTGTCTATCTCAAACACTGCTTACCATTCATCCCCAAGTTGTACAAATAAGAAAAATTTCAGATAACCATGATTGCAGTTATGAAATTGCTGGGATTATGAAGCATAATCTTAGTTTAACATGCATGGGTAGAATTACCTGAAGTAGCTGCCATTTATTCAGAGTCAATGCCAGGCATTTTATTTGCATCATCTCTGATCATCTCAACAACACTGATAGGTGGGTGGTATTGTCCCTCTTTACAGAGGAAGGAATTGAGGCTCAGAGAGGTGAAACACCTTGGCCAAGATCACCTAGTAAGTGGCAAATCTAGGATATGAAACTTGGTCTCTTGGTCCAAAAGCTTCCTTTCTTTATAGCATATTTCTCTTCCTCAATTAAAGCACTATTGTTTTCTCAGGCATTGGATGTTTGTACAGGTCATTTTAGAATACTTTTCTTTGTGTATACCATGATGACATCATGGCTAATGGGCTACCAACAACAGCCTTCTTGAATTCACGCCCACAGACAGCATTGACAGAACTTTAGGATTTTAATCCAAACTGTTGGGAGTCTTCCTATGTCCAAATGATTAGGAATTGCCAAACAGATGAGTCTACAATTGTGTTTCCCAGATTCTACAGCCATATTACAGTATATAGATCGTGTGTGGCTATGTCAAATTATTTGCTTCTGTTAGGATCACAGCACTTTGGGGGATGCGAGTAGGGGCTTTTTCTCTGAATATTATTCTCAGATTTTCTCCCAACTTCCAGACTCAGGAGGTTAACACGTGAACTTCTGGAGAGCAGCCTGCAGGGGGAGATCCTAGGGTTCACGTAAAGCTTACAAAATAGCCTAAAACTTGTGTCCCAAGTCAGACCCTTCAGAACTGTGGTTTTATTTCTGGAATAACATACAACCCAACAGCCATGTCTTTAGAGACTTGTGGCTGAATTAGTTCTGATATTTTAAGAAAATTAAGTTTCAGGTCTTGTAGATATGCCAGTAAGATGTCCACTAGGTAGAGATTCTACCCAATATTGTGTTCTCTATTGTTTATATTCTGTACATGATGGTGGTGACAAGGATTTAGGGAGAATGCCTATTTTAAGCTCTCTGGAAGTCAACTGCCAAGAAAGTCAGCAACCTGTCTTCCTAAAATTATCCACAAAGCCTATGATTATCATAGGTTTAAAGGCATACATATTCCTCTGTTTTGCAAAAGTCTTTTTTTTTTTTTTTAGAAATGGGGTCTTGCTATGTTGCCCAGAATGGAAGGTAGTGGCTATTCATAGGCATGATCATCATGCACTGCAGCCTTGAACTCCTGGTCTCAAATGATCCTCCTGCCTCAGCCTCCCCAGTAGCTGGGACTACGGGTGTGTGCCACCATGTCCAGCCCAAAAGTCTTACTACTAACTTTTATTCACGAAGGTAATTCAAAAGATAGGGCATTGATTCCAACTTATAGAAGCTATAAATATTAGCCCCAAGTTAGTTCCTATAATTCAACATTGGCAACCTCCCCTTCGATGAGAATGTCCTTTCAGGTGCTTCTTCTTCCTTTCTCTATCCTGGATTACCATGTAGGCCTTTTGAAAATAGACACCTACTTTATGACAGTTTGGACAGACTAACAGGTCTGTATGAAAAGGCATTGAAAATATAGGCATGATTTCCCCAAAAGAAACCTAGAAATGGCTTTAAAAAGTTTTAGAAAGTGAGATATAAAAAAATTATAGAGTTAACATTGATGTTAGGAAAGTAGTCCAGGAAGGGATCTTAGATCTTACGTTAGAATGATATTTGGCTACTTCTTTCACTATTAGCAAATTAATTTATATAGATCACTAGATTTTTCCCTGTTTCTGAAATCCTTGGTTCACTGGGGAAATAGCCTTAAATTCAAAGAGAGCAAGGTGTATCATTATTTGTCTCTGTGGTTCAGTGAGCAGGTTGGATCTCTCATGTGTTTCTTGATATGAGGATGGGATCAACCAAGAGGAAATGTGAACAATGCTTAGTGAACCTTAAACAAATTAATGCTTTTCCAGGAAGTGAATGCAGTGGGGCACAGACGTTGGGATTACTCCTAACCTGCAGTGATACTTGTCCTTTACTTCACTCAACAAATACTTATTGTGTCTTTGTGCCAGGGATAAAACATGCCAAAATCCCTGCCTTAGTTGAGATTATATACAGGGTTAGGTATAGATAGTAAATGTTAAACATAACTATTTTATAAAAAGTAATTTACATGAATCTATAACTACTTTATAAAGAATATTTGAAGGGCATTTAAAAATTATAAGTATCAAAGTAAAGAAATAATATTCAAAGATTAGTGCATGGGAAAAAATGGAGAAGAGGATCAGGAGTTCTAGGGTAGGAAAAAGGGTGACAGGTTGAATTTTTTTTTTTTGATACAGGGTCCCGCTTTGTCACCCAGCCTGGAATGCAGTGGTGCGATCTTGACTCACCGCAGCTTGGATCTCCTGGGCTCAAGCGATTCTCCCGTCTCAGCCTCCCGAATAGCTGGGACTACAGGTGTGTGCCACCATTACCCAGCTAAGTTTTTTCTGTATTTTTTATAGAGATGGGGTTTTGCCATGTTGCCCAGGCTGGTCTCTAACTCCTGAGCTCAAGGGATCTGCCCACCTTGGCCTCCAAAATTGCTGGGATTACAGATGTGAACCACCACGCCCAGCTGGTTGTAATTTTAAATAAGGAAGTGAGGGTAAGCCTCAATGCCAAAGCAACATTTGAAGGAGATGAAGATGGTAGCTATGGTGACACCTAGTAAAGGGAATTGTCTGTGCAAAGACTCTAAGGCCAAGACCATGCCTGGTCTGTTTGAAAAAGAGCAAGAAGGCCACTGTGGCTGGGGCAGAGTGAGTGAGGGAGGATAGTACCAGATCAGGTCAAAGAGGTAACGGGTATGTGGGGAGGAGTGGATCATATGGGGACTTGCAGCCCGTTGTAAGGACTTGCTTTTATTCTGGTGAAATGATGAAAGGTTGCAGGGTTTTGAGCAGAGAATCAACATACTTTGGCTTATATTTTAGAATAATCACTCTGGCTATGAAGACTGGAGGTGAGCAGATAAGGGCAAGGCAAGGATTCCAGTGAGGAGGCTGTGGCACGGATCCAGGACAGAGATGCTGGTGACTTGGACCTGGATCATAGCGAGGGAGATGGGAGATGTGGTTGGATTCTGTATTTATTTTGAAGGTCGAAACAACAGTATCTACTGGAATGCTCAATGTGGGGTGAGAGAAAGAGAGAAGTCAAGCTTTTAGTGTTGAGTACCAGGTGGCTGGAACTGCCATCAACTGAGATGGAAAAGATAAGAAGTGAAACAGGCAAGAAAGGTTTTAAACATTGTAAATTGTGTATAGCTACTAAAATTGGGTGCAGATGTTAATGAGGCAGATTGGTGTATGAATCTGGTATTTAGGAGTGGAAACTGGGCTGGATATGTGAATTTTGGAGTCTTCAGCCTATATATGAACCATGAAATTTCCATGGGAAGTTGCTAATTCCTGAAAGTCCCGTCTCAAGAAGTTGCAGCCAATGACACAGGACTCAGTCTAGTCCTCTGGCCAAGTTGATCTTGACTTTTATTGTCTTTTAACTACAGTAGCACTGCACCAATCATAACCAGCTACACTTGTTAGTTTCATTGTTTTGTATTTACTGGTTCACCATATTTTCATACCACGTACAGCTTGAACTAGGGGTCATCTACTAAAATCCTCTCATTTTACAGATAAAGAGGCTAGGCTCAGAGGAGTTAAATGACTTGCCCAAAATTACACGAAATGGTTACAGCGGGACCAGGAGTGCCTACCTTTCAGCTCTTTCCTCTTCCTTACACCAGCTAGAGCACTTGCAGCTTCATTAGATGGAGCAGGAAAGGTGATAACAGAGAGGTAAAGTCAGAGGTCATTTCTGCCACCAATTGTTTCCTTCAAAGCAAAACTCCAGGTAGTAGAGCTCTCTTATGCATTAACTTTGGTGGCACTTGCATCCTGTACAGTAAAAAGCCACAGGCGAAGTCTAGCAGACCTGCCCTTTGAAGGGAGAGTCGGAGAGAGCCTTCTGAGTTGCTCAGGCCAGGTTTTGGATAAATCAGGGGGTGACCATTGGATTATAGGAAGCTGGGACATGGGGAAATCATTTTTTTTCCATTCAATCAGTCACAAAAAAGTGATTCTTTTCCTGTTAGACTAGGAAACTTAAGGAAGAAGGATAAGAAAGAGAATGTAGGCGACTCTGCCACGAGCTTTTGATGATTCTTAATGATAAATTGGAGAAGCCTGGAAAGAGCTAAAGGAATATAGAATTGAACATACTTTTTATTTGACTGTGGATTACAGTCAGAGATATATTCCACTTGAATTTACCCCAAGTGCCAGCACTTTCTTAGCTATTGTGAATTATGTGGATGGGCTACTGAGTTCCAATGGGTCATTATGTATAATTTGTAAACTGCTGTTCCACTTAGAGAGAATTAACTCATTGAACAAATATTCATGGGTTGCAGGCATGGGAATTGTAGGATGAATAAGATAGATGAGGTATTTGTTTTCATAGAATTTACAGTCTTATAGGGGTATGCAGACAACAAACAAATAAGCAAAGAAGGTAAGTTCAGACAGTAATAAGTGCTATGAAGAAAATGGAACGGGGTCTTGGGATAGAGAGAGATTGAGTGAGGTGCTTTAATAGGAGGGTCAGAGAAAGACAGGTGACTTTTTTTTAATCTTTTTTTTTTTTTTTTTTTTTGAGATGGAGTCTTGCTCTGTTGCACCCAGGCTGGAGTGTAGTGGTGCAATCTTGGCTCACTGAAACCTCTACCTCTGGGTTCAAGTAATTATCCTGCCTCAGTCTCCTAAGTAGCTGAGATTACAGGTGCCTGCCACCACGCCCAGCTAATTTTTTGTATTTTTTTTTAGTAGAGATGGGGTTTCACCATATTGGCCAGGCTGGTCTTGAACTCCCAACCTCAGGTGATCCACCCGCCTCAGCCTCCCAAAGTGCTGGGATTACAGACATGAGCCACCACACCTGGCCGCAAGGTGACTTTTGAACTGAAACCTAAACCATAGGAAAGAACCAGCCACATGGAGATGTGGGCTATTCCAGGCAGAGAGAAAAATCCCAAGAGCAAGGGCCTTGATGTGGGAACAATCTTAGCAGTATGACAGAAGCACAGCGAGCAGGGTTGGGACCACATCACGTAGGGCCTCATAGGCCATAGTAAGAATTGTATTCTAAGTATAGCACGAGGCTACTGGAGCATTTTAAGCAAAGGAAAAATTATTATCAACTTTATTTCTTGAAATCACACTGAGATTCCTTTTTTTGAGGAAATAGAGTCAATGAGGGAAAAAGTCGAAGCAGAGAGGGAGACCAGTTATGAAATTATTACACCAATCTAAGGAGATGGTGGTAGCTTAGGGTGGTAGCAGTGAAGATAGCTGAAGTGATGAAATTTGGGACTGATCGGATCAACTGACTTGCAGATGATTGAATAAAAGGATTAAGGGAAGAAACAATGGAGGAGACACTGGGTTTTATCTGAATAATTGGGATGGTAATGGGATCATGAGTCAAGATGGGGAAAACTGGAGAATAGCAAGTTTGTAGAGTAGAGGTTGAGGGGTTGGGAACAGCAGAATTCAGAGTTCTATTTTAGATTTATTATGTTGGATAGACCAATCTGACATCCGGGCAGGTAATTGTACAAAAGAGTTTGGAATCTGAGGGAGAGAGAGAGCCAGAGAGAGAAAGTTGAGAATTACCAACTTTGTATAAATAATATTTAAGTTCAAAGGACTGGAATCCCTCATCCTAGGAAAGAATGTAGATAGAGATATGAAGACCAAGCCCTGGGACATATCAACCTCATGAGGAGATGGACCCAGCAAAGGCTACTTAAAAGAAACAGTGAGTTGGGGACAAGGAGAGAAACTCAGTAGGGTGTGGAGGTGTGGAAGTCAAGAAAAGAAAGTGTTTAAGGAGGCAATAGTGAGCTGTGATGAATGCTGCTGAGGGGTCCATGACATAAACACAAATCATTGACTTGGCAAGAGGTGGCTTTGACAGAGCAATTACTGGGGATGGAGGGGAAGAAGGCTGAACTGCAGTGGGTTGAAGGGAGAATGGGAAATGACAAAATGAAGACAAGTACAGACAATTTATGTTTGGAGTTTCTATCACCATTTTAGCTAGTGATACGGTAATGAGGCAGGACTACAAGCAGTATTGGTAGAAAAACTCCCAATTATTAGGCTTTAAAAAGGCGAATTAAAACTAATACATATTCCTAGGAAATTTGATCTGCTGTGTCTACTTGGGGGGATTAAGTTTTCATGGAGACACCTTGATGAGTATCCATGTTGCCTTTACCAATCTTGAATACTAATTTCTTGGATCTGTTTCCTGCAGCTCTACCCCTCAAATAGAACAAAAAGCAATAATAAGAAAAACCCAGTATTTATAGAGCACATAGTGTGCAGTTTAAAGGTGTTTTTGCTCATTTTATCCTCACAATTCCTCAGGAGGTAGGAGCTGTTATAATCCCTTTTTGATAAGGTCACACGACTATTCTAAACTCCAGGTGATCAATTGACAATTGAAATCTTGCAGCCGAGCGCGGTGGCTCATGCCTGTAATCCCAGCACTTTGGAAGGCTGAGGCGGGGGAATCTCTTGAGGCCAGGAGTTTGAGACCATCCTGGCTAACTTGGTGAGTCTCTATGTGGTGGCACACATCCGTAGTCCCAGCTACTCAGGAGGCTGAGGCATGAGAATCGCTTGAATCTGGGAAGTGGAGGTTGCAGTGGAGGGACACTGCACTCCAGCCTGGGGGACAGAGTAAGACTCAGTCTCAAAAAAAAAAAAAAAAAAAAAGAAAAAGAAAAAGGAAAAGAAATCTTGTTAACTGGCCGGGCGTGGTGGCTCACGCCTGTAATCCCAGCCAAGGCAGGCGGATCACGAGGTCGGGAGATCGAGACCATTCTGACTAACACGGTGAAAGCCCGTCTCTATTAAAAATACAAAAAATTAGCCGGGTGTGGTGGCGGGCGCCTGTAAGTCCCAGCTATGCGGGAGGCTGAGGCAGCAGAATGGCGTGAACCCGGGAGGCGGAGCTTGCAGTGAGCCGAGATTGCGCCACCGCACTCCAGCCTGGGTGGCAGAGCGAGACTCCGTCTCAAAAAAAAAAAAAAAAAAAAAAGAAAAGAAATTCTGCAACACACCTTGTACTTGAGTTGGGTGGTGCCTTTGTTTCAGCAAAAAATCTTCATTTTCTCTCTCCTTCTCACCCAAATACCCAATAGTATGTTTAAATAATAGCATTGGGATTGGAACCCAGGCAGTCTGGGAGCTCCAGGCCCCTAGTCTCAACCAATATGCTATCCTTTAATACCAGGCAAATGGAAGGGAGACTCCGGAAAGGAAAAGCAGATGACATTTTATCAAATCAGTATTGGTATAGAATGACATAGATGTTATAATGCATTGAGCTAGAATGGAAAATTTTATCCTGGAGAACCCTTCTTAATGGTGTTTTTAAATCTGTGTGCCAGTAGAGCCCATACTAATGGAGTGCTAGTCCTCAATATTCTCCCCTAACACCCATTCTCACTCTGCTAATAAACTGTCCCTCAAAATCAAAATGAAAGTGTCACGTATGTACACTTTCCTTTTGGAAAGCATTTTGGTATTTTTCTACCTGACAGCTAGGAAAACAGATAATTGATTGATTTGTTGCCTTTATTGTTTTTAAGTGCCTCTTACTTCGTGCATAGAATTTGGGGCATTTCCTGAGGAGTAATAAGCCCTCAGGAGGAGACCTTATCCTCCAAGGTATAGAAAGTCCTAGCAGACGTTGGTGGCCAGGAAGTGCCCTAGACTGGAATTATTTTTGTTGTTCTAATCTGAAAATGACAACATAGAACACAGCCAACAGCATGCAGCATTTTATTATGGTGATGCAGCTTTAATTGGTATGTAGAGGGCATGCCTGTGAAATTAGTCCTTAGTGTATTGGCCAATCAGATCACTTTCAACGTTTCCCAATGTTTAGTTTCATCTTATAATTAAGTAATAATGATCATTTCCTGGCAGCTAATGACTAGCTAGAGGAGTTAGAAGCCTCATTAGGTTTATAATTTATCAAACTCTAAGCTTTTCATCAGTAGTGTTGCAAAAAGAGAAAGCATCTTCAAATTCCAAAATGATTCAAAACAATCTCTAACCGTATTTCATATATGTATTCACTTGTTCTTTGAAGGGTGACTTTATTTTTAAACTTTTAAAAATAACTGTATTTTATTATATAAGCAGGAAAAAATGTTTGTGTGACTTAGAGGAAGAAGGAAAGAGATGTATTGAACTCTGTTAGCACATACACACACTCTAAAAGCAGAATTGATAGACCGTGTTTCCTTTAAGAATCTTTTTGTGACAATTCCACACCCTTTCCTGAAGCTGGCTTGACTATCCATTAATTCCAGCAATAGCATCATTGTATTTACTCCACAGATATTTATTGAGCACCTACTGTGTGTTGGGCATTATGCTGACGATACTGCAGGGGCCAGAAGAGAACGGGGGGAGATGGGAACAAAACCTCCTGTCTTTATTAAGCTGATATTATCATCTTAAAGTTTCTGTCTTCAAAATTACCCTGGAAGACTGCAATTAGATATGTTCAAAGAGGCCAAGCTAAAGGTAGAGGAAGACCCTCACTGAACCATGTGGACACCTTGCCTCTGACTGTCTCCTCATCCATACGGCCATTACATAGTAGCTCCAGCTTCTGCTAACTCAAGGGTCACTCACTGATCAACCATATTTGGGGGATTACAATCCTCCTTTTGGTGAGAGAAAGTGTAAATCTCTTCTCCTAGTTTGAGACCTGCCCTCCTCTTCGTTTTGGGACCTGACATGAGCTGGTCATAAAAGAAAAAACCAGAACCAAAAAACAGTGTCTTCTAATTCCAACTCGTTTCCCCTTGAGTTCCTAATGGTTGGGGTATTTATTAAATAAGTACAGCCTGATGGAGGGACAGCCAGACCTACCATTCAGGTTGTAGAATTCTAGAAATGTGGAACTCAGGGACTCTTCCAAAGAAATTCTGTCCTGCCTAAATCAGGTCTGAAAGGCCTCTGGAGAAATGGAACAACAGCCTATGTGTACTCACTCTCTTGGTCTTTCATTGGAGTCACTCCTGGGAATCCCTCAAAGATATTTTCTGTCCACACACTCATGAGTTCCTTGAAGCAGAGTAATCTTAGGTGCTCAGAGAAACTCCGTAGTTCCTTCACCATAGGAGCCACTTGAGATGTGAGGTCCTCTGGATCATCAGGGTTGGCAAAAGCACGCAGCAGAACTCCAGGGAAACTGCTGGCATTTGGTTTGTGCTGTCAGATCAATCCTAGGATTTCAACATCAGAAATACCCATTATTGTCCTCTCTGAAATCTGTGGGCATTAGCCCTGGTGCCTCATGTAAAAGTTAGCCTTCTGGTTTCCAAACCAATTCTCTTCGTGGTAGACTCTTCATGACCAAGAATTGGGACTTCCCAGCTCTCATGTTACCAAGTCCAGTTCTCCAAGATGGTTCCTGGGAATGCTTCTTCACGTCTGAGTACCTTGTCCTGAGCATGTTTCATAAATGGGTAAAATGTGTGATTGATGTCTCTTTTATTTTATTGAAAGCTTGTTTTCTTCTGTAGCAGTTCTGAAATTTCAAGATGTTCTTCATTACTTTGTTTTAATTGCCATGTGACAAATATTTCAAGAAACACCCAGCTATTTTAAAATTTTTGACAGACTTCATGATGGAAAGACATACACACAGCCCTACTTGTTTAATAAATACTCCAACCATTAGGAACTCTAAGGGAAAGAAGTTGGTAATTATTTAATGAACCTTCTGTGTAGTCACTTTCACATAAAGTATAGCTAAGGACTCAGAAGCAGCCTTTTACTTCAGCCCTGAAATTACTACTATTAGTAATTTAAAATCACTTTTCCTAATGTGCCTAGCAGTCTCATTTACCTATACCACAGGTCCTCAAATAACATTGTTTTGTTCAACACTGTTTCACTATAAATTGATGAGGAAAAAAAATTGATTTCCAGCTGGGGTCACTATCTGTGTAGAATTTGCACTTTCTTCCCATGTCTGTGTGGGTTTTCCCCAGGGACTCTGTTTTCCCCCACATCCCAGGGATATGCATGTTAGATGAGTTGGCGTGTCTACAGAGTCCCAGTCTGAATGAGCATGGGTTTGTGTGTGAGTGCGCCCTGTAATGGGATGACATCCTGGCTAGGGTTGGTAACCACCTTTCACCCTGAGCTGCTGAGACAGGCCATGGCCAACCAAAGCACTGAACTGGAAGAAGTAGGTAAATAAATATCTTACTTGTTTTTATTAATCTTTCTTAAATGCATACATAGTTCACATTTATTTCAATGATTAATATTAGAAGTTCTTTGGTCGTTATTTAGAAGTTTGGTGATGTTTTTGTGGCCAGAAATACATCATAGGAATTTAACTCTTGTTTCTATCAATTAGCCTATGGTAGAATTGGTTTAACTAGAAATCATTTTGCTTAAAGTTGTAGTTTTTAAGAACCTACCAATGACATTAACTGAGGACTTACTGTAATTGTCCAAGAATTATAGCCTTTGAATTCATTCCTGGATGAGAGAAAAGATATTTCTATGATATATACTCCTATTTAAGAAATCAGGGGTTTTCCAAAGAAAGAAAATATCAGTGCTTCTCTGTATGAGCCCACTGTATCAAGAAAAGATGGACCCACAGAGGTTGAACCAAAACTCTTGCAGATGCAATAGGCACAGGCTCTCTGTTTCCCGTTGTTTTTCTAGGTCTAATGAAAATGTGAAGACTGAGGGCTTGGCCTCACCCTGGTAATATGATCAAGAACGGAACTGTGGTAGTAAAAATGAGAATGTTAGAAGAATCATTATATTCAGGGAAAAGAAAGGCCTCAAAAGGGAAGATTACTCTGAATAATTCATGCTCCTTTTCTCTTTTTTCCTGTGTGAAATTCAGTGTTTCCTTTATAATTTTTTGAGAAGAAGGCTATGCTCAGGATCTTTAGAAGCTGGTGGTAACTTCACAATCACTGGCTCCATCAGGCAACGAGAGACTTGCTGAAGGAGAAACAAACTGTGAAGGTAAAGAATTCTACCCAGAATGGCAACTCTGTGTGCTTTAAGAATGAATCCAAGTTTTGGAAGTTGTGGGAATGTGTTCAGTCGAAACTTTTCAATTGCTTGCACTGGGGAAACCACCCTCATCACTAGGCCTGGGGATTATGAACCAAAACCAAGGACTCCAGTCTCTGAGTCAGGGCGAGTGCCTTGGGAGGGAGGATGAAGGGAACTGGGCTCAGTGCCTCTCCTAAAATACCTTTCCCCTCCTAGAGGTCAGGTCTGGCAGGGTTTAATGACTCAATTCGTGTGCTGAGTGGCATCTTGGTAGCTCCGGGGAAGTAGTCAACACCACCCAACACAAACTGGGATTGGAGGTTAGGTGGGGTGACTATGAGCTGGACACCTAAGAGGTTATCTTCTTGGAGAGGTCAAAGAAAGCTTTTGCCAAACCTGTTAGATGAGTCAACAGATAGAGACTTCCATCTCTGCTTTCGTTCATCCTAATTTTTTAATAGCACCAAATGTGTAGAAAATCCAGAAATGAATTATCTGATGTTGTATATTTATAACAGATGTTAGATGGTTGGTTGATTAGTGTTAGCTATTTCCAATGCATGGGTTGCCTCTGACATAAGTATTGAATTAAATCAAAAATATGTTTATATATACCTACTATGTACCCAAAAAAATTAAAACTAAAAGTAAAAATATAAAATATTTTGAGTAAGCAGCATAGCAAGACCCTGTTTCAACAAAAAAAAAATCAGCCAGATGTGGTGGTGCACATCTGTAGTTCTAGCTACTCAGGAGGCGAGGCAGGAGGATCGCTTGCGCCTAGGAGTTCAAGGCTGTAGTAAGCTATGATCACACTGCTGCATTATGCCTGAGTGAAAGAGTGAGACCTCATGTCTTTACAAAAAGTTTTCTTTTTTAGTCAAAATATTCTTTCAAAAGGATCTAGTTAAAGGTTAATTTTCTGGCATACAAAGCTAGCAGACCAAATGGGTTCAAAACTTTAAATAGCATAATTCATCCAGGAAGACCATTCCTTTTTATTTTTTCCTGTGCCTTTATCTGCAAAGCTCTAAAATGGCCTTCAGGAATAAGGCAAGGTAGCTAATATTTTTCAAGCAAATTCAAGAGCAAGATAGAAATGAAATGATCCCATCTTATCTTTTCCTTCCTCCGATACCTCTGCAGTCTGACCCTAGGGAATGAGTGCTATGCGGATCAGATCAAGAGAGGTGATTTGTTTACTACTTCTGAAGACCCTAAAACTTTTGCTAACCCTAAAAGTGACCTAACCTCTTGGGAAGGGAGGGGCATTCAGTCTCGAATGACACAGACCAACCAAGAACTCCTACGGACCAGTAAGCCCTTAACCGTGTAGATACCGAAGTGAGCTTTGGGGAGAGAGAGAATCGCTATCCCCCAGACATGGTAAGGCAGTCCCCTTGAGGCAGTCACAAGTCAACTGCTCAATCTTTGGCTAGTGTCCCTCAGTAGACTAGCTCTAGTTATAAGGGGATGTTCTAAATAACCCCAATGGAACAATCCACAGCCACTTACTGAGTACCTAATAAACCCATGTATCACTCCCTGCTACCTACTGTTGAGGTAGATAGCCTCTGAAGAGCCTCTGGATTCACAAAAGCCACCCTGAAATGAATATTTCTCCAAAAAGTGCTTGGGGTTTCTTCCACATCCCCACATCCCAGCTCCCTTCCCTTTCATGCCCACAGCAAGGTCTATTGCTGCAAATTGGTGGTGAGGCAAGTTGGCTGGGAGGTGCACCTACACGGGGGAGTTCTATTGTTTTTATAACCAGTGCCAGCTCTGAGTGCGTGGTGAGTAAGAGCCTCTTCCTCTTCCCTCTGGGCTGCCCTCCTCTCCCATGCCAATCTCATTGCTGGCCTGTTGTGGATATGGTGGTAAGCAAGGGCGGCTGCCTGGCTCTGATGCTTCCCAGACTTGGGACCCAAAACTCAAGAAGACAACGAAACATGTAAGTGAGGGCTTCATGGGCCTGTGTTTCCTATTAGCCAGTATTCCTGGGTAAAGTTTTCTGGGGAGAAGGGGCAAATGTGAAGACACCACTACAGCGTTACTCTTCCTTCCCCCGTTAAGTAAATGGGAAGTTCTTACTTGGCACACAAGAATAAAATGAATGTTGACTGCCTCTTCCAGTCACCTTTGGGCTGATTTTAGGTTAGACGACGTTTTCCCTAAAGGAATCTTATTTCTGCAAACTTCTTTTTTAAAACTCAAAATAATGTCTGCTTGTTCACTTTTATGTTAGAAAGTTATAATACGAGAGTAATTATGGTTACTCTTGTAACCATAATTTTGCTTATACATTGGTTTTGCTATTTTCCTTTCTGAATGGTGTTTATTTTAGATTTTAGCTCCTCTCTTGTGTTATGTTGCTAACATTTTTGTCAGCTGCCAGATTATTACAAGCAGATAAAGGGGGAGTTTTCTTCTAAAGAGACCCCCATAGTTCACGCTCAAAGAATTTGTTTTGTATACCCTGTGAGGGGGTGAGGGAAATAATTCATTGGTGTCTTTGTGTGTGTGTCTACGTGTGTCGTTAGCTGTAATCTGCAAAGATTTCTGCATCTTTAAGCATAAAGATCGCTTTCTCATTTTGTAACATGATTTCTTTTCAAACTTGTCATGTAATTGAATCCAGCTTTGAGTGACACTTTAAAATATGCTCTCCCGCGTCAGAAGTGCTTCTTTAAGCCAGGTGCTCTTCACGCTCACCTGCTGGCGTGTTTGATTAGCAGCCAGCCACAGCCAGGTGCCAAATCCATTCTAAATATGGGAGCCTGTGCTTGAGAAGACTAGTCATACTAATTATTCAGACCTCCTCCTTGGAAGTAATGTGGCAAAATCACAGAAGCAGAAAAGCCAGAAACAGTATGAGACTTGCTATTGAGGGACCATAAAATCAGAATTTTGCCTCATAATATTGTTTTGTTCTTGGGTACATCCTTTCCAGCTATGAGCTCACCAGCCCTTGCTCTGTCTCTGAGCTGGTTGGCATCATTGCCGTTCTACAGATGGAGAATGGGAGATACAGCTGTGCAAGCCAAAATGCCCAAAAGCCGGATGATCTCACTGAAACTGGGAGCCAGCACCCCAGGTGTCTCTCTAGCTCCTTGCTGCTGGTGAATCTGCAGCTTAAAAAAGGAGAGCTGCAGGCTAAGTTGGAACCACCTAGAGTTGCCTGCAAGCAATCTGTATTTGAATTGCCTGTCAGAGGCCAGGTGAAACCAAGCAGTGGGTCAAACCAAAGGGGCTGCATGCATACATAAATGGGAAGAAGGTTAAAAGTGAGGAAATGGGGGATCGAAGTCCAGGAATGTAGGGAATATGCTGGAATATCCTTTTTATGCAGGCCATCCCTCTTTTAACTGTGGGCTGAAATATACTGGATAGTATCTGTTGTACCGAAAGTACAATGTCACACTGGTAGGAAATATTTAAAGTAAAGCCAATGTATTAATTTAAATCATTAATGCAGGAAATATTTATTGAGGCTTTCCCATGAGCCAAGTCCCATAATATTCAGCTTTGTAACTTGAGTGCCTATCATTCAGTGGATGGACAGGAAGGATGCCTTGATGAATGGATAAACACATATTGTTCATGAGATTTTAGTTTAAGGACTCTCCATCTTCTCCCTGCTCATCCTCCCTTGGGACAGCCCATTCAATCCCACAGAGACACCTGTTTCACCCCTCCCAGAACCACCCACCCACAGGAAGGAGAATTTCCTTAATGAAGGCAAGTAAACACAGGCCTGTATGCCCATAGGAAGGAAGCCTTTGTGTACTTTTACCCAGATTGAATCAGGGAAAACCATGTCAGGAAGAAGGGCACACCCTAGCCGATGCACGGAAGTAACATTTGCATGTCACAGGCTTCAACCCAGCAATCCAACACACAGGTGCGTAATCTCTGGGCCAGGCAACCAGAGCAAATTTACCTTCATGGTCTTCGGAGCTCCACCTTCCTTCATTCATCATCTCTTGAGCTTGCTTCTGAAGGTCCTAGCTTCATCTTGGACATAAGCAGCCAGGATCTAGGAAAGGCTCACCAAACACCATTATTTATTGAATGCCCTCAATGCATTGGCCTCAAACCAAATGCAGAATTAGATTACTGTCCCCGACCAGTTGGTTCACATTTTAAACAAATAAATAGGCAGGTAGAGGTGAACTAAATAGAAAGGAAGATGGAAATATACTCCAGGGAGAGGCAGGTGCTGGGGAGGGGAAACCGGTCAGAGCCTGTCATTTTTAGAGCTTAAGTAGGACAGGATCTCAAAATATTTCAGATCCAGCTCCATGTTTTTGATCAGCCAGGAAGGCAAATTTGGTTGAGAGCAGGAAAGATGAGACACACACTTCATGCCCTCAATGTTGGCTCATTCTTTCCTGATTGTTTCTATCTTTGGGCCCCTATTGTGTCTTATATGTGCTTCTGATATAGGATATGGCCAATGTACTTTGTTACAAAGTAACAAAGCAATTATTTGTTTACTCCCTATCTCTTCTAATGGATCATGAGCTCAGTGAGGGCAAGGACTCTTTGTCTTCCTCATTTCTAAATGTCTAAAGCCTGATCAATAAATGCTTATTGAATATACATATGACACCCTCAACCCCCAAAGCCATGTAACAGGGTAAGGATGACTGCGATTGGGTCTCAAATTAGAACAAGGGCCAGGATTTGAGGTGTTCAAGGAATTCAAAATAGACGTGATTGGATTTGAATGGTTGACAGCTTTCTTGAATATGCAGTATGACGCCACTGGGATTTTGAGATGATGGGATTAAGCAGGTTGGGAGGAGGCCAGTCACTGGAGGCAAAGGCTCAGGATTAGGAATGCTCTTGTGGTTCTTGGGGAATAGTGAATGGACCATAGTGGCAGGATGAGGCCAATGTGTGAAGGGACAAACAAAGTTGTTTGAAATTTAAACTTTTGGCAATGGGAAACCACTGAAGCCATTTAAGCCGAACTGTAAAGAGATAAAAGGAAAATTCAAAAGAACTGAATCTAGGTAATAGGTTAGAGCATGAGGTGCCAGGAACAAGGGCTCTATGAAGGAATGGAAGCCAATACCCATGAGTGTGTGACAAAATGCTGATCTGGGTGGGGGAGGAGGGTAGTGGGAATAAATGTTAGGATTCTGGAGTATTTGTGGGGGAGGGGAGATTTGAGATTAATGTATCATTTGTATCCAGAGTTTTCTCTCTAAATGAGGTTAAAAGAATGGGCCAGGAGCAATGGCTCATGCCTGTAATCCCAGCACTTTGGGAGGCCGAGGCGGGCAGATCACCTGAGGTAGGGAGTTCAAGACCAGCCTGACCAACATGAAGAAACCCCCATCTCTATTAGAAATACAAAAGTAGCCGGCCGTAGTGGTGCATGCCTTTAATCCCAGCTACTCGGGATTACAGTAGCTGAGGCAGGAGAATTGCTTGAACCTGGGAGATGGAGCTTGTGGTGAGCCGAAATTGCACCATTGTACTCCATCGTGCCATTTTTTGAGATGCTGTCTCAAAAAAAAAAAAAAAAAAAGAATGATGGCTAAACTCTTTATTAGGTGTTTGTTAAATGCCAGTCACTGTTCTAGGCATTTTACAAACAGTAGCTCAATTCATCCTCAGAACACCCCTTTGTAGTATTATTATTGGCCCCACTTGACAGATAAACTGAGGCACAGAGCAATTAAAGCACTTGCCCAAGGTCATACAGTTATAAGACAGAGAGACAGGATTCAGACCAGGATGTAAGTCTGCCAAGGCCCAAATATTAACCACAAATGCCTGCTTCAGCAGGTTCATGGGAAGATTTAAGGTATGATGAAAGGGGTTCTAAACAGTGATGTTTGTTATCATTTTGAAAGGAGACCAGAGAAGCATTTCCTGCATCCATTTTCCTATCATCGTTAATTGCCTACTCACACACAGTTTAAGGTTATCAGTATATAGTAAAATTTAAAATCTGTAATAGGATAATGTTTCTTATTTTGCCTTTTAAACACTGATTTTTCTCATTTAAAAATTAGTATTTGTTATAAAAATTCAAATCTTACAGAAATAACAGATATACAGTGAATATCCCATGAAATCTTAATTATCCTCCTACCCCCAAATCATTATTTACTGTTGGGTAGAAATTCCTCCAGCTCTTTTCTTTTTTTTAATCTGAGACGGAGTTTTGCTCTTGTTGCCCAGGCTGGAGCGTAATGGCACGTTCTCAGCTCACTGCAACCTCGATTTCCTGGGTTCAAGCCATTCTCCTGCCTCGGCCTCCAAAGTAGCTGGTATTACAGGCATGTGCCACCACGCCTGGCTAATTTTGTATTTTTAGTAGAGACAGGGTTTCACCATGTTGGTCAGGCTGGTCTCAAACTCCTGACCTCAGGTGATCTGCCCTCCTCGGCCTCCCAAAGTGCTGGGATTATAGGCATGAGCCACCACACCCAGCCCACCTCTTTTCTTTTATATATATAGGCTGCTGTATTACCATCATTTATGTCAATAGTAATCCTTTTTTCCAAAAGGTGATCATACTGTTTTGTAACATGCTTTTTCTTTTTCTTTTTTTTTTTTTTGGCAGAGTTTTTGCTCTTGTTGCCCAGGCTGGAGTGCAATGGCATCATCTCAGCTTACCACAACCTCTCTCCCGGATTCAAGCAATTCTCCTGCCTCAGCCTCCCGAGTAGCTGGGATAACAGGCATGCGCCACCATGTCTGGCTAATTTTTTGTATTTTTAGTAGAGATAGGGTTTCTCTATGTTGGTCAGGCTGTTCTCGAACTCCTGACCTCAGGTGATCCGCCCACCTCGGCCTACCGTAACAAGCTTTTTAATTTAATAAATAGGACAGCTTTCCATGTCAGGACATACGGGGTTTTTTTTTTTTAACTTTTATTTTTAATTGAAACATAATAATTACATATATTTAAGGGATACAATGTGATGATTTGATACATGTATACATTGTGTAATAATCAAATCAGGGTAATTAGCAAGGATATACACTTTTATATTATTTCCTTTAAAAGTTATATAGGATTCACTTTCACTTTCAGCATCATTTCATCTGGATTCACGTTCTTTTGCAATTACCAGAGCAACATATCTGATGTGACCTAGATTCTTACCTCAATGCCATTTTTGTTCCTTTTGTGTCTTGGACAGGACTTAAGGAGAAGCAAGTTCAAATGGGGTTCAGTTTTCTGTTTCTGTGAAAACAAGAAAAGCTAGTACTTATGTAGTACTTATGTAGCACTTATGAGCCAGCAACTATTCCTAGCTCCATTGTACAGATAAGGAGACTGAGGCCTAGAGAGATTAAGTAATTTACTTGCTCAAGGTCATACAGTTAGAAAGTCAGAACTTGAACCCTGGCTCTTTGACTCCAAAGCCTGTATATTTACACCACACTGTCTCTTTATCTCTTTTACAAGTCTTTTACCTAAACTAATTAATATGAAGTGGCTTCCATAGCATTATGCAGTCAACCATGGTGTAAAAGTCAATAAAGATAAGCCCTACCACTTATCTCTGTGGCTCAACTAGCAGCAGAAAGCAGGGAGTTGTCTGAAGGAGCAGCTTCATTTCGGCTGTTTCTCTCTCCAGCCTCTCCCCACCGGTCACTGTTAGCCTCGAGTTTGACCCTCAACATCCCCAGAGGATGCCTCCTAGGACTCGAACCTCATTTAGTGTCTCTACTGCTGATGGACGCCATGAGTGGAGCTGTCGACCACCTTGGGTGAAGTGGTGGTCTCCACGTCCCACCTGGGCAGCACGATGGCCACAGAAAGGTTGTATCTACCCCACCCAGCACAACACATGCAGAAATTTCAAAAGAGCCTATTTAAGTAGATGAGCATAGATAGATAATTCTGGGAGAACATCCTTAAAAGGAGTTTGGTTTTTTGTTTGCTTTGTGTGGGTTTTTGTCTAAATAAACTAGACTGCTTTAATATACTGCCTCTTTTAATGAAATAAAGTAATTGTTTCCTTAGCTGTGTGCTAGGAAAGCCAATACAAAGACATATAAGAAAAACCCCACAGACCTAGATTCTTAAAACCATTCATATTTGATCCCATTCTCAAGATATCTCATTATATACATGCAAATAGTCCAAAATCTGGAAAAATCCCAAATCCAAAACACTTCTTCTTCCAAGAATTTCAGATAAGGGTTACTTAGCCTGCCTCATACTCCCCAAAATAGGCATCTTCATAGAACTTCAGGGTGAGAAGGGGACCGAAGATTTAAGAAGTTCCATTTCTTCTCTGATACATTTTCCAACAGTCCCCCAAAGTGGGCAACTAGCTTCCATCTGAACACAGTCAAGGAAAGTGAACTCACTAAGTAGGAAAGCAGACTATTTCATTTTCAGAACCCGTTGAGGGAGGGGGAAGGGATAGCATTAGGAGATATACCTAATGTAAACGATGAGTTAACGGGTGCAGCACACCAACATGGCACATGTATACATATGTAACAAACCTGCATGTTGTGCACATGTACCCTAGAACTTAAAGTATAATAAATAAATATATATATATATATATATATAAAATTAAAAAAAAGAACCTGTTGAATTGCAACAGTGTTCTTCTTTATGGTAACTCCATATCTGCTGTCCCAAAACTTCAATTCTTTCATCCTTCTTAGACCAAACAGAAAACATCGAATAGTTTTTATACTTTACCACCTTCCAATCTTTAAGAATAGTCACCATTTCCTTGCCAAATTGTTTCTTTTCCAGGTTAAGGTCTTTAATTCAATCTTCACCTATTATTCCCATGTCATGATCTAGCATTTTGGACTGTTAAGGTCCCTCTTCTTTGATATGCCCTAAATTGTCCATGTTGCTCTCAGACTGTGACATTTATCACATAACACGGTACTTCAGGGAAGACTAGATAAGGACAGCCACTTACCTTGCTCTTGATGGTCTACTTCTATTAGATGTGCTAAGCTTAAGATTTCATCCAATTCTTTAAAAGCAGGGGAAATTAAGGAACTTTATTCTGGAAAGTTTGTAAAGAAATCAACCAGTCATGGAATGGCAATTATGAAAAGCACAAAAAATAACACATGTTGGTAAGTATGCAGAGAAAAGGCAACTCTTATACACTGTTGGTGGGAGCGTAAATTAGTCCAGCCACTGTGGAAAATAGTATGGCAATTTCTCGAAAAACTGAAAATAGAACTACCCTTTGAGCCAGCAATCCCACTACTGGGTATCTATCCAAAGGAAAAGAAATCAGTATATCAAAGGGATACCTGCACTCACATTTTGAGCGCTATTCACAATAGCAAGATATGGAATCCTAAGTGTTCATCAGCGGGCAAAAGGATAAAGAAAATGTATATACACATAGTGGAATACTATTTGGCCATAAAAAAGAATGAAATCATGTCATTTGCAGCAACATGGGTGGAACTAGAGGTTCTTAACGTTAAGTGAAATAAGCCAGGTAGAGAAAGACAAATATCATCGTATGTTTTCACTCATATGTGGGGGCTAAAAAAGTTGATCCCAGGGAGGTAGAGAGTCGAGTGTTAGATATTAAAGGCTGGGAAGGGTAAGTGGGTGAGTGGTGGTGATGAAGAGATGTTGGTTAATGGGTACAAACTTACAGTTAAAGGAATACGCTCTAATGTTCGACAGCAGAGTGGGGTGACTATAGTTCAAAACAATGTATTGTGTATTTCACAGTAGCTAGAAAAGAGACTTGAAAAACTCCCAACACGTAGAAATGATGAATACTCCAGGTGATAGATACCGTAAATACTCCAACTTAATCATTACACATTCTATGCATGTAACAAAATATCACATGTATCCCATAACTATGTACATATATTATGTATTAATAAAAATAAATAGAAATCAACTGGTCAATTTATTTTTCTTCAAACAATAATACAGGAAGCCAGGCAGAGTGGATCATACCTGTAATCCCAGCACTTTGAGAGGCCAAGGCAGGCAGATCGCTTGAGCCCAGGAATTCAAGACCAGCCTGGGCAACATGGTGAAACCCCATCTCTACAGAAAAATACAAAAATTAGCTGGATGTGGTGATGTGCACCTGTAGTCCTAGCTACTTGGAAGGCTGAGGTGGGAGGATTGCTTGAGCCCTGGAGGTTGAGTCTGTGGTGAGCAGTGATCATGTACAAGCTGCACCCCAGCCTGGGAGACACAGCTAGACTCTGTCTCAAATAATAATAATAATACAGAAAAAAACTATGGACCTAGATATTTTATTTTATGTATCGTAGTATCTTTCTTACATATCAGTTTTTATAATAATATTTATCCATGATACCATCTGTAAGACAGGAATTGTGTAAAAATAACAATGCTGGCTATGCACAGTGACTCATACCTGTGGTCCCAGCACTTTGGGAGGCTAAGACAGGAGGCTCACTTGAGACCAGGAGTTCAAGACCACCCTGAGCAACATAGTGAGACCCTGTCTCTGCAAAAAATTAAAAAATTACCCAGGCATGGTGGTGCGTACCTGTGGTCCCAGCCACTAAGGAGGCTGGGATGGGAGGATTGCTTGAGTCCAGGAAGCTGAGGCTGCAATGAACTATGAGTGCACCACTGCACTCTAGCCTTGGTGACAGAGTGATATCTTATCTTTAAAAAAAGAAAGAAAGAAAAACAAAAAACCAATGCTTAACTTTTCATAAGTGTCTGAGTAACAATCCCTGTGGTACCAAATATTGTGGCCTGTTGAAAGTAAGAGATGAACTATTGTAGAGTATTTCTTTATGCCAGTGATTCTTTGAAATGGATGGCTAGGCTGTTAAAGACCTGCATTTTTTTTTTTAGCAGCCTCCTCCTCGGCCCACCCTTTACTGCCATCTTGATGGAGTCATGTTTATATGAATTTGTTCAGATCGCTTTGAAAGAGCTCACTACTTCCCTCCTCCACTGAGGATTTAGGTACCCACTCCAGATCCAGATTCGGTTTTGTATCACTAGAAAAAATGTAATAGAGTAGATCTATCTGAAAAGGCTTTCTTTGATTAGAAACTGTGACCATGTAGATGTAAGATTTGATTATAACTTTAGACTTAACTGGAGAAGTTATTGCTAGAATATACAAGGCAACATGTGGTGGTGGATATATGAAGGTGGAAAAATACATTAGATGTCCTTATATCATTTTCTAAAAAGCATATGATGGGGGGAGCTGTATAGGAGAGTATCACAGAAAATTATCACATATAGGAAACTATCGTCAAAATTAACAGTGTCCCTCAGCCATTGATTAAATAAAAAAAGGAGGACAAAATTTTTTAAGACAAATGAACTTTAAATAAAGGCCACTAATTATAGCAGAGAATGTGTTGGATAAGAGTAGGTATATGTAATTATATAGTAATTATGCTGAAAATGTAATCACATGCCACCGGCTAGCTAGTTAACCATTTTGCTGGGGGATGAATCCACCCCCAGCAACCATCTCCTTCTGATCTCAGAGACCCACATTGACTTTGTTAGAATGTGTGATATGGTTTCTTCTTAGAAGGGTGACCTTTTCCTGGCCAATTAAAAGGTGCTGCTTTGAGGATATTGGAACCCATACTCAAAGGGATAAAAGGAAATTGAAACTTCTATTAAAAGGAGCTAATGATGCCTGGAGCAGTGGGGATTAAAAAAGAACAAAGTCAGTCTTAAAAAGATCCCCCAAATCAAAGAGCTGCTTCTCTCATCAAATACCAGAAGAAAGCAAAATGATTTTTAATGAAAAGTGGGGCAATGGATTCAGCCTTTTCCCTGGATCCTAGGGCTTCAATCAAAACCAGTGAGTAGTTTTAAGCAAAATTCTTTGAACATTTGGGATAATTATGCTACATAAATTTGACATGGTGTTGTAAAAGGTAAACTAGCTTTTCTTCCAAATTAGAGAAATAATAAAGACAAATATCAGAAGGATAACTCTAAAAAATCATACAGATAAGAGTGCTTTATAACTGATTCCCCATCTGATACAAAATAATTCCTGGGTTAAAATCTAGCATTTTGATGATAAAAGTATAGGAAATCACTGTCAAAATTGTCCTGTGGTGGACAATTGTTAGGTGATTGCTGTGATTGTAATTAGCACAACCTTGGTAGGTTGTACATTCCTTAATACACTTTCTTATCACCATCTGCATTAGTCTACTTGGGCAGCCATAACAAAATACCACAGACCATGTGGCTTAAGCAACAGAAATGTATTTTTGACAGCTCTGGTGGCTGTAAAGTCCAAGATCAAGGTGCTTGCAGAATTCAATTTCTGGTGAGGGCATTCTTCCTGGCTCGCAGGTGGCTTCCTTCTCCTTATGTCCTTACATAGCTTTTCCTAGGTGGATGTGCTTGGAGAGAGTTTAAAAATGAGCTCTCCAATGTCTCTACTTATAATGATATTAATCCTATCTGATCAGGGCCCTACCTTTAAGACCTTATCTCCAAATACGGCCACAGTGAAAGTTAGGGCTTCAACATGAGAATTTGGGGAGTACATAAACATTTAGTCCAGCAACTCAAAACTACAATGAGATATCTCACCCAAGTTAAAATGGCTCATATTCAAAAGACAGGCAATGACAAATGCTGGTGAGAGTGTAGAGAAAAGGGAACCCTCATACACTGTTAATGGGAATGTAAATTAGCACAACCACTATGGAGAACAGTTTGGAGCTTTCTCAACAAACTAAAAAGAGATCTACTATACAATCTAGCAATCCCACTGCAGGGTATATACCTCAAAGAGAGGAAATCAGTGTATCAAAGAGGTATCTGCACTTCTGTGTTTGTTGCAACATTCTTTTTTTTAAGTATATTTATTTATTTATTTATTTATTTATTTATTTATTTATTTATTTGATGGAGTCTTGCTCTGTCACCCAGGCTGGAGTGCAGCGGTACGATCTCAGCTCACTGCAACCTCTGCTGCCCGGGTTCAAGCGATTCTCCTGCCTCAGCCTCCCAAGTAGCTGGGATTACAGGCGTATGCCACCACGCCCAGCTAATTTTTGTGTTTTTAGTAGAGATGGGGTTTCAGCAACTTGGCCAGGCTGATCTTGAACTCCTGACCTCGTGATCCACCCATCTCAGTCTCCCAAAGTGCTGGGATTATAGGCATGAGCCACTGCGCTGGCCTCAATATTCTTTACAATAGCTAAGATTTGGAAGCAACTTAAATGTCCATCAACAGATGAATGGATAAAGAAAATGTGGTACTTATACACAATGGAGTACTATTTAGCCATGAAAAAGAATAGAACCAGTCATTTGCAACAACATGGATGGAACTGGAGATCACTATGTTAAGAAATAAGCCAGGCACAGAAAGACAAACATTGCATGTTCTCACTTATTTGTGGGATTTAAAAATCGAAACAATTGAGCTCATAAACATAGAGAGTAGAAGGATGTTACCATAGGCTGGGAAGGGTAGTGGTGGGCTGGGTGGGGAGGTAAGGATGGTTAATGGGTAAAAACAAAATGGAAAGAATAAATAAGACCTACTATTTGAAAGCACAACAGGGTGACTATAGTCAATAATAACTTAATCGTGTATTTTAAAATCACCTAAAGAGTGTAATTGGATTATTTGTAATTCAAAGGAAAGATGCTTGAGGGGGATGGATACCCCATTCTCCATGATGTAGTTATTTCACATTGCATGTCTGTATTAACACATCTCATGTAACCCATAAATATATATATATATATATATATATATATATATATATATATATATACCTACTATGTACCCACAAAAAATGAAAGTAAAAGTATGATTTTTAAAAAACCACTTAGTCCATACCACCATCCAACAATAAGCAAGAAGCCAGGGAATCTCTGGGCTTGTCAAGTAGCTGGGTTTCCTGCCACACTTGGATATCAATGGCTAATGTCTTTACCACTTAAAGAATAGTTGGGAGAGTGGCTGGCAAGCAGTCAGGAAACCTAAAAGCCAGCTAGTGCTGCATTTTCTATTTGTTTAAATTATAAATGAATTAATTGTCCAAGCCAAAGAGCATAACCAGTAGAAGCCTCCTCCTTACAAATTTGCTTGAACTCCCAAAAGATATGTTTAATGGCAATGTAACCAATCGGGAAATTCTTTGTCATAAACCATCAGTTTTGAATATGAGTCATCTATACAGCAAATCGGGGTATTGGCAAAGGAAGCTTCACAATGTCCAGCTTTACTGCCCCTGCACTTCAGCCTGCCATGGTTTTAATGGTGGCTAAAATCATTATTTTACAATTGAAAATCTTTTCTAGAAAGCTGGTCATTCCTATTTATACTTGGACTCAAAGCTACCTAAGGGGCCCAGGATGCCTCATCTCAGCTTGGAAATTCTAGAATTAATTATGTGTTCTAGGATGAATTAAGTGTTCAATTCAATTCCAAAAAAGGACACAACCATTTCTGTGCTCATATGTATTAGGCTGAGGCAAACTTACCTGGTGTTGGCAGTTGGTTTTGGCAGTTTAATAATTTGAGCTAGATAAAGAAAAAGGAGGTTGTTGAGACAAGAAAGATGGCTCTTCTCAAAAGTAAAAGACATCTGGACTGATAAGAAGGCAACTGAGAGAGAAGCTAAAGATAACCAAGAGAAACTGATCATAAATTTGCCTCAAGGTTCAGACAGGGGGTCATGCAGTTGAATTATAGGCAGGGGTCATGGTGGCGGCTTTAGAACTTGTGTCCTGATTCTGATGTCTCTAGGCAGCCTCTGTCATGCACCCATCTCCAAACATTGGGAGGTTGAATATGCATGTATGAAAAGAATTGCCCAGTATAAACATGTATTATAGGTTACACATAGCTGATGGGACTATGAAGTCCCTGAGAAGTAGCTCAGCCTGTGTCCCATATCACAGGCTCCTGCCTTAACTGTGCTATGTCGAATGGCCAATAAAACTCATGCAACAGCATAAAAGTTTTAATTTTTACATTTCCTTATGATCCCAGGGAGACCAGGCCTTCCTGGAGAGGGTATTCCAGGTTATGAGTTCATGCAAAGTAAGAGATGTAAGAGATACACTTGAGTCTCCCTCTCTCTCTCTCTCTCTGTGATGTATGTGTGTGGTGTGTATAAGTGTGTGTGTGTATATATATACATATACACACACATATATAAAACATATAATATATAACTCAAAAAATATTAGCTGGTGAGCTAATATATGTTTACCCTCACGATCCAGGCATTCTACTTGGTTGTTGAGGGATGTAGACCTGGAGCAGATATATCATGGTGTGGTGAGACAAGAGATGGGAGGAGAGGGCCATGCATCATATTCCATTGATCCTCAGTAGGACTTTTGCTATATTTACAGTCTAACTTCAAAGCTAGAACTGATCTCCCTTAAGTCTGAGGCTATGAAATGAGCTCATATTATGAAGAATTGCTCAGTAAACTTAAAGAAGTATACCATACAATTATATGGTTTATATCAAGTATGATGATCATTTCTGCCACTTGTACCACTAAGCGGTCAGGGTTAGGAATCCTATATTGAATTCTTCCATGTGCCAGACCTTGTTCTAGATCAGGATTTTTCAGCCTTGGTGCTGTTACTGTTTGGGGTTGGATAGTTCTTTGTTGTTGGGTCTGCCCTGGCCATTGAAGGATGCTTAGTAGCATCCCTGGCCTTTACCCAATAAATGGTAGAAGCATAGCACCTTCCCCCAATTGTGACAACCCAGGTGTCTCCAGACATTGCAGGATGTCCTCTGGGAGCAAAATTGCCCCTGGTTGAGAACCAGCATTCTAGATACATGACATATGGTATGACATGTGGTATATGCAAAAAGCATGAACTGCAGAGTCACATTCTTGTCTTCATTTCTTCATTCATTTTATTTAACTAATTAATTTTTTTGAGACAGAGTCTCACTTTGTCACTCAGGCTGGAGTACAGTGGCACCATCTCAGCTCACTGCAACCTCCGCCTCCTGGGCTCGAAGGATCCTCCCACCTCAGCCTTCTGAGTAGCTGGGACTACAGGGCCATGCCACCACACCTGGCTAATTTTTGTATTTTCAGTAGGGACGAGGTTTTTCCATGTTGCACAGGCTGGTCTCAGACTCCCAGACTCAAGTGATCTGCCCACCTCAGCTTCCCAAAGTGCTGGGCCTATGGCTTAGCTGAGCCACCATGCTCAGCTCGTTCATTTTATTTATTGAGCCTTTGCAACATGCCATGAACTGTGCTAGGTTATGGGGATACAAAGATGAGTAAGGCATGGTTTTTGCCTTAAATAGAAGACTCTAGTAATGGAGAAAAACTCATATATAGATAAATTACCAATCAATGTGGTAAATGTAACAAAATAGACATGATAACAGGCTTGGGTAGAGAGTTCCTAACCCAGCTGGGCAGTAGAAGCTGGAGGCGTCAAGAAAAGCTTTCTCGAGTTGTCTGGCCTGAACTGAGTCTTAGATAAGTGGGTAGAGGAGGTGAGGACACTGAAGCAGAGGCATAATTCAGTGTTGCAGTTAACGTCGAAGTGTAAGATAAGACACAGGTGAAAAAGCCTGGTGTGTGTTGAGTGTTGGGAAGGGAACGTTAAAAGTCTGCCGAGGTAGACAGGTGACCTTGTCTGGCATTCTGAGAGTTTGTACTTTATTCTAAGAGGTGGGGAGCCATTGAGAGCCTTCAAGTAAGGAAGTGACATGTTTTTGTTTAAACCAGTTGTTTTGGCAACCTCTACTGGCTGGACTCAAGGGATCCTCCCACCTCAGCCTCCCAAGTAGCTGGGACTACAGGTGTGTGCCAACATGCCCAGCTAATTTTTGTATTTTTTTTGTAGAGATGGGGTTTCACCATGTTGCCCAGGCTGCCATGCAGAAAATGGATTAAAGGAGCACAAGAGTGAAAGCAGGGAGACAATTTAGATTTGCCAAGAGGTGATGAGGGCTTGACCTAGGGCAATGGGAAATAGGGGACAGGATTTGGGAAATATTTTGGAGATAAAACAGTATGATTTAGTGACTCTTTTGATACAGGAGATGAGGAGGAGGGGGAGGGTTCAAGGATGATTGCCTCTCACAGTTGGGGTGCCACCATCATTGCCTATCCTATAGGAAATATATAGTGATGGTAATTATTGTATTATGCTATTATATTAACTTATTATCCTCAGTTTGCAAATGATAAAATTAAGGCTCAAAGGAGAAAGTTGCTTAGCCCAAAGTCACACAGCTATTGAGTAGAGAAGCCAGGATTTGAGATCTATTTGACTATCTGACTTCCAGCCTATCATACTATGTGGCTCTGGCTAAGTATGGATTAAAGTGGTGAAAATGAATCATTCAGAAAGTAGTCAGCTTGGTTACTGCTGGCCTTTATGCTTGGCCAGTGCTCAGTATTTGTTGAAGAAAGGAATGATTTTAATGAAAATTATACTAATATATTTACATATCATTTTCATGTATTTCAAATTAGAATGCATGAGGGGAAAAATAAATAGCTTATCCAATATTATATGCAAATATCCCCCACCTGAGCTGCAGCTTTAGTCTCTTCTCAGGTTCCTGCAGCTACAAGTGAAGTCCTGAGGTCCCCTAGTCCATTGTTCTGCCTCTTTGTTTAATCACTCACCATGTTCTCTTTAGACACAGTGCTAAGGACACAGGTATAGCAAATACTTGTTAAATGATTCAGTCATTTATACATTTTTAGCATCACCATTACATTCTGGGCCAATAAGAGGACCTTCAGTCCTATTGTCATTTCTATCCAAAAATATTAAATGTGACCACGACCAAGAAAGACTGTTGGGCAGGAAAAAAGGGAAAAATGTCACTGGGCTAAAAGTGGAAAGTTATGGATATTGTTAAGATAAACACAAAGAAATTCCTGTGTTCTTTTCTCTAGGGTTGCTCACTTAACCTTTCCGTCTCCAAGTCCAGACTTCAAAGCTCCAAGAAAAAACAAGATACAACACTGTAGGATTAGCTGCCCAATTTACTTATATTTTAAGAAAGTGTCCAAAAAGGCCAGTTAAGCCTGTCTGACAGCAGTGACAGGTCTCATCGTCAGAAATTTCAAGAATGATTATAGCCTGTGACCTGTGATGGCTCCAAAGGCCATAGGAATTGCCAGGGGATGTCACTGGCATTTATCTCTCAGGATCACCTTCCTTCTCTCTGCTGGGGGAGTCAGTTCTGGACCTGGATGGAAAAGGATTCCCAGTACCCAGTTACATAGCTGCTTACATCTGTTATCTGTGCATGTGAGGTTTTATACTAGACCGGAAAATAGAGAGACAGTCACAGTTTTGTATTCATGAAATTAGAGACTCGTGGAGACCATTCTGCTGTGGCCTGTTCTTACCCTGCTGTATCAGAGATTCCTTGGTCTGGAGTCAGGGACTCAGGCATGGTGAGGGCGCCAGGAGAGCTGGCAGGGAGTTCCTCATTTCTTATTCCTGCTGCTCCTGCTTCATTTCCAACTATAAGGAAACTCATGGAAGTATTTTTAGTGTATTTGTGGTACCAGAGCCCCTCACCATTCCCAAGACAAGGCTTGACTTTCCATCCCATAGTATAAGCAGAGTCTTGTACTACGGTTCCTCTTAGGAATTACTGCTGGGCAGTAGGTTATTAATAGTAACAGTTCACACCCAGTCCAATTTAAAAGAAACAGATTGTTCCTTTAAAAAATCTTCTCTGAATTTAAATTACAGGTATTTATAATATTTCTCCACTTCTTACCTAGACACTGGATATTCCTCCAGGTTAAATGCCCTTGGACTATATTTTTCTTTGCCTGCTGGATTTTATTCACTCTTTATATCTCAGTGTCATAGGCCCTTTCTAACCCTCACTGAGTTGCATGGCACCTGGAAAAAGCCCTTCTTACTCGACTGTAATATAATTGTCCATGAAAGACCTCAACATTTCTTTGGGAGCAGAGATGGTTTGCATTTATTGTAGTATCTCCAATAAGGCACATGCAGTGGGATGTCAAAGAAGGCTTGAACTGAATAGGAGCACATCCTAACTTGCAGGCCAGTAGACGTGGATCTGTACCAATGTCTGTCTCTTACCAGCTGCATAATGGAAACATTACTTACTCTTGCTGAACCCACATGAAAAATGGAAATAATCATCTTACCTTCAAGAGTTGTGAAAAATCAAACAAGTTCCTGGCAGAAAGTAGGTGCTGAATAAATACACATATTCACCAGGCACAGTTGCTCATGCCTGTAATCCCAGCACTTTGGGAGGCTGAGGTGGGTGGATCACCTGAGGTCAGGAGTTCGAGACCAGCCTGGCCGACATAGTGAAACCACCATCTCTACTACTAAAAATACAAAAAATTAGATGGGCGTGGTGGCAGGTGCCTGTAATCCCAGCTACTCAGAGGGCTGAGGCAGGAGAATTGCTTGAACCCAAGAGATGAAGGTTGCAGTGAGCCGAGATCATGCCATTGAACTCCAGCCTGGGCAACAAGAGCGAAACTCTCTCTCTCTCTCTCTCTCGCTCTCTCTCTCTCTATATATATATATACACATATTCATTTGATCATTATACTAGGTTGAGGATTTAAGTTCTTTCCAAAACATTTATGTAAGGCCGTTGATAGATGGTGAGAAGTCTTAATCTAAGTATCAACGTATTTTCTAAAATAATTTTGAACATTGTGAGAGGCAGAGTGAAAGAAACACAGTATTTGAAGTCAAAAGACTTGGTTTGATTCATTTTGTGACTTTTCCTCCTGGTAAATGACATATACACTCATTTATAGCCATTCATGATGTTCAAAGCTATTTGCCTTAACTTGTCCCTGAATATGCCTGCTCATTACTAGCGCTAACATTTTTAAATGGAATATCTGTTACTCATTTATAATTGCTTTCTTTTGGTTCAAAGTGTGCTCTGCTCTCCTAATGTTCCCAAATAGTGAGGGTGCTGCTGTTTGGGGGTGGGGGGGTCCCCTTGGAGTTTAGATTCTGTTTCTGTGGTGCAACAGTGACATCCATTGACCTGTTATGCTAATTATAGAAGAAACCTGCTTCTCTGCTCTGTGACTGTTGGATTTTCTGATATAAAGATACAAAGAGAACAAACTGTCTCCGGGCCCAAGTAAGACAAGCTAGTGGTCAACACCTGGTCCCCTGCAGACTGGGCTGGTTTCAGGACCCTTCCCAAGGATACATATTCTAAGATCAGTGCCAGCTGGGTGTTCCCTTCTGGTCAAGTGGAGACAGTCCTAGAACTGGTCCTCTCCATGGAGTTCAGCACGTTCATTGGGCTGTTGGGAAACCATTGGTTTGGGCTCCAGCATAAGCCAGGGCAAATCACTTTGCCTCTGGACTTTTCCACATTGATAAAATGAAGTCGATAGCAATACCTGCTTTGTAGTTACCAAAGTGCTCTTCCATGCATTTTATAATAACTTCCCACAATCCCACAACAATTGTGAAAATTAGGAAAGCACAGATCAGATCTGCTTAGCATCCACCGACTGTGAGGATGTGAAGCTGAACACCAAATTACAGGGTTTCAAACCTCAAGCCTTGGTGACTTATGTTTGCTACCTTAGTTGGAATTAATGAAATCATTACAGAAATTCCTGCTTCATTTCTGGAAGAGCCCTCAGGGGAGGTTCTAAAAATGGAAAATCAAAGGAAAGGCTATGTGGCTGGATGTGAGAGATTGAGCAATGAGTCAGTATCTTTAAGTAGAAAAAGATTTACATTGCTGGTTTCCATCTCCATAAAGAACATAACAGGAAATAGCAAGACTAAAAATATTTATTTTTGCCTAGTATGTGTCAGATACTCTGTTAAGCATTAAGAATGGAGGATAAACTAGACAAACTGTTTCATACCATCCAGAACCTCACTGTCAAGTGAGCAATACAGAGCAGGAACAGTGAACTATATATAATAGTGTGGTAAATGTTACATCAAGCATTCCTGCAGGATGCTACCCTTCCAAACCCCCTCCCATGTGTGTATGTGTGTGTGTGTTTGTGTGTGTGTGCACATGCCCGCATGTGTGCTTGGTAGGATCCAACTAGTAACTAACATAGGTACCTTTGGATGGATAAACAGATGAATAGTGTCAATTCAACTGGAAGCCAAAACATCAAACATTTTTCAATATCAAAACCAAGCAGATTGCAAAACTGACACATCAGATACATACCACACACAAAAACAAAACCCAAGGATTCAATTGCACTTTGTGTCATTTCATAGTAAATCTTTTTTTGGAAACAATTAGGGAATGTGTAACTAATTTGTGGTGGACTTAGCGAAACCCACCACTGACTCACTGGTAAAGCCTTTTCAAAACACTGTTATGATTAAACAAACCAAAAAAAAAAAGGCTCATCTAAAAATGGACCTCATTCAGATCCCATTCTTCCTTCTCGGTTGGTCCTCTAGCATGAAAAGCTTGGTTCTGGTGTCCCCTCTGATTAAATTGTCTCATTGGAACCCTCATTGTGAATACTCAAGGCCCATCCTTCAGCCACCTCTCCTCTCCCTCAAAGCACTTCCCGATGTGAACTGACTCTTCCTCACTAGAGAGCCTCAAGTGGATGGATCACTCCCTACTTACAGGTGGAACTTTCTGAGGACAGAAGCCAACAGCAGACCCCAGGCACCTTGCCAAGAGGCCAGGCCCCATGACTGAGTTCTTTACTCCCCCACCATCTAGCCATCTGGGCTCCTTTGGAAAAAGTACAGCCCATAGTTTAAAACATTACTTTTCATATTGGTCATTTGGGTTTAGAGCCATATGTTAGACAAACTGAGATTTTAGCCTACAGTTGTTGGCTCTCTTTGCAATTCTTATGTATATGTAACAAGCACCAAAGTATATATCAGAAATCCAGTGAAGTTGCTGTGGGCTTTCAGAAGCATTTATTTATTTATTTATGAGCTAGAGTCTCACTCTGTTGCCCAGGCTGAAGTGCTGTGGCATGACCTTGGCTCACTGCAACCTCCGCCTCCCAGGTTCAAGCGATTCTCCTGCCTCAGTCTCCAAAGTAGCTGGGACTACAGGTGTGCGCCACCACACCCAGCTAATTTTTGTATTTTTAGTAGAGATGGGGTTTTGCCATGTTGGCCAAGCTGGTCTTGAACTCCTGACATCAGGTGATCCACCCTTCTTGGCCTCCCAAAGTGCTGGGATTACAGGCGTGAGCCACCGCACCCAGCCTGAGAAAACTTTTTTACAAAACAAGAAAAGATGGGTTCATTTTGACTGAAGCAACCCATCTAAAACATGCATATGCTGAATAAACCAAGAATGAAGCTGCGCAGGGGTATTCCCAGAGGCTGTGCTCAGATGCTGGGTATCACACGGAGGCCACCAGACTCGAGAGTGTGAAGCTCACTGCCCCTCCCCACCTCACACGCACCTCTCTCACCCACGTCAGGGCACTGCCACCCGCCTCTGTGCACCCCAGCCCCCTCCAGAGCTCTTCTTGCTTGGGAAGCTCCAGCACCATCAGCATCTTCACCATTCATCTTTTAGCAATTTGCACTTGGGCATAGAATAAACCCACAAGGAGCCCTTTGCAGGACTATCTGATTAAGTGCATAGAGTGATTTGAGGTCCTCTCTAGAGGTCTCACTGCCCAAAAATCTTTCACCCAGCTGCTTAGGGTCCCATATCCCTCTATGAGGGGCTCATTCATTTGAGTTAACTCTTACCCTGTCTGTTTTTAAATAGCTACCCCTAGGAGAGAGTCATCAACACCTCAGCGATAACTAGTCTATCACATATTGGTTGCATTATTTTTTATATTTATTTTAATTAATTTTTTTTAAGATGGAGTCTTGCTCTGTTGCCTGGGCTAGAGTGCAGTGGAGCAATCTCGGCTCACTGCAACCTCCGCCTCCCAGATTCAAATGATTCGTCTGCCTCAGCCTCCTGAGTAGCTGGGATTACAGGCACCTGCCACTACACCCAGCTAATTTTTGTATTTTTAGTAGAGACGGGGTTTCACCATGTTGGTCAGGCTGGTCTCAAACTCCTGACCTCAGGTAATCCACCTGCCTCAGCCTCCCAAAGTGCTGGGATTATAGACATGAGCCACTGTGCCTGGCCTGATGAATCATTTTTTTTCATTTGTGGGTGGTTATTTTGTTTTTTGAGACACAGTCTCACTCTGTCACCCAGGCTGAAGTGCAGGAGCACAATCATAGCTCACTGCAGCCCTGAACTGGTCTCAAGTAATCCTCCCACCCTAGCTTCCTGAGTAAATGGGACTACCGGCATGTACCACCATGCCGGCTTAATTTTTTATGTTTTGTAAAGACAGTGTCTCACTGTTACCCAAGCTTGTCTTGAACTCCTGGCCTCAAGTGATCCTCCTGCCTCAGCCTCCCAAAGTGCTAGGATTACAGGTGTGAGCCACTGTACCTGGCTTAATTTGTTTTTAAAGATATTTTTATTGAGAGATAATTTATATAAAATGTGTGACTCTTGAGTATTCCAGTTCCATGAATCCTGACAAATGTATTCACTTGTGTAATCCACATCCCTATCAAACTATAATCCATTTTCTTTTTTTTTTTTCTGAGACGGAGTCTCGCTCTGTCGCCCAGGCTGGAGTGCAATGGCGCGATCTCGGCTCACACAAGCTCCACCTCCTGGGTTCACGCCATTCTCCTGCCTCAGCCTACCAAGTAGCTGGGAATACAAGCGCCCGCCACCACGCCTGGCTAATTTTTTTGTATTTTTAGTAGAGACGGGGTTTCACCACGTTAGCCAGGATGGTCTCGATCTCCTGACCTCATGATCCGCCCACCTCGGCCTCCCAAAGCGCTGGGTGGGATTACAGGCGTGAGACACTGCGCCTGGCAAATATAGTCCATTTTTATCACCAGATAAAGTTTCTTTGTGCCCCTTTCCAGTCCGCTCTGCACCTCCAGGCACCTACTGTTCTGATTTATTTCACCATAGATTAGTTTTTTCTATCCTAGAAATTCGTTAAATGAAATAACACAGTATATAATCTTTTTTGTTGATATTTGTCACTCAATGTAAGGTTTCTGAACTTTATCTGTGTTGTTGCTTGTATTAATAGTTCATTGTTTATCCATTCTCCTACTGATGGACATTTGGATTGTGTCTAGTTTGGGGCTATTATGAATAAAGCTGCTACAGATATTACTGTACAAGTATTTTTGTAGACATGTGTTTTCATTTTTCTTGGGTAAATACCTAAGAGTAAAATGCTACCTCATAAGGTGGATGTGTGTTCGATTTTCCATACCCTTTTCCAAAGTGTGGTACCATTTTGTTCCATAACCTTCCCAACATGTGGTACTGGCAGTTGTGTTAGTTTTCTATTGCTGCATAAGAAACTATTACAAATGAAGTGTCTTGAAGCAGCACTTATTTATTAGCTCACAATACTCTAGGTCACGGCTGTGCATGGCATCATTGGGTTCTCTACCTAAGACCTCACAAAGCTGAAATCAAGGTGTAGACTGAGCTGGGCTCTTATCTGGAGGCTCTAGGGGATTCTACTTCGAAGTTCCTTCTTGTTGTTGGTTGAATTCAGCTCCTTCTTGTTGTTGTTTGAATTCAGTTTCTTGTGGTTGTAGGATGAAGTCCCCATTTCCTTAATGGCTCTCACCCAGAGCTGCTCTCTCTGCTCCCAGAGGCAGCCTGCATTTCTTCTCACATGGAACCCCACACACCCATCTTCAAGCCTGCAAGACGCATTGAATCCCCCTCGTGCTTTGAATCTCTCTGCCTTCCTCTTCTACTGCCAGGCAGAGAATAAAAACTCTGCTTTTTAAAAGACTCACCTGCCTGGGCCAAACCTACCTGGATAATCTCCTGTATCTTAAGATTCATTGACTTGGGACTTCAATTGCATCTGCAATTTCCCTTCACAATCGATGTTTGAATAACTAGGGGACAGGAATCTTGGGACATCTTCAGAATTCTGCCTACCATAGCAGTCCATGATGAAGTCCTAAAATCAGGATCACTTTTCATTATCCAGTTGCTTAAGAATCCACGTATACTTTCCTTCTAAAGAAGCATGCCTACTGTAGGTTCAATAATTGCAATCCTGTGGTTCGAGCTACTTGAGAGGCTGAGGCAGGAAGATTGCTTGAGCCTAGGAGTTCGAGGCTGCAGTAGGCTGTGATTGCGACAGTGTGCTCCAGCCTGGGCAACAAAGCAAGACCCTATCTGAGGGAGAGGGAGAGAGAGAGGTAGAGGGAGAGGGAGAGGAAGGGAGAGGGAGAGGGAGGGAGAGAGGGAGAGAGGGAGAGAGAGAGATTCACAGAGTTGGTTACTGAGAGCCATGTCTCTAGATTCCTAGCCTAGAACATTGTCTACTACACTCTAATCACTTCTTGCTTCTAGACAGAGTCTGATCCTATAAGGGGACTTTGCGGTTTGGTAATTTAAATCACCATAAAAGTCTCTGGAAATCTAGAAAACATTTATTGAAAATCATGCATAGATAGTTCCAAATCAAAATTTTTAAACTGGCTAAATCTATTCCAAGAAAAGTTATACTTTGTCAGCTTGAAACCAACTGGGTAGGGAAGGAGCCATTGGGTCTGGCATGTTCATGCCTAGGTGTTAAGATCTTAGGATTTCTCGGTTGTGTGTTTGAAATCTCACTCAACCCGGGGACCCTGCATATCTCCCTAATAGAGAATAAGTAATCATAGGCCTGGCATTCAAGATACTCTCATAAGCCTTTTATTTTTCAAGATAGATTCCAGAGAAGTTGGTTGTGAAGCTACACAACTTGCTAAGTCAAGGCTAGAATCCAGGTCTCCCTGTTGCTATACACCAGAGGTAATAACCAGCAGCAAAGAAGCCCAATCTCTCGTGAAGCTGTGCTTTGTTTGGCCCATAGATTGTTGTTGTTCTTGTTGATTTAGAGATGGAGCCTCACTATGTTGCTCAGGCTGAACTCCTGGGCTAAAGTGATCCTCCTCCCTCAGCCTCCTGGGTAGCTGGGATTATAGGTGCACACTGCTGCGCACAGCTTTGGTTTTTAATTGGATTAATTTCCAATATTTAAAACTTGGAAAACTTTACATAAACATCCAGATGTCCAGGATTTTTCTGAAAAGTTGGGAACTCAGGTAACAGTGGACCCACTTTCTGCAGTGTAACAGTTGGGTTAGAGTGGTCCTTTAAACAGGACATGAGGCCTTCAGTGGCCATAGTTCCAACTGGTTCACTTTCCCCATTTACCCTCTTGGTCTCTGTAGGAACTTGAGTCATGACACCTGCCTCACCCCAAGCTGCAGTTCTGAGATACCTTGTCTGACTATTCAAACAATTTCTTATCTGGCCTATATATACCAAGTATGTTTGGCTCTCATTTCCTGGCAGTTGAAAATAATAAACCAGATTTTCAAAGTGGGTGAACTACTTGCTGGCTGTAAGTCTGGCGTCATTGAAAGAATACTTTCTCTGTAGGCCCATAGTCATTTACCACATGGGATCCTCCTGGCTGTCAGCATT
Organism: Homo sapiens; assembly: GCF_000001405.40. Classification (NCBI taxonomy): domain Eukaryota; kingdom Metazoa; phylum Chordata; class Mammalia; order Primates; family Hominidae; genus Homo; species Homo sapiens. Next base: position 76,664,178 of record NC_000004.12, read on the forward strand.
CATGTAATTTCAAAAAGTATCCCTTTCCTTATGTGCTAGCTTACTCCTCAGAAAGTTCTGACTTTCAGTGAATAAAACATCTGATATTTGTGAAGTCAAAGAGTTTGCCTAGAAAAGCCACTTTCTCATCTAAAGAGCTTACTGAACCTAACTTCTTTGGAGAACATCTGTGTAGCCATATGAAATTAATGCAGGCAGTTGTTAATTGATCATTCTTCTTGAGTTTATGCAGCCAGAATCTTTCATTGATTAATAGTTGTGATTCTCAATCTTAGCTGCACATGACAATGATCTTGACAGCTTTTAAAAATAATGATGCCTGTGCTACAATTAAAATAGTCGTGATGATGATGATGCCTGCCATTCATCCCCAGAAATTCTGATTCAGTTGGTTTGAGGTTGGTCCTGGGCCTCTGGGTCTTTATGCTTTTGTTACTGTTGTATCGTTTTATTGTGGCAAACAGACACACACATACTCACATACATTAAATTTGTCATCTTAACCAGTTTTAAGTGTATAGGTCAATAATGTTAAGTGTATAGTTCAATAAGTTTAAGTATATCAAAGTTATTGTGCAATGGAGCTTGATAACTTTTTTATCCTGCAAAACTGAAACTCTATACACACTAAAAACTCCATTTCCCTCTTCCACAGCCTCTGGTTGCGCCTTGGTTTTAAAGGCTTCCAGGTGGTCGAGCACGGTGGCTTTTGCCTGTAATCCTAGCACTTTGGTAGGCCGAGGTGGGCAGATCACTTGAGCCCAGGAGTTTGAGACCAGCCTGGGCAACACAGTGAGACCACGTCTCAAAAATATATATATTAACAAAATAAAGGCTTCCAGGTGATTCAGATGTGCCTCCAACCTTGACTTGGAGGGAAGGATTCCCACCTCAAAGGGGTTCTAAGGATTTTACAGTTCTTACCAGGGTTTCCACAGCTGCCAATACCATCTACAAATAGGTAGGATGGGTTTTTTGTGTACACAGTAGTACTAGGACTTCTGATGAACTTGAGTACAGTTAGCCTCTGCTTCAGGCCTCCAACTGTGGAACCACCTCCACTTGGCTGCAGCTTTACCTATGAAGTACTCATTCATGCCATGTGGCCTGGCTGGGATCCATGGGGTTTTTTTAATCTCCTATCTCTCTGCCATTTATAGCTTGTGTTTGATTTCTTGACCCACCCTTAATACCAGTTGAGGGTGGGGCACCTGGGAAGGTGTACCAGGAAGCTGTGGCATTCCAAGAGTTCTTTGGACTTGGACTGTCAGAAGAACCAGTCATCTGGAAGAGAGCCCAGATCCATATGGACTTCCTGCACCAGCAGTGGTGAAATTCAAGGCTTTGCCTGGAGTCCTGGACTGTTCTATGGATTTGGCTGCTTTTTGTCACATCTACAATAATTAAAATGGTGTTTTGTGATGTTTGTGGCTGTTTAAGCTTACCTATTTTATTAACTTGATTCCTGGCACTTTCATCTGTCTCTCATGATCCCAATAGAATAGAAACATTGCCCTGTTCTGGTATTTTCCATGAGCTACCTGTTGTGTTCATCTGTGGAAAACAGTTGTTTTGAGAAACAGATTCAAGTTGATGGAGCTAGGACCTGGCTTGCATCCTTTTTTTGTAGCATAAAATTCAAAACCTCTCTCTCCTGTTTACTGGTATATGTCTAATCTTTCTCTCTGCCATCAGGCGTGACATCCTGACCCCACGCCATACCTTCATTCCCTGATAAGCGCTGCCCTGGTAAGTTCCACTGCATCAGTGCTGACCTACCTGACCTGGCATACTACAGAAATCTTTAAGTGCATTAGGACGTTCCAGCTGAACACTTTTATCACAAAAGCAAACAAGACTGGGTCACCCTTAGGACCCCTATGGATTACTGGGAAAAAAAGAAAATTTTATGAGGAAAATCTGGGGTTAAAGTGTTGTTGACTTACGGTGGTACCTCTAAAATCCTTTAAAAAAGAGTAATTTTCTGCATTGTCGGTCTAGGGTTTAAGAAAAGTCCAGTGATACCCCAGTGTCAAAGCTGCAGAAAGTTCTGGCCTCACTCATTGCAGCTGGAGCTTTGCAGTTTTAATCTTGGACTTGTTCATGTGATTACTTCTATTCAGATACATCAGTGGATTACAGCCTGCCTGGTGTAATCACGGCTCACTGCAGCCTCTACCTCCAGGTCTCAAATGATCCTCCCACCTCAGTCCCCTGAGTAGGTGGGACTGCAGGCATACACCATTATGCCCAACCAATTTTTAAATTATTTTTTGTAGAAACAAAGTCTCACTCTGTTGCCTTAGCTAATCTAATCTTGAACTGGTGGGCTCAAATGATCCTCCCTCCTCAGCCTCTCAAAGTGCTGGGATTACAGGCATAAGCGATCATGCCCGGCCTGTTATGTAGTCTTTATAACATTTTTTTAAAAAGAGGAAATGCTAAGCAAATAGATGTTATTAAAATTGTAGTGCAAACCAAAACGAGAATGTGGGAAGATGTTATAAGATGTATGATAAAGATCTTTCAATTCTTATATCTTAATTTCTTAAAAGGAAATACAGAGCAAGCAGGGACTCAGAGCTATCTGCATACCCATGTTCATAGCAGCATCATTGATGATAGACAAAGGGTAGAGGCAACCCAAGTGTCCATGGAGGGAAGAATAAATAAACAAACTGTGGTATAAACATTTAATGGCCTATCATTCTGCCTTAAAAAGGAATGAAATCCTGTTACAGAATATGACATAGGTGAACTTTGGGAATGTTATGCTAAGTGAAAGAAGCCAGTCACAGAAGGAAAAATACAGTGTAATTCCACTTATACAAGTTACCTAGAATAGTCAAATTCATAGAAACAGAAAGTAGAATGGTGGTTGGCAGGGGCTGGGGAATGGGAGGATTGGACAATTATTGTTCAGTGTGTACAAAGTTTCAGTTTTACAACTTCGTAAAACTGAAGAGTAAAAGAGTTCTGAGTACAAGAGTAAAAGAGTTCTGAGTACAAGAGTAAAAGAGTTCTGTAGATGAATGCTGGTGATGGTTGCACAACAGCATGAATATACTTAATGCCCCTGGACTGTACACTTACATGTGGTTAAGATGGTTCACTTTACATTATGTAGGCTGTTTTTTCTTTTGTTTTGTTTCGTTTTTTTTAGACAGGTTCTCGCTCTGTCACCCATGCTGGATGCAGTGATGTGATCACGGCTTACTGCAGCCTCAATCTCCAGGGCTCAGGCGATCCTCCCACCTCAGCCCTGAGTAGCTGGGACTACAGGCATGTGCCATCATACCCAGATAATTTTTAAATTATTTTTTGTAGAAACAAGGTCTCACTCTGTTGCTGGTCTTCAACTCATGGGCTCAAGCAATCCTTCCTCCTCAGCCTCCCAAAGTACTGGGATTACAGGCATGAGCCATCATGCCCAGCCTGTTATGTATTCTTTACAACAATTTGTTTAAAGGGGAAATGCTAAGCAAATAGAAGATGTTATTAAAATTGTTGCTTGGGCGCGGTGGCTCACGCCTGTAATCCCAGCACTTTGGGAGGCTGAGGCGGGCGGATCATGAGGTCAGGAGATCGAGACCTTCCTGGCCAACACGCTGAAACCCCGCCTCTACTAAAATACAAAAAAATTAGCTGGGCGTGGTGGCGCCCGCCTGTAGTCCTAGCTACTCGGGAGGCTGAAGCAGGGGAATCACTTGAACCCGGGAGGCGGAGGTTGCAGTGAGCCAAGGTGCGCCACTGCACTCCAGCCTGGGCGACAGAAGGAGACTCCCTCTCAAAAAAAAAAAAAAAAAAAAAAAAAAGTTGTTCTGCAGGTGCACGCAGGGTGCGGGGAGGGAGCACATAATGTCACGCCCCCTCTCCCTTGTCCACCGCTGCAGCCTCCTCCTGCAGCTCCTGGTGCTGCTTGTGTGCTCCTTCGGTGAGGACCTGGTACCTCTTCTGTGAAGCGGCAGCTGAGGAGACTCCGGCGCTCCCCATGGCCGGCGAAAAGCCCAAGGAAGGAGTCAAGACTGAGAACAACGATCATATTAGTTTGAAGGTGGCGGGGCAGGATAGTTCTGTGGTGCAGTTTGATTAAAAGGCATATGTCGGGCGCGGTGGCTCACACCTGTAATTCTAGCACTTTGGGAGGCTGAGGCAGGCAGATCACCTGAGGTCAGGAGTTCGAGACCAGACTGGCCAAAATGGTGAAACCCCGTCTCTACTAAAAATACAACAACAACAACAAAAATTAGCCGGACGTAGTGGCACATGCCTGTAATCCTAGCTACTCAGGAGGCTGAGGTGGGAGAATTGCTTGAACCAAGGAGGCAGAGGTTGCAGTGGGCTGAGATTGTGCCATTGCACTCCAGCTGGGGCGACAACAGCAAAACTCCGCCTCAAAACAAACAAACAAACAAACAAACAAATGAAAAAAACTAAGAGGCATACATCACTTAGTAAACTAATGAAAGCGTATTGTGAATGATAGGGATTGTCAATGAGGCAGATCAGATTCCGATTTGACAGGCAACAAATCAATGAAACAGACACACCTGCACAGTTTGAAATAGAGGATGAAGATACAATTGATGTGTTCCAACAGCAGAGGGGAGGTGTCTACTGAGAAGGGAAGCTGCTTCGTTACTCCAGGACTGTTTTCTTTTCAGACCAACATGACATTCTCAGTTAGAAAACTGCAATTTGGTTCTACCACATTCTGACTACTACAGTATAGTTTTCTCTATTATTTAATTTCCCCCTTCCCCATTCCTTTATTGCACATAAAGTAACTGGCATATGTGCACAAGCATATTGCATTTTTTAACTAAACAGCCAATGGTATGTTTTGATTGACATCACATGGAGACGGGATAGGGAAAAATACTGATTGTGTGAAAATGCCCCCTTTCTCCTTTAGTGGCATGCTCACTCAGCTCTTATCTTTCTATTCTAGTAAGTTATTTTGCTTTTACTGTTTTAACAAAACAACAACATAAAAATCCTTGTATACCTTGTTCAATTGGAGAATTTTAATGTTTTTCATTTATCCTTGTTAAACCAAGGACGGTTTTATAACTCTTTTGTATGTAGCTGTTACGTGTAGGGGAATCTGTCTTTAAGTAGGGATAAATTACTCTAAAACAAACAAAAAAAGTAATCCTATGGCTGGACTCAGTGGCTCACACCTGTAATCCTAGCAGTTTGGGAGGCCGAGGCAGGCAGATCACTTGAGGTCAGGAGTTCAAAACCAGCCTGGCCAACATGGTAAAACCCTGTCTCTACTAAAAATTCAAAAAGAATTAGCTGGGTGTGCCTGTAATCTCAGCTACTCGGGAGGCTGAGGTGGGAGAATCACTTGAACCCGGGAGGTAGAGGTTGCAGTGAGCCGAGATCGGGCCACTGCACTGCTACAGAGCAAAACTCTGTCTCAAAAAAAAAAAAAGAATCCTAGATACTTTTCTCTTCACATATCTTGTTTAAATAAACTTTTTGCTTAAAATTTAAAAAAAAAATAATAATTGTTGTGCAAACCAAAACGAGTATGTGGGATGTTACATGAATTTCTCTTTGGTCAGATTTATATAGAGGTGAGACTAAGTCACAGAGAATTGCTTTTATTATGCCTGAGGAATGCATCTTAAACATGGGACATGCTGCTCAAAAACGGGCCTAACTTTGTTAGATGTTTTAAGGAAACTAAGGTTCCACATCCATGTGCCTACCTGCCAACTGGGCACACCCACACCATATCTCATAGGCACTTGCCCCAGACTGAGGTAATCTTTCTCATCAAAACTGCTCTCTTTCTAGTCTTCCCCATTTCTGTGAATTAGGTATCATCACTCATCAGTTGCCAAGCTTGAAATCTGGGCATCTTCCTTGCCCCCTTCATTTTTCTCACAACCTCCCACATCTAATAAAAATTAACAAGGCCTCTGTCTGTCCACTGCAAGACTTTTACACAAATGTTCAAAGCAGAATTATTCATCATAGACCAAATGTGGGAATAATCCAAGTGTTCATCAACTTGTAAATAGAAAAATGAAATGTTGTATTTCTACACAATAGAATACTATTCTACAATAAACAGGAATTAACTATTGAAACATGCTACAACACAGACGGACCTCAAAAACATTATGCTAAGTAAAGGAAGCCAGACACAAAAGATTACATATTGTGATTCAAGTTATTTGAAATATCTAGAAAAGGAAAATCTATAGAGACAAAAAGGAGATCAGTGATGCCTGGGTTAGGGGGTGGGAGCAGGGATTGGGCATGAGGGAATTTTGGGGGTGATGAAAATGTCCTAAACCTGGATTATAGTGATGGTTGCAAAACTCTATCCATTTACTAAAAATCATTGAATTGTATACTTTTTTTTAAAAAAGGCATTTTATTTGAAAAATAACTTAGATATTTTATATTGAATCAAACAGATTTATTATAGAAAGAAAAGCAAAGGGCATAACTGTATAAATCAAGAAAGAGATTTTGGCTAGGTGCAGTGGCACATGCCTGTAATCCTAGCACTTTGGGAGGCCAAGGCGGGTGGATCACTTGAGCTCAGGAACTTAGACCACCCTGGGCAATATGGCAAAACCCTCTCTCTACTAAACATACAAAAATTAGCCGGGCATGGTGGTGCATGCCTGTGGTCTCAGATACTTGGGAGATTGAAGTGGGAGGATCACTTGAGCCTGGGAGGTCACAGTGAGCTGAGATCATGCCACTGCACCCCAGGCTGGGTGCAGAGTAAGACCCTGTTTCAAAAATAAATAAATAAATAAAAATAAAAGAGTTCAAGAAGATTAACAAGACCTATCCACTCCATTTTCTAATTTGTCTCCCTATCCTCACCTCCCTTTTAATCCCCTCTGCTATTACCCTAGTTTAGCCTATTTATTTGTTTGTTCAACAAACATTTGACCACCTACTATGTGCCAGCCACTTTCCTAGATGCTTGAGGTATAGTAAACAAACCAAGCAGACCCCTGGCCTCATGGAGCTTACATATTGGCAATAGAGGGGCCAGCATCACCTCCAGGTGTACTCCCACGACTGTGCCCTAACTGTTCTCCCTACCTCTGGCCTTGCCCCACTCCATCAGTGTCCACTACAACCATAGTGATCCTTCAAGAATGCAGATCTGATCCTGTCCCTCTGCTTAAAAACTTCCAATGGCTTCCAGTTGCCTTTTGGATAAACTTCAAACTCCTAACCAGGACTTGACTGTAGCTGTGTATCTGGAGCCGGCCAGGCCTTTGTGCCCAGGCTGTGTGTGCCAGCTGTAGCCACTTCCTCCTTTGTGCTCTCCTCCATCCATACTGGCATCTTCCCTTTCCTGGGTCTGCCAGCCCTCTTCATTCTCTTTGCTAACCTAACTCCCATTTAATCTCTATATCTCTGTTTAGAATCCTTTTGCAATCCCTCAGTTCCAGTTTAGGGGGCCTTCCTATAGTTCCCCAGTCTGCCAGACAGATTTCATCACACAGTTCCCATGGAAAAGAGATGCACAATAAAACATGTTAATAAAACACGTTAGGTGAATGAACACCCAGAAAGAAACATCTAGAGAGAGACAGGTTGAGCCAATACAGGTTAAGTATCTCTTATCCTACATGCTTGGAACCAGAAGTGTTTTGGATTTCAGATTTTTAAAAATTTTTTTTGGATTTTGATATTTTTGCATTATATATTTACCAGCTGAGCATCCCTTATCCAAAAATCCAAAATCCACAGTGCTCCAGTGAAGATTTCCTTTGGGCATCACGTCAGTGCTCAAAAAGTTTCAGATTTTGGGGCAGTTTGGATTTCAGATTTTTGTATTAGGGATACTCAACATATATTGACTTTTGTTACTTATGTGATACCATAGCCCCCACATTTAAGGGAAAGAGTGTTTTTCAGAGTTAGGAAACAGGAGCTTTATATACAATTTCCATGAAGGACACAGTGAGAAAGAAAGTCAAGATGATTTATCCCTCTAAAAAAAATGAACATAGCAAGATTTTCCGTTCTAATTCTATAAATGAGATTAACAATGAAGTGATATGCATACAAAGTGCTAAGGTTATTTGGTTAAAAGAAACTAAGGTAATATTTTCGGAGAGAAAAGAAAACCAGAGAATAATTCTATCCCTATTGTTGGCATTGAGGATATTGCTTCAGCAGGCATATATCTTAAATGTTTTAATTAAATTCTTTTTACTGGAACTTACTCTGTTACTTCAAATTAGGGACCAAAAAAAAAAAAAAAAAAAGAATACCGTTTCTCTCTGCTCACCAGCTTCTTTTGATAGGAACAGTAAGCTTAAACTATGTGGCAAGTTGACTTGAAACTTAGTTACTCCCCAAAGAAAAGCTACTGATATGTCACCATTTTGTAAAGGATACATGCATTTTTTTTGTTTTTTAGACCAAGTCTCGCTCTGTCACCCAGGCTAGAGTGCAGTGGCGTGATCTCAGCTCACTGCTAGCTCCGCCTCCTGGGTTCACACCATTCTCCTGCCTCAACCTCCTGAGTAGTTGGGACTACAGGCTCCCGCCACCACGCCTGGCTAATTTTTTGTATTTTTAGTAAAGACAGGGTTTCACCATGTTAGCCAGGATGGTCTCATCTCCTGACCTCGTGATCCGCCTGCCTCGGCCTCCCAAAGTGCTGGGATTACAGGGTATGGTGGCTCATGCCCGGCCGGATACATGCATTTTAATTTGGTGAAAAAATATTACTTGCATTAAGGGGATTCTGCCTCATTGCCCTTAAAAAAGTTCTCTTCCCTACAAATTTCCAAACTAAAGGGAGCATACATCAAAACAACATTTGCTGTTTGTCGCTTTGATCAAGAAACACCCATTTCAAAAATAAACTCAAAACTAGGCCAGATTTTTTGAAAAGTCCCTTCCCTAATTAAATCAGTCAATATAAACAGCTTAGCCTCCCCACTGGATAAGAAAGAAAAAGTGGGATGGGGTGAGGGTGGGTAGGTAGCCCAGGTAATAAGTAATTGAGTTGGGTTCCTTAAGCTTCTCATTTTGCCTGTCGCCATGACTGTCTTCAACGGTTAGCTCTATGAATCTCTATCAGACTTGAGTTGGAATCACACTGTGTGATTAGGGACTTAATATAGTCTTATTTGGGTCTTCAAAAGCTTCTTTTGCCATTATATATTATACCAAGGTAATTTTAAAAATAATCTTATTGGCCAATGGTTTAGAAAGAAAGATTTTTTTTTTCTGAAGAAGATCCACAGTTCTCCTCTCTGTTTCTGTAAAGTCTTATATTTTTCTGTTTTTTGTCCTTTTTGTCTACATAAAGAGAAAGGATGTTTAAGAGTAACTGCTAGGCAGCTTGCTGAGAGAAAAAAGCCAAGGGTGGAGGAGTGGGGTGGGGTTTAAATAGCAGCCAAATTGAGCAATAGTGTATTTTCCTCTTCAGAATGAATTAGGCTATTTTCTTCTTTTTCATACTTGTTCTTTACTGTGTTTTTGTTAAAAAAAATTTTAATTGTGATGAAAAATACATAACATAAAATTTACCACCTTCACCACTTATAAGCGTGCAATTCAGTAGTATTAAGTATATTCACATTGTGGTACAACAGATCTCCTGAACTTTTTCATCTTGCAAAACTGAAACTCTATATCCATTAAACAACCCCCGTGTCCCCACTTTACTGTTGTGTTTTAAAAATATTTATTTATTTGTTTATTTTGAGACAGGGTTTCACTTTGTTGCCTAAGCTAGACTGCAGTGGCGCAATCGTAGCTCACTGTAACATTGAACTCCTGGGGTCAAGTGATCCTCCTGCCTCAGACTCCCAAGTAGCTAGGATTACAGGTATGTGCCACCACACCCAACTACTTTTTTTTTCTTTTGTAGAGACAGGGGTCTTGCTATGTTGACCAGGCTGGTCTGAAACTCCTGGCCTCAAGCGATCCTCCCACCTCTACTTCCCAAAGTGCTAGGATTACAGGCATGAGCCACCATGCCCAGCCTTACTGTTGTTTGTAAATTAGAATTAAAAAGATGGACTTTTCTGATTCTGTATAATGTTTTCATCAATTCATATGTCGAAAAGTCAAAATTTTAAAGTATTTTTAATATAAGAGATACCTGTTTTCTATGAACAGTGATCCTATATTTCTATAGGTTATTTATCTTTTCTTCTCTCCTACACATTTTCAGGTAGGTGAGACAGGAACTCATTCACATCCTTGAATCTTTAGCCACCTCTCTGACTCCTCATAACGTGAGGATTGAGGCTGAGTTGTCCTCTAATAGCAGGAAGCAGAATAATCCTTTTTTCCTAGATCATATGTCAAATTTATTTTCTTCTCTCTCTTTCTCTTTCTTTCTTTCTTTCCTTCCTTCCTTCCTTTTTTTTTTTTTTTTTTTTTTGTTTTGACACAGGGTCTTGCTCCATTGCCCAGGCTGCCACAATCTCAGCTCACTGCAAACGCTGCGTCCCCAGGCTCAAGTGATCCTCCCACCTCAGCCTCCCAAGTAGCTGGGACTACAGGCACACATCACCATGCCCAGCTAATTTTTGCATTTTTTGTAGAGCCAGGGTTTCTCCATGTTGCCCAGGCTGGTCTTGAACTTCTGGGCTCAAGTGATCCGCCTGCCTCGGCCTCCCAAAGTGCTGGGATTACAGGCGTGAGCCACCACACCCGGCCATGTCAAGTTTCTAGAAGCCATTTCTTACCTTCTCCCCACTCATCCTCCCCATTCCCCCCACTCTTCAGCAACTGTGGCATACTAGTCTCTGGTCTTAGGGTTCATACCGGCTGCCAGGGGTCCTTCTTGGGTTGGCTCCAGTTTTCTGAAATCTGGCAGTTAGTTAATAAGAAAACGAGGGATATAAATAATGGGCTTAGACAGTTTCCTCTGGGTATGCTTTTAGGTTCTGTCAGATTTATTCATTCCTACACATGAGGAAGAGACCAATGTTCCCTTCAGACATGAATATGAACATAGACCAGAGATAAACAAGGTGGGGTGTGTGTAGGGAGTAGGAGGGAAGCTCAAAGTCCAGATGCGTATTAGCACCGGTGAAAACACACCCATTTATGAAGAACAGGGATCTCATGCTGGATAAGGGGACAAAAAGCAGAATTCTTAACCTGGCAACTACCATACTGACAGAAGCAGGGTTCTCACTCATTAATTCATGATATTGAAGTACCACTGGTATTTCTAAAAACAGTTTTCAAAGCATTATTTGTTTTGTGATCTCAGTAGTTTGAAAACTCCAAAGGAATGTTTATTGGAGATCTATTATCTACCATGCCTTGTACTAGACACTGTAGGTACCCAGAAGAGTAAGAAAGATGTAGTCCCTTCCCTCAAGAATCTTACTGTCTAGTTGTCAAAATCCTGGAGTATATTATAAGTAGAGGCCAGGCGCGATGGCTGATGCCCATAATCCCAGCACTCTGGAAGGCCAAGATGGGAGGATCACTTGAGGCCAGGAATTCAAGACCAGCCTAGGCAACATAGAGGCCCCATTTTTATAAAAAATTTAAAGATTATCTGGTCATGATGATGTGTGCCTGTAGTCTCACTTACTCAGGAGTCTGAGGCAGAAGAATCCCTTAAGCCCAAGGATCCCTCTGAGGCTGCAGTGAGCTGCGATCATGCCACTGTAATCCAGCCTGGGTGACAGAGTGAGACCCTGTCATCAATCAATCATTAGATACGTAGTTAGAGGATAGATAGATAGGTAGGTAAGTAGATAGATGATAGCAGAGAAGGCTGAGAGCTGATACAGGCTGAGGAACAAAGTCAGGGGACCCTAAAGTTATTCAAGGGATTAAACAGGATAAGGAAAATAAAGCACTCAGCAGACTTCCTGAGACACTGGTCAATAAATGGAAGTTGTTGTCAGTAGCAAGAATAATATTCAGATAAATTAGCTCCAGGAGTAGATCTCGTTGGGAATACAGGGCATACGCATATGCTTCTCAGCAGTTTTATGACAAGTACCAAAAATTTGGTTCATAAATTCAGGGAAAAAATGGCTGGAGCAACTGGGAAAAGATCTTGGAAGAATGGGACTTACAAAAACAAAGGGGGACAAGGAGGATAGCCTAGCCTTATAAAAATGAGATGGTGGGCATGTGTCTAGTGTTTTAGGAACATGAATTCAACCATACCTGTGTGTGCTATTCACCATGTGGCATCAGAGATGAATGAGGCAGAATCCCTGCTCCTAAAACACTTTTCATCTAGGAGGAAGATTTTTGTTTTAATGGTATCAATAGATTTATTAAAGTTAAAACGTGATAAAGGCTATAGTAGATGATTGAATGATGCAGTTTTGAACACTTAGAAGAGAGAGAAGTTGCTTTTGGATGAGGATCAGAGGCATTTCATTGAGAAAGGAATATATTTTGCAGGTCCTGGGAGGTTGGCTAGAATTTCCATAGCAGAGATTGGCGTTAAGGAAAGGATCGAAACCCAGACAAAGGAAAATGGAGGAGGGAAACCAGGGCATGCTTGTAAAATGGTAATTATTCGACTCATTAAAGGTCGTTAGAAAAACTCTGACCCTTGGAGAGCGAGACCATCCTGGCTAACACAGTGAAACCCTGTCTCTACTAAAAATACAAAAAATTAGCCGGACATGATGGCCGGCGCCTGTAGTCCCAGCTACTCGGGAGGCTGAGGCAGGAGAATGGCGTGAACCCGGGAGGCGGAGCTTGCAGTGAGCAGAGATGGCGCCACTGCACTCCAGCCTGGGCGACAGAGCGAGACTCCGTCTCACAAAAAAAAAAAAAAAAAAAAAAAGGAAAAGGAAAAAGAAAATTTCTGACCGTTATAGCTTAGCCAGTTAGGATGAAATCAGGCAAAGTTATGTGAAAAGGTACAATTTTTAAAGAAAATTTGAATAAATTCCCATTTACTGAGGAAAAATCATTCTAGAGACATCTGGGGCTTTGTCCATCCCCCATTAGACTTACGAGGTAAAAAGGGTTTAGAAGTAGCTTGGTTTTTCTTAGTGCCCTGAATAGGAATAAAGTATTTGCCTGTACAGAATGAATGTGTCCACTTTCCTTTACCTTCTAGGAGATAGCAAACTTTGTCCTCTTATTAAAATAGTTTAACCTACAGCACATCTTGGTTATCCAGGGTGGTGTGAGAGAAAAGCACGGGCTTTGGGGTTGGGCAGACTTCTCTGAGTCTTCATTCTCTCCCTTCTTTACTGTTGGACCTTGGGAAGTTACTTAAAAGTTGAGCTTCGTTTTCTCTTCTATAAAACAGGACTGATAATAGCTACCTTAAGGTATTATTGTAAAAATTAGAAAGAAAGTATATAAATAACCAGGCGAGGTGAATGACCAGGCAGCACAAAATACATGGTGGCTGCTTCTCTTACCAATAGACAATGGCGCAACTCTTTGTGGGCAAGTGTGTCTGTCTGTATTGCCATGATTTTTGGTTTACCATCAAGAAATGGCAGCCAAGAGCCTGCTAGAATCTGCTCAGGACTCTGTTATCTTCTTGCCTTTGGCCAATACAAGCACATGTTGGACACCGCCCAAATGTGCCCACTATAAGAATTTTAAAAGTATATTTTTCCCCCATCTTATCTTTTCGTTTCTAGGCAAGAGCGCTAAAGTATGTGGCATAATACTCACATCCGGCTTGGAGTAGAACAGTTTCCTGAACACCTACGGGGAGAAAGTTGTGCTTAAAAGCAAATAAACTGGAAAGTCAAGAAAAATTTTCCTCTTGCGTGAATCTGCTTGTGAAAGTCTAAAATAAAATGTGTGATTTGAGGCAAATGAAAGAGATCCTAGAAAATTAAGTACTCTGAAGAGTTATCGTGGTGGTTACTGGCTAGAATCCCTCTTAGAAGCACATTGTCTGTAGGTTTTTAGAGAATAAGAGAGGTGAATTAGCTTTTTTAAGTCAACAATTAAAGTGAGACTGCCAACAAAAGTAAACAGGAGCTACATTTAATTTCTGTTTTTCCTTTGAGAGCCAAGGAGGCCAGCACTTCAAGTCCAATGAAACTGCTAACTAGCTAATGGAAAATTTTTCTTTTCAAACATAAATATTAAGGTTTACAAGTAAAGATAAGGGTTTTTTTGTTGACATAGAGCACCAAATAAGACTTAGCCCCTTTTAGAAAATTTGTGGACATTCAATATCATATTGTCTGGACCTCAGTAGGAGTAAATCATCAAAGGAAGTCATTTGCATTTCAGGAACCCCAATTAGTTTTACCCTAGCAACTTTTCTTGCTTTTATCTCTTGAAGTTTATTTTTCATGGCACTTTGGGTTTTCTTAAAGCAGTGTATGGCAATGTTGATGACCTTTAAATATTTATATGTAGTCAAGACTTTATATACCAAAGTCTTAAGAAGACAACTGAGTCAGTCGGATGGGTGTTTTGATGCTATGAATAAAATTGAAAGGCCCAAAATTCTGATATGACGCAAAGACATGAAGTGCCAAATCAATAAGCAATTTTATTTTTTATTTATTTTTTTGAGACGAAGTCTTGCTTTTGTTCCTCAGGCTGGAGTGCAATGGCGCGATCCTGGCTCACTGCAACCTCCGCCTCCCAGGTTCAAGCAATTCTCCTGCCTCAGCCTCCCGAGTAGCTGGGATTACAGGTGCCTGCCACCATGCCCGGCTAATTTTTTGTATTTTAAGTAGAGACAGGGTTTCACCATGTTGGCCAGGCTGGTCTCAAACTCCTGACCTCAGGTCATCTGCCTGCCTCGGCCTCCCAAAGTGCTGGGATTACAGGCATGAGCCACCCCACCCAGCCGAGCAATTTTTTTTAAAAGTAATTTTAGTTTTGTTGTTGATGTTTTTTATTGTTATGAAGAAATCGTTGGTGTATTTGATGATTCTCTTGGTCAGCGAAGCTGCTCTTAACAATAAATAAGTGATAAGTTTGTAGCAATGGAAAAACATGATTCTACCAGTCATTAAAACAGATTTCTACAAGTCATTTGTTCAACTTGCATGCCAGTTTATGACAGTGTCACCTTTCTCTATTTCTAGTTCTCCTGTCTCCTTACTTATCACATAAGATTAGAGTCAGATACCTCAACCTAGTCTTAAAATCCCCCACCCACTGCCCTCCAGGCACGCTAGTGTCTTCCATCCCAGGTCTACTCTTGGCCTAGTCTTTCATCCTTTTCATCTCATTATCTCCTACACTGTTTCCCTGGCTCTTTTTCCCCACCCAGTCATCAGGCAGCTTCTCAGACAGGGAAGCAGTATTTGTTAAAATACAAGTTGTAAGCCAAGGATAGGAACTGTACCAAATTCCATGCTTAAATCTTCTATGCTTCCCCTTCCTCATAGCTCCCCCAAGCCTTTACTTATCTTCATCTATGTCGTTAAAACATGAATATTTTTCTAGAAGAAAAAAAAAAGCTTCCATTAGAACATATGGGATTATGCCCCAGAAAAGATTCAGTCCTCAAGTCTTGTGCTTTTTGGACATCATCAATTAAAATACTCACTTGTCTCAACAGAAAATAATATTCTCACTTCTGCTCAGGCAAAGGTTAGGTTCTGAATGCCATCCAGCTCAGCCTGTCCATCCTGCACATAACCACCTCCCCACACTCCCCAGGCACATTCTCCTCGGTGACAAGGACCTACCGGTATTTGAATGCACTCCAGTTGAACCCATGCTGTTAAGGACCTGTCACTTGTGGAGTTTTACCTTTCAGGATTCTGGGCCATCATTACTCATTGTCACCTAGATCACATGTCTTTTTCAAAGAGTCAAATGCCCTTCACATACCAAGCACACTTCACTTTCTTCCAGAAGGTTGTCGCCACTAACAGGAGGTGGCAGCTGTTAGTAATTCACATCAACCCTGTTGAGAGCTTCAAGGTTGAAAAGGAAAAACACTTTCTCCAGCGCAAACAACCAGAATCAGTTTTAAGCTGGTGAGGTTTTGTTGTTTGGATTGCAGCTTGACCTATACCTTTTTTTTTTTTTTTTGAGACGGAGTCTCGCTCTGTTGCCCAGACTGGAGTACAGTGGCGCAATCTCTTCTCACTGCAAGCTCCGCCTCCTGGGTTCACGCCATTCTCCTGCCTCAGCCTACCGAGTAGCTGGGACTACAGGCGCCCACCACCACGCCCGGCTAATTTTTTGTATTTTAGTAGACACGGGGTTTCACTGTGTTAGCCAGGTTGGTCTTGATCTCCTGACCTCACGATCTGCCCGCCTCGGCCTCCCAAAGTACTGGGATTACAGGCGTAAGCCACTGTACCTGGCCCGACCTATACCTTTTACAAGTGAATTTACAAAGTGGATTTTCTTCTCTGAAATTTTGCTCGGGGACCAAAATTTAAATAAATACCATAAGTGAAAGACATTACCCTATTTCTCCCACATAATCGTCACTCACCCCCATACATGTTAAGTGCTGCCTGATTAATAAGAGCTAAAATTCAATAAGCACTTCCTTTATAGCAGGGACTATCCTAAGTGCTTCATATAAAGTATTACATCTAGAACTTCAGCAACTCTGTGATTCAGATTCAATGTTTAGCTACCATTTTGTAGGTGAGAAACTGCTTCATGGGGTAAGTGGTCATCACAAGATCACATCATAAGCGCTGCAGCCAGGACTCAAATTTACCTATTCTGCTTCAGAGACTACACTTTTAACCATTAATTCCATGATGCAATACTGTCTCAACTGAAATGGGATTCCACCTTGGTGGCAAAGTCATTATGATCAAAATCAATGAGCCCGGCACCTCCCATTCAATATCCTCCCCATGCTGTCAGCATGACTTCTTGAACAGTGCAGATCTGATCATGACACTGGTATAAAAGTTGTAGTGATTTCTCTTTGCCTACAAAATAAAGTACAGATCTTGAAGATGGCCTAAAGGGCCATTATCTTCCACCATCTGCCTCTCCATCTATATCAACTGCCACCTGCCCATGCCCTAGTGATGTCACTTGCAGTTCCACAACTGGCCTGTGCTGTTTGATGCTTTGAGATCTTCAAACTTTCTGCCCTGAACTATTCCTCCCCTCCTCTTAGTTAGCAAGTTCATGCACATCCTTCAGAACCTCTCCCAAGCATGTCCTGTGCATCCTTCCCTGACATAAATATCCTCTCCTCTGTTTGCTACCAACACATAGAACTATTTATCAAAATTATCATAGCCACTATTTTCAGCTCTCATGTGCCAGGCATAGTATTGAACACTTAGCATGTTTGCTGGGTACAAATATTGAACCACAGACATAATTAAGGGAGAAATGTTACTGTTTCTTTAAAAAAAAAAAACTGACCATAATTTCTATTTTGAGACCTCATTCAGCTGGGAGACAGAAACTTAGTATCAGCCAATTCAGGATCCCCTCTAGCTCCTGGGGTTGCAGCTAAGTTGTAAGAAGCTTAGGCAGAGTCTAGGGTGTGTGTGTGTGTGTGTGTGTGTGTGTGTGTGTGTGTGTATGTGTCTGGATGAGATTGAACCTTTGGTATCCTTGTCACCATTCCCCATGCTAGTGTCTGGTTGGTGTCTGGTGTCGGGATGTTGGTATCTGCAGCCTTTTCAGATGGATTAGGAATCTGTGCCCTCTTGGATTACCAGAAACAATTTGCCTCTCCTGAACCACTTTGGACTGGAAAGATTGGTGGAAGGTATAACACTCTCTCCAGCCCAGGTGTACCACACAGACATTTCTTTCATTCCCACTCCATGCTGGGCTCGCAGGGACTCTGGGACTGAGTCAGTTCTCCGGAGTCTTGCCTGGGACCAGGGCCCACATCCTTTGTGCCCTCAACTCTCTGCTTCTCTGGAGCTTTCATCTTGCCCTACATAACACTCCTAACTCCCCTCCACTTTCCCTCTGGCTCTCCTTGCCTTTCTTTGTTAGTCCTAGAAAGCTGTAATGTCTGCTGGGAAGAAAAACTGGCTCTAATTGAGTATTCTTGCACATCTTAAGTCGGGCACATGCATTCCTTTGTTCTATGAGTTCTGTTGTGTTCCCTTGTTTTTCTTTGGTCAGTGAATGACACTGACTGGGAAGAAAGATGAAGGTTACTGGAAAAGTCAATGTTATGAGTAAGCAGTTAATATCTCACTGTTACCTTGGCCCCAAACACACACACTCAATGATTATCCCATATTAATTTTTATAAAAACCTTCTGTGGAAGATGTAATTACCATTTTCACAGAGGAAAAACTGAGGCTTAGTGAGATCAACTGACGTCACCCCCAGCAGGCAAGATCTTGAATTCAGTCCGCACTTTTGACCACCACACTCCACCATCCTTAGCACATGGGACTGAAATAATTTCTTTAGATACCTGGGTTTTCCACTACACTGTGAGTTCCTTGAAGTTAGGGTTGGACCTCATCCATCTTGATATCCCTATCCCTGGCATATAACAGGTTCTCAGTAGGTGGCAGTTGAATTGAAATGGGTCAAGGAGAGAGAAAGGAAAGGTAAGAAGGAAAAAAAAAAAGGAGAATGAGAAAATTCCCTTATCTTAAGCTATTTTGAAACTTCCTGAATGATACTCTGCCAGCTAAAATATAAGTGGAATGAAAAGTTTGATGATTATCTAAGTCACGTCTAGCACTGAGCTCTCCTTATATTATGCTGTCAAATTATTCTAGCCATAGAAATTAATTCCTTGTCTCCAGGAAAGAAAAGGGTATAATGTGGTTGGTGACATAGCAATGACAAGTGAGGAAAATGTGCATATGTGAGCAGTGACCAGTGTGGACAGTTTTTACCAGTCAATGCAGTAATAGCTGATTTTTATTTACTTTTCTAGACAGTACCATCCAAGATGCTGGTGGCATATAAATCTGATAACTTGAGGAATTTCACAGCTTTCCATTAAAATTTTATCTGAAAGCCCTTGTTTTACCACATTACATAAAAGCCTCTGATAACAAGTATCATATTTATTTGCCCATGAATGTAGGTGAAGGGTAGAAGTTTTAGGCTGTGACATGCCCAAGTTACAGTCAACGTAGTTTTGCTGAATAGTTTTTTTTTCATAATCATCTATTATGTGTTTTATTTTTTAAAAAAATTTTATTTGATGTTGTAACAGATAACTAGAACACAACATAAATGAAACCATAAAGTTAATCATTTCTCTGCCCCACCTTTCCCAGGTAACTTATATTAACAGCCTGGGGTGTGTTCTTCCTTGGTCATGTAATGTTTGTGTTCTCGCACAAATTCTCATTCATAGAAGTTTGCTTTTTCTCCTTATAGTGTTTCTCCTGACCTCCTTCCTTGCCTTTACCCTCCAGCGAATTTCCCTCATTCTTTCCCCCTTTCTCTTCCCCATTCCTCCTCCATCTCTTTTCTCTCTCTCTTTCTTCCCCTTCTCTATTTTTCATTTTCTACCTTTTTTTCTTTCTTTCTCCGTTAGCCTTGGAGGACCCAGGCTCTTGGAAAATTGCATTTATCTTCAAGGTGTGACAGTTCAGTTGAGTTTTGACTCTGAACATTTTTCTTGGGTTGTCTTATGCCTCAGCATAAGAAAGGAATAGAAAAGGGTAGGCAGAAAGTCAAATATTCAGTTAATCAAGATTAACTTATTTGATGGAACTACTTTAGAACCCAGGATGCTTTTTAAAGTTATTAAAATGTTTATTATACAAATGTAATTCAAAGAGTAAATCATGGTTCTTGTTTTTAAAAAATCCTCAAAGTCTATAGAAGTGTTTAAAACAAATGATAAATTTTTATTTATCTGCCAGAATTCTTCTTCCTGCAATGCCACTCTCCAAGAAGAGTTTAGCTTTCCTTCATGAAGTTTTTCTGGATATTTATAAAACATGTAACAAATATTGTATGTACTGGTGGATGTAGACAGCAAATGGGAAGCTTTTTCACTAGATAATGTGGACATCTCTCCATGTCAGCACATATAGGACCCCCTTCTTTCACTTTAAATGCTGCATAATATCCTTTGCAATTAATTTAACTATTTTCTACATGAACATTTAGGTTGCTTCCAATTTACAGGATGCATTTCTAATCTTTCAACCAAGACTTCCCAAAAAGAATGCTGTCAATTCTTGTCTCCTTAATGACTTGGAGCTGCTGACCTGAGTGACTGTTATTTAACCAGTGACCCCCATAGCCTTGACAGGGTCCTTTGTGTTCCGTGTCTCCATAAGGACAAGAACTTGCTGGCTACCTTCACCCTCTGAGGCTATCCCTGTAGGTCTCATTCTGCTAATATTGTTGCTCTGTTCTTTCCTAACCTTTTTGCCTCTGTTTAAACCTATACAGGTTTGATACAGGCTCCATGCGCATTGTAGTTGACTGCTGTGCTAACATACTTTGGTAGCATAGATAGTGAATAACTCTCATCTACCTAGTCCTCCTCTCTCTTTTCTTTGGGTTCTCACCTGTGCAAGATAGCTTTCGGGATAATAGCCAGGATGCATTAATGCCTTTACTTGGGACCCTGGGGCTATAAAGAACAACAGAAAACCTGGAGGTGCTTTGGTCACTGTGAAACAGCTGCCACACAAAGAGACCTTATCCAGAGAAAGGGTGAGGCCAGTATCAACTCAGAGGATCTGGGGGCTCACTGGCCTATTTACGGGAAAAGACTGTGATAGAGATGTTAAAAGGTATTTGAAAAGACAAAGTAACTCTGAGACGCTGAAAGAAATTATAGAGTTTTCCTCCTTCATGTTCACTACATGAAATAGATCATTTCTAAGGGGTTGGCATGGCCTTAAATGCATTTCCCTAAAGTTTCCATTTTAACATCTTCTTCTAGGACACCTAGGATGGTTGTTCACTTGTTTTTCATTTTGTTGTGAGTGGTTCCAAAAAATCAAAATATTTATTAAAGTGAATATTATGCTAGAAGCTATATATTGTTCACAGTAAACCCCAACACCCATTTGAGAAAGCAGCACATCATTCGTTCCTCCTAATATTTTCTCTCCTAAGCAAACAATCTATGTTTCAAGTGTGTTCTTTCTTTGTAGTGTGTTGTTTATATTGGTCATTAAACAGTTCCTAAAACTGACTTTCAACTTATATATAAGTTGTTTCTCTAAGGTGTCAACATTGAAAAGAACAGTATAGAGCAGGGGTGTCCAATCTTTTGGCTTCCCTGGGACACACTGGAAGAAGAAGAATTGTCTTGGGCCACACATAAAATACACTAACACTAACGATAGCTGATGAGCTAAAAAACAAAAAAAAATCACAAAAAAAAAATCCCATAATGTTTTAAGAAAGTTCATGAATTTGTGCTGGACCACATTCAAAGCTATCCTGGGCCACATGCGGCCTGTAAGCTGAGGGTTGGACAAGCTTGGTATAGATGAACCAGGGAATTTATTGTATGACTGTGACAAGAAAGAGTTAATAATTATTTAGCAAAGATTCCTACATTTCAAATAATTGTTTTTCACATCAAAGCTTTAGTTGTAATAATAGAAGGAATGTCAAACTGAATTGGTAAGAAATAATGGTAGACTATTTCTAAGTAAAATTTAGTAATATTTTAAAGTATAGGCTGGGCACGGTGGCTCACGCCTGTAATCCCAGCATTTTGGGAGGCTGACACGGGCAGATCACTTGAGGTCAGGAGTTCAAGACCAGCCTGGCCAACATGGTGAAACCCATCTCTACTAAAAGTACAAAAATTAGCCAGGCATTGTGGTATGCACCTGTAATCCCAGCTACTCGGGAGGCAGGAGAATCGCTTGAACAAGGGAGGCAGAGGTTGCAGTGAGCTGAGATTGCACCACTGCACTCCAGCCTGGGTGACAGAGCGAGACTCCATCTCAAAATAAAATAAAAGAAAGTATAGAAGTAAGTAATGATAGCCATTTTTTTTTTAGAGGCAGCGTCTTGCTCTGTTGCTCACACTGGAGTGCAGTGACACAACCCTAGCTCACTGCAGCTTCAAACTCCTAGGTACAAATGATCCTCCTGCCTCAGCCTCCCTATTATTAGTAGCTAGGACCACAGGTGCATGCCACCACGCCTGGCTAATTTTTTTATTTTTATTTTTTGTAGAGATGGCGTCCCCCTATGTTGCCCAGACTGGTCTTGAGCAATCCTCCCACCTCAGCCTCCCAAAGTGCTGGGATTATAGGCATGAGCCCAGCCTCGTAGACTATTTCTAAGTGAAATTTAGTTGAATATTTTAAAGTATAACATATGTTACAAAACCAAATTGCCATAATATATATAAAAAAAGCTAAACTTGTGAATAAATTGAGAACCCAAATAATGTATGATTTCTAGATATAGTCTTTTTAAATATACAATTAATTAAATGTATTAGACTTACATTGAAAATGTATTAGACTTTAAATTAAGATGAAATAATTCAAAGAATAAGTGCTGAATCTAGAATTTTGAGATGTATGACAATAATCTGAAATTTCTAGAGCTTTTTGTCTGAAAAAAGATACTCATTCTCACAGGTCCCTCCCAACTAATCAACTGTAGTAAAAAAACAAACTTCTCAATATCTATATGAATCAGACCCTCTGAATATACTAGATCCTCAATAAGCATACTCTAATTTGATGTGATTTTAAATATTTCTTACAGGTTATTATATTTATCTTTCACTGACAGTTGGATTTGTAGGTTGAAATGTTTAAGAGAGAAGGGAGGAAACTGACTTGGCATAAATGCACACAGTGCTGTTCTGGCTGCCAGTGTTGTGGGTTCTGTCACTGACTCCCTGGTTTTGACTCAGGACCACCTGCGGGACCTTGCACACCTCAGTCTGGTGTACCTCTGTGCAGGTGGGTGCTGTGCTGCTCTAGGACCATGTTGGGGACTTATTCCAGTCTCTCTGGTCTTTCCTTCCCACAACACACTCCAGCACCAGAGGTGGCTTTGGCGAAGGAAAGGGAGCAAAAAATGATAACCTATTTAAAAACGTCTTTTGAAAAGTGTAAATTTTAATGGCATGTGAATCATCTGTCCATTAAAATATTTAAAATAAAAACTTTTAAACAAAAGAAAAAATGTACAAATTACAAGTTCCAGACTGGCCATGCACACCCTTTCTAAGACAGGCTGTGCACCTTTTTCCTATGTGTAACTTTCTCACAAAATATTTTCGCATTTTTAAAGCTTTATTTCTTCATTAATATATTTGATTTTAATAAAAAGTAAAATGCTTTCGATTCTAATGTGATGCATTATTTCTGAAAGCAGTCTTAAGACAGGAACTAAAGGGCAGTGTGATTTTACAGAGAACATCTTTAATAGTGGCTGGGAGTTTACACATACACACACTTGATATGTGTAACTATTTCAGGTCATTCTTTCGTCTTGTGGAGGAAGGGACAGACAAGGAGAACGGAGGTACCAGTTGAGCAAACTAACCCCCAGCTCATGCAGAGAGACATTAGCATAATTTTGTATTGTTGCTGAAATTTCTTCATGTCTTACTTTTGATCCCATGAGACAAGTTGTTTGCTTCCATCTAAAAATATCGGATGATGCCTCTACATTGCAGATACAAGTTAAAAGTGTTTTTCCAGAATCTATGTTACAAAGGAAGCCCAGGGACCTCTGGTCATAGTGATGAATTTCACTGGTGTAACATCCATGCTGTGTGGGAGGTGAGATTTGGACCCAAACTGTGTTTTTAATCACCAATTTACAGTGATGTTTCACACAGAAGTAGAGGGATCTGTTCCACCCTTATGAGATTTCACCTGACCCAGAGCACTTAGAAAACAAGATAAAGCAGCAGCAGGAGAGGAGGCCTTATCTGTTCTGCCCACAGAGCTCCTGGCTGTGTTCTCCAGCTAATACTTCTTACTCCCCCCCACGCGCAATGGCAGCGGCAATGTGCGTTATAAACTGCAAGGGCTGACCACTTCTTCAAAGCTTAAGTTCTGGACATCACCTCCCTCTCCCCCAAACAAGATTGCCACAGGACACGAGGACACAGAACAAACCATATTAACCTCTCTGCTTCCAATGCCTAGCAACAATGTTTGTGGTTACCCCATGACTGTGTGACAGCTGTGTATGTGTTGATACCTGCTTGTGATACCATAGGTAAAACAAAATACAATTTTAAGGAGGATAATACTTTATGGCAGGGAGGAGCCTGTCCATGAAGGTTTCAGTAAAGAGGTTTATTCAGTGGTTGCCATGGCTGCTAATGCTCCTGCATTCTGTCAGG
Source organism: Homo sapiens (assembly GCF_000001405.40). Taxonomy (NCBI): domain Eukaryota; kingdom Metazoa; phylum Chordata; class Mammalia; order Primates; family Hominidae; genus Homo; species Homo sapiens. Next base: position 76,688,348 of record NC_000004.12, read on the forward strand.
ATATAAGAGCACAGACAAGTAAAGGTAAATGTGGTATCAGCTGTTTGGTAAGGGAGGTTTCTATTTCCTACCTAGTGAGGTCTTCTCTGTGTCTATATGCATATTTATTACCTTAAATATAGAACCTGGACATTTAACAACAGGGATTCTGCTTGAATGAGAATAAAGCCAATTTCAAACCTTACTGTTACTTTCATCTCTGGAGGTGACACGTGAGAGCAATTAAGAGAGGACTCTGAGGGGAAAAAATTCCTACCTCCGTTGAAAGAGGCTGGAAGAACCTTTGAAGAAAGATGAAACTTAAACTAGCACCATCCCTTCCTTTAGAATATTAACTGGACGCCTATATCATAAATGCAAAACAAATGCAAATGGATATATTTTCTAAAATTCCAAAGTTTGCAAAGCTGAATCCAAAATCTCTCGAAATTACAGTCATGACGACCGAAAGAATCACGTCTCTTGTCTAATCAGAGACGATGCTTATGGAAACAAAAACAGGCCCGGAAGGAAGGCTTCAGCGGCATTCACCACCACCTGCATCTCTGCTGTGACTTACACTGAGAAGAGGGCATGCTGAGAAAAAGGATGGTTATTTTCCTTGTAATGCGAGCTTTTTTTTTTTTTTTTTAGCTGTGAACTTTTTACCTTGCTTCATTCATGCTTCATTTGATCAATTACTAACTGTATAGCCTCTGAAAAGCGAGCGCGGGCTTCTTAAAGTTGATATTTTGCTTTTGGATTCCTCTGCATTTTACAACGGGGGGAGGTTAATTAAGGCACCTTTCTGATTGAATGGGCAGAGGGACTGAGGGTGTGTGCTTCGGTCCGGTCCCCTTAATACCGTAAGGACCCAAGGACCGCGGAGGGGCGAGTGGAGCGCGACGCTTCCACCCCAGAATCCGTTTTCAAACCTTAGGGAGCCTTCTTTGCCATTGAAATGCAAATCCGGTCCTGAGCTCCCGGGCCAATCCGGGAGGCTTCCTGTGGGATTACCTGGTGGCGAGCGAGCGCCGAGCCAGCGCCGAGCCAGCGCGGCCCCTCGGGTGCGGCGGGCGCGGGGTGGACTGAGCGGGCCCGGGCGGGACGAGAGGTGGGCGAGCGCCCCGCACCCTCGGCGCGCCGCGCGGGATCAGCGTCCTCCAGCCGCGCTGCCCCGGCCCACCGTGCAGCTGTAGCCGCGGCGCGGTGGCGCGGTGGCGCAGGGCGCTGCTGGGCCGCCCATTGTTGAGCGCGTTGGGCCCCGCCGGCGATGCCGCGCGCCGCCTCCTCGGAGCGGCGGCGAAGTTTGAACTTGGCGTCGGCCTGGAGCCCCGAGCAGCCCGGGGGCGGCGGCCGCGAGGCGAGCGGCGATGGTGAGTGAGGAGGGCGGCTGGGCACGGAGAGGGAGGCGGGGGCCGGCCGGCTGCTTTCTGGAGCGCGTCTATTTCGGGCTCTGCGGCGACTCTGGAAAGCCCTGTCTGGAGGATGGCTCCCAGGGGCTTTCACGGCCAGCACCCCGGCTGATGGGGGCAGGTGGCGTGCTCCGAGGGTCTCCTGACACTCCTAGGCCTTGGCTTTTTATCAGAGAGGCAGTAGCTGCCACTCCAAGAGGAAAATAATTGTTGATTATTGACAGCATGAAAACTTTTCGGAAGAAATGATCTGTGAAATATTTTAATTTTGATAAATTGCTTCCCACCAGGGCCCCTGCTGAGTTGAGAACTCCTTGCCTTTCTTAATTTTACTGGATTTGTTTCTGTAGGAAAGGCTCCTGAAGTGCGTTGAGGGGCACGCCTACCCCCAACCCCCACTTGCTCCAGATCTTAAGACAGTTACTTAAATAGTGTGTTCCTTGTGCTGCAGCAACACTTAAATCATGAAAATGAAATTCTACCTGACGCTCGCTTTACTCCGAATTGCCAGAGGAATAAAACTTTTGCTGGTGGGGGAGGGGAGTGGTTACAAAATTTCAACACCTGGAGCACTCTCTGGGGGTGGGATGTATTTCTCTTCCTCTAGGATGTATTTTGGCATTACCTTTTTCCCCTCTCCCTTTAAATAGTAGTGTTGTTGTGGCGCACTGTGTGCACGGGAGCTTCTGCACTGGGAGCAAATGGGTGCCCTGCATGCGGGTCATCTCCATGGAGAGATTGCTGTGATATCGGGGGGTGCAACAGGAAGTCCTAGCACAGAGGCTGCCAGAGAGAGTTCTGTGCATTTTCTGTTTTTAATTAGTTGTTTTAAAGCCTAGTTAAATGTCCGTTTCCAGTTAAAAGCACCCTGGTCGGATATATGGCTAGATCTTTCCCCCAAAAAATTTCACCAGAAGTTGGTTTACATTTTAAATTTATTTTGATGGTTACCTTTTTTTTTCTGATTATAAAAATATTACACAATCGTTGCAGAAAAGGTGTAATATACAGAGAAAGAAATAAACTCTTATAACAACATCTATGTTTTGTTTGCTAAGACCTAGTTTTTCACAGAATCCTAGTCATTTGAAAACTTTTCAGCTATGGACTTTTTTTTTTCTCCATTGCTAACAATCCTGGTTTAGGAACTAAAGCTAGGAATTGACAAGGAAATAAACTTACTTAAAAAAATGTTATAACCAACAATAACTTATTCACATTGCCCATGAGTTGGAACAGAATTTATTGTGGCAATTTCTCTTGAATCAACTTCCCACATCTGCTCCCAGCAAATGGTTTCTGTTTGTACAGCCTATTTTGTAAATACATCTCTCTACCATTAAGGCGAGGTGCCCAAACACATACCCCTTTCCAGTGCTTGTGGCTTGGCTCATATGGTTAATATGTTTATTGGCTTCTGCATCAGAACTTCCTCACCATACATTTGATAAAACCCTGGAGAAGGTTACCAAGGGATGTTGTAGAGAATTCACTTCCCTGGAGATTTTAAGAATAGGATAAACATCCATCTGCCTAGGATGGCTTCAGTGCAGTACTGTCTGGATAAAGGAAGACTAGGTCACTACTCTGAACCTCAAAATTGAGGAATTCTAAAATTTGTTTAGAATTCCTCAATTTTGACCTGGGACCAGGTCCTCTGTGACCTGGGACCAAAGCAAATTAAGGTTGCCAAAAGTACCTGAGCCCAGTAGGAGGTGGAGCCCTGTTTTGATTTATGTGAAACAAAGTTCTTCTTTTGGTAACAGATACGTTAAATTATTCTTAGGAGTTACCAATCCTTTTCTATTATGGATAGAAAATCAACAATGATTTAACTGCTTTCTGGGAAGGTATAGGTGAATTACAGTATAAATTCTGTGATTTTAAAGTAAATGAACTGATTCATGGGAATTAAAAGTTTTGCCTGAAAGGTGGGCAGGGTGTGTGTGAAGAGTGTGCCTGAGTTTTCTCCACTTTTAACCTAGTGTTATTTTTAGAATCCTGTCTTATGTGTTAAATCTGGTTACATTTTTAAAACATCAACATTCTACTGTCTCTTCAATGTTTATTCTTGCTTTCCCTTTTCATGCAGAACCCATACAGACCTTTGACCAAAATCAATTATTCTTGTAAGTTCTGTTCGAGGATGTTTCCCTGGAGTCCAGCAGTGCTGAGGTTTTGCTGGTGACTTCCAGAAGGTCAGGATTTCATGGGTTGCCGCTTCTTCTGACTTTCTGTTTGACAGAAGTATCCTGTAATTCTAACCACTGTGTGACCTCAATTGCCTTGACACCTTCCTCCCCTTCTGTAGTATCACTTGAACAGGAGCTGTTTCCTCCTGCAGGATCACTGAGAGGGGTTCACTTTCTAGGGAAGGTCATGTCAGAAAGAAGATTGGGAGGTAGAGCCTGGTGGCTGGGCAGTCTTCACCTTGCCTGAATGAGCAATGCCTCCATTTCACAGCCTTCAGCTTGTGGGATTTCTTCATGCATGTCAGAAACTAGTTTTCTTATGCTGTTGTAACACCCAAAGAAGGAATAGGGGCATGAACAATGGTCATTCATTTATTCAGCAATCATTTACTGTGTGGGAGGCATCCCAGGAACTGGCGATGGGTTCCCTGCCCTCAGGAACTCGTCTTATAAGAGGCAAAATAAAACATGTTAATAAGCTAGTGCCATTCTGAAGGTGTAGAGTACAGGGGTTAAGAAATTAAGTTTGTTGTAAAGTTAAACATACACCAACCTATGACCCAACATTTCCACGCCTAGGTATTTACCCAAGATAGGTGAAAACAAATGTCCACCAATGACTTGTACAGAATGTTCATAGCAACCTTATTTATAATGACCAATACCTGGAAACAACCCTACATCCATCAACAGGAAAATGGGTAAAGAAACAGTGGCACATCCATACAATGAATACGACTCAGCGATCAATGGGAATGAACTCTTGATACAAAAACCTGGATGAGTCTCAAGAGCACGTTAACTGAAAGCAGCCAGATACAAAATAATAATAAGCAATTCTATTCATGAAGTGCTAGAATAGGCAAAACTAATCTATGACAGAAGTCAGTGGTTGCCAGTGGGTAGGGACTGACTAGAAAGAGATAAGAAGGGATTTTCTGGAATGATGGAAATGTTTTATGTTTTGTTTTTCGTGATGGTTTCATAGGTATACACAATTATCCACACCCATCGAACTGAACACCTAAGACCTGTGCATTTTATTGTATGCAAAGCATTACCTGAATTAGAAGAAAAACTTAGGTTCTAGAGTTACACAAGAGTATACATCCCACATCTGCCTCTAGGCATATATTACCCTGGACAAGATATTAAATAAATACCTCTGAGCTGCAAGACATTGGACAATAATAGAACATCTTCATAGGGTTGTTGCAAAGATTGAGTTAATGACTGAAGGTACTTAGCTTAGTAAGAACTCAGTAAATGTCAACTACTATTTCCAGGCACTGTGATAAATATAATATGTGATTTTGGAGTTGATGAAAAAGTATTTACACTTTTGTGAAAGCCATATCATTTAAGATTATCAAGGATCTTATATTAACTGGTATCCTTATCATTATTACTATGCATACCTTCATTTTGATAAGTTTGTTTTTTTTTTTTTTTTTTTTTTTAAAGCAACAAGACAGAGTCTTGCTGTGTTGCCCAGGCTGGAGTGCAGTGGCACAATCTTGGCTCACTGCAGCCTCCACCTCCCGGGTTCAAGCGATTCTCCTGCCTCAGCCTCCCAAGTAGCTGGGACTACAGGCACATGCCACTATACCCAGCTAATTATTTTTGTATTTTTAGTAGAGACTGGGTTTCACCATGTTGGCCAGGATGGTCTCAATCTCTTGACCTCGTGATCTGCCTGCCCCAGCCTCCCAAAGTGCTGGGATTACAGGTGTGAGCCACTGCACCTGGCCCTTGATGAGTCATTTTTTAAGGTTGTGGGGATTTAAAATGTGAAGTTCTTGTGTACGTGATCAAAATACTACTGGGGTTTGGTTTTGCCAGCAGAAGTAAACTCCAAAGAGAGGAACTACGCACTAGGCAAACTCCTTTTTTTTTTTTTTTTTTTCCTGAGGACTGATCTGAGGACTGATTTAATGATGATTGTCGAAGCTGAGCTCCCAGATGAGGCTCACAACATCTTCTGGGAATCCAAATGAAAGGTTAACATACTATATTCTCTTCCCAAAGATGTAGGTAGAAAAAAAAAACAAAACTCGATCTCTCTATCAAAATTAACGTCATGCTTTTCAGTAAAATGCTTTGGACAGAGTGGTAAATTTATAATAGTTTATTTAATCTATTAAGCTTCAGTGATTTAATTTAAGTTCAACAAAGCATTTGGGAAAGATGTTATATATTTTGCCAACTCCAAGTGAGGCATTTTGTTGTTGGGTTGGTTTAATTCATTCAGTAAACATTTGTCAAACATTTACTGAGAACGCATTAGCCTCTGGGAATTCAATGATGAATAATAAGACATTGTACCCTCAAGGGTTCATAGACACTCCAGCCACAAGTGTGAATGTGTACACATTTCTTTTGGAATTTTTCTCAGAGCAGAGAGGTCTGTCTCAGGCTAGTCTTTTTGTTTGTTTTTTTTTGTGTTTTGTTGTTTGTTTTAAAAGCTCCTGCTTACAGTGGAGGTTTAAAATCCTAGTTCTTTTAATTGATGTTATTTTCTTAAACATTGGCATTTCTCATTAAGGCTTCACTTGTTATTCCTTACTAAAAATAGCAAAAACAAAATGGTCTTATATAAAGGCAATTGAGTACAGTGGAAAGGTCAGAGACTGTGCAAGTAGAATGACCTACGTTTGAATCTGAGCTCTGCTACACTAGTAATTTGGAGAGTCCTTTAAGCAGCTGTTTCCTCATCTGCAAGATGGTGATAATGATACCTTAAGAGAGGTATTAATATTTATTAGGTTAAGGCTGTTATAAGGATTAAGTGACAGAATACATGTAAATATAACTAGGCTGGCACCTGATAGGTGTTAATTCCTAACATTTATTGAGTACTTACTAGGAGTCAAGCACTGTCTAATACGTTTTGTGCTGGCTGATTTTATCTTCCTCACACTCCTATGAGGCAGGCACTGTTACTATCCCCTTTTAAAGGTGAGGAAACCAAAATCATAGGTTAAATAACTTGCTGAGGGCATGGAGGTGCCAGGGTTAGTACCCAATACCATCCTGTCAATTAATGGATGAGGTCTGTAATAGATGTCAACTATCTTTCCCTTTTAGATATGATTGTTTTATACCAATAAGTGGAACTAACTAGTGCCCTGCTTATGGCTGCATGCAGATTAATACTGGTGGTGGGGGATGGTTGACTCCTTGAATATGTTCTTAAATGGTTAATGGGTCTACCACCTTTGGGGGTTTGTGGGATGCTTGTAGGAAAGGCTCTAATGAACATGTCTTTTCTTTTCCCAGCCCCTCACAAGTCCACCTGTGAGGTGGTCCTCTCTGACATTGTCCGTTGCTCCTTACCCCCAATGACTCCAATTAGGAAGTCAGTCGACTTATTTGTGAACAAAAAATTGGAGAATCATGGCTGCCTATTAGAATTTGACCTATGCTTTGTGAGGTCTATGTAGGGATGGACATAGATGCAATATTTTCTTGGTCTCCAAAAAAATAGCAAGGTAAGAAATGTGCCCCAGAGCACTGTTACAGTAAGAAGAAAAGTCTACCATTGATCCTGGATATTTCATATTTCCTATTTCCATTGGCATTTTCTCAACTCCCAGATTCTGGAGAACCTTGAGCTAAAACTTAAATAAAAATAAGTTCCAAATGGTACGTTGAAAACGCTGCTGATTTAATGAAGACGAAGTCACCTTGACCAATTCATTAAAATAATGTATAGATGCCCAGGGGAAAATGTAATTAAATAAATATGGATCCTAGTATCTGTTCCTATATGAGCCTTTTCACTTAGTTTCTCCCCCAAAGTCCTGAGTGTCGTGGAAGATACTCTGGATTATTGGTCCTGACATCAAAGCCTCTCCATTGCAGTGTGGAGTTAACTAGGCAGCCAGAATCTCAGGACCATTTCCTCAGCCACTCAAGTGGTGCCACGTTGGTCTATTTCCAGACCCATCGAAGAAGCCCCTCAGCATGCAGAGACCTTTGGAGACACTGGACTGAAACCAGATGGTGCAGAAAGAAGCCCCTAAGCAAAGTGTTGCTTGCAGCCCTGTATTTGAAAGAGTGCCACTGTGTACCAATTATGTCCATCCAAATGAGCCGTATTATTTTGGGGCAAAATGACTGGGAAATGAAATTATTAGGACTCTGCTCTCTGATGGGGAAAAAATAAATCTGGAAGAAGAACCTACAAGGATCTTAGCTGTCTGCTTGTCTCTGACACTCTCGAGGCCTTGTGCCAGGCTGCTTTGCTGTGCAAAAGCTCCACTTCAGTCTTTTAGTCTGACTCACAATAGACGCACATGGTTGAAGTTAGGAGAATTGCAGGACTGTCACTTGAAGTCCCTCTCAGCCTCTTCACCATCGCCCCCAGCCTCTTTCCCTCTAACATTAAGCCCTTTGTGTCGGTTCCCATGGTTACCTCCTCACTACTGGCAGCTGGAATGTGATAGTGAGAGGAGGCTGCCTCCCCTACTGAGCCAGGTCTGGCTGGGGCGGAGGCCATTGATCCGCAGCTGGATTTGTGAAATGGGGTCACAGTCCAGTACCTTCTCTTTGTCGTGGGTTCTATACCTTTCCCAGGCTTGACATATCAGGGTTGCAGTGGGAGGGGACATGGTGGGTGATGGACTGCTCACAGGACATGTCCTGTCATAGGCTGGCCTGGCCTGGCGTCCCTGACCTGCCAAACTCCTCCCTGAGGTCACCCTTCCATGTGTGAATGCCCATTGAGGGGGAAGGGGCTGCTCTGCTTGGTCAAATAAAAATGATGACTCACTTCTCTACCTGCTTTCTGCTCAGATTCTGTTCCCAATACCATCTGTTCTTAAGTTAGTCAACATTAACAAGGGTGGGCTCCAGTCTGGAAAGAATTTGCATCAAAGGCATGTTTTCACATCCAGCTTGGAAGACCAGGCAGGCTCTGGGAACTGGGGGATAGCATAGGGATTCAAGGTTCAAGATGAAAACAAAACTAGCCGAGAGGTTTTTGTTGTTGTTTTTATAAGAGACAGGGTCTTGTTCTGTTGCCCAAGTGGGGTGCAGTGGTGCAATCATATCTCACTGCAACCTCGAACTCCTGGGCTCAAACAATCCTCCCATCTCAGCTTCCTGAGTAACTAGGACCACAGGCACATGCCACCGCACCCAGCTAATTAATTTTTTTTTTTTTTTTTTTGGTAAGAGATGAGGTCTCACTGTGTTGCCCAGGCTGGTCTCAAATTCCTGGCCTCAAGTGATCCTCCCACCTTGACCTCCCAAAACACTGGGATTAAGGTGTCAGCCACTGTACTCTGCCCCGAGAGTTTGTCTTGAAGCTATTTCCTGACATACTATTTGGAGGCTTCTTAAATTCCTTCTCATTTAGAGTCTGGTGGGCCCCAGAGTTGAGGCAGGACTTGGAATTACAGGTGGAAATTAAGCAGCCCTGGTGGTGAGGGTGAGGGGAGGTAGTTTCTAGTAGAAAGCACCAAAAATCAACACTCCTGAGGAATTCAATACTGGAAGAATTGTTATGCTCTTCTTGGAACAAGGCAAATCTGTTTTCAGAGATCTTTCAGCCCTGTAGGTATCTAACTAAGCACTTAAGTGATGCGATTGTGGGAGAAGGCAGTTAAGGGCACACTCTGGAGCCTTATAATAGGTTGGGTCCAAGCTTTACCACTTCCTTTGTGATCTTGAGCAGGTTATTTAAGTTACGTTTGCTTCAGTTTCTTTTTCTGTGAAATGAGGACAGCATTTCAGAGGGTTGCTGTAAAGATTAAATTTGTTATGTAAAAATACTTTGCATGTTGTACAGCCAGCACAGGTGCCAATTGTAATGTTTTTAAATGTTTTGAGAATGTCATGCTAAACTGAGGACATAGATTTTATCAGTTCTACTTTGTGGTATGTATGTCAGTGGGTCCAGAATTCCCCTGGAGAGCACAGGAAAGTGCTGGGGTGAGCAGGAACATACAGGATGAGGAAAAAAAGAATTCAAGCATTTATGACACTACCCTATAGTAACTAAGAGAAAGGAAAAATGAAGGGGATAAGTAGAAAATCAGCCCATGGAACTATAGTCACAAACACTTAGAAAAGGTCTACTGTAAGCTGTAAACCATTACTTTTCCACAAATGGGCTGCAGTTTGGTACCTTGATGTCCATGTAAATTGTGCTCCCAAAGAATATAAAGTAACCACTGGGAAAAGCTGAGTCCCCCTTTGGGTGATAGCAAAGGTTGGAAACATTTAGGTTTGATATTTGGAGGCATTTAAATAGCATGGAATGTCTATTATATACCCTAAAAAGCAGAACGAATCTTGGATATTATGGACACAAATGCATTTGGCATGAGCTTAAAAAAAGTGCATGTGAGCTTCTTTCTAAGACCCAATAATCCTCTTGGGCAAAGTAAGGATTAGGCCTCCCTCACAAACAAGGCAGGGAGTTCATTTTTGCTAAGATTCCTCAGCTGATGCCAAATTTAGCAAGGGACCCATTTTTTCCCAATGAATGACAATCTCCATTTACATTTTTAATGTCCACTCCTTTAGGCAGGTCTAGGGCTGGAGCAACTTATTTGCATATAGATAGGAGACAGGACCCTGGCTCCTACAGACTACATTGGGACCCTCAGAGACCTTCCTGAGCCAGAGTCCCTTTACCTCACTCGCTTACAAAAGGGGAGGGGTCTCCTACCCCAGAGCCTGAAGTAGGAAGGACTCAGGGGCTGAAAAAAGCTGGGGCCAAACTCATTCTGTTTTAAAGACAGCCTTGAAGATGCATTCACCAACAGCCATCCCTGCCTAGTGCCTGCGACTCCTGCCAGTGAGAGGTGGCCTCTAGGCAGCTCCTCTAGGTTAATTCTGTCATCCTTGACCTTGAGGAGCCCTTTCTTTCACACCACTCACTGGGTCCTCTATATCTATTCCCAAGGAGCTCAGGTAATGCCCTATATTTTCTGTTCTTATCTGCAAAAAAACCCCTCCACTTTGGATTTAAATATTTATATTCCTCCCCAAATGTTTTGGGCAATTTGTAGTTGCCCTTTTTAAGGAATTAACCCATCAAGACACCACCATCCTGTCACCCTCCCCATGGTGACTTTCCACATCCATCTCCCTTATGCAGGCCATGTTGATTGAACAATGATAGCACCTGTCTTGCAGTGGTTATTAAGCCACAGGGTAGATAATACTTTGTCCCCTTTTTACAGATGAGGTCCTGAGGTTCAGAGAGAATAGTGGCCAGGAACTGGCAGAGATCAGATTAGAACCCAGGTTGATCCAGCTACAAATCCTTTGTGTGCCTCCCCAACAAGACTGGAGGTCAGAAGCTGTCTTTTATTCTACACCAATTCCAACTCGGAGCCTGCATGTAGAACATGCTCATCCCTTGTTGATGTAGGTACGCAGATCATGTTTTCTCACTTGGGATTTGCCATGTAGGCCCTCCCCCTGCTTTTTACCTTTGGTTCATCAACTGTCAAAGGTAAAGGGACCCCCAGGCTCATCTGTACTAACCTCCTCATTTTACACATGAGAAAATAGTAGCCCAGAACATGAAAATGACTTGCTCATAGCAATTACAGAGACGGCCTTGTGCAGGTGTCCTGGCTGCAGGTCCAGTAATGTTTCCTGCTATAATAGGGTATGTATATATGGCCTTTTAGAGGGTCTACTTAACCATCCGTGCTCCCTTCCCTGATGTTTTGTGGGAACAGGGAAGAAGGATTACCAAATCGACTTTCCTGCTTTACTTCCACCGTGCTTGTTGCATGTTCTCTTTCTTGCTCCTTTCCACAAGTAGCTCCTTTCCAAAGTGCTTTTCTGGAGATGATTAATGGTACTACACCATGCAGCATAGTCTAGGAGAGGCATGTCAGAGGTATTTGGACTGGGATGTGTTCTATGTGACCCCAGCTTTACCCTTTGATGAGACTCCCCTGATGCAGGATGTTAGCCCTTTGTGGCTTCAGCTGAGGGTCTGAGCGTTGGCTGAGTTATATTCACATTGATGTAGTCCAAGCAGAATATCAGCAACAGAGCTGTACTCTGGGAAGACAGTAATTCCCATTCGAATGAGACAGGATAGATAACTGCAGGGAACCCATCAGGAAGCTGGCCTCGTGTCCACTCGGCATATTTTTATTAACCAAATACTTATTGGGCATCATCCAAGGAAGAGAACCATATGGGGCCAAGGAAGAAAGGAGAATCTCAAATAAGATTAAGACTATGACATCATAGTTAAGAGCATAGACTTTGTCATCAGCCAGATCTGGAGTCAAATTCTTTTTTCACCAGCATTTGGACAAACTTCCTGCACTTCTTTGAGTCTGTTTCCTCATGAATAAAGTAGGGACTAATAGCAGAAAGTCACCTGCCTTCAAGGTTGGCTGTAAGGATGGTAAGAAGCTGTGCAGAAACAGTTTGGCCCCCAGCCTGGCTCAGAGCACTCCATAAGGTAATGGCAACTTTGAGGACTGATGCTTGGATACCTGCCCTCCCTGGGGCATGCGACTGGGGGAAGCAAGTGTCTACACCGACTGTGTAAAAGTGAATGACAAGGAGAGGGAGGCATGCTGAGTGTGGGCTGCTCTCATGGTCTCTTTTCCCAGGACTTATGGCGTGTATGTATATATTTATTCAGTTAATTTTGGCTTTCTTCCCATTAATTTATAATTCCACAAAGGGAAGGATCGTGTCTGTTTTGCCACGAGTCCAGTGCCTAATCCAATGTGTGGCCTGTGGTTAGCCCTTAGCAATAGTTGATTGAATGAATGGATGATTGGGCTAGGTATAGATGTGACTAGGCTCTGGGTTTCAGCATGAAATATCTTTTTTTTTTCTTTCTTTCTTTCTTTTATTTATTTATTTATTTTTGAGACAGAGTCTCACTCTGTCACCCAGGCTGGAGTGCAGTGGCATGATCTCAGCTCATTGCAACCTTCCTCCACCTCCTGGGTTCAAGTGGTTCTCATGCCTCAGCCTCCTGAGTAGCTGGGATTACAGGTGTGAGCCACCACAACCAGCTAGTTTTTGTATTTTTAATAGAGATAGTGTTTCACCATGTTGACCAGGTTGGTCTCAAACTCCTGACCTCAAGTGATCTGCCTGCTTTGGCCTCCCAAAGTGCTGGGATTAGAGGCGTGAGCCACTGCACCTGGCCTTGAAATATCTATCTTAATATATCCTGCATCATTTCAGCAGTGTGACCGGCGCTAGAAAGTTCTTGTAGGGGCAGGAATGCTGTCTGGGTGTCAGGGGTAGGGACTTCATCATTTCTCTAGATCTAGGGACAGTTGGACTTGAGAGAGGGGTCTCATCTGAATTTCAGTCAGTCTACTTTCTTCTTCTGAAGCTTCCCCTTTAAAGAGGCTTTTGGTATTAAATGTTTGCTACTGTATCAATGGACTTTTAGGATCACAGAATCCAAAGGCAGTATGGAACAAGAGAGCTTAAAAATTAGAGTATGAGACCCTGCTGTGCCAGTCGTGTGGCTTAGAAGTCCTGACCTTGAGCGAATAACTGTCCCTCTATGAGGCTGTCTCTGCATCTGTTAAATGGGGATAAATAATACTTGCTTTACTTGCCTTTTAGGATTATTGAGGGCCAAATGAAATAATGTTTGGGAAGTGCTTTATAAGCTATAATCTGGTATTAAAGTAATGAATAATGGTTCGCTGTAGAGATTTGTATTGTTCTCTGGGAACACTAGTCTGTTACTGTAGGCTAATGATAGAGGATAGGGAAAGAAAGGCCTAGACTGAATTTTTTCAGGAGGTATTTGTCTCTCTCTACTGATACTAGTTTCACAGAAACCCTGCTTCTTCCTCCACTGGCTATTTTCAGCAGTTATTGGAGCTCTCAAAGTAATCCCCTTCACCAACTAGTGTGGAGTCTTTCTGCTGCCCACATATGCTCTCAGGATAGGCACTTCCATTTCCTAGAGAAGATGTTCCTTTAAAAATGTAGAAAATTTAGACCCTTAGACTCATTCTATTAAGAAAAAATAAGGCTAATTTTACTATTATCTGATAATTAAAATAATAAACATTAATTGTAAACAATTTGCAAGACATAGAAAAGAGAGAAGAAAAATAGTACCCATAATCCTGTCACCCAGTAGTAACATTTTGGAATACTTGCTGGTGTTTTGTTTTTATGCATATGTTTTATCTCATATGAATAACAAAAGAGTGATGTGGAAAAATTAAAGGCATACATGGTTTGATATGTGGTTGATACCTACCAAAGTATACAAAGCCCAGTAATCCTAAAAGGAATCTAATGGGGTAGGTAGTGGAGAGGGTGAGGCCTTTAGCCATAGCTCTTTCTACTTTTTAATTTAATTTTTCTTTTCTTCTTTACAATAAGGATGATTATTGCCTCAAATGATAAGAAGATTAACTGAATTACTGTTTTTAAAGCACAAATAATCTGGTACATACCATGTGCCCAGTAAATGTAAGTTTCAGTTCTACGGGTAAAAATTTAATAATTATTGCCAGGCACTGTTCTGATTGCTTTATACATATTAATTCATTCAAGCCTCACATCTACCCTTTGATGAAGGTGCTATTAGTATTCTTATTTTATAGGGGAAAAAACAGGCATAAGAGGTTAAGTGACCTGCTCAAACACCTTCCTAGGTGACAGAGCCAGAACAGGACCCCAGGCAGCTGGCTCCGGAATCCACATCGTCCATATACATTACACAGCCTGCTGCTTGTTGGAGTTGTCTTAAGATCTAGGCTCTGAGTGCTTGTAGCTAGGGGCACACCGCTTCCATGAAGATATCATCTGTTCACTATAAAGCCCTTGTGAGAGCCCTTGGTTTTCTTATGCACTTGTCCTGGGCTACTAGCTGTGTCAAAGGGCTCAGTGGGTAGAGGGACTGATGTCAGCAGTAAACTGAAGCAGATTAATATTTATTAGGCAGGTTAAAAGATTTGGCAGGTCATTTGGCTTTTTCTCCTATCCACCCTTTCCTCATCTTTCTGCAAGGTTGACATAGAGGTCATTGGCTAAGATCTGGAGATAATTAAGCTTACGGTTTCAGAAAGAGTCAGAAATATGCTGAATGTTACTGGGGTATATTGTACACCTGGATTTGTTTGGCAAGTTTCAGGGGGAAATCAAGTGAAAAAAAGCAGCAGCCAGAGCAGGAGGTGCAAATGGACAGAGGTTTGAGACATACAAAGTGCATCTCTGCAGAGCTGAAGGGTTATGTGTGGCCCTCCTGTAATAAAACAAGCTGTAGACCAGGGTAGGTAAGCAGAAAGACAGGAGGAGGCTTTAAGTACAAATGAATGGCATGCCTATGACTAAAACACTAGATAGGATACAGGCCTGAGGGCATGCAGAGGGAGCTTCCTAGATGGTAAATAATGACTTAAAAAGGAAAAAAGATGAGTAATGAGAGGACAGGACCCAGAAGGTTAAGACTTAAATGTGTAAGTTACAAAAGGTCAGTAACAGGAACAAGGGGGCCTTTTAAAGAAAGGGTAATTCATTGAGATGTCTGTGAAACGGCTGATCAATGGTCAGTTATCAGAAAATGAAGAGCACCTATGTTTGGCTAAGAACAGAAATCTGTGCCTGAGGGCATCACTTCTTAAAATCTTCTTCAGACACTGAAAAAGCTTCTAATCTAAGGCCTTTTCAGCCTCCTGGAGACTCAAGAGAAAAAGTGCTGAGAAACCTACAACTATGGCATTAGAGACCTGCAAACCCAGGAGAAGGGGGATGACAGGATAGAGATGCAATAGTAAGGCTAACTTCATGGATGAAGGACACAGAGTAGAAGGAAAACTTGAAAACCAAGAACGTGGCTTTAAATAAGACAAATTGCCACATGAATGAGTGTACACACCCAACATAAATCAAAAGGAATTTCTCCAAAGGATTCTGAGGACAAACTTAGCCCTGTATAAATGCATCCTGTCTACTTAATCACAAAAAGCATTCTGATTGCCTCCAAACATAAGGCAACAAAATTGCACTGAGCCATACCAGCTGTTTGTCGAAGGGGCTCTGCCACAGTCTCCCAACTCCCAACTTTTCTTGTCTGTCCCAAGAAAGCCTGCCGCTAATGAGATGGATCAAAAGTTAGGGCTAGATTCTATTTTCAAGAAGAAATCAACTCAGAGCCTGATCTAGAAAGTAACTAGAAGAAAAGAAGATCCCACATTTCCCAAAATAGATATTATGAACAGTTTAATGCCCTTATGGATTTAAGGACATAGAACTTTGTTTTGGATGCATTACAATTATTTCCTTTACAGGTTCCTATGATTCATTCAGCAAATATGCATTGTGTGCCTACCAGGAGACACTCACTGTGCTAGGCCTTGGGTGTGTAGAAGTTTCAAAAAACAAGGCTGAAGAAAAGCCAGAGGTGGACCCTGACCTGGCTGAGCTTATGTCTTAACAACGAAGCAGACAATGCACAAGTGAACAATTTCATGTGGTTATAAGTGCAGTAAAGGGAAAGATCAGGTGCCAGGAAAGAGTATTTGCATTAGATAAGGCAGTCTCCGAGGAGGTGATGTTCCAGCTGGGAGCAGAAACTAAGGAGTGGTCAGCCAAGAAATGAATTGGGAAGAATATTCCAGGCTTAGAGAACAGCATGTGCAAAAAGCAAA
This sequence comes from Homo sapiens, assembly GCF_000001405.40. Taxonomy (NCBI): domain Eukaryota; kingdom Metazoa; phylum Chordata; class Mammalia; order Primates; family Hominidae; genus Homo; species Homo sapiens. The sequence continues at coordinate 76,704,563 of NC_000004.12, forward strand.
GAGCTTGGCAAGTTTGGGGAACCTAAGGAAGGCCAGTGAGGTCAGAATGCAGTAAGGGGAAAGGTTGAAGGAGGGGCAGGAGCCACGTCACCAGAGACCTTGCAGGCCAAGTAGGGGAACCTGGATTTTATCCAAAATGCATAGGGAAGCTACAGGATTTCATCAGGGAATGACATCATCCATTTACATTTTTTGAAAGGCTGCTGGGTAGACACTGGATTGGAGGGGACAGAAGTGGAAGGGGGAGGCCAGTGAGGAAGCATTCCCTCCTGGATGAAACATAACAAAAAAGGAGGAAATGGCTGATTCTAACAGACAAAACCAAGCACTTCCCTAAGGTTGTAACAGACCATGCCAAGGAGACACGATTCCTCCATCTCACCCTCCCCTTTAAGGATAAAATAGAAAAATGCAAACTCAATAGAAACCAGGAAGCAAAGGGACCTGGAGAGACCATGCCTAATGGCTCAGTTCCGTGTCTTTTACTCCAGTTTCCCCAGCCTTCCCTAATTTGTACAGTGTTCAAGAGAGCCCTAAGGAACTGAAAGATCTGGAACCCTTTCTTTTGTATTGGCTGAAACTCAGTTCAGAAAGCAGTTAATGGGTACTATTAAAATACCAAATAGGTTGGGCATGGTAACTCATGCCTGTAATCCCAACACTTTGGGAGGCCAAGGTGGGTGGATCACTTGAGCCCAGGAGTTTAAGACCAGCTCAGGCAATGTAGTGAGACTCCGTCTCTACAAACAACAACAACAACAACAACAACAACAAAACATTAAAAATCAGCCTGACATGGTGGTGCATGCCTGTGATCCCAGATACTTGGGAGGCTGAGGTGGGAGGATCACTTGAGCCTGGGAGGTCGAGGCTGCAGTGAGCCAAGATTGTGCCACTGCACTCCAGCCTGGGTGACAGAGCAAGACCCTGTCTCAAAAACGAAACAAAACAAAAAGCAAATAAGAAAGCAGTCAGTATATATTCTGGAGTTATGAATATTGGGTGGCAGGCAGAGCAAATATGAATGTCCTCATCATGGGAAGTAGAAGAAATATGTGGGTGGCTGGCCTGGCTTTCTTGTTTAACTATCTGGAAGAAGAAAGATCATACTACAGTATATTTTTTTAGCCTCTGCTAAACTTTCTCAGGTCAGCTTTGATTCCTAGCTCTTCACTCATAGTGGTAATATTGAGATATAGATACTGGAGAACAGCAAGAAACATAAACATAAAACAGCTCCAAGAAATGTCTTGTTAGTTTTGCCAACAAGTTAACTTGTGAGTTAAAAGGATATAGGAGGGAAGAAAGGCTGCAGATCTGTTGAACATTTAGCAGTACAGTCGACCCTTGAACAACACAGGGGGATTGGGGATGCTAACCCCCTAGAGTCAAAAATCCATTTACAACTCTTGACTACCCTAAAACCTAACTACCAATAGCCTACTGTTGACTGGAAGCCTTACAGTTGATTAACATATTTTGTATGTCATATGCATTACGTACTGTATTCTTTCAACAAAGTATGCTAGAGAAAAGAATGGTTTTTGTTTTGTTTTGTTTTGTTTTTTGTTTGTTTTTGAGACGGAGTCTCCGTCTGTTGCCAGGCTGGAGTGCAGAGCTCAGCTCACTGCAACCTCTACCTCCCGGGTTCAAGTGATTCTCCTACCTTAGCCTCCCGAGTGGCTGGGATTACAGGCATGTACCACCACGCCCAGCTAATTTTTGTATTTTTAGTAGAGATGGGGTTTCACCATGTTGACCAGGCTGGTCTCGATCGCTTGACCTCATGATCCACCCACCTCGGCCTCCGAAAGTGCTGGGATTACAGGCGTGAGCCACTGTGCCTGGCCGAAAAGAATGTTATTATGCTAAGAAAATCATAAGGAAGAGAAAATACGTTTACTATTCATTAATCAAAAGTGGATCATCACAAAGGTCTTCATTCTCATTGTCTTCATGTTGACTAGGCTGAGGAGGAGTAAGAGGATGGGTTGGTCTTGCTGTCTTGGGTGGCAGAGATGGACGAAGAGGTGGAAGGGAAGACAGGAGAGGTGGATACAGTTGTTTGAAAAAAATCTGCGTATAAGAGGACCCACGTAGTTCAAGCTTCTGTTGTTCAAGGGTCATCTGTACTTTATTCATTCAACAAATATTTATTGAGCAACTCTCTGTTCCAGGCACTAAGCTGAGCTGGTTTATCTTTGTTGACCTGTGGAAGAGAGGGACCAGCAAGCAGGCAACTAGCAGCCAGTGTGAATTGCACTTTGAGGTGTACATCTATAGCCAGTGTGCTGCACTGCTAGCACACAAGGGGCCACCTCACCCCGACTTCCACAGTTCCTCTGGGTAGCCAGCAGAGGAAATGATGTCGAAATTGAAACCTGAAGGATGAGTGTGGATAAGCCCGGAGAGGATCCTTTAGGGATCTAGAAGTAGCCCAATAGGCCTGGAGAGTGTATAGTTTATCCCAGTATGTTTCACTTGAACTGGATTCATTGATTTCCAGGCTTCTACAATGTATCGTTGGTTATCTTTAAGTGAGACATTGTACCTTTTAGTATCTTTTAAGTAAAAATGGGCTTATTTGGTAATATGTTTAGTTAATGGCTCTACCATCACCATTCCCTACCAAATCTGGGTTAGTAATTGTAACGCCTACAAAATCTGTGGCATAAATTGAACATTTTTGAAACCTGCCAAACTGAAAGGAAGGAGAGTGAGTGGTTGACAGTCCGAAGGGAATATGATTCCATGTGTGGTTTGAGCAAATTTACATAACTTCTCTGTATCTCAGGTTGTCAGTCTGTAAAATGGGACTTAAACCCTCATTCATTCTCTCCTTCATAAAAAAGTTGTGGGAATAATATCTGGCACATGGGAAAGCACACTTTTTTTTTTAAGAAAGACTTGGCAAATTTGCCTGAGTCGTGTATAACCATTGGCGCACCAGTGGGGCACCATTCCCCGATAAGATCAAAGCACATTGCAGACTTTGTCTATGGCAGTCTGTTTTGAGGCTAAGTAGCAACTTGAGGTGGGTAAGAAAATGTGCATTCTAGAGACAGCATGAGTTCAATGTACAGGTAAGGTATTCAATGTACAGGTAAGGCAGAAGGAAGGAAGGGCAAAGAAACAATTCCAGGGCCCTGGTTTCTGGGATGACAGGCTTCCCAACACTCATGCCAGGACTATTTTCCACCTCGGTTCACTATGGGTTTTTTTTCTTTTTTTTTAATATAATGAATTTTTAAAATGTGTGTTTGTTGCCCAGATTATTCCAGAAAGAGTTGAAGGGAGGAAAGGTGTGCTTGGTGTGCTGGTGATTCTAGCACTCTCTCCAGCCTGATTTCTAGTTTGTGTGGTGCATCCAGACAGCTCACCCAGGTGCCCAGGCTCTTTCTGGTATCCAGAGCCAACCCATCCAGGGCAGGAGGGTGAAGATTAGGAGGGGCAAAGGTTAGCCTGGAGGTTGCAATTAACAAGAATCAAAATGGGTTTCAGGATTCTCACACCCAGTTGCTAATTTCAGCTGGTCCTGTAGAGGTGACACGTAGTAGGACAACATGGTTTTGGGGGCAGTGCTGGGGTGCTGGTCTCTGCTTTTCTAGGGTAGAAAGGAATCATACATTGAAAATGCTTAAATCGATGGAATGATTTTATGTTCCTCATGCTTCCATCTCTTTCTGGTCTGCCTGCTCTTCCTGCCAGCCCTTCACTGTGACAGTCACCACTCCTAGACCTCTGTCTCTAGGCATCTCCCAGGAAGGAGAAGTGGAAAGGAAAGAGAAAAGAGCTCAGTCTCTGGTGCCCAAGACATTGTGCAAAAAAAAAAAAAAGATGGAGTCGAAAACTTTGGTTTACACAAAAAATTAGGAAGTTATTAAATACTACAAAGGTTTTATGAAAGCTCAGGCCTGGTCTTGATTGTTTTCCCCCAACAAACAAAGTTAGGGTCTAAAGGGGTCCTGAAAAGGAAAAGTCCCTCCCCTGGTTATACCAATGGGTGGTCTTGGAGTGTGCTGTTTACACTCATATAATCTTTACAGTCAGGTATTGGATGGCGAGGTATCTTTCAATCTACTTTCTAGTCACCGATTGTTCCTATGCGTGCATTATATAGATGACAGAACTGAGGTACAGAGAAGACAAAGTCACAGAGCTGCTCAGTGGGTAGAGCCAGGACTCAGACTCCAGAGTCATGCTCCTAAAACCATGGTACACTGCCTCATGGTTTCACTTTACCGTGGATGAGGAGCCTGAGACTCAGAATTTACTTGACCAATTTATTCAGTTCATTATTGACATAACCTCAACCAATTTTCAAACTTCAAGTCTAGCACTATATTGAATATATCCAAAGCCGAGAATCCTAAATTCGGTGAGAAAAGTAATGTACAGAAGGAGGTGGTGGTGCTTAGATATAACTAAGGTAAACATGAAAACTTGAGCTTAGAAATGGAAACTCCCTGTTGGCCTCCTGGCCATCTTCCCCATGCTGTAGAATAAAAAGAGATCCTTTCATTTGCCTTAGGATTTAGGAAAGAAAGCTCTTTCACTTCCGTTCTGTGTTCCAGGAAATAGAAGGCCAGATGGACGGGGCTTATTCTTAACAGCTGTTCAGTAATCCCTTCCCCTCTCAGCCATGGCCTGTGCAGAGGAGGCACGGCCTCATTTGTACCTTCTCCAGATTCTGTTTATGGGCCCACCAGTCAGATCTCAGAGGCTTAGAAAAATCCTTGAAGACAGAAATTGAAAATAAACCACTGGTTCCCCACAAACAGAGATGATGACAAAACTTCAAAGCCTGATGCAGGGGACAGTCTGATGAGACATCAAGAGCACAGTCAGGATGCTTAGAAATTCATGACCTGTCACTGTCCTAAGGAGAAGAAATGTTCCTGTTCCCATGGCGGAACACATTGGCCATGTAGGGCTTAAAATTTTTCTCTGACTCCCTGGGAGTATGGAGGAAGAGAGTTATGGGAATGGTGTTAGGGACTGGGGGTGGGAGGGTGGATTTAAATGGACACACAAAAGGCTTGCCTCCCAGTGCAGTGGAATCTAAACAATCTGAAATAGCTCAAGCTCAAGAGTTGGCATGTGCTTCTGAGCTGCCACCCACTGAACAGAGCAAGGCCTGTTACACTTGGAGATCCCGCTCCTTAAAGAGAACTTGAGAAGTGAGGTGGCAGAGGCTTGGTTTCAAACCACCTCGTTTGACAGTTTGCTTCAGTGAATCCAGTTTTTCCCTTATTACCAAAACCAAATTACAGGGGAGTTTGTCTTTATAACAGTTAATATAACTTTCTTCCTTTTTGCTTAGAAAATCTGGGTTTTCTGAGATTGGGAAATAATGCTTTATTGCTTCAGAGGAACATGGATAAAAAAGGAAGACACGACACTCAGTAGTGGATTCGCCTTCGTAGGGCAGAGAACTTTGTTAGGTGCAGGCTTAGAACCCTGCACTTAGCTGTGCTGCTTTGCTCTGGCTCCGGGGTTCGTTTTCATGTGCTTTTTCGGTTTTTAAGATTCATTTGTGCTCCTGTCCATGAACACCATCATGCTCAGCTTCTTCTTTTCCTATTGTTGACAGAGATGTGTGCACAGACCCAGGCCATGCAGATACTGGTGCCTCTAACTTCGTCAGCCCAGAACACCTCACCTCTGGCCCCCAGCACAGGAAAGCAGCGTGGTCAGGAGGGGTTAAACTTCGGCTGAAGCACAGGTAAGACGCACGGAAGTTGGTGCTGGCAGTTCGGAAAAAGAACCCAGTCCAAAAAGCCACTCAGCTGCTGGGAGAGGAGTCGGGGGCAAGGATGGTCAGGATACAGGCTGTTGAGAGAGAGGTAAGAGGCAGAACAAGGAGGCGAGATAGAAGCTCAGAGTTTAGAAGGATACTGATCTTATTAATGGTAGTTTACGCACAAGGTTCTAAAGAACTGTAAAGTTCCTGGGAGGTCATTCCAGGGTCCCACAAATAGTTTGATTCAAATATCATTTCAAAAATACATTTATAATTATTTGTAAAACTACAATTTAAAACATCAAAAGTGATACACTTATGTTTTATACCTTGGAAATGATCAGTGTGCCAAATTGTACAGCAAGACTAATTCATCTTTGAACTAATCTTCATTTAAAATTTCTCGGAGGAATGTCCCAAGATTCCAACGTAAGCCTAACAAAGATTTGTAGCTACTTACCCATGTGGGTCAGATTTTGAGAGTGAATGAACCTGAGTGCTTCCCATGTGCTAGGTGTCCTGGCTTTGCACGGGCTATCTCATTAAATTCTCACACCAGCCCTGTGAGGTTTGCTCTTGTAGAATAGCATTCAGCTAGGAGGCAGTGGATTCAAATTCAGCCTCTACACCAATGCCTCAGCATCAGCACAACAGTGCCTACTTCATAGGACAACTGTAGGATTCAACGAGATACGGTATTCAAAGCACTCAGCACACAGCCCACTCAGAACAAAAAATAAATGTTAGGTGGTGGTATAATGCTGTGTGAATATAATTATCCTCATCATTCTCATCATTATCACAAAAGTCTGTATGATATCATGAATGGTAGTATGATACGGGGAGTAAGATGGGGTTTGTGCAGTGTCAGACTACCTAAAATTCAAGCCTAGATTCTGCCACTTACCATAGACCCTCAGACTTGTTATAGAAGCTCTCTCTACTTCCAACTGTAAAATAAGTTTAATAACTGATCCGCCTCCTAGGGATGCTGAAAGGACTGAAAGAGCCGATACATGTCAAGCACTAGGGCTGTGCCTACTATGTCATGAGTGCAACAAATGTTATCATAGTAACCAATTATCTTGATTTCAGTTTGGGAAGTTCTTTCATATAGACATGTCGACTTGCATTATAAATAAGTAGGCTGGGCTCAGTGGCTCATGCCTGTAAGCCCAGAGATTCAAGACCAGCCTGGGCAAAATGGCAAAACCCTGTCTCTACAAAAAATATAAAAATTAGCTGGGCATACTGGCACACACCTGTGGTCCCAAGTACTCTGGAGGCTGAGGTGGGAGGATTGCTTGAACCTGGGAGGTCGAGGCTACAGTGAGCCATGATTGAGTCACTGCGCTCTAGCCTGGGAGACAGAGCTTCAAACAAACAATATAATTTGGATTTATGCAAATCCATATTGGTATCTTTAGACTATCCATGTTCAATAATACACAAATATACATAAAAGAAATAATGTTATATAATAAAACAACACTTGTATTGGGGTGTTTAAGGTTCTTTGTTAGATTTCATTTGAAAAAAAAAAAAAGATTTAAAAGAAGTTTAAACATACCAAAGGTCTAGGGAGGCCAACTGGCTGGTGTCTGAGAGTCAGGCCAAGAACAGGGTGAGATTCGCCAAGACCTCTGACTCAAGAGATCCAGCCAGCAAGGTTGCTCCCAGAGACATCCTAAGAAGCAGAAGCTCCGAGGTTATCACTCTTTCCTTTAGCCTGCTAGGATCTTTAAAATATAGAGAATCAAAATTTTCTCTTTAACAAGGAGGTGTCCACAGGGCCCGATAGGCTAATCTAATGTCAGTGCCAAAGCTCAAGGCCAGAAAGTAGTAGTTAGGGAGTTTCTGCTCCAGCCTGGAAAGAAAATGATCAAGACCTGAACTAAATCAATGGTGATGGGACAAGAGATGAGACAGATTTGAGATAAATTTAGGGAGGCAGAATAAATAGCAGATGAGGGTAGGATAAAGGAGAGAAAAACTAAAGAGTGACTGCTGAGTTGCTGGTATGAGGCACTTGGGGATATCTGCAGGGCCATTAGGACAGGGAAGGCAGGAATCACAGAAACTGACTGGGGGTTAAGAATATCAGCAGTAGAATCACATAGACCTGGGTTTGAGCTAGAAACAATTAAAATATTTTATAAAACAATCCCTGAAAGTTGAGTGGAACAAACAAATGTATATCTACTTACTATCTTAAACATAAATAAATCATATTTATAACAAGCTGGGATTGTCCTCATCAGTGTGGTCAAAGCTGGCCGATGGCGCTATGTCTGTATGGAGAACATAAGCGACAAGCAATTTCCTTTGTAAAAAGTCATGAGCTAGATGGTGCAGACATCACTCCTGCTCTTGGCTGGAATTTTTACTCTTCATACACTAAGAATTTTACATGTATGTGTCATATCTCTACAAATACAGTCACGTATTGCTTAATGACAGGGATACATTCTGAGCAATGTGTCATTAAGCGATTTTATTGTTGCTGAACATACTAGAGTGCACTTACACAAACCTAGATGGTGTGACCTACACACCTGGGCCATTTGGTGTAGCCTAGACTATGGTGTAGCTCTTAGACTATGAACCTGGACAGCATGTTGCTGTACTGAATTCTGTAGGCAATTGTCACACAATGGTAAGGATTTGCTTGTCTAAACAGACAAAAATACAATGTAAAAGATAAAAAGGATACACCTACATAGGGCACTCACCATGAAGGGAGCCTGCAGGAATGGCAGTTGCTCTGGGAGAGTCAGCGAGTGAGTGGTGAGTGAACGTGAAGGCCGGTACTGTGCACTGCTTTACTGTACACTGAGGCTACGCCAAATTTATTTAAAATTTTTTCTTCTATAATTAACGTTAGCTTACTGTAACTTTATAAACTTTTAAACTTTTAAAAATATTTGACTCTTTTGTATTAACACTTAGTTTAGAACACAGACACATTGTATAGCTATACAAATATTTTCTTTTTTATATCCTTATCCTAAAAGCTTTTTTTCATTGAATTTTTTTTTCTTTTAAACATTTTTGTTAAAAACTGAGACACAAACACACACTCTAGCCTAGGCCAAACAGAGCAGGATCATCAATACCACTGGCTTCTACCTTTATGTCTTGTCCCTCTGGAAGGTCTGCAGGGGCAGTGCATGGAGCTGAGCTCTCCTGGATAACACTGCCTTATTCAGGAACACCTCCTGTAGAACCTGCCTGAGGCTATTTCACAGTTAGCTTCTTTTTTTAATAAGTGGGAATACAGAATAAAATAATGATTAAAAGTATAATATAGTAAATACATAAGCCAGTAACACACATTTATTATAAAGTATTATGTACTGTACATGATTGTATGTACTGTACTTTTAGAGGACTGGCAAGTGCAGTAGGTTTATGCCAGCATCAAAACCACGTGAGTGATGGCTACAGCTTCACCAGGCGATAGGAATTTTTCAGCTCCATTATAATCTTATGGAACCACCGTCATAATGTGCACTCCATTGTTGGCTGAAATGTCATTATGTGGCACATGACTGTAAATTGTAAGCCCTATGTTAGTGTACCTCCTAATTTTCCTGTCCCCCAAGAAGTCTCTCTGCAACCCAACTGTTACTGATATGGGACTAACCTAGGAAATCAGAGTCATTCTCATCTAGTTACGCTCAGATCCTACATCCTGTTTGTTTTGCTTTTTACTTTTTTGTTTTGAAATCATTGTAGACTCACAGAAAAGTTGTAAAAATAGTACAGAGATTTCCTGTATACCTGTCACCCAGCTTTCTCTAATGTTAACACCCTTTATAACCGTAGTACAAATATCAAAACTAAGAAATCAGCACTGGTGTAATACTATTAGCTAACAGACTTAACTTTATATAAACTATAAACTTTACTCAGATCTCACCATTCTTTCCCATTAATGTCCTGTTTCTGTTCTAGGATCCCACATTGTGTTCCCTTAGCCTCCTCTGATCTGTGATATTTCCTCAGTCTTTCCTTGGCTTTTGTGACCTTGACACTTTTGAAGAGCTCTGGGCAGATATTTTGTAGAATGCTTACTATTTGGGTGTGTCTGATGTGTTCTCATGGTTACATTGAGGTGATGGCTTTTGACAATACCACAGAAGTGATGTTGTTTTCTTCTGTCTCATATAAGGGTTACATGATGTCAATATGTCTCATTACTGGTGATGATTAACCTTGATTACTTGGTTATGGTGAAGTCCGCCAGGTTTTTCTATTTTAAAGTTACTATTTGTCCCTTTGTAATTAATAAATAACCTTGGAAAGATAATTTTCAGGCTATGGAAATATCCTGTTTCTCCTCAAACTTTCTTCACTGATCTTGGCATCTATCAGTGTTGCCTGTGACAACTATTACTATAATGTTCTAAATTTGATTCTTTATTTCTTTCATTTTTTCTACATTTATTAATTAGAATTTTTAAAAAAGCCTATTTCTCTCCTCTACTTATTTATTCATTATTCATTCATGTCAGTAAGGACTCTTCCATATTTATTTTATCCTGTGGGTTATAATTCAGTACTACTGTTATTTATTTTGTTGTTCAAATGGATCTAGTTTTGGCCATCGAGAGCTCTTTTGAGCTGGCTCTGGTCTAAGTCCTGTTTGGAAATGTGGAAAAGGATGAGGTAGTGATGCCTTGTCCTTACACAAAAGACTGCAGACCATGATGTGCTATCATCTTCTTAGGAGTCTTATAAATGTTGAAGTGGGAGGTTGATGGTGGGTATGGAGCAGTTCTAATTTGTGACATGTCACAGAGGCCTATACTGATTTTGGAATTGGAAAGTGCTGTGGTCACCTCATGAGCTAGTTCCAAGTCCATGAGTAACAGGTATATATATATTCATAGCTCCTTCATTGTGGAGAAAATAGCCAGGAAGGATCTTCTCACTTATCTATAAGAAAAAAGAAAAGCCAGAAGCTCATTTCCCAGGTATATATAGGAGCCAGTGAAACAACCAAGTTAAACAGAGAGAGACACTTTTAGTGGTCCAGGGCTTAATATTCTCACAGATCCAATCCCACCCTTCCTTTCCCGCTTAGATCCCTGCATTCTCTCTTATCTATCAACAGGAATTCTTATGATCTAACTTATCTTGGCAGAAACTTCTCTCTAAAATCTATCAAGCCTTGGGCTAGGGTAATGAGTCGGTAAAGGAGACAAAATGTTCTAGCTTGAAACTGAAGATTTTCCAAGCCGATGCTTTTCTCCATAAGCTTCTCATTCCTTCCTCACCTTCTCCCACAAGTCATTATAAAAATAGTCTGATGTAATTATTAAGCATTTACCCTTATATGGGGATCTCGGATCACCATGCTTCATAAAGTAAATCAAGATGAATGGATAATAGAAGCTCAGAATCTGACTCCTCTAATTCATTCTCAATTGAACAGCAAGGTTAGTTCTGCGGTGCTGTCCCTTGGCAGTGAGTTCTGTCCCTGTGCTGCTGACTTAGTGTTTTCATGACAGTACATCTTAGGAAGATGCGGTGAGATGTTGTTATAGAACCACTGCTTCAGTCGACTCCCTAACTATGGGAGGCTTAAAGCAACTAGCACTTTTGTAGACAGTGGCATTTTTGCATATGGAGGAGGGCATGTGTTTAGCAGAGAAGATCATTTAAGGAGACTTCCTGATTTCAGTTTGATGCATTCTATCATCAGATGATTTTCCTTGCTTCCCTCCTCCTCTTGCCCACAAAAATAGAATTCCAGCATTTCTAAGCTATAGGCTATTGTTCAAGATGCCAGCTCTTCTCAGGGAGTCATTAAGGGTCACCTTCTCTTCTTCCCTCTTACAGAGCAGGAATTGAATTTTAATTGGCCAATTTACAGAGGGGACTGGCATTGAGAGTCCCTCCCACTTGCGCTGAGCTGGGCAAGTTCAAGGCGATTCAGGCCGTCCAACTGGAGGCACATGTAGTACTTGTGAGGCTTTTACCATGCTGTGGGGAGCAGAAAGAGCAGTAGCAGGGCAGAATGGCTTTTTATTCCACGACTGAATATGACATCCAATTGGCCAGAGGGTTGCTATCTGGGATGTTTCTATTTGCCACAAGGTAAGTTCAGTATTGTGTTAGAATGCGATTCAGAATCTTTCATTGCAGGATCCTCCAATGACAAGCCTTTAACAGCTGTCTTTTTGATATTGTGCTATATCTGTTTATAAAGAAAAATAACCAACTGCCTGTTAGGTTTAAACCTGTTTCTCTAAATTGTTATGAATATTCTCATTATTTGAATATCTCACATGATTTGGTGTAGTATTAATATTTCTGTTCGGGAATTCTCATTCTCCTATGTATAAATACAGTCGCCCTATTTTTTATGATGTGTGTATCTTGACTGGCTTTTTATCCCATTCAAATTAACAAGTGCTTTGTGCTGTGTACCTCACGGTTTTCCTTCCTCATTTCCCTGGGGAATTTCAGAGTAACCATTGCTGTTTCTTATGGGAATGGTTATATACCTATGTACTAGTAGCCAAGTTCTCTATTCTCATTGCCAATATTTGTATAAAGAAAGGGAAGTTTTTATTTTATTTGACTTTCACTTATTCCTTCTCTGATGCACTTCCTTTTTTTACACAGATCTAAGTTTCTGATCTATATCATTTTCCTTTTCTCTAAAGAACTTTTAATATTTCTTGCAAGGCAAGTCTATTGGCAACAAATTCCCTCAATTTTTGTTTACCTGAGAAAGACTTTACTTCTTTCAACACTTTTGAAGAATAATTTCACAGGATCCAGAATCTATGTTGGTGTTTTTTGTTTGTTTGTTTTTCCTTTCAACACTTTCAATCTTTTACTCCACTCTCTTCTTTCTTGCATGGTTTCTGAGGAGAAGTCAGATGTAATTCTCATCTTTGCTCCCCTATAGGTGAGGTGTTTTTCCCATCTGGCTTCTTTCAGGCTGTTTGGCTTTATCTTTGGTTTTCTGTAGTTTGAAACTGACATACCTAGGTGTAGTTTTTCTGGTATTTATCTTGCTTCATGTTCTTGGAGCTTCCTGGATCTGTGGTTTGGTGTCTGACATTAATCTGGGGAGATTCTCAGTCATTATTGTTTCAAGAATTTCTTTTCTTCCTTTCCCTCTTTCTTTTCATTCTGGTATTTCCATTACGTCTATGTTACACCTTTTGTAGTTGTCTCTCAGTTCTTGGATATTCTGTTCTGGAATTTTCTGTCTTTTTTTCTCCTTGCCTTTCAGTTTTGAAGGTTTTTTATTCAGATATCCTCAGGCACAAAGATTCTTTCCTTGGCCCTGTCCAGCATGCATGTGTGGGGCAGGGGTATGGGCAAGGAAATCTCTGTACCTTCCACTCAGCTTTGATGTGAACCTAAAACTGCTCTAAAAAAATTTTTTTAAGTCTATTTTTTAAAAAAAGAAGACAAAAGGAACCCATGTGTATATTCTAAATTTCAAAGAAAAGGTATAGTCTTCTTATTCAACTTTGAGATTATAGTCATATATGAAAAGAAGTATTGATTGAGATTGCCAATTGTACATTATTTAACTCCATCACAATTGAAGATTTAAATACTTCATTATATTTTCTCTTATAATTCAAATTCAACTTTTATCCATATATAATCTTGATTTGAAATTTTCCTCCAGAATTATGCTAAATGTCAGCGCTTGCTTCTATAGATGCCTTTACTTAAAATAGGACATGGAAAAAAACAGGTGGATGCAACAGTCGTGGTAATGTTCTAGCTCTCTAGCTGATTTGAGTATTTATTTTATTATTATAGGCATTCATTTTATTATTACACCATGTAAAAGATAAAAAAGACAACATGAACTGCTTATATTATCAAATTTGCTCATCTATATATAGAGAGATTACAGGGCTGGTTTTCCCAGTTTTATTTGGCATTCTTTCATCTGAAAGTGAGTAAGAGAGAACGTTCTTTTGATTTTTATTCTCCCAAAGTGTCAGCTTCTGTTTGAGCAGTGGTAGTTAAACTCTTCTCTATTGTAAAATTTCTTGTGGAAATATTGGTAGGTAGGAATTGAGCTGGAGCAAGTGTTAAAGTCTTTTACATTTTCAGCTGCTCTGCCTTAAAACCTTCACTATTCTTTTTATTTCAGTTCCAGTAACATTTGGAAACTTTATTTTAATGAAGTTTCTTTGCCAGTCTGAGTTGAAAATATAGATTCTTTTGAGCATTATTTAACATTTTTCACTAAAATTAATGCCTTCTGTCTTTTCCTTTGTTTTCTTATTGCCTCTAATTTCTTACTTATGGCCTTTTCCTTTAAATGAAGAGGAAGACAGTGAAATAGAGAAGTGAAAAATATAACACAAGGCATCAGACTTACTCCAAAAGAGAATTCAGTTTGTTTGGTGTTAGAGGTTTGGGAGGGATTTGCTTTTGTTTAATGGAGTGGTGTTTAGAATAAATAACCATCAAAAGGTAAGGCTTCTGCCTCACACACACAAATGCAAAAAACACAACCCTTTCTTCATTTGTTTTGAGGAGTGCAATTTAATTTATTCTTGGCCTTGTATAAAAATTAGCTTAATTTTGAAATATGTTGGTTGGTATTTGGACTCCTTTAAACTCTCAAAGGCAATCTTTTATGGGTTTCTCATTAAGGAGGAAGGTTTCCTGCTTAGGGGTAGCCTTCTCCGGGCACTCAGCCTCACCATCTGCTGGATAGAGGGGAGAAGCTCTACACCTTTTACTACACCCTGCTGAGCTGCTCCTCATTTGTCTGCCAGCAGAAGTCCTCTGGGAAAGCTCCCAGACATCTTCTCCCTAAAAAGCTATAGTAATTCAGGGGCACACACAACATTTCTAGCCCTCTGCAGCTATCTGAGCCTCTCTGAGATCCATGACAGTCTTGGGGGTGTTTGCATGTGCCTGTCTGTGGAAAATAACACACCACCATGGAAGTGATTTCTCCTAAGTTTTAGCAACATATGCTATGGCACAGAAAAACAGTATGGAAGAAAATTCTAAAATCATATCTGATATCTGGAGAAATTGGTAGAAACCATCCTTCTTTCCTCCAACAAATAAAATGCCCAGTTCCAAATGAGAGTTGAGAAACAGAAATTATTTATTGGTAATTAGAAGTTGTGCTATTCTATTTATGCTGTGCTGTTCTTTTGTAATTGAGTTTGTAAATTAATAAAAGGCAAAGATGAATGCTATTACACATCATAGATATTACAATGTTTGCATCAAATTCTGCTTGATTTTTATGCAGATGTTGACATGTAGGAAGGACAGTTGAATATTCTGATTCTCTGTGTGTGTCATTGCTGACAAAGGGGATATAAAGAGGGGAATATTGGGGAAAAAAACATTTCAATTTGTTACCCCCCGGCAATTGAATGAAAAACACCCCTGTTGCTAGTCCCTCTCTTTTATAGTAGTGTTTTCATGCAGTAATCAATAAAATTTAATCTTCAAAAACTGTTTCAGAATGGAGGATGGGGAGGAGATAACTAGTAGTGAAGGGGATATTGGGACAGGCATGGTAGAATGGGGTAAAGTAGGATACGAGAAAAGGGGCTGTATCTTTTATGCCAGTTTTGGTGTTACAGCGTTATGACTGCACATTAGCAGACTTCACACTTACTGATGCTTCAGCTGTCAAAACCAAAAGTCCCCAGGACATATTATCAGGATGTGACATTTAAAAACAACTTTTCTTTCCAGAAGGGACTGTGTGTTGCTATGAGATGGTATTACCTAATGCATACCTTTCTACCTACTGAACCACTTTTTAAAGACACAGATATTAATGAGGGAATTATGAAAAGCCTTGGAAAAGTGTTTTTTAGGTTTTTTTTTTTTTTTTTTTTTTTTTTTTTGTGAATCCAAAAGGTCTGAGGGATAGTCTTGAGGAGCCTGGAAGTAGTTATAGAAACAAGGAGTTGGCCGGGTGCAGTGGTTCAGGCCTGTAATCCCTTTGCTAATGGAGTGTTGAAGGACAATGGCCACCTTTTTTCGTGTTTTGAAAGATTCTTGTTTGTTTCAAATCTTTTAAAAATGCTTCAGACCTTTTCTGTCTCCTGTGAACATATTATAAACATCTAAACACCATCTGAATGAAACAATGTTATGAGTGCAGCTCAGTGTTTTTTGACTTGGTCCCAGTTTTCCATTGCTATATGTTTTTATCATTAGTATTTGGGGCCTATCATTTTCCTATAAACAGTAAATGCCTAAAAAGGGATGTTGTTCAAATATGCATCATCTATTATTCTATACTAAAGAAGATATAATCTCTCCCTGAATTCTTTCTTTTTTTTTTTTTTTTTGAGGCAGAGTCTCGTTCTGTTGCCCAGGCTGGAGTGCAGTGGTGCAATCTCAGCTCATTGCAACCTCGCCTCCCGGAGTCAAGCGATTCTCCTGCCTCAGCCTTCTGAGTAGCTAGGATTACAGGCACGCACCACCACACCCCGCTAATTTTTGTATTTTTACTAGAGACGGGGTTTCACCATGTTGGTCAGGCTGGTCTTGAACTCCTGACCTCGTGGTCCGCCCACCTCGGCCTCCCAAAGTGCTGAGATTACAGGCCTGAGTCACCACGCCCGGCCTCCCCCCGAATTATTTCTACAGTGACATTTAATTGTTCATATTGAGTTTATTTCCTTTTTAAAATGTGAAAGGGGGCAATTTAGCAGTAATTATCAAAATTGGAAGTGCATTTACCCTTTGAGCCAGCAACTCCACTTTTAAGAATTTCTCCAGCACTTTGGGAGGCCGAGGCGGGCGGATCAAGAGGTCAGGAGATCGAGACCATCCCGGCTAAAACGGTGAAACCCCGTCTCTACTAAAAATACAAAAAATTAGCCGGGCGTAGTGGCGGGCGCCTGTAGTCCCAGCTACTTGGGAGGCTGAGGCAGGAGAATGGCGTGAACCCGGGAGGCGGAGCTTGCAGTGAGCCGAGATCCCGCCACTGCACTCCAGCCTGGGTGACAGAGCGAGACTCCGTCTCAAAAAAAAAAAAAGAATTTCTGCAGACATTTCAACATACATAGAAAACACTATGTGGACATGGTTATTCATTGCAGCATTATTTGTAATAGCAAAAGACTAGACATGAAAAAGTGTCTACAAAAGGGGTCTGGTTAAACAAATATATGCATACGGTGGAGTACTAGGTAGCTGAAAGGAAATAAAGGTATGAGGAAGCTCTGTAAATACTGGTATAGAATGATCTTCAATATGTTTGAGGGCTTTTATTTGAGAAGGGGGTCTCAGTTTTGCCCAGGCTGATCATAAACTCCTGAGCTCAAGCAATTCTACCACCTCAGACTTTCAAGTAGCTGGGACTACAGGCGTGAGCCACCATGCCCAGCTGAATATGTATTGTTGAGTAAAAAAGCAAGGGATAGAACAGGCCATGAAGTTTCTTTTGGGAAAGGAGTGAAATGAGATTATATGTTCATGTTTGCCTGTATTTGCATAACAGAACACTGGAAAAGATACTTAAGAAATTAACTACAGTGGTTAGCTTGTAGGGGCAAGAGAAATGGGTGTGGTGGAGGAGGAATACCAGAAGTAAATATGGGGAAAATATGAAGACTTTATAAACTTTATAAATTTTGATGATGCATACATGGTTATTTATATTAATCCAGATACATTTATATATGTTTAAAATGTTTCATAAGCAAGGCATAGGGGTACGTGCTATAGTCCTAGCTACTTAGGAGGCTGTGATGGGAGGATTGTTTGAGCCCAGGAGTTCAAGGCTGCAGTACGCTATGATCATGCCACTGCACTCCAGCTTGGGTGACAGAGTGAGACCCTGCCTCAAAAAACGATTTCATAATTTTAAAAATACATGAGGAAAAATGGGGAAAAACAGCAGTGGCATGTAAAAAGAATCTTTAAAAACAATGCTTTACTATTCACAATAGCAAAGACATGGAATCATCCTAAAGGGCCATCAATGACAGATTGGATAAAGAAAATGTGCTACCTATACACCATGGAATACTATGCAGCCGTAAAAAAGAATGAGATAATGTCTTTTGCAGGAACATGGATGGAGCTGGAGGCCATTATCCTTAGCAAACTAACGCAGGAACAGAAGACCAAATTCTGCATGTTCTCATAAGTGGGAGCTAAATGATGAGAACACATGGACATATGGAAGGGAACAACACACACTGGGGCCTACTTGAGGGTGAAGGGTAGGAGGAGAGAGAAGATCAGAAAACATAACTATTGGGTACTAGGCTTAGTGCCTGGGTGATGGAATAATCTATATAACACCCCCAGTCCATGACACAAGCTTACCTATATAACAAACCTGCATGTGTACCCCTAAAATTAAAGTTAAAAAAAAAACCAGTGCTTTATCCCCAGCTAAGCACAGTGTTCAATAAGAATATGATGAAGATCTACAATTCAAATATTTGAAATTTTAATTTAATAGACCTAATTTGCAGAATATATTGATGTATTTTGTTTCTTTTTTGGGGGATATGGGGGTGTTTGATTAGAACTTTCTTATGATGGACTTTGTCTCATAGTATTGCGCACTAAACAATAATGGATGGAGAGGTTGATGGGTTAGTAAGGGGTTTAAGAAATATGGTAACTTTTATTTTGTGGTGCTGGTAGTCTGAGTATATTTTGTATTCTTATACACTTGACTCGGGTCCAGTTGATAACTGGCAGAGTTTTATAACACTGCACCGAGAAGAGCCCATGCAACATGTGTCATAACAGTTCGTTAAAGAATAGCATCAACAAAAAAATTAGTTCTTAGAATTTTTTATTTTCCAACTAATAGTTGTCACTTTCTCCATTTATCCAAAGCATACCAATCTTTCAAGGTCATCTGAAGTCCCACTGTACTACTAAGCCTTCTGGCTGACTTCAGACCCCATTCATGTGAGCTTTTTGTATCCAAAATGCCTCTACAGCCTCGGTGGCCCAATATGATCTGAATTTTATACCATCTGCTCTTCACTCACAAGGCTCTGGCTATACTCTCTTGTATTCTTTAAAAACCCAAACTCATTCCTCCTCTCAAGGATTTTGCATTCATTTTTCCTTTGGAGCTATATATTCTTCTCCTAGCTCTTTGCATGGTTAATTATTTCTTATCATTTAGGTCTTGGTTTGAATGTCACTTGCTCATAGAGGCTGTCTCTGACTTAAATGGGGACTTTCCATCACACTCTCACATTACCCAGTTTTATTTCCTTCAGAACCCTTATAACTATATGAGAATATCTTGTTTGATTTGCTTACTTGCTTACTCCCTGTCTCCCTCCTCTGCCTCTCCCACCTCATTGCACAGTGCTCCTTACTTGCAAATTAAAAGCACAGGCTCTGGAGAGAGATGCCTGGGTTTAGTAGCTGTGCTGCTCACTACATTTGTGACAGTGAACACATTGTTTATTCTGTATTTACCTCACTTTCCTCATTAATAGTCCTGTATCATAAAGGTAATATAAAGGCTAAGTGAGAAAATACTCGTCAAGTGCCTAGAATGGTGGTTGGCACTCAGTAGGCACTCAAATATTTTTTGAGTGAATGAATGATGCTCTGACTTTGTTTAATAGTTTTTCTTGCATCTGAGCCTCCCCAGCAAGATTATAAACTCTTAGGCCTTCCAAGACCTTGCAGAGCTCCAACTATAATTTAACAAGGTTGAAGGCACATAGGTGATTAGTGAATACTGCTTAAAATACTGAACTTACTGTAGATTTCTCAGAAACTTGTTTTGCATTCCTGAATCTCTCTGTGTTAGGGCAAAATCATCTAAGAAGGACATCATGTCACTTGCGAATTCCAGTTTCATCAGCCTACCCATCCCACGCAGTTAAGCTTCCTTGTTTGTGGTTAGGAATGCAACAAAAGGGCTTTGTTTGAATTACACCCACACACAAAACTTAGTTTGCTAAATTTTAAAATTAAACCATCTTCTGACTTACTGATATGCTCATGATGTGATGTACTTTAGGAAAATATTTCTTTAAGTTCTTAAAGATCAAAGTGATCCCAAAATGTAAAATTAGTATGCCATGCTCTTTAGGAATGCTTATTAAATGTTTCGCATCATTGAGAAAGTCAGCTGTTTAACTGAAAAAATAGCTGTTTAATTTTTTTTTTTTAACTCTCAAGCTACAGTGAATTGTATTTTCAAAATGAAAGACTATTTTAAAAATACTTTGCTTTTCAATAGGTAATACATGCGTATAGTATAAAATTTGAAAAGTTACAAAATGAAATACAGTGAAAATAAGTTTTCCTTCCCAGAGGCAGTCATTGTATCTAGTTTCTTAAGTGTCCTTCCAAAACTACTCTTTACGTTAATATACACACATGTGATTTTCCCCACATACTGTAGCAGACTGTACATGTAATTCTGCATCTTTCCAGTGTAACAATATATTTGGAGATATTTCCATATCAGTATGTATAGAGATACTTCATCCTTTTTAACAGCCATTATATGGATATACCACACTGAGTTAACTAGTCTGCTGCTAATGGGCATTTAGGTTGTCTTCCAATCTTTTGATGGGTATGTTATTTTAAAAATCATTTGCTAGATGTTGTCAAACTGGCCTTCATTCAGGTTGTACTGATATACACTGGTGGGCTATTTTTGGTCATCCTTTTCAATTCTTCGCTTATTTCATCACTTACCTCCTATCTGTACGGTATGGAAGAATCTTATAAAACAAAGATTTATCTCCGAAGCCCTCTCCCAACATATCTTCTGCATCTAAAAGAAAAGTTGTTTTTTGTTTTTTTTTCCTCGTGTTTTTGTTTTTTTCAGGGCCTTTTGATTTGCTTCCCCCTCCCCACCCCCACCGCCAAAATCATCCTGTCATCTTGTTCTTAATCTATTAGAACTGTGATGAAACCTGATACTCTGCCCAGGGCAAATAAATAGTTACCTCTCCAACCTCCTCCAAAGTAAAAGCTCCAAAGTTGAGTTTGCTGTCTTTGTATTGCAGGTATTGGACCTACTTTCTAAAGCACTTATTTTATCTGTACTGTAGGAATTATTTCATTTGCTCTTTCCTGCAGAATGTAAGCTCCTTAAAGGCAGAGACAATATCTTAGTCATTATTTCTTTAAAATATCTCTTTAAAATTTGTTTAATTTTTTATTTTCTTAAATGGACATTTAATTGTACATATTTATGGGGTACATAATGATGTTTCAGTACAAATAATGTATAGTGATGAGATAAGGATAATTAAATATTTTTAAATATCAGTTTCAACTCTTCTAGTCCTCATGTACCACATCCCTGGAGCCCGATCCCGTGTGTCACCTCCCTCACTTCTCCCTCTTCCAGGTTAGGTTCATCATGAAAACAGAGGACATTGGGTACGAGGTCCCCTCAACTTTTCGTGCTACCTACTTGCTTTCACATTTGCCAGCATCCACCTTTCTTCTATCTCAACAGCACTGGCTTTCCTCCTCCATAAGCTCATACCCTTCACCTGAGTGTTTGAATCCCATCCCTTCCTGAGTCTTTAAGGAGTCCTCCTCCTGTGTCCTGTGTCTTCAGATGGGCCTCTGCACGCTCTCTGCCTTATAGACACTTGCTTGAACTTCTCATTTAAAACAAAAACATTAGGAACAAAACCTTTTCACTCCCTGGATCCCTTCAGTCTTCTAGCTACCACCCTCTTCTCCCCTTTAGAAACAGGTTTTTGAAGGAATCATCTGCCCATACTGCCTGTCTTATCCCTTGTTCACCTTTAGCCCCATCCTAAAGCATGCCATTGCAAGGACTTGCTAGTTGCCAAATCCAGTGGCCATGCATCTACCCTCATCACACTAACCTCTTTACAGCATTGCAGTGGTTGACAGTTTCCTCCTCCTCCTCACTCTCCCCACTAGAAATCTGTGAGACTCCCATACTTAACTTGTTTTCCTCCTCCTTCTGTGGAAGCTCCTCTTGGGCTTTTTCCCAGGCTCCCTCTCCCCTAAATTTTGATCATTCTCAGAGACTCATCCTTAAATCATTTCCTTTGTCTCCCTGTTCATTCTCCTCAAGTCACTTATCTTCTCTCAAAGGCCCTGTGTTTTGTGACTTGTAAATTTCTATATGCAGCCCAGCCCTCAGTCCTCTAGTCCTTCTCCACTGAAAGTCCCACAGGCACTCATTCGCATGCCCCAGAATGAGCCATCAGCATCCTGCTTATTTCCTCTTCTCTCTCTCCACTCCCATCCCCTCCATCTAAAAAAAAAAAAAAAAAAAAAATTTAAGAGACTGTCTCTCTGGAAGCTGCAATGCAGTGGCACACAGTCATTGCTCGCTACAGCTTCAAACTCCTGGGTTCAAGTGATTCTCCTGCTTCAGCCTCTGAGTAGTGGGGACTACAGGTGGATGCCACCACACCCAGCTAATTAAAAAAAAAATTGAGCCCCCTGCCTCAGCCTCCCAAGTAACTCAGCTTATAGGCACAAGCAAACTAGAGGGCCTATCTGGAACCCCTGAAGTTATCAGTAAACGTTGTCTCACACCTCATCTCCTTGACAGGAAGACATCTTTTTTCCTGTGGAGCCTGTGGAATTTATCACTTTCTATTTCTCTTGGGTGGGAAAATCTTCTCGGCATCTAGCTAGGCATGGACAGATACTGTTGGGTGATGATGCCACTGAAGAGCCGTCCTTAGTGTCACGTGGTGCTGGTCTGAGGTCACGGTCCATTGGTGTCCATTGGCTTCTCAAGGCCAATACCCAGTCCCGGGGCTAATTTCTACTACTGAGAGTGATTCTGCCAACTCCCTTCACTAAGTAGTGGGAATGAGCAGTAGGAAGATGACAGTTTGTTCTTTCTCTTCTTTCTCCTAATGTATTTTGGGCCCACTGGGGTCTAAAATGATACATACATGAAACACCTCTAGGTATCTCATGCAAAAGAGACTTTATTTTTTCTTTGAGGCTGGGCTTTTGCTATGTGATTAAGCAGTGGCATTTGTTGAGTACCTGAAGTCATATATAACTGGGTTTAAACCCTTACTCCCAGACTTACTAGCTGTGTGATTTGGGCCAGCCCCTGAAGGGTTTAGAGCACTAGGAAGGATTTCTAATCATTGGATGGAACAAGGTGATAAACCAGGAATCTAAGTCAGTGAGGCAGCCTACCTTCAAGGAACCGGTTGAAGATGCAGCAGCCTAATTTCTGGGGACTTTGGTGTCCAAAATTAGAGAAGGACTAGCAGCAAGAATACTGAACTGCTAAGATGCTGAGCCATGAACCCTCAGGCTCCCTGCCTACCTGCACTGAGAAAAAGGTTGATTCGGCCGGGCACGGTGGCTCACGCCTGTAATTCCAGCACCTTGGGAGGCCAAAGTGGGCAGATCACAAGGTCAGGAGTTCAAGACCAGCCTGGCCAATATGGTGAAAGCCTGTCTCTACTAAAAATACAAAAAATTAGCCAGGCATGGTGGCACAGCCTGTAATCCCAGCTACTTGGGAGGCTGAGGCAGGAGAACTGCTTGAACCCAGGAGGTGGAAGTTGCAGTGAGCCAAGATTGTGCCATTGCACTCCAGCCTGGGCGATAGAGCAAGACTCCATCTCAAAAAAAAAGGTTGATTCAACTTTAGAAGGCCAAGGTGGGCGGATCACTTGAGGCCAGGAGTTTGAGACCAGCCTGGCTGACATGGTGAAACCCCGTCTCTACCAAAAAAAAAAGAAATGCAAGAAAAATAATAATTAGCCAGTCATGGTGGCGTGTGCCTGTAGTCCCAGCCTCCTACTCAGGATGCTGAGGTACAAGAATCACTTGAACCTGGGAGGCAGAGGTTGCAGTGAGCCAAGATTGCGCCACTGCACTCCAACCTGGGCAGCAGTGCTGAACTTCAAGGTTTAGTGGTTACATGGGACCTGTTATTGAAGATTAGAGAGGTATGGTGATATGGTTTGGCTGTGTCCCCAACAAAATCTCATCTTTAATTCCCACGTGTTGTGGGAGGGACCCGGTGGGAGGTAATTGAATGATGGAGGCAAGTCTTTCCCATGCTGTTCTCATGATAGTGAATAAGTCTCATGAGATCTAGGTTTTAAAAAGAGGAGTTCCCCTGCAAATGCTCTCTCTCTCTTTGCCTGCTTCCATCCATGTAAGATGTGACTTGCTGCTCCTTGCCTTCTGCCATGATTGTGAGGCCTCTCCCTAAGCCATGTGGAAGTGTGAGTCCATTAGACCTCTTTCTTTTGTAAATTGCCCAGTCTCAGGTATGTCTTTATCAGCAGCGTGAGAATGAACTAATACATGTGGGGACAAGGAGGCAAACAAATTGTCATATGTTGGTTCTGCTGTTGATGTCTTGATTTTGCATCTACTTCATCTCCTTAGCCCAAGCTGTGCACCTGCTCCCTTTTGTTCCTTTATAGTTTCCAGGTGGGTGAGGTCTGTTTCTTTTTGGCCTATGTTTACCCCCGTGATTTCAGGTCACAGCCACTGCTCTGATGGCTCCCTTCCTCACCACCATGGCCAGGGTCCGAAAGGCTGTGACCATGGTAAGTCTCAGGCCAGGCTCTGTCATAATTATTGACTCAATACCTCACTGGGGAGCTCGGGGCAATACCTCACTGGGGAGCTCGGGGCTGGGCGCCTCATCAGCACCAGCAGTTCCTGCCCATTCTTGTCTCCCTCATCATTTACCATCCTTCTTTTTAAAGATCTCTGAAGGCTTGTCTCCCTACCCTGTCTACTATTCATCAACTTATTAGTAATGAATGATGGTAATAAGACTTAACATTTATTGAGCTCTTACTATGGGCCAGGTGTGTTTTCTCATTTTTAATCTCACAAAACTCCGTCAATAGGTTCTACTATAATCTGCCCTTCATTGATAAGGAAACTCAGGGTGATTACGAAATTTACCTGAGATCTAAAAGCTAAAACCAGTGGTATTCAGTTTAAATCTGGATTAGAACCCAGGTTTTTCTTATCTCAGAGCTGGTACCCTTAGCTACATTCCAGCCTCTCTCCCTCTCTTGAGAGGGAGTTGAATTTTTCTCACTTTTCCTGACCTATTTGGCAACTCAAGCATTAGTCCACCTGACTACAGACTCCTTCAATTCAGTAAATCTTTGTTGACTGACTGTTTGAAAAAAAAAAATTTGTGTATTTGTTTCCCTTGCTTCACACAAGAACATTTTCCTATCACCCTAATCTCTAAGGAGTTGAAGTATATGTTTGTGTTTTGTTTTGTTTTTAAGTCATCATCTATTTTGGGAAGCTCTTCAGTGTCTGCTATATTTTTAAAGTTATTTTAGATTAAGATGCAGTTAATCCAGCCTCTGATTAATCTTCTGACTTTCTAGATGAGCAAAGGCTTAGCTAAGAAGGGGAAGTAACTCACATAAGGTCAGACAGCAAGTTAATAACGAAGTCAGGGCAAGAGCCCAGGTCTCCTGACACCTGGTCTAGTATTTTTCTGATGTCCTAATACATTAAATTTTATTAGCTTCAGGGGAATTATTTTTCATTTATATTACAAAAACTAATTTATTTTTTCACAGAAAAGAGATAGGTGCATTTTTAGCTACAAGGCCAAGTACAATGAGTTGGAATAATTTACAGCTATTATTTTCACCATATCCAGATGGATTCCTGGATCCCATAAAAGTGTTTCTAAACTGCAGAAAAATCCCCCTACAGTCTTACAGTTCAAGAATTTTCAGCATGAAATGCCTGGTAGATTACCTGACTTTTTTTGCCAAAAATAAGGCACAGCAGCTCTCTCCTGACTCTGACTTTCTATAGTCCTTACTGAATTATAGTCCTTACTGAATTCATTCTTCAGTGTTGCAGTCTGAAGGACACCCACATTTTCTCTTTGTCTTTGTCAATTCTTTGTGTTGTAAGGGCAGGATGTTTAAAAGTTGAAGTCATTGACTTGCAAAATGAGAAATTTCAGAGGGCATTTTGTTCTCTAGACCATGTAGCTTAGAGCAGTGTTCACACTGAGGTTGCTGCTAATGTTTCTGCAGTTCTTACCAATAGTATCATTTACCCAGCAACAGGATATGATAGAGGACTTCGAAAACCCCAGAAAATGTTTTGCCATATATCCAAAGCCCTTTGGGAAATGGAAAGGAATTGCGGGCTCCCATTTTTATATATGGATAGATAGAGACCAAGAAAGACCAAGGCAACTCCATGTGCTTTACATTAATAAAGTACAAAATGTTAACATGTAGGAAGTCTAGGCGAAGTTTATGTGAGAATTCTTTACACTAATTTTGCAACATTTTAATGCAAGTCTGAAATTATGTCAAAATAAGTAAAAATTTTTACAAGTTAAGCAGAGAATAACAATGATTAGTCAGAGAAATAAGTAGCAAAATCTTCTTCTCAGTATTGACTTGGTTGCTTTTCAATCTCTGAGGACACAGCAGTCTTCGCTTCCAAATCCACAAGTCACATCAGTGAGGAGACTCAGCTGAGACTTTGGCTAATGTTGGGGGGTCCCTCCTGTGTCTCCCCAGGCGCAGTGAGCCTGCAGGCCGACCTCACTCGTGGCACACAACTAAATCTGGGGAGAAGCAACCCGATGCCAGCATGATGCAGATATCTCAGGGTATGATCGGCCCTCCTTGGCACCAAAGCTACCATTCCAGGTAAGTGGCTATAGCTGAGACTGAAGGGTTTCTTTCTTTCTAATGTCATGTTCCCAGAAAAGAATGTTTTCTTCTCTGTTTTGAGAATGTTTTTTCTTATACTCACACTAAATATTAAATCTCTATCCACTGCTTTTCTCATCCTCTTATAGTGCTTGACGTGTATATGAGTTACCTTTATATGCTTGGCTAGATCAACTTGAAGATCAGAATTATTTGAAGCACTGGCTGGCCATTTGAGATATTTATGGGGTCCATCAATTCTCAGACATTTCTCCACTGATAGCACTATATTAGAAAAATTGAGATTTTTCTTCCTTCAGTGCTTAAGTGTGCTTTCTGCCTTAGTCAAAACCGTATCCATTTTTATTCCTGTGTTTGAACTCCCCATTTGGTTTTGCTCTTTCAATTAAGGTAATTTGTCCATCTTAGCTCCAACGGCACAACTAATGTACTGAGGACCACTCAGTGTATACATTATCTCATGTAGTGACTCATAGACTTCTTTAAAACAGATACAGTAGTATTAACCCCATTTTGCAGAATAGGAAATTGAAGCTTGCGGCTGGGTGCAGTGGCTTATGCCTGTAATCCCAGCACTTTGGGAGGCCAAGGAGGGCGGATCACCTGAGGTCAGGAGTTCAAGACCAGCCTGGCCAACACGGTGAAACCCTGTCTCTACTAAAAATACAAAAATTAGCCAGGTGTGGTGGCATGAACCTGTAATCCCAGCTACTCGGGAGGCTGAGGCAGAAGAATCGCTTGAACCCGGGAGGTGGAGGTTGCAGTGAGCTCAGATCACGCCACTGCACTCCAACCTGGGTGACAGAGTAAGACTTCATCTCAAAAAAAAAACAAACAAACAAACAAACAGAAATTTAAGCTTGGAAAGATTAGTTTGTCCAAGCTCAAACAACTGATCAGTACCCAAGTCAAGACAAATCCAAGCCAGGTTTCAAAGCTGCTGCATGTAATCAGTAGGTTATACTTCCTCTGCTTTTCTAGCTACTGTTTGTTGTATGGGTCAAGGTTTGGTCAGGAAGAAGGAGAGCCCTCACAAGTGGTTTAGGAGAGGGGTTATAGAACGAGGGAGCACAGCCTGACCACCATCACACATTAGAGAGAGAACTAAGCCAGGACTCCCCTCCACTTCAGACTTGGAACCCCTACAAACTGGAATCTATCTTCTGATCCCAGGGAGTTAGACTCCGTAGCTTATCACTTTTGGGAAATGCTTAGATAGCGCTAATGTAGCGAGGTCAGGAAAATAAGGGTCACTTAGTCCTTACATACAAAGGAGACGCAAGTGTTGGTATGTGTGTGCATGTGTGTTGGGGGGAGGAGGGGAGGCTGGAAGCTTCTGGAAGGATTACTTAATGAACAGATGGTAGCTATGCATTTGGCAAGGCCAGAACTCAGTCACAGCCCTTAATACTCATGTCTGGTCAAGTCAAGGGCCAAATCCTAGACCTCTCACTGATGAACAGTAGCTCATGGAATTGAACAGGACAAACCTCTCTCAGCATATCAGGGTAGGATTCAGGCCACAGGAAGAGATAATGTCCTGGTTCCTTCCTGGTTACAGATGCTCCTCTCCCTTGCCCATGTCCTTCCCAATCACCCTGAAAGAAATTATTCTCACCGTCTGAGCCATCTGTTCTCAGAGAGCAGGTTTCCTAGCAGTGTCTCCTGACCCTTGACAAAGCCAGACTACTTTTGCTTTACAGGCATGGAGGTGTTGAGGGCCTTTAGAAGGTAAGGTGTGTGGAGCCTAACAATGAAGGAAGAATAGCATAGTGGTAAGGGACTGGGCCTTTAAGTCAGACCTAGGTTTAAATCTCCCCTTACCCCTACGGTGTAAGCTTGAGCAAATCATTTAACCTTTGATCTTGGCTTCCTTTTCTGTAAAATAACTAGTACCTACATCATTGGATTGTTGTGAGGATTATATAAAATAGCATATGTGCAATTCTTAGTACATAGTAAGCACTCAATGAATGATGACTGATTATAATAATTAAGCTGAAGACTTCAGGACACCATGAAACCTGGTACTGAACTTGAGGGTGAATGGCCAGCACACACTTATAAATGCAGGTGGGTATGTATTAACAGAGTGCCCTTCAACAGTGGGGTCCTTTGAGCATCCTTACTCCTAACCTTCTTATGAAGCCCTAAATCCAAAGCCACACTGTGACTTAAAAAATGTGCTGGCCCTTCAGCAGAGATAAGCACTGCAATCAGTACTTAGAATGACTGCTTACAGTAACTATGGTGAGCTCCAGTAGGCCTCAGGGGAATGGGGCCGTCAGCACCAGAAGTACAGTATTTTCAAGGCTTTGCTTCTGCACCTCCTCCTTCCTCCTCTGCATCCCAGCCTCCAGAGGGGCTTAGGCAGGTGGATCTGCCCTTGTGCTGTATCTACCACTCTGTCTCTCTGATTGAAGCTTCAAAATTGTTCCTCCTGACATAAGGACCATCAGCACAAAAGCACTGCATGGGGACAAAAGGAGAAAGGAAAGTTCAAATAACTCAAAATGTTACAGGCGTGTGCATTCTCTCCTGCTGCAGCACAAACCACCCTGTGGTGCAGCACAAACAAACCATGCCTGAGGCTTGCAGCTTTGGCAGAGGGCTTGACCCCCATGCTGAGTTCCACCTGTGGGATCTGATCTTGGCAGCGGCAGGTGGAGAGGTGCCCCAGGTGTGTTTCTGAGGAGCACAGTGGCATCTAGTGGTCCAGTGTGCCACATCAGTTGGCTGGTATCTCTCTGACAGCCTTAGTTTAAGTTCCAGAAACCAATCTCAGTCCTGAATTTATGGATCTGTTTCTTGTTAAGAAGCAGGCGTAAGAGGGGGTGAGAGGATGAGGGAGAGACAGGAGTGAGGTGAGAGAGAGAGAGAAAGAGAAGTATGGAGAGACTGAAGATGTGTAATTTAACTGTGAGCTAGGTTGGATTTGGAATTTCACTGAAATTGTATTTCAGCTGCTTTCTGTCAGACCCTTGACACTCTGTTTTTGCTGCCCTATGGAAATCTCACCCAGTGGTTCTAAAGTACTAAAGTACTTTAGAAGAGACTGAAAAGTTATGTAGTCTAGCCCCCTGACAAGAGGCTGAAATAGCAGTATCAAATCAGTGATTCATTCATTCAACAAATCTGTATGAGCATCCACTATGTCTCAGATGCTTTGTAGGTATTGGGAGTACAGTGGTGAACAAGGCATAAAAAGCCCCCTGCACCACAATTATTTGTTTCCCAAAATGTGTTCCGTGGAATAACAATCCACTAGATACTTCTTAGAAAAAAAAGTTTCTGAGATCAAGTAAGTTTAGAAAACATCTCTTAGTTAAATTATATATTTCTCTTTTAGAACAACACATGAAAAATGGTTTGGGAGAACAATAGTTTATAAAAGACTCAGAAATCTTGCAGTAAATAAAATTGTTTAGCTTATTTAGCTCAATATTTTCCAAACATATTTAATCATCTAAGGAATTAGTGTTCTGTGAGCACACTTTAGGAAATGTTTTCATACACTTATTTTGTGCTCTATGTTTTAAATATTTTAAAAATACTTTTTTTTTTTTTTTTGAGATGGGTCTCACTGTGTTGCCCAGGCTGGGGTGCAGTGATGCGATCAAGGCTAACTCCAACATTGACATTCTGGGCTCAAGCGATCCTCCCGCCTCAGCCTCCCAAAGTGCTGGGATTACAGGCGTGAGCCACCGTACCTGGTAGATACCTGTGTTTAAAAGTATTTTAAACACACAAAATAGAATGATATTATAAAAATACATACATCTACCACAGAATTAAAAAGCATTTTATGTTCACTTCAGTTCTTTAAATATTATAGATACAGTCAAAGTCTCTTTCACATAACCAAAGGGATATGATATAATGTCAAGTAGTGGTAAGTGCTGTGAAGAAAATAAAGCAGGGTAACAGGCATAAAGGAGAGAAGAGATGCTCTTTAGTTAGTTCCAGGAGGTCCTCTCTGAATGAAGTAAGAGGGAGTAAGCCAGGTGAAGAGCACTCCGGGTGGTGGGAGCAGTGAGTACAAAGACTCTGAGACCCTGAGATGGGAATAAATTTCCTGGGTTTGAGTTTCAACAGGGAAACTATTATGCTGGAGTGCAGGGAGCAAGAAGAAGAGCAATAGAAAATGAGGCTGGAGAAGTAGCCAGACCATGGTAAGAACTTTGATCCACTCAAGATGCACCCCTCTTGAGAGTAAGGCTGGCTTTATGTGAGTTGGAATTGTTGCAGGATTGAAAACCTTCATTCCAAGTTTTCTTACCCATCATTAAAAGTGCCATTTTGGTGGCATCAATGGCAAAGGTAATAAAAATGAGTATTTCCAGACAGCAGTGGAAGAACTTGTCCTAGTGAGTGATATCAGTGCCTGTATTCCCCAGGCAGCTTGGGAATGGTAATTCTGAAGGGACAGAACCCTCTCCGGGCAGGAGGGAAAATACCTAACAGAGGCCTTCCATGACCTTTCTACCTTAGGTTTGCTACAGGAAGGAACCCACTATACCCTTGCACTGGTCTGATTAGAGATATGTGTAACAGGGATTTCATATTTATAGATACCATCTATATTTTAAGATATGTTAGGCTGGGCACGGTGGCTCACGCCTGTAATCCCAGCACTTTGGGAGGCCAAGGAGGGTGGATCATTTGAGGTCAGGAGTTTGAGACGTGCCTGGCCAACATGGTGAAACCCCGTCTCTACTAAAAATACAAAAATTAGCTGGGCATGGTGGTACCTGCCTGTAATCCCAGCTACTCGGGAGGCTGAGGCAGGAGAATTGCTTGAACCCGGGAGGCGGTGGTTGCAGTGAGCCGAGATTGCGCCACTGCACTCCGTCCTGGGCGACAGACCGAGACTCTATCTTAAAAAAAAAAAAAAAAAAAAAAAAAAAAAATATATATATATATATATATATATATATATATATATTTTAGTGATGGTATCTTCCCCACTCGATAGTGTTTCAGTTAACCATCAGTTTATTTACTTTGATTTGTTGTGTGTGTTCCTATGTTAGATTTGAATTATCCTTTCAATGAAAGACTGCTAAAATTCTCAGCAGTTGGGAGGAGGATTACCTAATGTCTCCTACCTTCATAGAAATGGTGAATGAAACGGCCCTTATGGGGTTCCATTTCCCCTGGAAGTATTAGCTCTAAAAAGGAAGCAGACTGGGTCATACAGGATTATCCACAAGGCTGTCTAGCGCTTCTTTAGTAGGACCTCTTTATTTAGAGGGGAATGAAGAAATTCAGGGTAGGGGGTAAAATCTTTGACATATGCTATGCCATTGAGTGCCGGGTCTGATTTCCCTGATCTGGCTGGCTTGGGAGCTATTTCCTTCCTTTCTCCCTTGAATTTATACCTATCTGTCCCGAAGTAGGATGCGCCATTCAGTCAACTGACTTTCTCTGATAGAGAAAAATTACATTCTTGAGGAGAGCTGCTGAAAGTGTAGTCTCCTTTTCCTTAAATTCCAGCACAAGTTTTGACTCCGAATATGGTTTTTCTAGTCTCAACATATTATCTGGAGATATTCCAGCCATAAAG
The DNA here is from genome assembly GCF_000001405.40 of Homo sapiens. NCBI lineage: Eukaryota > Metazoa > Chordata > Mammalia > Primates > Hominidae > Homo > Homo sapiens. The sequence goes on from NC_000004.12 coordinate 76,736,526, forward strand.
CATTATCACATACTTGACCAATAAGACACTACATTTATTTACATGTAATCTAGAAATAGAAGAATACATCATGAATTTTAATAGTGTTGAAACGCCTATCCATTTAAAAATAGAAAATCTTGGGCAAGAACTTCTAGTGATTTACCCTTCTTTAGAGAACAGTGAGTCACAAACATTTAAACCACTTATTCCTTCATATATGCCCTCCCCGTGTGTGTATATATATAGAGACAGAGACAGACATTTTTTAGAGCAGTTTTAGTTTCATAGTGAAATTGAACAAAGTCCAGAGATTTCCCATATAGTCCCTGTCCCCATACATGCACAGCCTCCTCCATTTTCAGCAACCCCCACCAGAGTAGTACATTTGTTACAACTGATAAACCTACATTGACACATCATAATCACCCAAAGTCCATAGTTTATATTAGGGTTCACTGTTGCTGTTGTGCATTTTGTAGGTTTGGACAAATGTATAATGACATGTATCCATCATTATAGTATCGTACAGAATACTTTCACTGTCCTAAAAATCCTCTGTGCTCGCCCATTCCTCCTTGCATCGCCCCTAAGACCTGGCAACCACTGATCTTTTTATTGTGTCCATTGTTCTGCCTTTTCCAGAATGTCAGTCATGTAGTTGGAATCATATGGTTTGTAGCCTTTTCAGACTGGCTTTTTTCATCTAGTGAAATGCATTTTAGTTTCTTTCATATTTTTTTCATGGCTTGACAGCTCTTTTTTTTTTTTTTAAGTAATGAATAACATTCCATTGTGTAGATATACCACAGTTTATTCACCTACTGCAGAACAGCCTTGTTGCTTCCATGTTTTGGCAATTATGAATAAAACTGCTGTAAACATCCGTGTGTGGGTTTTTGTGTGGACGTGAGTTTTCAGTTCCAGTGGATAAATGCCAGGGAATGTGATCACTGGATCTTATGGTAAGAGTATGTTTAATTTTGTAAGAAACTGCCAAACTTCTTTTAAAAGTGGCTGTGCCATTTTGCATTACCACCTGCAATGAATGAGAGTTTCTCTTGCTCCCCATCCTCACCAGCATTTGGTATTGTCAATGTTCTGGATTTTGGCCGTTCTAATAGGTGTGTAGTGGTATCTTGGTTTTGTTTGGTTGTTTTTTGTTTTTGCCTATGACAGAGCCCTCAGGACGTCCTGAGAACATGTTCCCTAGTATCTTGTTGTTTTAATTTGTAATTTCCTAGTGACTTATGATGACAGCCTTTTCATTTGCTTTTTCACCATCTGTATATCTTCTTAGGATTGGCCAGTTTTTAAATCAGGTTGTTTTCTTATTGTTGAGTTTTAAGTGATTTTTTAAAAACACATATATTTTGAGTTTCTAAGTAATTTTATTTTGAGACAGCTTTCTGGAGTTTACAGTGATTGATAGTCTTTTTCCTCTTCTCCAGACGGGCTCTGAAAACCATCTGGAGGAGCTTGTAAATGAGAAAATCTTGCCCTCCTAAATGTATGAGGAGGCTTTGCTTTGGCTTTTGGAAGTCATCCACAGGTGTTGGAATCCCAGCACCGAAGAGCCCCTGTGATTAAGCCTTCTCATAAAGCTTCCCTCTCCTTCCCTCTTTCCCCTTAGTTCTGCCTCTCATGAGCTTTTTCTGACTCTAATTTCTCTCATTCAGCTTTGTGTTTAGCTTTCCCACCACAAACAAATTGTTTCTAGTGCAGTTAAGATTCCAGGAAGATTGCCAGGGTGTATCCTTCAATTCCATAAAAAGGAAAGATATTAACTAAAAACATATACATGTGCACACAAAGTCTCCTTCACCCGTGCCTATTCTCTTATTAACTTTTTCCCCTCTTCCCACAAACAGCCCCAGTAGACACACAGTTTCAGTCTCAATCACTCTTCTACCTCTCTCATTTCTTGGCACATGCAAAATGTCATTTCCAGCATGCAGCAAATCACATCAAAGTGCTGCCTGTGCCCAAAGGCCACGTGGCTTCCTCTGAGCTCCTCATTCCTCTCCTTGCTAGCCTGGGTGATTAATTAGAGGCAGATAGGTTAGAGTGTTGGGCAGTTACTCCTAGCGATGACACAGAAGGAGGCTGAGCAAGGCCCAAATATGGCCCTTTTTACCCACCCTTCCAAACACCAAACCTCTTGCACAAGAGAACATTTATAAGCTGGGTCCTCTGCCTGTAAGCCTACTAAATGATAACAGCTCAGTGGTACTGACTGCTTTGTCTTTCTTCCAGCTCCTCTACTAGTGACCTCTCCAACTATGACCATGCTTATCTAAGGCGGAGCCCTGACCAGTGCAGCTCCCAGGGGAGCATGGAGAGCCTGGAGCCCAGTGGGGCATACCCACCCTGTCATCTTTCCCCTGCCAAGTCCACCGGCAGCATTGACCAGCTCAGCCACTTCCATAACAAGAGAGACTCGGCTTACAGCTCTTTCTCCACCAGTTCTAGCATCCTAGAGTATCCACACCCTGGCATCTCTGGCCGGGAGCGTTCAGGCTCCATGGACAATACTTCTGCTCGAGGTGGCCTCCTCGAAGGGATGAGGCAGGCAGATATTCGCTATGTCAAGACAGTCTATGACACCCGGAGGGGAGTCTCAGCAGAGTATGAGGTGAACTCTTCAGCCCTGCTGCTTCAAGGTAGGGAGGCCCGAGCCTCAGCAAATGGTCAGGGCTATGATAAATGGTCTAATATTCCTCGGGGCAAGGGAGTGCCACCCCCATCCTGGAGCCAGCAGTGCCCCAGTTCCTTGGAGACTGCCACGGACAACCTTCCTCCTAAGGTGGGTGCACCCCTGCCTCCAGCTCGGAGTGACAGTTACGCAGCATTTCGGCACCGTGAGCGGCCCAGCTCCTGGTCTAGCCTTGATCAGAAACGGCTCTGCCGGCCTCAGGCAAACTCTTTAGGCTCCCTGAAGTCTCCATTCATAGAGGAGCAGCTGCATACTGTGCTGGAGAAGAGTCCAGAGAACAGCCCCCCAGTGAAGCCCAAGCATAACTATACCCAGAAGGCCCAACCTGGCCAACCTCTGCTGCCGACCAGCATCTACCCGGTACCTTCCCTGGAGCCACACTTTGCCCAGGTGCCTCAGCCTTCTGTGAGTAGCAACGGTATGCTCTACCCTGCACTGGCCAAGGAGAGTGGATACATAGCCCCTCAGGGAGCATGCAACAAGATGGCTACCATTGATGAGAATGGGAACCAGAATGGATCTGGCAGGCCTGGGTTTGCCTTCTGCCAGCCCTTAGAACATGACTTGCTGTCCCCAGTGGAGAAGAAACCAGAAGCTACAGCCAAGTATGTCCCCTCCAAAGTCCATTTCTGTTCAGTGCCTGAAAATGAGGAGGATGCCTCCCTGAAGAGACATCTCACACCTCCCCAAGGCAACAGCCCACATTCCAATGAGAGAAAGAGCACCCACAGTAACAAACCATCTTCTCATCCCCACAGCCTCAAATGCCCTCAGGCTCAGGCCTGGCAAGCGGGTGAAGACAAGAGATCTTCCAGGCTCTCAGAGCCCTGGGAGGGCGATTTCCAGGAAGACCACAATGCCAACCTCTGGAGGAGGCTGGAGAGAGAAGGCCTAGGCCAGAGCCTGTCAGGCAACTTTGGCAAGACCAAGTCAGCCTTCTCATCTCTCCAGAACATTCCTGAGAGTCTGAGAAGACACAGCAGCCTGGAGCTAGGCCGGGGAACCCAGGAGGGTTACCCCGGGGGCAGGCCCACCTGTGCAGTCAACACCAAGGCAGAAGACCCTGGGAGGAAAGCCGCTCCTGACCTCGGGAGCCATCTGGACCGGCAGGTTTCCTACCCGCGGCCCGAGGGGAGGACCGGTGCCTCGGCTTCTTTCAACAGCACAGACCCAAGTCCCGAAGAGCCGCCTGCCCCCTCGCACCCGCACACATCCAGTCTGGGCCGGAGGGGGCCCGGCCCAGGCAGCGCCTCGGCTCTTCAGGGCTTTCAGTACGGGAAGCCCCACTGCTCGGTGCTGGAGAAGGTCTCCAAATTCGAGCAGCGAGAGCAAGGGAGCCAGAGACCGAGTGTGGGCGGCTCTGGTTTTGGCCATAACTATAGGCCCCACAGGACCGTCTCAACTTCCAGTACTTCTGGGAATGACTTCGAGGAGACAAAAGCACACATTCGTTTCTCTGAGTCAGCTGAACCCCTAGGCAACGGGGAGCAGCACTTCAAAAACGGGGAGCTGAAGTTGGAAGAGGCTTCCCGGCAGCCCTGCGGTCAGCAGCTGAGCGGAGGAGCGTCGGACAGCGGCCGTGGCCCCCAGAGGCCGGACGCTCGGCTCCTCCGTAGCCAGAGCACCTTCCAGCTCTCCAGCGAGCCAGAGAGGGAGCCCGAGTGGCGGGACAGGCCCGGCTCGCCCGAATCGCCCCTGCTGGATGCCCCCTTCAGCCGCGCCTACCGGAACAGCATCAAGGACGCACAGTCCCGTGTCTTGGGGGCCACCTCCTTTCGACGTCGAGACCTGGAGCTGGGGGCGCCCGTGGCGTCGAGGTCCTGGCGGCCACGGCCTTCCTCGGCCCACGTGGGGCTGCGGAGCCCCGAGGCGTCGGCCTCCGCCTCCCCGCACACGCCCCGGGAGCGGCACAGCGTGACCCCTGCTGAGGGCGACCTGGCCAGGCCCGTGCCCCCTGCCGCCCGGAGAGGTGCTCGCCGGCGCCTGACTCCCGAGCAGAAGAAGCGCTCCTACTCGGAGCCCGAGAAGATGAACGAGGTGGGGATCGTGGAGGAGGCCGAACCGGCACCCCTGGGCCCGCAGAGAAATGGGATGCGTTTCCCGGAGAGCAGCGTGGCCGACCGGCGCCGTCTCTTCGAGCGCGATGGCAAGGCCTGCTCCACGCTCAGCCTGTCGGGGCCCGAGCTGAAGCAGTTCCAGCAGAGCGCCCTGGCGGACTACATCCAGCGCAAGACCGGCAAGCGGCCTACCTCCGCCGCCGGCTGCAGCCTCCAGGAGCCCGGGCCACTGCGTGAGCGCGCCCAGAGTGCCTACCTCCAGCCCGGCCCCGCGGCGCTCGAAGGCTCCGGCCTCGCCTCGGCCTCCAGCTTGAGCTCACTGCGGGAGCCCAGCCTGCAGCCCCGCAGGGAGGCCACGCTCCTGCCGGCCACAGTTGCAGAAACCCAGCAGGCTCCCCGAGATCGCAGCAGCTCCTTCGCCGGTGGCCGCCGCCTCGGGGAACGGCGACGCGGGGACCTGCTTAGCGGAGCAAACGGTGGAACAAGGGGCACCCAGAGAGGGGATGAGACCCCCAGGGAGCCATCCTCCTGGGGGGCCAGGGCCGGGAAGTCCATGTCGGCCGAGGACCTGCTGGAACGCTCGGACGTCCTTGCGGGCCCTGTCCATGTGAGGTCCAGGTCATCTCCCGCCACCGCAGACAAGCGCCAGGTACGTGCAACCAGCAAGTCCTGGCCTCGAACTGTCCCTTCCTCCCTAGAAGCTTTAGTGGGGCTCCCCAACCCCCCACACTCTCACCCGCTCTCCCAGTTCAGTTTTCCTTGTGATTACAGAAAAGTAGCATTTGTTTTCATGAGTTGAGTTTCTCAAGTGTCCCTTACCTGGTTTCCTTATAAAGATATAGGTATCTAGATTACGTATGTTGTTATACAGATTCTCTATCTATCTGTCTACCTCCATTTTAGGAAGTCACCACCTCTCAATGGAAAAATGCAAGGTTAAGAAAAATTAGGGATTATCTTTTTTGTTTTTTGCTTTTTTTTTTTTAATGGATTAGAGTCTGGGTCTGAGTATTTTAAAAGTTTTAGCTTTGCACCCTTTCTGTTTCTATTGGACTTTGCATCTACAAAATAGCTAGAATGATTGACATTGATAGTCATTGGTTATTGAATTCCTGGCCCTCAGCTAAGTGTGTGGCAGGTCCTGAGCTAAGTGTAATCTACATTTATTATTTCATTTAACCCTCATGATAATCCTGTGCAGCAGAGTATATTATACATGTCAGACCCCTGTCTCTCGGACTCCCACCTCAGCTCTTTCTGTGCATTATCCTGGTGAGGAGAGAAAATAAGAAACTCAAAATCTCACATAAAAGGATTTTCTAATAAAGGCACCAAATGCTGCAAGGATTATAAAGTACTTTCCCCTGAAAATTTTAAGCAGTGCTGGGAATAGAAGCTGAGCATTCTGACTCCTAGGAGCCTGTTAATTTCCCTAATTCTTAGCCTATCCTCAGGCTTCACTTCCACTGTAGACCAGGGGCCTGCCTCATGCTTCCCTTCCCACCAAAGACAATAATAGGAATCACATACCTGTTAGCACAGGGGAGGAAGAACTCCGCTCCACTCTCCCCTCTCAGATTCTGCTGTTTTCCCTTTCAGAGAAGTCAGCCATTCAGCAAGCATCTGTAGAGCATGTGTTGTATGAAAAATGCTGTGTTACAGCATCAAAGGATACACAAAAGGAAAAAATAAGGCTCATGCCTTTCTGGAGTTCACAGTTAAGCAAGGAATACGACCTTATATGTATAAATCTAATATGACTAGTGAATGCTTTGGGAATAGTGATCAATAATATGCTATGGAAAGGAAAGTGATTAATTCTGAGGTGATCTGAAAGTGCTTCTCCTGAAGGGAAATGGGATTTTGGGCCAGGATGTAAAAGATGGGCATGATGACAAGAGATTAGGGGAGAGGGGATGCATTGATGGGAAGAAACCAGTTCAGACAAAGAAAGATTCAGCAGTTCTGGCTGAGAAGTTTGCTGCACTCTATCACACGCATACAGCAACAAATGCTACTTGCTCTTACCAGTCAGATGCTTATAGGGCAGGATTTTACAAGTTTTTGACAAGGATTTAGCTCTTTTTCAAAATTCTCATTAGGGAGGCCTTTCTGCCTCCAAAAACAAAGTCATCATGGAAATCAGTTCCTCTGTATGTGACGATTGATCCATCTCTGGCCTGAAATAATGACTGCAGGAGGCTACCATTTTGAACTACTTGTAGCCTGAGACCTTCTCATATATTTGGCAGGTCTGGCCTCTTCCTCAGCCAGCTTGAAATCCTCTCTGAAACATGCAACCTTCTATTTTCTTCTCCTTTAATTCCTCTTCATTGCAGAACAATAGATACTAGTGATGGAGCTTAAGTGCACATCAGACTCTTGCCTGTTTCCTTCTGAGAGAAAATACCGTCCCCTCCCAGATGTTTTCTGTTTAGAATTGTACAGAAATATTTTCTCCCAGTATAAATCCCCGACAAATATAGAGGCAACTTCCCATAAGCCTTCAGTAGCCTTTTCCTTCCTTCAGAATGAACAGAGCTAATTCCCACTCCCTATCCTACCACTAACACACATTTAAAATCCATATATGTAACACACAATTTCATTTAGCTTGATGGATTTTAGCAACTTAACTGCATAGCAGTCTAGACACCTTCCTTTCTCTCCCCGTGTTTCAAAGAAAATAAAAATGCTTAGGTGAAAACCAAATCATTATTGTTTATTCCCCATTAGATATTGTTATTTTGTCTTAGAGGTTGGTTGGATGGCTATGAATGTTATTTTATCTTTCCCCCCAAATATTTCTTAAGCCTGGTTGATTAAGAAATAAAGCTAAAACATAGGCGTTGGGAGAAGTGAAGAGATTCCTCCAAATCCCAATTAAATACTTTGTATTATTTGGAAAACTTTTTAGAAAGACAAGTGAATACAAAACAGTACTTGGGCACCCTTTTCATAAAGGGAATGCCATATTTAGATGTTATTTAATTTGGGGAATATGCAGGCAGAGAGGGAAATATTTCCAAATGAAATACTTCTTTTGTACTGCTTTGCTCCAACAAATACTGAAATTTCTGAACAATGCATAGTCTCTTATATTGTCACTGTGCCAGGACTGCATTCTTGAGCTTCCTCCCTCTCCTGGTCTCCTGCACAGCAGCCAGACCTTAGCTGACTGGAGAAGCATCTCATGGCAAGGCGGTCTGCTCCTTGCATCCTCTTCATCATCTGCCTTATTTGTAGTTATGATGAGTAAAAAATAAAACAAAGTTACTCTCACCACATAACTATTGTGGTTATTATATACATATTTTTCCTATTGAATAAATTTCAAGAACATTATCAGTAAGCTTTTGGGAAGGTTTGTTAATCAATCATTTTTCTCATCCTTGCTTTAGAGAATTCTGACAAGTTAAGTGAACTTGTAGAGACTGTCTGCCTGAGTTAAAACCACAATGTGGAGTGTGTTTCTGCTGCTGGCTTAGTTGATGCTATCTCCAACAAATGTTGCTTGCTCTTACCAGTCAGATGCTGACAGGGCAGGATTTTACAAGTTTTTGACAAGGATTTAGCTCTTTTTCAAAATTCTCATTAGTGAGGCCTTTCTGCCTCCAAAAACAAAGTCATCATGGAAATCAGTTCCTCTGTATGTGACAATCGATCCATCTCTGGCCTGAAATAATGACTGCAGGAGGCTACCATTTTGAACTACTTGTAGCCTGAGACCTTCTCATGTATTTGGCAGGTCTGGCCTCTCCTCAGCCAGCTTGAAATCCTCTCTGAAACATGCAACCTTCTATTTTCCTCTCCTTTAATTCCTCTTCATTGCAGAACAAATAGATATTAGTGATGGAGCTTAAGTGCACATCAGACTCTTGCCTGTTTCCACTTTCTTTCTGTGAGACCTTGGAAAAGTTAACCTGTTAAAAGTGGGTAGGACCTGCAAAGCTATAGAAAGATAGCCAACATTTCTGCCTTAGAGACAGAAATGTATATCTGTTCATTGCATAGATTTAAAATATAGTAGAGACTATAAAGAGAAACCCTTGGAGAAATAAGATTACTGGTGGGGATATTTCCCCCGGATGCTGAGTTAGAGACTTCTCTGGTTCTCACAGTATTTTCAGGGAACTTCATGTCTGATGTGTAACATAATCACTATGAGATGGTGTGACAAACATTACTGAATTGCTGAGGAAATTGCTCAATGCATGGAACCACAGTATTGGATATAGGCTTGATTCTGTGGAATGCAACTCATAAGTCTTTTTTAGCACCTTTCTACAAGCACACATTTAAGCTTATACAAAATAGAATTGACTTTCCACAAAATGTGAAGATACAAATAGCTAACAATAATCAAATTTTTGCTGTGTGCCAGTCATTGTACTGTGTTTTATAAGTATAAAATTAGTCTTGGCTGGGTGCAGTGGTGCACACCTGTAATCCCAGCACCTTGGGAGGCCGAGGTGGCTAGATTGCTTGAGGCCAGGAGTTCGAGATCAGCCTGGCCAACATGGCAAAAACCCATCTCTACTAAAAATACAAAAATTAGCTAGGCATGGTGGTGTGCATCTGTAGTCCCAGCTACTTGGGAGACTGAGGCACGAGAATCGCTTGAACTCACGAGGCAGAGGTTGCAGTGAGCTGAGATAGCGCCACTTCCCTCCAGCCTGGGCAACAGAGCAAGACTCTGTCTCAAAAAATAAAATAAAATAAAATTATTCCTCACATCTGTGCAATGAGGTAAATACTATTATTATCTCTAAGTTACAGAAGAAGGAACCAAGTCACCAAGAGGGTACAAAATTTGCCCAAGGTAGTAGAGTGAGGTTTTCACCCCATACTGTCTGACTGCAGAGTCTTTAAGTCACTATACCATGCCATCTCCTGAATAAAAAGAGGCTGGGAATGGGGAAACAGAGGCAAGAGTTAAATGTTCTATATCTGAAAATATCATCCAATGAATTTATTTCATTTTAACATTTATTACTATTTCAGTCATGCATCATATAATGGTCAAGGATGGACCACATATGTGACAGTGGTCCCATAAGATTATAATACCATACTTTTACTGTATCTTCTCCATGTTTAGATACAAAAATACATACCATTGTATTGCAACTGCCTACAGTATTCAGCACAGTAATATGCTGTAACAGGTTTGTAGCCTAGGAGCAATAGGCCTATACCATATAGCCTAGGGATGTAGTAGTCTATGTCATCTAGTTTCTGTAAGCACACTCTATAATGTTTGCACAAGGACAAAATTGCCTAATGATGCATTTCTCAGAACATATCCCTGTTGTTAAGTGACACATGACTGTATTTTTCACATCAGATTTTTCATAAGGATTTCTAGTTATTTTTAGTAGTTACTTGAAATATTCTAAAGTAGGTGAATATTGTCTTCACATTTCATCAGTGACAGAGATATTGAGATAACTAACTTGGAACCCAAAACAGGAGGACTGAGATTCAGTAGACTTTAGATTTACATTATTATTATTATTATTATTATTATTATTATTATTATTATTATTATTATTTTGAGACGGAGTCTCGCTCAGTCACCCAGGCTGGAGTGCACTGGCGCAATGTCGGCTCACTGCAAGCTTTGCCTCCCGGGTTCACGCCATTCTCCTGCCTCAGCCTCCTGAGTAGCTCGGACTACAGGCGCCCGCCACCAGGCCCCGGTAATTTTTTTTGTACTTTTGGTAGAGACGGGGTTTCACCACGTTAGCCAGGATGATCTCGATCTCCTGACCTCATGATCTGCCTGTCTCTGCCTCCCAAAGTGCTGGGATCACAGGCGTGAGCCACCGCGCCCGACCAATTTACATTATTAAGTATGCTAAGAACTGGTGTATTTTTAAGTCAATTTTGAGATAATTAACAAAAATAAATCAGACACTTAACAAGTTGGTATAATTCTATGCCTAGTATTTTTCCCATAGCCACTGTTTTTTTTTCCCTGTAATTGCCATAATAAGCACTTTGTACTTCTTACCAATTTATAGAAAATTAAGTCTTGACAGTGAATATATGCTCAAAGCAAGAAATGCAATAGGAATTTATCTTCCTTGGGCTTGTATCAGATTGGGAAGATATTTTCCTTTGTCAAGTGGTATTTTGATTGATAGAAGATTCAGAGAATTCTCTCAATAGTTTATTACTGGGTCTAATTCCTTTATTTTATCCACATCCACATAAATAGTTTAAGCTCGATATTCTAGGGGCCAAATCATGTGAATACAGAAGTTATATTCATTGTCAAAACGAAATGCAAAGGATGTAATAGGATATGAATACATATTTATACTTTACTGGGTTAGGCGCTCACATGGGACCTAGGCTTTTCCAATTAATTATTGGCAAAGTAGCACATTCTTGTCAACATAGGGAAAAATGGTGGGAAAAGACTTTTAAAGGACCATAAATTTCATGGAGAGCAGGAATTCTCATTCCCTACAGTGATATTTGAGTGAATCAGAACACATGGAATTCATTTTTCTCAAGCCATTCAAGTCTGATTACATCCAGCCCAGCTGCCATTCAACCTATAAAGATTCCATGGCAAGACCTTGGGCTTTGAAGAGATCATGGCTTGAATCATAGTTTCTCCACTTACTTAACTGTGGGCAAGATATGTCACCTTGCTGAGCTGCAATTACATACCCTGCTTCCAATTGTTATAAAGATTAAGTTACAAAAAAAAAGTCAAGTGCCTAATATTCCAGGCATATAATTTGTTGGTGCAAGGTACTTAGCAGAGTGTCTGGCACACAGTAAATACCCAGTACCGGTAGCTGCAATTATTAATAATGTTCAGGGGTTTGTTTCTTCTGCCTGCTCCCACCTTTGACCCTTTCTATTGCTTATTAGTTTCTCAACCACTAAACAAAAACAATGAGGAACGGGGTGAAGAGCAGTTAACCCATTGGGCAGGGTTAAATGGCAAAATAAATTACTGAAATTAAGTTAGAGATTATATATGGATTTAATTTTTCTGGTTTTTGCCTGTCTCCTGTCATAAATAATTGGGAGTTTAATATATTATCATCAATGGCAACATCATCATCTTCATCATGGACCTGATCACAGGGACCAAACTGTATACTATCAAAAACTGACAACCCTTTCAGGACTCCAGTATATACCCTCATTAAAACAAAAACAACTACCCCTGAAAAGGCCCCAGAGTTATTGATCTCACATGTGAGTGAACTTTTTCCTAGAATTTATTGCACCCGATTACAATCCAAATTCATATCTTCACTAATTGTAACTAGGAACATTTGAGATTTTTGCAAAATGTAATAGACTGTCCTTTCCCGTCATCTCTCATATTTCCCTATTGCCATTTGAAAAGTTTGGCCCATTGAATTCATTGTCTTCGTTATCCTATTTCAAGTTTAGCAGTTGTTTTGAACTCCAGAGATAATCGTTAGGAGACTTCTCTTAGTTAGGAAACATCCTTGTTAGAGGAGGCACCTGGTGAGACAGACTGAAGTTCAAATTCTGACTCTGCTTTTTTTTTTTTTTTTTTTTTTTAAATCTTCGGCTTATCTCCTGCATCGATGCCATGGGATTATGTAAGAGTGCCACCACGTGGCCTGACAATAGTAGGTTGCCAGTAAATAGGTGTTCCTTCTCCTTTTTACCTCCACCCTCTTGGTAAATTTAAACACCCGTTTATTGGCAGTAATGCTGTGCCTTTCTTGTGTTTCAAGGATGTGCTTTTGGGGCAAGACAGTGGCTTTGGTCTTGTGAAGGATCCATGTTATTTGGCTGGTCCTGGATCTAGGTATGTACATGTACTTATGATGCTCTCTGCATATGAATGCTGCTGGTGTTAAACTACTCTTGTTCCTTTCTACAAGAAATTGAAATGTGATGTCATATAGTGTCACATGCTTTTTTGATTTGTCTAGGCCATGGATAACTTTTTTTTTTAGTTTTATTATTATACTTTAAGTTTTAGGGTACATGTGCACAACGTGCAGGTTTGTTACATATGTATACATGTGCCATGTTGGTGTGCTGCACCCATTAACTCGTCATTTAGCATGGAGAACTTTTTATTTTCCATTTAGAAATGATTTTCTTTAAGAATGACACTTGTTCAAAATAGGTTTTGAACATGTGCTACTGAGGACAAGGTTGATTTGGCTAACCAGTTTGACAACAGAATAATTAATGGAGGTGCTATTCTTGAGCGTGCCCCATGGCTTTCACAAATGGGGCCTCCTGTGTGGCTGATCTCATCCAGCTCTGTGTGCAGAGCATCACATCTGGTGACCACAGTGCTAGGGAAGAACGGGCATTTCATGAACAGCTTCACAGAGGAAGGCAAACTGTAAGCATCGGAGGTGAAAAATAAAGCTCAAAATCATAACTTTATACATGTGGGGATGGAAAACAGAGGAAAGTCGTTTTTTTAAAATGCCATCAAAATCATATATCCTGGGTAGAAAAGTAAAATGAGCACTTTTTTAGAATTTAAAATTTTGAACTGTTCACATGGGACTTAATAAGTAGAAATTTTCAGAAAGGGTATTCTCTGAACCATGTACTCTGTATGTAGTTTTAATGCAGCATTACAGAGTTATCTACTATAATCTATTATTACTAATGATAATACACCTACACCCTACCTACTCCTTTCTACGTTTTTAAGCCATTTCCTTAATTTTTCTTACATTTCATTCAATCATTGTTTCTACATTCACCTTCTTAATAACACAACCTAATTCTGTCAAGTAGAAGCAGCCAACATGGTCAGGAAGTAGGTATTAATTACCTGCTTTCTAGCCAAGATCAGCCTTCTACATTTATATGCTCTTGCTCCTATAGCTGTGTTGACAAGGAAGAAAGTATTCAAGGTGAGGTTGAGGACTTTGGTGAGTTTGGGTGCATTAATTAAATGCTAGAGACAAGGGAAAACTAACAATAAACTAGAGTACTGCTAAAGAAAATTGGTCTGAAATCAAAGACGGGACGAAACAACAAACAATCAAATAACCCTATTTAAAAATGGGCAAAGGTAAAAAAAAGAACAAGATCATGTCCTTTGCAGCAACATGGATGGAGCTGAAGGCCATTATCCTAAGCAAATGAACACAGAAACAAAAAAACAAATACTGCACGTTCTCACTTACAAGTGGAAGCTAAGCATTAAGTACACATGGACACAAAGAAGGGAACAATAGACACTGGTGCCTATTTGAGGGTGGAGGGTGGGAGGAAGGTGAGGATTGAAAAAACTACCTATCAGGTACTATGCTTACCTGGGTGACAAAATTATCTTTACATCAAACCCCAGCGTCATGCAATTTACCCATGTAACAAACCTGTACATGTACTCCTTGAACCTAAAATAAAACTTGGAAAGGAAAAAAATAATTGAAGGTGACAGGTGAGGGGGGCTGTTGGTTGGCTCAGTGGCAATATCGACAATCTGAGAAACACAGGTGGCAATTTTGTGGGGAGGGGGAAATCTTCCTCAACAAAATTAGTTCTGTGTTTAAAAAAAAAAAAAAACTTTCTGAGCTGTAAAAATGCCAAAAGAATAAATATGACAAGCATCGCATACCACTGAATAACTGAAATGCTTGTCCTGTTCTTCAGCAATTGACATTAGCATAGGTGCAGCTGCATGCCTAGTGCTTGCTGAAAAGGATATTGATAATTTCAGGACATGTAATTCTCAGCTGTCCTGGGGAAAAGCATAGGCATGGAAAGTGCAGCCGACAGGAAAACATGGGAGGGACTTGATCACAGATCCTGTGCTATGAATTTTGAGTACTAAAAATTCTGCTTGCAGTATATTTTTCTGACCATCACAACCAAGAAGACACAAAAAAGTATAACACTCTTTTTTTTCTAAAGGCTTGCATGGTCTTTTATCATAGTCACTCTGTTAATCATAGTACGAAGACAAGAGTCACATCAACTGGACAATATTGAAATGTCAAAATAATTTGGAAGGTGGAATTTGGAGGAATGTGCCCTCTGTTCTCCATGAATGCCTATTAGGATCAGTCAGTTTTCCTCCATGCTGACATAATTCTCCCTGAATACATGAAATTCAGACTTTACATTAGTGCTTTTTAAAAAACATAAAATGTTCTAATTTATAGAAAAGTAGAGATTTTGCACTGTTCAAGTTTTATGAGAGTTTGATGCCTTCATGGGTCACAAAGAGACAATAGTTGTCATTATTATATACTTCTTTCCTGTTTTCAAACATTCTCCACTCTTTTTATCTCCATTTTAAAGAAAAACACTAGAGGATACCAATCCAACTAAATTCAGACATTCACTTGTTAATTTCAAACATAAAAATTTACTTGTCTATATAAAAATGGGCAAAAGACTTAGACATTTATCCAAAGATGGCAGACACATGGCCAACAAGCATTGAAAAGATGCTCAACACCACTAATCATCAGAGAACTCAAAACCACAATGAGATGTTTACCTCACACACATTAGAATGGCTGCAATTAAAAAAACGAAAAACAACCAGTGTTGGTGAGGATATGGGGAAATTAGAAACCTTGCACACTGTTAGTGGGAATGTAAAATGGTGCAGCCGTATGAAAAACAGCATGGAGATCTCAGAACATTAAAAATAGAACTACCATATGATCTGGCAATGCCACTTCAGAGTATGTGTCCAAAAAAATTGAAAGCAGGGTCTCCAAGACCCATGTTCACACCCATGTTCATAGCAGCTGTATTTACTATTCACAATAGCCAAGAGGTGGAAACAACCCAAATGTCTACTCATGACAGATGATTGGATAAACAAAATGTGGTATAGCCATACAATGGAATATTACTCAGCCTTAAAAAGGAAATTCTGCCACATGCTTCAACATGACATTACGTGAAGTGAAATATAAGCCAGTCACAAAAAGACATACTGTATAATTTCACTTGTATGAAGTACTTAAAGTAGTCAAATTCACACAAAACACAAAATAGTGATTTCCAGGGGTTAGTAGGAGGGGGAAATGGGGAGTTATTATTTAGTGGGTACATAGTTTTAGGTTTGCAAGTTGTGAAAGTTCTGGAGATCTGTTTCACAACAGTGTGAACATATTAACACTACTGAACTTAAAAATGGTTAAGATGAAATTTTATGTTGTTTTTTCTAACCACAATTTTTTAAAAATGCTTTTTCTTTTTTTTTTTAAAGCAAAACAAAACAAAGGTGAGACTAATTGCTCTCAAAATCCATTCTTGAATAGTAGGATTCCTGGATACATATCAGCAGACTCTGGGTGACCCTCTCACACTCTATTATAAAAGGGACTTGAACAAAGTCTTTTTTTATCCCAAACTTCATTCCTAAAAACACAAAATAATCACCACGGAGAAGCATTCTCAACCAAGCTAAGCATTTACCACTGATATTATCTTCAAAAAGAAAATGCCACTTTAGTATAGTTTGTGTAAACTAAGGTCACACAAACTAAAAACATCATATAAAAGTCTATTGGGCTGGATCTTTAAAGGATAAGTGCTATATTATTGTATGTTTTAGTGATGTCTTCCCCTTTAGAAAAGCCTCAAGATATAATAAATAAAATAAAGGCATCTGAATTAGTCGTTAAAACATCAGATTTCAACTGACTCCACATCCTGTTAAAGGATGCTGGGTTTAAAAACAGTTTGTATGCTACAGTCTGGAGAGCAGCTGGGCAAAGGAGACGTCACTGTTCAACAGACATTTGCTGAGGGGGTACTTGGTGGCAGGTACTGGGGATGCCAGGATGGATGAGACAGAAGTGAAGAGCATCCCCAGCGGGAAGCCACCAGGAAGTGCAGAGTGGCTACACTTCTCTATGGAGAGGTTCCTGGTAAAGAAACCATGTCTGAATGAAAGGGACTGGTCATGGGAAGGGAGGGGTTGCATCAGAGAGAGAGGTGGGCCCTTTATTCCATCATCTGCATCTATGTATAATAAAGGAAAAATAAAGGCATGAGAAGAGCTAATTTGGTTCTTTGCCATCTTCTTCCACCACATGCTGCATTCTGTTTGCCTGGCACTTGGATGATCTTGTGGCAAGCCCTGTGTTATTGCTCTGATGTGGGACTGAGTCACCACTCCCTCAGAGGAGTCAGATCTGTGAGATGAAATGTGCCATCTGCACTCCAGATCCACTCACATAGCCAGTCAGGGAACTGCAGACAGGGAATGTACAAATCACGGTGGGTTTGCTGGAGAGCTTTTTATCCTCACATTAACTCTTGCATAGCAGGTAGTGCCACAGACTCTTTTTTCTGTTTTGTTTTGTGGATTTTTCTCCTTTAGAACACAATAACAAAAGTTTTGCGAATTGTTGGGTTTTTCCTCGGAGTCTAGCGTACAGTTGTTTAAATCACCATGTACTATATTTGCTTATTATTGCCAGCCTCTTTCTCCAGAGGTAACTGCTTATTAGCTCCTTAGGTGAGACTCTCCCCCTCCTTTTTATTTTTCATCAGATGAAATGAAAACACTAGGAGAGTAAGCAAAAGTTGTAAATAAAACCTTCAAATTCAGCAGCCCATGCAAATGCTTTCAAAACAGACCTCCCCCGTGGGGATCGCACTGGGAGAGAAGAAGGCAGCATTATTTTTCCCCAGAGCTGGGAGCTATTTCCTGAAGTAGTCCTAAAAGGGGCTGAAGAAATGTACTGTTTGTTTTTATAGCCTGAAGCCTGTCCTCAAAAGCTGCCTTATGTTGCATGGTGTGTACAGGATGTGGGGGCGGTGAGAGGGTTAATAAAAGAAAATGCCTTGTGAACCCAGTCATTCCATGTGACATTTTCCTGTAGGAATTTATGCCTGCCTAGTACTGGTTTAACTTGGGTCTTCCTGTGAGCAGCCAGGGAAGACAGTGTGCAGTTTCTGGGGGAAGGAAAAGAGGTCCTCCTTCCTCTTAAATGCTTTTCTCATCTATGTAAGGAGCATTGGGCTGCATGTTTGCCCCTTTCTTCAGAGCTGTAACCCTCCTGTCTGTGTGCCGTTCCAGGTCACTCAGTTGTTCAGAAAGAGGCCAAGAAGAGATGCTGCCGCTCTTCCACCATCTCACCCCTCGTTGGGGTGGTTCAGGCTGCAAAGCCATTGGTGATTCCTCCGTTCCTAGTGAATGTCCTGGAACCCTGGACCATCAGAGGCAAGCCAGTAGGACACCCTGCCCCAGGCCACCACTGGCAGGAACGCAAGGGCTGGTCACAGACACCAGGGCTGCACCCCTGACCCCAATTGGCACCCCTCTGCCTTCAGCCATTCCCTCTGGCTACTGCTCACAGGACGGTCAGACAGGGCGACAGCCTCTCCCGCCCTACACCCCTGCCATGATGCACAGAAGCAATGGTCACACCCTGACCCAGCCTCCCGGTCCAAGAGGCTGTGAGGGCGATGGCCCAGAGCATGGGGTAGAAGAGGGAACGAGGAAGAGGGTCTCGCTGCCTCAGTGGCCACCTCCTTCTCGAGCAAAGTGGGCCCACGCAGCCAGAGAGGACAGCCTTCCTGAGGAATCCTCAGCCCCTGATTTTGCAAACCTGAAGCACTATCAAAAACAGCAGAGTCTTCCAAGTTTATGCAGCACTTCTGACCCAGACACACCTCTTGGGGCCCCGAGCACTCCAGGGAGGATCTCCCTCCGAATATCTGAGTCTGTCCTGCGGGACTCCCCGCCACCTCATGAGGATTATGAAGACGAAGTGTTTGTGAGGGATCCGCACCCCAAGGCCACGTCCAGCCCCACATTTGAACCTCTTCCCCCACCCCCACCTCCTCCACCGAGTCAGGAAACCCCGGTGTATAGCATGGATGACTTCCCTCCACCTCCTCCCCACACTGTATGTGAGGCGCAGCTGGACAGTGAGGATCCCGAGGGGCCACGCCCCAGGTGAGTGAGCAGACTGGGCAGCTTTCCCCCACTAACAGGAGAGTGTCATGCCCCAGGTGGCCCAGGTCCTTCTGCTGGCCACAGAAGAACCCTGGCATGGAGATGTTTCTATACAGCTCAGCTCAGGACACTGTTGATCTGTTTGCCTCAGGAGGTAGTTGGACCAGTGTCATTGGGTACTGAGGAGTCAGGGTGGCAGAAATGAAAGCTGGGACCCAAGGGGCACATTTCACTTCTGGGGACAGGATAGGCTTAGGCGGTCCAAGTAAATCCCTCCTCCCTGGATGAGTTCTGAATCAGTTAGGAAATAAGACAAAAGAGGAGGGCATATAGAAGACAAAAACATCACTTTTATTACTGACAGAGCTAACATTAAAGAATATGGCTTCAGATTGTAAGTGGGTCTCTTGATACTGAACCCCCAAGTTAAACAGCTTTACCTACCTCATCAAAGGTCATGTTAGACACACAAATACACATAGATATTAATATATACAGCCTTGAGGCAGCCTCAGTCTCAAAAGAGAAGAGAGACTGGGATGTGAATGCTCAGCTTCTCTTTCCAAAATCACTCCATGTCCATAGGGAGGAATAAAGAGTAGGGCTCAAGGTCAGTAATGTTTAGGGAAAACCTCTTGGAAGCTAGGAGAATGAGAAAGAAGCATTCCCCAACACATAGTCCCTAGAACAAGTAATCTCTCAAAACACCAAAAAAACACATTGCCTGACAGCACCTTTTGAGTGGCTTTCTTTAAACACCACAAGAGTGACTTACTACCACTACCCCTGTTAACCTAGACCTTTCAGAAATCTCTGGAATCTAACAGCAACATTCACCAGAACTGAATTCCTAGTCCATCTTCCTCAGGAGATGACAACCTCCTGACCAGCTGCTGGGCTCAGGAGCCCCTTTAGAGTGCTGTTGTTTTCTAAAGAAGGGGTTGATCTCAAATGTGACTATCTCACCCTACTCCTATGTATATATCTATGTATGTTTGTGTGTCTAGCATGACCTGTGACTAGGTAGGTAAATGTTTTTAGTTTCGGGGTTCAGTATCAGGAGACCCACTTATAATCAGAAGCCATATTCTTTAACATTAGCTCTGTCAGTAACATGTGGAAGATGTGGAAAGCTACAGCCCTGATGTGGAAAGCTTCTCCCTCAGTCTTTCTCCACCCTCTTATCATCACCCTTCTCTTATCACTCTCTCTTTCTCTCTCTCTCTTTTTTTTTTTTTTTTAAATATCCCTGGCAGCTTCAACAAACTTTCTAAAGTGACAATTGCAAGGGAAAGGCACATGCCTGGTGCAGCCCATGTGGTAGGTAGTCAGACACTGGCTTCCAGACTCCAAACTTCTATCAAGGGTTCAGAGGCTGAGTCCACACCACCCTCCTTCATGAGCGTTCACGCCCAACTTGCTGGGTCTCTTGGTGGGCAGCCAGCACCCATCCAGACTCAAAGCCTCAGCCATGATCCAGTCAGTGGAACTCAGGGTTTAGAAAAGAAAGTCAGTCCTGATCCTCAGAAGAGTTCAGAAGACATCAGAACAGAGGCTTTGGCCAAGGAAATTGTCCACCAAGACAAATCTCTAGCAGACATTTTGGATCCAGACTCCAGGCTGAAGACAACAATGGACCTGATGGAAGGTTTGTTTCCCCGAGATGTGAACTTGCTGAAGGAAAACAGTGTAAAGAGGAAGGCCATACAGAGAACTGTCAGCTCTTCAGGATGTGAAGGCAAGAGGTAAGTCCCTGGTGATGTCCTCAGAGAGACTTACAATCACACTCCTTCCATGGGGATGATGATAAGTCTAGGACTAGTTGCCTGATGTTCTCCTACTGCCACAGCTCCTGAACCAAGAGTGACATTTTATCTCAGTCTTGGAGGAATGGCTCTGGCAGTGAGGATGTGGGACAGATATGCAACAACAAAGAAAGTAATAGTAATAATTATAATAATTGCCATTAGTACCCATTGTTAACGTTGTGTGTCAAACATTGTATTAATTTATTTATATCAACATTATTTAATTTTCACAAGAACTTTCTGAGGTGGCTACCAATTTTACCTCCATTTACAAATGAGGAAACTGAAGTACAGAGGAATTAAGACCATGCTCACCAAGGTCATTGAACATGTGAGTGATGGCACCTGGATTTGATCACAGCCCCATGACTGTGCCTGTCTCCAGCAATTACACAGTGCCCCCAGCTCAGCAAAGGTGTACTTGCCGGTTCTGTATCAGAGCTGCTCTGGCAGAGAGGCCCTCAGAGCTCGGTGCTGGGAAAGGAGCAAGTGGAAGTGGTGAGCGTGGCCAACGTCTTGCCAAGACTGAGAGGGGAAGGGCTTTGTAAGGAGGAGAGCCTAGAGAAATAGATTCGTGTACTACACTGACCCTTACCTCTGAGGCATTAAGGTGGGTGTTGGCGCAAATCCTGAAAATCAGGAAAGGTCTGAGTAGGAGCGCACTGTCTGGTTTGGCCCAGTCCGTGAGCCTCTGCTTCTGAAGCTCCTTGAGCCAGCCATGTAACACGTGTCCCAGTGTGCAGTCTGTGCTTTTCATTTCTCCTGGGTTACTGCAGTATTTTCTTGCATGTTTTATTTCCTTAAAAGACTACTATGAGAAAGACTGAGTAGCTTTCATTTTCTCTTAAATTTTCAGTGAAATCTTTGTGGATTGACAGTCTGGGACTCAGCAGTTAGTGGCTTCCAGACTAAATAAAAACAGAACATTTTATCCAAATTTGGGATTGCATTTTAAAAATTTCCAACTGATCCTAACTAAATTACTAACAGGAACACCACGTTTCATTTTATGGGGGAGAGAGAAAGGAAAGAGCTATGTGATACTTACAAGCTATTTGTCACATTGTCAGAGGCTCTTCTGATTCAAGGCCTTAACTGTCACCTTGTCCATTTCACTGCTTTTATTTTCAGATTTGGGAAACAGACTAATTGAGGTGAAGTGATTTATCCAGGGTCATGTCTTTAGCAAACACATACTGAGCACCTACAATGTGCAAGGCAATCCACTGGGTACTATGGGGACCCCAAAGATAAGATTTTTGTAGGTGTGCCAGTCAGTTCACCATGGGTGGTTGCAGTATGGTCATTCTGTTCTCTGACCACTGGCTGAAGGACCAAAGTAACATCCTTAGCAAAGTATTTCCTAGCATTACCACTGGAAATATATGTTTGCTCCGTCAGTTTAGAAGCAGAATGGTCATGGAGCTTTTGCAGCACTGAGACCTTCCTGGGGATTTAAAAAAAAAAAAAAAAAGGCATGCGCCATCTCCTGGTGGAAATAAGCATTGTCCTGTTGGGCATGAGATGGCCAGTAGCCATTGTGAGGGTTGGTCAGATGCCAGAGAATCCCATTTGTAATGCGGTGGACATATCTGAAAACAAAAACAAACAAAAATGTATCAGAAAATCTTTTCCCTGTCTTTCAATTAACTGGATTAAATGTGGTCATTGTTGCTTACTGGGACAGTTATCAAGCAGGAAACTAGTAAAGATGATTTTTTGTGTGTGTGGTTCCTAATTTCATAGTAAAATGATGGGCTAGATGTTAAATAATATCACAAGATTAAATAAAGTTCCTCTCCAAGAGAATCGTACTTCCATAGAGTCATTTATTCAGTGGGTAGGATATGAATTATAGGCTGAAAGGCAACTCAAATGTGGTAAAACAGAGAACTACTAGATAGCAGGTTTCTCAATTCTGAGTTTTTTCTTCAGCCTTAAAACATCCCTATTATATTATCAATGAGTAGATTTTATATCTTGTATTAGTTCACTGCGGACCAGCAAACTGCAGATTTCCCAGGATTATATGGGATAGCAGGCACACTTGAGAAGGAAAAATTTTGTGTGTTCAAGCAACAGTGCATAGTAGGCACTAGAAAGATTACATGTAACCAAAGGAGTATAGGAAATAATTGACCTAAAACCTGAGGTTTGTGCAGCACCTTGAAAATACTTTCACATTGATTGAGTCATGGTTCCACACTGCCTTTCTCTGAAATAAGGAGTCAGTGTCGTTCTTATATGAATCACAAAAGCAGAGAGGTTAAATGTCTTCTCCAGAGTCAGCTGGCGAGGCCATAGCCTTGACTCCCACTGTCATCCCTAATGCTGCTTTTGGTGGTTTTCCATCCCAAGTTTGCCTGGCTTCAACAGCCCTGTACATAGTAATCACTCATTAGTTAACAGTTACTAGTTTATCCTAATTTCTGGGAAAGAAATTAAATAGAATTGTTACGCACTTCTGAATGGACTGACATCTGCAGTGAAACAAAGCCTCTGGCGTGATCTGTGTGGCTATACTTTGTGCTCTTTTTGGCCCAGGAATGAAGACAAGGAAGCAGTGAGCATGTTGGTTAACTGCCCTGCCTACTACAGTGTGTCTGCTCCCAAGGCTGAGCTACTGAACAAAATCAAAGAGATGCCAGCAGAAGTGAATGAGGAAGAGGAACAGGCAGATGTCAATGAAAAGAAGGTAAATAAAGAATGGGATGCCCTTGTTCAGCTTTCCTCAGAAAAATTGACAAGGTCCATGTAATCAGCGTGGTGACTGGGCCTCTTGAGGCAGGTGGGGAAAGGACCTGTCACATCACCAGATTGCACCAAAATCATTAGACTTTGGATTTACATGGCACTTTAACTAATTTCCTCTTAGCTTTTCTGTGAGTAGGCAGGGCAGGTAAGCTACTGTACTTTTCGTTTTTACAAATAACAGAAGTGAAGCTTAGAGGGATTATTAGAAGTCTCATAGCCAGGACTTGAACCCAAGTCCCTAGCCTCCTAATCCAGCACCAGGACCCCGACACTGTTCTCAGCTGCTGGTTGGCCAGTGCCAACGGTGTGTGTAATTTTCTTGTTTCATAGTCAAAAGGAAAATTTTAAAATCTAGAAACTTTTTTTAGGGAAGGAGGCCAATTGTTAAATGACACTTCTGAGAAAAAGTAATATTAACCTTTATATCTTCCCCAGCCCTTTTTGAGGGACTTCAGCGAATAGCTTGAAAGTGCAGTGCTGGAATCTAGTTGTTAGCATTTGATACTCCTACAGAGATTTCAAATGTTAAGACACTTAAAAAATGACCGTGATGCTGCTGCTGTCTTCCCACATGCCATGGAGATCTAAACTGGGCTGTGTCTGCAGGGGAGAAAGTTCTCGCCTTCCACTTTCTCTATAGCACCAGAGGGGCTGCCTTCTGCTGTGCTTGCAGCTCTCTATGCAGCTCAGGCATGTGTGCTGCAAAGGAAAGCTTGCTTGCTTCTTGCTGAGCCTGGAAGGTAAGTGGTTTTCAGTGATCCTGATTCCAGGAGAAACTTTCTAGGGTGATTTTATTTCATTTGATCTACAATGTGTCCCAAGCTGTCTTGTCTGTTGGAATGAAACCACAGGATATAGACCCTAGGAGCAGAGGGTAACTGGACAGGAGGGATCTTTGCAGCACCTCTGGGTCATGGCTAACATGCTGATGCAACCATTGTAGTAGCAAGCTCCCTGCTAGCCCAAAGTTTTCCTATTTACATACTTGTCATTGTATACCCCTGATATATATACCTACCCCAGCACTGCTGAGCACTTCATTTAACGGGTCCCCTGATTGCAAATAAGACCACTTGGCTTTTGGTCTGTCTATATTTATCCCAAAGAGAGAGCTATGTATACACCCTTACATGTATCACGTTGCCATGGCATCTTTAACTGAACGTTTTACACAATTTTTTTGTTATTTTGTTTTCTGCCTTTGGGCATACCTGCTTTACAGTTGCAGTGTGGCAAATACTCATTGCTTTTCCTCCCTATCTTAATTTTTAAGTGTTTTTTTTTCTAAGTTTTATTTTAGAATCGGGGCATAGGCAGGTTTGTTACAAAGGTATATTGCATGATCCTGAGGCTTGCTGTATGATTGTATGCATCAACCAGGTAGCGAGCATAGTACCCAATAGGTAGTTTTTTAACCTTTGTCCCCTTTCCTTCCAACCCTCTTTTATTCCCCAGTGTCTGCTGGTCCCATATTTATGTCCATGTGTACCCAATTAACTGTTTTCCCATCACTTTCAATTATCACCCTCTCACTCGAAGCATTATGTGGCAAAAAGTATTTTTAGACTGAGAATATGAAGAAATAGAGAATTCATCCATCCTCACGGGAAACAACATTAGGTAGTATGTATTTCATTCCAAGTGTGGGCTATGTATTTGATTTTCTTTTCAACACAATGCTGTACTATCTTACTTGCACAAAACTCCTCTGACACTTGTACTACCACATTTTATGCTAATCAGAATTAGAGAATTTAAGGGCTGGGGTCACACAGTTAATAGATGCTAAAGTCAGATTTAACCTTATGTCTTTCTGACCCCAAAGCCTGCTAAAAATTGCTCCCAGGTCAGCTGCCTTTAAACCTTGCTGCCCTGGGAACTGAGCTAAACTGGAGGTTCTCTGGGTATAACTAACCAGAGCTAGAGTTTGAGATTAAAACCAGTTAAAACCCATTTTAAACCAAAAATATGAGAACAGCAGTGTCCGTGACTTGAGGACTGAGGAGTTTCGAGTCATTTGGAGTGCCTTTTGGGGGAGTCACGGGCTTAGGAAGACAAAACCCCACTCAGGGTGGAAGAGATCTTAGGGAGAGGAAATGTCACAGCCACATAACCAGGGCCTGGCACCTAGCACGTGCTCAATAAACATTTGTTTCATGAAGTTATAAAGTGCAAAACTCCCAAGTTGGAGTTTACCGTTTAACTGAAGAAAAATATCCAGAAGCCCACTGTGGAAAGGTTATAGGATTCGAGTCTATGGCCTTGCTATCCTCAACACATTTGATCTCAGAAGCTGACCAGGGTCAGGCCTGGTTAGTACTTGGATGGGAGATCATGGTATTAGAATTCAGAAGAAAAAAAAATCTGGAAGTTAAGCAACTAGTTTGTCCTTTCTTGACCCTTTTTTCTTAATAAAATGGAAGTGGTAATGATCTCTCACATAATAGTTGTGGGGTCAAATTAACTGACATATATGAATGTGCTTTTTGAGCTGCAGGGTGTAAGAGCATATAATATCTTAACAGAGAAGTGTTTAAGGCAATGTCATGTAAGTATGCAAATGTTGATGGCATCTGGTATCTTTCATGTTAAGATGTTCAGTGAGAAGGTGCCTTATTGCCAACAAGGCTAGGCACTTTCCTAAATCAGACTCTTACGAGGAAAAACAGCTCACATTTGTTTTCTCTCTTCACTGTGGAAAATGTTGCCCACAGCACCAGGGGGATGATACCCACTTGCCCTGTGGGCTTATCTGGCTCTTCAGGGATAAAGAAAGATGAGAAAAGGCCATTTAGTTAATGAGGCCTCCACATCCAGTTAGAATTTCCTTCGGTTCCTTCTTCCCTCAATCCTTTCTTCTAAGGCTGTAAGTGGCCTGAGGGTTTGCATCACTTTGTGAGTGTAAAATGTTAGGCTCATAAATGCTTAGTGAGAACACACCTTCTCTGTTTCAGACACTGTGCTCTGCCTTGGGCATACAAACATGAATAAGACACTGTGTCTGCTTTCCTGGAACTTTAGACTGGCAAGAGAGGTGGATTATTTTAGCACTACATTATTGGTCTTCTGATAGACACATGGACTCTACTGGGGGAGCCCAAAGGAGCAGTTCCTGACTCAAGAGAGTAGAGTCAGATTTTACCTCCTCCAGGAAGATAAAACCTGAGATCAGCATTGAAGAATGTATCGGTAGGAGTCAGGAGCATTCGAGACAAAAGGAAAAGCATAAGGAGAAACCAAAAGATAAGAAAAAGCATGGAATGTGTATGATAAAGAAGGGTGCTTCAAGTAGTTTGATATTTTGGAATGTAACAAAGGCTCATGATTAAATAAAAAATCACCAAGCTTAAGCCAGGCACAGTGGCTCACACCTGTAATCCCAGCACTTTGGGAGGCCAAGGCAGGAGGATTGCTGGAGCCCAGGAGTTCGAGACCAGCCTGAGCAATATAGTGAAACCCTATCTCTACCAAAAATATAAAAAATTAGCCAGGTGTGTTGGCGCACAACTGTAATCCCAGCTACTCGGAAGGCTGAGGCAGGAAAATTGCTTGAACCCAGGAGGCAGAGGTTGCAGTGAGCTGAGATCGTGCCACTGCACTCCAGACTGGGCGACAGAGCGAGACTCCATCTCAAAAAAAAAAAAATTAAAAAACTAAAAAATTAGCTGAGCATGGTGGCACACACCTGTGGTCTGAGCTACTTGGGAGGCTGAGGTGGGAGGATCGCTTGAGCCCGACAGGCAGAGGCTGCAGTGAACCAAGATCGTGCCACTCCAATCCAGCCTGAGTGACAGAGTGAGACCCTGTCTCAAAAAAGAAAAAAAAATTACCAAATTTAGAAAATAACAAAGGAAGGCCACAAACAGTGGGAGATGAGGCTGGAAGGGTTCACAAGAGCCAGTAGGTCATAAGGTCATGTAGGGCTTTGTGTGAAATGCTGAAGTTCGGATTTTATCATATGACAATGGAGAACCCTTTGAGATTTTAGTTTGTTGTAATGAACTACAAGTTTATAAATGTGTAATTGAATTTTCATTGGTATCACTTACATTTACATATCTGATTTGGAAACACAAAGTTTTAAATAAGTGATGTTGTTGAAAACATCTTTAATATATTCAGCAAAATGCAGTTTTCTTCCTGAAATACAACAAGCTTTTCTAATGATGGTTTAGAAAAATGATACTTGGTCAATATCCATTCTCCAATATTGTTTTGAGGTAGAATGTAGCCTTTGACCAACTTTTGCAAAGTAATAATTTGTTATTTAATATTTAAAGTTATTAATAACCTAAGATATATATCTAGGCTAGGAACTAGAGTCTTGGTTTACTAATAACTATTTTATAAATTAAAAATAACACTTTAGTTTCACTTTGATATTTCTATTTATATATCCTAGATGATGAATAATATTCCAAGTAAATGTAAGTATCAGTTAAAATATGAAACTTCCATTGTCTGAACTTTTGATATACGTAAAACTAAAGACAGTGTAAATAATCAGAGCTGTCAATTTTTTGGCTAAAGCCTGCCTTATTATTAAGCAAAATTCTACTTAAACCAATCACATAATTCCCTATTCTGAAGTCCAACAGGCTTTGGCTTCAGAAACTTAGAGGAATATTTCAAAAGGCAAAAGGAATCTATTGTTCCTCTGAGTCAGCTTTTCTCAGGAGATCACTGGTTCTCAGCTGCCCATTCCCGCTGCTCTTCCTTCATTCCTGAAGTTCCAGCTCTCCCTCTGGTCTTACTTCCTTTCAGTATTTATTTCAGAATAGGTCTGCTGATAACACATTCTTTTAGTTTTCTCCATCTAGGAATGTCTTTATTCCACTGTCACCCTTGAAGGGCATTTTCACTGGATATGGGATTCTGGGTTGAGTTGACTCTTTTCTTTCAGTACTTAACAAATGTTCACTTTCCTCTTGCTTCCATGGTTTCTAATGAGAAATGCACAGTCCTTTAAATATTGGCTCCTCCTGTATGCAATGTGTTGTTTTCCTCTGGCCACTCTCTTTCGTCTTTAGCATTTTGATTATGATTTGGATGGACTTAGTTTTCTTTGAGTTGATCGTATTTGGGGTTTGCTGAGCCTCTTGATTCTGTAAATTTATGTCTTTCACCAAATTCTGGAAGTTTTCAGCCATTCTGTCTTCAAATATTCTTAATGCATTAATCTTCTCCCTCCAGGACTTTAGTGACTAGTGATACAGTATTTCAATGACAGTTCATATTGTCCCACAAGCTCCATTCATTTTTTTTTAAATCTGTTTTCTTTCAGTCCTTCAGATTGGATAATTTCTGTTGGTCTGTTTTCAAGTTCACTGACTTTCCTATCTCCATTCTGCCAGTGATTTTTTTTTTTTTTAATTTCAAATATTATAGTTTTCAGTTCTAAAATTTACATTTAAAAAATAGTTTCTATTTCTTTGCTGAGAAGGTCTCTTTTTAAAGTTGTTTTAAAGACTCTTGTAGATTCTGGGCACAGTGGCTCATGCCTGTAACCCAGCACTTAGGGAGGCCAAGGCAGGCGGATCTCTTGAGTCTAAGAGTTCAAGACCAGCCTGGCCAACATGGTGAAACCCCATCTCTACAAAAAAAAAAAAAAAAATTAGCCAAGTGTGGTAATGCGTGCCTGTAATCCCAGCTACCTGGGACGCTGAGGTGGGAGGATCACCTGAGCCGGGGGGTTGAGGCTGTAGTGAGCTGTGATTATGCCAGCAATGCCTATATGCTAGAAATGGCTTTATCTCGTCCTAGTTTTTACAAGCTAAGCTGAATTCCACTCTATTCCTAAATCCCAACCACTTGGCTAGTAGTCCTGAATTACTCTTAAGACGGAGACACACAGAGGCCAACTGTGTGTGTAGAGTGACGTTACTGGCGATGTGGTCTTGTCAGGGGAAGGAGTATTCCCCCTACAGACATCTATCTAATATGAGCGGTGTGTCATCTTCAAATTGTTGTCTAATCTTACGACTGCACAAAAAATATAATTAGAATGTGTATAATACTTTCATATTTTCCAAAGTGATTGCACCAGCCTTCAACTCTTCAAATTTCTGGCCTCCATTTCAACATTCATGACTTGAGAAGTCGAATTTCTAGAAAATGCTTTTGAAAAACTCAACAGTGGAAAGAAACAAGGCTTTTCTTTTCATCCTCATGGTTTTCGTTATTTCTGTTATGACTTCTTTTGAAACTAATATCATATGTTGTGGTTTCCGCCAGCCTCATTTGAGCCTCATAGTATTCTTATGAGCTATTTTAATAAAGTGATGAAAGTCTGAAGCCAGATGATCTGCGTTTAAGCCTGGCTCTGTCACGTACCAGCTGCATGGCCTTGAACAAGTTAACCTCTATCCTCCTCACTTTCCTCATCGGTAAACGGGGATAATAATAATACCTCTCTCACCGGGTTGTTGCAAGTAGTAATTGAATAGTAAAACACTTAAATGGTGTCTGGCACAGAGAAAGAGCTGAATAATTAATTAGACATTATTATTAGTTTTCGGCAGGTGTTATTTTCTTCTCGCTGTGGATAACTGAGAAACAGAAGGTCAAGTGACTTGCCTGATGCCGAATGTTATGTCAGAGCCTCCTGCCTCCTTGTCCAGTGTTCATCCTGCTGTAGGCAGGAAGTGGGGAAGGGTCCAGAGGACATTTCTGCAGAGGATGAGGTGGGAGGCAGGGTCTATGAAGCTATGTTTGGGGGAAGAACTCGTATAAATAGCATCTCACACAGGGTGAGCTAACAGTTTATGCCAGATGAGAAGTGGATAAATGATTTCACAAATTAAGTAGCTCCTGAGAGACTAGTGTGTTATTTAAAACAAAACACACCTCTTCTCCCTCCCCCGGTGAGTTATTCTGGTAGACATTGGTAGGTTTTTTGGAAGAGATCTGCCTGGCAAAGAAATGGCTATTTAGTACAGCCAGCTTTCTCTTGCTGCTGTCAGTTTCTCAAATCCCTCTTAACTGCATTTTAAAATTCAAATTATCATATTTTAAGGGGCTCGTTAGGGCTTTTAAAAAATTCAAATGCCACCTAACTGAGGAACATTCAGCCAGGAGTGACTGACGTGACCACTCAGTAATTCTGGCCTTAGCATCTGTGGCTGAGCCATGAGATATCACATTAGAGCCCAGCAAATATTAATAACTTTCCAAAATCAGGTTCTTTCCACAGAAGCCTCCCTGCATCACTTCTATACATTTTCATCTCATTCCGTTCTTTCTTGCACCGTGAAGCCTGGGGTACACACATGCTCCTGTGACAGATTTATTTATGGTTCTGCCCAGCACTGATGTCTCTGAAAACCAAAACAGGGTCTGGGAAGGAAAGATGGGGTTGACTGGATGGTTGTGTTTGAAGCCCGATTGCAGTTTGGCTGGGTCAAGTTATTTTGACCCTTCCAGTCCACTGAACCATGCTCACCTCAGGGCCACCCCTGCAGTGTTGCTGATCTGCTTAGGTGCCGGAGAGAGCTGTTGACCTGAGTTCAGCAGAAAATTTGAAAGGATGAGTTCTCTCCTCTCATCACTCACCACCACATGTGAGAGCAAACTACTTATCCTTGGTTTCTGCCCATTTGCAAATTGATAAGCATCACACATGTCCTTTAAAATACCAGCCTCTGGCTGGGCGCGGTGGCTCACACCTGTAATCCCAGCACTTTGGGAGGCCAAGGCAGGTGAATAACTGAGGTCAGGAGTTCGAGACCAGCCTGACCAACATGGTGAAACCCCATCTCTACTAAAAATACAAAATTAGCTGGGCGTGGTGGCGGGTGCCAGTAATCCCAGCTACTCGGGAGGCTGAGGCAGGAGAATCACTTGAACCCAGGAGGCAAGAGTTTGCAGTGAGCCGAGATCACGCCATTGCACTCCAGCCTGGGCAACAAGAGTGAAACTCCATCTCAAAAAAACAAAACAACAAAAAAAGCAGCCTCTAAGAGCCACAGGAGGATTTTTAAATACAATGAGGCCACATGAAATAATAGTTTAATAAGGGTTTTAGTTCCTTCCAGAAATGACAACACACCATACTAGTTTCAAAAAAAGTCATTAATAGAAATAATGAAAAACAGGCTGAAAAAAACCACCTTGTTTCTTTCCACTATTTGGTTTTTAAAAAGCATTTTCTAGACATTCTAGAAATTCTGCTTCTCAGGACATGAGGTTGAAATGGACGCCTGAAATTTGAATGAGCTGAAGGCCTTTTCCTGAGGGTGCAGTGATAATGTTTTGCCCCAGTAACTATCTCTTTCAATTTGGTATAACCCAGTTGTCTTTAAGTGTCTTCCAGTAACATCTAGAGCAAAAAGCCTAGGAAATGTACCCTTCGAGTTAAAAATTCCTGGGCTGACTTCACATAGATGACATTCTCTCTCATTATCTGTCTGAAAAACAGGAATGATGACATTTGACTTGTCTTAACCCAGTCCAGCAGGAATGCTGGGAGACACAACAGCATGCAGTGTTTATTTTTCCTGCTGCTTTGCATTCCAGTGTCCTTGCCATTTTCTCCATATGCGCTGATATCACAGTGAAAGATCATCACACCCTGCCAGGCATTTTGCTGGAGGTATATAACATGTTCTCTTGCAGGTAAATTTCATAGCTTCCAGCCAGAATTGCTTTTTTGGAAAATGAAATTTTTCCAGGTGAAGATAAGAAAACTTAAATAATTAATATTAAGCAATTTTAACAGCTTGAGGAAAACCAAAGATTATAACCTGTGATGAGATGGTGCAGCAGATGTGATTTTTGAGACAGAGTCTCATTCTGTTACCCAGGCTGGAGTACAGTGGTGTGATCTAGGCTCACTGCAAACTCCACCTCTCAGGTTCAAGCGATTCTCCTGCCTCAGCCTCCTAGTAGCTGGGGATTACAGACGCCCACCATCACGCCTGGCTAATTTTTGTATTTTTTTCAGTAGAGATGGGCTTTCACCATTTTGACCAGGTTTGTCTCAAACTCCTGACCACAGGTGATCCGCCCACCTCAGCCTCCCAAAGTGCTGGGATTACAGGCATGAGCCACTGCGCCCAGCCTGGATGTGAATTTTTTAGCCACCTGCAGCCTCTAGGATTAGGCAGATTGAGAAAACAACAAGATGTCACCATTAAAGCCAGAACTTAGACATTTCAAGGACATTATGAACCTCACTCACTTGTGAAGTACCTCTGATGGTCCGACTCCAAGATAGGCAGATTGTGGAGAAATAAATATTTCCCTAGTCATTGTGATTACATTCCTAATGGACCTTCTCTGGTGCTGATACTGAAATAGTACAAAAAGTTGTCAGTACCTTTCAATTCTGTTGGTCAAAAATATGTTTTTCCTTTTTTTGTGTGTGTGTTTTTTTTTTCCTTTAAAATGAACATATACTTCCAACATAGAAGTTGTAACCTTTATATTTAACCAAGTTTCCAGTTGAAGCCAGTTTGGGGTGTGCATGTGTGTGCATGTGTCTATATGCGTGTGTGTGTATATACACACACACCAATTATATATATAGTATGCATGTGTGTATGTACATACAGAGAATTTTTGAGCTGGGGCCTTTTTAGCAGTAAAAAAAAAAAAGTAAGTTTTAACTAAAAAAGATTGTCTTCTTTCCATCTAGCTATTTTAGGCTAAGAGAAAAATGAAAGACTAATTACAAAAACCGTGGAGTTTAATTTCTGTTGTGCAAAAGAAGCAGTAGACAATATAAATGAATTCAAACTAGAAGCCACTAAGACATTTACTTCCTTCCTTCAGTTAAATATATTGGGTATTTGCTTCACTGTTTTATAAGTATGGAAATATGTGATTAAGGTGTCAAATTGCACAGCTCTGGTAACTGGAGACAGGGGAGGTAGAACAAGGGGCTGACTTTCTGATAAAGGTCTTGCTGTCAATTTCTAATGATTGTACAAGGGTGGCCCCTAAAGTGAGGCTGACTTGAGTTCACTTCACCTCACAATGTCTTAGTTTCCTCCCTTATTATAGGTAGATAAAACAGTATCTACTATAAGATTGCTGGGAAGACTAAGTAACATAATCAGTGTAGAGTTTCTCCATATGTATGGCACATATCAACTGCTCTACAAATGGTAGCTACAATTAATATTCAACTCAGCTCTAAGACCTTGGGCCAATCCCTTAATTCCTCTGACTCTTGGCCTATTTGTAAAATAAGAATACTGTTTACTCTACCTGCCTACTTACCCATAGTATTGTCATGAGGATCAAATGAGAACATGTCTTAAAAGGACTTTTAAAAATGAGTAATTGGCCAGGCACAGTGGCTTATGCCTATAATCCCAGCACTTTGAGAAGCTGAGGCTGGTGGATCACTTGAGGTTAGGAGTTCGAGACCAGTCTGGCCAACATGATGAAACCCCATCTCTACTAAAAATACAAAAATTAGCCAGGCGTGGTGGTGGGCACCTGTAATCCCAGCTACTCAGGAGGCTGAGGCAGGAGAATCGCTTGAACCCAGGAGGCAGAGGATTGCAGTGAGCCGAGATTGAACCATTGTACTCCAGCCTGGGTGACAAGAGCCAAACTCTGTCTCAAAAAAAAAAAAAAAAAAAAAAAAAAACAGAAGACAAAGCTGTACATAGCATGACACAATGGAAAACATTACAAGGTTGTGTGTAATCAAGTGTTGGTGTGTGAGGTTTAGAGAAAGGCAATGGTAGACCCTTAGGGAAAGAAGGCTATTATGGCATAATATTGGGGGACACTCCATATAGAGAAGGGGGAGGATATTCAGCTGAGCCTTGAAGATGACAGAAGGTGGCTGGGGGAGGTGACTTCTGCTTCCACTGGCACCTCCTGTTGGCTGATCTTTGCGGTCTTATCTGTCATTTCAGGCTGAGCTCATTGGAAGTCTCACCCACAAGCTGGAGACCCTCCAGGAGGCGAAGGGGAGCCTGCTCACGGACATCAAGCTCAACAACGCCCTGGGAGAAGAGGTGGAGGCTCTGATCAGCGAGCTCTGCAAGCCCAATGAGTTTGACAAGTATAGGATGTTCATAGGGGATTTGGACAAGGTGGTCAACCTGCTGCTCTCCCTCTCGGGGCGTCTAGCCCGTGTTGAGAATGTCCTTAGCGGCCTTGGTGAAGATGCCAGTAATGAAGAAAGGGTAGGTGGCCTAGTGATGCAGTTCAACAAGTTCTCCCTCAAAGCCCACATACATAGAGAGGCGCCATTAGACGCCATCCTTTCTCTCAGGAAGATTTGTGGCAATCTCTTTGGGGCAGGGAGAGAATACATGTATAGGTAACCAAGAAACAGAGAAGGCATTTTCTGTGTTGAGATATAATGCTGGCCAGGCGTGGTGGCTCATACCTGTAATTCCAGCATTTTGGGAGCCCAAGGCAGGCGGATCACCTGAGGTCAGGAGTTCAAGACCAGCCTGGCCAACATGGTGAACCAACATGGTGAAACCCTGTCTCTACTAAAAATACAAAAATTAGCCAGGCACCATGGTGCGTGCTTGTAATCCCGGCTACTCAGGAGGCTGAGGCAGGAGAATCGCTTGAACCCGGGAGGCAGAGGTTGCAGTGAGCCGAGATCACGCCACTGCACTCCAGACTGGGCGACCACATCAAAAAAAAAAAAAGATGTACTGCTGTACTGCTGACACTTAAGGCTCATGGAATTCTTGGGAAAGTAAGAACCACAGGCACCAGAGTTTCTTTCCTCCCAACTGTCTTCCTTCCTTTCTTTCCCAAAAAGATAAAAACATCATGAATACATTAAAACAGGGAGGGGGCAGGAACATAGGCTTAAGGCTCCAGGGCATCTCACATGAGGGGCCACAGGCACTCAGTGAGGACGCACCAGGGTGTCTCCACTGCACCCCCTCCTCGAAGGGAGGGTACAGGGGGACAGGTAACAGTGCTGACCCCACTGGAGACAATTCACCAAGAGCTTCCACCTGTCAGGCACTGTGAGCTTATGCGCAGTCTCATGGAATCCTCACAACAGCCCAGTGAGGGAGCTAGGATAGGAGGAGTCCTACTGCAGACTCCAAGTTGTATCACCGCATTGAACAGAATTCCAGAGCTATAGAGCATTCTTCATCCACTCCTCTGTACGGCAAATAGTTACTGGGGGTCTAGCGTGTGTCACTTAGTGGTCTAGGCACATGGGATACATTTGTGAGCAAAGCAGACAGATCCTACCCTCCTGATACTGAACAACAAACAGTAGACACAATTATTTTATATATATGTGCACACAGTATGTGTGTGTATGTGTATATACATGCTAGAAGATGGAAACTACTCCAGCCGTGAAGAGGGGCTCCTTTTCTTGCCTATGCTACCATCTTTTTTCTTTTTCTTTTTTTTTTTTTTTTTTGAGACAGAGTCTCACTCCGTCACCCAGGCTTGAGTGCAGTGGCGCAATCTAAGCTCACTGCAACCTCTGGCTCCCGTATTCATGCCATTCTCATGCCTCGGCCTCCCAAGTAGCTGAGATTACAGGTGCGCACCACCATGCCCAGCTAATTTTTGTATTTTTAGTAGAGACGGGGTTTTACCATATTGGCCAGGCTGGTCTCGAACTCCTGACCTCAGGTGATCCACCTGCCTTGGCCTCGCAAAGTGCTGGGGTTACAGGCGTGAGCCACCATGCCCAGCCTACCATACCATCTTTCTTTTTCATTGCTCTCATGAATTCTCCAATAATTTCTCCTAATACATTGCATTAAAAGGAAAGAGGTCCTTTTTCAAATAGATTTTAAAAGGATTAGAAAAAGTCTGGATCCTAAACATTTAGGAAAGTGACTCAGCATTTAGGAACTCTGCAGCGCCACTCTCAGCATCTTCCTCGTGTAAATGTGCTGAGTCAGCTTCCTTATCTAGAAATAGTCTGATACTACCTAACTCAGAAGTGTGTCCTGTCCTCCTTTCTTCCACTCGACAAACAGCTAACAGTAGCCTGTCAAATATGAGGTGCTGTGTCTGCTGGGGACAAATGCTGACTAAAACACAGGCCCTGCTCTCCAGGAACTCACAACTTATGGAGGAAAGCAGTATGGAGGAGCAATTGTGTGCTGGTGCTGAGCATAATGAGAAACTCAGCCACCAAACACTTCTCAGGTGGGGGAGCGTAAGGCAGGAAGGACTTCACGCAGTGACACATGAATACAGTTTAGAAGAACCTCTTAATTCTAAGAGGACTGAGAGGGGAAGGGCCTCACCATTTAGAAGAAATACCATAGACAAAGTCAAGAAAGAGATGCCATGTTTAAGAATTGATTTGCATGTGGTTTGGTATGTCTAGAACATACAGTGATTGCTTGGTTTTGTTTTTAAAAATAGTGAGCTAAGGCTGGGTGCAGTGGCTCACACCTGTAATCCCAGCACTTTGGGAGGCCAAGGGGGGCAGATCATGAGGTCAGGAGTTCAAGACCAGCCTGGCCAACATGGCAAAACCTCCTCTCTGCTAAAAATACAAAAATTAACCAGGTGTGTGGCGGGTGCCTGTAATCCCAGCTACTCAGGAGGCTGAGGCAGGAGAATTGCTTGAACCCGGGAAGCGGAGGTTGCAGTGAGCCGAGATCACACCACTGCACTCCAGCCCGGGTGACAGAGCAAGACTGTCTCAGAAAAAAAAAAAAAAAAAAGAGCTATGGGAATATTAGAAACTGACAGAAAGTACATGGCCCCATCAAAAGAGATAAAGAAGAAAGTTCAAAGAAGGTGTGGGAAGGATTAAGGGGGAAACCAGGAAGGGGTAATGAGGGCTCGCCCCTTGTCCCTCACCCAGAGCTATAGCATCAGCAGCAAAGCCATTATGGGCCTCTTTCTGAAGGGACAAGGAGAAGGGAGCCCTGATCAGAACCATAGCTGCAGCTGCCCTATAGCACTGAGGCCCTGGTAAAAGAATGCAACTGCCACCAACTCGAAGCCTGGCACAGAGGCAGCCAGGGATACATGCCACAGTTTCTTTTCGCACTCTCCAGTCTCTTTTCCATCACTCCCCTTGGTCAAACCCAGACAGCAAGGGAGCCCAGTGGATGCAACCCCTAGAGTTCAGCTTCCTTCAGCACAGGGCAGAGAAGAGTGGACCTGGAGAGGCAGACACAATATCCAGCACAGAAAATCATCACAAAGACCTTACCACAGTCATACACTAGACTTTAGACTTCAGCCTATAGGTAGGGAAGAGTCATGAACTAACTTTGTGACTTACTCAGCCTGGGGAGGGGCAAGATTGATGTTAAAATAACAGTTGGGAGGCTCATTTTAATAGTCTAAACAAGGAGGGTTTATGCTGTTGATGTAGGCAATTGTCCTGGGGGTAGAGAAGAGGGGATAAATTAGAGAATGAATTTGTATTAGCAAGGGGCATGTTAGATGAGGGGAAGGGTAGAGCAGAAAATAATTCCAAGTTTCCTATTGGGCCACCTGGATGAATGCTCTAGATATCTGAGACAAGAAAGACTGGAGCAGTTTCTAGTTAGGGCAAGATAAATTGTTTTAGAACCGAATTAAATTCAACACTTACATGCATGCCTGCACTCTTAAATACAAGTAAGTTTGCTCACCCAAAAAATACTATAGCAGTATTGTTTTTTTATCATGATTGGTCTTTGTTAAGAAACTAAAACTATAAGTAGAAATGAGAAAAGGAAGAAAAATAGTTACCAAATGGGGAGTAGTGAAGACCAGGATTGGGGAGGAGTATCTATAAGGCTTTAACTGAATCTCTAAAAAAAATTTTTTTAATCTGCAGCCAATATGAAAAAAGTGTTCATATTAAGATTTGGCACCATTAATGATAGGTACACAGAGTGATTCTTTATACATTACTGATGTCTAAAATATTTTATATATTTTTTAAGGTAGGTGATGAAAAAATTCTCAATTTTTTAACTTACATCTCAATGATACTTTGAAAGGCATCCTCATTCAAATTCAGTCCCTCAGGGTTTTTTGGGGTTTTTTTTTTGTTTTTTTTTTTTTTAAGGTATGTTTTTCTGCTTAGGGAAAGGAAACTTATGCCAATAAGCCTGTAATTCTTCACTTTTCCCCCAGGCATTATTATGTAAGATGTGACAGGCTAGTTTAGGGGGATTTAGGGCAAAGACACATGAGTCTTTGATAACCCTACATAAGCTATTTTGTATTGAGGTATACTTAAGTGATCTTATTTCTTGATTGATTTTCATTTTAATTTTCCACAATCACTTTTTTTTTATTTCAATAGGTTTTTGGGGAACAGGTGGTGTTTTGTTACATTGATAAATTCTTAGTGGCGATTTCTGTGATTTTGGTGCCTCCATCACCCGAGCACTGTACACTGTACCCGATGTGTAGTCTTTTATCCCTCACCCACCTCCCACCCTTCCCGCTGAGTCCCCGAAGTCCTTTGTATCCTTCTTATGCCTTTGCATCCTCAATAGCTTAGCATCCACTTAAAACTGAGAACATAAAACGTTTGGTTTTCCATTCCTGAGTCACTTCACTTAGAATAATGGTCTCCAACTCCATCCAGGTTGCTGTAAATGCCATTATTTTGTTCTTTTTTATGGCTGAGTAGTAGTCCATGGGGTGTGTGTGTGTGTGTGTGTGTAAACCACAATGTGATACCACCTTACTCCTGCAAGAATGGCAATAAAAAAAAATACATGTTGGCATGGATGTGGTGAAAAGGGAACACTTTTACACTGCTGGTGGGAATGTAAACTAGTACAACCACTATGGAAAACAGTATGGAGATTCCTTAAAGAACTAAAAGTACATCTATCATTTGATCCAGCAGTCCCACTACTGGGTATCTATCCAGAGGAAAGAAGTAATTATATGGAAAAGACACTTGCACACTCATATTTATAGCAGTACAATTTGCAACTGCAAAAAAGGGAACCAGCCCAAATGCCCATCAATTAACAAGTGAATAAAGAAAATGTGTGTGTGTGTATATATACATAACATATTTGTATATGTGTATATACACATATATACACATACTATATATATACACACACCATATATATGTGTACATACACATATATACACATATATATACACACATACTATATATATACACACACACACACACATACATATATACACACATACCACATTTTCTTTATCCACTTGTTAATTGATGGGCATTTGGGCTGGTTCCCTTTTTTGCAGTTGCAAATTGTGCTGCTATAAACATGGGTGTGCAAGTTTCTTTTCCATATAATTACTTCTTTTCTCTGGATAGATACCCAGTAGTGGGATTGCAGGATCAAATGATAGATGTACTTTTCATTCTTTAAGGAATCTCCATACTGTTTTCCATAGTGGTTGTGCTAGTTTACATCCCCACCAGCAATGTAAAAGTGTTCCCTTTTCACCATATCCATGCCAACATATATTAGTTTTTGATTATGGCCATTCTTGCAGGAGTAAGGTGGTATTGCATTGTGGTTTTGATTTGCATTTCCCTGATAGAACTGTTCAGCAGTTTTTCACGTTTGTTGACCATTTGTCCATCTTCTTTTGAGAATTGTCTATTAATGTCCTTTGCCCACTTTTTGATGGGATTTTTTCTTGCTGATTTATTTGTAGATTCTGGATATTAGTTCTTTGTTGGATACATAGTTTGCAAAGATTTTCTCCCACTCTGTGGGTTGTCTGTTTACTCTGCTGTTTTTATTTTGCTGTGCAAAAGCTCTTTAGTTTAATTAAGTCCTATCTATTTATCTTTGTTTTTGTTGCATTCCCTTTTGGATTCTTTGTCATGAACTCTTTGCCGAAGCCAATGCCTAGAAGATTGTCTTCTTTCCATCTAGCTATTTTAGGCTAAGAGAAAAATGAAAGACTAATTACAAAAACCGTGGAGTTTAATTTCTGTTGTGCAAAAGAAGCAGTAGACGCTTAATATAAATGAATTCAAACTAGAAGCCACTAAGACATGTACTTCCTTCCTTCAGTTAAATATATCTTCTAGAATTTTTATGGCTTTAGGTCTTAGATTTAAGTCCTTGATCCATCTTGAATAGATTTTTGTGTAAGGTGAGAGATGAGGATCTACTTTCATTCTTCTACATGTGGCTTACCAATTATTCCAGCACCATTTGTTGAATAGGGTGACCTTTCTTCACTTTGTTTTTGTTTGCTTTCTCGAAGATCAGTTGGCTGTAAGTATTTGGCTTTATTTCTGGGTTCTCTATTCTGTTCCATTGCTCTATATGCCTGTTTTTACACTAATACCATGCTGTTTTGGTGACTGTGGCCTTGTAGTATAGTTTGAAGTTGGGTAACGTGATGCCTCCAGATTTGTTCTTTTTGCTTAGTCTTGCTTTGGCTATGCGGGCTCTTTTTTGGTTCCATATGAATTTTAGGATTGTTTTTTCTAGTTCTGTGAAGAATGATGGCGGTATTTTGATGGGAATTGCATTGAATTTGTAGACTGCTTTTGACAGTATGGTCATTTTCACAATATTGACTCTACCCATCCATGAGCACAGGATATGTTTCCATTTGTGTGTGTCATCTATGATTTCTTTCAGCAGTGTTTTATAGTTTTCCTTGCAGAGGTCTTTAACCTCCTTGATTAGGTATATTCCTAAGTATTTTATTTTTTTGCAGCTATTGTGAAAGTGGTTGAGTTCTTGATTTTATTCTCAGCTTGGTCGCTGTTGGTGTATAGCAGTGCTACTTATTTGTGTACATTGATTTTGTATCCTGAGACTTTACTGAATTCATTTATTAGATCTAGGAGCTTTTTGGATAGTCTTCAGGGTTTTCTAGGTATAGGATCATATCGTTGGCAAACAGCAACAGTTTGGCTTCCTCTTTACCAATTTGGATGCCCTTTCTTTCTTTCTCTTGTCTGACTGCTCTGGCTAGACCTTTTAGTACAATGTTGAATAGCAGTGGTGAAAGTGAGCACCCTTGTCTTGTTCCAGTTCTCAGGGGGAATGCTTTCAACTTTTCCTTGTTCAGTATAATGTTGGCTGTGGGTTTGTCTCCTCAGTTACTTTGCCTAAAATGTCTGAATGGTTAAATATAATTTTTTTAATTTAAAAATGATCATGTTGGAGAGAAAACCACATTAAAGATAACATATGCTACAATATCATAGAAAAGCATAAGAAACTCTTAGAATATGACATTGCCGTCATTGTTGAACAGAATTTCTCTCATTTTGGATCAGAGGCCTGCAAAAGAGAACTGAAAAAATGGAAACTGGCTTCTTTAGAGATGGGAAATATGATCTCATTGCTATTATGGATTAGGGAGAGGTTCTCAAACTTTAGCCGCAAAAGAATCATCTGGAAGGCTTGTTAAAACAGGTTGCTGGGCCTCACCTCCAGAGTTTTTTATTCAAGAGGTGGAAGAGGGCCTGAACCCTTGCATTTCTAACAATTTCCCAGGTGATGCCACTGCTGCTGGTCCAGCAACCACACCTTGAGAACCACCGTATTCATGTATATACTCAAGGTACCTTGATGATTTTTTTTTTTTTTTTTGAGACAAGAGTCTCACTCTGTCATCCAGGCTGGAGTGCAGTGGCACATCTCGGCTCACTGCAACCTCTGCCTCCTGGGTTCAAGCAATTCTCATGCCTCAGCCTCCCAAGTAGCTGGTATTACAGGCATGCATCACCATGCCTAGGTGATTTTTGTATTTTTAGTAGAGACGGGGTTTCACCATGTTGGCCAGGCTGGGTTTGAACTCCTGGCCTCAAGTGATCCATCCATCCCGGCCTCCCAAAGTGCTGGAATTATAGGCGTGAGCCACCAAGCCCAGCTGATGATTGGTTTTTAAAGTCAAGAATCTGAAAGCAATTTTATCTCCAGCCAATTTAATGTAACAGCTCTCAAACTGAAGCTATCCTATGATGTTACAATTTAGAGAATGCTGTAATATGTAATATAAGGATAATCTGATTTTCAAAAAGTTAGCCTCCTTACTTAGGAGTGACAATAGGAATAGAGCTTAGATATTTCCCAGTCCTGTCAGAGGTGTCCTTGCAGGGAGTCTGGCTCTTTTCTCCCTTTCCCTGGCCTTCATTGATCTGTCCAATTTTCCCTGGCAGAGCTCTCTTTACGAGAAAAGGAAGATCCTGGCTGGTCAGCATGAGGATGCCCGGGAGCTGAAGGAGAACCTGGATCGCAGGGAGCGAGTAGTGCTGGGCATCTTGGCCAATTACCTTTCAGAGGAGCAGCTCCAGGACTACCAGCACTTCGTGAAAATGAAGTCCACGCTCCTCATTGAGCAACGGAAGCTGGATGACAAGATCAAGCTGGGCCAGGAGCAGGTCAAGTGTCTGCTGGAGAGCCTGCCCTCAGATTTCATTCCCAAGGCTGGGGCCCTGGCTCTGCCCCCAAACCTCACGAGTGAGCCCATTCCTGCTGGGGGCTGTACTTTCAGTGGTATTTTCCCAACATTAACCTCTCCACTTTAACCTCTTCTAAAATACCCAACCAAAAGATCACTGTTTCTCTCAACACTATTTAATCTGAAAAATGTTTCAGTACAAACCACTGTTTGAACTATCTGGGTTATTGGTGTTTGTTCCTGATGAAAGGAAAAAAATTCTCTCCAGGAGGAAGCCTTTTTCCTTCTTGCCCTTCCTGATTGATCTTCTGAGAGCTCGAATGCTGCTGGACACGTACCCCTTTCTATTATTACTTTGTAGTAGAAAGAAAGTTAATGAAACTGAGAACTGATTGGAGGGTGTTTGATCATTTAGTTTTTAACAGGCTGAGGCAACATGGATCAGTGTGTGTCCCCCTCAGGAATGTATCCACAGTGGCCTTCCTTGCTGGTGGGCAGTGTATCCTGATGGCAGGGTACAAGTACCATTAATGAAGGGTCTGCAACATAAAGCCTTAAAAAGACACACACTAAGAAAACTGTAAAACCTTGAACATTGTTATTTATATTT
This sequence comes from Homo sapiens, assembly GCF_000001405.40. NCBI lineage: Eukaryota > Metazoa > Chordata > Mammalia > Primates > Hominidae > Homo > Homo sapiens. Next base: position 76,779,661 of record NC_000004.12, read on the forward strand.
TTTAAAATGGAAAAGATCACTATGTTTGTTGTGCTAACCACTTATTTGATTCTGTTTTGTGGTGGACATAGATGATTACGTTTGAGCTTTGTATTTTGTGAAAACCTTAATGAAATGAATTCCAAAGATAGTCACGTTGAGCGTGAAGACTTTTTTTCTTACATTCCTGTCTTATTTTTACCAACACGAGCAGGCATTCTGCGCTTCCACTGGACTGAGTATGGGGGAGTCCTGCTCCCCTCCTGTCTCACACCTTCCCCAGGAGGAAGGCCTCATGCACTGCGGTTATTGCATCATTTCCTAGTGCTTCATGTCATTATCACTGGTGGGGAAACAAAGCTAAATTTTATTAACAAAGACAACTCTCAGACCTATATAATAGGAGGAGGACGTCCAGAATCCAACAAAATTCAAACGGAGCCCATGCTGTTCTCCTGAACAAGATTTGGGCTAAATACGGCCTGTTTATTGAGGCTGTTTTAATGATGCTTTAAAAAAAAAAAATGTTTTCTAAAATGTCAAACCTGTTGACCACACTTTGATTAAAAACTGCCTCCTTAACCTCTGAAGACTGATTTTGCTTTATCATGTTTCAATAATAACATTTCAGAGGTTACTCTGTAGCCCCAGTTGTAAGCTTATAAAAACAAACTGGAAGGCTGAGGAGGTTATGGGCTGGCAGCCAGGCTATGTTTACAGCTGCTGGAGATGGCAGTAGCCTTATACTTTGAGCAGGTAGTACATCCCAGGCTGTGCTAGAGGTAGATTTGTTTTTTCACGTTTGATCTGTGGCTGGTGGCCACCTTTGTTGATTTGGGCTTACGAGTTTCATAGTAGCCAGTCTTAGAAAATTGGGGGAGTAAAATTTTGAAGTAAAAAAAAAAAAAAAATGACAAGGGAACCAAATGCTCCTTCTCCCCTTAGTACATTTTCATTACTTAATGAAGTTTTATCTCCTATGTAAGAATATCAAAATTGTAGTTTGGGTCTCCAGTAGAGATGTCTTTTGATTAACTTATAAACAACTGGCCACCCAGAAGTTTCCTTTGCATAGTCAACCAAAGCTATGGCTTTGTTCTTTGGAGCTTATATACTGCATGACTCCATTGATACAAATAAGACAGCACCTTGGTTTCCCAGGGATGTTTTCATTCAGAGGTCCTGTCTCCCAGGAAAGCAGTAGAACCAGTGACAGCATTCAACAGCCACACTGCATGGTCATCAGTCTTAGGCCAACATGGGAGCCTGAAATTAACTCCATCAGTAACTACCTGTGTGTCTTGCTGATACTGAATGAGCCCTCACAAGCCAAGCCAGGTGGAAGACAGCCAGCAAACGTCTACAGTTATTCTTAGTGAAATTCCTCAGAGGAATCCAGGGGGCTCCCAGTTCCCAACACTCTTCGAGATGACCATTTTTCGGGATTTGACTGGGGAACATTTTACATATTCAGTCTTTCTCAAAAATTTTTATTTATTTTCTTGAGAAAGGGTCTTACTATGTTGCCCAGGCTGGAGTGCAGAGTGGTGCGATAACAGCTCATTGCAGTCTGAACCTCTGAGGCTCAAGCCATCCTCCCATCTCAGCCTCCCAAGTAGCTGGGACCACAGGTGTGCACCACTATGCTTGGCTAATTTTTTGATTTTTTATAGAGACGGGGGTCTCGCTATGTTGCCCAGGCTGGTTTCAAACTCCTGGGCTCAAGGGATCCTTCCGCTTTGGTCCCAGAAGTGCTGGGATTACAGGCATGAGCCACTTCACCCAGCCACTTTTCTAATTTATAGACATAAAAGTAATTGACTCCCACAGCACAGTAACAGGCAATGCTGCTTGGCATGCCACAAACATCTGAAAGCTTGTGACACTCCTAGGATTGTGTCCATTCTTTCATTATGTGGAAACTTTGTTCTGTTATGTGAAATGGGTAAGGCACCAAGTGAGACTTTGAAATCTAATTTTTAGGTGGATGTGATATTTATTGTAATAGGACTTGACCTCTGTACTTTAAAGAAATCACTAACCAAATTTTCAAAGTTTCCTTTTAAATGCGTTTAGCTAGAAATCTATGTATTTATCCCTTTCCTATTTTGCATTCTTCTCCCACTATTTTTAAAAACTCATTTACAGTAGAAACCATTCTTCTTTCTCCCAACAGTATCCTTTGCCAAGACCATGAGAACAGTAAGGAGCATGTTGTTGGTCAGGGTTTCAGAATACGCGTGATGTCACTGAGAATGTTTGCTCACAGTCAATAATTGTCTTTGTGGATGTGATAATTTTGGAGATACACTTCTGGTCAGAACTCAGGTGAGATAATCTTGCAATACTCCAAATGCAGATACTCCAGCCACCCGCAAGGTTCCAGGAAAGGACAATGTCCTGCGAGAAAATCAGGAGGCCTCCACTTCCTGGGCCACTTGAGAAGTTCCTGGGCATGTCACTACATGTTGGTTGACTCAGCCATTTCTCATGCTGTTTTGTTTCTTGCGGTGGCCACTTAACCCCAAAGAATGAAGGGAGGATCCACAGTGAAAGTGCCTGAGTTTCTCTATGAGACCAGATGCTGTCGAAACCAAACATCTTTTCCTTTGCTCTATGGGAACATTTTAGGGTTTGTTTTGCACAGCTGGTTTCCAGACTAGAAGATTAACAAGTTTGGGTCCACCCCTAAGAATCAGTGGCTGTCTTTTAAGGTGAGGAGTGTGGGCTTAACTGAGGTCCTTTGAGGGAGCTATAAAGGAGAAACAACCTGGGACATCCCAGTTTTCCTATTCCTCCACTGTTAATATCTCATCTAAAATAATTCATGAGTTTAAATGGTAAATATATGCTTTAAGCTCTACCTTTAAACTTGTATGTTATTCAGGCATCTCTTATTAAGATACTGGGTCTCTGGATACCCAAGGAAATGTTGGCTTTTTATTCTTATGTGGTTCCAAATTTACTTCTCTTCAGTTTAATTGTCCATGGTAGTGCTGGCTTCATTGTTAGGTTGGAGTTATTATTTTCCTTTTAGAACAACATGAATTTTATTCACCTTACTATTAGAAAAAGGAATAACTACAGCCAGAAATAACTTCATTTCCTACAAGGTATAAAAAGTGGTCAAGTGAATGTGAAGGGGCTTTTCTACACAGGAATATATTATCGGGAACAAAGTATTTCCTGCTGCCTTAACTCTTTGGGATGCATAGGATAAAATGATAAAGACCATTTTAATATCAGAAAGGGTTGTCTTATTAATTTTTAAATAAAACTTCACATTTCTTAATGGGGAGCTCATTCAGAAACTAAATAATGGTTTCTCAAAGTGTGGTCAGGATACGATCTGCATCAGAATCCTTGGAATGCTTGTTAAAAATACCAATTGCTATGACAAAACCAAGTCTGCTGGAAACTGCATTTCAGCAGGTTTCCCATGTTATTCTGATGTATTTTAACATTTGAGAGCCACTACCAATCATCTGTACAGTTCCTACTGTTATGATCACAATAAGACTAACATGAATTTAATAATCTGAATAATTTTTAAAATTTAAATAAACAGAAATTGAAGTTAAATTTAAAAATAAAAATAACCTCAGAAGTTGAAAGTCCTGTCATATTTATTCTATTAGCTATATAAGTTTATACTGTCTCCACTACTTTTATATAATCCCCAAGGTTGTGATACAGATTTTGTTCCCTGTTTACTCTTTTTTAGATCTGTTTTAAACAAGTTATGCACTTATTCAGATTTAATTGCACTAATTATTTTTCCTCAAAAGGAATCAGTTTTATCACACATTGCCAGTAATTTTAAGTTCTGCCCTGACTGAAATTAATCAACTGGCCTTTTCAGTGGGAACTTTACTGATTTAGTGGGAATCAGATTCCTGTTGCTTCATCACAAATGTTATCCTACATATGAGTTAGAACCTCTCCTTGGTGTGGATTTGACAATTTAGCTAATGAAACAAGACTGTGTTCATTTTCTTTGAGAAATGAAAGCAGCTGTCACCCAATTTTGAAACTCTAAAATCAAAATTAGGCAAGAAGAAAGTTGTGAATGAAAAAACTGGCTCATTGATTCCTACTTCATTCTATAAATTATTCTCTAGGTGGAAAGGCAGCTGTATTTCTTGCTTAAACACTGGTATTGCTATTGCTTTACAGTAGGTTGAACAGGGGAAATATTTATATAAAGAGTTATTAAATTCTGATAAACGAGTGACTATAGGACATAAGGAAATTCTCTCTGGTACCCTAGAGCTAAGGAAGAGTACTCAAGGAAAGACAAACTGGGAAAGAGTCCCAAGCCTGAGGTTCAGACCTCCTTGGAGAACTGAACTCGACCCACATAGCAGGGAAGTTAGCTGGTTTGCCCAGGCTGGAACTGGTCTGCAGTCCCTGAGCGCATAGGAAGCAACCCTCCAGAGTGCAGGCTGGGTCAGTCCACCAGCAACCAACAGCCTGGCTGTGCACAGAGTGGGGGCCTGCAGCAGGCGTGGCTGCCCAGTGGGAACCCTCCAGGTCACAGGTGATCCTCACAGGATCTTCAGAGAGTGAGGAGCCAGTGTTGGCAGAAGGCCTTCCGGGCACTGATGCAGCAGGAATCTTTCAGGGCTCAAGTTTGTAATCCACAGGCCCAGGAGAAGGTTATGGCCAGAATGAGGCTTCAAGGTCCCAAGGCACCACCAATTGTAGGCAGTGGTTGGAAGAGAACTCCATCAGATGTCCTCACACCCATACCACTGACCCATAAGGCAGCAGCCACAAAGGGCCCCAACAGCACCCCCTATGGAGAGAGCTTAACATCGTGCTGACTGTAAAAGATGCTTAAAAGGACCCTGCCCATTACACAGACACTTGATTGAAGGGTTATTCCAGAGCTGAGCCAATAAATTGATAGCCGTCACAGACACATTGTTCTACATATATACCCTGGCATTATCTTCTGATACCACATGTAATTTTATAGTTGCTGATTCTGTAAGAACCATTTCTCAGATAATAAAACAGTGCCTATAAAATGGCCAACATATCTCTTGAAGGAGGTGTCAAAAGGAAAGCAGTTTCTCATTTATGTTTTCTTTAAACATGCTCCATACACCTATATTACTCAAAGTATCTAAATCAATAGATTTAGATTCAGGCCGATTTAAGAGCATGTCTAAGGTTTGTTTCTGTTGAGGTCTCTCTCTGCCTAGCTCTGCCTCTGTATACCTCTGTATGTGTCTACGTCTCTCTTGGTGTGTCTCCACATATGTTTTTCTCTATCTCAACATCTGCAACTGTCATACTTTCCTGTTCATTTATTCCCAAAATGATTCATATTTATACATTAAGTTCAGTGGTGCAATCATAGCTCACCACAGCCTCGAACTCCCAGGCTCAGGCGATCCTCCTGCTTCAGCCTCCCAAGTAGCTGGGACCACAGGCATGAGCCACCACACCTGGCTAATTTTTTAAAATATTTTTGGCAGAGATGGGGTCTCCCTATGTTGCCCAGGCTGGTCTCAAACTCCTGGGCTGAAGCAATCCTCCTGCCTCAGCCTCCCAAAGTGCTGGGATTACAGGCATGAGCCACCATGCCCAGGTGTTTTGTTTGTTTGTTTTAATTTGAAAGAAAAATTAAGAATCTCACCTCATTTTAAATTTTAATAAATATAAAGAAGATGTTGCAATATTGTTTAAATATATGTAAGAGTGAATGAGAACTATTCCTCATCTCTAATTAGAACAGAATATAGGAATTGGCTTTATTTTGTAGTAATAAAAATTGATTTGATAAAAAGGAACAATTCAAAGGCAGCTCATGGATACGGAAATGAGAATTTTAAAAGCCCATCTTCCCTCAAAGATTAAAAGAAAAAAAAGAAATAGAATACCTAACCTTGTATGCAATGGTTTAGAGCAGATTTATTAAAAGGCAGGGAGGTAGTCGGATGTCTCCTTCCAGTGAAAGTAGATAGGCAGAAAAGGAACTTAAGCTTAGGATAAAAAGAACAAACAACATCTTCCAAGTTGCCTCAAAAGGTCAACCTCAGTTTGATAATGTATCACTCAATGTGTTTTTTGTTTTTTTGTTTTGGTTTTGTTTTGGTTTTTTGAGACAGAGTGAGCCCGTAATCCCAGCCCTTTGGGAGGCTGAGGTGGGTGCATTATTTGAGGTCAGGAGATCGAGACCAGCCTGGCCAACATGCTGAAACCCCGTCTCTACTGAAAAAAAAAAAAAATTAGCCAGGTGTGGTGGTGCATGCCTGTGGTCCTAGCTACTCTGGAGGCCAAGGCAGGAGAACTGCTTGAACCCAGCAGGCGGAGGGTGCAGTAAGATGAGATCGCACCACTGCACTCCAGCCTGGGCAACAGAGTGAGACTCTGTCTCAAACAAACAAACAAACAAACAAACAAAACAAATTGTAAGTCCTTCTTGCAAATGTTGGTTAAAAGCTAACTAAGGAGTAATGTGCTTAGGAAGAAGAAACTAAGAAAATCAATTTACGGTGTGGTTAAGTAATGTGCCTCTACAGGTAGATGAGAGAGACGCATGTGTAGGAAGGGAGGTACAGCAGGAAAACTGTGTGTTCATCATGACTCTGGATGATTAAATATGTGCATTCACACAGGTAATTGAGAAGATATATGGTATGTCTGCTAACAAAAGTAGAACTACAGCTCTTCAGATCATATTGATCAGAAATCAGTAGAAAGTACCAAATAAAGACTTCTATCTACAGGAGATTCGTGGCATTGAGCAAGATGGCCAACTGGAAGCCCCTGGTGCTCGTCTCTCTCACAATGACAACCAGAACAATGAATAAACAACTACATTTTAACAAAAATAAGTGAGGGACGGTGCATCAGAGAAGTAACAGAAACCCCAGTGAGCAGAGAAATTCAGGATGGCCAAAGAGAATGGAAGGAAATCCTGGGCCTCTATTGCCCTGTCCCCAAACTGGGACTAGCTGGGAACCAGGAAGAACTTCTTCTTATGGTGAGGAGGTAAGAGGATTCCATAAATCCCCATCAGCACCTTGGATATCTACAAACCTCACCACTGGAGTCCCCTGCAGTCCTCACAGTTACTCAACCCAGCTGGGGGAGCTGCCTGGAGTCCACATAGCGTGCTCCTCCCAGAGAAGGAGCCAACACCATGCTGTGCCCCACGGCCCATGTGGCTGCTGCGCTATACCATCTTGGAACTAAAACTACAGCTGGAGTGTGTCTTGCTCCAGGGGTGCATAGCCACGGCTCCCTTTCATCCCTGAGGCTAAGCTGCCACTAAACCACCCCATCCCAGTGGCCTGACATCCCCAAGCTGAGCTGCAAGTAGCTGTTACAGCCTTCCCCAGGGCCAAGCAGAGGTGGAGTCACTCCACCTACCCCTACCCCTGCCCTTTCAGGCCGGAGCTGAAGTGGCACCCTGCCTCCCAGCAACAGTACCTAAGCCGTTCAGAGCAGCCACTCTTCCCCTATGCCTAAGTTGAAGCAGCACTCTGCATCCCAAGAAATGATGCCTTGGCTGCCACGCAGAGCAGCCATGCACCCTAGGACTTACGCTGATGCAGGGCCCTGCAACTGAGGGAAATGGTCCCTGAGCCACCCAGAACAGTCATGCCTCCCAGTCCTGAAGCAGCACAGCCCCTGGGGAATCGGTGCCTTGGCCAAGCTGAGCAGCTGTGATTCCAGGGCTGAGCTGATGTAGTACCCCATATCCCAGGGAAATAGAGCAGTGGTTGAGGTGAGACACCCTGCCCTACAGGCCAAACAACTCCAGTACCCTGTGCTTCCTTGGGGCTGGACTAGCTCCCTCAAGTACAAACTGCTGAGATGCCCCTCTTCTTGGGAAGTGAAGATATCACTTGCTGTTCCCTGCTCCCCCAAGGCCCAAATGAGAGATGTGCTCCACCATTCTGGGACACTTGCTGCCACCGCACCTGGCCTCTCACTCTGGGACACTGCCGGGTCCCACCATCCCATGGTCTAGAGGAGGGGTATCCAATCATTTGGTTTCCCTGGGCCACAGTGGAAGAAAAATAGTCTTGGGCCACACGTAAAATGCACTAACACTAACGAAAGGTGACAATAGCTGACAAGCTTAAAAAAAAAACTCAATGTTTTAAGAAAGTTTATGAATTTGTGTTGGGCCACATACAAAGTCATCTGAACCACATGTGGCCACACACCATAAGTTAGATAAGCTTAGTTTAGAGTCACTACTACACGGTCACCTTATGGGACCTGAGTTGCCACTGAGCCCTATTGGCTCAAGTTCCCAGATTGCAGGGATCTCCTGCTCCCCAGGCCCAAACCTCCAGAGCACCTTGTTCTTCCTGAGTCTGGCCAGTGGTGTGCCTGCATCCAGTGGAAGAACCATCACCACAACCCTGCCTGAGCTACAAGGGATGACTCAGAGTTACCGATTCTGGCAGTGTGGGCAACCTACATCCAACCCTGCCACAGAGAGCAAATCTACACCCCAAGACCCAAGTGCCACAATGGGTTTGTAAGACTCTGAGCCCTACAGCTGCTCTGAGCACCTGCACCTCAAACCCAGTGCTGATGCAGCTGCTTGTAGACCATGTCATACCTGACACCAAGAGGAATCCCTTTAACTCCCCTCATCTACTTGAATACAATAATAGAAGAAGACTTCAACACCCCACTGTCAGCACTGGACAAATTATCAAGACAGAAAATTAACAAAGAAACATTGGATTTAAACTGCCCTTTAGGTCAAATGAACCTAACAGACATTTACAAAACATTTCATCCAACAGCTGCACAATACATATTCTTTTTATCAGCACATGGGATACTCTCCAGGATAAACCCCATGTCAGGCCACAAAACAAGTCTTGAAAATTTTTAAATAATTAAAATTATGTCAAGTATCTTTTCTGACCACAATAGAATAAAAATAGAAATCAATAAGAAGAACTTTACAAATATGGAAATTAAACAACATGTTCCTGAATGACCAATGGGTCAATGAAGAAGTCAAGAAGGAAATTAGCCAGGCACGGTGGCTCATGTTTATAATCCCATCCGTTGGGAAGGCTGAGGCAGGAGGATTGCTTGAGCCCAGGAGTTTGAGACAAGCCTCAGTAACATAGCAAGAGTCTATATCTACAAAATACTTTTTTAAAAAATTAGCCAGGCATAGTGGCAGTCTCCTATAGTCCTTGCTACTCAGGAGGCTGGGACAGGAGGATTGCTTGAGCTGAGGTGTTCAAGGCTGCAATGAGCTATGACTACACCACTGCATTCCAGCCTGGGGAACAGAGCAAGATCCTGTCTCTAAAAAAATGAAATAAAAAAGGAAAAACTTTTAAAATTTTTTGAAACAAATGAAAATAGAAACAACATACTAAAACCTATGGAATACAACAAAAGCAGTATTAAGAAGAACATTTATGGCAATAAACACCTACATCAAAAAAATTTAAAGGTTTCAAATAAACAGTGTAACAATGTGTCTCAAGAAACTAGAAAAGCAAGAATAAACCAAACCCAAAATTAGAAGGAAAGAAATACTAAAGATCAGAGCAGAAAGAAACAAAATTCGGACTAAAAACAAATACAATTAAAAAAAAATCAGTGAAATGAAAAGTTGGTTTTTTGAAAAGATGAACAAAAATTGACAAACCACTAGCTAGACTAACCAAGAAAAAAGAGAAAAACCCCAAATAAAATCAGAAGCAAAAAAGGAGACAGTACAACTGACACTACAGAAATACAAAGGATCACTACAAACTATTACTAACAACTATGTGCCAACAAGTTAGAAAACCTGGCAAAAATGGATAAATTCCTGGACCATACAACCTACCAAGATTGAACCAAGAATAAATAGGAAGTCTAAATACACCAACAAGTAACAAGATTGAATCTGTAATAAAAAGTCTACCATCAAGGGGCCGGGCGTGGTGGCTCACGCCTGTAATCCCAGCACTTTGGGAGGCTGAGATGGGCAGATCACAAGGTCAGGAGATCGAGACCATCCTGGCTAACCTGGTGAAACCCCGTCTCTACTAAAAATACAAAAAAATTAGCCAGGCCTGTAGTGGCGGGTGCCTGTAGTCCCAGCTACCCAGGAGGCTGAGGCAGGAGAATGGCGTGAACCTGGGTGGGGCAGAGTTTTGCAGTGAGCCGAGATCATGCCACTGCACTCCAGCCTGGGCAACAGAGCGAGACTCCGTCTCAAAAAAAAAAAAAAAAAAAAAAAGTCTACCATCAAGGAAAAGCCCAGGAACCAATGGCTTTTCTGTGGAATTCTACCAAACATTTAAAGAAGGACTAATACCAATTCTTCTCAAACTCTTCCAGATAATTGAAGAGGAAGAAATTCTTCCAAACTCGTTCTGTGAGCCCAGTATTGATATCAAAACCAGACAAGGATGGACAGACACACACACACACACACACACACACACACACACACACCCCCCTATAGGCCAATATTCCTGATGAACATAGATACAAAAATGCTCAACAAAATAATAGCAAACTGAATCTGGCAGCACATTAAAAACATCATTCACCATACATAATCAAGCCAGATTTATCCCAGGGATACAAGTATAGTTTAACATATGCAAATCAATAAACACGATACATCACATTAATATAATAGAGGGCAAAAACCATATGATCATCTCAATAGACACGGAAAAAGCATTTGATAAAATTCAACATACCTTCATGATAAACACCTCCAACAAGGTAAGTATAGAAAGAATATACCTCAACACAATAAAGACCATATATAACAAACTCACAATCAACATCATACCAAATGAGGAAAAGTTGAAATCCTTTCCTCCAAACTCTGCAACAACACAACAGTGTCCACTTTCCTCACTTTTATTCAACATAGTACAGGAATTCCTAGCCAGAGCAATTAGGCAACAGAAAGAAATAAAGGGCATCCAAACTGGAAAAGAGGAAGTCAAATTTTCTGTTTGCAGATAATGTGACGTTATATATAGAAAACCCTAAAAAGCTGTACTAGAAAACTCTTAGAACTGATAAATTCAGTAAAGTTGCAGTGTACAAAATCAATATACAAAAATCAATAGCATTTCTATACACCAGCAACAAAGTAGCAGAAAAAGAAGTCAAAGTAATCCCATTTACAATAGCTACCAAAAAATAATAATAAAAGGCCTAGGCATAAAATGAACCAAGCAGGTGAAAGATTTCTAGAAGAAAATCTATAAAACACCAATGAAAGAAATGTAAGAGGATGAAAAAAAAAAAAAAAGAAAGAAAAGATATTCCATGTTCATGGCTTGGAAGAATTAATATTGTGAAAATGACCATACTACCAAAAGCTATCTATAGATTCAATACAATCCCTGCCAAAATACTAATGACATTCTTCACAAAAATAGAAAAAAAAATCCTAAAATTCACACAGAACCATTTAAAAATGGGCTAATGAGCTCAATAAACACCTCAAAAGAAGACATACAAATGGCCAGCTGGGATATGAAAAAATGCTCAACATCACTAAATTTTCAACATCAGAGAAACAAAAATCAAAACCACAATGAGGTATCATGTCAGTCCAATTAGAACAGCTATTATCAAAAAAACAAAAAATAAATTCTGGCAAGGATGTGAAGAAGGGGGAACTCTTATACAATCTTGGTGGGAATGTAAATTAGTACGGACATTATGGAAAGCTGTACAGAGGTTCTTCAAAAAACTAAAGACAGAACTATCACATAATCCAGCAATCTCACTACTGGGTATATATACAAAAGAAAGGAAATTAGTATGTCAAAGAGGTATCTGCACCCCCATCTTTATTCCAGCACTATTCACAATACCCTAAGATAGACTCAACCTAAGTGTCAGTCAATAGATGAATGGATAAAGAAAATGTGTTATATATACCCAATGGAACACTATTTAGCCACAAAAAAGAACAAATCTCTGTCATTCATGACAACATGGTTGAGCTAGGAGGACATTATCTTAAGTGAAATAAGCCAGACACAAAGACAAACACAGTATGCTCTCACTCATAGTGGAGGCTAAAAAAGTTGACCTCATACTGAACATATCTAAGGCAAAATAGAGATGATGAAAGGGTCAGTGAACTTTAAATAGATCAATAGGAATTCAGTTTGAATAACAGAAAAAATGAAGGATTTTAATAAATTACAAAGAACCAGGAGTCTGTAATTGTAATCTCTAGACTATGAATTTTAAAATGCAAAAAGTTATAACTAAAAGGCCAGTTAATAAGTTAAAATAAAATTTTGGCCAGGCACAGTGGCTCATGCCTGTAATCCCAGCCCTTTGGGAGGCTGAGGTGGGCAGATCACTTGAGGTCAGGAGTTGGAGACCACCCTAGCCAACATGATGAAACTCCATCTCTACTGAAAAAAAAAATACAAAAATTAGCTGCTCATGGTTGCATGCCTGTAATCCAAGCTACTCTGGTGGCTGAGGCAGGAGAATCACTTGAACCTGGGAGGCAGAGTTTGCAGTAAGCTGAGATTGCACCACTGCACTCCAGCCTGGGTGACAGAGGAAGACTCCATCTCAAAAAAAAAAAAAAGAAAGAAATTTTAAAAAATACTGACTTCAAAAGAGAGCAGGAAAGGAAGAACAGAGAAACAAAGAAGAAAGGAGACAAACAGAAAACATTAATACTTTAACCCTAAACTCAACATTATCAGTAACTGTACTACATTTTAGTGAGCTAAACATTCCAATTTAAAGGTAGTAATTGTCCAAATAAATTATAAAGCCAAGACCCAACTTTATTTTCAAGATACACTTAAATATTTAGAAAGTAATATATTAAAGGTAATTAGATGAAAAATGATATGCAATCAGTACCATGCAATCAGTAACCATAAAACTGAAGTGGCTATATTAATATCAGATAAAATACATACAAGACTAAAAGTTTTACCACAGATAAAGAGGGCAATTTCATAGTGATAAAAGTGTCAATTCATCAAAAAATATAATACATATCTATTTGAAAAGCTTCAAAATACATAACACAATTGACAAAATTAAAGAGAGAATATAAATCTATGATCTTAATATCTCTCCCTAATCAATTAATAGGATAAATACCTAATGCATGTGGGGCTTACTACCTAGATGACAGGTTGATAGGTTCAGCAAACCACCATGGCACATGTTTACCTATGTAACAAACCTGCACGTTCTGCACACGTATCTTGGAACTTAAAGCAAGATTTTTAAAAAATAGTAAAAACTAGGCCAAAAATTCTCGGTAAGCACACAGATGATTGGAACAAGGTCAATTATCTTGACCTAACTGATATTTTAGAACATTAAACCTAATAAGTGAAGAATACACATTTTTCAATTACACATGATATACGCACCAAGATAGACCATATACATGCCCATAAAACAAGTCTCAATAAAATGAAAAGCATTAAAACCACAGATTATATTCCCTGACAATGAAATTAGAAGTAACAATAAGATATGTAGGAAAATCCCAAATATTTGGAAATTAAAATGCTTTCATACTGTACCCAAACCAAAGAGGAGATAAGAAAAATTAGAAAATACTTTAAACTGAGTAATAATGAAATACATCAAAAATTGTGGAATACATTGAAGGAAGTGAATAGAGGGAAATTAATAGTGTGTATATGTATACATCATGATTCTATTTGCCAATACAATCTATGGTAGAAAATGCTTATAACAGAAAAGAAGAATAGACTAAAATCAATAGCTAAGGTTCTACTTTAAAAGCTCCAGCTGGGCACAATGGCTCACGCCTGTAATCCTAGCACTTCGGGAGGCCAAGGCAAAAGGATTGCTTGAGCGCAGGAATTTGGGACTAGCCTGGATAACACAGCAAGATCTCATCTCTACAAAAAATTTTTTTAAATAAAAAAAATCAGCTGGGCATGGTGGTGTGCACCTGTAGTCCTAGCTACCAGCGAGGCTGAGCAAGTCTGACTGTGTTTCTTTCTTTTTTTTTTTTTTTTAATAAAGGTAGAGCAAACCAAAACTAAGGAGGAAGAAGAAAATAATAAAGGCAAGAACAAAACTCAACAAAGGACAAAAACAACTGAGGAAATTAACAAAAGCAAAAGTCAACAGAACTGATAATTCCCCAATTTAATCCAGGAAAAAAAATGAGAATATAAATTACCTACATCAGGAAGGATCTAACAAGAGAATATTATGAACTTTACGCAAAAAAATTTCAACAATGTAGAGGAAATGGATACTTCCTCAAAAAATACAATTAACCCAAACATCTATGGCTAATGTTATACTTAATAGTGAAATATTGAAAGTTCCCCCTAAAATTGGGATCAAGGCAAGGATATCCACTGCAACTACCTCTATTTTACGTTATAGTGGAGGTCCTAGCCTTTGCCATGAGGCAAAAAGAATAAAAGACAAAAACTTGCAAAGGAAGAAGTAAAATTATCTCTATTTGCATATGATGTAATTGTTTACAAAAAAGTCTAAAGCAATCTAAAACAACTGTTAGAACTAATAAGTGAATTTAACAGGGTTTCAAGATATAAGGTAAATATACAAAAACAATTGTATTCCTGTATACTAGCAGCAAACAACTGAAAACTAACCAGAACTTTAATTTATAATTGTATTATAAAATAAAATATTCAGGGCTGGGCACAGTGGCTCATGCCTATAATCCCAGCACTTTGGGACCCTGAAGCAGGCAGATCAACTGAGATCAGGAGTTCGAGATTAGCCTGGCCAACATGGTGAAACTGCATCTCTACTAAAAATACAAAAATTAGCTGGGCATGGTGGTGGGCACCTGTTATTCCAGCTACTCAGGAGGCTAAGGCAGAAGAATTGCTTGAACCCAGGAGACAGAGGTTGCAATGAGCCAAGATTGCACCACTGCACTCCCACCTGGGTGACAGAGCAAGACTCCATCTCAAAAACAAAATAAAATATTCAGGAACAAATATAGTCAAAGACATGCAAGACTACTCTACTGATAACTATAAAACATTACTGAGAGAAATTAAGGCATTTAAAATAAATGGAAACATGCCAATTCTACCCAAACTGATCATAGATTCAATGTAATCCAGTGATAATAATCCCAGCCTTTTTTAATTGACAAGCTTGTTATAAAATTTATATGGATTTTCAAAGACTCTAGGATAGCTAAGGCATTTTGAAAAATAACAACAAATTTGGAGTATGTATATTACCTGACTGCAAGACTTACCATAAAGATTAATCAAGAAAGTGTGGTACTGGCTTAAGGATCAAGATACAGATTTATGGAACAGAATACAGCCCAGAAATAGGATGGCACTTACAGGGCCATTTGATTTTTCAAAAGAGGCACCAAAACAAATAGGGAAGAAGGTCCTTTCAACAAATAAAACTGTAATAATCTGATGTTCATACTGGAAAAAAATAAACTGGGTCCCTCTTCACACCACACACAAAAGTCAACTGTAAATGAATCTGTCTCACCCATCACCAGATTCACAGCTGAGGAACCTATAACAAAAGACAGGCTAACAAGAGAAAAGCATACAAATATATTTAAGTTGTATGTGACACAAGAGCCTTCAGAAATGAAGACCCAAAGAAACAGGAAAAACTATGTTTCTATGCTAAGTTTGATGAAGTGGATAGTTGAGAAGCAAAACTGGACAAAAGGGATAGGATTTAATGGTAATAAACTGTGGAGAATTTAGCAAGGCCTGTTTGTTCAGATTCTTCTGGACATCTCTGGGTCTTCAAAGTTCACATAAGGGTCATATGGCCTACTTCAAGGGAAGGTCAACTCTTTTATGGCCTGGGTCAGGGAAGAAGGGCAGGAGAAGTTCAAAGAATGACCTTCTTGCTTCTGTTCTTTCCTCAAATATCAAGTTGTTAGGGTAGTGTGTCTTGAACCCCATCAAATCATAGATCTAAACATAAAAGCTATAATCATAAAGCTTTTAGAGGCAAACATATGAGAATATCTCTGTGACTTAGGGAAAGGCAAAGTTTTGTGACACTGGTCACAGAAAGCCAGAAACATATATAAATTTCATCAGAATTTAAAACTTCTACTCATCAAAAAGCTATTATTGAGACAATTAATAGGCAAGTCATCACATGAATAGGCAATTAACAGGCTAGTGCTCACCATGATTAATCATCAGGGAAATGCAAATTTAAAACATAATGGGTTATGACTACATAGCCACCACAATGGCCAAAATTAAAAGACTGACAATTCCAAATGTTGGTAAGCATAGAGCAACAAGAACTCTAACACCGTGTTGATGGGAGTGTAAGAGTTAGAAACATTTTGGGGAAAATATCTGGCAGTTCCTTACAGATCTTAACCTATATTCCTACCCTTATAACCCAGCAATCCAATCCCAGGTATTTACTCATGAGAAATGAAAACATACATCCACTACAAGACATGTATAAGAACATTCATGGCAGCTTTACTCATTATATCCCCAAATTGGAAACAGCTCAGGTATATCCACCAATAGAACAGACAACTTGGTATATTCACACAATAAAATACCACTCAGTAATAAAAAGACATGAACTACTGATAAAAGCAACAACATGAATGAATCTCAAAAATATTATGCTGAGTGAAAAAAGCCTTTCACAAAAGAGTATACATATACTGTATGATTCCATTAAGCAAATGAAATCTATGGTAGAAACATTAAAACTCTGGGGCAAGTGGGGCAGGGATTGAGTGAGAAGGAGCAAAAGGGAACTTTCTGGGGTGATGGTAATGTTCTAGAACTTCATTGAGGCTCAAGTTACATGGGTGTACGTGTGCGTTAAAATTCAGTGAATGTACACTTAAAATTTGTGTATTTTCCTGCATGTAAATTTTGCATCAAATGAAAGCAAATTGTAAATATATATTTATCTCTGATTGATACCCATGTTGAAGCATTTGAGAGAAATAAGGTATTTGAAACGCCTCAAAAATTAGGTTGAGAGAGAAGCAGATGAGTGGATAGATTAAGAAAGCAAGCATAATAAACTGTTAAGGTAAAATTAGGTGGTGAGTATACAGGGGCTCATTACAAAATTCTTTTAAGTATGATGTATATTTCAAAAATTTACAATAAAATATATATTATAATAGATATAGATATTATTATAATATTTATAATAAAATTATTATTTGGGGAAATTCAGTGCATATACACTTAAGACTTGTGCATTTTATTGAATTTAAATTTCATAACAAAAGAAGAACTAAACAAATATTGAACTCTGGGTAATGACAGGTAACGCAGAAGAATTTAAAAGTGACTGCAATTTTTTTTGAAATATGTCAACATTTAAAAGGATAGTTAGATCAGTGCTCAAACAAGAACCATAAAATGTTTTTTTTGTGTTTTTTTTTTATTTGCTTTTTTTGACCCAGGCTGGAGTGCAGTGGCGCCATCTTGGCTCACTGCAAGCTCCGCCTCCGGGTTCACGCCATTCTCCTGCCTCAGCCTCCTGAGTAGCTGGGACTGCAGGCGCCCACCGTCACGCCCGGCTAATTTTTTGTATTTTTAGTAGAGACGGGGTTTCACCATGTAAGCCAGGATGGTCTTGATCTCCTGACCTCGTGATCCGCCCGCCTCGGCCCCCCAAAGTGCTGGGATTACAGGCGTGAGTCACTGCGCCTGGCCATAAAATGTTAATGGTAGAATCTAGATGGTGGGTATATCTGTTTTTATTGTAAAATTCTTGTATTTTTGTTGTTTGAACATTTTCAAAATAAATTGTTGAGGAAAAAAAACTCAGTGAGGGTGTAGGGCCTCTATTACTAAATGAAGGAAGAAAAAATCGGTACTGGGACTAATTAACAGCCTGCCCCAGTGAATAATGTTTACCTACTGAGCGGTCCATTCTCACCCATTCCCTCCTATCCCACCTCTGTGAGTTCAATTCTATCCTCAAAGAGTCATTCCTTTAACTTAAGCTTTGACCCTTGTTGAAATTCAAATACAGTAGTTTGATAATTCCTTATTGCCTCCCTTGGATTATTTTCCTCCAGTCCCCTAGAACTCGGTCTTATTCTTTTCTCTCCCTAAGTGACCAGCAGTCACAATTAACATGCATCTGGCTCCCAAGCATTCACTTCCCTTGCTACAGTTGCACATGTCCACATGATTCATAGATAGTTCCTTGGAACTATATCACTGCCACCTCAAAGCCAGTATTCCCTTTTTTTTTTCCTTTGGAAACAGGGTCTGGATCTGTTGCCCAGGCTGGAGTGCAGTGCTGTAATTATAGCTCACTGCAGCCTCAAACTCCTGGGCTTAAGCGATGCTCCTGCTCCAGCCTCCTGAGCAGCCAGGACAACAGGTGTGTGCCACTACATCCAGCTAATTATTTTATTTTTTGTAGAGATGGGCTCTTGCTATGATGCCCAGGCTGGCCTCCAACTCCTGGCCTCAAGTGACCCTCCCATCTTGGCCTCCCAAAGTGCTGGGATTACAGGCATGACCCACAGTTCCTGGTCAAGGCCAATATTTTCAAAACCAAAACTCTCTTCCCTCCTAAACCCTCTATATCTGTTATTAGTACCACCGTTATTCCTAGGATACAGATTTACCTCATTCATTCATTCAATAGTTATTGGGTTTTACTTTGAAATCCCTCTGCTAGAAGTAGATGGACAAAGTGGACATAATCCCTGCTCTTTCAAGGCTTACAGTTTATTACAGTCTAGTTGCTCCTTCCCTCCTTTATCCTTTCCATGTTTAATGAATAAACAGTAATCATGTTATTGCCTGAGAGAAAGGAGAGGGCTCCAGGAGTCAGCAATTAATTATCACCCAGGTTACACTGGGCTATCCACCCATCACTCCTATGTGCATGGCCCTTCAGGCCCAGTGGTTTGGTTACTTCTGCATCCTGCTTAGGGCATTCTAATAGTTTCTGAAGCTGCCTATGTTTCATTCTGCTGTATATCCCAGTCTGCCTGGGACGGTGCTAGTTCATGCTTATTGTTGCAGTGTAATTAACAGTGCCCCCTTTCTCTGTCAAATGTATCCTGGTTTGGCCAATAAATTTTGTGACCACCCACTCCTGAACCACACACAAACATTTCTAATCTGAGCACTTACTACTTATTCATGCAAGCCAGCAGGCCAGTGGAGCCCCTCTGTTTCCAGAAACTGGTAGATTTTAGGGTGTTAGGGAGCACTAGCTCTTCTCCTCTGTTCTTCTAAGAGGGATCATCTGTCCTAGGGAATTTCCTTTGCCTAAGAGTTTGGACTTTTAAACATAAAAGCCATAAAGGGTTGCAGCCTCCTCCTAGTTTCCCCATTCAGCCAGATCCCTTGCCCTAGATAGGGGGAGGAAAAGAATTTAGAGAAAAGGCCTGACTTACGATCTCAAAATATCCAAGATTTAGAACCCAGTTATTCATATACATGCTCTCTTCTAATCACTAAAAGGTCTTAAAAGACATAAGTTTCCTATTTCCTTTCTAAAAACCTACACTCTTCTCTCCTCTTTCCCACTGTAAAAACGAAGCAAGAAAAAAAAAAAATTCGCAAACTGGACAGCCCTCAGAATTACAGATTTGGAGCAACTCGAGCAATGCAACGTGGGCAGAGCAAATTTATGGACAGAAAAAGGAAGGTGACATATAGAAAACGGAAGTGAGGTACAGAAACAGCCAGACTGGTTACAGCTCAGCCTTTGCCTTATTTGGACACAATTTGAACAGTTGGCCGCCTGTGAGTGGACCCTATTCTTCTGCCTCAGGATTGGCTAAGACTCAGCTCTTATTACATACTCCTAAATCAGGTTCATAGTTTGTCTACCTACCAAGGTAGCTTACGGTTTATCCATAAGGACTCAACTATGTGAGTACAGAGACTTTCTCAGGCCAGATTTTAGTTTGATTTAACAAGGGTAAGCTCATTAAATGCTTGTTGAAGTTACAAATATTAGCTATTTGCACCTACTGTGCTTGAGTTACAGTTCTTTTCCTAAGTACCGTACAGGTCTAGACAAAAAGAAAGCAGCTAGGTATCTAAGAGATTAAAAAGACCTAGATGAGAGAATGTACAATTCCACAGGGCAGCAAAAATAAACTTTACTTGGTTTACATTTGCCCAACTGCATATGGCCCCATCTCTTAGCTTTCACACTGTATATAATTCTGTACAGGGATAGAACCAAGTTTTCCCCTTTTTGTTCACTCATTGCCTCTCATTGCATCATGAACAAATGCATTGCATCATGAACAATGCCTCTCATTGTTCACTCATTTGTTCACTCATTGCATCATGAACAATAGTGCCTGAGATGCTTACTTCAGAATTGAGACAGGCAATTGGGCCAAAACCTGTTGAACCTCAGTGAATATAAAACATGAGTGGCAGAAAAGAGCAAAGGAAGGGAGGAAGGAAGGAGGGAAGGAGGGAAGGAAGAAAGACAAAAGAAAGAGCATCCAAATAGAAAGAAGTCATATTATCCTTATTTGCTGGTGATAAAATCTTATATTTGGAAAAACCTAAAGACTCCACCAAAAAACTATTAGAGCTGATAAATTCAGTCAAGTTGAAGGATACAAAATCTACACAAATCAGTAGCATTTCCATATGTCAACACTGAACTATCTGAAAAAGAAATCAAGAAAGTAATCTCACAATAGGTACACATAAAATAGGAATTAATCAAAAAATGAAACATCTCTATGATGAAAACTATAAAACACTGATGCAAGAAATTGAAGAGGACACAAAAACATTGAAAGACATTCCATGTTCATGGACTAGATCAATATTGTTAAAATGTCCATACTACCCAAAGCACTCTAGAGAGTCACTGCAATCTCTATAAAAATACCATTGACATTCTTCATAGAAATAGAAAAAAAAAATTCTAAAATGTATATGCAACCACAAAAGATCCAAAAGAGCCAAAGCTATTCTGAACAAAAAGAATGAAACTGGAGGAACATTACCTGACTTCAAATTGTGCTACACAGTTATTATAACCAAAACAGCACAGTATTGGCATGAAAACAGACCCATAGACCAATGGAGCAGAATGGAGAACCCAGAAATAAATTCATACATCTACAGTGAATTCATTTTCAACAAAGGTGCCAAGAACATACATTGGGGAAAGGACAATCTCTTCAATAAATGGTGCTGGGGAAACTGGATATCCATATGTAGAAGAATGAAACTAGACCCCATGTCACTATATACAAAAATCAAATCAAAATGGATTAAATAGTTAAATCTAAGACCTCGAACTATGAAACTACTACAAGAAAACAATGGGAAAACGCTCCAGGACATTGGACTGGGCAAAGGTTTCTTGAGTAATATCCCTCAAGCACAGGCAACCAAAACATGAGCGGGACTTTTAGGGTGCACTACTCTCAACACCTGAGAAGCAAAACTATGAAAATAAAAGCAAAAATTCCCCCGACCCAACCCCTCCTGGTCTCCTAGTCATTCTTCAAGTTCTGAGTCAATTTATGCCTATGATTTTAAAACACAGGTTTTGTAGCCAGACGGACTACATTCAGACCCAGATTCACTATTATCCTTTGCCTTAGTTTGATAATCTGTAAAATGGGGCTAATCTCTCTCGAGGCTATGCTGAGGATCAGATGACTGCCAAATATAAAGTATTTATATGGTGCACCGTATAAATACTTTGCACCAACCTTATATATCTTAAGCACCTCGTCAATGGGTGCTGTCATCATATTTGCCAAGAGTTATCCCAGGTGGGAGTGATAGAGCAGTGAACAAAACAGACACAGCCGCTGGCCTCCTCCAGGTGCACACAGCCTTCCAAAAATAATATTAATTAAATAAAGCATTGTAACAACACTGACTTAAACTCCTCTGGTCGGGACTGCCCTGTGACTATGTCTGGAATATGTCTAAATTAGCACCCACAACTGTTTTATAAGTCTTCAAAGCCTGTCTCCTCCCAGGCCTTGAACCCCTGGGCACAGAGACCAGCGGCTGATCCCTACCTTTGGGCGCTCGCCCCTGCACTGTGCCTGGCCCTCAGCAGGCCCTACCGACTGTCCTTGCTGACAACAGGAGGAGGGCTGTTGGCGGCACTGACAAATCAAGCGGGTGTCGGACCTCAGCGCCTAGAGGGAGTGCTCTGTCTCCCTCCTTTCCGCCCGGTCTCAGTCTCCCGCCCGGATTCCCTCCCACCGGCAGTAGCCAACAGCCTGTCCCAGCCTTGACCCCATCCATTCTCTCAGCTTACTCTCAGGGTCCGAAACGTGAAAAGGCCAGCAGCTTAGCAAGGTCTCCGACCTCTGTTCCACTCGCCCTCGCCCTCCTTGCTGCTGCGCCTAAAAGCAATCCCAGGCCCACCGCGCCCGCCCACGCTGGCTTCCCCCAGACACCCCCGGCTGCGATTCCCCTACCAGACTTGGCAGTTCCCCAGGGTGTTCGCATTAGCGCCAAGGGGAAACATTCGTTGTTAATTACGTTGCTTCTTAATGATGAGCGTCTGCCGGGCGGCTCCTCTCAGAAGAAAGGCAAAGTGTTCGGAATCGCAACATTTCTGGCCCTGAGCTCTGGAAGGATCGAGCTCCGCTACGGGCCCAGGGCTGAGAAAACGCGCGACCCCGGGGGTCCGTCCACCTCTTCAGGGAACCCACACATTCCACAGATCTCTGTGAAACAGAAAAAGTGTTCCTTCTGAAGACCAAGGGCGTCCCTACAAGATAGATTCTGTCCTCTTCCCTTTGGCTTCTTGGTGAGGGCGACCCTCTCTGCTGAGAGCGCTTCCCTCCAGCTCGCCACGGAGGACGCTGTGTAGCAAAGAAAGGTCCCTCTTCACTTGTGTGAGTTTGCTAACAGTGCACGCAAGGCTTCTCGGGTGAAAGAGGCCTGAGCCACTTCTTTTGAAGCCCTAAATGTATTTTTTAAATGAAGACATGCCAAACAGCTACAAAAAGTTGTAATTGTGCTGTATTTTAAAGCTCCGCCTTGATTACCAGTGTTGTTTACACGCATGCAACTGTAATGACTGCCTGCATAAGCTCATCTGGAGATAAGGCCTAAAGGCCGTATGTGAGGCCCCTGATGGACATGAGGCCAGGATCAAATAGCTCTTCTCCTCTCCCCTCTGAGACGAGCTCTGTGACTGCAAATACACAGGGAGGGGAGGGGAAGTGGCCTGAGAGAGGCGGCGGGAGGAGAATTAACCCTACAACAGAGACAGTGAGGTTTAAAAAAAATAAGTGGACTTGAGAACTGGGTTCATATTGGGTGCCGGTGAGGATACTTCACCTCCTTCTTGCCTCATTACCCATCTGTAAGCTAAGGAATGTTGAAAGAGGCTTTGTTCTCCAAAAAAGATAAAAACAGTTCTAAGGAGAAAAGAGGCCATGGGCCGGGAAGCAAGAATGCATTGCTAAGAGCACCCTGAAGATGTTTCTTTCCTCCTTCTTGCCTCCCTCCTCCTCCCTGAGATGGAATCAAAATGCTTTAACAGGCAGTTGACGAAGAACACGATTCATCCCAACCAAGTGGAGAGTTTTTCTTGTGTTTGATATTTATTAAAATCTTGGAATTCCACACTTCATCCATTTTTCCCATGGCTTCCCTTCATGCATAAACAGCAAAAAGGATGCTGCTTGTTACATAAACTTGTCAGGCTGCAAAAGCCCAACATTCTGTTTTCTCCCTAAGTGGGGTGCGGGAGGAAGCGTGTGTTTATTATGTATTACAAAGAGCTTTGCACTACCTAAAATCAAAGTAATTAGGTAGTGCGAGTCAAAAATAGTTTTGAAATGTTATAAATAAAGTGACAAAACACTTCTTTAGATTTCTGAGAAATGCATTCCTGACAATATTGCTCCTGCTCTCTCTGCATTTGCTATTAGAAAAGAAAGGCCTTCTTTCTCAGTCTATCTTTGCACCATCACCTGGACACCCTCCGAGATGAGTCACAGGCAGAGGAAATTATCGTGATTGCATATTGTTTAGTCTCTAAACTTCAGCTGCTTCCTGGGCAACCCAGTTGCCTGCAATTTAACCTGCCTGGATGGATGAGCTCATTAATGAGCCGCCCCACAGGCTTTCTCGATTGGCTCTTCTCCAGACCCTAGTTCTCTTTCTTCACCCAGTGGTCACTGGTTCACCAGCCTTCCTTGTGTGATGAAGTAAGTCCTCATCCCACTCTCACTGCGCTCCTCCCTCCTTCTGGAGGAGACCTTAGAAAGGGTGGCAGGAGCAGTCATTTCAAGCATCCAGTGGAGCCTGCACTTTTCACAAAGGCCACCCTTTCTCCAGGATGCTACCAACTTCTCAATGCCCTCCTCCCGGGTTCCTTGGGAGGGAGGGGAATCAAGTCAGCAATTCTTCTTTCTTCCTCCTTTCTTCGCCAAGAGGCTGCTTCCCCATCGTGGGTCAGCGCCAGCCTAGTAGGGAACCCTGAATTCCTCTCATTGTTTTCCCCCTTACAGAGAAGCAGAGTGGCCCCAGACGGTGGGAAGCCCTCCTAGGAGTCTCATTGAGGACTCTCACAGCTACCAGTTGGGGATTGGGGGTGAGGGGTGGGGACAGATGGAAAGCCTTGGGTTTTAATGTTTATATAAGAAACAGCAATTCAGGCTCTCCCTCGCCCATGTGTCCTGTGGTGAGTGTGTCTCTAGGGAAAATCCTGGTATTTGCTTTCCGGTTTAAAAAAATTTAATTATCAAGATCCTGACTTTTTGTGCCTTGGCTTCCTGCTTTCTAAGAAAGCCAAAAGCACTTGGATTAAATAAAATTAAGTCCAGACTTCCTTTTGTGGACCCCAAGAGAACACTGCTCCTCTCCTCTCGGCCAGGTCTCTTCGCAGTGTGCTCCACCCTATCTTTATCTCTTATTTTTTCCTTTTTGCTTCCCTTCCTGCCTTTCCAACCACCTTATTTAATTGGCTTCTGGGTCTTTTTTTTTTCTTTTTCCATTTTTGCCACTCTTGAACCCAATTTTATCCTTGACGCTATTTCAATCAGCTTCAGCCAGGAGCTAGTAGTGAAGAAAATCTTGGCCAAAATTGAGAAGTGCTGCTTGTTTTTAACCTAACCTCTATCAGAGTCTTCTAGCGGTCAAGAGCACCTCAAGCCACTTCTTTTTACAGAGGATCCCGGAACCGCTTTTTAAAAAAAATTTTGATAAATGCCAAAAAGTCACACAAACTGTAGAATATCTTAGGTGTTTACACTAAAAAATTGTCCCTTAACACACACTCACAAAACAATGTAACTAAAGATGTCATGTAAGTCTAAATATGAAGCTCCTTGTGAATTTGGGACCCCAGTCAAAACCTCTGATGTCCATTTCCCCCTGAAGAACCTTGTGGCCCACATATTGCTCTTCTTGTCTTGGCTCAACTAGCTACTGGGGAATTTGAGCAGCAGGGCAGTACTGATTCCTCTGTTGCCAGTCCTCTCCCCTGCCTGGGCAGTCTGAGACCCCCTCTCCCCCAGTAGGGCACTCAGTTGAAAACGGTGGCTTTCTACCTTCAGGTGTCCACCGATGACCAGATGGTGATTGTTAATAACGTTATTCTTTTAAAACCATGACTGGTTTTCCAACCCCACACACGAGGGTGTTTTTAAATTAATTGATTTTTAACTCTGTTTTTAAATGAATAAAAGTGTTTTAGAATTAGCATCATTTGAAAGAACAGCAGATCCAATTGTTGGAACTGAGTGATAGGTACTCAGGAATCACTGTGCTGGACTCTCTACTTTCATGTATGTTAGACATTTCCATAACAAAAATAAAATATAAGTAAGATGCTCTTGGATCTAAATTTACTCTAAATACTAGCATTAAGAATAAAATGTTCTGGACTGGGTGCTGTGGCTCACTCCTGTAATCCCAGCACTTTGGGAGGCCGAGGTGGGTGGATCAATTGAGGTCAACAGTTTGAGACTAACCTGGCCAACATGGAGAAACCCTATCTCTACTGAAAAAAAAAAAAATCCCAAAGAATTAGCCAGGTGTGGTGGTGCACACCTGTAATCCCAACTACTGAGGAGGCTGACGCAGGAGAATCGCTTGAACCCAGGAGGTGGAGGTTGCAGTGAGTAGAGATTGTGCCACTGCACTGCAGCCTGGACAACAGTGAGACTGCATCTCAAAATAAAATGTTCTGAATTAATTTCTCTTTGTAAGTTGAGAGAAAAACCTTTACCACTATTTCCTAAATAAAACTTTTGTCTGGCTTTCTGGGGGTATGTTTGTGTGTGTGTTTGAGGTTTGTTTAGCACAATCTGAGATATAGGATCCAGATGATGATGATTTTGAGACAGTGTCTCGCTCTGCTGCCCAAGGTGGAATGCAGCGGCATAATCACGGCTCATTGCAGCCTCAGCCTCCTGGGTAGCTGAGACCACAGTTTTGTGCCACCATGCCTGGCTAATTTTTTTTTTTTTTTTTTTGAGACAGGGTCTCCATATGTTGGCCAGGCTGGTCTCAAACTCCAGGACTCAAGCAATCCTCCTGCCTCAGCTTCCCCAAGTGCTACAGGCATGAGACACCATGCTGGGCTAGCGAGACCCATTTTATTATTAAACTATGTTTTTTTAATGTTAAAAATATTATAATTGTTTTAAAGAAGTTGACTTCATTGAAAAACATTTATTAAGACTTACTAAATGTGAAGCTGTAACAAATAAGATGTAAGAAAAATAATTATAGACTTACTGGTACATTTGGAGTAGCACTGTTAAGTAGCAAGAAAAGCTCAGGAGAGCAGACTCCAATCAGAGGAAGAGGCAATAGGAACGGTTTTTCAGAGAAGCTGGCCTTTAAGCTACGCCTTGAAGGATAAGAGAAATTTCACCAGACTAGACAAGTAGGAGGAGGTGGAGTTATTCCAAGGAGGAATGGTGAGAGTTCAGGCCCCAAGATAAGTGTCTAGCATATTTGAAGTTTGCTAAGCACAGCTGTGTGTACGTGCAGGATGTGCATTTGCCTGGGAGAATGCTGGGGGCAGTGGAAAGACCAAGATGAAGGCAAAGTTCTGAATGTGTCTCCCCAAATTCCTATGTTGAAACAATCCCCAATGTGAGACTATTAACAGGCAGCCTTTTGGGAAGTCAGGCTCAGTTCTCATGAATGGGATGAGTGCCTTTATAAAAGAAGCTGAAGGCAGCTCATTTACCCCTTCCACCATGTGAGGATGTAGCAACCAGGCACTATCTATAAGGCAGAGAACAAACCCTTACCAGTCACCAAATCTGCTTCCACCTTGATCTTGGACTTTCCAGCCCTCAGAACTGTGAGCTATAAATTTCTGTTTATCAGTTACCCAGTCTACAGTGTTTTTGTTATAGCAGCACAAACAGACTAATACACTGTATTAATCTGTTTTCACACTGCTATAATGAAATACCTGAGACTGGGTAATTTATAAAGGAAAGAGGTTTGATTGACTCACAGTTAATGAGTCAGGCCTCCGCATAGCTGGGGAGGCCTCAGGAAACTTACAAACATGGCAGAAGGCAAAGGAGAAGCAAGTACCTTTTTCACAAGGCAGCAGGAAGGAGAGAAGAGCAGGGGAAACCAGCACTTATAAAACCCTCAGATCTCATCAGAACTCACTATCAGGAGAACAGCATGGGGGAAACTGCCTCCATGATCTCATCACTTCCCACTAGGTCCCTCCCTTGACACGTGGGGATTACAATTCAAGATGAGATTTGGGTGGGGACATAGAGCCAAACCATATCAGATACCATGCTAAGAAGTTGAAGCTTTACCTTTTAGGCCAGTAAGTCTGGGGTGGGGCCCAGGAATCTGCATTTATCAAGTTCTTTAGGTGATTTTTATGCAGGTGGTCTGGAGATCTCGCTGTAATAAATACTGTTTAGAGGGGCTCTGTTATAGATAAATGAAATTTATAGAAAGTGACAGAAGACACATTTTTATAAAATGGTAGGCATGGTATTAAGTGTGAAGCACCAAAAAGACATAAAACTTGAACCCAGTCCTCAACACATAATTAAAGTAGGCTGATAAGATTTACTACAGCCACTAGGTATGGTTGTGCAGGCTGTGCACTGCACCACAATGCCATCTGAGAAGGTACTGTTCACATTTTAGGCATCATAGATTTGTGTATTTGTTACAGTTTTTGGCAGATAAGTCCAATGTCTTATTCTAATAAAAAGAGGATACTACAGCAATTTTTCAACAGATGGAAATAAAGTGTCTTGAGGAAGGTAGTGGTATATTGTTATATTAATGGCTCCAGTGAATCACATTTCCTGGTATCGACACCCTTCTTTGGTCCTCTGCTATATTAACTCTGAGCCATTGGGAAATCAGCAAATGTGACACGGCAGACTTTGCAGAATTCCCAATGATCAAAGCCAAGTTCTCCGTGATTTTTCTGGACTTTCCCTTATCATCAAAGGATGGCTGCTGCTGATCCAAACAGCTATAGGCATCACATCTGCATTCAAAGTAGGTAGAAAAGGAGCAGTGTAGGCAATGCCAACCAGAGTGTCTTTTCTCTCTTCTCTTCTCTTTTTTCTTTTGACAGAGTTTTACTCTGTTACCCAGGCTGAAGTGCAACGAAGCAATCATAGCTCATTGCAATTTCAAACTCCTGGGCTCAAGTGATCCTCCTGTCTCAGCTTCCCAAGTAGCCAGAAGTATGAGGTGTGTACCACGCACCTGGCTAATTTTTTTTGTATTTATAAAGACGGGGGACTCACTATGTTGCACAAGCTGGTC
Source organism: Homo sapiens (assembly GCF_000001405.40). Classification (NCBI taxonomy): domain Eukaryota; kingdom Metazoa; phylum Chordata; class Mammalia; order Primates; family Hominidae; genus Homo; species Homo sapiens. Next base: position 76,808,376 of record NC_000004.12, read on the forward strand.
TCAAACTCCTGGCCTTAAGTGATCCTCCTCCTTCTGCCTCCCAAAGCACTGGGATTACCGGTGTGAGCTACCATGCCCAGCCCCAGAGCTGCTTTTATTAGAAAAGCAAATTTTTTTCCAGCAACATTCCAGCAGACTTTCATTTATATCTCATTGATCTTCATCATTTGGCCATTGTTAGCTGCAAGGGAGTCTGGAAAATGGAATATTAACTTTTCCAAGCCTCTGTAGTAAAACATGACAAGGAAATGGGAGTTTAGGAAAGGATATTGGGTTGACTAAACAGCAGTGCCTGCTGTGGAACTTTTAATCATGCATCCCATACATAGCCACGCTCCTATTAATACCACTGTGTTAGGCCATTCTTGCATTGCTAGAAAGGAATACCTGAGGCTGGGTAATTTATAAAGAAAAGAGGTGTAATTGGCTCAATTTCTGCAGGCTGTACGAGCATGGCACCAGCATCTGCTCAGCTTCGGGGGAGGCCTCAGGGAGCATTTACTCATGGGAGAAGGTGAAGCAGGAATGGGTGTGTCACATGGTGAGAGTGGGAGTGTGATGGGGGGAGGTGCCACACTTTTACATAACCAGATCTCCTGAGAACTCACTATTGCAAGGACAAGCCATGCAGGATCTACCTTCATGACCCAAACACCTCCCATCAGGCCCCACATCTAACACTGGGGATTGCATTTCAACATGAGATTTGGGGGGACAAATATCCAAACTATGTCAATCACAAATGTATACAACATGGAGACTGGAAGCTGCTAGCCAATTTCCAAGCTTTATCTTACAATTCAAAGGGAAGAAATTATCTCCAAGCCATTGATTTATTCAACAAATATTTACTGAGGATAATTCTACAAGTTAGACATTGAGCTAGGCTTTGAAATACCATCCCTGAGATTCAGGAATGGACCTACTGTTCTGCAGGACGAAGAATTCAGCCTCCCTGTAGGCCTGGAGAGAAGGGATAAATATTGCCAACAGCCTCTCATTTCACTGTAACTTCCGTTTTCACATCTGTTTCATTTATCTTTTCTTTTTTTTTTTTTTTCTTTTTTTGAGTCAGTCTTGCTCTGTCATCCAGGCTGGAGTGCAGTGGTATGATCTCGACTCACTGCAACTTCCGCCTCCTGGGTTCAAGCTATTCTCATGCCTCAGCCTCCTGAGTAGCTGGGATTATAGGTGTGCGCCACCATGCCCGGCTATTTTTCGTATTTTTAGTAGAGACAGGGTTTCGCCATGTTGGCCAGGGTGGGTCTCGAACTCCTGACCTCAAGTGATCCACCCACCTCCGCTTCCCAAAGTGCTGGGATTACAGGTGTGAGCCAGGGTGCCTGGCCTTCATCTATTTCCTCTTTTAACTTCCATTTCCATTCCCATTTTCCTTGTATCAGTTAGCTTTTGATGCAATAACTAACCATCCTGAAACTTTGTAGCTTAAAACAACAGTCACGTATTGTTACTCACAAGTCTGCAGGTCAAGTGGCTGGTTCTTCTGATCTGGGCCAGGCCTGGCTGATCCCAGCTGGGTTTGCTCATGTGTTTGCAATTCATCAGTGGGTCAGCTGAGGGCACTTAGCCTAGGATGGCCTCACTCACATGTCTGGTGGTTGGTGCTGGCTGTCAGCTAGGGCAGTGGGGTAACAGGGCCACGTGTCACTCGTTCTCCAGCAGGCTTGCTGAGGCTTATAAATAAGGTGGTTGTTACGGGATTCTCAAGAGTAGGAAGAGTAGGCAAGCCCTAATGTGCTAGGACTTTTCAAGTTTCTGCTTGTGTCATATTTGCTACCTGTTCCATTGATCAAAGTAAGTCACAAGCTCGGCCCAGATTCCAGAGATCGAGAAATAAAGTCCATCTCATGATAGGTGGAGCTGCAATCACACTGCAAGGGCAAGAGAGCAGGGAAGGGAAGAATTTGTGCTCATTTTGTTAACTCCCACACTTCTTTTCTTCCACTACATAGGACACCAAAAATTCGTTAAGCTGGTTAATGATCTTTGAGGCCAGGTGCAATTCACTTCTATCAAACATTGGTTATAGTGCCTCTGCACTATTAGGGGAAAAAAATAATAAAAGGCCTGGCGTGGTGGCTCACGCCTTTAATCCCAGCACTTTGGGAGGCTAAGGTGGACAGATTGCTTGAGCTCAGGAGTTCAAGACCAGCCTGGGCAACATGGCAAAACCCCGACTCTACAAAAAATACAAAAATTATCCAGCTGTGGTGGCATGTACCTATAGTCCCAGCTACTTGGGAGGCTGAGGTGGGAGGATTGCTTGAGCTCAGGAGGTGAAGGTTGCAGTGAGCTGAGATCATGCTACTGAACTCCACAACAGAATGAGACCTTGTCTCAAAACAAAAAACAAAAAACAAAGCCTGAATTATCCACCACCAACTCCTAAGCCACTGGCTGTCAACATTTATGAACTAAGACCCATTAGCAAGAAATTTATTTTACAGTATCCAGAATATACATGTACACATTTTTTTTTTAGAAAAATAAGTTATGGGCCAGTTGCAGTGGCTTACGTCTGTAATCCCTGTAATCCCAGCACTTTGGGAGGCTGAGGCGGGCAGGTCCCTTGAGGTCAGGAGTTTGAGACCAGCCTGACATGGTGAAACCCCATCTCTACTAAAAATACAAAAATTAGCTGGGCATGGTGGTGCATGCTTGTAATGCCAGCTACTTGAGAGGCTGAGGCAGGAGAATGGCTTGAACCTGGGAGAGAGAGGTTGCAGTGATCCAAGATGGTGCCACCGCACTCCAGCCTGGTGACAGAGCGGTACTCCATCTCGAAAAAAAAAGAAAAGTAAGTTGTGACCCACTAAATTAATTCACCACCCACTAATGGGTTATGATCTGTAGTTTGAAAAGCATTTTCGTAAGCTAAGGCCAGGAACACCACTTTTCTAGGAAAAGAGAACAGCAGGTTCCCTTTGAGGGGTTCAATAAAGAGCCTGAGTTTGGAGCTTGCAGGATCAAAAGAAGACCAGCATGTGGGGAGTCTACTGAATGGGAGATGAGGCGGGAAATATAGACAAGGGTCTGCCAGGAAGGTCTGCAGGTTGTGGCGGGGCATTCGGGACTCACTCTTCAAAAAAAATAAAAATAAAAAATAAAGGGTCTTGCTATGTTGCCCAGGCTGGTCTTAAACTCCTAGGCTCAAGGGAGGGATTCTCCTCCTTCAGCATCCTGAGTAGCTCGGATCAGGAGCATGCTGCTCTGCCTGGCTTCCATTATTCTAATGGAAGTTCCCAGTGGTTTTACGCAGAGAAGTGACATGATATAATCTATTTTCCAAAATAGTTTCTCCTGACCTCATGCACAGCCCTAAAATGATTGCAGAATGACTTAATTTTCTCTAAATTTAAAACAAGCCCGGAATGGTTTTAAGACCCTCCGTAGAGAATTCTTTCACTCTCCCCCACATTCATTCAATGAAACTCATTTCCTGGTTCCCTTCCCTCCACGAGGGCGCCTACCCTCTGCTGAGCAATCTGGAGACCAGAATCCTGCAGAAATAAGAGTGCTGAAGTTTTAAAATTCCTCTTTCTATCAAGTCCAGTACTTTTATTATCCTTCTGTCACTAAGAATCCACATATCTGCTGGCCACACTGCCCTCCTGGCTGGAGTCATGCATACCCATGGACTTTTTTTTTTTCTGATTTGCAACATTGACACTTGGAAGGACATCTGTAAGTTTTGGCAGCTGGCTCCTCACAGCTTGGAAGCAGGTCTCCTCTCCCAGTGGGGGTCTCCATCTCTGCTGGGACATCTGCAGTGCCTGCTGTTGGGAGCTGCCACACATGGTCTGAGTCGGGGGTCACACAGACTGAAAAGGAAGCTGAGAGAGGGATTGCTTAGCAGGAGACAAGCAGATTTCCCAGGGCCTGGGCCTCCTTGGCTGGTCCCCAGGAGACGAGTTCCAGCTGCTTTTCTTTTTTGCTTCTTCTTCCTCCCCCCACCCCCCTTTCCGGTTTGGGCCCCTTTTCCCTCCCGCCTTCGGCCGACCCGCAGTCCAGACAATATTTCGGGTGGAAAACATCACTGTCAAAAAAGAAGAATCCAGAGGATGAGAAGCTGAAAAGCTGAGGGGGAGCTCCCCTCTTCTGGAAGCCTGTTCCATGGATCTGTCACCTCTTGTCTGGGAAAGATGATGGGGTGCAGCAAACACACTCAGATGTGTGTTCCTGCAACCTGTTAGCCCCTCACTTCCCTGTGCCCCCTCTCCACTTCCCCTTCCCACGCTAATGACTTGCCCCAAGTCTGTGGTGAGCATCCCAACAGATTTATTTTCTTTGCAGTTTCCAAAATAGATGCTTTCAAAGCTTAGAGTTAAAGATACTGGTAGGAAAAGGGATATTGAAGGGAGAGGAGGAAGAGGAAAGAAAGAAGTGGCATTGGAAAGTAGAGCAGGCCAGGCACAGTGGCTCATAGCTGCAATCCCTGCACTTTGAGAGGCCAAGGTGGGTGGATCACTTGAGACCAGGAGTTTGCAACCAGCCTGGGCAACATCATGAGGCCCTGTCTCTACAAAAAAAAATGTTTTTTTAATTAGTTGGGCATAGTGGCAGGCCTGTAGACCCAGCTACTCATGAGGCTGCTGTGGGAGGATCACTTGAACCCACGAGGTTGAGGCTCCAGTGAGCCGTGAGCCATGATTGTGCCACTGCACTTCAGCCTAGGTGACAGAGCTAGACCCTGTCCCAAAAAAACAAAACAAAAAACAACAACAACAAAGACAAGAAAAGTGGAGAAGCTAGTAAGTCAATAAATTGTAATGGTTAAAGACAGGAGCTCCAGATTCACTCAAACCTGGTTTATAATCCTATAACTGCGGCTTATTGACTTGTGAATTAAGGTTGTCTGTTTTAACTTCTCTGAGGCTCTGTTTGCTCATCTGTAAAATGGGCATAATTGTATCTGCTTATCTAAGTTAAAAACTAAGTGAGACTCTTCTTTTCTCTTTTCTTTCTTTTCTTTTTGTTTTTCTTTTTCGAGAAAGAGTCTCCCTCTGTTGCCCAGGCTGGAGTGCAGTAGTGTGATCTCGGCTCAGTGCAACCTCCGCTTCTGGGTTCAAGCTATTCTCCTGCATCAGCCTCCTGAGTAGCTGGGACTACAGGCATGCACCACTACACTTGGCTAATTTTTGTATTTTTAGTAGACAGGGGGTTTCACCATGTTGGCCAGGCTGGACTCGAACTCCTGGCCTCAAGTGATCCACCCCTGTTGGCCTCCCAAAGTGCATTAAACGACACTCTTAATGCAATTATTATCTACTCGAGTAAGTGCTTGATAAACGGTAGCTCTTTATAATGAATATTATTCATGTAAAGGGAACATTGGAATAGCTGTCGGATACTTTCAAAGAAACAAAACCAGGAAACTAGCTATTGAGGAGCTTTGGAAACACAAGCTTTCAGCTGGATGCTGTATGTCTTTTTTTTTTTTTTTTTTTTAACAGACTGAGTCTTACTATGTTGCCCAGGCTCGTCTCAAACTCCTCCTGGCCTAAAATAATCCTCCAAAGTGATGGGATTACAGCATGAGCCAGCCTATTTATGTCTCTTAGGTAATTTTTTTAAATGTTTATGGGTACATAGGTATATATATTTATGGGATACATGAGATATTTTGATCTAGGCATACACTGTATAACAATCACATCAGGGTAAATGGGGTAACCATCACCCCAAGCATATATCATTGCTTTGTGTTACAAACATTCCAATTATACTCTTATAGTTATTTTTAAGTATGCAATAAATTATGGTTTACGGTAATTACCCCATTTTGCTATCAAATACTAGATTTTATTCATGCTTTCAAACTGCATTTGTGTACCCATTAACCATCCCCTCTTCCCCGCTTACATCTGACCACTCATCCCAGCCTCTGGTAACTAACCTTCTACTCTCTATTGCCTTGAGTTCAGTTGTTTTAATTTTTAGCTCCCACAAACAAGTAAGAACATACGAAGTTTGTCTTTCCTGTGCCTGGTTTATTTTACTTAATATAATGACCATCCATGTTGCTACAAATGATAGGACCTTGTTTTTTAATGGCTAAATAGTACTCTAATGTGTATATGTACCACATTTCTTTATCCATTTGTCCATTGATGGACACTTAGGTTGCTTCCACATCTTGACCACTGTGAGTGGTGCTGGCGGTAAGCATGGGAGTGCAGATGTCCCTTTGATATCCTGATTTCCTTTATTTTGGATATATACCTAGCAGTGGAATTGCTGGATCATAGTGTAGTTCTATTTTAGTTTTTTAAGGAACCTTTGACTTGTTCTCCACAGCAATTATACTAATTTACATTGCCACCAACAGTGCATGAGGGTTCCTTTTTCTCCACATCCTCGCCAGCATCTGTTATTGCCCGTCTTTTGGATATAAGCCATTCTAACTAGGGTGAGATGATATCTCATTGTAGTTTTGATTTCCATTTCTTTGATGACTGATGATGTTGAGCAACTTTTCATATACCTGTTTGTCATTTGTATGTCTTCTTTTGAGAAATATCTATTCACATCTTTTGTCCATTTTAAAAATTAGATTATTAGTTTTTTTTCCTATAGAGCTGTTTGAGTTTCATATATAGTCTGGTTAATAAGTCCTTGTCAGAGGGATAGTTTGCAAATATTTTCTCCTATTGTGTGGATTGTCTCTTCACTTTGTTTATTATTTCCTTTGCTGTGCAGAAGCTTTTTAACTCGATATATTCCCATTTGTCCATTTTTGCCTTGGTGGCCTGTGCTTTTTATTACTCAAGATATCTTCGCTCAGACCAATTTCCTGGAGAGTTTCCCCAATGTTTTCTTTTAGTAGTTTCATAGATTCAGGTATTAGATTTAAGTCTTTAATCCATTTTTATTTGATTTTTGTATATGGTGAGAGATAGGGGTCTAGTTTCATTCTTCTGCATATGAATATCCACTTTCCCCAGCACCATTTATTGAAGAGACTATTTTCTCCCCAGTGTATGTTCTTGGCACCATTGTCAAAATTGAGTTCACCATAGATGTATGGATTTATTTCTAGGTTATCTGTTCCGTTCCACTGGTATATGTGTCTGTTTTTACGCCAATACCATGCTGTTTTGGTTACAATAGCTCTGTAGTATAATTTGAAGTCAGGTAATGAAATTCTTCCACTTTCATTCTTTTTGCTCAGGATGGTTTGGCTCTTTTGGGTATTCTGTGGTTTCATAGAAATTTTAAGATTATTTTTTCTATTTCTGTGAAGAATGACATTGGTATTTTGATAAGGATTGCATTGAATCTGTAAATTGCTTTGGGTGGTATGAACATTTTAACAATATTGATTCTTCCAATCCATGAACATAGAATATCTTTCAATTTTTCTGTGTCTTCTTCAATTTCTTTCATTAATCTTTTGTAGTTTTCATTGTAGAGATCTTTCACTTTTTTGGTTAAGTTTATTCCTAGGTATTTTGTTTGTAGCTATTATAAATGAGATTACCTTCTTGATTTCTTTTTTAAATTATTTGCTGTTGGCATATAGAAATACCACTGACTTTTGTATTTTGTATCCTGCAACTAGACTGAATTTTTTTATCAGTTCTAATAGTTTTTTAGTAGAGTCTTTAGGGTTTTCCAAGTATAATATCATCTTTAAACAAGGATAATTTAATGTCTTCCTTTCCAATTTGGAGGTCCTTTATTTCTTTCCCTTGTGTGATTGCGCTAGCTAGGATTTCCAGTACTATGTTGAATAACAGTGGTGAAAGTGGGCATCCTTCCATCAATGATAGACTGGATAAAGAAAATGTATTATATATACACCATGGAATATTATGCGACCATAAAAAGGAATGAGATCATGTCCTTGGTAGAGATATGGATGAAGCTGGAAGCCATCATTCTCAGCAAACTAACACAGGAACAGAAAAGCAAACACCACATGCTTTCATTCATAAGTGGAGTTGAACAATGAGAACACATGGACACTAGGAGGGGAATAACACACACTGGGCCAGTCCAGGGGGTGCGGTGCAGGGAAGGAGAGCACCAGGACAAATAGCTAATGCATGCGGGGCTGAAAACCTAGATGGTGGGTTGATAGGTGCAGCAAACCACCGTGGCACACATATACCTATACAACCTGCACATTCTGCATGTGTATCCCGGAACTTAAAGTAAAACAAAAATTTTTAAAAAATTAAATAAATAAAGTGGGCATCCTTGTCTTGTTCCAGATTTTAGAGGAAAGGCTTTCAGTTTTTTCCTACTCAGTGTGATACTAGTTGTGGGTCTGTCATATATGGCTTTTGTTGTGTTGAGGTATGTTCCTATTATATCTAGTTTCTTTAGGTTTTTTTTTTTTATCATGAAGGGATATTGAATTTTATTAAATGCTTTTTCAGCATCAATTGAAACAATCATATGGTTTTTATTCTTCATTCTGTTGATATGAGGTATCACATTGATTGATTTGCCTATGTTGTACCATCTTTGCATCCCTGGGATAAATCCCCCTTGGTCATAATGAAGATCTTTTTAATGTTTTGTTGAATTTAGTTTGCTAGTATTTTGTTGAGGATTTTTACATCAATGTTCATCAGGGATATTGGCCTATAGTTTTCTTTTTTTGATTGTCCTTGTCTAGTTTTGGTATCAGGATACTACTGGCCTCACAGAATGAGTTTGGAAGTACTCCTCTTCTATTTTTTGGAATAGTTTGAGTAGAGTTGATATAAGTTCTTTAAATGTTTGGTAAAATTCAGCAGTGAAGCCATTGGGTCCTGGTCTTTGCTAGGAGACTTTTTAATACAACTTCAATCTTGTTACTTGTTATGGGTCTGTTCAGGTTTTGGGTTTCTTCATTGTTCAGTCTTGGTAGGTTATATATGTCTAGGAATTTATTCATTTATTCTGTGTTTTCCAGTTTGTTGGCATAGAGTTGCTCATAGTAGCCTCTAATGATCTTTTGAATTTCTGCAGTACTGGTTGTAATGTCTCCTTTTAATATCTCTGATTTCATTTATTTGGATCATCTCTCCATTTTTGTTTTGTTTTGTTTTTGAGACAAGGTCTCACTCTGTCTCCCAGGATGTAATGCAGTGACATGATCACAGTTCACTGCAGACTCCATCTCTCAGGCTCAAGTTATCCTCACATCTTGACCTCCCGAGTAGCTAGGACTACAGACACATGCCACCACAGTCAGCTAGTTTTTTCTACCTTTTGTAGAGACAGGGTCTCACAATGTTTCCCAGACTGTTCTCTATTTTTTTCTTGTTAGTCTGGCTAAAGGTTTGTCAATTTTGTTTATCTTTTCAAAAAAACAACTATTTGTTTCATTAATCTTTTGTATTGTTTTATTTGTTTCAATTTCATTTATTTCTGCTCTGATCTTTATTCTTTCATTTCTTCTACCAACTTTGGGTTTAGTTTGGTCTTGCTTTTTCAATTCATTAAAAAGTATCATTATGTTATTTATTTGAAGTTTTTCCTCTTTTTTAATTTAAGCACTTATAGTTATAAACTTCTTAGTACTACTTTCCCATATCCCAAAGGTTTTGGTATGTTGTATTTCCATTTTCATTTGTTTCAAGAAGTTTTTCAATTTCCTTCTTACTCTCTTCATTGACCTACTGGTCATTCAGGAACATATTGTTTAATTTCCATGTGTTTGTACAGTTTCCAAAATTCCTCTTGTTATTGATTTTTAGTTTTATTCCATTGTGGTCAGAGAAGATGCTTAATATTATTTCAGTTTTTTAAAAATGTTTTAAAACTTGTTTTGTGGGCTAACATATGGTCTATCCTTGAGAATGATCCCTGTGCTGAGGAGAAGAATGTATATGCCACAGCTGTTGAATGAAATATTATGTAAACATCAATTAGGTCCATTTGATCTGTAGTGCAGATTAAGTCCAATGTTTCTTGGTTCATTTTCTGTCTGGATAATCTGTCCAATGCTGAAAGTGGGGGTGGTGAAGTCTTCAGCTATAATTATATCGAGGCCTCTCTCTTGTTTTAGCTCTAATAATATTTGCTTTATATATCTGGGCACTCCAGTATTGGTGCATATGCATTTACAATTGTTATATCATCTTGCTGAATTGACCACTTTATCATTACATAATGACCTTCTTTGTCTCTTTTATAGTTTTTGTCTTGAAATCAATTTTGTTTTATATGTGTTTAGCTACCCTTGCTCCTTTTTAGTTTCCATTGGCATGAAATATCTTTTTCCACCCCTTTATTTTCAGTCTACATGTGACTTTATAGGTGAAGTGTGTTTCTTATAGGCAGGAGATGGCTGGGTCTTGGTTTGCTTTTTTTTTTTTTTTTTTTTTTTTACCAATTCAGTCACTCAATGCCTTTTGATTAGAGAGTTTGGTCCATTTATATTCAATATTATTATTGATAAGTAAGGATCTACTACTGCCATTTAAAAATTTGTTTTCTGGTTGTTCTGGTTGTTTTGTGGTCTTCTCTTCCTTCCTTCCTGTCTTCCTTTTTCTAAAGGTGATTTTCTTTGGTGGTATGTTTTAATTTTTTGCTTTTTATTTTTTGTGTATCTATTGTGGGTTTTTTGATGTCAGGTTACCATGAGTCTTGCAAATAACATCTTATAACCCATTATTTTAAACTGATGACAACTTAACACTGATTGCAAAAACTGACAGACAAGCAAAGAGAAAACCAATAAAAACTCTACACTTTAACTTCATCCTCCAACTTTTAAACTTTTTGTTTCTATTTATATCTTACTATACTTTCTATGTCTTGAAAAGTTGCTGTAGTTATTATTTTTTATAGGTTCATCTTAAAGTCTTTCTATTTGAGATATGAGTACTTTACCACAGTTACAGTGTTATTATATTCTAATTTTCTATATTCTTACTATTACCAGTGAGTTTTGTACCTTCAGATGATTTCATATTGCTCACTAATGTCCTTTTCTTTTAGATTGAAGATCTCCATTTAGCATTTCTTGTAGGACAAGTCTGGTATTGATGAAATCTTTTGGCTTCTGTTTGTCTGGAAAATTCTATTTCTCCTCCACATTTGAAGGATCTTTTCACTGGATATACTATTCTAGGGTGAAAGTCTTTTTCCTTCAGTGTTTTAAATATGTCATACCACCCTCTCCTAGCCTGCAAGGTTTCCAGTGAAGAGTCTGCTGCCAAATGTATCAGAGCTTCTTTTGTGTTATGTGTTTCTTTTCTCTTGATGCTTTTAGGATCTTTACTTTATTCTTGACCTTTGGGAGTTTAGTTATTAAATGTCTAGTTGTAGTCTTATTTTGGTTAATATGTTTGGTGTTCTATAACCTTCTTATACTTATTTGTATATTGATATCTTTCTCTCTGTTTGAGATGTCCTCTGTTATTGTCCCTTTAAATAAACTTTCTGCCCCAGTCTCTGTCTCGACCTCCTCTTTAAGGCTAATAACTCTTAGATTTGCCCTTTTGAGGCTGTTTTGTAGATCTTATAGATGTGCTTCATTTTTTAAATTCTTTTTATTTTGTCTTCTCTGACTATATTTTCAAATAGCCTATCTTTAAGCTAATCTTTTCTTCTACTTGATCAATTCTACTGTTGAGAGACTGATACATTCTTTAGTATGTCAATTGAATTTTTCAGCTCCATTGTTTCTACTTAATTTTTTAAAATTATGTCGACCTCTTTGTAAATTTATCTGATAGGATTTTGAATTCCTTCTTTGTGTTATCTTGAATTTCACTGAGCTTCCTCAAAAAAGCTATTTTGAATTTTTTGTCTGAAAATTCACATATTTCTGTTTCTCCCAGATTGGCCACTGGTGCCTGATTTAGTTCATTTGGGGAGGTCATGTTTTCCTGGATAATCTTGATGCTTGTGGATGTTTGCTGATGTTTGGGCATTGAAGAGTTAGGTATTTATTACAGTCTTCACAGTCTGGGTTTGTTTGTATCCATCCTTCTTGAGAAGGCTTTTCAAGTATTCAAAGGGTCCAGGAATGGTGGTTCATGCCTGTAATCCTAGCATTTTGGAAGGTCAAGAAGGGAAGATGGCTTGAGTTCAGGAGTTTGACACCAGGCTGGGCAACATGGCGAAACTGTCTCTGCAAAAAAATTGTTTTTAAATTAGCCAGGCACAGTGGCACGTTGTCTGTGTTCCTAGCTACTTGGAAGGCTGGAGTGGGAAGATCACTTGAGCCTAGGGTTCGGGCTGCAGTGAGCTAATGTTCATGCCACTGCCCTCCAGCCTAGGCAACAGGGCGAGACCCTGTCTCAAAAAAAATAAAATAAAACATTTTTTAAAAAGTATTCAAAGGGAATACTTGGGTGTTGTGATCTACATCTTTGGTCACTGTAGCAGTATCTGCATTAGAGGGCAACCCAAGCCCAGTAACACTGTGACTCTTGCAGACTCGTAGAGGCACCGCCTTGGTGGTCTTTGGTAAGATGAAAGAGAATTCTCTGGATTACCAGGCAGCGACTGTTATTCTCTTCCTTTACTTTCCTCCAAACAGAGTCTTTTTCTCCATGCTCAGCTGCCTGGAGCTGGAGGAGGGGTGATACTAGCCACCACCCCTGGGCCTGCGCTGGGTCAGACTTGAAGCCAGCACAGCACTGGGTCTCACCAACACCTGCAGTGACTACTTCCTGGCTACTGACAAGGTTCACTCAAGGCCCAAGGGCTCTTCAGTCACAGGTGGGCCCAGAAATGCCATCTGGAAGCCAGAGCCTAGAGTCAGGAACTTAAGTATGTCGTTTAAAATCAGCTATGATAGCTTCCCAGGGGCTCTGATATTAGGTGTGAAGTAGAAAAGGTGAGTAGATAAGTTTATCCCCATTTCACAGATGAAGAAATTAAGGGCCATTATCATAAGATAATGAATGTGCACGAGAGTGTTTCTGGTTGTTTGTTGCCACACAAGCTGATAAACAAAGGAGCAGTACCCAAACCCAAGGCATCTCAACTCTTCAGTGTTCTCCCCACTGAGGAAAGAGGAAGGAAAACTTGCCTAACGTGTGAAGAGAGATCTCCCAAATTTAGGCAGATGGGAGAAAGCCTTAGGGATGAGCTTGATGGTTTATCTGGGTATATCCTCAAGCCTCAGAGGGCTGTGAGAAGAGGGGAACAGACTGGAAAGGGTAAGGCCAATTCAGTGTCTCCAAAAGTAGTGTCTGAAGATTGTAGCTGTAGGGTTAGTAGATTTAAAATGAGAGGTAAATATAATCTAAAAACAAAGCAAATAAAATGATGGAAATATCTCCCCAATGGCAGTCCTTTTGAAGGTGAGTCATGTTTAGAAACAGAGACCATTTCTAATAACATAAAATTAGGGGGTTGTGTTTTATAATCCCCCAAAGCTAAAGAATTTTATTCCTTCCTTTCAAGCACTGGAAATAATGGCTTGGATTCCAACCAGGAAGACCACATAACTAGTTCTGGATCCCAATCAGTGATTTTTCCAGTAAGAACAAGAGAATCAAACTGAGTGTGGGTTACTTGCTGAAAATAAACATAAATCAGAAATGAGACTTAGGAAGATGCCAGAATTATGCAAGCTGCACATCTGGTCCTACATTCTCTTTGGAAGGTTTCTGAGCAACACTTTTTTTTTTCTTTAAATCTCAATCTGTTCTTGTAGTGGATCCTTCCGAGTTTTGAAGAAAATTAAAACTGATATTTTCTTTAGGGTAGCTGCCTGCTTGCTTGGATATATTGCAATCACCTTATACTCAACATGTCCAAAGATAAAAAATAGAAGTCATCGTGTCCCCTGACAGATATGTTTATCCTCCTCTATTCCATGTCTCAGAAGTAGCACTCCCTGCCAACCCATCACCTAAACCAGAAGCCTGGGTGTCCTCCTTGGGTGCTCTTTTTCTCATGCTAATTTTCCCATAGGTCACTAAGTTCCATCAAGTCTGCATCCAAAACCTTTTTCAAATTCCTCCACTTCTCTCCATCTCTTCTTGCCCTCATCTAGTTCGGGACTCCATCTTCGCTCACCTGGATTGCTATGTATTAGCCATGAAGGCCTCAACTCCCAGCTACTAGATTGCCTAGACTTGGCCCCAGCCCAGGCCTCCACAACCGACATTTCTACAGCACTCCATGGTAATAAGCTACTCTACCAGACTTCTCCCATTCCGTTGCACAGTCTAGCGCGAGGGCCAAGAGAAAGGAATGCTGTGAGCCCAGCCAAGGAAAAGGACTTGAGGAGTTAAGCAAAGGTCATACCAGTGACCCAAGAGATGAGCAGGCAGGTCACCCTGGTTATGCACCTCGACTCTGCAGCCTTTTAGCACGTACTTCACTGCATTGTAATTGTTTTTTTATATTGTGATAAAATAAACATAAATAAAATTTATCATTTTAATTATTTTTAAGTGTATAGTTCAGTGGCATTAAGTACATTCACAGTGTTGTGCCACCATCATCACCATCCGTCTCTGGAACCTTTTCATCTCCTTAAACTGAAACTCCCTAGCATTAAATAATAACTCCCCATTCTTCTCGCTCCTCAGCCACAGGCTACCACCATTCTATTTTCTGTCTGTATGAACTTGACCACTCTCTATGTACCTCACATAAGTGGAATTATAAAGTATTTGTCCTTTTGAGTCTGGGTTATTTCACTTAGCATAAGTCTTTAAGGTTCATCTATGTGGTAGTATATGTCCGCATTTCCTTCTTCTTCTTCCTTTTTTTGGAGACAGAATCTCCTTCTCTCGCCCAGGCTGGAGTGCAGTGGTGCCATCACAGCTCACTGTAGCCTCAAACTCCTGGGCACAAGTGATCCTCCCACTTCAACCTCCCAAGTAGCTGGGACTATAGATGCACAACCATCACACCTAGCTAATTTGTTGTTGGTGGTGGTGGTGGTAGAGACAGGGGTCTCACTATGTTGCAAAGGCTGGTCTCAAACTCCTGGACTCAAGTGATCCTCTCACCTCAGCCTCCCAAAGTACTGGGATTATAGGCATGAGCCACTGCACTTGGCCGTTTGTGTGGAATAACCAACCTCTCTTCATTCTCCCCTCCCACCCACACACCCTTCCCAGCCGCTGGTAAGGATCATTCTCCTCTCTAGCTCCAAAGACTGTCTTAACACGAATACTTGTTGAATAACTGATCATTAACCCCAGTAAAAAGAATTCTGTAAGAGAATGAAAATTAAGAAGATAAAAGATGGGGAGGATAGGAGGGATTTTGGGCCCTCAAAAGGTTTATTTATATCCTGCTAAATGTACAAAGCTTTGATGCAGATCTTAAACAGATGAGAGGGCAGACAGAGGGCTCCACAGGGAAGATTTATCACTCATGGTTGAACTCACAGCCTCTGGAGCCAGACTACCAGGATTCATGTCTTAGTTCTCTTTATCCCTTCCTGAGTGTGAGACCTCCAGCATGTTATTTAACCTCTCTCTGTAAAGTGGTACATAGCTCATAGCATTATTGTGAGGTTTAAATGAGTCAACACAGGCAAAACACTTAGAATAGCGCCTGACACATAGTATGCACTCAGTAAATGCAACTCTATTAATAAAATTAGAATTGGATAAAGATTAGATTTAGAGTATGAATTAAATTAGAAATATCTCAAGAAAGTGTATTAGGATGCTGGGCTGTCCACACTCTCACACAGCCCTTTTGGTTGGGAAAGTAAGTTGACATTTTTTAAGCACCAACTTTGTGTCAGACTTGAGGATCATTATTACAGATTATTCACATTTCAGAGGTATGGAAAATGTGGACAGAAATGTTTAATTACTTGCCCAAGATTATACATTTACCAAGGGTTAAGCCTAGTCTCAAATTTAGTTTCAAAGGAAAATGGGTAATGGGTAAAGTAGAGGGACATAATATCCCAGTTGCATCCAAAGGAGACCCTAATGTGGGGGCTTGGAGACTTTCAAGATGAGGGGGCAAAGCCTTGTGAACCATTCCTAAGGAAGGAAAGGAGAGCTGCTCATCCTGGGACATTTTCCACGGGCTTGTTCTACAAAAGAACTTTCCCGAGGACATGGATGTCCTAGGTCCATGTGTATTGTAACCTCAGGGGCAGGAATTGGGACTGTATACCCTCATGGCAGAGGCTGACAGTTGCTATCCCTATATTCATTCTTCCCTTTTTTCCTCAGTAATGAAACTGGTTTTTATCAGGGCACATGACTACCTAGAATAAAGACCACCTTTCCCACATTCTCCTTTGGAGCCTGGTGTCTCCATAATTATATTCTGGTCAATGAGGTATTAAAGTGCTGTGTGGCAACTTCTGAGAAATCTTCTTAAAAGCAAATGATGTGAGATTTTGGCCTCCTCCTTTGTCACTTATTTGTCCCCTCCAGATGTGTGGCTAGGGCTCCAGCTGCCATCTTGGAAACTGGAGGACCACAACATAGGGATGTTGGAGCAGAGAGCTGAGAGGAGCCAGTGCTGTGGAGCTATTCCTGCCCTCAGCCATCTGCATCAGGGGTTCTTTTAAGTGGGAGAGAAATGAGCTTTATCTTGCTTAAGCCACTATTAATTTAGATTTAGGCCAGGCGCGGTGGCTCACACCGATAATCCCAGCACTTTGGGAGGCTGAGGCAGGTGGATCACCTGAGGTCAGAAGTGCAAGACCAGCCTGGCCAACATGGTGAAACCCCGTCTCTACTTAAAATACAAAAATTAGCCGGGCGTGGTGGCAGGCGCCTGTAATCCCAGCTACTTGGGAGGCTGAGGCAGGAGAATCATTTGAACATAGGAGGCAGAGGTTGCAGTGAGCCAAGATCAAGCCATCGCACTCCAGCCTGGGTGACAAGAGCAAAACTCCGTCTCAAAAAAAAAAAAAAATTATCTTGTCTTTTCTGTTAACTGAATTAACACTCATGCCCCTGGTTAATACAATCCCACTTCTGATGTATGCACACTTGGGCCTGCCTGTGCTGTGACCCAGGTTGAAGAGACCAGTGTCCTGAAGCAGAGCACCATCCCTTGCTCTACCACCCAGAGGGAGAGAAGAGTCCAGCCTCAGTTCCCAGTAGGGCTTCTTAGCTCTGCATATCTTTCAGCATCTTCTATTAGACAAAGACTGGTAGCCATGGTATCAACAACTTTATTTGTCTGTCTACTTAGAAAGTAAACTATGTAAACCTAATCATTGTAGCTCTGTTGGTTAAACAGTGATATGAATATGATATTATTCATAAAACTGAAAAAATGTTAATACATGAGTACAATTTTTTAGCTTTAATCTATACCTGATTTTCCCCTTGAAAAATAAATATAATTTGTTTCAGTGGTTAATTGTTATAAACAACCCTGTAACCATTTGTTTGTTCATTTATTCATTCAAAATATAGTGATTCAGCCTGGGAGCAATGGCTCACACCTATAATCCCAGCACTTTGGGAGGCCAAGGCAGGAGGATTGCTTGAGCCCAGGAGTTCAAGACCAGCCTGGGCAATATAGTGAGACCTCATATCTATAAAAAAATTTAAAAATTAGCCATGTGTGGTGGCACATGCCTATAGTCCCAGCTACTCAGGAGGCTGAGATGGGAGGATCACTTGAGCTCGACAGGCAGGGGTTGCAGTATGCTAGGATCACACCACTGCACTCCAGCCTGGGCGACATAGCAAGACCCTGTCTCAAAGAAAGCAAAGTAACAAAACCCCAAAAAGCAGTGATTTATTCTTCCATTCAACAAGACATTAGTATTTTCAAGTAAAACATTTTTAAAAAAAACACAAACACAGGCATGTTAAATGTTATCTAGCATCATGGGCAGAGTTCTACTTAACACTTGTTTAAAAAAGTTCTAGTTGTTAAGTAGAACCCTGCCCATCATGCTAGATAACCAGGGAATAAAAATGCAGAAACCTCAGCCCCTGGCAGTTCAGGAAATATACAGCTTTGCTGAGAACAGAAAAATAATATCCAGGGAAGGAACTACAGCTTATAATCAAGTCTGGACTGGGATTTTTCTTGTTAAAGGCTATTCAAACACTGGGCATATTATATATATATATATATACGTATATATATACGTATATATATATATGAAGACTCCATTAAAATAAATGAAGTAGCTGCCCATGAGGAGGAAAAAAGGAGAGCTGGTGGGTTGAACTTGAGGAACAGACCTCTTCAAACTCACCTCTAACGTGCTTATCTCACTTACTGAAAATTCTCAGCCATTTTAATGTTTCATCCCTCAAATGTCTCTGCTCCAGGAATCTTGCTTTCCCCTCTTCTGGCTGAAACATAAGCCGCTTAGGGCTAAGATCTTACTGCATAAAATTAGGTGTGCGCAGGAGAGGGCTGACTAAATAATTTCTAAAATGATCTGAAATTCACAAATAACTATCATTTATTTCAGCACAAACGATTATGCCAGAT
The DNA here is from genome assembly GCF_000001405.40 of Homo sapiens. NCBI lineage: Eukaryota > Metazoa > Chordata > Mammalia > Primates > Hominidae > Homo > Homo sapiens. Next base: position 76,826,751 of record NC_000004.12, read on the forward strand.
AGTTGGCACTCATTGTCTCACTTAATTCTTATAACAACTGTGAGAGATACACACTCTTATTATGTCCATTTTTCAGATCAAGAAACAAGACATGGAGAGTTCAATGTCAAGCCAAATTTCCAAAGAATTGGCAGAATCCAGGACTGTCAGAGTGTAAACCTGTGTTCTTAGCACCTATGTGTTTAGCTCATGTGCTATCCTCTCAAAACCTTCTTCCACCTATCTCTCTCTCACACAGCATTGTTAGCCCCTTTGTCACACTTACCCATTCTCCTTGTTCTATAACATTTATAGAAATGTCTTTCCAAAATATGAATTCCTTAGAAGAGGAACTATATTTTGACCGTCTTTATAACACTCTCTGCTTAGAACACAGGACCCGGCATACAGTAGGTGCTCATATGTTTAGGTAATTAACTATACCAGTCACCAAAAACTTATCATTTTAATTAAAAGTGTATAGGCAGGTTCAAGCGATTCTCCTGCCTCAGCCTCTCAAGTAGCTGGGATTACAGACACACACCGCCACACCTGGCTAATTTTTGTATTTTTAGTAGAGACGGGGTTTCACCATGTTAGCCAGGCTGGTCTCGAACTCCTGACCTCAAGTGATCCATCCACTTTGGCCTCCCAAAGTGCTCGGATTACAGTCATGAGCCACTGCACCCGGACTGTACTAGGTCTTTTAAAGGACACAAAGATAGTTAAGGCATAGTTCTGTTCCTCTGGAGCCTGAAGTTTAGGAGACAAGACTGACACATAAGCAAATTACTTGGCCACAAAGCTGACTGTGATAAGGGGTAATACCCCGGGGACATAAATGTAGCATTTCATTGAATTAGATCCCATCCACTGGAAGATACATAATTATTCTAAGCATTACTAAGAAATAAAAGTTGATGCTAATTAAACTATGCTCACTATTGATTAGAAGATGCATCTTTATTGCAGAGATGTTAAAATGTTTTAAAAAGATGCCTCTTGAATGAAGTACTACTAATACATGCTACAATATTGATAAATCTTGAAAACATTATGCTAAATGAAAGAAGCCAGACAAAAATGGTCACATATAGTCTGATTCTGTTTGTATGAAGTATCCCGAATAGGCAAATCTATAGAGACAGAAAGTAGATGAGTGGTTGTTAGGGCTAGGGAAGATGGAGGAACTAGTGGGTGACAGCTAAAGGGCACGAGATTTCTTTTTAGGGTGATGAAAATATTCTAGAATTGATTGTGGGAATTGTTGCACAACTCTGTGACTTCTACCATTACATTGTGCACATTAAATAGGTGAATTTTATAATATGTGAATAGTAGCTCAATACAGTAGTTCTCCCTTATCCATCCATGGTTTCACTTTCCAAGTTTTCAGTTACCCCATGGTCAACTGTGGTCTGAGTGAGCACAGCACAATAACATATTTTGAGAGAGAGACCACATTCACATAGTTTTTTTTTTTTTTTTTTTTTTTTTTAATTCCTTTTTTTTTTTTTATTATACTTTAAGTTTTAGGGTACATGTGCACATTGTGCAGGTTAGTTACATATGTATACATGTGCCATGCTGGTGCGCTGCACCCACTAACTCGTCATCTAGCATTAGGTATATCTCCCAATGCTACCCCTCCCCCCTCCCCCCACCCCACCACAGTCCCCAGAGTGTGATATTCCCCTTCCTGTGACCATGTGATCTCATTGTTCAATTCCCACCTATGAGTGAGAATATGCGGTGTTTGGTTTTTTGTTCTTGCGATAGTTTACTGAGAATGATGGTTTCCAATTTCATCCATGTCCCTACAAAGGACATGAACTCATCCTTTTTTATGGCTGCATAGTATTCCATGGTGTATATGTGCCACATTTTCTTAATCCAGTCTATCATTGTTGGACATTTGGGTTGGTTCCAAGTCTTTGCTATTGTGAATAATGCCGCAATAAACATACGTGTGCATGTGTCTTTATAGCAGCATGATTTATAGTCATTTGGGTATATACCCAGTAATGGGATGGCTGGGTCAAATGGTATTTCTAGTTCTAGATCCCTGAGGAATCGCCACAATGACTTCCACAATGGTTGAACTAGTTTACAGTCCCACCAACAGTGTAAAAGTGTTCCTATTTCTCCACATCCTCTCCAGCACCTGTTGTTTCCTGACTTTTTAATGATTGCCATTCTAACTGGTGTGAGATGGTATCTCATAGTGGTTTTGATTTGCATTTCTCTGATGGCCAGTGATGATGAGCATTTTTTCATGTATTTTTTGGCTGCATAAATGTCTTCTTTTGAGAAGTGTCTGTTCATGTCCTTCGCCCACTTTTTGATGGGGTTGTTTGTTTTTTTCTTGTAAATTTGTTTGAGTTCATTGTAGATTCTGGATATTAGCCCTTTGTCAGATGAGTAGGTTGCGAAAATTTTCTCCCATGTTGTAGGTTGCCTGTTCACTCTGATGGTAGTTTCTTTTGCTGTGCAGAAGCTCTTTAGTTTAATTAGATCCCATTTGTCAATTTTGGCTTTTGTTGCCATTGCTTTTGGTGTTTTGGTCATGAAGTCCTTGCCCACGCCTATGTCCTGAATGGTAATGCCTAGGTTTTCTTCTAGGGTTTTTATGGTTTTAGGTCTAACGTTTAAATCTTTAATCCATCTTGAATTGATTTTTGTATAAGGTGTAAGGAAGGGATCCAGTTTCAGCTTTCTACATATGGCTAGCCAGTTTTCCCAGCACCATTTATTAAATAGGGAATCCTTTCCCCATTGCTTGTTTTTCTCAGGTTTGTCAAAGATCAGATAGTTGTAGGTATGCGGCGTTATTTCTGAGGGCTCTGTTCTGTTCCATTGATGTATATCTCTGTTTTGGTACCAGTACCATGCTGTTTTGGTTACTGTAGCCTTGTAGTATAGTTTGAAGTCAGGTAGGGTGATGCCTCCAGCTTTGTTCTTTTGGCTTAGGACTGTCTTGGCAATGTGGGCTCTTTTTTGGTTCCATATGAACTTTAAAGTAGTGTTTTCCAATTCTGTGAAGAAAGTCATTGGTAGCTTGATGGGGATGGCATTGAATCTGTAAATTACCTTGGGCAGTATGGCCATTTTCACGATATTGATTCTTCCTACCCATGAGCATGGAATGTCAACTGTGGTCTGAGTGAGCACAGCACAATAACATATTTTGAGAGAGACCACATTCACATAGTTTTTTTTTTTTTTTTTTTTTTTTGAGACAGAGTCTCTCTCTGTTGCCCAGCCTGGAGTGCAGTGGCGCGATCTCAGCTCACTGCAACCTCTGCCTCCCGGGTTCGAGCGATTCTCCTGCCTCAGCCTCCTGAGTAGCTAGGACTACAGGTACATGCCACCATGCCTGGCTAATTTTTTGTATTTTTAGTAGAGATGAGGTTTCACCATGTTGGCCAGGATGGTCTCGATCTCTTGACCTCGTGATCTGCCCACCTCGGCCTCCCAAAGTGTTGGGATTACAGGCGTGAGCCACCGTGCCCAGCATTCACATAACTATTATTATAGTATATTGTTATAATTATTCTATTGTTATTAATCTCTTACTGTGCCTAGTTTATAAGTGAAACTTTATCATAGGTATGTACATAGGTATGCATAGGATAAAAACATAATGCATATGAGGTTTAGTGCCATCTGTGGTTTCAGGCATCCACTGGGGGTCTTGGAACACATCCCCTGCAGATAAAAGGGGACTACAGTATAGCTGTAATAAGAGAACTCTGCCACTTAGAGTCAAGAAAATATGAGAATACACCTTCTAGATAGCCATAAAAATAAATCAAAATAAAAAATATATAAGAATAGCGTAATGGGAGTGCGGGGGCTGGGAGAGAGACTAAGTCAGGTAGGTAGGGATCTAGAAAGCTTTTTGGAGTGGGCACAGACACACAATATGTGCCATACAGACATAGGAAAGTGGATAGGAAAAGGGGATCTGGCAGAGGTAGCAGCTTAAGCAAAGCCCGGAGGCAAGAGAGCTGGATGATGTCTAAGCAGAAGCTGAAGGAAAGGAGCTGTGGTGGAAGGGGAGGCTGGAGAGGCAGGCTCGCACACACCGAGGAGCGCACCCATGCCAGGCTACAGGCTGCAGCTTTTCAACAGGTCAAGAAAAGCCCTGACATTTCCCCAAGTGCCAGTCTTTAAAACTTTGGCAACTCCATATACAAAGGAAATGTATTATGAAGGCTTCTTCTAGTCACAGGGCACTGTTACTGACCCAGCAGGCAGTAAAATCCCCTTTGGAACTTGAAGCCAGATGACAAAAAGGTTAGAAAGGCAAAGGGCATTGTCACCGGAAGCACGGTGTTTAAACAGACGCTGGGAAAAACTAGGGTTTCTGACAGTGAGCCAAGAAATTCCAAAGGTCACGTCAGCAGAGCCAGGAAGTGGAAAGAAAGAAGTCATCGCCATGCTAGGAGCCACACAGGAGGAATCAGAGTCACACTTTCTACTCCAAAGGGATTGAAAACTGAGAGTAAAATGAAATGGGGATGGGGAAGGATGCAGAGTGAGGGAAGGAAAACAACTGCCACGCCAGCCTGAGGGAGGCCAGCCTCATTCCAGAAGGAGTTCTTGGGCTCAAAATGCTGTGGTTTGGGAGCTGAAGCCTGAATTTGCCTGCCCTGCACTAAGCAGCATGAGCCTGGTGCCAACGGGAACGGCAAGGTACATAGGAGGTAGGGACGGGGATTGGAAAGGCAGGCTCCCTGGACAACTCTCCTAAGTCCTTCAGGGAGGGAGTTGAGCCGGGGACCTTGGGCTCGCCTACTGGGCAGGGGACAAGGGCAGCCCCCTGGGTGCTCTTCTCCTGTTCTTAGGAAGAGGATTCCAGGCAGCTCTGCTAATTCATCCCAGCTCCAAAGCAGGCAGTGGATGTGTGGAGCAGTGGAAGGGCTGGAGACTGTATGGCAGCTGAGACCAACCCCTATAATCAATAGAAGAAAATGACCAGGCTCTCATCTGGGTCTCTGTTCTTTACTTATCTCTTCAGTTTCCAGTAGAGCTTTGGAAGTTTTAAGTGAGACGATCTCTCAACTTAAATGATATAAACATCGTAGTCCACTGTTATCCTTTCCAAAAATGCTGACACAGTTCCCAAGATGTACAGAGTACTGTGAACTGTGAAAGTTTGCTTCAGAGGACGTGTCCTTTCATGTAGAAGAATACTGTGCAGGCTACTCAATACAGAGCACAGTGGCAGGCCCCAAAATAAATAAAGAAATAAAGTGAGCTATTGGCGATGTGTGCTAAATTGAATTGACGTGTTTATTTGCCTGGAGTGTAAGCCCACCCACTCCCACAAAGGGCTGGAGGCCCCTGAATTGCAGTTTGTGCCTGTTAATACTCACAGCCTTTGGAGATTCAGTACTGAGGGACGTCATGCAGTCTGGCTTTTTCCAAACAAAACCTGAAACCTTCTCCTCTGGGTCTACCCATAAAGAGCAGTTACAGGAAGAACTGCTTGGCCAGTCCTGTGGATCTGATAAGACTCTTGTTTTCTTCCTTAGGGTTGAAGGAGGCCTGTACCCTGCCTCTTCCTGGATCCACGCTCAGCTCTCCTTTTCTCAGCCCAAAGGCTGTGGCACCTGGGCACTGGGTCCAGTAGGGCAGGATGGGGCAGAGGAGACTTAGTCTGGAAGGGCTATGGGCTTTTTTTAAAGTAGTGTGACTGAAAGTGGGCATTTCCTGTCAAAATGGAACGTAGAGCTGAATGTGGGCTTGGGGAATGCCTGGGAATTCATTTGGGCTCAGCCCTAGAAGAAAAGCATAAGGACTTCCTTGCTCAGAGTTGCTGATTCTGTAAGGTCTGGGATCAGTGCAGGAAACTGCATATTGAAAAGCATCCTGGATCACACTTCTGATTAAGAATGTTGAAACAGGGCCAGGTGTAGTAGCTGACGCCTATAATCCCAGCACTTTAGGGGGCCGAGGTAGACGGATCACTTGAGGTCAGGAGTTCGAGACCAGCCTGGCCAACATGGTGAAACTCCATCTCTACAAAAATACAAAAAAATTAGCTGGGTATAGTTGCATGTGCCTGTAGTCCCAGCTACTTGGGAGGCTGAGGCACGAGAATCTCTTCAACCCAGGAGGCAGAGGTTGCAGTGAACCGAGATCATGCCACTGCACTGCAGCCTAGGTGATAGAGTGAAACTCTGTCTCAAAAACAAAAACAAAAACAAAAAACAAACAAACAAAAAGAAGTGTTGAAACAGAAGCTGTGTATGAGACACCATCACAGCTCCTAAAACTCACCTACCTTTATTGTCTGCAGAAGGCCCTCCTCCTGAGTAAGCTGCCTAAATCTACCACTACCTGCTATTCAACCTTAATCACATCACTTTTATGGCACCCTCCAGACACAGTCTGAAGCAATTCCAGAAGACATCAAAAGACTTGCCCACTATCCTCTTTCCAATTGCAGTGGGTTTGCTCATGCAGTTCCCTCCCCTTGTAATGTCAACTTCTCTGTCTGTACCTATCAAAACCCTACCTGTCCTTTAAGCCTCAAGTGCCACCTCTTCTATGAAGTCTTCCTTTACCTTTTTAAACAACAGGTTCCTCTTTCCTCTGAACTTAGGTAAGTCCCATTTTCCCCCTATACTGTTTGTGATACTTACTTTGTTTTGTTCATTTATTGTGGTCATTTGTGCACATATTTATTCTCACTGCTAGACTGAGTTCCTGGATGGTACAGGCCATAACTTACATCATCCATACTACCTGGTTTTGACATACATGGCACAACAGAAATGTACTCTCCCTGCCCCAATATCCCTACTCAGAACTTGGAGATAAGAAAAATAAGGTTGCCTCCCAAGGAGATTTCTACTGGTTTTGCCTACCTGGATTCTGCCCACCTTCTTCTGGTAATAGCACCATTATTTTACATTAACTCTCAATCCATGTATAAAACCAGATATCAGACCTGGCCATGTAACCAAGATCTAGACAATCCATGTATTTCAACTCCCTGGACTCCATTCTTAGTTTAGGGATGGGCACATAACCCAAGCCAGGCCAATGAGATTTAGCGTTAGAAGTTTTTATTGAAATATCAAGAAAAAGAGACTTTCAACTGGTCTTGAAACTGGGAGGATGTGTGCCTGGAACTGTAGGGCAGGAGCCACCTACTTGTCAGGAGCGAACTTGAAAATGAAGCCAATGTGGAATAGAATAGATTGAAAGGATTAGGTCAATGGCATTGTCTGAACCCTGAGATCCAGCTGTGACAGAAACTTTACATATTCTGAGTTGGGTTTTCTGTTTCTTGTGGTTAAAAGAACACTGTCATCGAACACTAATAACCCCCTCCCCAAAATTTTAACCCCCTCCCCAAATTTTAATTTTAACCCCAAAATTTTAATCAGTATAATCTACACACTCAAAGGGAACGTGATAAACCATCTTCCTATCAATGCATAACAGAAGAATTTGACTCTACTCCAAACTTCTATAAAGGAAAAGCGGATATTTCTAGAGTGTTAGGACTAGAATATCATAGTAATTTAATAAATAGAAGTGTAATGAATTATATAGTGGCCTGAATAATGGTCTTTTGTGTGAACAGCCTCCTGCAGCATGAAACTCAAAGTCAGAAACTGGCAATGACCATTTAAGCTCAGATAAGGAGAGAAAGTGTCCTCGCTTATAGACTCAAATACCTCTGGCAGGTCTATGTCTGTTACAGATCAGCCAATCACAGCTTTTTCTTATTCATATTTCAGTGTTCAACAAGCAGCTTTAAGACGATAACTTCCCCTTAAATTGGTGTCCAGGGAGAAAATATGCTTATCCCATCAATATCAAAGCTGCACAAAAGTTTGAGTTATCATTATAAACAAACACTTGACTTTCTGGATTCATACCGCGAGGCTCCATGAGCTCGGCTAATTTGAGCTTTTCCCTTGTGGTGTGAGGACAAAATCAGATGTCTGGCCCAGGAAACTGATGGTCAGATCCTAGATGATATTGAGTTCATGCTGTGAGTCCTCTGCACACACAGGTAATAGTGTCTATAATTTATTTTAAAGTATTTTAGCATTTGCAATGTGATATTACCTGTGTGTTTCTTAAGTTAAGCAAAAACCCTAGAACTAATCAAGAATGTCCAATGAAAGGGTAAGCAGCTTGTGTTATATCAGAAAGTGTCCTCCTCTGGAGCTGGTCTTTGAATTATCGTACCTCAACAGCAGTTTCAAATAAATATACTCAATATCAGAGATGGGGTTTTATTGGCAAACTAGTTGTGTTTTAATGAGCACCACTGATATCAGAAATGGGCTTCCACTGGTGAAATTAACAGTATTCAAGGTACATAGAGTGGCTAGAAAAATACCATAAAAGTACTCCTTGTCCTTACATAAATAGGGTATAAAAATCCAGTGAGGCCTGAGCCTGAATCTTTAGCTTGCTCACTAATTAGTTCCATGACAAGCCATTGGTTTATGAGGGTTTCTGATTGTCTGATGCCAACTTGACATTGAAGATGAAGGGCCTACACAGAAGGGACCTTAGCAAATATTGGTAAATAAATTTGATTGTTGGTACATAAATGAATAAATAATTTGAATGAAATTGAAAATTTGTAGAGGGATCATCATAGTGTTACTGAAGATCTTGCTGTCCACTTCCTTCAAAATTTTTCCTTACTGATCTATTTCCCATCACTATGAACCAGTTAGTATTACTCTTTGGGTTAGGCCAAATTAAATTTCCTAAGATATAAATTCTTCAAAGGCAGAAAATACATTTTTAAAAATTTTAATTTAATTAATTTATTTATTTTTAGAGAGAGGATCTCCCTCTGTTGCTTAGGTTGGAGTGCAGTGGTGCGATTATAGTTCACTGCAGCCTCAAACTCTCAAACTCCTGGGGTCAACAGTCCTCCTGTCTTGGCCTCCCAAAGTTTTGGGATTACAGGCATGAGCCACCACATCTGGCCCCATACTTCTTTTTTTTAATTTTAATTTTTTTTTTCTTTTGAGACAGAGTCTTGCTCTGTTGCCTGGGCTAGAGTACAGTGCAATCTTGGCTCACTGCAACCTCCACCTCCCGAGTTCAAGTGATTCTCCTGCCTCAGCCTTCCAAGTAGCTGGGATTACAGTTGCACACCACTACACCTGGCTAATTTTTGAATTTTTAGTAGAGACGGGGTTTCACCATGTTGTTCAGGCTGGTCTTGAACTCCTGGCCTCAGGTGATCCACCCTCTTTGGCCTCCCAACTTGCTAGGATTGCAGGCATAAGCCTAGGATTTCAGGCCCAGCCTGGCCCCATATTTCTATATACTATAAAAAAACTACCAATGCACCAAACAGGATGTGTTTCATGAGCGTGGACTGATGATTAGATGAGCCTAATAATGATGATAATAATAGCTAGCCATGTTAGGCATCTGCTGAATGTCATGCACCACCCAGATGCTTTGCAAATAGCTTGGTCATTGAATCTACACAACAACCCATTATTATTATTTTCAAGTAATTACAAGCAATTACATTACTTACCCAATGTCACATGGCTCATAAATTCCAGGGCAGGGATTTGAACTCAGCTCCGTGTAACCCCAAGCCCAGGCTCTGGCCAATGTGGTTGTGGAATCTCTGATTACAGAATGTTCACCAGAACAGCAGGTCCAGATTCTAAAATTAATCGTTATGCTCTCTCTTAAGGAGTTACTCAAGCCTTTCCCAAATTTTACAAGGGATTTGAAATGCATGCCTACTTCTCTCCCCTTTTTGGAGAGTTCCAGGTTTCTCAAGAAAAGCAGGATTCATAGACTCTGCTGGGACACCTGTCAGTGGGACCTTTACATGAGCCCTGGGGATCCCAAGGCACAGAGAAAAGGACTACTGACCTCTTAGAGAAGACCCAGTCTTGCCTCAGACACTGATGGCTATTTGGTTTTGAAAACCTTTTTTCCCTGGATTCCTGGGAACTGATTTGGAAAATAATACCATGCTTTCTGAAGGGCATCACATAGGAAACAGATGCTCAAAGTCAGCTTGGGTTCATGTTCTTTTGTGGTAGATAATTTCTTGGCTCACCTCTTTGCCTGAGGCATTGCTACCCAGTTGATGCTTGGTGGGGACTGAGTCCCAATGAAACAACTGAGGACAAGAGACCTTCTGAGCGGGGAACTTGGAGGAGACAACATCTGGCTTCCCAGGCAGCAGGCAGAAGCCCTTGGGAGAAGCCAGCCTTGGTCAGTGGGTGGTGTCATTGGCTGCCAGTCTTGGCTGGCTGAGAGCCCAATCCTTGTACCAAGGCTTTCAGCATGATGGATGGTGGCAGGCTGGTGGGGCCACTGCACAGTGGTGACCAGAGGGAGTGCGTGGCATGGCTCTGACTCAGGGGGCCCATGGGAGGAAGGAAACTGGATGGCCAAGAAACTTCTGGTGTTTCAGAACCTAGGATGAGAAACTCTGTTCCTCGTCAATTGGAAACCATAGAAGATAAACTGCATTTCCCCCAATCTGCTAACTGACCCAGGAGTGCCCTTTTTCCAAGAGTTACTTTTGGCTGCCCTTTGACCACTGAACACATAAGTCTTTCAGCATACCATGAGGTCAACCTTTTAACTCTCTTTCAGGATCGTGTGGGGAAGTGAATAATGTCAGGGGCTAGGAGGTTGTGGCAAAGGGGAGTATGTTTCATCAGGGCTTTTCTCTTTTTGAAGTTGATTGATTTTCTATGTTGAATTTAAACAAACCACCAATAGACTTTTGAACTATATGTATGAACTTTCTAGCTATATCCATTAATAGCCTATCTTATTGACCAAGAAAAGTTCTAGCATTGCCCCAAGATCTTCAACTCTCTGGTCTCACTCCGTCACCCAGACTGGAGTGCAGTGGTGCAATCATAGCTCACTGCATCCTCGAACTCCTTGGCCTCAAGTGGTCCTCTGGCCTCAGCCTCCCAAGTAGCATCAACTTTCTTTCATTTGAGCCATGAGAACCAATTGTAAGTCTCAACCCAGAAAAATCATATAAGATTTAAGAAACGATAAAAGCTAACCCTTACATAGTGTCAGGCATGGATCTTAACAAAATAATTTAATCTTCACAAAAACCCTATTATCCTGATATTACAGAAGAAGAAACTGAGGCACAGAAAAGTTAAGGAATTTGGTCAATCTCACACAGCTAGTGGGTGAAGGAGCACATATTCCAACCCTAGCAGCCTGACTCCAGAGCCCAGGATCTGAGACATTCTGCTCCATTTCTTGCTATATCTTAGTTACCTGTGTCTTTAAAGAATTTCCTGATTTCACCTAAATTGTCAAATGTATTGTCATAAATGTTCATAGTCTGTAGTGCTAGCACTTCTTTCATTTCTAATGCTGGTAATGCGTGTTCGCTCCCCCCACCTTTTTTGTTCAGCTCAGCTAAAGATTTATCAATTATATTGAACCTTCAAAAAAAAAAACCCAACTTTTGTTTTAACTGGGCTTTCTATTTTTGCCCATTTTTATTTCATTGATTTCTGTTCTTTATTATTTCCTGCCTTCTACTTGCTTTGAGCTTCTTTTAATCTTTTAGCTTCTTGAGGTGGAATGCTTAGATGTTGATTTTGGAACTAACTTTTTTTATAATGTAGACATTTAAAGCTATAAATTTCCCTCTAAACACTGTTTAATTGAATCCTGCAAATTCTGACATTTTATATTTCATTGTCATTCAAGTGGAAATATTTCCTTGTCATTCAAGTGGAAATATTTCCTTTTTTCTTTCTTTCTTTTTTTTTTCTTTTTTTTTTTGAGATGGAGTTTCGCTCTTGTTGCCCAGGCTGGAGTGCAATGGCGCAATCTTGGCTCAACACAACCTCCGCCTCCTGGGTATAAGCGATTCTCCTGCCTAAGCCTCCCGAGTAGCTGGGATTACAGGCATGTGCCACCATGCCTGGCTAATTTTGTATTTTTAGTAGAGACAGGGTTTCTCCATGCTGGTCAGGCTGGTCTTGAACTCCTGACCTCAGGTGATCCACCCGCCTCGGCCTCCCAAAGTGCTGGGATTACAGGCGTGAGCCACCATGCCCAGCCTCAAGTGGAAATATTTTCTAACTTCTCTTCTAATTTCTATTTTTTTTTTTTAGAGATAGAGTCCCGCTCTGTCACCCAGGCTGGAGGGCAGTGGTGCCTTCTCAGCTCACTACAACCTCCGCCTCCTGGGTTCAAGCAATTCTCTTGCCTCAGTCTCCTGAGTACTGGGATTACAGGCGCACACCACCACATCCAGCTAATTTTTTTTTTTTCCTGTATTTTTAGTAGAGACGGAGTTTTGCCGTGTTGGCCAGGCTGGTCTCAAATTCCTGACCTCAGGTGATCTGCCTGCCTCAGCCTCCCAAAGTGCTGGAATTACAGGTGTGAGCCACTGCGCCCAGCCTAGAAGTGCCTTGTTTAATTTCCAAATATTTCAGAGATTTTATAGATACATTTTTCTCATTTAATTGTATTACATTATCATCAGAAGATATACTTCTTTTAAATTTATTTAGACTTACTTCATAACCTACCCTATGGTCTCCCTTGATGAATATTCCGTATGTACTTGGAAAGAATATGTATTCTGCCACTGTTAGGTGTAGTGCTTATCTATGCCAACTGGGTTATGTTGGTAGATAGTGTTTTTTTTTCAAATCTATATCCTTACTGGTTATCTATTTATTTTATAAATTATTAAAATCTCTAACTATAATTGTGGCTTTGTCTATTTCAGTTCTGTCAGTTTTTCATGTATTTTGAATATGTTATTAAATGCATACACATTTAGAATAGCTACACACACACACATATATCATTATGAAGTGACCCTTTTTTCATTATGAAATGTCCCTCTATTGTTGATGATAGTTATGTCCTAAAGTTCACTTTCATATAGCTATATAGCTTTTTTTTTTCTTTTGAGATGGAGTTTCACTTTGTCACCCAGGCTGGAGTGCAGTGGCACGATCTCGGCTCACTGCAACCTCCACCTCCCAGGTTCGAGTGATTCTCATGCCTCAGGCTCCCGAGCAGCTAGGACTACAGGCACCTGCCACCATGCCCAGCTAATTTTTGTATTTTTAGTAGAGATGAGGTTTCACCATATTGGCCAGGCTGGTCTCTAACTCTTGACCTCAAGTGATCCACCCACCTCGGCCTCCCAAAGTACTGGGATTACAGGCATGAGCCACTACACCCGGCCAGCTTTCTCTTGATTAATATTTGCATGGTGTATTTTGATTCATTTATTTTAAAACTCCGTCTTTACATTAGTTTCTTCTTCTCTTCTCTTCTTCTTTCTTTCTCTTCTCTTCTCTCTCTCTCTCTCTGTCTCTCTTTCTCTCTTTCCAGTGGTACAATCACAGCTCACTGCAGCCTCAACCTCCTGTGCTCAAGCAATCTTCCCACCTCAGCCTCCACCGTAGCTAGGACTACAGGCACATGCCACCATGCCTGGCTAGTTTTTTGGATTTTTTTTTTTTTTTTTTTTTTGTAGAGATAGGGTCTCACTCTGTTGCCCAGGCTGGTCTTGAACTCTTGGGCTCAAGTGTTCCCTTCCTCCTCGGCTTCCCAAAGTGCTAAGATTACTCAGCCTCTGTTTTTGTATTTAGAGTGTGTTTCTTTTAGAAGACATGTATGTGTCTTGTTTTTTTTTCCTATCTGATAATCTCTGCTTTTAATTGATGCATTTAGTCCATTTATATTTAATGCAATTGTTGAATTTATAGCAACCATTTTGCTTTTTGTCTCAGCTCTTCTTTGTTCACTTTTTTCTGTTTCCTATTTTCTTTTTTTTTTTTTCTTTTTTCGAGACAGAGTCTCACTCTGTCACCAGGCTGGACTGCAGTAGCACGATTTCAGCTCACCGCAACCTCCACCTCCTGGGTTCAAGCGATTCTCCTGCCTCAGCCTCCCAAGTAGCTGGGACTACAGGTGCACACCACCAGGCCCAGCTAATTTTTGCTTTTTTAGTAGAGACAGGGTGTCACCATGTTGGCCAGGATGGTCTCGATCTCTTGACCTCGTGATCCGCCTGCCTCAGCCCCCCAAAGTGCTGGGATTACAGGCGTGAGCCACCATGCCTGGCCTCTTTTGGATTTTTTTTATTTAATGTCCCTCATTGGTTTATAACTTATTTATTTTATTTTATTTTATTTTTTATTATTTATTTATTTATTTTGGCAATACATACGGTCTTGCTCTGTCATCCAGGCTGGAGTGCAGTGGCACCATCTAGGCTCACTGCAACCTCCGCCTCCCAGGCTAAAGAAGTGATCCTCCCACCTCAGCCTTCTGAGTAGTTGGGACTACAGGCATTCACCACCATGCCTGGCTAGTTTTTGTATTTTTTCTAGAAATAGAGTTTTGCGATGTTGCCCATACTGTTCTGAAACTCCTGGACTCAAGCAAATCTGCCACCTCAACCCCCGAAACTGTTGTGATTACAGGCATGAGCCATTGCACCCGGCCAGTTTATACATCTTTAGTCTATTTTTATGGTGATTGCTCTAGGGTTTACAATATGCATCCTTATCTTATCACAGTCTACCTTCAAATAAAATTGTACTGCTGCATATATCATATTAGACCTTTATAACAATCTGATTTCCCTACTCTGCCTTTGTCATACCTTTTACTTATACATATGTTATTGAACCCAGCTCCATTGGTATTATTTTTTAATACTTGTATCCTCACTATATGTTAATTCCTTAACATATTCACAATATAATTCTCTTAAAGTTCTTGGCTGCTAATTTCATTGTTTATATCATTTCTGGGCCCATTTCTATTCATTGGTTTTCTTCTGGTTAAGGATCACATTTTCATGTTTTCTTTCATGTCTAGTAATGTTTTTATTGGATTTTCACATTGTGAATGTTATGTTTTTCCTTTTCTTTTTTTGAGATGGAGTCTCACTCTGTCGCCCAGGCTAAAGTGCAGTGGCACGATCTTGGCTCACTGCTACTTCCGCCTCCAGGGTTCAAGCAATTCTCCTGCCTCAGCCTCCTAAGTAGCTGGGATTATAGGCATGCACCACCATGCCCAGTTAATTTTTGCATTTTTAGTAGAGACAGGGTTTCACCATGTTGACCAGGCTGGTCTTGAACTCTTGATCTTAAGTGGTCCACCCGCCTCGGCCTCCCAAAGTGCTGGGATTACAGACATGAGCCACCATGCTCGGCCTTTTATGTTTAAAAACTGTAACATTTTATTCTTTTTTTGTTGTTGTTGAGATGGAGTCTCACTCTGTTGCCCAGGCTGGAGGGCAGTGGCATGATCTCAGCTCACTGCAACCTCCGTCTTCCAGGTTCAATCAATTATCCTGCCTCAGCCTCCTGAGTAGCTGGGGTTACAGGCATGCACCACCACACCCAGCTAATTTTATTTATTTATTTATTTATTTATAGTAGAGGCGGGGTTTCACCACTTTGGCCAGGCTGGTCTCGAACTCCTGATCTCAAATGATCCATCTGCCTTGACCTCCCAAAGCACTGGGATTACAGGTGTGAGCCACCATGCCCGGCCTTGTTGTACTTGATTCTTGCAGGCAGTCAACTTGGTTGGGAATCAGCTTAGTCTTTTTTTTTTTTTTTTTTTTTTTTTGTGTGTGAGACAGTATCTAGCTCTCTCACCCAGGCTAGAGTACAGTGTTGTGGTCATAGCCTCAGTCTCCTGGGCTCAAGCAGTCTCCCAAGTAGCTGCAACCATAGGCATATGCCACCACACCTGGCTAATTTTTTAAATTTTTTGTAGAGATGAGAGTCTCACCATGTTGCTCAGGGTGGTCTTGAACCCCTGGGCTCAAGTGATCATCCTGCCCCAGCCTCCCAAAATGTTGGGATTATAGACATGACCAACCATGCCCAGCCTAGCTTAGTCTTTTTGAGGCTTATTTTTAAGCTTTGTTTGGGAGGGCCTAAAGTACCCTCTATTTTATGACCACTCTGGCCTTACCCCTAGGGGGTGGCCTTTTCTGGGCCCTACTGAGTGTCTCTCAACTTTCTGTAAGTTCCAATTATTATTCAGTTTGCAGTTCCCTGGTAGTTTTTCTTTCCCTGATAATTGTTTTATGTGCCCAACGTACGGAGTCTCACCTTACGCATATGCAGTCTGGTATTTGGCTAGAGACTCAAAATGACACCTATGAATACTTATGCAATCCCTTCTCTGGATCCTTTTATTTTTTTTTTTTTAAGATGGAGTCTCGCTCTGTCACCCAGACTGGAGTGCAGTGGCACTATCTCGGCTCACTCCCGAGTAGCTGGGATTACAGGCAGCTGACACCATGCCTGGCTAATGTTTTTATGTGTTTGTTTGTTTGGTTTTGAGACAGAGTCTCGCTCTGTTGCCCAGGCTGGAGTGCAGTGGCCTGATCTCGGCTCACTGCAACCTCCGCCTCCCGGGTTCAAGTGATTCTCCTGCCTCAGCCTCCCGAGTAGCTGGGTGGCACGCACCACCACACCTGGCTAATTTGTTTTGTTTTGTTTTGTTTTTGTATTTTTAGTAGAGACGGGGTTTTGCCATATGGGCCAGACTGGTCTCAAACTCCTGACCTCAGGTGATCTGCCCTCCTCGGCCTCCCAAACTGCTAGGATTACAGGCATGAGCCACCACACCTGGCCTGCATACTCTTTCTCTCTGATAACTTGCCTTATAAATTATTGTTGTCTTGACCTCCCCAAAGTCTGATCTGTGTCTCCTCATTTCAGCGAGGCTATCATACTCTGTTAGTAATCCCTTTTCTTGTACTGTAGTCCAGAAAGCCAGGGAAGCTGGAGGGCTCACTGAATTTGTTTTCCTTCTCTCAGTAATCAAAATTCTGCATGCCTGTTGTCCGATGTCTGAAGATAGTTGTTTCATATATTTTGTCTAGTTTTCTAATTTGTTTTTATTGCTGGAAGGCTAATGAACTACCAGTCATGCTATCATGATCACAGCAGAGTCAGACTGAAGTTTTATTAAATTTTTTTGAGCCTTTATCTCTATTAGATACAATGTTAAAAGCTTTATTTGCATTGTTTTATCTAAACTTCATATAAACCCCACAAATTTGCAGTACTTTTTTTCTTATTATAGACACATAAACTGAGAGTTATGAAGGTTAAGAAACTTGCCCCAAGTCACAGAGCTGGTAAGTCATGAGCCAGGAGCCAGACCTATCTGATTCTTCCCCTTCGTTAAAAAGATTACCTTCCCATTTAATATTCAACGATTATTTTTGCTGATTATAAAAGTAATGCATGATTATTAAATAAATCTTTGAAAATATAAAGATTTATAAAAAGAAAATCTAAAATTCCCATAGTTGCACTACCCAGGGATAGACCTGCTAACATATCTTTCTATTCAAGTTATATATACATATATATGTCTCATATATACACATATGTGAAGGCTAATACTGAGCGTCAACTTGATTGGAATGAAGGGTGCAAAATATTGATCTTGGGTGTGTCCATGAGGGTACTGCTAAAGGAGATTAACATTTGTGTCAGTGGGCTGGGAAAGGCAGACCCACCCTTAACCTGGATGGGCACCATCTAATCAGCTGTCAGTGAGGCCAGAATATAAAGTAGGCAGAAAAATGTGAAAAGGCTAAACTGGCTTAGCCTCTCAGCCTACATCTTTCTCCCGTGCTGGATGCTTCCTACCCTTGAACATCAGACTCCAAGTTCTTCAGCTTTGGAAAGGCTCAGACTGGCTTCCTTGCTCCTCAACTTGCAGACAGCCTGTTGTGGGACCTTGTGATCGTGTTAGTTAATACTACTTAATAAACTTCCATATATATATATCTATAGATATCGATATCGATATCTATATCTATATCTATACCAAGTCACAGAGCTGGTAAGTCATGAGCCAGGATCCAGACCTATCTGATTCTTCCCCTTCGTTAAAAAGATTACCTTCCCATTTAATATTCAACGATTATTTTTGCTGATTATAAAAGTAATGCATGATTATATCTATATATAATATATATAGATATATATAGATATCTATAGATATATATAGCTATATATATCTATAGATATATATATAGATATATATAGCTATATATATCTATAGATATATATAGATATATAGATATATAGATATCCCATTAGTTCTGTCCCTCTAGAGAACCCTAATAAACCATATAAGCAACATAAAGATATTATTACATATGTGCGAATATATATGTATGAGTGTATATATGTGTGTGTCAGAGTTTTTTATCTGTATTACAAAGTTAGGATCCTATGGAATTCTATCATACATTTATCCATACTGTTTTATAACCTGCATTTACCACTTAATAAAGCCTTATAAACATTTGCCTTATAAAATTTTCCGTTAGATATAAACATTCTTTGAGAACAAGAGTTTTTTAGTTTTTATGGCGGAAAATTTCAACCATACTACAAGGAAAGAGAATATCATAATGAACCTTCATGCATTCATTACTTAAAAATTATTAACATTTTCTAATCTTTGAATATAATTTTTAATGGTTGTCTCATATTTTCATGCATAGATGTAGCACTGATAATTTAACCAATTCTGCATTGATGAACATTTGCATTGTCTTTTGTTATTGTGAATAACCCTGTAAAAAGCTCTTTCTGAATAAGTCCTTGTGCAAATACAAAATTATATCCTCAGGATAAATTCCTGGAAACAGAATTACCTGATTAAAGAGGATGAACATTTTAAGGCTTTTGATACATGTTGCCAAAACGCTCACTAGCAAGTTTGTATCAATTTGCTTTATCTCCTCCCATAACAGTGTAGGAGAGTGCCATTTTACCACACTCCCAAACAACTGAGGATTATTCTTCAAACATGTGTTTGCCTATTGGACAGTCTGAATGATACACTGGCATTCTTCCTCCACCACCAGCCACCTTCATGCCTCAAATTAGCTACAGAGAGACTGGCTCTCATAGCAATAAGGTTTACTGGGGGCTGAAAGTCAAAATGAGACTAGAGAACACATTCTTTGTTCTACACACATCCCCTATCAAAATACACACTACCACCTATCCCAAACATGTGGGCCTGGGATCTGGCATCTCTCTCTCCTTAGAAAAGCCAGAATCCTTTATTGTGGCAACAATAGGGAGCAGCTGATCAGCCACAGGTCCTGGCAAAGGTGGCACCAGCCACCTCTCTGGGACTAGACCAAAGCACTGAGTTCTGGCTAATGCTATGCCAGGAAGGCATGTGCCTTTCCGTTTTCTCGGCCTGCATGCAGACTTGCAAATACTGTCTCCAGAAGTTGGCTCCAAAACAGCTAACAAACGTGTAACTGGGCAGAAAGAAGTTCAGGGCACAGGATGGCTTATGAGAGAACAATTCTGAGAGAACTGAGATGCCTCTCAAGTCATTTCACTCCCTCCTCTACTCCCCAAGCCTTGACAATCAAGAGGAAGATCTGTAAGGATGCCAAGAATAGTCCTAGCCTTGAAAACTGGGGTCTGGATAATAAAGCGATAGGGAAGACTGCAGGAACCTTGTCTAAAGCATGGGGCTGGAGCATCTGAATTTCAATACATGAGCTTACATTACTCACTAGAAAGTAAGCTTCATAAGCACAGAATTTTTTTCTTTTTTGTGTATGGATTTATCCCACAGGTAAAAAAAAAAAATGCCTGACACATTGCAGGCATTCTATAAATATTTGGATTAATTAACCTTCTGAATTTATTCATTGAATGGAAAGGACGAATTAGGAAAACCATATACTCAACACTTACGTATTAGATACTTAATATATGTACAGTAGTCCCCCTTATCCACCAGGCTTACGTTCCAACCTCCCCCCCGTGGATATCCAAAACCATGGATAGTTCTGAACCCTATATATACTATGTTTATTCCTATACATACATATGTATAATCAAGTTTAAGTTATAAATTAGGCATAGTAAGAGATTAACAACAATAACTAATAATAGAAGAGAACAATTATAATAATATGTCAACATCACTACTCTTATGCTTTGGAGCCATTATTAAATAAAATAATGGTAACTTGAGCACAAGCACTGCAATACCTTGGCAGTCAATCTGATAACCGAGATGGCTAGTGACTAACAGGTGGGTAGCATCTATATCCTCGATACGCTGGACAAAGGGCTGATGCACATCCCTGACAGGATGGAGATGGAGCTGGACAGCAAAGCTTTCATCACACTACTCAGAACAGTGAGCAATTTAAAACATAGGGATTGTTTATTTCTCTTCCTTTCCATTTAATATTTGCAGACCACTGTTGATCACAGGTAACTGAAAGCACAAAAAAGGAAAACGGTGGTTAGGAGGGCACTACTGTGTATCACTGGACTAGGAGCTAAGCATAGGCTCAAGGAATGATTAAAAAAAAAAACTTTCCTTCTGGAGAAGATGATATGTGCACAATAAAAACTTAAGTCTTTATTAGGTTTTGGAGCATTGGTGTAGACAGCAGGAACTCTGTCTCAGCTGATGAGGGAAGGTATTGGAAAGGAGGTGAATTTGGGTCCAGGTCTTGAATGGTGTTGATGGTGTTCCCTAGGGCTGCAATAACAAATTACTACAAACTGAGTGGCTTAAGACAACAGGAATTTATTTCTCTCACAGTTCTGGAGCCACAAGTGTCAAGGAGAGCCACACTCCCTCCAAAGTCTCTAGAGGAGAATCCTTTCTTCCCTCTTCTAGATTTTGGTGGCTGCTGGCATTCCTTGGCTTGTGGCAGCATAACTCCAATCTCTGTCTCTGTCTTCCAACGACCTTCTTCCCTATGTCTCTCTGTGTCAGGACACTCTCATTGGGCTTAGGGCCCACCCTAATCCAGTGTGATCCCATTTTGAGCCTTATCTTAAATTACATCTGCAAAGACCCTGTTTCCAAACAAGGTCATATCTTGAAGTTCCAGGACATGAGACTATGACACAAATTTTTGGATGACACTTTTCAACCCACCACAAAATGGATAGAAGAGCAGTGACAAAAACAAAAACTCAAGGGACCATGACTCCCAAAAACCAACATGTAGCCAAAGCCTCAAAGCTTTCTGAAGTCATTCCAGAACAACACAAAAGAAAAGAGACAACTGCAAATGTAGGGTTCCCAATAGACACATAACCTTCTGGATTGAATTTCCAAAAACTGAGAACAATTTAAAACACACATGGAATGTATAAAAGGAGAAATTTTGTTTCAAAATTATATTTGAGTTTGAAATGGGCAAATAATTAAAAGCATGAAGTCTAGAGTCAGATGGTCCTAGATTTGATTCCCAGTTTCTTAAGTTACTTGCTCTATAATTTGGGCATATTACTCCTTTCTCCACACCTCATTTTCCTCATCAATAAAATATAGATAACAATACAGCCTGGCTCCTAGAGTCGGTATAAAGATTAAAAGTGATAGTGCACTTAGAATGCTTAGTCTAGAGCCTGGCATACAGAAACTGCTCAAGAAATGTTATCTCATTATTTTTAGATGCTGATAGAAGTGGACAATGAATTCAATGAGGGGACGGAGAAGGTTAGGAAACTGGACATTAACAGGATATTGTAACGGAATGTTTACATTCAAGAAGAAAAAATAATTTATGTTTTCCAAGGACTGGGGTATATTCCTATTTAACTGTAATATCTAGTGTGGCAGTTCTTAAAGTATGGTTTGGGGACACCAGGGAATCTCCAAAACCCTTTGAGGTAGTCGATGAGGGCTTTCCCACTCTCATTCTCTCTTGAGGGTGCTGTGGAGTTTTCTAGGTGCCACATGACATGTGATGTTGCAGCTGAACAAAAACAGAAGCAGATATGAGAATCCAGCTGTCTTTAATAGGCCAGACATTAAAGATATTTGCAAAAATGTAAGACATTGACTGTCCTATTGCTAACTTTTTTAAAAAAATTTATATTAACATATATATTGACTGTTACTTTTAAATGAATGAATAAATTAAAGATGTATCTATTTTAGTTTCTAATACAGTGGATATCAATAAATATAACCCACATAACAAAAGCACTTTGAAATTTTCAATATTTTTTAATAGGAAAAAAGATCCTAAAACTAAAAAGTAGGAGAATCTCTGGTCTAGAGAAGCACATGACATGCCTGGCAACACCTCTGCAAAATACCAGGTAGTCACTGGATATAAGTGGGCTCAACATTCAAATTCAGAGATTATCACCTCATCAAAATATTTTTAGAAATGTTATGAGGAAAGCAATGTGAAATCAATGCTTCTATAATATATCCATTTCCTTTGTGCTATGGTTTGAATGTTTATGTTCCCTCAAAGTTCATATAGTTGAAATCCTAACCCCCGTGGTGATGGTATTAGGAGGTGGAACTTTTGGAGATATGTTTAGGTCATGAGGGCTCCACCTTCCTGAATGGGACTAATGCCCTTACACAATAGGCCCAAAAGAGCTTGTTCACTCCTTCCATGTGAAGACCAAGCTAGAAGGCATCGTCTATGAACCAGAAAGCAGGTCCTCTGGCCCGAATCTCCTGGTGCAATGTGTCAGGCATTTTTTCTTACTTGTGGGATAAATCCATGCACAAAAAAAGACAAAAATTCTGTTCTTGTGAAGCTTACTTTCTAGTGAGTAATGTAAGCTTATGTATTGAAATTCAGATGCTCTAGCCCCATGCTTTAGACAAGATTCCTGCAGTCTTCCCTGTCCCTTTATTGTCCAGATCCAGTTTGATTGTAGACTTCCCAGCCCCGAGAGCTATGAGAAATAAGTTTCTGTTGCTTATAAGCCACCTAGTTTATGGTATTTTATTATAGCAGCTAAAACAGTCTAAGACACTTTAATTCTCAGCAATTGTTCGACAGGCAGAGCTTCATGGATTGTAAAGATCAAAGATCCACTCAAGATAGCTCAAGTAAAGGTGAACACAAAGACAACCGCTAAAAACCCAGAATGTAACATGTATTTGTAGTATAAGTTTTCATCTTATACTCCCCTTATTTCACATCCTGTCGTCTTGTTTTATTCATATTAGAATTGCCAATTTTTCTTGCAATAAATTGAAAACCACTCAAGCCTTTACTTAGGAATTAGGTTACATCTTTGCTTTTTGTTGTTATAATTCCAGAACTGCCATTTTTTTCCCAGGAGAAAAATGGTATGGATGGTCATATTCTATACCATGTAACCCTATCCTAACTGGCTACAGCAGATTGAACTGAAACAGGATACTTAATCTAAGGGTAGACAGTCCATGATTGATCTATGGCATATTTTCTGTGAGTCTAACGGTGGCTTCCTATTGTTAAATATACCGATAGGCAGTCCTCCAGAGCAGCAAGCTCAGACTTCTCTGATGATTAAAAATAAAACATACAAGGGGCTGATCAAAGAACGGATACGCAGGCTTCTGTCTTGGAATTTATTCAGGTATTTGAAGAGGCCTGTGAATCTGTTTGTTTAACAAGGCCCCAGATGTGTCTTATCATCAGGGAAGTTTGGTAAACAGGTGGCTTTTTTATAAAGGCATTGGGAAATCCCAGGTATGGAAAAGAGCAGTGGTTCTTGAACTTTATGAACATACCAGTTACTTGGATCTACCACAGAGAGATTATGACTAAGTAGACCTGGCCTGAAGCCCAGGAATCACCGTTTTATTCCCCAGACAATTAATATGTACACTCAACTTTGAGAATGGCCAAGATGAGATGGTTTTTTTTAAATTTTTTCTGGAGATGGGAACTCCATTGTTGCCCAGGCTGGAGTGCAATGGCGCGATCTCGGCTCACTGCAACCTCTGCCTCCCAGGTTTAAGAGAGTCTCCTGCCTCAGCCTCCCAAGTAACTGGGATTACAGGTGTCTGCCACCACACCCAGCTAATTTTTTGTATTTTTAGTGGAGATGGTGTTTCGCCATGTTGGCCAGGCTGGTCTAGAACCCCTGGCCTCAGATGATCTGCCTGCCTTGGCCTCCCAAAATGTTGGGATTACAGATGTGAGCCAGCACACCTGGCCAAGATGGTTTTATTAGATGATTTTTCTCTTTTCTTTTGTTTTTTTCTATCATCAAAGTGTTTTGATTCTGAGATTCCCTACCATCAAAGAACAGATTTTTTTTTGAAAAAATAAATGAAAGGTAAGTAGTGGGCTCAGAACAATTTTGGAGCAGGCTCTGCTACCTCTGCTATGGGGGGAGGCAGAGCACAATGCAGGCCTTCAGCAAGCTTAAGGGCAACTCTGGGATATTTAGGAACTGTGGCTGGGGTAAAAGTGAGACAGGAGGGGCGCAGACAGGGAAGCTTCCCTTTCTTTCCCTCAGCTCCTCATGATGGCAGCCCATCATCAACTTTTTTTTGTTTTTGTTTTTGTTTTTTTGAGATGGAGTCTTGCTCTTGTCACCCAGGCTGGAGTGCAGTGCTACAATCTGGGCTCACTGCAACCTCCACCTCCTGGGTTCAAGTGATTCTCCTGCCTCAGCCTCCCAAGTAGCTGGGTCTACAGGCACCCGCCACCACATCCAGCTAATTTTTGTACTTTACTTAATAGAGATGGGGTTTCGCCATGTTGGCCAGGCTGGTCTTGAATTCCCAGCCTCAGGTGATCCGCCCGCCTCGGCCTCCCAAAGTGCTGGGATTATAGGCGTGAACCACTGTGCCCAGCCTCAACTTCTAATCCTCATCAACTTTCAGGGTGGGTCAAAACTCCACCAAGTGCTACTAGCCCAAATCTCACGCTGAGTGCATAACTGAACCAGTGAAAGCCACAGCCCTCTCAACCACATGACATTGTAAATGCCTTTGTAAACTGCAGCTTGGACTGAAACTTGGTGAAGACAACAAATTATGCCCCAGAGGTTCCAGTCTCTGAAATTTCCTCATTAATGTCACATCAGCCTGAAATCAAGATGCTATTTCTCAGTGGGAGCTTATCTTTACTATCAGATCACACTGCTTATTTTCCAAGAAGGTCCAATTACACTTTGCTTATTCTCCTTCCTAGAAAGAACTGAATTGATTTGCACTAGCCTGATTTAGTGCCATAGGCGTTTGATTCTCCATTAAGAAAAGTGTTCTTTGGTCACCTCTCAGAATTCACAATGAACCTGTACTTCTTGCATCTTATCGTCAGGGAAGTTTGGTAAACAGGTGGCTTTTTTATAAAAGCACTGGGAAATCCCAGGTATGGAAAAGAGCAGCAATTCTCAAACTTTGTGACCATACCAGTTACCTGGATCCACAACAGAGAGATTATGGCTCAGTAGATTCTGTTATTCCCAGTCACTGCTTTTTGAGTCTAGACCCACAGGCTGCATAAGACAACCTTTATTTTTCTTAATAACAATCTATTGCCATCTATCAAATTACATATTGGCCAATTTATTTTGTTTTCTATCTCCCTCTAGTAGAACGTAGGCTCCATATGAGGGTAAAGTTTTGTCTATTTTATTCCCTGGGTCTAAAAAGTTGTCTGGTAGTTAGCAGACCGTTAATAAATATTTGTCAATGGGATGAATAAATGGGTTTTGTTTTCTCTCTGACCAGTTGAGGGAGAAGAGGGAAGTATGGCTTGTAGCTGGCTGAGTCAAGGGACAGGGGAGAGTGGTTGGTTCTAAGGTTCAGGGTCAGGCAAGGGATATAATTTAAGGAAATGAGATACTGTGGGCAGAGAAAACCTTAACCAAAGTTTAATGTAGAGTAGCTTCAAGGCTCTAACACAAAGCACTAGAGCAAAGTGACCAATGGACGAAAACTAAGGTTGGGTACTCAGAGCCTAGAGATCAGACACAGAGGGTCAGAGGCTAAGCAGAGGGAAAAGTGTGTGGCAGGTGAGTGCAGGAACCCCCAGCCCCAGCAGAGTTACACTTGAACCACCAAATTCTGCTTCCTGCTGGTTTTCCCTTATAAAAATAGGACATTAAAAAGCTGCTACTCACTGGGCATGGTGGCTCACACCTGTAATCTCAGCAGTTTGAGAGGCCGAGGCAGCCAGATCATTTGAGGCCAGGTGTTTAAGACCAGCCTGGCCAACATGGAAAGCCCTGTCTCTACTAAAAAAAATACAAAAATTAGCTGGACGTGGTGGCCACACCCATAGTCCCAGCTACTCGGGAGGCTGAAGCAGGAGAATCACTTGGGCCCCAGAGGCAGAGGTTGCAGTGACCTGAGATGATGCCACTGCACTCCAGCCTGGGCAACAGAGTGACACTCCATCTCAAAAAATAATAAATAAAAATAAGTAAATAAAAGCTGCTACTATTTCTAGATTTACATTGAAGAGCAGCAAGCTCTTGCTGACATTAGACAACTTAGCATGAAAAGTTCTAAGTGGTAAGAAAATAAAATACAAAATATAGTAAGCTAGTAACAACATACCATTTTTCCTCTTTATTATGCCATAGAACCTGACAAATTTGTAGCCATTCTGAGGCCTCGTTTGAGTCTCAGAGTATTTTTTAAAATATATGCTTCATTTATTTTGAAATAATTCCAAATTTATAGAAAATTTACAAAAGAGAATTTCTGTATACCAAATTCTCCAAATGTTAACAGCTCCCGTGTTTACCTTACCATTCTCCCTCTCCCTATATACTTTGTTTGTTTGTTTCTTGAGCCAGTGTCTCGCTCTGTCACTGGGCTGGAGTGCAGTGGTGTGGTTACAGCTCACAGCAGCCTCAACATTCCAGGCTCAAGCAATCATCCCACCTCAGCCTCCCAAGTAAGTGTGACTATGGGCACATGCCAACACAACCAGCTAATTTCTTTTTTTATCTTTTTAAAATTTTTTGTAGAGATGGGGTCTCACTAGTACTTCCCTATATACTTTGTTCTAAACCATTTGAGAGTAAGTTATCTATAGTATCACATTACCTGTAAACATTTCTTTTTTGGAAGATTCAATATCATAAAAATGTCAAAATCTCAAATTGATAAATAAATTTCATGCAGTTACAATAAAATTCCAATTTTTTTCCAGGAGCCTGACAAGTTTTATCTAAAATGTTTTGTAGCCTTTATTAAAGAGAAATACAATGTTGAAGAAAAAAAGATAGGACTTGACCTGCAAAGTATCAAAAATTATCGTAAACGTATAGTAATTAGGACAGAGTGGTATTGACAAAGGTATGGACAAACCAATCAATGGGAACTCAGAAATAAACCCAAACGTATACAGACTTGATTTTATTTCAGTACAGCCATGTTAGTTTCAGGTGAAAAGGATAGATGTTTTTCAGTGTGTGGTACTGGGACAATTATTAGGTTGGTGCAAAAGTAATTGTGGTTTTTGCCATTGCTTTTAATTATTTTTAATGGCAAAAACTGCAATTACTTTTGCACCAACCTAATAGTTAACTTTGGGGAAAACATGGTATTAGACTCATAACAGTCTTTAGCCAGACTGTTTAAAGACCTGTACGAGAAAAGTAAAAGCATATGACTCTTAGAATCTTATATAGAAGAGTAACTTTATTAACCCCTAAACATTCCTATGCGTATTTCCTAAACACAAGGACATTCTCTTACATAACCACAATTTAATTATCAAAATCAAGAAATTAACATTGATTCACTACTATATCTTAATATAAAGACCTTATTCAATGTTGCCAATGGCCCCACTAATGTCCTGAGAGCATCCTGCAAGAACAGAATTCTACTGTAACCCCCACTGTGTTCAGTCACTGGCTGTAAGCAACCCTGAGTGAAGGCCGTGGTGGATCACAACAGCTGGAACTCAGGTCATTTCTGCTCCCCACAGCAACAGATCTGGGTGACAAGTTTCTATAGCTGCTAATATAGTTTGGATATTGGCTCCACCCAAATCTCATGTTGAAATATAATCCCCAATGTAGTAGGTGGGGCCTAGTGGGAGGTGATTGGATCATGGGGGTGGATTTCTCATGAATGTCTTAGGACCATTCCCTTGGTGCTGTCCTCGAGATAGTGAGTGACTTCTCGTAAGATCTGGCTGTTTAAACATGTGACACCTCGCTGGTTATCTCTCTTGCTCCTGCTCCCACCGTGTTAGACATCTGCTCCTCCTTTGCCTTCTGCCATGATTGGAAGCTTCCTGAGGCCTCTGCAGAAGCAGTTGCTGGCGTTATGTTTTCTGTACAGCCTGCAGAACCATGAGCCAATTAAACGTCTTTTCTTTCTACATTAACCAGTCTCAGGTATTTCTTTAAAGCAGTGCAAGAATGGCCTAATATAGCTGCTACGGTAGGCCTTCTTGTTACCAAACTAGAAAGGTCAAGAGAATCCTAGAAGTCCATCCTGAGCTGAGTTGTTCTGCTGTGCCCACCTCGGCAACTGCCGGCCTCTGACCTCTTGGTAGGCCAGAATTAGAAACCTCTCTATGTCTGAGCCAGTGTAAGTCAGGTTTTCTGTTATTTGTGGTCAAAAGCGTTTCTAACTGACATAAGCCCCTAAAAATAGAAATGCCAGATTTTTTTTTTTTTTTTTTTTTTTAAGAGACGGAGTCTCGCTCTTTCGCCAAGGCTGGAGTGCAGTGGCATGATCTCGGCTGACTGCAAGCTCCACCTCCCAGGTTCACGTCATTCTCCTGCCTCAGCCTCCCCAGTAGCTGGGACTACATGTGCCCGCCACCACACCCGGCTAATTTTTTTTTTTTGTATTTTTAGTAAAGACGGGGTTTCACCGTGTTAGCCAGGATGGTCTTCATCTCCTGACCTTGTGATCCACCCACCTCGGCCTCCCAAAGTCCTGGGATTACAGGCGTGAGCCACCGCGCCCTGCCAGAAATGCCAGATTTTTATAGCTACGCATGTACACACACACAAACACACATACACATACTCAAACTGCTCTCAAGAAAAAATTTAACAAATGAATTACATAATATATGAGTACAGCTGTTTCCTCTCATGACATGCAATATATTTTTATCACTTCAGCTTATTTTGATGATTTTAATAGGCATAACACCTTTCTTTAACAACTAATCACACAGAATCACAGAATTTTAGAGTTGGAAGGAACTTGAGTGATTATCTCATCTAAACTCTCTTACAGTACATATAATGTTAAGAACTGTGTTTACAAATAAGTGAAGTAGTCATGAAAGAAAAAAGTGATGTAACAGCAGGTGCAAAAGCAGTTGAACCCAGGTAAGAGGGTTGTCCAATTACCTCAAGCCAAATAATCAACGTGTGTATTCATGAATGTGCCCACTAAACATTTTCTACAATGTTCTTTATGGTCAGAATCAGCAAACTCTCTTTTTCACAGGGAATACAATAGCAAAACTTTAAAGAAATTTACATTGACGAAGCTGTACCACGTTGTCATGTCAGTATAATGTGGGGGGAGAAGCAAATTATTTGATTTCAGCTTCAATCAGTTTTATTGTAGGCTCCGCCACTTGCTAAGAGTGTAACCCTGGGCAAATGATCTGTCCTTTCTTTGTCTTTGTTCCTTCATCTATAAAACAGGAATGATATCACAGTTACTATCTTACACTAGCTATTATTATTGTTGCAGTACAGTCTACTGAGAAATATGCACTCATTATGTCATAGAAATAGATGTGACTTATTAAAGTATTCTGGCATTTATTGGCCTTGGAATGTCCACTGCAAGGGTTAATAAACTTCGGGCTGTCATGTTCCTCTGAGTCTGACTGGGCCCCAGCCTGCATGCCTTTCCACTGTTGGCAGGAGTCTAGACCTCAGATCTTTGTACTTTGGGGACCTTTGAACCTGAACTTGCAATAAAAGGAGGGCAATTTATTCAAGAGGCTTTATCCAGTTGCCATAGAAACTGATCCTTTTTCCAGCTTTCTTTCCATACCCTCCAGTGCAGAGTCACTAGTCAGTAGGTTTTTAAAAGACACTAGTGGATGCCCTCAGAAGCATCTAAAACACCTAAACTGCAGCCTGAGGTCCTTTTGTAATCTATACAGATCCTTTCTCTGGAACCTGTAAAATGTTGCAACTCTATGTTAACAAACGGAACTATGTCTGTGTCTTAAATGGGGAAATGTTTGTAACCCAAATGTCTATGCCCAGCTGAGTCTACTTGGTTCAGGCATGAAGGCAACAGAAACACATTCCAACTATGTAAGGGCCCAGAAAATCTACAACTTTGTAGTATCCCTGAAAAACTTACTCTAAGACATACTTGGCAAACTGAGAAATAAAATAAACAATAATACATTGAAAGGAAGCAAGTAATTTGATCTTGGAAACAGCTTAGTAGTATAGATTTCTGGGAACATTTCCTAATCCGCTTTGTAAGGGTGCTTCAATCTTGTCTGAAATCTACAATAAACTAATAGGATTTTTTCTTAAAGATAAGTAAGTTCCTGGCTTATTTTCACTAAGCTGAGACTAATAACGCTTCAATTCTAAACAAAATATTATTTGTATCTTATGGCTTTGGGTCAGATTACCCATCTTTCCACACTGTCTCTAAAAATAATACAAATGACGAAGAACAAGTTGTACCAAAAGCACTCTGTTATTCCCACTCTCTGGTCTTTTGCGAGACAAAATGACATAACTGAAATAGCAAGTCAGTCTGGCTGGGGAATCAATACTGAGTCTGTAAATTATCAGCTGCATAGCCTTAAACAAATCACTTACCTGCTCTTTGCCTCAAATTCTTGATTTATCCTTCATTCTACAGCAAAGGGAGACAAAGGGGCTTTCCCAGTTTTCTACAGTTTGGACTCTAGGGTAAGAGGATTTTCAGTAATCAATACTATCTAAAGTGATAAACTGCTTGTATATCCAAAAACAATGAGATGGATTCACATAACTGGATTCCCATCAGATAGAATGCAGAGGGACTTACAGCCTTTCTAATAGTGGGCACAGCAGTTGCAATCCTATTTGTATTTTTTTTTGTAGTTTCTTCAGTGGAAGTGTGTGTGTGTGTGTGTGTGTGTGTGTGTGTGTGTGTGTAATTTGATCTTTACAATTCTCTGAGGAATGATTATCTCTGTTTTTTTCCTAATAAAGAAACAGGGCCAGGCGCAGTGGCTCATGCCTATAATCCCAGCACTTGGGGTGGGCTGAGGCAGGTGGATTGCTTGAGGTCAGGAGTTCAAGACCAGCCTGGCCAACATGGCAAAACTCCGTGTCTAGTAAAAATGCAAAAATTAGCTGGGCATGGTGGTGTGCGCCTGTAGTCCCAACTACTCATGAGGCTGAGGCAGGAGAATCACTTGAACCAATGAGGCCGAAGTTGTAGTAAGCCGAGATCGCACCACTGTACTGCAGCCTGGGTGACAGAGTGGGACTCCATCTCAAAAAAAAAAAAAAAAAAAAAAAAAAGAAAAAAACAAAAAGAAACAGATGCTCAGAGAAACAAAGTGACTTGCTCAAAAATGAATGTAAGACAGAGGTGGATGGAAAGGGTAACAGGTGATAATGGAAACCATAAAGACCTCTGAATACAACTCCTCCATAAAAGTAGTGGGAACACTGCCAAAAATAGTCAAATACAACTTTTTTAGAACTCTGGAAATCAACCAAAGAGAAGTATTTATTTACAACAACAACAACAACAAAAAAGGTGATCTCAGTAAGCACAGTGAACTTTGTGGAATTTTAATTTGTCCTATTCCTATTCCTCCTTAGCTCAGCAGAGGCTGGAGAACAAACAGACCCCCAGTCATGGTGAAAACCAGCAGCCTAGCAGCCACTGGAGGGGGCAAAATGGGCTGGGAACTCCCAAAAACATTCTTCTCAGAGAGCTGTCATTTTTTGACAAATCTGGCAGTTCCCTGGAAAATTCTGTTCTAAAGCCTTGTCTTTATTTGACCTGACTCAGAACAGCCTTTTCCCGAGGGCCATTTGTCAAAAGCAATCAATAGCAATTGTTTAACATTACAACTGCTTGAAGCAGCCATAACAGTTGAGACAAACAAGAAGTGGACCAAAAAACACTTAAAAGGAAAAGCTTGGGAATGAAATATTCATAGGGGGCTTTGCAAAGCTTCCACATATTTCTAGAAATCTAGAAGGATGCAAATGATAAGGCTCTGCAAGAGCCCAGGGAAGACTTAAATAAATGGAAAGACATCGTGTGTTTATGGATTGGAAGGTTTAATATGGACAAGATGGCAATACTCTCCCAAATGGATCAACAGATTCAATGCAATCCCTATCAAAATCCCACTTGCCTGTTTGCAGAAATTGACAAATTTACATGGAAATGCAAAGCACCCAGAATAGCCAAAGCATTCTTGAAAAAGAAGAGCAAAATTGAACTCACATTTCTCAATTTCAAAAGTTACTACACAGGTAGAGTAATCAATTCAGTGTGGTTCTAGCATACAAGAGATAACATTGGTTGGGCACGGTGGCTCACGCCTGTAATCCCAGCACTTTGGGAGGCAGAGGTGGGTGGATCATTGAATCATTTGAGGTCAGGAGTTCAATACCAGCCTGGCCAACATGGTGAAACCCTGCCTCTACTAAAGATACAAAAATTAGCTAGGTGTAGTGGTGGGTGCCTGTAGTTCCAGCTACTCAGGAGGCTGAGAGAGGAGAATTGCTTGAACCCGGGAAGCGGAGGTTGCAGTGAGCTGAGATCCCGCCACTGCACTCCAGCCTGGGTGACAGAGTGAGACTCTGTCTCAAAAAAAAAGAAAAAAGAGAAAAGAAAAAAGAACAACAAAAAAACCAGGAGAGATATATAGATCAATGGAATTGAATTATTGTTCCAGAAATAAATTGTTACACTTAATGGTCAGTTGATTTTGACAAGGATGTTGACACAATTCAATGGGGAAAAATCATCTTTTTAACAAAAGGTAGTGGGACAACTGAATATCTATATAAAAAGAATGAAGTTAGAACCTGAAGGAGTGAAGAACATGTCATCTCAAAATATCCTAGATAGGTGTATTGATTATTTCAAGTTGAAAACATTGGAGAAATTGCAGTTTCAGAAAGGGCTAGCTAGACTGTCTCTTCCTCCATGCAGTAAGCCATTTCCTCTGGGAAGGGTACCTTCACCTTATCAGGGTAAGAAAGTAGCCCTTCCATCACAGACTTGGAACTGGACCTGCAATGTGCCTGAATAAACATATTTACTGAAGTAACCCTTATCTTCTGCTAGTATTATGCCCCCACCCCATATATCTCCTAGTGACTCCCCAGGAAAATTTACTGTCTCGAGCTAAATTATATTTGTACTGTCATTTCTTCTCAAATTTATCATTCTTTGTCTAAAAAGTATAAAATCAGCTTGCTTTGGCCACTTCTTCAGACTTCACTCTCTTGTGAAGATACCCGTGTACACGTAAAACTAATAAAAATTTGTATACTTTTCTCTTGTTAATCTGCCTGGTGTCAATTTTGTTTCTAGACCCAGCTGAAGAACTGCTAAGAACCAAAAGGGGTTGGAGAAGATCTCTGGCTCCCCTACAAACCCTTCCTCACACTATATGCAAAAATTAACACAAAAACAATCCAAGATTGAAATGTGAGATCTAAAACTACGAAACTCTTAGAAGAAAACATAGAAGTAGCCCTTCATGAGCAGTGAATACTTAAATACATCAAAAACATACTGACCAAAAAAAAAGGAAATTAAACATCGAAATTTAAAACTTTTGTGCTTCAAAATACATTATTAAGAAAGTGGAGGCCGGGCATGGTGGCTCACACCTGTAATACCAGCACTTTGGGAGGCCGAAGCGGGTGGATCACAAGGTCAGGAGATTGAGACTATCCTGGCTAATCCGGTGAAAACCCGTCTGTACTAAAAATACAAAAAATTAGCCGGGCGTGCTGGCAGGTGCCTGTATTCACAGCTACTTGGGAGGCTGAGGCAGGAGAATGGCATGAACCCGGGAGGCAGAGCTTGCAGTGAGCTGAGATTGCCACTGCACTCCAGCCTGGGAGACGGAGCGAGACTCCGTCTCAAAAAAAAAAAAAAAAAAAAAAAGAAAAGAAAAGAAAAGAAAGTGGAAAGACGTCCCAAGAATGGGAGAAAATATTTGCAAATAATATATCTGATAAGAGACTAATATCCAAAATATATAAAGAACTCATACAATCCAATGATAAAAAGACCAATAACAGTATTTTAAAGCAGGCAATGTATTTGAATAGATATTTTTCAAATATATACAAATGGCCAATAAGGACATGAAAAGATGCTCAACATTATTAATCATCAGGGAAATGCAAATTAAAACCACAATGAAATACCACTTTATACCCACTAAGATAGCTATCATCAAAAAGATGAACAATAGCAACTGTTGGTAAACAGGATATGCAGAAACTGAAACCCTTATGTACTGCCGATGGAAACATAGAGGGTTCAGTCACTTTGGAAAACAGTTTGGAGTCCTAAAAATGTTAAAAATAGAGTTACCATGTGACTTAACAATTCTACTCTTAGGAATATACCCAAAAGAATTAAAAACATGTTCACACAAAAACTTGTACACAAATGTTCATAATGATGTTATTCATAATAGCCAAAAAAGTTGGAAAAAACCCAACTGTCCACCAACTGATGAGTAGATAAACAATATGTGATATGTCCATACAGTAGAAAATTATTCAACCATAAAAAGGAACTAAGTAGGCCAGGCACAGTGTCTTACACCTGTAATCCCAGCACTTTGGGAGGCCAGGCAGGTAGATGGCTGAGCTCAGGGTTTTGAGACCAGCCTGGGTAACATAGCAAAACCTGTCTCTACAAAAAATACAAAAATTATCTGGCATGGTGGAGCATGCCTGTAGTGCCAGCAACCTGGGAAGGTGAGGTGGGAGGATTGCTTGAGTCTGGGAGGTCAAGCCTGCAGTGAGCCATGATCGTGCCACTGCACTCCAGCCTGGGCAACAGGGTAAGACCATGTCTTGGAAAAAAAAAAGAAAAGAAAAAGAAGAAATGAAGTACTGATACGTGCTCCAATACGAATGCACCTTGAAAACATTATACTAGGTAAAAGAAGTCAGATGCAAAAGACCAGAAATCATTTCATTTATATGAAATTTTTAGAACAGGGAAAATCATGATAGAGATTGAAAGTACATTAGTGATTGCCTAGTGTAGAGGGGCTTTGGGGTGAAATAGGAGTGAATAATAACAGATATGGGATTCTTTTTGGAATGATTAAAGTGTTCTGAAATTGAATTATGATGATGGTTGCACAACTTTGTGATTGCCCTAAAACCACTCACACATATACTTTAAAAGGATAAATTGTGTGATATGTGAATTATATCTCAAAACATTTTTAAAGATAGAGGTGAAGCCAAGAAGCAGGTATTCCGGCTGTGAGATCAGGGGACTCTCCACCATACTACACCAAAGGAAACGCTTTAGCCATCACAAACTACTGTTTATTGGAGATACACAAAGAAAGGGGACAGGCATAAATAGTTTGCAAGGCTGTTAATAGCTCTCAGATAGTCCTCCTATATTGTCATAATCCTCACTGGAATCTGCACATAATAAGCTCTTAATAAATATCTGCTGCGTAAATACCCTAGGTCTTTGGTTCTATAAGAGAAACGTCTTACTGGCAAAATAAGTTTAACAAACTCTTTTTTGGGTCATTGTCATCCCTTCCTCCCTAGGGATGCTTGGGAGTAGGAATCAGAGCAGGTTGGTGGGTCTTATTGGATTGGAAATCTTCCCATATATGTTTCTTGTCTGGTTTATTTATGTATTTATTTATTTTTGAGACAGGGTCTTGCTCTGTCATCCAGGCTGGGGTGCAGTGGCACAATCATAGCTCACTGCAACCTCAAACTTCTGGGCTCAAGGCACCCTTCTGCCTCACCTCCCAAGTAGCTGGGACTACAGGTGCACACCACTGCACCCAGTTAATTTTTATTTTTTATTTTTTGTAGAGATGGCATCTTGCAATGTTCCCAGGCTGGTCTCGAACTCCTGGGCTCAAGTGATCCTCCTGCCTTGGCCACCCAAAAGTGTTGAGATTATAGGAGTGAGCCACCACACCCGGCCTTATCTGGCTTATTATAAGTACATCTCTGAGGAAAGTTCTTCCCTTTTCTTCAGGCATGCCACATAAACTGATTTTCTAGAGTTTCAGAAGAGAAATTCTTAACCTATACTGTTTATATGAGGAGTTACTCTGCCAATTATCAAAACATACTTCTTTCTTTCTTAATGTAAATTTTGGCAAATATACTTATCAAATACAGCACATTTGTTAAAATGAAACTCCTAAGAAAAAATAAAAATAAGGAGAACAATAACTCATGATCAAAGTTTGTTCCGTAATTAAATATCTATCTAGCTTTATGGAAATTCTATGATTCTTTGCATTCTGCTGGGAAGAAAAGGGGTGGCTTTGTTTTTTATTTCAAATGTCAATACATGAAAATATTCAACTCAACATATATGTTGAATGCTTTCTATGTTGAAAGCACTGTGCTAAGCCTGGTACGACATACATAAACATGATAAGGACATGGTAGATAAGATGCTGACATCAAGGAATTTATGGTCTACCCAGCGAGAGCTTCCCTTACCATCTTATTAAAAAATTTAAACCTCGACACTGCCCTGACACTTTCTACCTTTGTCCACACTTTTTTTCCTTAGAAAAATCTAACATACTGTATATTCTACCTATTTATCTTTGTTTATTGCCTTTCTTCTCCAATAGAATATAAGCCGCATGGAGACAGGCATATTTGTATATCTTGTTCACCACTATGTTCTAGTGTCTAGAATGGTGGTTGGCATATATTTTTGTTGAAGGAGAGATGCATAAACAAGCATCTCATTGGTGAACTGGAAAGAATGAGCTGGATAGTTCAGTCATGGATAGTGAATAGAGAGATGTCTTGGCAATCAGAAGATGGGTCAATTTCAGGTGGGGGTAATCTTGGACAAGGCATTTTTCTTGATCTATAAAGTGAAACAGTTACATTATCAGGATACTCAATTTTTTGCATCTTATAAATCACCCACTACTCCCGTAAAGAATCTGAGCTCCTCTGTAATAGAAACAAAAAGTCCATTATATTCC
Source organism: Homo sapiens (assembly GCF_000001405.40). Taxonomy (NCBI): domain Eukaryota; kingdom Metazoa; phylum Chordata; class Mammalia; order Primates; family Hominidae; genus Homo; species Homo sapiens. The sequence goes on from NC_000004.12 coordinate 76,863,703, forward strand.
AGGAACAACACTGACATGTGTTTCTATATTCCATTACATTTTCCATTTACAAAAAGTTTCAAACACGTAAAAATTGTAATACCATATGGAAGTAAATTTTATTTGCTAGAATTTATAAAGTAATAAATAATAATGCCGTAAAGAGTTAAAATTATAGTGATGCTATTGAGAATAATTTATTATAATATCAACTATAAAAACATACTAGCACTAAATTTTAAATTGTAGTAAATGACAGCAGGAAAGACATTATGTATGTCTCCTGAACACTATATATATGTTCTTGCAATTACTTTAAAATATGTTATACTATACTTATATAAGATAGTACCATTGGAGAAGACTGAAGGAGACTGAGTGTGCCTCAAGTGAACATTTTATGCAAGGTGTTGTTGAAAGGCGTGGTTGAGTACCTAAAAAAAATGGAGAACTGGGAACCGCATTACTTGTTATAGAACAAGTTGTATAAACTATATTCAAAAAAATGAATTTTTCTTTTTAAAAATATGTTGCAAATTTGATCTAAGACTGACTTTTATTAAAACCAGTTATCCACGTATGGTGATTGAGTTGGGAAGAAAGCAAGTAGGTAACTGTTTCCCTACTTAACCTTCTTGAGCAGTTACTGTTATCTTCCAAAAAGAACCTAAGTTCTGTGCATGACCAGGTCAGTCAGCAATTGTCCTGAACCGATCGACAATCCCTGAATAAAATAACCTCCCTGTCACTGTCCCCTTCCTTTGTAATCAGAAGATCACTGGAAAACACACATCCTCAAGGTAGGTCAAGACTGACAGAATCAAAAAGTAAATTAATTAATTAATTAATTTTTAAAAGACTGACTGAATCTTCTCCATTGGCTTCCCTTTGCTCTCAGGATAAAATCAAACTCCCTAATGTAGTTTTTATGGACCTTTGAGAACTGGCCCTGTTACCTTTTCAGTTCATAACTGACCACTCCCCTTTCATTTTTTGTTTCAGGCTTTCCTGTAATTCAGAGCTTCTTTCAGTTTCTCAAAAGGGCTGAGCTCTTTCTAGCCTTCAGGTTTTTTCTTTTTTTGCAATTAAAAAAATTAGATACAATTCACCATTTCAACCATTTTAAATGTATAACTTATAATGTTGTGCAACCACCATCCCTATCTAATTCCAGAACATTTCTATCACCTTAAAAAGAAACCCTATACCAGCAGGGCACAGCAGCTTGCAGCTATAATCGCGGCTCTTTGGAAGGCTGACGTGGGGGGATGACTTGACTTCAGGAGTTTGAGACCAGCCTGGGCAACATAGGTACACCCTATCTCTACAAAAAAGAAAAAAATAGCCAAGTGTAGTGGTGTGTGTTTGTAGTCCCAGCTACTCGTGAGGCTGAGGAGGGAGGATCACTTGAGCCCAGGAGGTCGAGGCTACAGTGAGCTGTGACTGTGCCACTGCACTCCAGCCTGGGTAACAGAGCTAGACTCTGTCTCAGAACAAACAAAAACCAGACAAACAAAAAAGAAAGAAAGAAAAAAGAAAAATAAAGAAACCCTATACCCATTGGCAGTCACTCCCAATTCCTCCCTTTACCTATTCCCCTAGGCAACCACTAATCTACTCCATCTCTCTGGATTTACTTGTTCTGGACATTTCATATAAATGGAATCATACAGCATGTGGCCTTTTGTGTCTAACTTTGACTTAGCATAAGGTTTTCAAGGTTCATCCATGTTGTGGTATGTATCAGCACTGCATTCCTTTTTATGGCTGAATAATTTTCCACTGTATGGATATACTACATTTTGTTTATCTACTCATCAGTTGGTGGACATTTGGGTTACTTCCACTTTTTTGGATATCATTAATAATGCTGACATGAACATCCGTGCACACATTTTTGCATGAACACGTTTTCAATTATTTGGCTATATATCTAACGGTAGAGTTGCTGGGTCCTATGGTAACTCTCTATTTAGCTTTTGGAGAAGCTGCCCAACTGTTTCCCCTCTAGGATGTTTTTATCGGCCCCTAAACTATTTTGAATGTGCCATTCCTTAGTCTGGAGCATTCATCCCCTGAGATCCCAGTTTAGACATCACTTCCTCTAAAAAGCCTTCCCTGACCACTTACCTCTAAATTAGATATGCTTAAAATCTGAGGTAGAGAATACCATCCCAGCATTTACCATATTATCTTGTCTTCCTTGGTTTTCTCTCCCTAGTCTGTGAGCTCTGTTGAGAGGTAATGTGGGTATCATTCTCTAGCACAGATCCTGATATCTGGGAGGCATGCAGTGAGGAATGTTAGATTGAAGAATCACCGCATTATTCTACTCAAAGCAACAAAAGTCTTTGCTGCATGATTCTTCCACTAATGAAAGTCTACATAAATGAATTGAGTTATTGAAGAATAACATTGGAGAATACATACACGTGTATACATAAGTATATTACTAATATTCATGACTAAGTATTTTATTGACTGATTTTTTAAGTGTTTAATAATAAAATTTAGGGACCATCTATTACGCCAAGATTGAAATTATATTCATATGTACAAATGTTTCAAGAAACAATTGCTGGGAGGATCCAAGATGGCCAATCAGAAGCAGCTGCTTTCTGCGGCACTCACAGAGAGGAACGAAAGCAGTGAGTGAATTCAACACCTTCAAATGAAATATCCATACTCTTGCATTGGGACTGACTAGGCAAACAACTCGACCTGCAGAGAACGAAGAAAAGCAGGAGAGTGGGCGATGGCCCACCTGGAAGCAGGACAGAGCCAAAGGAACCCCACCCCTAGCCAAAGGAAGCAGTAAGTGATTATGCGACCCTGCCCGGGAAACCACACTTCTCCCACAGATCTTTGCAACCTGTAGGTCAGGAGATCCCCTCATGAGCCCATGCTGTGTATTGGTCTTGGGTTCAATACACAGAGCTCAGAGTCTCTGGAGCCTCCGCAGAGCAGCCACTTAGGCATACACACAGACACGGGAGTTTTACATACTCTGGCCCCAGGATCGCTGGCAAGGTGGGAAATCCATCCGTACATATCCCTAGGAAGGGGGCTGATCCAGGAAGCCAAGCAGCATCATTCTGCAGGCCTCACTTCCATGACATCTCACAAGTTAAGACTCACTGGCTTGGAATTCTAGCCAGCCAATAGCAACAGGCTGAAATCTGCCTGAGACAGATTCGGGTTCCCGGAGGAAGGGGCAGCCGCCATCTCTGTGGTTCGGTAGACTCAGCCATTCCAGCCTTCCAGTTTTGGAGACCACAGACAATCCAGATGAGGAAGGGTCCCCGCCAGTGCAGCACACCTGCTCTACCAAAAAGCATCCAGACTACGTTTTTAAGTGGGTCCCTGAACCCGTTCCTCCTGACTGGGCGAGACTTCCCAACAGGGGTCTCCAGCCACCTCCTACAGGTGTATTCAGGCTGGCAACAGGTCAGTAACCCCCAGGATGGAGCTTCCTGAGGAAAAAGCTGGCTGTCATTTTTGATGTTTTCCAGCCTTCACTGGTGATACCTCCAGGTATGGGAAAACCCAAAGCAACTAGTGTCTGGAGTGGACCCCCAGCAAACCACAGCAGCCCTTTGGTAGAGTGGTCTATTAAAAGAAAAACAGAAGACAACAACAACAACAGCAACAAAAATACCCCATAAAAATCCCACTCAGGTCAGCAACCTCAAAGACCATAGGTAGAAAAGCCCACAAAGATGAGAAAGAATCAACATAAGCCCGGGAGTTAGAAGCTGCAATGAGCTATGGTCGTGCCACTGCACTAAAGCCTGGGTGACAGAGCGAGACTGTCTCTAAAAATTATAAAATAAAAGAAGAGGTTTTGGAGAGATCATAGCAGACAGAAGGCAGGACTAGATTGCAGCTCTGGACAGAGCAGTGGGCAGCAGCTTGCATTGTGAATTTTAGCTCCAGATCAACTGCAAGAACAAACCAGCAATACTGAGAGAAACCACAGACCCTCTGACAGAAGTGGACTGCTCCTGCAGAACCCAGGAGACCACCCCCGCACCCCCCGCCAAAACAAAACAAAACAAAAAAACTGTGAGTGCCCTAATTGCGGAAGCGGGAAAGGGAGACCCTCCTCTCCCGAACACACACCTCCACTGGAGAAGGTGAAGGTCTGTTTGCAGAAGTTTCCGACTTTACCTGGAGCTAAGTCAATTTGGAGACCCGAGTGAAATACAGGGGTAGAGGAAGCAGCAGAAAGGCCCTGGGAGCTCGCAGGTTACGGGAGAGAAGCATAGAGTAAAACTACACGGGGAGAAGCAAATCTATAGCTGAACTTTGTAACAATTTGAACGGGGTGAGAAGCCTCCTAGCCTGAACTCGGGGTAGGATGCAAATCTGGTGCGCAGACTCCACAGGCAGGGGAGGAACTAAGCCCTTTTCTTTCGCAGCTGGGAGGTGGATAGCCTGGGGCACGTTTTCAAGCCCATATTGCTCTCCACCTGGAAACGGTCTGGGGGCTCTTGAGGGGTAGGGGGACGCGGTGGGAGTGAGACCAGCCCTTCGGGTTGCATGGGAGGTGGGTGAGGCCTGTGACTGCCGGCTTTCCCCCACTTCCCTGACAACCTGCATGACTCAGCAGAGGCAGCCATAATCCTCCCAGGTACACAACTCCAGTGAGTTGACAATCTCACCCCCATCCCCCACAGCAGCCACAGCAAGACCCACCCAAGGAGAGTCTGAGCTCAGAACATGCCTAGCCCCGCCCCCACCTGATGGTCCTTCCCTATCCACCCTGGTAGGGGAAGACAAAGGGCATATAATCTTAGGAGTTCTAGGGCCCCGCCCACTACCAGTTCCTCACTATAGTACCACAGCTGATGCTCTCTGGAAAGTGCCACCTCCTGGCAGGAGGCCAACCAGCACGAAAAGAGAGCATTAAACCACCAAAGTTAAGAACCCTCACTGAGTCCATTGCCTCCACCACCTCCACTGGAACAGGCACTGGTATCTATGGCTGTGAGACCCATAGACAGTTCACATCACAGGACTCTGTGCAGACAACCCCCAGTACCAGCCTGGAGCCGCGTAGACTCGCTGGGTGGCTAGACCTAGAAGAGAGACAACAGTCACTGCAGTTTGGCTCACAGGAAGTCACATCCATAGGAAAAGGGAGACAGTACTGCATCAAGGAAACACCCCATGGGACAAAAGAATCTGAACAACAACCTTCAGCCCTAGACCTTCCCTCTGACAGAGCCTACCCAAATGAGAAGGAACCAGGAAACCAACCCTGGTAATATGACAAAACAAGGCTCTTCAGCGCCCTCCCCCGACGCCCACAAATCACACTAGTTCACCAGCAATGAATCCAAACCAAGAAGAAATCCCTGATTTACCTGAAAAATAATTCAGGAGGTTACCAGCCTGGCCAACATGGCGAAACCCTGTCTCTACTAAAAATACAAAAATTAGCCCAATGTAGTGGTGCACACCTGTAATCTCAGCTACTCAGGAGGCTGATGCAGGAGAATTGCTTGAACCTGGGAGGCAGAGGTTGCCATGAGCTAAGATCGCCCCACTGCTCTCCAGCCTGGGTGACAGAGCGAGACTCCTTCTCAAAAAAAAAAAAAAAGAAAGAAAGAAAAAGAAAAGAAAACAAACAAAAAAACCCAGCACTCTGGGAGGCCGAGGCGGGTGGATCACAAGGTCAGGAGATCAAGACCATCCTGGCTAACACAGTGAAACCCCATCTTTACTGAAAAATACAAAAAATTAGCTGGGCATAGTGGCAGGCGGCTGTACTACTCGGGAGGCTGAGACACAAGAATGGTGTGAACCTGAGAGGCAGAGCTTGCAGTGAGCTGAGATCATGCCACTGCACTCCAGCCTGGGTGACAAAGCGAGACTCCGTCTCAAAGAAAAAAAAAGGAATTCAGGAGGTTAGTTATTAAGCTAATCAGGGAGGAACCAAAGAAAGGCAAAGCTCAGTGCAAGGAAATCCAAAACATGATACAAGAAGTGAGGGGAGAAATAGTCAAGGATTATCAAGAAATATTCAATAGCTTAAAGAAAAATCAACAAAAAAAATTCAGGAAACTTTGGACACACTTTTAGGAATGCAAAATACTCTGGAAAGTCTCAGCAATATAATTGAATAAGTAGAAGAAACAAATTCAGAGCTTGAAGACACGGTCTTTGAATTAACCCAATCCAACAAAGACAAAGAAAAAAGAATAAGAAAATATGAACAAAGCCTCCAAGAAGTCTGTTCTCGTGCCATTAATAAAGACATACCCAAGACTGGGTAATTATAAAGGAAAGAGGTTTAATTGACTCACAGTTCCACATGGCTGGGGAAGGCCTCACAATCGTGATGGAAGGTGAAGGGGAAGCAAGACATGCTTTCATGGCAGCAGGCTAGAAAGCTTGTGCAGGGGAACTCCCATTTATAAAACCACCAGATCTCGTGAGAGTTATTCACTACTGCAAGAAGAGTATGGGGGAAACCACCCCCATGATTCAATTATCTCCACCTGGATCCGCCCTTGACACGTGGGGAATATTAGAATTAAAGGTGAGATTTGGGTGGGGACACAGCCAAACCATATCAAATTAAACTAAAAAGCTTCTGCACAGCAAAAGAAGCTATTATCAGAGTGAACGGACAACCTATAGAATGAGAGAAAATGTTTGCAATCTATCCATCCAACAGAGGCCTAATATTCAGAATCTACAAAGAACTTCAACAAATTTACAAGAAAAAAACAAACAACCTCATTAAAAAGCAGGCAAAGGACATGAACAGACACCTCTCAAAAGAAGTCATACATTTGGCCAACAAAATATGAAAACAAGTTCAACATCATTGATCATTAGACAAATTGCAAGTCAAAACCACAATGAGATACCATCTCACACAAGTGAGAATGCCTATTATTAAAAAATCAAAAAACAACAGATGCTGGTGAGGTTGTGGAGAAAAAGTAATGCTTTTACACTGTTGGTGTGAGGGTAAATTAGTTCGGCCATTGTAGAAGACAGTGTGGTGATTCCTCAAAGACCTAGAGGCAGAAATACCATTTGACCCAGCAATCCTATTACTGGGTATATACCCAAAGAATACAAATCATTCTATTATAAAGATATATGAATACATATGTTCAATGCAGCACTATTCACAATAGCAAAGACATGGAATCATCCTCAATTCCCATCAACAATAGACCAGATAAAGAAAATGTGGTACATATACACCATGGAATACCATGTAACCATAAAAAAGGAATGAGATCATGTCCTTTGTGGGGACATGGATGGAGCTGGAAGCCATGATCCTTAGCAAACTAATGCAGGAACAAAAAACCAAACACCACATGTTTTCACATAAGTGGAAGCTGAATGATGAGAACACATGGACACATGGGGGGAAATAACACACATTGGGGTGTGGCAGAGGGGTCATGTTGCAGGAGGGAGAGCATCAGGAATAATAGCTAATGGATGCTGAGCTTAATACCTAGGTGACAGGATGATCTGTGCAGCAAATCATCATGGCACACATTTACCTATGTAACAAACCTGCACATCCTGCACATGTACCTTTGAACTTAAAAGTGGAAGAATAAAAAAAAGAAACAACTGCTATTCTTTGACCAAGTAATTCCACTTCTGAAAATCATAAGGAAATAACCATAAATGCAGAAAATGTTTTAATGCATGAAGATACTGACAGAATATTTACAAATAATAAAAAATTAGAAAGAATCTTCATCAACAGAAAATAGAGGAATGGCTAGCTAAACTCTACAGACATAAAAGATAATGTTTAAGAGTAAGTTAGAATAATGCAATAGAGGCTGGGTGCAGTGGCTCACGCCTGTAATCCTAGCACTTTTGGAGGCCCAGGCGTGTGGATCACAAGGTCAGGAGTTCGAGACCAGCCTGACCAACATGGTGAAACCCCATCTCTACTAAAAATACAAAAATTAGCCAGGCATGGTGGCACACGCCTGTAATCCCAGCTACTCAGGAGGCTGAGGCAGGAGAATCGCTTGAACCTGGGAGGCAGAGGTTGCAGTGAGCCAAGATCACGCCACTGCACTCCAGCCTGGGTGATAGAGTGAGATTCCATCTCAAAAAAAAAAAAAGAATAATGCAATAGAGACCGTAATATACTGTGACTGTGCAATGATTTAAAAAGGAGGGGGTAACCCTGAATCTATGGGGGAAATTCCATGGTAAGAAATACAGTCATGCATTGTTTAATGACCAGAATGTGTTTGGAGAAATTCACCATTAGGCTATTTCCTCATTGTGCAAACATAATAGAGTGTACTTACACAAAACTAGATGATATAGCCTACCACACACCTAGGCTATATGGTATAGCCTACTGCTCCTAAGCTACAACCTGTATGGCATGTGAACTGCACTGTATACTGTAGACATTGTAACACAATGATAACTATTTATATATCTAAACAAGAAAAATGTACAGTAAAAATACGGTATGAAAACCCTGTAGGATCACCATTGTATATGTGGTCCATCATTGACTGAAATGTTACGTGGCACCTAACTGTATGTCAAAATGCTAACCATGTTATGGTATGTAGCAGGACAACACGTAATTTCCCCCCTTTTTCTATTTTCTAAATTTTAAATGTGATTTTATTACCTTTATAATTTTAAAAGGTATAATAAACATCAAAGCAAATAACATAAAAACTTTTTGAAAGCCTACATGACTAAAACGGATGTCTCTGATGAGGTTTTTGCTTAGGACTTTCATTTTGAGAGTATAACAACAAAGATTTATAATGCTTTATGAGATGCTGGAGGGCAACTGCCAATTCAGAAAATGCTTTAGTCCAAATCAATGGAAAAATTAACTGTTTCTAAGACTCAAGACAGTTTGGCACTCTTATCTAAAACTTTCCATTTCTCTATTATACTATGCCTGGAGAATGTAGAGCAGAAGTCCATCCTCAAACTTCAGTGAGCAGAATAATTACCAGAGCCTTGGATTAAATGAGATTCCTCAGTCCTGGCCCCAGAAAATCAGATTCACTAAATCTGGGCTGGAATTCAAGCATCTGCCATTTTTCTCTAACAAGTAAAGCAATGATACAGATGAGCCACAGACCACATGTGAGAAAACATGCTTTCCATAATCTTCCAAGGTCTTAACCTGTCTCTAATTCAGAAGTGGCCATTGTAATGAGCTCTGCTATGGAAGATAAATTCTGCAAAATGCATCAATTTACATACAGAACAGCTACCTGAAGTTGGAAGTTCACATTAGTTTGATTGCCCTTAGGGAAAAATAGAAATTGAAAAAAAAATAGAAAGAAAGAGACAGGAAATGCCTATGCTTTAAATTCTAATGAATGTTTGTGTCTGGCACCTTGAGACAATAATACAAAAAATGAGCAGTCGAGGCAGGGTGCAATGCTTCACACCTGTAATCTCAGCACTTTGGGAGGCTGAGGTGGGTGGATCACTTGAGGTCAGGAGTTCAAGACCAGCCTGGTCAACATGAAACCCCATCTCTACAAAAATACAAAAAAAAAAAAAAAATTAGCCGGGCATGGTGACGTGAGCCTGTGGTCCCAGCTACTCAGGAGGCTGAGGCATGAATCACTTGAACCCAGGAGGCAGAGGCTGCAGTGAGCCAAGATCATGCCACCGCACTCCAGCCTGGGCGACAGAGAGAGACTCTGTCTCAAAAAAAAAAAAAAAGAAAAAAGAAACAAAAACAAAACAAACAAACAAAACCAAGCAGTTGCACTTACCATTTCTAAACTGACTACTTTGATAGGTCTGTCAATATAAAACACAAGCTACAGAACTATTCTAAACTTTCTTTCCTAATCCCAAGAACCTTTGCTATTCAGTCACTGTTTGGATATGGATGTTGGATAAGCAATGATACCACCATCTCATCAGCACATCAACATAATTTTAACATCTTAAAATTTGGAGAGTCTTGCTATCTGGCAGGGATTTCTCTCCCAAAGATGCCCCAGAGGTGAGAAAATAGGATACCCACACGTTCCATATGTTCACAATCCTAGGATTTGCCAAATAAATATCTAAATGCTTGTGGAATCTCTGCTGGAAAGCAAAGGAAATCTATGTTGGAAGCTTTCACCTAATTCTAAAGAGAATTTTATTCCATTTGTAGCAAGTCCTGAGTTCTACCTCTCCATCAGACATTTAACTAAGGCACAAAAATTCCTCAAGAATCCAAGTCACTCATAAAGAAATGCTTGTACAAAAATAAGTAAATAAAATAAAACAAATTGCTTCAGTAAACCTGTCTTTAACTGCTGTGTTGCTGCCGCTATTGTTACACTGTATAATTTAACTCCTTCTTTTTGTGTGTGTGAGTTTTTTTTGTTTTTTTGCAACTGGCTAAGGGTTTGGTGCCAAGGTAAGTATCCCCCTTTTCCCTGGCCTAGAGGCACCTCTACAAACTTGGTGGGGAAAGGGAGAATCGAGGAAAGGAGGCCATGGGCAACAGACTATAGGGAAGGGGGAGCCTTTGGAATACCACCAGCAGAGGAGACAGGGGTCAAGATTCCCTTTTAAAACTGCAGTGGCTGCCAGAATATATGTCTTAGATGGCACTTATACCTTTATTTACCGCGCTGGGAAACACCCCCTGCCCATGGCTATCTTCAATCAGCTCTGAAACTTTCCCTGTTGCCAGGATCCAGCTTCTGCCTAGTAACAGGCCATTTGAGGTTCCCATTGGCTGGGACTAACCCTATTTAATATTAAAGAGAATATCTCCTTATTACGTTGAATAATTAACTATACCAGCCTGGGCAACATAGAGAGATCCTGTCTCTATAAAATAAAAAATAAAAATAGCTGGGTGTGGTGGTGTACACCTGTGGTCCCAGCTACTCCGGAGTCTGAGGTAGGAGGATGGCTCCAGCCTGTGAGTTCAAGGCTGCAGTGAACCATGATCGTGCTACTGCACTCCAGCTTGGGCAACAGAGGGAGACCCTGTCTCAAAAAAAAAAAAGAAATTAACTATTAGAAGCCATTTAGATTAGATGTGGTTCAAGGAAGGGATAGTTACATTTAAAAATTTTTTTGTTTGAAATAATTTCAAACAGAAAAGTTGGAAGAACTGTGCAAAGAACCCCTGTTTACTCTTTGCTGCTATTCTTCAAGTGTTAACATTTTACTACTTTTGCTCTGTATTCCTCCTCCTATTTCTTTTTTTATTAATAGGCTTTAAGAACAGCTGTAGATTTACAGAAAAATTGAGCAGCTAGTACATAAGGTTCAAATACACCCCCCAGTTTCCTCTATTAGTAACATCTTACATGAGTATAGTACATTTGTTACATCTGATGAACCATTATTGATACACTGTTATTAACTAAAGTCCATAGCTTGTTCAGATGTCCATAGTTTTTACTTAATGTCCTTTTTCTCTTTCCCCATCCCATCCAAGATACCACACTTATCATGTCTCTTTGAGTTCCTTTTAGCTATGACAGTTTCTCAGACTTTCCTTGCTTTTGATGACCTTGGCAGGCTTTTAAAACTATTTTTATTTTTATATATTTCTTAGAGATGGAGTTTTACTATGTCACCCAGGCTGGAGTACAGTGGATTTTCACAGGCATGATCATAGTTCATTGCATCCTTGAACTCCCGGGCTCACACAATGCTCCTACCTCAGCTTCCCAAGTAGGCGGGACAACAGGTGCAAGCTACCACACCTGGCTATTGACGGTTTTTAGGAGTACTGGTCAGGTATGTAGTAGAATGCCCCTGTATTGGAATTTGATGTTTTTCTCATTATTAGACTGGATCACAGCAGTAAAGTACCATTCTCATCATTATCATATCAAGGGTACATACTATCAAGATGACTTTTCACTCCTATGGAAAAAAATTAATAAATAAATAAAAGATGACTTTTCACTGCTGATATGGACCTTCATCATTTGGCTGAGGTAGCGTCTGTCAAGTTTCTCTACTGTAAAGTTACTCTTTACCTCCTTTTCCATACTGTACTCTTTGAATGGAAGTTACTGCGTACAGCCCACACTTAAGGAGCAAAGAAGTATGCTCCACCTTAAGGGTGGAGCATCTACATAATTAATTTGAATTATTCTGCAGAAAAGATTGGTCTCTTCTCTTCATTTATTAGTTTATTTAATTAGTTATTTATAGTGACATGGGCTCCTGGATATTTATTTTATGCTTTGAGTTATAATCCAATGTTATTTTATTTTGTTGCTAAGATTCTTCCAGTTTTGCCCATTGATTTAACATAATTTTTAATCCATTAAAAAATTAATATTAGGCTGGGTGCATGGCTCACACCTGTAATCCTAGTGCTTTAAAAGGCTGAGGCAGGAGAATCACTTGAGCCCAAGAGTTCGAAGTTACAGTGAGCTCTAATCATGCCATTGCACTCCAGCCTGGGCAACAGAGTGAGACCCTATCTTAAAAAAAAATTATAACCTGAGATATGAAAACTATTTTTTTTTTGAGACGGCGTCTTGCTCTGTTGCCCAGGTTGGAGTGCAGTGGCGCAATCTCGGCTCACTGCAACCTCCAAATCCCAGGTTCAAGCAATTCTCCTGGCTCAGCCTCCCAAGTAGCTGGGATTACAGATGCATGCCACCATGCCCGGCTAATTTTTTGTACTTTTTAGTAGAGACGGGGTTTCAATGTGTTAGCTAGGATGGTGTCGATCTCCTGTCTGCCCACCTCGGCCTCCCAAAGTGCTGGGATTACAGGCGTGAGCCACCGCCCCGGGCTGAAAACTATTAATAGAAACATTTCTCCTTCTGTACACAAGTTTAAAAAATCGATCTGTGATTGTGTGAAATTTATTTTATATCAAATTTTTAAAACTAGGTAGCAGATTCCCATCGTCCAAAGTTGAAAAGAAGCAGAGGGGTGTATGGTGAAAAGCAGCCTCCCCATCCTGATCACATTCAACTTGTTACTTTCCCTGGGAAATAACAGTGTTAGCAGTTTACTGTGTTTCGTTTTTAGAGATTTTTTTCATATACAAAAAAATACATATACTTTCCCTTTTTTCTTCCCCTCACTTTTATATGAATAGTATACATATCATGACAAACCTGGCTTGTTTGTCCATATCTTGAGAGATTGATCCATATCAATATTTGAAACTTCCTCATTCTTCTTTATGGCCAGAAGGTATTTTATTGTATTGGTCTCTTACTGATTCTCAGTAACATATATGTCTTTTCCAATTTTTTTTAGTATTATAAGCAATGCTAGAATGAAAAGGCTTCTACTTAGCAATTTTGTACCCATGCATATCTCTGTAGGATAAATTCTCAGAAGAGGAATTTCTTGGTGAAAGGGTTTTATGATAACCTGACTTGCAAGTAAATCAAGTATACATAATGATAAGTTTGAGGTGCTTGAAATTAGGCTTTCTCTACTTAGGCCAGGAGGGACTGCTAAGAACCCTGCAAGGACGATGCAGGTGGGAACTCCAGGCATAGCATTTTGGAACATCACATAACCCCAGCAAGGAGTCGGGTAGATAGGGCAGGGTAGTAGAGTTCAGTGAATGGTCCCTAACATTTCTAACACTAGAAAATGATGAATTAATGGGTATCTGTTATGTTCCCTGCTGGCTTCTTTTATTATTATTATCATTATTTTATTTTATTTTTCCATAAGTTATTGGGGTACAGGTGGTATTTGGTTACATGAGTAAGTTCTTTAGTGGTGATTTGTGAGATCCTGGTGCACACATCATCCAAGCAGTATACACTGCACCATATTTGTAGTCTTTTATTCCTCACCCCCCTCCCATTCTTCCCCCCAAGTCCCCAAAGTCCACTGTATCATTCTTATGCCTTTGTGTCCTCACAGCTTAGCTCCCACATATCAGTGAGAACACACAATGTTTTGTTTTCCATTCCTGAGTTACTTCACTTAGAATAATAGTCTCCAATCTCATCCAGGTCATTGCAAATGCTGTTAATTCATTCCTTTTTATGGCTGCATAGTATTCCATTGTGTATATATATATATATATATATATATATATATATATATCACAGGTTTTTTATCTACTCATTGATTGATGGGAATTTGAGTTGGTTCCACAATTTTGCAATTAAGAATTGTGCTGCTATAAACATGCACATGCAAGTGTCTTTTTTGAATAATGACTTCTTTTCCTCTGGGTAGATACTCAGTAGTGGGACTGCTGGATCAAATGGTAGTTCTACTTTTAATTCTTTAAGGAATCTCCACACTGTTTTCAATAGCAGCTGTACTAGTTTACATTCCCACCAGCAGAGTAGAAGTGTTCCCTGATTGCCACATCCACGCCAACATCTACCATTTTTTAAGTTTTTGATTATGGACATTCTTGCAGGAGTGAGGTGGTATTGCAATGTGGTTTTGGTTTGCATTTCCCCGATCATTAGTGATGTTGCGAATTTTTTCATATGTTTGTTGGCCATTTGCATATCTTCTTTTGAGAACTGTCTATTCATGTCCTTAGCCTGCTTTTTGATGGGATTGTTTGTTTTTTTCTTACTGATCTGTTTGAGTTAGTTGTAGATTCTAGAAGATTAGTCCTTTGTCAGATGTATAGATTGTGATTTTCTCCCACTATGTGGGTTGTTTGTTTACTCTGCTGACTGTTCCTTTTGCTGTGCAAAAGCTCTTTAGTTTAATTAGGTCCCAGCTATCTATCTTTGTTTTTATTGTATTTGCTTTTGGGTTTTTGGTCATGAAATCCTCGCCTACTGGCTTATTTCAGTATCACCAGATGCATATTTAGCCTAGTCAATAAAGAATTTGTAAGATATTATTACCAAGTAAAATGTTTTTCAGGATCCTTATAAAGTGAATAATTGGTATGGATATAACTAGCATCCAATAAGCAATGCTTTCTAATCTTTAAATAGTAAGGCCAAAAAAATTTTTAAATACTCATCAATATTTAGCAATAACATCAGTGTGATGGTTAATGCTGAGTGTCAACTTGATTGGACTGAAGGATGCAAAGTATCGTTCCTAGGTCTGTGAGAGTGTCTGTGAGGGTGTTGCCAAAGGAGATTAACATTTGAATCAGTGGACTGGGAGAGGCAGACCCATCCTCAATCTGGGTGGGCACCATCTAATTAGCTGCCATTGTGCCTAGAATAAAGCAGGCAGAAGAAAGTGGAATGAGCAGACTCGCTGAATCTTCCAGCCTTTGTCTTTCTCCCATGCTGGATGCTTCCTGCCCTCAAACATCAGATTCCAAGTTCTTCAGCTTTGGGAGTCTTGGACTTACTCCAGTGATTTGGCAGGGGCTCTCGGGCCTTTGGCCACAGACTGAAGGCTGCACTGTTGGCTTCCCTACTTTTGAAGTTTTGGGACTTGGACTGGCTTCCTTGCTCCTCAGCTTGCAGACAGCCTGTTTTGGGACTTCACCTTGTGATTGTGTGAGTCAGTACTCCTTAATAAACTCCCCTTCATATATACATCTATCCTATTAGTTCTCTCCCTTTAGGGAACCCTAATACACTCAGTATATTACTTTGAATTACATGACATGAGGCAGTCTTGTCTCTTGTAACTGGTTTCTATTTGTAAACTAAAGCCAACAGAGACTGTTTTTATATATAGGAGTCCATTAAGAAAGCATCATTGGAGATGTGCTTTTGGATAAGTCTGAGTGATTAAAGTGGATTTATTGCTATGCCCTTGACATTTTACTCCCAAAGATTCTACCATTCTACCTGGTTTCTGTACCAGTATTTCTGAAGTTTTATCCTTGGCACCTCCATTCTATTCCTGATCTCCTTTTCTTCCTGAACTCCTACTTTGCCCATGCTGCCTGTATCCTACTCCCTTAGTCACCTACCTCCAAGTATCCAATCACAACCCGTCGTCTTGTTTTTCACTCTGCCAAATGAAAGGAAATCTTCTTTTCAGGCAGACAAAGGATTACTTGAAGGGATATGCCAAACAATTTATCATATGTTCCTTTCTTTTTAATAATATGACTCCATACATCATTAATGATAGACCAAGAAGACAAACCCAAATGAGACTGTCAGGAAAGTGGCTCTTCTACAAGTGCTCCCACACTTCATTAGTTAGTAACAAAACATCAGCCAGACCAGAAACAAAGGTCAAGAGAAGCTGATTTTTCCACTGTTGTTTATATGAATTAGTACATCAGATGGTTTTGCAATGTGTTCACAAGTCTTTGATACTCCTTTCAAGAGCTGGAGCTTCTTCTCTTCCACTTGAGTGTGGGTTGGATTAATGAGTCACAGAAGTGATTGCGTGTGACTTCCATGACTATATTATAGAAGATGCCATGGCTTCTTCCTTGCTCTTTTGCTTGGATTATTTCTGAGGGAAGCCAGCTGCCAAGACACTAAATTGTGAGGACATTCAGTCAGCCCTCTAGATGGGGACTGAGGCCTCTACCAAGAGCCATGTGGGTGAGCCATCCGAGAACCACCCTTCAGACCCAGGCAAGCCTTCAGATGACTACAGCCATGACTGACGTCTTGACTACAACCTCATGAGAGTCCCTGAGCCAAAACTGCTCAGCTGAGCTGTTTCTGACTTACAGAAACTATGAGATGATAAGTGTTTAACTTTTTTTTTTCCCTGAGATGGAGTCTCATTCTGTCCCCCAGGCTGGAGTGCAGTGGTGCAATCTCAGCTCACTGCAACCTCCACCTCCCTGATTCAAGCAATTCTCCTGCCTCAGCCTCCTGGGTAGCTGGGATTACAGGCGGGTGCCACCACACCCAGCTAATTTTTGTATTTTTAGTAGAGACGGGGTTTCACAATGTTGGCCAGGCTGGTCTCGAACTCCTGACCTCATGATCCGCCCGCCTTGGCCTCCCAAAACGCTGGGATTACAGGCGTGAGCCACTGTGCCCAGCCCTGTTTCACTTTTTTATTAAACTGCTAAGCTTTGAGGTAATTTGTTACATGGCAATAAATAACTAGCAATTACAATATTACTTTTATGGTGTGTGGCAGTAAGGACTTTAAAAAAATGTAACAAGACAGTTTCACTAGCAACAAATAGATATGCAACTCAATGTAAAAGCTGCTCTGCATACCCATTAAAATGAGCAAATAACATAAAACCCACTCTTAGTATGGCTTTCAGGAGACATGCCTGCTGGTGGCACTTTAACATGATTCAATTTTCTGAAGTACAAGTTGGTAAATGTAACAAAAGCTATAAAACTGCAGCTGGGAAAATAGCCAAGAAATAAAAGAACCTCGTAATTATTTTTACAAGATATCTATATCTTCTTGCTGCTATTGTAATTTGAGAAAAAAAGATATATCAGTACTACAGTATTTGTAATAGTGAGAAATGACTCAACGTCAAAGATTAAAGAAATAGCTAAACAAACTACAATATATTAATCATGGTAGACCTTCTGGCTATAAAAAATGTAAAAAAGGAAAATTATTTTAATATATGGGATATGCTGTTAAATAAAATAGAAGCTAAAATAAAATATGCATGCTGATTAGACTTATGCAATCAAAAGTTAAAAGGGAATATATGGGATTGGAAATGGTTAAAATCTATTGCTCGTTAGGTTATATCTTCTGAGAATATGTTTGAATTGCTAAAAAAAAAATTATTGAAAAGTAAAACTAGCACCAATCTTCATCTTCAGACAATACTTTAACTAAAAGATCTGTATGACCAGGAAAAAAATGTATATTTTAGATTTCTATGTTTCCTTCCCTAGCCTTATGTTAAATAAAGTAGTTCTAATATAGTCTCTCCTTAGCATTAAGAAGAGTAAAAGTACTGGTAGATCTAGCCCCTTTTATGGTGCAATCAAGCATAGTAAACATTCCTAAATCATAACTGGCCCACACCTGTCTCAGTGTCTCCTTTGCCCCATAAACAAACAGAAAAGCTACAGGTGAGAGATGGTTGGTCACAGCTGCGAGTTCCCTCTTGTCTTCCTGCTATGGGTGGGAACAGGGAACCAGTTTCCTGGAGGAGGAGCCACCTGCCTGAAAAGTCATGCACCCAGAACACTGGGCAAAGAAACTGGTTAAAAACAAAAGAAAATTTATGGCTTCAAGTCAAATGAATGCTAATAATAATTTTTAAAATAATTTAAAACTTAACTCATTTAGGACCTTGCCCATAGACTGCAGAGAAGGGAAATGGCATTGAAGCAAAAGCGTGGTCTACAAATAATTTCTCAGCTGCTCCACTTTTAGTCATCTAAAGACCTAAACTTTATCCGCAACTCGGTATAGAATTCCAGTTCAAAAGGAAAAAAATAGTGACATATCAAACAATAAAATAGATTGGCAATTATGTACAATATGGTTTTGGTTTTGTTATAAGTTTTGAAAGTGTATATATACAATAAAATATCAGTGATCGCTCAAGGTAGCGAAATTAGTGACAGATTTTTTCTTCTTTTTCTTTATCTGTGTAACTGATTTTTCTTTGCAATGAACATGTATTATTTGTATAAATATAAAATTCTTCAAGATGCAAAAATAGATGTAAAATTTATAAAAACACAACCTTTATCAACTGACTTTTGTGCATCTAAAATGCAATAAGCACAAAGCACTTAAGAATCTTTCATTGTTTTTTGAGACACATAAATTGTGTTTAGTGCTGAATATATTTCATTGTAGTTTTTAAATTTTCTTACAACTGTTCATCATGTAAAACATATGTGAGAAATTCCTTTCAACTCGAATAATTTGTCATCAAAATAATCCATTTCCTAAACCTACCAGATAATGGCAGTATTTATGTGGTATCTTCTCACAACACAAAATACTTATTTACTTCTCCCCATATTAACTTTCTATTTCCTTTTAGGAACACCAACAGTCCATAACTTCCATCATAAGCCAGTATCTAAATGCTGTGGCTTTCAATTTATAAGGAATAAGGATTATCTTTTACTCAATTCAAGTGAATAAAGACATAAGGAGTTTTGAACCTGAGGAAGTACCTCACAAAAGCCTCCAAAACTGAATTTGAGTCAGAAATGTACGACAATAACAGGGAAAACATTAATGAGGGCAGCCTGAAGAGCCCTGCCTGTGTCCAGAATGCTGAGATCACCAGGTGATACTACTCCACCTGCTCTGCCATTCTGCTTCTCCAGGTGGCCTTGAGGAAGCTTTTAGCAGGAAAACACCTAGATCCAAGAGACCACAAGAAGGTGTGACACATACAAGGATATAAGGTTATGGTCAGGCGACACCTAATACAACTTCTGCATGCAGATGTTTTTGTCTTTGCCCCATGTCCAGGGGATTAATCCTTTTCCCTTCTCAAAGAATCACAGGCTGTTCACAGGATTAGGAATTTTAGTGGTCTCAGAGTTAGCGGCCACATGCAGATGCTTTCCTTTACTAAAAATCTGAGAGACATCTTAAATAAACACATCTTATGGTATAAGAATATAGCTACAATTCAATTCTTTATTATCTGTGCTACAGTATATGTGTGTGTTTGGAGGCAGGGGCGCATGGGTGGGTAGAATGGAGTGATATAAAATATCAATCACACTTGATATGGTTTGGCTCTGTGTCCCCACACAAATTTCATCTCGAATTGTAATCGCCATGTGTCAGAGGACGGGGCTTGATGGGAGGTGAATGAATCATGAGGGTGGATTTTCCGGTTGCTGTTTTCATGATAGCGAGTTCTCACCAGATCTGATGGTTTAAAAGTGTGTGGCATTTCCTCTCTCTCCCTCTCTCCTGCTCTGCCATGGTTAAGACGTGCTTGCTTCCCCTTCGCCTTCCACAATGATTTTAAGTTTCCTGAGGCCTCCCAGCCATGCTTCCTATACAGCCTGCAGAACTGTGAATCAGTTAAATCTCTTTTATTCATAAATTACCCAGTCTCAAGTAGTTCTTTATAGCAGTGTGAGAACGGACTAATACAACACTGATGATTAAAACCTCAAATAATTCAAAGATTCTAACAAGTAGCAAGTAAACTTGAGTTTCAACCCCTTTGTCAGTTCCTGATTGAATTTTACAATTAGCTAATAAGAACAAAGATCAGAAGAGAAAATGCTTGTGTAAGATCATCCATATTAGATACACTGCTCCTGAAAGAAATGTGTAAACCTAAAATTTGAAAAGTAGTTCTAGGACTCAGCTTTCCCAAGAATTTATGACAGGTATCAGGAATCTTGCCCAATAAATCCAGGGCAATATTTTGTGATCTTTCCAGAATGCACGGAAAGAGGCTCCACAGGTAGGTTAATTACATATTTCTATGAAACATTACTTAGTTAACATGCCCCCTAGGAGTCCAGAGTTAAAGTCATTATTGTGAGAATATATGGCTTACAGATAAAGCAAAATCAGCCTTCTGTTCTCCCCCACCCCCCATTTGCAGCTACTCATTAGTAATATTGTGTATTTTAGCGCTGTCTGTCCTGAAGATCTGAGGCTGATTTGATACTATTGGTATGTTTTTTTCTTTCCTCCTCTCTCCTTTCCCCAGAAAAATCAAGGTTCACAGAGGTTTTATATTTGCCATATAACCTATTAGGGTCAAACCAGGTGGAAAACTAAGAACATCCACTCAACAACATGCAAACACTGTAAAGGCATGGCTATTCCTGTGGCCCTTTCCAGGAAGAAAAATCCATGTGACTCTCCCTGGACCATTAGTGCAGGCAAAGCTGTCAGCGCAGAATACTCATTTTGCTCACTTTTAAAAGTCAGTTTTAATCAGAAACTCTGAATACTGTACTCTGATCTGAACACCCTTATGCGATTCACTAAGTCTTGAGAAGTTCTCAGTCCTCAAATAACTAAGAAAATTGGACTATTTCTGGCCCATTAGCAGGATCATAGATTGAAATCCTTGTCTTACCCCTACCATGACTGGCCCATTCTCTTAGGCAGTGAGACCCACTGTGGGATGGTGGCATGTCACTTGGCTCACAATATTTATGTCTCTGAAGTGTTTCCCTAGCTGACATCAAAGATAAGAATTCACTAGAAGCTAATTGTATTTTGGGACATAAATAGAAAAAAACCTTCAAATCCTGTAAGATTAATAATTATAGTTTTCGAAAAAGTGATGGTACAGAAATAGCTGTTAGTAGGTGCTAGATTTGGGAGTGTTCACTGTTGTAAAAGAAGAGGAAACAAGGAAAGGAAAAAAGGAAGGAAAGAAAGAAAAGAGAGTACTTGGAAGAACTAGACACTTTCAAAACAGTCCTGGCTTTGGCCCCAATAGGCATTTGAAAAATATTTCTCCTTACTTGTCTTGGTATTTTCTTTTTAAATTGAGAACTAATTTACATACAGTAAGGCCTTTACAAAACGCACAAGTCTTAAAACTAGAAAAGAGAGGGCATCATCAGGCTGCACAGACCAGATGCTGATGTGCTGAGCAGGGAATGGCAGTAGTGGCCACAGCAACCAGGGCAGCATGAGCAGCACTGGGCTCTTGCAGCCTACCCCAAGTGAGGTGCATTCCTGCCAGTCTCCAGTGGCCTTCACCATGTGCTGGCACCTGCTGTACACCAGTCCACCCATCCAAGCTGTCGCCAAGGAGCTGTTCCTGGGCAAAACCGAGAAGGAAGCACAACAAAGGTTCTTGCCCACAGCTCTCCCACTCCCTCTGCCTACTGACCCCCACCGGTGCTTCTCTGTGTGGTCCTGCATGTTGTGTGCCTGTCCTCTGGGGAACTGTGGGCAACAAATTATCTTTTCAGTTGTACAATACTTGTTTCCTGACCTGTTGGCCTTACTATACCTCAAATTTTGTGTCAACCCACAATATTTAGACCAGCACGAATGACAAGACACTTTGTACCCTTAAGAGTGAACAAATGAAGAACATACGAACTGTGCACCTTTTCCCAATGTTTTTAACAAGTTTTGTATGTTAAAGCATAAGAGTTTCTTTCAGGTGATGGGGAAGGCTAGTAGCTGTTGGGTGGGATCCACTGAAGGCAAAGACTTTGCTGTGATGATGGAGCCCTGCATCAGGTTTCCTGTAGCCCAGGATTCAGTACCAGGCCATGGTATCATCAAATTTTTGTTCTAACAAGGACTGGATGTGGTCTGCCTCATATCCCACGGACACCATGAGCTCTGTGTTTCAGGAGTCCTGGTAATCAGAGAGCAGCTCCCGGTATGGCCTTCGTGTCTCCTCCTGACCAGTGTTGATCCATAGGTGTTCCATGACGTGGACTAGTATAGGCCTCTCCCTGCAGTCAGAAATAGGTTTATGAAGCTCTCTGGAAATGAAAAGCAAAGAGTGGGATCTTGTACAATTGTTCACACAGTATCAGCTTCCTCAGCGCCACAAAATCTGCCCAATAAATGGCAGGACCTGGTTACTGTGGTGTAAAGAATGACTTTCCAGCTCCACATGTCCACTGGGGCCCATCATATGTTTGGCCATGGAAGAGTTCAGGACCGCATAAGAGGGACTCCCACCGAAGGTGCCCAGCTTCTGGCCTACAGTGAACCTGGTATCAAATCCAAAGTCTGTTATTTTTATGTTGTGATGGACCACAAGGAAATTCTTGGGCTTCAGGTCCCTATGGATATCCCCCTTCTGTTGGTGGTACTAGAGGGCTGATACTATCTGCTGGAATTTGCTTCAGGCCTCTTCCGCCTTCATGTAGCCCAACTCTAGGATGTAGTCGACCAGCTCTGCTCTGCTGGCCGTACTCCATGGCTAAGAACAAAGTGTCTGTGGTGTTGAAAGAGTTTGATGACCTTGGGGTGACCCCATGGAATAGACTCTAGAGGGAGTCTAGAGTCTCACTGCTGCCCAGTGAGAAGGTACTTGGTGAACTTCATTCACCCTGGTGAAGCTGTCCTGGCTGATGATCTCGAGGAGCCTATAATGATCAGTAAGGGTCTCCTCATCAGCAGAGATGGTCGTAAGGCCCTGCCACATGGTAACCTTCTAGCTACAAATCCTAACTAGGAATGCTAACCAAGAATGCTACCTATAAAAACGTTGCTAACTGTGAAAACGAAAGAGCACAGCTGGAGTTGCTCTGCACACTTTCGTGTGTGACCTATGGATCACTCCAGTGCCTGTGACTATGTGCCCGGCCAACTTCACCTGGTCTGTAGCTGGGTGCTGGATAATGGCACCAGGAACCACCTCTGCTGACCTCTTGGCTATGTTTACTTCCCTCTGTGTTGGTGTCATTCTTGGGTGGGCTTTCCCTTCAAGGTGACAAGATGGCACCAACCATTCTAGCAACCTAACAGAAATAGAGCTTCTGTTCCCCCAGGGTTCCAACCCGGAGGTCTGACCTTTGGCACCCGACTGGTTACGTGCCCAGACCTCAGCCAATCACTATGGCTGAAGAGAATGGGCTCTGCTGATTGGCCAGGTTGAGGTCATGTGGCCTCTATCTCCAAGGGAACTTGGGAGCTGCTCACCTGCTTCCAGTGGGAGAGGGTGTGACACCTGAGAGAGCAGGTTCAGGATCGAGCCCTCTGTTCATTTCCTGGATATGCCTGCTCATGTCCTCCCACGCCACTGTCTTCTGTGTACACAAGAACCCAAGGCAGCACTTCTTCCCCTCTCCTGCCGCCTCCTTCACAGGCCCCATTTCAGGCATAATACAAAGGAACAGGGCTTCCTGCTTGAAGGTAGGATTTGGGGTTCACTCCCAGCTTCAAGGCCTGCTGCTGTGTCCTGTTGTAATCAGCCAGTCAGTGATCACCTACCATGTGCCAAACCCTTCTAGGTGCTGATCCAGGGATCAACAGGACTGATGACGTTGCTCTCCTCAAGGAGCTGACACTGCAGCGTGAGGGGAC
The DNA here is from genome assembly GCF_000001405.40 of Homo sapiens. NCBI lineage: Eukaryota > Metazoa > Chordata > Mammalia > Primates > Hominidae > Homo > Homo sapiens. The sequence continues at coordinate 76,887,481 of NC_000004.12, forward strand.
AAATTCAGAGGACAAATTCCGATCAGTGTTCCCTCTTCCAGCACACATTCACTGAGGTCCTATTGCATGCTCCAGACATGGAAGCACGGCAGGGAGTGAAGCAGGCAGAGGTCTCCATTCTTATGGGATGATAGTCTAGCGGGGGAGACAGAGAAAACAAAAGTAAAACATAAACAAAGCTAATTAACCTGAACCCAGGTCATCAATCTGTTGAATTCAGCAAATTGTATTCCAGTGATTCAATATGGAAACAGAGGCCTAGCTAAGTGGTGGCTCATTCTTGGAGACCCAGCTCAGATGTCACCTTATGAGGCCCTGCTGGATCCTTACCACTCCCCCAGACGCTTTTGCCTTACTTGGGACCCCTCAGTGCTGTGATCACACTTTGAAGTCCTTTCTAGCCTGTGAGTTGTGTGAGGACGCTGAGTTAGATGCAGAAAGGGGCTCAGAATGTGATGATGAGTAAAGTCTGAATAAATGAAAGGATCAACCCCCACCCCACCCCACCCCCCAAAAAAGTAGAAAATAGGAGTCAAGCTTGGTAGCTAGAGATCAGGAAGTGTCATTTTCATATCATGAAGGAAGAATAGTCAGGTCAATACTTTTTAACCCAACTCAGTGACTTCATCGTGACCAAATTTAGCAGAAATTTGATAAAGTTTACTGCATGGTTCCATTTAGATTTTTCCAATTCATGAGTGATAGTAGCATTACACACACACACACACACACACACACACACACACACACACACACACACCCCTCACCTCTCCATAAGCCTGAATCCTTCAGAGCTCTGTCTGAGTTTCAGTTCCGGGCAACATCAGCGCTTCTAATTTGACTGGTATTAGTTTATGTGACTTCAATTGGACATAATTCTGTTTAATGACATAATAGCTAATGATTGCTACACACAGGAGATAGTTAAATAGTCTTTTTCATTTGAAATGAGAAACCCAGACATCTTTCTCGTGTAGAAGCATAATGAAAATTATTTAGCTTTATCAATAAATTTTTATCAGCACCTTTTGAATCAACTAGATTTCTTTGCTTTCTGCATAGATGGAAATTTAAGTGAACTGTATACTTTGAATGGTATTAAAAATAATAATACCAAATGTTTAGTGAGGATCTACTATGTGCCAGGCATTTTCTATGAACTTTGTACAGGTATAAATTCATTTTATCCTCTCAGGAAACCCATTTTCTATTGCTATTATTTCCATCTTACAAATGACAAAACTAAGAAGTTGAAGGTCTTGTCCAAATCAGGACAGGAACCAGGCAACCTAGCTTCATTGCCATGAGCTTAAGTACTTACATAATACAACCTTTCGTTAAACATTTTAAATTTGTTTTGATGTTGACAAACCCAAGTGTACACAGCAGCACTGCTATGCAAAACAGCTTGTACAGTGTTTGAATTTACACTCTGGATTCAGTGCCACCATGAACCTAGATGGTCATGACAGGAATGAAGTAATTTAATTATAAAACCAGGCCAGACATGATGGCTCACCCCTGTAATCCAGCACTTTAGGAGGCCGAGGCAGGCGGATCTCTTGAGGCCAGGAGTTCAAAACCAGTCTGGTGAACATGGCAAAGCCCCATCTCTTCTAAAAATACAAAAATTAGGCCGGGCACAATGGCTCATGCCTGTAATCCCAGCACTTTGGGAGGCCGAGGCGGGCGGATCACCTGAGGTCAGGAGTTTGAGATCAGCCTGGCCAACATGGTGAAACCCCGTATCTACTAAAAATACTAAAATTAGGGCTGGGTGTGGTGGTTCACGACTGTAATCCTAGCACTTTGGGAGGTTGAGGCAGGTGGATCACCAGAGGTCAGGAGTTGGAGACCAGCCTGGCCAACATGGTGAAACCCTGTCTCTACTAAAAATACAAAAAATTAGCTGGGCCTGTAATCCCAGCTACTCGGAAGACTGAGGCAGGAGAATCATTTGAACCTGGGAGGCGGAGGTTGCAGTGAGCCTGGGCAACAAGAGCAAAACTCCGTCTCAAAAAACAAAAACAAACAAACAACAAACAAAAAACCTAAAATTAGTTGGATGTGGTGGCACACACCTGTAATCCCAGCTAATCCAGAGGCTGAGACAGGGGAATAGCTTGAACCTGGGTGGTGGAGGTTGCAGTGAGCCAAGATTGCACTCCAGCCTGGGTGACAGAGCAAGACTCTGTCTCCAAAAAAAAAAAAAAAAAAAAATTAGCCAGTTGTGGTGGCTCACGCCTGTAATCCCAGTTACTAAGGGGGCTGAGGCATGAGAATTGCTTGAACCCGGAAGGTGGAGGTTGCAGTGAGTCGAGATCATGCCACTGCACTACAGCCTGGGCAACAGGGCGAGACTTTGCCAAAAAAAAAAAAAAAAAAAAAAAAAATTGACAAAACCAGGGTATTTTGAGGGTGAGAGGAAATGGAGAAACTCTTTTACATCTTACCTAATTCTTAATTCTTATCAACTAAATCAGCCCCACCAAGAAAGTTTTTTTTTCCTCACTGTATATATCCAATCCAATGGATGACACCTTATCCAGCTTATTGAGTCAACATTCCTGATATTCCCAATATGAAACTAAGATATTACAATAGTTTCACTGATCTCTGCTTCTAGTTTATCTCCTTTACTGCAGCAAGAAGAATCTTTGTTTCACCCCATCTTATATGTCACTCCCCTGCATTAAACCTTCAATGGCTTCCTATTGCCTGGATCAGTGGCTCTCAGATTTATACAGGAACTTAATGTGGTTATAGTTGCATAGGTGTGATTATACTAAAAATCATTGAATTGTACATTTAAAATAGGTGAATTGAATTGTAAAGTTATTTTTTAAAATGTATAGGGGGAGCTGGGCATGATGGCTCATATCTGTAATCCCAGCACTTTGGGAGGCTGAGGCTGGAGGATTGCTTAAGCTCAGGAGTTCATGACCGGCCTGGGCAACATAGTGAGACTTCATCTCTACAAAAAAATAAAAAAATTAGCTGGGTGTGGTGGTGTGCGCCTATAGTTCCAGCTACTCCAGAAGCTGAGGTGGGAGGATGGCTTGAGTCTGGGAGGTCAAGACTGCAGTGAGCTGAGATTGCATCACTGCACTCCAGCCTGGGTGACAGCAGGAGACCCTGTCCCAACAACAACAAAAAACATGTACGGGGTACCAGGTGTGGTGGCTCACACACGTAATCCCAGTGCTTTGGGAATCTGAGGCCAGGAGTTTGAGACCCAGCCTGGGCAACATAGCCTGGGTAACAGAGAGACCTTGTCTCTAAAAAAAAAAAAAAACATAGCTGAGTGTGGTGGTGTATACCTATAGTCCCAGCTACTAAAGAGGCTAAGGTGGGAGGATCTCTTGAGCCCAGGAGTTTGAAGTTACAGTGAGCTATGATGGCAACACTGCAGTCTAGCCTGGGTGACCAAGTGAGACCCTGCCTCAAAAAAACCCAAAAATGTATAGAGGAATCAAGGCATCTGGAATTCATAGCATGCTATGTGTAGCACACTGAAATGTTGAAGTATAAGCAATTTTAATATCATAAGATAAGACTAGACCGAAGCAAGAACTGCAAAAGGCATTTCAATGCGCTTTCACACATTTGGAAGAAGATTATGTCTTCCCCCGTTTCCAAAGAGCTAAGACAGAAGTACGACGTTTGATCCATGACCATCCGGAAGGATGATGTTCAGACTGTGCAAGGACATTGTAAAGGTCAGCAAATTGGCCACGTACTCAAGGTTTACAGGAAGAAAGATGTCATCTACACTGAATGGGTGCAGCAGCAAAAGGCTAATGGTACAACTGTCCGTGTAGGCATTCACCCCAGCAAAGTGGTTATCACTAGGCTAAAAGTGGACAAAGACCATAAAAAGATCCATGAACAGAAAGCCAAATCTTGCCAAGTAGGAAAGAAAAAGGGCAAATACAAGAAAGAAACAATTGAGAAGATACAGGAATAAATGAATCTATATACAAGCTTTCATACAACTGCTAAAATGAAAAAAAAAGTGTTGAGCTAAGCTTATCAACAATTTCTAATGTTTGGTTTTAAAATGAAATTGCCATTTGTTAAATTACTTTGTTGCTTACCACTATGTGCTAGCAAATAAGCATTAACAACACTGAAGACCTAAGAAAAATTTGAAAGAGGAACTTAAAGCACATTTAATCTAATACTTTGAAATATTTTTTGTCTTCAAATTAAGACTTCAGGAAAACACCTGGATTTGGAATAACACTAAGTTTTTCTGGGAGGAGTTTTCACAATGCTTGGCTTCCTAGAAAATGCCTGTATTTCCTGAGGTCAAAAAGACCCTTCTTTCAACCTAGTCCTAAATGACCTTTCCAGTTTCATCTCTTTCTACACTGCCTCACTTCTGCCACACTATGTGGCTCAGTATCCCCAAACCACTCTGTGGTTTTGGTCATGTCCCTTCCCTCTCCTGGGATATTCTTCCAGAACTCTTTCCTGCACTTCACCCTTCAAAGCTCATCTAACTTCCTCTTTCCCTCCTGACTTCCCCAATCCAGAAAAGCATAATCAGAGCAGGAAATAGGTATATTCTACTAAATGTTTTATTTCCAGCATAACCAAAGAGACTGGCACATAGAAAATGCTTCACAAACGTCCCCTTCTCTGAATTCTCAGAGTCTTGACACACACACATATCTGTGCACTTACCTCACTGTGCTAGAAGCAATTTTCAGTGACACAACCCTCACATCTCCTTCCACAGTAGACTATGAGCTCTTAAAGGCAGGAATTATGTCTTTATCACATAGCAGATGCTCCATAAATATCTGGAAATCTAGATGAATTGAAAACATATTCACTAATCTCCAGATGTTCAAAATCTTCAGGAATATTGAGACATACAATTTACTTGAATACTATGTGGCAAAAATTGTAAATGAGTTATGTACACAGTATTGTAAGAATTCTGATGAAGGAGCTATAAAGCTTCCAGCTTGGAGGTGTTTGTCCTGGAATCTTCATATAGGCTGTGACATTTGAGCTATCCTTTGAGGAATAAGATTACCAGGAAAATAGCAAAAAGGGTTTTCTAAGTAAAAGAAATCCAGCACAAGACAGAAACTGAGAGGTTAGGGCCACCAGCATCCCAATGGGTCTGCTGTAGCTGAAGTTTAGGGTTCATGGCAGGGAGTGGCTGGCAGAAAGCTGGGAAAGTACGCTAGTCCTGGCAGCCCTCCTGGCCTGGACTTCACAAGATGAGTAAGAGGGTGTCAGGATCAGATGTGTGTTTTAATCAGCTCTCTACACCCTCTTCTCCCCTGACTCCTCCCCAACATAGCATATTGACCATGTAAAAGAGTTGACCAGACGCAGGTATGAGGGACATGATGAATCATCATAAGAATCAACTTGAGACTTACGATTGTGTTCTAACCAGTGAACAATCAGCCAACACTAGTGCTATGTAAATCACACACTGAAGCAGAAGTCAAGAATGTGGTAGGACTAACAGAGCTGGTTTCTTGGGAAAGTTAGTATCATTCAATTAAAAGATTCCTGGCCTCTACGAAGCCCTCCCTGATTTTCCCAGCCCGAAAGGATCTCTCTCTCTCTGTTTCTCTCTCTCTGTTTCTTTCTCTTTTTCTCCCTTTCCCTCTCCCTCTCTCTCCTGAAACAAGTGCTCTCTCCAGAGCATGTATTTTGTACTTAGGACACTTTTGAAAATTTTTTCTTGCATTGCTGCTGTTTGTCCTCATTTCTGGTACCATCTTTCTTTTCTCTTTGCCTGATTTTACAAGCTTATTTTCTGATATAATGCAGCTTTAAAAGACATCATGGGAGCAAGATAGGGTACAGGTCAGGCACAGTGGCTCACACCTGTAATCCCAACACTTTGGGAATATTGAAACATACAACTTATCACTTTAGGTCAGGAGTTCGAGACCAGCCTGGCCAACATGGTGAAACCCCGTCTCTACTAAAAATACAAAAATTAGCCAGTAGTGGTGGTGGTTGCCTATAATCCCAGCTACACGGGAGGCTGAGGCAGAAGAATTGCTTGAACCTGGGAGGCGAAGGTTGCAGTGAGCCAGGATCACACCACTGCATTCTAGTCTGGGCAACTTCCAGCCTCAACTTTTTTTGAGACTCTGTCTCAAAAAAAAAAAAAGGGTATAAAGCAATCAGTAATATTGTCAGATTTTAAATTTCAAGACAGGAGGGGTCATCTCCCACTCATCTTTATAAATCCCACAGCACTACACAAAACACATCTGTTGAATAAATTGATGTAGTAATAACAATATGACAAAGTAAAAGCATTCATTGGATTTTTTTAGAAAGTTGACATTTTTTCCATGAAATATCACTAGCTTACTAGTAGTTTACAATTTTTACTAGTTTACCAGAGTATTTGCATAGATGTCTATTGTATTCTTTTAATTTTTTATCTCTTCAAACTATGTCCCATCTGTGGTTGCCATTTTTCTTGCTTTGATTTGACAAAGTTTCATCTCTTATATAGGTCTTTTGGGAAAAAAGCTCTTAGATTTATTTATTATGCTTATTTTTCTAGTAGAAGAGATGTATTTATTTCAGCAAAATTATAAAGTAAAAAATCAAAGAAACAATAATATTTGGCACTCGCTGAGACATAATTTTGTAAAGAAGAAAACAGTAATCAGCATAAGTATAATAAATTATAAAGATCTATTGATCTTTTAATGGGGGCAAATAACCAGAAGAAACACAAAAAGACTTAAAATACAGCATCATTGTCACATCTCATGAAAACATTCCCATAAAAAATTAACAATTTCCACTTGAACATGTATTTCAGCCCTCTTTGAACTTATTCTGAAATCTTGATGCTCTACTGACGTTTATAGACTAGCCATTTTCTCACTCCATGAACTCACAAGTTATCGGTCTCTTCAAAAGCAATTAAAAAGGAGCACTTCATGTTAGATATAGAGTACTTAAAGGCTAATATTTAATCTTAATTGGCAACAAGTTTAGTGCAAATACAATTATATTTAGCGGCTTAGATAGTCCTGGTAAGGATGCATTCTCTTAACCCTTACTGTTTCCCCAGAGTGAAATCATTTCTCTCTTTTTATGAGTACAAACGTTGGCCATTCAAACCTCTGAAAACTAGTAACGATAATTCTGTTTGTTACACAGGGAGTTTCCATGAAAGATGGTTTCAGTCACTATGTAAATGAGCCACATGGTTTTTACATTTGGAAAGTTCCCTTCGGGTTGATACAAAAAAGCAGGGCCTGAATGACAGTCATTCCTCTTAGGAATGGAGTCCAAGTCATAACTGGATCTTACCCAGCTGCTTCTCTGATCAGTGAGAAGACCCAAAGGAGGCATTAATCATTTTACCCATTAACCACCATGCATGGAATTCAAAAGAAGACTTGAGAACAGGGCTGAGGAATCTCTTAAATCGAACTGTGCTCTCCAGTAATAATTTTATTTCACTGATTTAAATGCCAAAAAAAGAAAAATAAAGCCATCTGATTTCAAACCTGGTGCTTCCCACTGTCAGCCAAGATTTATTCTTCAAATGAACAGAAGCCAGAGAGCTACTAGCCAGAGAGGATTTTAATTGTGCTTCATCAATTCCTCGAATTGCTTCTCTTTTTGTTAGACATCTGTTCCCTCTCTAGCCAAGGCCTGGGACTCCTGCTTCAGGAAACAATATGGCTTACTGTGCCCAGCTCCATGGTGGCAAGGGAAGAGGAAGAATGCCTCCTAGATATCAAGCACCTGGCCCCGCCTCTTGTCTAGGTTTCTCCAGTCAAGGAGTTCAGCTTTCAAAAAGCTTGGATGACCCTCTTGAGGTCCAGGATGTAGTGACATAAGATCCAGGGAGGTCAACACCATCTCACTCGACCATCCTCTTTACCAACTCTCAGCAGCTTTTCTATTCCCCCTGAATTCTCTCACTGAGCAGGATGAGGGAGTGCTGCCTGCATGTTGGACAGAGAGACCCACCTCAGTCACTATACTCTTCTCTTTCCCTTGGACTGTGGAATTTCTCATACTGGTTGGCCAGTTTCCACTTGTTGTGCTGACTTTTGAGTAGTGCAGCGAAGGAAGTTTTTCGGGTGACACTTCTAGATATTTCCTTGCTCTTGGCCTTTCTGGTAGGGGAAGAACTTCCAACTAAGGGATAGACAGGGAAAATGGGCTTGCCCCGAGGAGCTCCCAACAGCTGCCATATTTCCCCAGAGGTATTACTGGTTAGATACTGCCATGGCTTCTTCCCACTGCTGTCCCTGACATTTACCCGAGAAGCCAACCTTTGCACTAGCAATTTGATGACCCCCTGGTGGCCGTGAATGGCTGCAAGGTGCAGCGGGGTATATCCACAACTGGACCTCACGTTTACATCAAGGACAATCCCTGCCTTCTTTGCTCCAGACACCAAGTCCTGAAGGGCCCTGAGGTCACCATGTTTGGCTATCCAGTGCAACGCAGTGTACCCAGTCAAAAAGTCTTTGTGCAAGGCCAGTTGAGGGTCCTCCCAGAACAAAGTCCACACCTGAATCCAGGAGCCACTGGCAAGCTTCACAATCCACTCATGCTCCCTGGCATCTAGTGGAACCAGGGATGATTTGTGCTCAGAAGTTCTGTGGGGGGCCAAGGCTGCAGACCCCTCCCCACTGGGGACCCACAGGCTGTGTCGCCAACCCCGCTCGGCCACAACAGCCTTAACCTCTGCAAGTTTTAGTGATAAACCTGCATCAACCCTTGGGCTGGGTGCCGTTCCTGCCTTGGAGGGCTTCCTGGATCGAGGTGGGCGCCGACTTCTTTTCAGCAAGCCCTCATCGAGGTACTCCTCATCAGAGGAGGACAATTTGGCTCTCCCTGCCAGAGAGCTCCTCCTGAGGGACCTCCTTAACTTAGGAACTGGCCAAGGCAAAGGCTTCAGGGGGTGGCCTGCAAGGCCATTAGCCCCTGCAGGGACCTGCTGAGAGATGTGACCATCCCCTCTGTTTCTGAGACCCTGAGGGCTCCGGCTGGGGCTGCCCTCCTTCCGAGATACAGAAAGGCCCCCAGCTGGATTCCTGAGCTTCCCCCTATCTGGGGTTCCCAAGACAACCTGCAGCCCCTCTTCAGAAGCCCCCGGGGAGTCTTTGGGCCCACTGCTGCTCTCCTCACTGCCATCACTCTCCTGGTCCACAAAGTCATCCAGATCTTGGAGGGACAGCTGACAACGAATGCTGCGAAAGACAGTCAATGAAGGGTTCCCCGCCCAGGATTCCCAGGACTCATCCGGAACAACAGGAAAGAGAGAGTGCGAGGAAAGACAGGGGTCTGGCGGCTCTGAATTAGGCTCCGTGGAGCCGGGTTCCAAGGGCAGCTGGAGGAAGTTGTCTGGCAGCACCGACCAGGCGCGGATAGGGCCCTGATCACGGGCCTCGGGCACCTGCGGGTGCCTGGCCACCCACTCTCGAGTGCGCTGCTGCTGCTGCTGCAGGGTCGAATAATGCAGGGAGCTGGGGGTCAGCAGCTCCGGCCGGTCTCCGCGGGGAGCGGGGCCGGGCAGGAGAGCAGGCGGGGAAGCCCTGCTTGTCGCAGCCTCGACGGTGGCGGGAGGCGAGTGAGCCACTGCAGGCACAGGCGCCGGCTCAGCTAGCGCGCCTTCTTCCCGCTCCCTGGAAGCCCCGCGGTCATCCTGGGCAGGCAGAGCCCGTGCCGGCTTCTCCTCCGCGGTGGCCGAGTGCGGGAGTGCGCCGAGCTCTCCCGGCAGTACAGCCAGGTTGTTCTGGAGGCATTCCCAGCAGCAGCGGCCCTGCGTCTTCGCCGCCGCGCAGCTCGCTCTCGCCTGGGCCCCTGCCGCTGCAGCTGCGGGCACCGGCGGCCTCTGTCCGGGACTGCCCTTCGATCCGCCGCCCTTCCCGGGCGCCCTACGGGAGTCGCTGCCCGGGAGTCCATTGCAAGCTGCGTCGGCGGCTCTGGCTGCTGCACCTGCTGGCTCCTCCTCCGGCTCCTTCTCGCGCCGCCGCCGCCTGGGCTGCTGCTGGGGCGGCTCCCCCCGGCGCGCGCCTCGCGGGGAGCAGGGCGCAGCTCCCCCTGCACTGGGGGCGGCCGCGGGCGGCTCGCGGGGTCGCTGCAGCCCCTCCTCCCCCAAAAGGTCCCTGTATCTCCTCTTGAGCACCACGTACTTGGTGCCGTCGGGGTCCTGGCGCACTGCGGCGACCGAGTTGACGAAGCCCTTGAAGAGCTCGCGGCGGTGCTGGTGCTGGCTGGGGGACGCGTCGGGGTCTCGGAGAAAGCTCTTGAAGTGGCTCAGCAAGGCAGCGTTGGTCACGCGGCCCCCAGCCTGGCACAGAAAGTCCAGTAGTGCCTCCTGGCTCAGCTCTCGGGCCATCGCTGCCTTGTCCTCCGCCCCAGAGGTGTCTGAGTCTCGCCCTCCCGGGGCTCTCCCCAGCCAGAGGAAACCCTGGCCGGGCGAGTGTCACCTGCGCCCGGGGCGGCACTAGCCGCCCCCATCAGCCGCGGAGGCCAGCGCTGCCCGCAGCCCGTGAGCGCGCCAGGAGGGCCGTGGGTCCCCTCCGGGTGGCCCCAAGGCTGAGTCCCCGCGGCAGTCTGCGTGAGAGAGGGCGGCTCCGAGGCCGCCCCTGCGCGACTCTAGCCTCTCGCAACGAGTCCTCACAGCGAAAGTTCCCGGGATAGGGCCGAGTCGGTTTCACCTGCGCCCTGGCGGCACCTCCTCCCTGCCTCTGGGGGAAGGGTCAGGCCCGCCTCCTCGTGTCCCTCCGCCCCCTGAGGTCTCCCCCACCCCCTGCCACCCATCCCAGAAGAGTCAGGCCGGAGAGCCAGCCGGTAGGTGAGGTTGGCGGCGAACCGAGCCGGCAGCGAACTGCTCTGCGGCCGGGGAAGTGGAAGGCAGGTAGGCGACCGGCCGTTCCTCTAAGTCTCCGCCACGCAGGAAACAAAAGCGATAGAAGGTCCGTTCCTGTCCTCCGGTGCTTTGATGAGTTCAGGCTGAAGCCGATGGGGGAGGAGGAGAAGCTGCAAGTTAACAGGCAATCTGAGTTATCTTTCTTTATTAACGCTGTAGAGGAGTACTTCAGATTTCTCGAGGCTGTATTGAGGTCCGCAAAACTCACTTTGCATCCAAACTAAATTTTTCTTAATATAGAAATACTTTCTGGGCCGCTTCTCCGGCGCCCCCTCCAAGGGGTCCGAATACATCCAAGTCTATACTGAAAAGAGAAATCACTCTGAAAATTACTACTGGGCAATATTGGTTTGGGACTTTTTCTTTCATACTTGTCTTTCCTTCATACTTGTCTCACATTAAGGTGCTGGAAAAAAAAAATCACTTTGATAGCTTCTTGCCCCCGGCGGCTAAAATGAACTAGGAATTATGTCTCGCCAGTTAAGGTATTTGATGTGTAGCATTAGTTTGCTTTTATTTACTCTAAAATTTGTGAACAGCAGAGATTTGTACAGTGTTTTGTATTGGCTTGGTGAAGTGCTTCCTTTCAGAATGTAAGGTTCAAAATGCAGACTAGAGCTGTCTTTAACAGCACCTTTTCCCCCTAACAGCTGGGATCCCTCTTCCTTTTTCTCTCTCCACATGTTGACCCTTCTGTCTTTGATGTGAGATCCTGGATGTCCCTCACTGTTCCTTATCAGTCCTGTTGACATGCCTGAGATAGTTTTCACTGTCATTATCTCTTTACCTGTTTTAGTTCCAAGCCTTCTCTCATTCTTTTCTTTAACTTGGCCTTCCCATTTCTTTCTGTTACACGACATCCTTGTTTACCTTCGGCCTCTACTGACAGGAAATATGTCTGTTTCTCAGATCCTCTCATGTCCACTGTATTTCCCATTCAAAAACCTCGATTTTCTCCTTCCCTGTAATTTGCCTCTCTTTTCTCATGGACTCTTCTCATCTTTTCACTTTTCCTTTTGCTCTTCTATTTCTGATTACTCATAGTTCCTATACTTCTCGCCAAGAAAGAGTATTGAAAGTATGTGTGTTGGCCCTACAATTGTTGACAAAGACATGTTTTAGCATGGACCAATCTTAGTGACTGCCCTATAGACCACATTAACTGAGCTTGATTTTAAATCCCCAAAAATACCCTAGCACTTTTCCAGGAATGAATCTTTGGTTTTACATTATCTAGGTCAGAAAAAAAGAACTGGAAACATTTTTGTCTATTTTTGGCATTTTCTAGGATCCAAACCCAATACTGGGTTGAGAGAGGGATAGTGGTTTTCACTGATGTCTCTACATAACATCAAGCCTTTAGGATAGTTTTTAAAATTAAGGTTTTGTATTAAATTTCAGCTTTCTTTTGAGTTTATTTGCTGGTATAGAGTCTTGTTGGGACTGAGTAAGGTGAGTCCATACCTAAGGCAGGAGGAACACCAAATGAAAGACTCAAGTGGGCATTTTAGAATGGCAAGTGGAAAGAATCCCTCTTTGCTACTTTTTAAAACATCTGGTTACAAAATAAGGGGCTAACTGCAAAAGAGAGCCATAATATGGACTGAGGTTTCGACTCAAAGGAAATAAAAAGACTAGAGTGAAAGAAAGTGGAGGGCCAGGTGAGGGGAGATTATAAAGCATCTGTTTGTTGAAATCAGATCATTTTTAGTTGAGGGTGGAATTAATAGGATTGGAGCCAAAAAGAAGAAAAAAAAATCTGATTGCTTTAGATTTCTGGATTCCCAGGTACTTTGGTGTCCAGACCTTCTCCTCTCTCTCTCTCTTGTCCCAGGATAAAGAGGTGGTTAATTGGAAAGCTCTTTACATTATCTCAGGGAGAATTTTCCTGCCTCCCACATATACAGTTCATTATTTCCAAAAATATTTATGAAGCTCCTACATTACCCTGACACTGTTGGAAATGGGTATAAAGAAGAAAGTGTACTTGAGAATTCACTATTTCTCTCTATTTAGTAAGGAGCAACAAGAGAAATGGCATGAACCTGAGTGCTAAGTGATTTAACAGAGACATGCACCACATACTGGTGAAGTTGAGGGGAGGTGCATAAAGGAAGAACTCAGGCTCAGCTTGGGGGATCAGGACAATTTTCCAGTAAGAGCTAACTTTGGGGCTGGGCGCGGTGGCTCACAGCTGTAATCCCAGCAGTTTGGGAGGCTGAGGCGGGCGGATCACGAGGTCAGGAGATCGAGACCATTCTGGCTAACATGGTGAAACCCCATCTCTACTAAAAATACAAAAAAATTAGCCGGGCGTGGTGGCGGGCGCCTGTAGTCCCAGCTACTCGGGAGGCTGAGGCAGGAGAATGGCGTGAACCCGGGAGGCGGAGCTTGCAGTGAGCCGAGATCGCGCCACTGTACTCCAGCCTGGGCGACAGAGCGAGACTCCGTCTCAAAAAAAAAAAAAACAAAAAAAAAAAAAACAAAAAAAAAAAACAAACAAAGAAAGAAAAGAAAAGAGCTAACTTTGAGTAAAAAGGTGAGAATAGGCTTTAAGGCAGAAAAAACATTGGTGCGAAGGCAAAGAGCTGGCTTAGCATCGCTATTTGGGGAATGAACTGCCAATAGATCTGCTTGGCCTGTTTGGCTTTAAGGAAGACGATGTGTGTGGATGTGCTGGAAAGGGAAAAAGTAGATGGGAATCAGAAGATGAAGGGCTTTGGGGGCAGGGGCGGCTTGGAAGAATTTTCCCAAGGGTAGCAACCTGACCAGATTTGTACTTTAGAAAGATCTCCTGGAAGTAAGTGTTGGTTTGGAATCATGACCAATATTAATAAGTAAAAAGAGTACATTGTAGAACAATGTTGTATGTAACCAAACCTAAGAACCATTGATTGTATGACACATTGTGATTTTAGAGATGTTAAAATATGGAAAAAAGTTCCTCCTAAAATAGAATATGGCATAGAGAAATATGGCATGTGTAATAAGATCCTATTTTTAGAAAAAAACTATGTGTATATGTATTTGGGGGTAAAATTTAAGGACTGGATACGGGGTGACTTTAATTTTTTTAAATAGCCTTATAAACTATTTTACAATGAGAATATATTACTTTTTAGTTTGAAAAAGACACTAACGAAAAGAATCCCATAAATGAATATCAACAAAGAAAGAGACAATATCAAGTCTTTAGGCTGTAGGAGGAAGGTGAGGCTGCCCACAGGAAGAATAGTCCAGAAGTTACTGAGATGATCTAAGAAAGTGATGAAAAAGGTCTGAGCTCAGCAGTGGCCAAGAAAGGGAGACGAACAGATGTATTGGAGAAGTGTTCAGTAGATACATGTAATAGGATTTGGAGCCAGAGTAGTCTGAGGATGAGAGACCAGGTTGGCTTACTCCCATGTGTCTAGCTTGAGTGCCTGGATATAGTGCCACCCGACCAACCACTGTGTGTTTTTCTCCATTAGGGAACAGTATACCCTGGGGGGTTAGAAACAGGGAAGGCAGGCACTGAACTGTTCCAGGTTGAGGGTTGGCAGGTTAGGGCATACAAATTAAGCTTGTGGAAGAGTGTAGTGGTATGAATGGATAGTGAAGGAAGTCAGCTCAGAGGGTTAGTGGATGACTGTTACCCATGGACAATTGTTACCATCCGCCTCAGTAGAAAATATAAAAGCAGTCGTTGTTGGAAATGGGAAAGATGATCAATTCAGTTTGGACATATTAAGTTTGAGGTGCCTATGGGCCATAAAGATAGAAATATCTAGGAGGCAGTTGGTAATATAGGTTCAAGGCTCAAGGATGTGTGGCATTAGCATCTATAAATAATGGTCATTTAAACCACAGGCAATAACAAAATTGTTTAGAAAGAGATATATAGGCAGTGGGAAGAAATGAGGGTAGAGGGTGAATCCACATTTACCAAAGAGAGAGGAAAAGAAACCTGTCAGGGAGACTTAGAAGGAGCAGCTGGAGGGGAAGAGGAGCACCAAGGAAGGAGGAAGAACAGCTTTCTATGCCAAGATGCCAAGTTAGATAAGACGTGAAATATGACCATAGCCTGTTAGGCCACTGGGGCCCAATCTGGAGCAGTTTCACAACGGTGGTAGGGACAGAGACCAGGTCATAGAGTAAGTGGGGTAGAGAATGGGATGAAAAAAGCCTTGAGCATGAAAGGAAGGAGAAAAGAGAATTCTAGACAAGGAGAATATCAGATCATGTAATGTAAGATTTGTTTTGTATAGTTGTTAGAAGAGATATGAGCATGTCTGTGTGCTGAGGGAAAAGAGCCAGGAGAGGATAAGTTGAGACCTAGAGGAGAGAGTAAATAATTGATGAAACAGGGCTTGGGGTGGGGTTGGAGTCCAGAGTTCAGGTAGAGGGATTCCCTGGGACAGGAGAGAGGAGAGCCATTTTTCCCATTAAGAACTGAGAGAGGAAAAATAGCTATTGTATTCATTAGCATAGGCTAACCTGCTATAAAAATAAACCTTAACTCGTAATGACTCAAAAATAAAGTTTATTTCTCACTTACATCATTTTTAGGGCAGTTTTTAAAGACAGGCAGGCAGCTACTTCCCATGCAGTTATTTAAGGAACAAAGCTGATGGCAGCTCTGCCATCTTTAACACATGGTTTTCATATCATCAAACAGCTTGCCAGAAGGGGAAAGATCACGGTGATGTGCACGTGAAACATTTTTATAGACCAGGCATGGAAGTGGTAGACAATACTAATGCTCAAATTCCAATGGCAAAAAATTTCATCACATGATACACCTAACTGCAAGGGAGGTTGAGAAATGTAGCGGAGCTGCATGTCCAGGAGGAAGGGAGGAATAGATTCTGGTTAACAGCAGTTCATCTTGGCCATAGCTGTAGATATACATTCACTTTATTTGCACATGGAGAGCAGAAAGCTGAGAGGTTTTATGCGTGAAGACCTCCATTTTCCTCATGGTATAGAAAAGGATGCCATTCACTGAGTATGAATATGTATGAGAGAGAAAGAAGCATGAATAAAGTTCATGCATCAGTTAGGGCAATTGGGAGAAGCATATAGGATTGCCATTTGGCCAAAGGAAACAACTTATTTTGAAAGTTTATGGTGTCACCAGATCAAACCACTCTGTTATTTTCTCCATGAGGGCACAGTACCCTGGGTGTTTAGAAACAGGAAAGGCAGGCGCTAGACTGTTCCAGAGTTGAGGGTTGGCAGGTGGGGGCATGAAAATTAAGATTTTGGAAGAAGGAAGTGGTATGGATGAATAGTGAAGGAAGTCAGCTCAGAAGGGGCCTAAGAGATAGGGAGAAAAGGTTTGAGGAAGTCTTGGTGGGGTTGAAAAGCAGGCACAAGGGGAGTAAGTGAATATGAGAGCTAGAGGGTTAGGACATTGTGAGCAGAACATCAGTTATTCCCAGGTCTTGAGGCTTGAGGTTTCCAAAGTGGAATAGTTTGGGAGTGATGACAAGGTTCAGAGTGTGACCACATGAATGAAGCATGGTGGAGGGGAGAGGCATATTGAAGATGACGATACCATAGAATGGTGAGACCAGGTGTTGAATGAGTCTTATACAGGGATACAGAGTTATCTAGGATGGAGAGGACAACAAAAATTGTCTAAGTCCTTAGTACTGTGGTATGAGGAACACTGATGGCATTCTGCCAGGAGTATTTGCTCTGCTCCTCATCAACACATAGTGATGAGGAGCAAATAGTGTAATAATGTAGTGATTTACACATGTGGGTCATGTTCCAGACCACACTTCTTTATCAGATCATCAGAACAAGTATGGGAAGTGTGTAGAACAGAGATCATTACTGTTATGGATGAAATGTTTGTGATCCTCTAAATTCACATGTTGTACATCCTAACCCCCAATGTGATGGTATCAGGAGATGGGGCCTTTGGGAAGTAATTAGCTTATGAAGGTGGAGCCCTTATGAATAGGCTTTGTACCCTTATAAAAGAGAACCCACAGAGTTCCCCCACCCCTTTCTGCCATGTGAAGGCACAGTGACAAGACAGCTGTCTATGAGCCAAGAAGTGGGCCTTCCCTAGACACCAAATCTGCCAACATCTCGATCTTGTACTTCTCAGCCTCCAGAACTATGAGGGATAAATGTTTGTTGTTTAAGCCACCAAGTCTATGGTATTATGTTAAAACAGCCTGAACAAACTAACTCAATTATCTTGCAGAAAGCAGCTCTCCTTGCTATTAATAAGTCTGTATTTCTTGTAGGATGTTCTGATGAGCTTATTCTTTGCCTTCCATCCAAACCTCTACTGTGGATGTGGAGTGATATCACCACTCAGGAAGGTGGAACTGCCCAGTGTTAATCATCCAGGTCAGTGGGTAGATCCCCAGGTGATATAGTTTGGATGTTTGTCCCCTCGAAGTCTAATGTTGAAATTCGATCCCCAGTGTTGGAGGTGGGGCCTCTGGGAGGTGTGTGTGTCATAGGGGTAGATTCCTAATGAATGGCTTGGTGCCTTTCTCATGGTAATGAGAAAGTTCTTGCTCTATGGGTTCACACCAGAACTGACTGTTAAAAAGAGCCTGGCATCACCTTCCCTCTCTCTTGCTTCCTTTCTCACCATGTGACACACTGGCTTCCTTTGCCTTCTGCCATGAGTAAAGGCTCCTGAGGCCTCACCAGAAGCTGAGCAGATGCTGGCACCATGTGTCTTGTACAGCCTGCAGAACCACGAGCCTAATAAACCTCTTTTCTTTATAAATTACCCAGTCTCAGGTATTCCTTTATAACAATGCAAAATGGACTAACACCCAGGTGAAACCGTAGCAAAGGTAGAATGTAGAAATGCAGGAGAGAAAACCAGGGGGCTTGCCAACCCTCTGTCCTCACTGTCCTTTGTTCAGGTTTGGATTTCCACAAGTCTAGACATTCTGACATAGCAAGGGAAATGCATTTTCATGCTGAACTACAAGCTGAAGTTGGGGATTCTAATTTATGTGCCAGACAATCTAATGATATGGTGCTTCCTGCATTTACTTCCCTTCTCTTATTTGAACCTTTATTTATTTATTCATCAAATATTAATTGAGGGCCCACCAGGTATATGCACTTTTCTGAGGCTGGGAACACAGTGGTAAACCAAACAGATAGAATCACTGCTCTCAGAAAGTTTACATTCTAGTGAGAAAGAAACAGACAATAGACAGAAAATAAACAAGGAAATATCAGTAGCAATAAATGCTCAGATGCAAAAGCCAGCTGATATGATAGAGGCTGACTAGAGAGCTATTCTAGCAAGGACAGGCAGGGAAGGCCTTTGTTAGAACATAAAAATAAGCAGAGACCACAACGATGAGAAGAATGCAGCCAAGTGAAGATGGGGAGGAGGGAACAGGATGGAATGAGCCTTCCAGACAGAGGGAACTGCTGAGGTTACATCAGAAATGAGCATGGTTTCACCTCTGATTCTTGTGATAAAGATAGATAGATTAGGTAGATAGATAGATAGATAGATAGATAGATAGATAGATAGATAGATAGATAGAAAGAGAAAGGAGCTTGGTGTGTTTGAGGAACAGAAAGCAATCCAGCCTCGAATCTGGAGCATGATGAGCAAGGAAAGTGTGGGGTGAGGTCAGACAGTAAGCAGGATCTGGGTCTTGCAGGGCCTAATGGGGTTAGAGTTTCAATCTAAGTGTGATGGGAAGCCATTAGAAGTTTATAACCAAGAGAGTGACACATAATTTATGTAGTAAACAGACCATCTGGCTGCTGTGTGGAGAGTAGATTGTAGGGGATATTAAAGTAGGAACAGAAAATCCAGCTGAGAAACTACCACAGAAGGGGAGGTAAGAGATGGCAGTGGCTTGGAATATTAAGGCATCAGATGTGGAGAAAGATTGAGATTCGCAAAATGTTCCAGAGGTAGAACTAAGAGAGTTTGCTGATGGATTGATTTCTTAGGCTGTTCTTACATTGCTATAAAGAAATACCTGAAACTGGATAATTTATAAGAAAAAGAAGTTTAATTGGCTCACAGTTCTGTAGGCTTTACAGGAAGCATGATGCTGGCATCTGCTTGGCTTCTAGGGAGGCCCCAGGAAGCTTCCTATCATGGTGGAAGGCTAAAGGGGAGCAGGCACCTCAAGTGGCAAAAGCAGGAGCAAGAGAGAGGGAGGGTGAGGGGGGTACACACAACCTTTAAATGACCAGATCTCGCGAGAACTTACTCACTATCATGAAGACGGCACCAAGCCATGAGAGATCCATCCCGTGATCCAATCACCTCCCACCGGCCCCCACCTCCAGCACTGGGGATTACAATTCAACCTGAGATTTGGGTGGGTACAGATATCCAAACTATATCAATTGGATATAAGTTTACCAAGATTGAGAATATTGCAGGAAGAACTGGTTTGGGAGCAGGAAGTCAAGCATCCCATTTTGGAAATGTTATATTTGAATGACCATTAGATATCTAAGTAATAATCTAGAGCAAGCAATTGGACATATAAGTCTGGAGCTCAGGAGTAGGTCAGAGCTAGAGGTATAAATTTGAGTCTTTGGCTTTGAGGTGGTATTTTAAAGCTATGGGATTAGATGAATGTATCTATGGAAGAAATCTAGAAAGAGAAGAAAAAAGTCCTATGTCCAGCTCCAACATGAGGGGTCCATCTTTAGTAGTATCTTGCATAAATATTATAAGCTGTCTCAACCATACTATGGCAATGAGAGAAACTGTAAAATCCATGCTTTGTACCCCTAAAGCCAGTTTGCTGATTGTGGCTCCAGCAGACATTAGTGTGAGTAACCTTATACCCCAAGAGTAAGGTTAATTTTAAGATCTGGAGTAAAAGACTTTCCTCCATCTTGTGGAAAGTCTTCCTCTGTTACCAACTTTAGAACATATGGGTTTAAAATTTTTTAAAGGCATCAGCAGGTTTTCTACGTGTATCCTGATTTTACATGTGGAAAAACCAAGTTTCAAAGTTTAATGGTGTCTTAGCCCATTCAGGCTGCTATAACAAAATACTATAAACTGGGTGGCTTTTAAACAATAGAAATTTGTTTCTCACATTTCTGGAGACTGGGAAGTCCAAGATCAAGGTTGCAGCAGATTTGGTGTCTGCTGAGGACCTACCCTCTGGTTCATAAATAGTACCTTCTATATGAGTCTTCAGTTGGTGGAAGGGAAAACTCTGGTCTCTTCAGCCCCTTATAAGGGCCCTAATCCCACTCATGAGGACTCCACCCTCATGACCCAATTACCTCAAAAAGGCACCACTTCCTAATACCATTACATTGGGATATTTGAATCAAGTTGACTTCAAATCTATTTTCATTCTTCTTTCAGCATTCTGTACTAATTCTTGTGTTCTTCCTGAGTAACTCTATTTCCTCAGATTCAATCACTGCTTATATTCTTATGATTCCCAAATATATATGTATAGTTCACCTAGAAAAAGCACAGACTTTCAAGCAATTTTGTCATCTCGGCTCTGTTCCTATCTCCTTAAATTTGGCCAATTTCAAACCTCTCTGGGCCTCAGTCTGTTCATTTGTACAATGGGGGAATTAGATTAGTTGATTCTGAAGTCCTTTCCAGTGCTCACATTCTGATTTTAAATTTGCTGCTTCTTCTAATAATGTTAATAGTAATAATGACATTTATTGCATATGCAGTGCCAGACATTGAGCCAAGTGCTTTACAGGTGTTAATATACTTAGTACTCCTAATAGCATCCTATGAGATAGGAGCTATTATTATTTTTGTTTTATAGTTGAAGAGACCAAGATCCAGATAATGTAATTTCTCGCTATTTTGTAATGAATAAGTAAGTGGCAGAGGCAGGATTCAAACCCAGAGGGTTTTAGTCTGGAGTCAGCATCACTTAGTTCCAGCTCTGTACTTGTTTCTCTTCAAAGACCCTGAACCCTGTTCTGCCTTCTCACCTTAGCCCGACTTGACTTCTGCCCCTCAAGCGCAGGTCCTGACTTCTTGTGTTACCTCTTTCCTGTCTATCTTTATCCTCTTTCTCCTCTATCTCTCCTGGCTATTCTTTCCTTCCTACACAAAAGAAAAGAAAAGAAAAACCAAAAAAGAGTGCCTCCCTCAGTCACTGCCTTAGCCCAGCCTCATTATTCTGTGCAGATGTCCAGATGTCACCTCCTCCCAGGGATCTTTGCTGAACTCCTTGGCTAGGTCAGCTTTCCATCTCCACGTACCTCCAGGCATTTCCACTGGGAGAAAGTTAGGTTTGAGATGCCCATTAGACATTAAATAGAGATGACCAGTGTCTGAACTGTGTTGCCCCCTCATCCAGAACAGTGGCTCATGATGGTGGGACTGTGTTTGGTTCACCACTAGCAAAGACTTTGTTGTGAAGAGGACTTGGAATAACAAAATGTATTTGTTTCATGGAGCTGCTGTAATGCAGTATCACAAACTGTGTTCCTTAAAATAATGGGAATTTATTTTCTCACAGTTCTAGAGTCCAGACATTGGAAATGGAAGTGTTGGCAGGGCTGTTCTCCCTCTGCAGACCCCAAGAGAGAATTCTTTTCCTCTTCCAGCTTCTGATAGCTGTCTTCATTCCTCAGCTTCCTTGGCTTGTGGCCACATCACTCCAATCTCTTGCTCCATCTTCATGTGGCCTTCTTCTCTTCTCCTGGATTAAAGATAAACTAAAAATAAGATCCTTAATTTAATTATATCTGCAAACCTTTACCTTTTCACAAATAAGATAGCATTCACAGTTCTAGTGATTTAGACATGGACACATCTTTTGGGGGCCATCATTCAACTCACTATACAAGAAAACTGAAAGAAGTTCAGGGATGTCCTTCTCCAACCCCTCCCCTTCTCCCTTGAGTCTGGCTAAATTAAATTTCCTTCAAGATTCAGCTCAGCTGTCACGAAATCAAGGGAGTCATCCTTGACCCATACCCCCAGTCTCAGCACGTGTTCCTCCTATAATAATAATAGCTCTTGCATATTCAACACTGTTTTAAGGGCTTTATGTGTATGAACTCATTAATTCTTGCTACAAACCTATGGGTAACCTCATTACTATCCTTATTTTACCGAATCCTAATAGTCTGTTGTGTTGTCTCTGTCCCCTACTAGACCTCCTCCAGGGCAGAAACCAACCACTTATTTATCTCTGTGCCCCTAACACTCACCGCAGTACATCCAGGCTCTCTAGAAAGGCGGATGGGTTGAATAAATGACTGAATAAGAGATAGTTTGGTAATAGACTGGGGACACTTTTGAGTATCAAATTAAGATATTTGGAGAAATCCATCTCTGAGATCACAGGAGGCCAACAGAGTTTTAAAGCCAAGAAGTGATAGAAGGTACCCCTCTTTCAAATATATCCTCTTCTTGGGAGAAATCACATGAAATATTGTTTTAATTACATGTAGTTCTACCTGGGCCTTTCTACCACACTTTAGCCTCATATTTCTTGCTTCTTACTGGGTCTTTCTTGGTCCTAAATCAGCATGTCCAGACTAGCCCTCATTATCTTTCCATTCTACCAAAGTCATTCTTCCTATATTACAGAGCCCACAGGTGTTCAACCAGACCATGTGAATTTATCCCAAGCACTTACCTCACCTGCCCTGCCAACTCTATCTTCTGAACTTTATCTCAGATCCATTCCCTTGGCCACTGCTGCATTTTGGGCTCTTGCGTCTTTCACCTGGACTATTGCTGTAGCCTCCTTATCAAACTTGCTGCTTTAGTCTTTTCCAACTCCAGTCCATCCTCTATTGTACTGCCCATCTTGTAACCCTAAAAGCCAGATCAGATTATATTACTCTCTTGATAAAACAACAAGCAAACAAACCCCAAAACAATTTTGCAATGGTTATTCATTGCTTACAGGATCAAGATCTTCAAGATGTAGCTATGTCTTAATTCATCTGGGCTGCTATAACAAAATATGATAAACTGGGCAGCTTCAAAGCAATGGAAATTTAATTCTCACAGCTCTGGAGACTGGAAAGTCCAAGATTAAAATGCCAGCAGATTCAGTGACTGCTGAGGACCCATTTTCTGGTTCATAGATGGTGTCTTCTAGCTATGTCTTTACATGATAGAAGGGGCAAGGTAGTTCTCTGGGTTCTCCGAGTGCATAAATTCCATTCATGAGGGCTCTGCCCCCATGACCTCCTAATTCCATCCCATTGGTGATTAGGTTACAGAATGTGAATTTTGGGGGGATACAAACATTCAAACCATAGCAAGCTACAACCTAGTTTTTCTCCCTATTCATGAATCATTTGCCTCCTTGGTGAAGATTAATTTAGTTAAAAGTAGATAATATAATCTGTAAATCCACTTAACAAGCATACAAATAGCAATAAAGTTATAATATATACTGAAATCATTTCTTACAAAGAAACCATAGATTAAAGATAATGCTGAACTCCAAGCCCAAGCAAACAATACTGCAAGCCCAGGGGATTGGCACATACACCTAGTATGTGCCTTCAGCAATGTTAAACTTAAAACAATAACTGCCTAGCCATATCTGAAAATAATTGCTCTGCAAACTTTAAATTATGGAAAATGCCATTTATAATAGAAATTTACATGATCCCTCTTTAATGATGAGCTCCTCCTTAAGCATATACAGTCATGTGTTCCTTAACAGGGTTATGTTCTCAGAAATATGTCAGGAGATTTTGTTTTTGTGAAAACATCGTAGAGTATATTTACACAAACCTAGATGGTATAGCTTACTACACACCTAGGCTATGTGGTATAGCTTATTGCTCCTAGGCTGCAAGCCTTTATATCATGTTACTACACTGACTAGTAAGACAGAAAATAGTAGCACAACAATAAGTATATGTGTGATAGAAATTTTTCTGCTCCATTATAAGTTTATGGGACCACCATCGTATATGCAGTCTATTGCTGACTGAATCATCATTATGTAGCAATGATTGCTGATATACATATAGACAAATTTCATTTATGTTTCCTATACACATAGCCCAAAAGTAATTTTATATAATATTTTTCATAATTTTGTGCATGCAACAGATTTGACTGTGACTTGCACATATGTTTAATATATATTAACACATATATACATGTTATATATTTTAAATGTATACATACATTTAATTATAGATTTTAAATGTATACATACATTTAATTATATATTAAATTAAATGTATGTACTATATATTCATATTTTATATATTTATAGCCATATAATATTCATGTTCAATATTATATTCAATATAATGAATATATATAAAAAAAGTGAAACAACCCATCAATCTCTCTTTCTTTCTCTCTTTCTCTCTCTCTCTCTCTCTATATATATATCTTATTTAATTTTAAGTAAGAAGATGAGACTTCTTTAAGACTAAATAATGCCAGGTTGGGATATTTTAAATGTATACATACATTTAATTATGTATTAAATTAAATGTATGTACTATATTAAATTAAATGTACATACTATGTACTCATATTTTATATATTTATAGCCATATAATATTCATGTTCAATATTATATTCAATATAATGAATATATATATAAAAAAAGTGAAACAGCCCATCAATCTCTCTCTCTCTCTCTCTATATATATATATATCTTATTTAATTTTAAGTAAGAAGATAAGACTTCTTTAAGACTAAATAATGCCAGGTTGGGAGAGACATAGCTACAGGTTATTGGGAAAGAACCAGACCTTCCACCCATTAGAAGTTGAGCATTCCTTATCCAAATATCTGAAATCTAAAATCCTCCAAAATCCAAAGCTTTTGAGCACAGACCTCATACCACAAGTGGAAAATTCCATATCTGACCTCATGTGACAAGTTACAGTCAAAACATTGTTGCATGCACAAAATTATTTAAAATATTATATAAAATTACCTCAGGCTATGTGTTTAAGAAACATAAATGAAATTTATGTTTAGACTTGGGTCCCATCCTCAAGATATTGCATTATGTATATGCAAATATTTCAATATTCAAAAAAAATTTTGAAATCCGAAACACTTCTGATCCAAGCATTTTATGTAGGGATACTCAACTTGCAGCAGTCATTCACCATTCCTCCCTACCCCCAGCCACCAGTAATCTACTTTCCTTTATTATGGATTTGCCTATTCTGCACATTATATATAAATAGGAATCATAAACTATATGGTCATTTGTGATTGGCTTCCTTCATGTTTTCTTCAAGTTTCAACTATGTTGTAGCATGGATCAGTAGTTCATTTCTTTTTATTGTCAAATAATATTCCGTTGTGTAGACATACCATATTTTGTTTATCCATTCATCTATCAATAGACTGATGGGCTGTTTCACTTTTTGGCTATAATGAATAATGCTACCAGGAGCATTCATGTAGAAGTTTTTGTGTGAACATATGTTTTCATTTCTCTTGGTTATACACCTAGGAGTAGAGTTGCTGTGTCATTTGGTATCTCTATATTTAACCTTTTGCAGAGTCGCCATACTGTTTTCCATATTCGTAGCACCATTTTACATTCTCACCAGTAGTGGATTCAAGAGCACCAGATCTTACATTTTCACTTATGAAAGAACCAAAACTCTCCTCTAGGCTCAATTTTTTAAAACCTGGGAAAGGATTTTACTTCGCCTGGCCTGTGACCAATGCAGACCTGTTTTCTCATCTCTGTAGCTAGAGAAGGGTCGCCTAAGAAGATGGCCATCTAACACATGGGTGTGGGAAGGAGTTTCCCTGGAAAAGTGACATACTGGGCAGACAAGAATAGATGTCTGCCACAGAAGCCTAAAAGTTAAGGATAGCACCACCCCTTAAGGATAACTGTAAATGTGTAGGAGCAATTGTAAATGTGATACAATGACTGGGAGGGTAATAATGGCATTTAGATAGTGTCTTGGACCCGGAGGTATAAATGTCCTGAAATATGCAAGACAGTTCCCATTCAATAAAGATTTGTCCGCCCAAAGGCCAATAGTGCTCCAGTTGATAAAATCAGTTCTGTAATAATAAACTCCCCATTTTTCAGTTGGCAACATGTCTATCCAAAATAAAGATTTTATTTCCTAGTCTCCCTTTGCAGCCAGATGTGGCAGTGTGATTAAGTTCTGGCCAATGGAATGTAAGCAGAAGTGTTGTGTGCAACTTTTCACAAGGATCCCTGGAGAGAGAGGTTATGCCCTTCTTTTCACCTTTCTTCCTCCAACCCCCCAAACACTAGCTGGAATGTAGATATGATGGCTTGTGCTGGAATAGTCATCTAGATTATGAATAAAAACTCCACTTTGAGAAATAGTGGAAAAACAAGATGGGAGGAATCTGGATATATGATGATTGCAGTCATCCCAACTTCGGGCTGTCCCTGGTTAGGTGTGAAACAAACTTCTATTTTAATAAGGCACAATTTGTCTTCTATCACTTTTAGCTGAACCAAATCCTAACAAATCTAACCATATACTATGTGCCAGGCACCTTCTCAACTGTCTTACTTGTATTCTCATTTACTATTCATACTTTCCCTGTGCCCCCCATAAACCACAATGCATACAGGTCTGCCTGCTTGCAAGCCACAGTACTCTTGATGCAAATATGTATTGCAACAAATAACATTTATTGAGCCCTTACTATATGCCAAGTACTGTCTCATGAAAGCACTTTATATGCATTAACTCAATGATTTCCCATCAAACCAATAAGATAAGTACCCTTACCCCCACCTCATTTTGAGATGAAAACACTGAGGCTCAGAAAAATTAAATAACTAGCCTGAGTTCACCTAGATTTTACATGAGAGACACTCTGCCTCCAGAGCCCCTTTCTATAACTATGCTGCCCAGATAGCAACAAATTAACAAAACCCAGAACAAACTGATAATGATAAAACTAAAGTGACTGTAATTTACAATTAATAAGCAAGAAGAACTGAAATCAGAACCTAAACTACCTCAGTATAACAGTGACGATGATGATGATGATGATACATGATAAGAAAGTGGCCTTTTGAAATTTGGAGAAAAACCAACTATCTGCATATGTGCATTGGCCAAGCATTTTTCTGGCTGCTGGACTTTTTAGTAGAGTGCAAAATTAGAATTCTAATCCTTAAATATGTGCCAATTGTAGTATATAGAGATCAAATTTCAATAACTTACTAATAAATACTCGTTAGCTACATGTAAAAAGGAAGGTCTGTGGAATCACACATCATTCACATATATGAATAAAGATATGCATTTGTTGAAATTAATGTACAGTCTGTCAGGAGGGCCTATGGACCTTACTTTGAGAATCATATTTATAAAATGCTGTATGTGAAATGAAGAATCTTGTGTTAAAGCCATAGCCCTCTGTTTCTATTCATATATGAGAGATATATATCATAACTGTATTAGGGTTCTCTAGAAGGACAGAACTAATAGGACACACACACACACACACACACACATATATATAAAGGGGAGTTTATTAAGTATAAACTTACACAATCACAAGGTCCCACAATAGGTCGTCTGCAAGCTTAAGGAGAAAGCAGAGCCAGTCTGAGTCTCAAAACTGAAGAACTTGGGAGTTGGATGTTCGAGGGCAGGAAGCATCCAGCATGGGAGAAAGATGCAAGGCCCATCTCGGCTTTTCACATTTTTCTGCCTGCTTTATATTCGCTGGAAGCTGATTAGATGGTGCCCACCACATTAAGGATGGATCTGCCTTCCCCAGTCCACTGACTCAAATGTGAATCTCCTTTGGCAACACCCTCACAGACATAGCCAGGATTAATACTTTGTATCTTTCAATCCAATCAAGTTGACATTCAGTATTAACCATCACAATACCAGTTTGAAGCTTAGGGCATTAAATGTTCTGAGATGATTAAATTCAATGAACACTGATTGTATACCCACTACTTGTGACTGCATGGCATCAGGGATAAAATGATGACTAAAAGTGATCCTTGCCCTCCAGAAACTTGTAATCTACCAGAGGAGACATCAACAAGACCAGTATAACCCAAGGGCAGATGTGCCATAATAGAGGTATGTTCTAAAGGAAGAGTGAGGAGAGTGATTATTGGTGTCTCTGGATATTGGAGAAGGCTTGAACTATCATTAGGATTCTGCCAAATGGAGAAGAGAAACCAGACTGAGAGAAAAACAGCAACAAAATACAAATCTGGCCGGGTGTGGTGGCTCACCCCTGTAATCCCAGCACTTCGGGAGGCTGAGGCGGACGGATCACCTGAGGTCAGGCGTTCGAGACCAGCCTGGCTGACATGGCAAAACCCCATCTCTACTGAAAATACAAAAATTAGCTGGGCATGGTGGTGATGCCTGTAATCCTAGCTACTTGGGAGGCTGAGGCAGGGAGAATTGCTTGAACCCGGGAGGTGGAGGTTGCAATGAGCAAAGATCATGCCATTGCACTCCAGCCTAGGTGACACAGTGAGCCTCCGTCTCAAAAAACAAACAAACCAAAAAAAGGGACAAAGTTATGGAAAAACTGTAACAGGCTTACGGAGTGCCAAGTAGTTGAGGGCAATTTATTTACAGGCATATCTCAGAGATATTGCACATTCAGTTCCAGGACACTGCACTAAAGCAAGTCACACAAATTTTTTGGTTTTCCAGTGCTTATAAATGTTATGTTTACAGTATACTGTAGTCTATTAAGTATGTGATAGCATTATGTCTTAAAAAAACAATTGACGTCTCCCTCTCCCTCTCCCTCTCCCTCCACAGTCTCCTTCCACGGTCTCCCTCTGATGCCGAGCCAAGGCTGGACGGTGCTGCTGCCATCTCGGCTCACTGCAGCCTCCCTGCCTGATTCTCCTGCCTCAGCCTGCTACGCCTCACTGGTTTTCTTTTTTTTTTTTGGTGGAGACGGGGTTTTGCTGTGTTGGCCGGGCTGGTCTCCAGCTCCTAGCCGCGAGTGATCCGCCAGCCTCGGCCTCCCGGGGTGCCGGGATTGCGGACGGAGTCTCGTTCACTCAGTGCTCAGTGGTGCCCAGGCTGGAGTGCAGTGGCGTGATCTCGGCTCGCTACAGCCTCCACCTCCCAGCCGCCTGCCTTGGCCCCCCAAAGTGCCGAGATTGCAGCCTCTGCCCAGCCGCCACCCCGTCTGGGAAGTGAGGAGCGTCTCTGCTTGGCCACCCATCGTCTGGGATATGAGGAGCCTCTCTGCCTGGCTGCCCAGTCTGGAAAGTGAGGAGCGTCTCTGCCCGGCCACCATCCCATCTAGGAAGCGAGGAGCGCCTCTTCCCCGCCGCCTTCCCATCTAGGAAGTGAGGAGCGTCTCTGCCCGGCCGCCCATCGTCTGAGATGTGGGGAGCACCTCTGCCCCGCCGCCCTGTCTGGGATGTGAGGAGCGCCTCTGCTGGCCGCAACCCTGTCTGGGAGGTGAGGAGCGTCTCTGCCCGGCCGCCCCGTCTGAGAAGTGAGGAAACCCTCTGCCTGGCAACCGCCCCATCTGAGAAGTGAGGAGCCCCTCCGTCCGGCAGCCACCCCGTCTGGGAAGTGAGGAGCGTCTCCGCCCGGCAGCCACCCCGTCCGGGAGGGAGGTGGGGGGGGTCAGCCCCCCGCCCGGCCAGCCGCCCCGTCCGGGAGGTGAGGGGCACCTCTGCCCGGCCGCCCCTACTGGGAAGTGAGGAGCCCCTCTGCCTGGCCAGTCGCCCCGTCCAGGAGGGAGGTGGGGGGGTCAGCCCCCCGCCCGGCCAGCCGCCCAGTCCGGGAGGTGAGGGGCGCCTCTGCCCGGCCGCCCCTACTGGGAAGTGAGGAGCCCCTCTGCCCGGCCAGCCGCCCCGTCCGGGAGGGGGGAGGGGGGGTCAGCCCCCTGCCCGGCCAGCCGCCCCGTCCGGGAGGGAGGTGGTGGGGGTCAGCCCCCCGCCCGGCCAGCCGCCCCGTCCGGGAGGTGAGGGGTGCCTCTGCCCGGCTGCCCCTACTGGGAAGTGAGGAGCCCCTCTGCCCGGCCAGCCGCCCCGTCTGGGAGGGAGGTGGGGGGGTCAGCCCCCCGCCCGGCCGGCCGCCCCGTCCGGGAGGTGAGGGGCGCCTCTGCCCGGCCGCCCCTACTGGGGAAGTGAGGACCCCTCTGCCCAGCCAGCCGCCCCGTCCGGGAGGGAGGTGGGGGGGTCAGCCCGCCCGGCCAGCCGCCCAGTCCGGGAGGAGGTGGGGGGATCAGCCCCCCGCCCGGCCAGCCGCCCCATCCGGGAGGAGGTGGGGGGTCAGCCCCCCACCTGGCCAGCCGCCCCGTCCGGGAGGGAGGTGGGGGGGGTCAGCCCCCCGCCCGGCCAGCCGCCCCGTCCGGGAGGGAGGTGGGGGGATCAGCCCCCCGCCTGGCCAGCCGCCCCGTCCGGGAGGTGAGGGGCGCCTCTGCCCGGCCGCCCCTACTGGGAAGTGAGGAGCCCCTCTGCCCGGCCAGCCGCCCCGTCCGGGAGGGAGGTGGGGGGGTCAGCCCCCCGCCTGGCCAGCCGCCCCATCCGGGAGGGAGGTGGGGGGGTCAGCCCCCCGCCCGGCCAGCCGCCCCGTCCGGGAGGGAGGTGGGGGGGGTCAGCCCCCCGCCCGACCAGCCGCCACGTCCGGGAGGGAGGTGGGGGGATCAGCCCCCCGCCTGGCCAGCCGCCCCGTCCGGGAGGTGAGGGGCGCCTCTGCCCGGCCGCCCCTACTGGGAAGTGAGGAGCCCCTCTGCCCGGCCAGCCGCCCCGTCCGGGAGGGAGGCGGGGGGGGGGGTCGGCCAGCCGCCCTGTCCGGGAGGGAGGTGGGGGGGTCAGCCCCCCGCCCGGCCGGCCGCCCCGTCCGGGAGGTGAGGGGCGCCTCTGCCCGGCCGCCCCTACTGGGAAGTGAGGAGCCCCTCTGCCTGGCCAGCCGCCCCGTCCGGGAGGATGGTGGGGGGGTCAGCCCCCCGCCCGGCCAGCCGCCCCATCCGGGAGGTGAGGGGCGCTTCTGCCCAGCCGCCCCTACTGGGAAGTGAGGAGCCCCTCTGCCCGGCCACGACCCCGTCTGGGAGGTGTGCCCAGCGGCTCATTGGGGATGGGCCATGATGACAATGGCGGTTTTGTGGAATAGAAAGGCGGGAA
Source organism: Homo sapiens (assembly GCF_000001405.40). Lineage (NCBI taxonomy): Eukaryota > Metazoa > Chordata > Mammalia > Primates > Hominidae > Homo > Homo sapiens. Next base: position 76,918,430 of record NC_000004.12, read on the forward strand.
GGGTGGGGAAAAAATTGAGAAATCAGATGGTTGCCGGGTCTGTGTGGATAGAAGTAGACATGGGAGACTTTTCATTTTGTTCTGTACTAAGAAAAATTCTTCTGCCTTGGGATCCTGTTGATCTGTGACCTTATCCCCAACCCTGTGCTCTCTGAAACATGTGCTGTGTCCACTCAGGGTTAAATGGATTAAGGGCGGTGCAAGATGTGCTTTGTTAAACAGATGCTTGAAGGCAGCATGCTGGTTAAGAGTCATCACCACTCCCTAATCTTAAGTACCCAGGGACACAAACACTGCGGAAGGCCGTAGGGTCCTCTGCCTAGGAAAACCAGAGACCTTTGTTCACTTGTTTATCTGCTGACCTTCCCTCCACTATTGTCCTATGACCCTGCCAAATCCCCCTCTGCGAGAAACACCCAAGAATTATCAATAAAAAAAAAATAAATAAATAAAAAAATAAAAAATAAAAAAATAAAAAAATAAAAATAAAATAAAATAAAAAAAAAGGAAAAAAAAAAAAACAATTGACATACCTTGACTAAAAAATGCTTGCTGCAAAGATACTAATGATCATATGAGCTTTCAGAGAGTCAAGATCTTTGTGCTGGTGTAGGTTCTTAGTGTTGAAGGCTACTGACTGATCAAGGTGGTGGTTGCTGAAGGCTGAGTTGGCTGTGGCAATTTCTTAAAATAAGACAACAATGAGGTTTGCCACATTGATTGCCTCTTCCTTTCACAGAAGATTTATCTGTAGCATGTGATGCTGTTTGATAGCATTTTACCCAGAGTAGAATGTCTTTCAAAATTGGAGTTGATCCTCTCAAAGTCTACCACTGCTTTATCAACTAAGTTCATGTAATATTCTAGATCCTTTGTTGTCATTTCACCAATGTTCACGGCATCTTCATCAGGAGTACATTCCATGTCAGGAAACCACTTTCTTTGCTCATCTATAAGAAAAAACTCCTTATCTGGTCAAGTTTTATCATGAGATTGCAACAATTCAGTCACATCTTCAGGCTCTACTTCTGGTTCTCTTGCTATTTCATCACATATGCAGTTACTTCCTTCACTAAAGTCTTCAACTTCTCAAAGTTATCCATGAGGGTTGGAATCAACTTCTTCCAAACTTCTGGTCATGCTGATATTTTGATTTCCTCCTATGAATCACAAATTGTTCTTAATGGCATCTAGAATGATGAATTCTTTCCAAAGGTTTCCAGTTTACTCTGCCCAGATCCATCAGAGGAATTACTATCTATGGCAGCTATAGCCTTCCTGCCTGCTTCTTTCCTTCCTTCCTTCCTTCCTTCCTTCCTTCCTTCCTTCCTTCCTTCCTTCCTTCCTTCCCTCCTTCCCTCCTTTCTTCCTTTCTTTCTTCTGGGTCTGGCTCTATTGCCTAGGCTGGAGTACAGTGGCATGATCTTAGCTCACTGCAACTTCTGACTCCTGGGCTCAAGCCATCATTCTACCTCAGCCTCCTGAGTAGCTGGGACTACAGGTGCATGTCACCACACCTGGCTAATTGTTGTATTTTTTGTAGAGATGAGGTTTTGCCATGTTGCCCAGGCTGATCTTGAACTCCTGAGCTCAAGTGATCTGCCCATCATGTCCTCCCAAAGTGCTGGGATGTGAACCACTGCTCTGGCCATGAAATATATTTCTTAAATAATAAAACCTTAAAGTCAAAATTACTCCTTGATCCATGGGCTGTGGAATGGATGTTGTGTTAATAGGCATGAAAACAACATTAAGCTCCTTGTACATCTCCATTAGAGCTCTTGGTTGACCAGGTGCACTGCCAATTAACAATAATATTTTGAAAGGGATCTTTTTTTCTAAGTGCTAAGTCTCAACAAGGTACTCAAAATATTCAGTAAAGCATGCTGTAAATAGATGTGCTGTCATCTAGGCTTTGTTGTTCCATTTATAGAGGACAGGCAGAGTAGATTTAGCATACTCTTAAGGGCCCTAGGATTTTTGGAATGGTAAATGAACATTGGCTTCAACTTCAAATCACCAGCTACATTAGCCCCTAACAAGAGTCAGCTTGTTCTTTGAAGCTTTGAAGCCAGGCATTGACTCCTCTCTAGCTATGAAAGTCCTAGATGGCATCTTCTTCCAACAGAAGGCTGTTTCATCTACATTGAAAAATTGGTTTTCTAGTGTAGCCACCTTCAATCATCTGAAGTAGATCTTCTGGATAACCCGCTACAGCTTCTATATCAGCACTTGCTGCTTCACCTTACATTTTCATGTTATGAAGACAACTTCTTTCCTTCAGCCTCATGAACCAACCTCTGTTAGCTTCAAACTTTTCTTCTGCAGCTTCCTCACCTCTCTCAGCCTTCATAGAATTGAAGAGAATTAGGGCTGTGTTCTAGATTAGGCTTTAACTTAAGGAAATGTTATGGCTGCTTTTATCTTCTATCCAGACCAATAAAACCTTCTCCATATCAGCAGTAAGATTGTTTTTCTTTCTTATCATTTGTGTGTTCACTGGAGTAGCACTTTGAATTTTCTTCAATAACTTTCCATTTGCATTCACAACTTGGATGTTTGACACAAGAGGCCCAACTGTCAGCTTGGCTTGCTTGCTCTCTCTCTCTCTCTCTCTTTCTCCTTTCCCCCCTTTATTTCTTGCTTTATACAGACAGAATTTCACTCTGTCACTCAGGCTGGAGTGCACTATCATAGATAGCTCACTACAGCCTCAAACTCCTGGGCTCAAGGGATCCTCCCACCCTAGCCTCCTGAATAGCTGGGACTATAGGCATGTGCCACCACCCCCAGCTAATGTTTTATTTTTTTACAGAGACAAGGTCTCACTTTGTGGCTCAGGCTGGTTTTGAACTCCTGGCTTCAAGCAATCCTGCCACCTCAACCTCCCAAAGTGCTGAGGTTACAGGCATGTTCCACTGTACCTTAGCTTTCTACGTGCTTTTCCCACTAAGCTTAATCATTTCTAGCTTTTGATTTAAAGTGAGACATGAGACTCTTCCTTTCTCTTGAACACTTAGAGGCCATTGTAGGGTTATTACTTGGCCTGATTTTAATACTGTTGTATCTCAGGGAATAGGGAGGTCTGAGAAGAGAAAGAGAGATGGAGGAACAGCTGGTCGGTGGAACAGTCAGAACACACACAACATTTATCAATTTCACCATCGTATATGGGTGTGGCTTGTGGTACCCTAAGACAATTACAATAGTAACATCAAAGATCACTGGGCTGGGCACGGTGGCTCCTGCCTGTAATCCTAGCACTTTGCAAGGCCAAGGCGGGCAGATCACCTGAGGTCAGGAGTTTGAGACCAGCCTGGCCAACATGGTGAAACCCCATTTCTACTAAAAATACAAAAATTAGCCAGGCATGGTGACAAGCGCCTGAAATCTCAGCTCCTCATGAGGCTGAGGCACGAGAATGGCTTGAACCCAGGAAGCAGAAGTTGCAGTGGGCTGAGATCATGCCATTGCACTCCAGTCTGGGCAACAGAGTAAGACTGTCTCAAAAACAAACAAAACAAAACAAAACAAAACAAAAAAACCCCAAAGATCACTGATAGTGGATCACCATTACAGATATAATAATAATGAAGAAGTTTGAGAAATTGTGAGAATTACCAAAATGTGACACAGAGACACAAATGAGCACAAGCTATTGGAAAAATAGCACCAATAGACTCGTTTGATGTATGATTGCCTGCCACAAACCTTCAATTTGTGGAATATGCAATATCTGTGAAATGCAATAAAGCAAAGCCCAATAAAATGAGGTATGGGCCAGGAATGACATCTCATGCCTATAATTCCAGCACTTTCGGAGGCTGAGGCAGGAAGATTGCTTAAGCCCAGGAGTTTGAGACCAGCCTGGGCAACATAGGGAGACCTCATCTCTATAAAAAATTAACATTTAAAAATTAGCCACATGTGTTGTCTTACACCTGTGGGCCCAGCTACTCAAGAGGCGGAGGTGGGAGGATCACTTGAGCCTGGGAGTTTGAGACTGTAGTGAGCTGTGATCATACCACGGCAGTCCAGCCAAGGTGACAGAGAGAGACCCTGTCTCAGAAAAAAAAAAAAAGCATGCCTGAACTTTAAATTACATGCATGTACTTCTATTATAATGTTATGTACATTATTAAAGCAAACATATAGAAATTATACAAGGAAATAAGGCAAAAAAAATTGTAAAGATATTGCTAATCATAATGGATTCTCCCACTATACCCAGCTAATATAACAAGCCTTAGTGGGGTGTGTTTGTTTGTTTGTTTTTAGACTGTCACCCAGGCTAGAGTGCAGTGGCATGATTTCAGTTCTCTGCAATCTCCACCTTCTGGGTTCAAGCAATTCTCCTGCCTCATCCTCCCAAGTAGCTGGGATTACAGGCATGCGCCACCATGCCCAACTAATTTTTGTATTTTTAGTAGAGACAGGGTTTCACCATGTTGGCCAGGCTGGTCTCGAACTCCTGACCTCAAGTGATCCACTCCCCCCTCAGCCTCCGAAAGTACTGGGATTAGAGGCGTGAGCCACTGTGCCCAGCCCCTTAGTGGGGTTTTGCTATGGACTAGCGATGTTGTAGCTGTTGTAATGTTGTAGCACAACTCATTACTCATGTGTTTGTGGTGATACTGGTGGTAAAAAAAAGAAACCTGTGCTGCCAGTTGTATAAAAGTCTAGCACATACAATTATGTATAGCACATATGCCTGTTATTGATAATAATACTTGATCATGTTACTGTTCTATGTATTTATTATACTATACTTTTTAGCATTATTTTAGAGTGTATTTCTTCTACTTATATGTAAAAAATGTTTACTGTAAACAGCCTCTGGCAGGTCCTTCAAGAGATATACCAGAAGGAGGCATGGTTATCATAGGAGGTAACAGCTCCATGCATGTTATTGCCACCAAAGACCTTCCAGTGGGATGAGATGTGGAAGTGGAAGACAGAGATATTGATCATCCTGCACCATGTGTAGGCCTAGACTAATGTGTATGTTTGTGTCTTAGTTTTTAACAGAAACATTTAAAAAGTTAAAAAAAATTAATAGAACAAACGTATAGGATAAGGATATAAAGAAAATGATTTTTGTACAGATGTATAATTTGTATTTTAAGCTAAGTATTATTACAAGTCAAAAAGTTTTTAAAAATGTAAAAGTTTATAAAGCAAAAAAGTTACAGTAAGTAAAGTTAATATATTGTTGAAGAAATAAAAAATTTAAAAATAAATTTAGTGTAGCCTAAGTGTGTAGCATTTATAAAGTCTACCATAGTATACAGTGTACAGTAATATCCTGGGCCTTCACATTCACTCACCACTCACTCACTGACTCACTCAGAGCAACTTCCAGTCCTGCAAGCTCCATGTATGGTAAGTGCCCTATACAGATGTGCCATTCATCTTTGATACAGTGTTTTATTGTACCTTTTCTATGCCTAGATATGTTTAGATAAACAAATATTTGCCATTGTGTTACAGTCACTTACCGTATTCAGTACAGTCACATGCTGTACAGGTTTGTAGCCTAGGAGCAACAGGCTATACCATATGGCTTAAGTGTTTAGTAGGCCATACATACCATCTAGGTTTGCATAAGTGCACTATACTCGGTGATGTTCACACGATGACAAAAATCATCTAACAATGCATTTCTCAGAATTATCCCTGTTGTTAAGCAACGTGTGACTATAATACTACTATACTGCCAGTGTATCACCTTGAGAACAAGAGACACATGACTGTGTACTTGATCTTTGTCTCTGGTTCCTCCTAAAACCTTTGGAATTTCTGGAGTGATAGGAGTTTCTTATCATAATAAGCTCCTTTTAACCATACCTGAATTTACGCTAAGGAGGTGACTCAAGATAGACTTTTAGATAGTTTCAAGGGAGGGGCTGGTTATGTCAGGAAGACTTGGCACATAATTAGAAGGTTGGAGCTTTCAGTCCCATCCCTCCATATCTGGGGAGGGGAGAGGGACTGGAGACTGAGACCAATCACAATGGCTTAATCAATCAATGGTTTAAACAATGGTCAGTGGTTTACTCAATCGTGCCTACATAATGAAATCTTGAAGAAAACTCTAAGGAGATTCAGAGAACTTCCTGGTTGGTAAACAGACAATATAAGCAGGGGTTGGGGACATGGCACGCCCCCAATCCATGGGACGAAGGCTGCTGCCTCCTCTCCCACAGACCTTGCCCTATGCATCTCTTCCATTTGATTGTTTCTAAGCTGTATCTTTTATAATAAAATGGTACTTGTAGGTATAGCACTTTCCTGAGTTCTGTGAATCATTCTAACAAATTATCAAACCTGGAGGGAAGTTGTGAGAATCCCTGAATTTGTAGCCAAGCCAGTTGGGAAGATGTGTGGGTAACCGCTGGGACTGCATCTGGCATCTGAAGTGGGGATAGTCTTGTGAGATTGAGTCCTTTACCCTCTGGGGTCTGCACTACCTCTGGGTAGTTAGTTTCAGAATTGAATGGAACTGCTGGACATCCAGTTGGTGTTGGAGAATTGCAGGAGCGTATGGGGGAAGTACTTAGCATTTGCAAAGTGGGCCATTATCTAAAACATTTGAGACACTGCAGGAAAGTACTCAGTACAGAAACACTAGACCTTGAATATAGATAGAGGGTAGCCGTTGTGCTACTTTGAGGCATTTCTTCAAGTGAGAGATAAAAATATTGACATTTTTAGACTGGAGTCATACATACAAATGTTTTCTTGGCATACTTTTCAAAAGACACGTTCTCTTCTTAGTAACCTTATCAAAGATAATGAGGCCTGTTTACCCAAAATTATTTGGCGGCAAATCTGTCTGAAGGCTCTCTTTTAGCCATATAGCATATATATCTCCATCAGGAGAAAGTTTGCAAGGATCTTGAAACAAACAGCTGCTGCTATCTAAGTAAGTGTGAATGCTGGTATGAATGTGACACATTATATTTCCTTCAATAGATATTTTTATTACATTGATTCTTTTGAAAGAGTTCATTATTTCCATACTTTCTCTGAACCTTCCTTTCTCTTTGGCCTCCTACTTTTTTACCCTCCATCCCCAGATAGGAAAAGGACATTCTTAGAAATTCACATACACAATGGCAGAAATACTCAAGACTTTAAAGGAATGAGAAATAGTCCATTATGAAAAAAAAAACTACATCATTTCAAGAAGATGGGAATAAAAGATACTATTACCTGATGTTTAGGGTAATGAGTAGGGAAAAGAGAGACTATACTTTTAGATTTGGACAAGGACAAAACTCAAGGTAATTCATGTGGCATATATAACCTAGATATTTGTAAAATGAGTATAAATAGTGTTTTTAAACAACTGCAAAAATAATGAAGAAATGAGCTAGTCAATGTGTGTGGATACAGGGTCTTCCTTGTGAGCAATAATATCGTTTGGGATATTGTGACTTTTATCTTACTAAGTCAGAATCCCCACATATAACATTAATTTACAAGTTAAATTTTTAATAAAAGACTTCTTTCACTCGTAGATGCAAGCAGTGAAAGCAGTATTTTTAGTATTATTTCAAATGAGAATATTTACTGTACTTCATTAGTTCATTAAATCATGGTAAAAACTGTATAATGATTTTGTCTTCATTTTAAGAGACTGCAATTATAGTCTTATGATAGGTATTTATAGACTGCCTCTTGTGCTATAGAAAACATCTTATGTCACCTACTTAATATTTTAAAATGACATGAATCTCTGTTCATAACACCTTCAGGAAGTTGTGAACATGAATAACAGTGTGCAGATAATTTTTAGTTTGCTAACTGAATAACACTTTAATTCATCCAAAGTGGTTCCTAGAGACTATAACAATAAGTAGTTCATTTATTTTTAATTGCTAATTTAATTTCAGCTGTAACACTTTCATTTAGGGGATGACTTCATAGTAGAAAGTATTTGGCAGCAAGAAGAGAAATAATCAAATATGTAACAATCTTCGAGATTCCATGAAGCACAGGGCTTATGACACTATTTATAAGAAATGAGGCCATTCTGTAACTTTAACTTTCAAATGTAACATATATTACATTCATAATAAAATAAATATGTACCTTTTATTTTCCTAACGGGTTAAATGTATTTACCTAAAGGGCTGTGCATTGTAGTTGAAGGAGCATGGTATGGAAGTTTAGGGGTTTGATTCTATGCCCTGCTGTGAAACCATCTAGCTCTGTGATCTCAACCTAACAAGTTAGTGTAGCATTTCTGGATTTCAGTTTCCTATCCTAGGGAACAAACTCAAGAATCCCTAATGCACTTCCCAGCTCCAAATTTCTGTGATTCATTCCATAACTTTCAGAGATACCTACAATGTTAACATGTTTTAATAGTTGTAATGAGCACGGGATTGTAGTCACACCAGACGGATCTCCAGTTCTGCCATTTACTTCATTGTAACCTTTGGCAGATAATTTTTCTGAATTCCAGTTTATTCAACTTTAAAACAGGGTTAATGATAGGAGAGCAGACACCGTTGATGTCCTGCTGCATAGCGGCTCGCTCCGCTGCAGCTACAGGGGACAGCTCCACGCCCTGACAATGGTTCACCACTGGGCCTGCTGGAGTCTCCTTCACTGCCCCTGGGCTTTTTCAGATGCCACAAGAACTTGTACAGCCCAGAAGTACCAAAGATGTAATGCCCTCAGGTGAAACCCTCCACCAGTGAGAGACAGAAGCTTTCTGACCCTCAATGGGACAATTCAGAGGCACAGGTCACACAGTTCTTCGGTGGGTCCTCAGTGGGATTGAGGCACATAGCAGTAATCTGCTCATTCATTCACCCTGTGTTTGTGAATTAATCTCTCACTCCCCTGTCTCATTTTTCCCACTACATCACTGTGCTTCCTGGGATCACCTCCCAAATAAACTACTTGTAGACAATTTATTTCTCAGGTTTTGTTTTTGGGAAACCCCATTTGACAATTGCTGTGATGATTAATTGAGAACATAAAGCACCTACTAGGTCCTATAATAAGGCCCCAACAAATATGATAATTATATCTGACAAATGAAACAGAATTTCGTGGTTCTAGGTAATATTTAGGTTGTATTTCTATAGTTAAGTGATGCTTACATCCTGCTAAAGCATATTTCATACTGTTCTGAGGTATATCAGATGCAAAGAAAATTTTGTAAGTGGGGAAACTTTAGGTATGATTAAAATTTTGTTATAGAAAAATATTTGCTAAGATGTTTCTTTTTTTAAGTTCCTCCTTTCTCCTTTTTATTGTTTCATACTGAAGTCATAATTCTATTTCTATATGAAACATTAATTGAGTACTATTTATGGAAGAAATAAGTAGAAGAGTATTAGTAATATAAGAGACAACCTGTGCCGGACACAGTGGCTCACGCCTGTAATCCCAGCACTTTGGGAGGCCGAGGCAGGTGGATCACTTGTGGCCAGGAGCTCGAGAACAGCCTGGCCGACATGGTGAAAACCCATTTCTACTAAGAATTATGAAAAAAATTAGCCAGTCATGGTGGTGCATGCCTGTAATCCCAGCTTCTCAGGAGGCTGAGGCATGAGAATCACTTGAACCTGAGAGGTGAAGTTTGCAGTGAGCCAAGATCAAGCCACTGCACTCTAGCCCTGTGACAGAGTGAGATTCTGTCTCAAAAAAAAAAAAAAAAAAGAGAGGCAAGACTACTGCTCAATGATTCTACAATTGTTCAATCATGAATGGGTCATTTATCTGACATTATCTAATATGATAATTCTAAAAGAAGAATATTATATACTTTGTATTTCTTTCAGTGCTGGGATTGAATTCTTTTAATCATTTCTTAATCTATACCTTTCCTAGGCAAATGCATTTTAAAAGTATGTTGTTGTTTGTTAATATGTCACTACTCGGTTTAAAATGCATTCTTGGCTTGTAAGAAATTCCATATATAAGTACACAGCTTATCTGAAAGATCTTTGAAAATGATGAAATGGAGCAGAATGAATCTTACAGCAAGCAGCAGTAGGTATCTCAATACTATCTCTTCTTAACTGCACGTCCTAACAGAAAAGACCACTCTAGCATTTTGTTATTTATGGACATAGCCTTAACCCCTCAGGTTGCTCCCAAACCAGAAAAGCATCTCTTGGTGGTGCCAGGTACATACAAAGGGAATCATTTTTCTTGATGAAAGTATGGTGGCCTTGGGATTCCAGTGCATTGGTGGTGGAAAGAAATATTGTTGGTTCTTTCTGGAAAATAACTCTATGTGTCAAGAGTGTTAAAATATGTATACCTTTCATTCAGTAATATCACTTTCAGGAACATTTCTTTAAAAAATAATTAGAATGGCCAGGCACAGTCGCTCATGCCTATAATCTCAACACTTTTGGAGGCCAAGGCGGGCGGATCACTTGAGGTCAGGAGTTTGAGACCAGCCTGGCCAACATGGTAAAACTCGTCTCTAATAAAAATACACAAAAATTAGCCAGGGCTGGTGGCATGCACCTATAGTCCCAGCTACTCAGGAGGCTGAGGCAGGAGATCTCGCTTGAACCCAGTAGATGGAGGCTGCAATTTGCCAAGATCGTGCCACTGCACTTCAGTCTGGGCAACAGAGCGAGACTCTGTCTCAAAAATAAATAAATAAATAAATAAAAATAAAAATTTAGATATATATGTGTAAAAATGTTTATTGTGTTATTTATAATAGTAGGAGGGAAGAATGAAAAGGAAGAAAGAAGAAAGAAAAGGGGAAAGGAAGGGAGAGGAGGAGGAAGGAGAGAGAAAAAAGAAGAAAAATAAAAAATAAAATTAGAAACAATCTAATATTCAGTAACCAGGGAATAATTCATTAAGTTTTGATGCCCTCATATGATGGACAATTTTGCAGCCATGAAGATGATTTTATTTATCTATAGTTATGGTTGACATTTTTCAGGCATAAAAACTTCTATTGCTCAAGAAAAAAGTTAAGTACTTCCTATGGAAACAATAGACAAATGACATCAACAAGAAATTTACAAAGAAAGAAAAAAAATGGCCAGTAAACATTTAAAAAACTTAATCACTAATTGTCAAATTTAAATTTTTTAATCTATAAACTATCATTTTTTACTGTGAAATGGCAAAGATTTTTTAAAAAGTATATCCAATGCTGCCAAGAGGGCAGAGGCCTTTCTGTAAAACAGCAGTATGTATCAAAAGCTTTAAAATGTGCAAATGTTTCTACCTAGTGTATTGCTTTGAAAAAAAATTCACAGGCAAATTAAAATTTCTTGGCTGGGCACAGTGGCTCATGCCTGTAATTCCAACACTTTGCCTAACCAAGCTGCACTTGGGGAGGCAGAGGTGGAAGGACTGCTTGAGGCCAGGAGTTTGGGACCAGCCTGGGCAACATAGTGGGACCTCATCTCTACAAAAAATAAAAATAAAAATTAGCACATCCTGTGTTCCTAGCTACTCAGGAGGCTGAGGCAGGAGGATCTCTTGAGTCCAGGAGTTTGAGGTTGGAGTGAGCTGTGATCATGCCAGTGGGTACTCCAGCCTGGGCAATAGAGCAAGGCCCTATCTCTTAGAAAAAATTCTGAAAATTTTCTATGAAGCAATGTTTCTATCCTAAGTTAGATATTGAAGGATAAAAAGTAAGTGTGGTGCATATTGCTATGTGAAGGAAGCCAGTTTTAAAGGTTTCATAATGTATAATTTCATTTCTATCACATCCTGGAGAGTGCAAAACTACAGAATCTGTAAGGAGATCAATGATTGCAAGGGGTTTAGAGAGGATTGAATAGTAATATGGGAGAATTTTAGGGTTATAAAACTGCTCTGTATATACCATAATGGATCATATAAGTAATGGATCATGGCATGATGCATTTGTCAAAACCCATAGAACTTTACAGCACAAAGCGTGAACTTTAATGTATGCAAATTAAAAAATAAAGTAGGGAGTTGGGGATCACAGGATGGAATACAGACTATGATAAAAGAATCTATTATATTACAAATGTATGAAATAACCTCACTGAAGAGGATGGGAGGAAAGGGTGCTGACCTAAGTACCTTTGGAAATGGAGTCTATACATTAAAGGCAAAAAAACCTGATAAAATTGTTTCTCATTGAGTATATGCTAACAATTCTGAAATTACTATACATACATACTAAAATGGAAGAATTAAGAAAATGTATGGTGGATGGTGAGAGCTAGGTTTATCACTATTGGACTGAGGTTACAGACAAGAAGAAGGCTAGAATGATCTATGTGGTAATGGATTTGAGTTGGGGACATCAGTATGAACTCATAGATACAAATGGTGATAGAGCCATCCCTTGATATCCAGAGTGGATTGGTTCCTGAACCCCCTGCCCCACCCCAAGGATGTGAAAAATCACAGAATGCTCAAGTCCCTGATATAAAATGCCATAGTATTTGCATATAACCCATGCACATCCTTCTGCATACTTTAAATCATCCCGAGATTACTTATCATACGTAATACAATGTAAATGCTATGTAAATAGTTGTCATACTGTATTGTTTAGAGAATAATGACAAGAAAAATGTCTGTACATGTTCAGCACAGACACATCATTCTTTTGTTTTTTTCCTTTCTGAACATTTTCTTTTTCTTTTCTTTTTTTTTTTTTGTTTTGAGATAGGGTCTCATTCTGTTGCCCAGGCTGGAATGCAGTGGTGTGATTATGGCTCACTGCAGCCTCAACTGCCTAGGCTCAAGCAATTCCCTCACCTCAACCTCCCAAGTAGCTGGAACAACAGACATGTGCCACCATGCCCAGCTAATTAAAACAACAAAAAAAAGTATTTGTAGAGATGAGGTCATGCTGTGTTGCCCAGGCTGGTCTTGAGCTCCTGGGCTCAAAGGATCCTCCTGCCTCTGCCTCCCAAAGTGATGGGATTACAGGCATGAGTCACTGCACCCAACTTCTTTCTGAATATTTTTGATCTGTGGTTGGTTGAATCAACACATGTGGAACTCACAGATATGAAAGGTTGATGTGCAAAGAAATATTTACAGATAAATGCATATACACAGGTTAGTATACACATACATTTTCTTCCTCTGACAGCTGAGAAGGTCTAGAAGCAACCACATCCCTGTAGCAATGAGCACACTTAGTGCCTAGATCTTGTTTCTAATACCAATCTCCAGTAAAAGTAACCAGAGACCCTTAGAGAAATGGCAGGCTCTAGGACTGGGACAGAGGATGTACAGAATAAACCTGGAGCGTTTTGCAGTGCTAGAAAGTAAGGAAGTGCTCAAAACAAGTAAACAAGCAAACTGCCAGTGATGGGCGTATGTCAAAAGGACAACAGAGCCAACTGAAAGAGCTCCCAGGGGCCAAAGGTGGAAGAATTTGAGCAACAAAATAAATAAAGTGGTATTGGATCATAGCCCAAAGCAGAAAACAAATATCCATGAGTCTATACTGATATAAGTAAATGATTGAACAATTGTTAATAAATAAGTGGGAAGAACGGACAAATCTCCCATGATGCAGGAGAGTACCAAATAATTTTTATATATGCTCCACTCTCAAAAAGGTGGAGCATAATTCCTATTCATTTAATGTGGGCTGCTCATTGTGACTTCCGTCCAGAGAGCACTGTATGGAAATGAGGAAACTTTGCAGTGGAGAAACCTGACACACATTAGTTGAGCCAGGTCATCAAAGTTAATATCCACAGTGATGAGTCGTGTTGATAGTATATACCCTTGATATGATGTGACGACAATGGCACATTGCCTCTATGATCTTCCTACCGCACACCCATAAACTTAGTCTAATCATGAGGAAACATCAGACAAATCCAAACTGAGAAACATTCTACAAAATACCTGGCCAGTACTCTTCAAGGAGCCCAAGGAGACGTGACAACTAAACATTACGGGCTCCCCTGTATATGCCATCCTGGAACAGGAAAAGGACATTAGGCTGAAAATGAAGGAAATCTGAATAGTTATTGGTTAATAATAATATATCAATACTGGTTCATTAATTGTAATAAGTGTACCATACTCATTTTAGATGTTAATAATAGGGGAAATTGAGTGTGGGTTACATGGGAACTGTATATACCATCTTCAAAACTTTTCTGTAAATCTAACATTTTTAAGTACAAAAAAGGTTATTAAAAATGATAGTCAATTTTAGGCCGGGCGCAGGGGCTCACAACTGTAATCCCAGCACTTTGGGAGGCTGAGGAGGGTAGATCATCTGAGGTCAGGAGTTCGAGACCAGCCTGGCCAACATGGTGAAACCCCGTTTCGACTAAAAATACAAAAATTAGCTGGGTGTGGTGGCACACACCTATAATCCCAACTACTTGGGAGGCTGAGGCAGGAGAATCACTTGAACCTGGGAGACGGAGGTTGCAGTGAGCTGAAATTGTGCCACTGGACTCCAGCCTGGGAGACAGAGTGAGACTCCGTCTTAAAAAAAAAAAAAAAAAAAAAGTCAAGTTTAAAAAAGATTTGAAACAGGAAAAATAGAAAAAGGACCTGTGGCTTATGGAAAACCAAAATCTGCAGTATAAATCCCCTTCGAAGTAGAATTTACTACCTGGCTGCTGGGAGTGCAGTGAGCACAGTCTCAGCTGTCAGCTTTTACAGGGTCTGCCTCAACTGTAGAGAGACGCCCCTTACCAAGTCACAGCTTTCAGAAGTAGCCCACATCCAATGACTGAGCCAGGGTGCAATGGTGTGGCCATTTCTGCCAGAAGGGGACAACTGATGGGCATTATTTGCTCCAGAGCTCCCCACTGGGTTGGCTCCAGCTTTATTGGGTACACATCATGGTTCATGTTTTCTCTCTGCCCAGTCCTGCTTCATCCCCCTTCCTTTCACAGGTTTGATGCCTAATACAGGTTTTTTACCCCAACCTCAATTTTTGCATCTGTTTCTAGAGAACCCGACCCGCAACATGGCTTGTTAGAGAGCTCTCTCCTGCTACCCACCAGACCCTAACACATGAAAGATAGTGGGAGAAAAGGAAGAGAAAACCGGCCCTCGCATGGCAATGAAAGAAGGAGTTCTAAGGATGGCAGATGGAGGTAGTTATAGATGAATGGATGGCAGGGAGGATATCCTTTGTGGAACACCGAAGTGGAGAGTTCTCTGAACTGCCATCCTGGACTGGCTTGCTCAGGGTTTTGGTCCACTGCAGCCTTAACATAGAACCTTGGCAGCTGGAAATTTGAACTATCTGTTTAATTTCAGCTGCTGGCCTTTTACCAAGGTTGGGGTCCTGTCCTCTACATCTGCTCCATGGAACCATATAGCAGGTAGCTGATTCTGGGCACCCGTTTTAACGGAAGAGTTTTATTTAGTTTTAAAGATAATTTCCCTCTGAGCCTTACTTGAACCCAACTTATGCTTAAAGATTGAAACATTTACCAAATATCTTCTCCGTCATCATTTAAATAAGGCTACAGGCAACAATTTATAACCTTATTTCATACACATATTCTATTAGGTTGGTGCAAAAGTAATGGCAAAACCACAATTACTTTTGCACCAACCTAATAATACAAATAGCATCCTGGTAGTACTCACAGTGGCTTTTGCCTGTTGCAATGGACTGAATGCTTGTGATCCCCCTCCCAAATTCATATATTTAAATGCTCATTTCAATGTGATGGTATTTGGAGGTGGGGCCTTTGGAGCAAGATTAGATCATGAGGATGGAGCCCTTATAAGAGGCCAGAGAGCTGGCTATCTTTCTTCCGGCCATGGGAACACACATGGAGAAGTTGGCAGTCTACTGCCTAGAAGAGGACCCTTACCAGAGCCCAACCATAGTGGTACCTTGATCTCAAACTTCCAGCCTCTGGAACTGTGAGAAATAAATTTCCGTCGTCTATAAGCCGCCAGTTTATGGTATTTTGTTACAGCAGCCTAAGGTAAGACTCTTACCCCTTTTGGAAATTAACTACGTTTGTGCCTTGGGATTTTGGTGGGATCAGTCAAGGTGCATGTGTACATACACATGTACATACACACACTCACGAGCCAAAAGGTGGGCACACAATCCAAGCCAGGCCAACCAGACTTTGCCACAGAGTGTCAGAAAGCTGGGAAGTAAAGCTGACTCCTGCTGAAGGGGTGGTTCTTCTATCTGTGGCCTGATTGTTCAACCCTTCCTGTGTAAGCTCCCCAGACCCTTGTAATGAATATCTGTTTTACTGGCTTTACTGGCGTTATCTGGTTCTACTGGCTTTAGCCAGTGTCTATGTCTGCCACTTGAGTTCAAAACAAAACAATAAAATGACCCGAATGGGTATATTTCTACTTTATAATCTTCACACATAGCAGTCCACACAAATAAAAAGAATTTCTACAACACTCCCAGAAGGTAGAGGGAATTATTACAAAGTAAATGTAGAGGGAATTATTACAAAGTACTGAGGGAACTTATGGGGAAGGAGCCAAAAAATGAAGATTTGTCTCAAATTCCTGTGACATCCACCAGTTCCATTTCCAGGAATTTATTCTAAGGAAATAAACAAGCAGTGAAAGATGTATGTGCTAGGTCATTGGCCACAGAGTTATTTATAAAAATAAAATATAGAAATAATCTAGATAATTATGGGTAGTAGCAGTCATTAAAAATGTAATGAAGGCTTGTATGCATTAATACGAAAAGATGTTCTAATATACTTTTAAGTAAAAACGTGATTATAAAACAACCTAACACTTCCATTTTTACAAATACATTTCTATATATGTAAGTATGCATACAAAAAATCTAGAAGTGAATATATAAAAATATTGGTAGTTGCTATCTGAATGGTGAGTTTATGAGTGATTTTTATTTTTCTCATTATATTTCTCAGAAATTTCCAAATTCTTTGCAAAGAGGTCTTAGTAATATGTAATCAGAAATAATCAATGAATCAAGTAACGTTCTTGAAGGATTTTTAATAATGTAAAATGTAAAAATGTTACATTGTAAAAAAGGATAAAGTGCTATTTTTAGCATCATCTTTTAATTATATAAAAATATTCAGTGTTTTAGAAGAAAATACATCAGTATATTAATGTGCTTTTCTCTGAGAGGTTGGCTTATTAAAGATTCTAAGATTTTTATAAATAAACAGTATACCTACATATATATGTATATATATATAAAATTTACCTAAACATCAACAAATTGAAATAAATAATATTTAAATCCAGATACCAATATGAACCCTGTTATTGCATAGGACCAGAGAATGAATTGATAATACATTAAAATTCAACCCCTTTCTATTAGGAAACTTCATCTGATTGAGGAAGATGATGATAAGAAGAATCAGAGAGAAAGGTGATCAGATCCAGTTTGGGATCCAATGTGGGGTTAACCCTAAAAAGAATTGAACTTGGCCTCTTTTTTTCTCCCCAACCCTTCTGCTAGGGCCAATATGATTCATGTCCAGTTATCCTTCTATCTCCCTTAATTATTATTATCATTAATTTGCTCCTACTGAAACTAGAATATCATTGGACAACAGTAGCCATGTCAAACCTTTATAAGGGTGCCAACCCTTCCGTTTTTCTAAGTTGACTTATTGGGTAGAAATAACTGTTTACTGAATGTCTACCATATGCACAGCTTTGTAAGAAAAAGGAAAAATTATAAAATATGGTTAGGCAAAAAAATTAAACAATAGTTTAACAGTGACATAACAATTCAAAGTCATTCCAGGATAGTACACCACCACACCAGAGGCAGGATGACAGTAGCAAGTGTATGGGTTTAAGAGGCAGATCAGCCTCTACCACTGTTTTGTTGATGTGTGACTTTGACATATGTTATAGACCCAGTGAGAATTGGTTTTCTCATCTGTATACTGGAGATAATAATAACTACCTGTGGTGTTCGGCCTCCATGATAGTTTCTAGTGATCTTGCCTTCTGGTATTCACACTTCCCGTAGTCATCTCCTGCATTGAATAGAGCTAATATGACAACAAATAGGATATTGTAGGAATTATACAGTATAATTTTCTAGGGTGAGGTCATGAGAGACCTTGTGGTTTCCACCTTGCTCTTTGCTCTGTCTTGGATCACTGGTTTTGGGAATGTCAGCTGCCATGTCATAAGGACACTCACTTAGCCTTATGGTGAAAACTACATGGCGAAGAACTGGGTCCTCTCACCAACATCCAGTGTCAACTTGCCATGCATGTGAGTGAGCCATCTTGGAGGCAGATCTTTAGCCCCTTCCACACCTTCAGATGACTGCAGCCCTAGCCAGCATCATGACTGCCATGCCACAAAACCTGAGCCAGAACCACTTGGTAAGCCACTTCTGATTTCCTGACCCACAGAAACTGAGATAATCACTGGTGATTGTTTTAAGCCACTACATTTTGGGGGATAATTTGTTATGCAGCAATAGCTAACTAATACTCTAGATTATGATGTATTAGTGTTATTTATTTGCTTTATCTGCTGCTCCAACATCAGACAATTGAGAGTGCAGGGTCTGGGACAGCATCTTTGGGAAAGAGAAGGGATGCCGAGAGTTATAGACAGAGGTGCAATTTGTATATGAGGGTGCATAAGGATAGCCCTGGTGGGAAGATTTGGTTTTCTCTGTAAGCAGGAAGCATGATATAGCTGCTAGAGGAAATGACAAGTAATAGAGAAAACAAAAACAGGGTTAGACAGCATGAACGTATAGTGATCTGAGCTGCAGGGTTCTTTTCTTTCTCCATCAATTCTCTGTGATCTAGGGGTAAAAGGATTAAAATAAACAGCAACTGGGGAAAGACCAAGTGAAAAGTTCGATGACCAAGAGCATTGGCAGGGAGGACTGATGCCCATGGTTGTAACATGTGAATTTCTTCTACCTGAACACTGATTTATACTGTGAAATTACCAATATTTGGTACAAAAAAATGTCAATTTCATATAGTTCAACCCATATTCATTCTAAAGAGTAAATCTACATCTTCCTGGAGGAGTTTGGGTGGTTGAGATCACTGATGAGGAAGAAGCAAGTTTCTTAAGAAAGCCCATCTTGAGAAAAACCCCTACAGATTAAAGTGAGTTTTCCCAATGCCTGGAACAAGTAAACTTTTTTTTTTTTTTTTTTGAGATGGAGTCTTGCTCCGTAGCCAGGTGGGAGTGCAGTGGCGTGATCTCGGCTTAGTGCAACCTCCGCCTCCTGGGTTCAAGCGATTCCCCTGCCTCAACCTCCTGAGTAGCTGGGACTACAGGTGCGCACCACCATGCCCAGCTAATTTTTTGTATTTTAGTAGAGACGGGGTTTCACCATGTTGGCCAGGATGGTCTCGATCTCCTGACCTCAGGTGATCCGCCTGCCTCGGCCTCCCAAAGTGCTGGGATTACAGGCATGAGCCACCGCGCCCGGCCCACATAAACTCTTAAAAATTTTAAAAATAGATATACATGCACGTAATTCAAAAAAGGAAGATACAGAAACATAAAAGAAGATAAGTAAGTCTCCATCTGCACTAATTGTTTTCAGCCGCAAGCAATAGAAACCTCATACCTGACTGGTAGGGAAATGTATTCACTCTCTTACCAGAGATGCGAGATGGGGTTCAGTTAGTTGATTTAGCAGCTTCACCGTATTATCAAGGACACAGATTCTTTCTGTTTTTCTACTCTGCTCTCTACTGCCTGGGCTTCAGCCTAAGGCTAATTTATTTCACAGTTGTCAAATGGAAACAGTTGGGCTTCATCCTTCCTTATTTGTGTCCAACTGACTTTCTGTGAATTTGTCCTTAGAGTAAGAAAGCAAATTCTAGAACCTTCCAGCAAACCTCTCCTCTGCTCTCCTCTCATTCACTGGACAGAATTGGGTCACATATCTCTTCTTTAACAAATCACTGTCAGGGGAAAGGAATCATACCTGTAACAATCAGAGCCATCCCTGGCTAAAAAGTCCATTTTCCAAATGCATTTGTGTAGAATGGATGTGGTTGAGTCACTCACAATGTTCATCACCTTGACCCACACCTGCTGCACGTGCTCTTTCACAAAAGCAAACACTATTCTCAATCTCTAGTGCATCCTTCTGAAGATGCATGTTCATTTAGATGCATTCTCTTCCCTTTTTACAGAAGTGGTAGTGCAGCATACATGTTGTCTTACACATTGTTTTTTTTTTCATAGTATACACTATTGGTAAATGTTTAATGAATAAATGCTAAGTTCAGAAACATATATTTTGTAAGCCAGGTGGCTTTTATCCTAATTATGTATTTTCTTGTTTGCCTTTTGTACTCCACTAGCATTAAGCTTTTTTAAGTTCCAGCAATTTCAGTTTTGCTAAGGGGAAAACAAGGAAGAGTCTTTGTGTGGACTGGGGCCAGGGTATTAAAGGGGATCAGCAGATCCTGAGTGCCAATATAGTAGTGGCAGCAGACAGAAGAGAATCCCAAGGGGTATGTAAAATAATATAATAACAACAATAATAGTGCCTCCTATGTACTAGATTGTGCTAAACATATATTCAGTAAGAACCAAGTTGGGGCCGGGCGCAGTGGCTCACACCTGTAAACTCAGCACTTTGGGAGGCCGAGGCGGGCGGATCATGAGGTCAGGAGATTGAGACCATCCTGGCTAACACAGTGAAACCCTGTCTCTACTAAAAATACAAAAAATTAGCCGGGCGTGGTGGCAGGCGCCTATAGTCTCAGCTACTCGGGAGGCTGAGGCACGAGAATGGCATGAACCCGGGAGGTGGAGCTGGCAGTGAGCTGAGTGGGCAACAGAGTGAGACTCCGTCTCACAAAAAAAAAAAAGAAAAAAAAAGAAAAAAAGAACCAAGTTGGGTCTCCTTGGTTGGCTGTCTCTTCACAACTAATGATTCTCCTTCAAATGCTAGACCTTATGATTTGTAGTGTTTTCACAATGGAGGTGATTCTCTTAGCCTTTGTGAGTGAAACTCCAAGAGCTATATTAAGAAAGATATGAGTGCTGAGGAGGCAACATAGCTTGTTGAGAGATGTGGGTGGTGTAGGGTAACAAACTTGGGCTTGAATCCTAGCTCTACCACTTATTAATTTCACAGTGTAATTAGACATTGGATAACGTGGATGATTTTGTTTTGTTTTGTTTTTTGTAGAGATGGGTCCTTGCTATGTTGCCCAGGCTGGTCTCAAACACCTGGCCTCAAGCCATCCTCCTGCCTTGACCTCCCAAAGTGGATAATATTCTTATTGTCTCTGTGCTTTAGTATCCTCATCAAGAAATGGAGAAATGCCAGAGGATTGCTGTGATGATTAAATGAGAGATGCATACAAAATACTTTGCATGGTGCCTGAGACAGAAAAGCATTCAACAAATCTAAGCAAAAGTTTGATGGCATGTGATAACTTGTAGAGAAAGAGGTCCACTCTTACAGGTTTTGATATCACAAAAACAATATTAGTACAGCAATTTAAGATTTTTTTATTGATGTTTAACCTGTATACAACCATACCCATTTTAAGTGTACAGACAAATGAATTTTGACAAATTCATTCACTCATCTAATCATCACTATAACCATGATACAGATTTTTATCACTCCAAAAGTCCATCCTGTGCTCTTTTCAAGTCCATCCTCCTCATCTGATACCCCAAGCCACCATTGTTTTGCTTTCTGTAACTACAGTTTTGTGTTTTTAGAATTTCATATATGTTGAATCATACCATTTGTAATTTTGGGGTCTGACGTCTTTCACTCAGAATAATGTATTTGAGATTTATCTACATTTTGCATGTATCCATGGTTTATTTTATACCAAAGCAGGGTTCTATTATGTAAATATAGGTACCACAATTTGTTTGTCAGTTAACCTGTTGTTGAACTCTTGGGCTGTTTCATTTTTTGGCTGCTATGCATAAAGCTGCTATGAATGCTTTTTTGTGGACTCATTATTTCTGTCGTGTAACTATTTTTTAGTGTAAATGTAGAGTCATATGGTAAATATATGTTTAACTACATAAGAAACTGCCAATCTGTTTTCCAAAGTGCTTGTACATTTTGCATTTTCACCAACTGCAATGGTTTGGATGTGGTCTGTCCCTACTGGAATGCATATTGAAATTTTATCCCCAGTGTGGTGGTGTTGGGAGGTAGGCTAGTGGAAGGTGTTTGGGTGAGGGAGATGGATCCCTCAAGAATAGATGAATGCCCTCCTACAGAGGTGAGTAGTTCTTGCTCTGAGAGAATGAATTAGTTCCCATGATAGCAAGTTGTTAAAAATGAGTTTGGCTTCCTTGGCTTCTCTCTCTTGCATCCTCTCTCACAATGTGATCTTTACACACACTCTCTCTTTCTGCTTTCTGTCATGAGTTGAAGCAACATGAGGCCTTCATCAGATGCAGCTGCCCAATCTTGACTCTTCTAGTCACCACAATCATAAGCCCAATAAACCTCTTTTTTAAAGTAAAATATCCAGCCTCAGGTATTCTGTTATACCAACACTAAACAAAGACAGCAACAAGGCATCAGAGTTCCAGTACTCCACATCTTCCCGAACAACTGGAATCATCAGTCTTTCTAATTTTCACCATTCTACTAGGAGGCATACAATTGTACTTTAATTTGCATTTCTCTGATGACTAATGATGTTGACCACCATTTCACATGCATTTGGCCAAACATGTATCTTCTTTTATTATGTGTATGTTCACATATTTTGTCATTATTATTTTTTGCAAATAGTGTAGGTATTTTTCCCCAGTCTGTGGCTTACCTTTTTAGTTTCTTAGTGGTGTATTTTGAGGAGCAAAAATTTGAAGTTTGATAATATCCAGTTGGTTAGTGCTTTCTGTGTCTCCTCTACAAAACTGTTGCCTAACCCACAGTCATGAAGAGTTTTTCTTTGTTTTCTTCTAAACAAAGCTTTACTGTTTACACTTAGGTTTATGATCCATTGGATTCAATCTTGTGTATAGGTGAAATAAGGTTTGAGGTTCTTTTCTTCTATATGGATATCCAATAGTCCCAGTATGATTAGTTGAAAAGATTGTCCTTTCCCATAGAATTATCTTGGCACTTGTGCCAACAATCAATTGACCATATGTGTCTATATGTAGACTTTCCATATGCTCTCCCACTGGACTATATGATTGTATGTTGGCCGATTCCATGTCTTGATTATTGTAGCTTTTTAGTTAAGTATTGAAATTGCACAGTGTAAGTTATCCAACTTTGTTCTTTTTCAAAATTGTTTTGGCTAGCTAGCATAGGTCTTTTGTGTTTTCACATACATTTTACAATCAGATTGTTAATTTCTATTTTTAAAAAAAGCTTGCTTGGATTTCAATTGGGATTATATTGAATCTGTAGATCAATTTAGGGAGAATTACATATTAACAATATTGAGTCTTTCAATCCATGATCATGGTATATTTCTCCATTACTTTAGGCTTCCTTTAATTTCTCTCAACACAGTTTTATAGGTTTTTAGAGTACAGATCTTACACATATTTTGATAAACTTATCTCTATTTTGTTTTTGATATTGTTGTACAATAATTGTTTATATGGTTATTTCATTATAATAATGATCCTATGAGGTAAATATGAGCTTAATTTATTAGTTAACAAATGCAGCTCAAAGAGATCAAAAGGTTGGCTTAATATCATATGATTGGCTAATCCCATTTCTGGAAATGTATCTTGCAGATATACTTTCACATGTTAAAAATGACTAGTACAAGGTTATTATTGCGGCATGGTTTATCATGATAAAAGACTGAAAAAACCTTGAGTGTATCCATGAGACTTTATCAGTGATATAGCCTTAGAAACAGTAGGCAGCTGTATAAATGAATGAAGAAGGTAACTATGTATCTATATAAAAGGAACTGCAAAATATATTAAGTGAAAAAAAGATACAGAATGTTATACATAGTATATTTTTTCTTTCATGTACAATATGGGGTAAGGTAGGAAATAAGGATACATATTTATATCTGTTGCAAATTGCTTAGAAAAACTCTGGAAAGATACATGACACAATAATAAAGTATTTACCTCTTGTTGGGAGGCATGAGGACTGGATAGATGGTGAATAGAGTGGAAACTTCATTCTGCATCATTTTATGTTTTTTAAAAAACTGTGTAAGTATATTACCTCTGAGACTGCTGATTTCCTCTCAGTGTCCATTTTTCATTTCTTCCTTTTACAAGTAGGACATCCCCCCTGAGTTTTTGGAGGGCATATCCTAGCCTCCTCTGCAGCTAAGTACATTCCTGTGACTGAATTTTTGCCAGTGGAATGTGAACACAGGTGACTTATATTATTTCCATGTCACTTCCTTAAATGGAAACTAATATCTTCCACTTTCTTTTCTTTACCCTTTCCATGGGCTAGAATGTGGATATGGTGCTGGTGAGACTGTTTTGATCAGAGTAGATAAGGTAACAATCGGAAATAAACATCTAGGCTGGGTGCGGTGGCCCACATCTGTAATCCCAGCATTTTGGGAGGCCGAGGCAGGTAGATCACCTGAGGTCAGGAGTTTGAGACCAGTCTGGCCAACATGGTGAAATCTCATCTCTACTAGAAATACACAAAAATTAGCCGTGCATGGTGGCTTGCACCTGTAGTCCCAGCTATTTGGGAGACCGGGGCAGGAGAATCACTTGAACCCAGGAGGTGGAGTTTACAATGAGCTGAGATCGCACCACTGCACTCCAGCCTGGGTGACAGAGCAAGACTGTCTCAAAAACAAACAAACAAAAAACCATCTATTTTTCTTTAACCAATGACTCTTGGGATATTCCCATTACAGCAGCTTCGCCTATATCCAAATACATCAACTTAAAAATTTTGCATAGCTCATGATGTTTGACAGTGTAGGAACACGAACGCAAGTGTCCTGGCTTCCAAGTCCATGTTTTCTCTGCTGATGAGTAGGAAGGCAGTCTTGCAACGGCTAGTTCGTTATCTTCCTAAAGTGTGGAATGATGACTCATGAAGCATAATCTGCCAAAATTCATGATACCAGCCAACCTACAGCCACTTCTGCTGATTCAGATGGGACTCAATAAAACAGACAGAAGTAAGGTGAAATATAATGCTGATGACTTTTGAAATCTCAGCCTGGAAAGAGAGAATTAGTGGTAAAGCAAATTGAACTTGGGAAAATTAACAAAATGAACATAATCCAATAGGTATCGGTACATGAGGTAGCAAGGAAATTATGACTGAAATATTATAAGTCAAGGAAATTTTATCTCATTCAAAAGGAACAAGTCTACAGTAAGGGAGATGAGGGTGCAGAGTAACCCCTGCATCAGAGAGTTATTCAGCTGGTAGAAATGGACAGTGGTAGAATGGTAGATAGCAAATAGGACGAGACAAAAGGTGAGAAGGTGTAAGTGACATGGCTGTCAGAATATACAAGTGCATATGATTCTCTTCTAATTCAGTGGCAGTATCTAGTATTCAGAGGGACATCCACCACATAAATTTTCTAGGCTCATGAAAAAGAATAATAACTGTCACCACAATGACTGGCCACAGGGAGAAAGGAATTATCTGAGAAGGAGTGATGCCAGAGCCAGGGGAAACTGACCCAGCTCCAGGGCTGGCTGCCAAACAGAGTGGCCAGCAAGCCAAGTCATCTTACTCTAAGGAGCATGTCACTTCACAGGACATACTTATTGCAATCAGATTTTTTAAACAGCGTGCTTTAAAGAGTACCATAGCCTATAAGAATGGAAATGTCCCTGCAGGCTTAGATAATTTTTGCCTTTAAAAAGAATACAAAGACTTTTTTTAAATTTATTTTTTTGTTTTTCAAGTAATACTTGCCACAAGAGGGTGAACAAGAAAGGATGGAAGCTACTGCTTCGTGCTGATGACATAATGCTATCAGATGACAAAGAAAAGGTAAAACTCAAGTTTTAATTTATTTGTCTCCTCTCCCAAAGAGACTAATGTTTTAATGAAAAAAGGTAGAATAAACATGATTTAAAGGCTACTAAAATCCAGCATGGTAAGCAAGCAATCGATTGCTTTAAATGAGTTTCTAGGCCTAAATGAATTATCCATGCAAGAGATTTCATAAGTGATCGTAAAGGTAATTACTCACTTTCCAGAAGCCAGAGAAAAATAAGAAATGATAAAAGATTGAAGAAGGGCAAATATTGTCTTGATTTTCAAAGATAATAAAAAGTGGTAGGGGCAAAGAAGAGTCAGAGTTATTGGTAAATTTAACATTGCCTAACAATTTTCTAGAATGATTTTTAAATGCATTTTTTTAACAAAGAAAAGAAGAGATAATCACTGGAGCCTATGTGAGTTTATAAATGACGGTTTCAATGTTTTTGCCTTCCATGTTTATCAGAATCTCAGTGGATCCTGTATCTTGTAAACTTGCTGAGTTCATTTATTACTTCTAATGATTTTTTAGTGGATTCCTTAGGATTTTCTGTATATTTGTGTTATCTGTGAATAGAGAGTTTTACTTTTTCCTCTCAAATGTAGATGCATTTTACAATGTTTTAATGAACATTTTTACATATTGTGTTGCAGAAGGAGTTCAGGATCAGTCAGTTCAGGACAGTCAGTTAAACCATCCAAAATTAAAGTGGCAATAGCTAACTTATCACCTGTTTTGTGTGTGTGCTTTTGTTTGTTGTTGTTGTTGTTGTTCTGTGACTCAGTCTTGCTCTATTGCCCAGGCTGGAGTGCAGCGGTGCGATCTCGGCTCACTGTAACCTCTGCCTCCCCGGTTCAAGTGATTCTCAAGCTTCAGCCTCCCAAGTAGCTGGGATTACAGGCGCCCACCATCACGCCCGGCTAACTTTTGTATTTTTAGTAGAGATGGGGTTTCACCATGTTGGCCAGGCTGGTCTCGAACTTCTGACCTCAAGTGATCCACCCACCTTGGCCTCCCAAAGTGCTGGGATTACAGCCATGAGACACTGTGCCCAGCCTCCTGTTTTTCTTGTATCCCTTTATAATTAATCATTTTTATGGTAGTCAAGAGTGATCTGGTCTTTGGGTTCTTTGACTGTAAACCACAGAAACAAATCCTAGATAACTTAAGCCAGAAAATAAAAAAATAAATTGTAGACCCCATAAACTGTAACAATTTGCCAAAAAGTAAAAAATAATTTATGGCCTGCATAAACTGTAACAATTTGTATTGTCTTTGTGTCTCTTGATTCAAAATTCAAATGTAACAGCATCTAATTGGCCAAGCTTAGATCACATACTTTCTTAAGAATGTATGTACTGTGGTGATGAAAGGAAGGGTGTGATGGAACGTCTCTTCAGGAGCCTCTTATTGAAAATAAATTAAATTAATTTTTTTGGACGTGAGATCTTGCTATGTTGCCCAGGTTGGAGTACGGTGGCTGTTCACAGGCTCAATCATAACGCACTACAGCCTTAAACTCCTGGCTTTAAGTGATCTTCCTGCCTCAGCCTCTTGAGTAGCTGGGACTACACCATGCTACCACAGCCAGCGAGGAACCTCTTTTTTTGGTTTTGTTTTGAGATGGAGTCTGGCTGTGTCAGCCAGGCTGAAGTGTACTGGTGCGATCTCGGCTCACTGCAACCTCCACCTTGTGAGTTCAAGCTATTCTCCTGCCTCAGCCTCCCGAGTAGTTGGGATTACAGGCATGCACCAGCACATCCCACTAATTTTTGTATTTTTAGTAGAGGTGGGGTTTCGCCATGTTGGCCAGGCTGGTCTCGAACTCTTGACCTCAGGTGATCTGCCCGCCTTGGCCTCCCAAAGTGCTGGGATTACAAGGCATGAACCAGTACGCCTGGCCCAGAACCTCTTTTTTAAGAGGCATTTACTTTTTACCAAGTTGAAACATTCATTGGAAAAGCTCTCCAAATAAATTGGGGTTCAATTAAAAAGGGAATAGACCCTAAATTACTAACAATGCCAAATATTCACTATAGCTGTTTTCTAAAATGCAAATTTTCTTTGCTTAAAGACCTCCTTGACTCTTCATTACCTTAGTATGGCAATAAAAATTATTCATTTCCTAGTCTTTACCCTCATCTCCAACTCAAAATTTATTGAATATACCAGACCATGTGACAGAAGCTAATAGACAAAAAAGCACTCTTACCTTGAGACATTCATAGTCTAGTGACAGAAGCGTGATAGTACGACCACTTCTTGATTGCTTAATATGTCTAAAGCAGAGTTTACTGGCAATAATAGCTGGGGTGGCCATAAGTCCTTGTTTTTCCTATTGTCCTGACATCATTACTATCAGCACAAACCCCCTTTTCCCAGCCTCAAAAGTTTCTCAGTTTGGACAGAAATTATAGGTCATTCTAATAATAATAATACAGTATTTTCTCAGTTAACTCTCAAAACAATTCTGTGAAGGAATGAGATGTTCATTCCTACTGGATAATGTGAGTAGAGTTTTATAAAAAGACTATCTGCAAAGGTATGTGCAAAATGAAGGGAAACCATAGGGGTTTACTCTGGGTCACCCTAGGGAGGGATACTGGCTGCTTCCTTTGGTTGAGGGAGGCAACCAGCCTGCAATGGTGCCATAGTAAGGGAGCCAGGGGGGAATAAATAACCATACTCCTTCCTCTTTGTTCCATCGCTGTTGCTTCCTAGTGCCTTCACTCAACTGGAAGCTAGAGGGAAAGAAAGTCTCTTGAGTTAAGGCTCCAAAGGACAGACAGCAGGTTGGAGAGTGGATCTGGCTAACAGAACACGTCCTCCCCCAGGACTCACTGTTACTACCCTATTTTACAATAGAAAAAAAAAAAATGAGATGAAAGTTTAACTTATTTGATATAACAAAGCTCATAAGTGATCATCTGTAGCTGAAGTGCCAGGTTCTCCCCACTCTGCCACTCTCTCGCTAAGGCTCCAACATTCTAGCAATGCCAGGATACCCACCCTCCCCATAGCATCTTCACATCCCAAATGAGATGTTGGAATATGTAACGTTAAGTTTTGCTGATTAGAATAAACTAACCTACCCACCAAGGTAGGGCATTCACATTCTTACAATCTAAGCAGATGAGTTTACAGCATATACATTCACAAAATAAATAAGTAAAAAAAAAAAATTTGATAAACAAATTCTACAGTCTGTTCTGGTCAAGATAACACAGTTCCTTTGCAACTGCCCTTACATCCGGTTGGTGGTGTGTGGAGCCCTCTTTTCCCAGGCCTTACATGAGGCCTCTGGTCCATGGGCAGTGCTGCTGCTGTCTGATCCTCCTTATGGAGAAAGGACAAAATGTCCATGTACCAGAGCTGCAGAAGAAAGTATTTGTCTTCCCCCTCCCTTTGCACAGCACCCATCTGTGTGTAATCTTATTATTATATATTTTTTGAGACAGGGTCTCACTGCGTCACCCAGACTGGAGTGTAGTGGCGCGATCTCGGCTCACTGCAACCTCCGCCTCCAGAGTTCAAGCGACTCTCCCACCTCAGCCTCTATAGTAGCTGGGACTACAGGCAAGCGCCACCATGCCTGGCTAATTTTTGCATTTTTTTAGAGCCAAGGTTTCACCATGTTGGCCCACCTCAGCCTCCCAAGGTGCTGGGATTACAGGCGTGAGCCACCGCGCCCGGCCCATTTATGTGTAATCTTAATTCAACACTTATTGAGCGCCTACTGTATGTTTGGCATAAAATGGTGGTCCCTAATTTCAAAAGATTTGGAGTCTAGAGGGCAGAAATTGAAGAGGTTGGTGCTCTGCACGTCTGAGTCCGCCCACAGACTGAATAAATAAGCTCTGCGTCGGCGCCCCTCACCTTTCTTTCATGGCCAGACTTTTCTCTGGCGGTTCCACAGCTGTCCTGACAGTGGAATTCAGACGGGGTGACCAAGCCCCTAGCCCACCTACCAGCGAAATCCAGCATCAGTTCCAGGGCAGCCGGACCCGCGCCCGGGGACGACTGACCCTTAGCCCAAGGCTGCGGGGGCGTCGGAGTCCTGAAGCGCAGGCGAGGCAGGGCCAGCGGGACAGGGAGACTCAAGGCCCCAGGGGATCTGGGCGTTTGAAGACTCAGGTCAGACTCTGAGGCGCCCGTCTAAAGAGACCGGTTGTCTTTTCCCTAATTCAGGAGGCCAGGCTGTCCCTTGGGGCGTCGTACCGAGGGCAGATCACAGCCCTTCCCTCCTCACCACACTCCCTGTGCTTCCACCCAGCTGGTTCCCCGCCCTGTCCATCGCTGTCCTCAATCGCTTGTTGTCGTGGGCCCCCCTCTCCGGCCCACGTGGGGCCGCAGGGATCCACAGCTCATCTGACACACCTCGCTGCCCTGCACGCACCGGGACCCCTCCATTCCGCCGGCCCCTCAGACACGCAGTAACACCCCAACATCTGCTGGGAAAAAAATCTTCCCCACGGCGGAGGAGTTCTCAGTCCCACGCGCCCAGAGTCGCACCCACTCGAGCCACCCGCCTGTTGCCGTCGCCACGCCCTCCAGCCGCAGCCCCAGCGCGCATTCCTACGGGTCGCCGGGTCTGTCGCCAGCGATCGAATGAAGTCGGCTGATCCCCCACGTGTGGCTGCTCCAGTGACACCCAGGGGAGGCCTCGGTCCTTACCCCTAGAGCAACCAATGGCTGCCTTAATTCTTCAGCGGGGGCGTTCTTTTTCTTCCTCCCAAGCAGGCGGCCGTTGGGTCGGCCGAAGGCAGCAGCGACTACTACGGCTCTTCCTCTCCAATGGGATCCCCTGTCTGCCCGCGCGCCACAGTGACAGCTTCCAGATGCCTGTCTTTAGTCTCCCTTCTCAAGGGAAGCGGTGGGCGACCGAGGTGCGGCCTGGAGGGCCCCCATGTGGGAAGGGAAGACTTGCGGAAGGGCAATTCTTCCAGTGCGGAGACGAGGAGGCCAGCCCAGCCGCACTTCGGTCGCCCACCGCTCCGCCTGGTGGTCCGCAGCCCCTTCCAGGCCGGCTTCTCCGGGTGGGGCGTGCTAGTCCGGGGCTAACTTTCCGCCACGTGCTGTCCCTGCGACCCGTCTCCCCCGGTCGCCCTTCCTTCTCCCGGCGGCCGCTGGAGCTGCCCGCTTCGTGGAGCCGGTGGCAGGCCCCGGGGCTGGGAGCTCGCGCCCAGGCTTTTACTCAGATTCCAGCACCTGATGGAGCAGGGGGTGGCGGCCAGCGCACAGGCTGTCGGCATCTCATGGCAGCGGAGACGGTCGTTTGGGGACGGAGGGGCGAGCCCCGCGGCCGGGGCCAGTGGAGCTGGGCTCGGAGCCCGCCCACCATCCTCCCGCCCACCACCGCGGCCGGGCGCGCAGGCTCACACCCCTTCCTGGGGAAGCGAATGGTCCCTTCCAGGCGGGTGGCCATGTTGCTCTAATAAAGCGGGAGGGGCGGCGGCGTGGGGGGAGCAGATGCCGCTGGCTGCCAGCGGGACGCCGGCGAGCAGAGCGCAGCCGCGAGGGAGGCGCGAGGGAGGCGAGCCGGAGCCCGAGCACTAGCAGCAGCCGGAGTCGGCGTAAAGCACCCGGGCGCAGCCGGAGCCGGTGCCGCAGCTGCGATGGCCGTGGCCGTGGGGAGACCGTCTGTGAGTGCTGGGGCCTCGCCTGCTGCTCCTCGGGCGCCGGGTGGTCTCTGCTCTGGGGCGGGTGCGGTGAGGACCACAGGGGAGCCGGGCGGGTGCTCGGCCCCGCGGCGGCGGCGACGGCTGTGGGTGTGTGCACGAATTTGGGCGCGCGTCTGGGGTCGGGGTTAGGAGCCCAGGGGCTCAGTTACGTGATGCAACAGTGGATCGCCTCGTCGCGCCCCTCTTCTGGGAATGCGAAAGAAAAAGGACCCCTCTCCTGTTCCCTTTAAAATAATTCTTTGAGGCGCGGCGTGTCTCAGCCGCCTCCCTCTGCCCGCGCACCTCTTCCCTCGTGACAGCCAGAAGGGCGCCGGGTTCGGGGCTTTCCTCCAGTCTCCCCCGCGCCGAGGGGGCGCTCAGGGCATGGGAATTGCGAGCTGAAGTGCTGCGTGTGGCACTGCTGTAGAAGCAGGTCAGAGGGGTGGGATTTCCGTGGTGGCCTCCCCAGCGCATTGTGAGATCCCGGACACCCTCGGGCATCCACCCGGCTGAGCGGGCCCTGCCCAGGATGTGGACAAAGCCCCAGATAACACACACAAAGTTTTCTGGAGGCTCCCTTGTGGTGTGGGTGGAAGGACTGAAATGTTCTGCGGCTGAAAGGCCGGGGGCGGCGGGCTGAGGAGGCTGGGACGCGAGGAAGAGGAAGGGCGGGCGGGTGCGTGAAGAATCGAGTGCCCCACGGCGGGAGGGAGGAGAGTAGGAGGGAGGAGATACCTTTGCCCCGAGTGTGTGGGCCAAGGCGCCGCGCCTACTGGGTTGCAAGACTCGGTCCGCGCCCCGGGGCCGGGCCGGAGGGGAGCGGGACTCCGAGGGTGCGGTTCAGTGGCCGCTCCGCATCCCCAAGTGAAAGGCGGAGGAAGGGGCGGCGGCGGCCTTTCCTTTTTTTTGAAAGGAGCGGAGCTGGGTGGGAAAGGCGGAGTCCTCCTGTTTTCCCTTTCCCCTTTTCATCGTCGATGTTCACAGTCCACTCGCCTTACTGGCTTTGGGGGCGCCTCGGGCGATGTCTTTCCCTGTCTATCACCTCCTCTTCCCTTTTTCTTCTTCCCTTTCCCACAGCTGTGCAGCTGCAGGTGGTGGCTCGGGAGATTTTGTAGTTACAGACGAAAGACTTACTGAGATACTGGAAGCTCGGAAATCCCAGAAATGCAAGGCTGTGCTCTCAGGCTCCCGGCTCTTCCCCCTCTCCCCGCCTAACTCCTCCCCAGATACGCGCGCCTTTTGCACCCTACCCCCTCGGGAGAAGTTCATGGGTCCCTTTGCGGATTCTAATTCGATTTGGTGGTTCGGCTGCCCGCGGTGCTTTCAAAGACGTTTTCTGCAGTCAGAAAACACAGCGGTCATATCGAATCATGACTGTCTTTTAGGCCTTTTCAACTCTACGATTTAATGACATGGCTCTTTTAAGAATTCTGGTCTTCTTTTGCACATAAATTGTGCTCTTGATAATTAGTGGTCACATGTAGGTTATTGTTACTGAGGGAATTTGCATAGTCTCTGGGCTAGTCGTTTTATTTTTGGTGAGAAAATTGAGGTCTATAGAGGTGAAATTTATCTGGTTAAATTACTCCTCCCCCTGCCCCCCATTATACTTATTAGCAGGCATAGATTCAGAGAACTAAAATAACAATATCTGCTTTAGATAAATTGGCAAACGTTTAGGATTGCAAATATTCAGTGGGGGTGTTTGGCTTTTTCAGTAACACGTATTATTGCTGGTGCATTCTTGAGGGATGGAGGAGGTGGAAGAAATAATTAGCTGCACATTTTCTATAAATTAGTTCATATATGTCAGTTAAATAGGAACAGTATGTGGATTTAAGGTTTAGTTGTGTGGCCGTAATCACATCCAACACCAAGTCGGCCAACCATATGTGAGCTTAATCCCACAGAATTCTTATGTTAGACCTCCCTCTTCAGATAATAGAGGAGATTTTTTTTAAGTATACGTGCACAGAGGAAGTGACTTCTTTCTGCGCACTCTGTTGTCACTGGAATTAAAATTAAATTACAATCTAAAGACAGAAGACTTTTCTTTTGGAAACCTAATGTACGAGTGATTAGGAATTGACTATAAAGTTAGAAAGTCTACAGAAAATATGTGATCACATTTCACAGATAATTGTTGAATCCTTTCACTTTGTTCATTGGGCTATTGTCTTAAGTGTGGTCTCTGCAGTTATGGCTTTAAAACAAAGTCAATGAATGGGGAAGACTCTTGAGACACAGCTCCATGGAATCTACACTGCACCTTTAAAGTTAAGAGTTCTCTGGCCCTCCCATTTCTTATCTAGTCTGTGATTTCACCAAAAGAAAGGAAGGGTGCGCTGAGGGAAAAGAACCACTCCGAAGTTGATTTATGTGTGAATGGAATTTCCCTAGGTATTTAATTAGATTTTTTAAAAAGTTATTTAGGACATATATCTCCTTTTGCGATAACTACCTCTCCCCGCCAGACTGAAGAAAAATGCAATCTGAATAACTTACCCTAAATTTTTGATATTCTTGAATGGGAACATCTGAGTGTGATATCCCAGGTAAATATGACATTTTAGTGGGCAAAAATGCTTACATGTCAAATGCACTATTTTCTATCTTATGAAATGGTTATATTCTGTTACAAACCATTCAAACCTCAAGGCTAAATTCAGGTAAGTTTCTTAAGTGGATTTGTTGTTGACTGCAAAACAAAGCTTCAATTTAGTGTGATACTGTTTATTTCAGTTTTAATTTTGATCCCTAGCTTCTCCATTTCCCCACTGATGGTTTTTGGGCTTAGCCCTAAGAAGACCCTGAAGCACATCTGCTGTTTGCCTAGTATAACTGATGATTAGCAAGAACATTTTACTCCCAAGGGATGTGTCTGCATTTTGGATGAATTAGCATTTTTGCGTCCAAATCCCGGGGCAGCTATTATCTTTATTTTAAACAGAACATGGCAATTTACTCTACTTGGGAATCAGGCTTTATGTAGCTGATGGCCTCTCCTAAGCTGTGGTGTTCATCAGTTTAAAAACTCTAGGAGTTGAAAGGAACGTTAGAGGTCATTTGGGTTAGCCTGCTCCCCAGTGCAGAAATATTTCTTACTTTATCCCTAACAAAAAATATGTGTTTAAACTTCACTGGTGGTGGAGATTTCCCTATGATATCCTTCAAGAAATGCACTTAATTGCTGTTTTATCTGTTGAGCTGAAGGAAATGGAAAACCAAGTTTCCATTTGCTCATTTAACACCATTTATTAAGCACCTGCTATGTGTCAGGAACTTGTTCTAGGTGTTGGGGATATAGCAGTGGACAAGTTTTCTTCTTACCAGGAGCTTTATTGTTTGAGAGATTTGGTGTATTAAAGTGACAGACTTCAGTGTAAATGTGTAAATCATTTAGGGAGAAAAGGAATTATATGCCTATTGCTGACTCAGCAAATATGATTCAGGTGAAGGATCATATCTGTCTGGGGATAATTATAGGCAATTCTTAAAGATGAGGGCAGGGAGTGTGGGAAGTGGAGGAGTACTGCCAATAAAATGTTACTTTCCCTTGTTATAAAATTGCCATTTTTGTGACTTGAAAATGTGGCCCCAGATGGATGGCTGTGGTCGGTGTGCCTGGAGAAACATGAATGGAGCCAAGAAAGGTCCAGGGGAGGGCCACCTAAACAATAAAGGGACTGTCATCTCAGGTCAGTTTTCAAAAATTAGAACTTTTTAGTCAGTGATATAAATTATACATACTGAGGCTCTATAAGCAGTTATTAAGGAATGCAAGAAGTTTCTGAGGTACAATAATCTCTCCTTTTAAAATCTTTCGAAAGTTATAGATTAATTTATCTTTTAAATTATCATCTTTAAAAATGATGTGTCTACATTACAGTGAAAAGGAGACCCAAGGAATTGATTAAAAGAACAAAACTGCCCATAACCCACTATCCTGATATAATAGTTCTTAGGTGTTTAGTCTATTTCACCACTTTTTTGAGCAGACATAACCCATCTTGTATAAACTGCCACCTAGAAACCAAACTGTGTGCCTGAATGAGTCCTGTGTGACCATTTGAATAATACTCTTAAAATGAAGGAAGTGGATGCTTAGTGTTTGGGCATGGGCCATCCTATGTCTGCAAAAGGAACAAATGATTGTGGGACTCTGCTGTTTCCTTGATTTGGATGGCCTACTTGATTGATTGCCAGCAGACCAAGTGTTTATATTCTACCCAATGATGATGTCACACTGATCATGATCATCGGATTTAGACTGTGGCGCAGCCCACAGAGTTTTCTGTGCCTGTGTTTCTCTTTATAGGACTCTAAATTTGGTTGGGGATAGACGCTGCTCTTGGATTTTATCATTTTATTGGGATCCATCTTTCATAGTCTTAGCTAGACCTGTCTCAAATGGGGTTAGCAAAGCTGAACCATTATTTAAATGAAACCCAACACATCTAAAGCTTCTATACTTTTTTCCAAGGAGATCTACTTTACAATATAATTGATAACCTCCCCCGCCCCCTTTTTAAAAATCTGGATTGACAGAAAACTCTCAAATAACAATACTTCCCCTGACCCACTCATGCCTGCTGGCAGCCCATCAATGCAGCAGCTGTTGAACATAAAAACAATACTTGGGCTAAGGTAATAGAGACAGACTTCTAAAAGGAATTTGCTGGGCGATCTAAAATGAAATTCACATTGTTCCAGGCTTGACCTGAGATAGAAATCAGGAGTCTGTTCCCTGATATGACAAAGCCAAGGCACCAGAGCCACCTCTTTTTAGGATCGACGCCAATGAGTGTGAGCACATCGCTCAAGCCAAATGGCACAGGAAGTCCAGTTCTGTGGACACATTCTGCCCACCTGCTGAACTGTGACTGGGTAGGATGGAGTGTGAAACATTGAGAGAGGGGTAGGCTGAGGTGGTGAGGTGGGAAAGAGACCATATTCTAAAAGGACCATTTTTCTGACAAGTGGGAGCTTTGTTTGTTCTTGTCTGTGTGTGATTTCTTTTTTATTTATTTATTTATTTTTTTTTGCATTTTTATTGTACAAAAAGGAAATGAAAATATATATAGCATAACATTAAAATTTACCTACTTGTTTTTGATAATAACATTCCTTTGGGAAGAATTGATTTTTTTTCTCTTATAGAAGTTGAGGCACAATAATGTGGATAGGTTAGAGATTGAAAAACAAAATAATCCTCAACACCCTAACACATCAGTACTCATTCTTGCCTTTCCAACCCACCTGTTTTATCAGACATTTCTTGTGTACCTTCTATATGCAGGTGCTGAAATTATGTTGGTGAGTACTTGACTGCAGTCTTTGCTGCTCTCATGAAATCTCTCTATAGGCTGAGTAAGCAATAGGATTTAGCAAGGAAAGGGAGATGGGGAGGTGGTTGTGGAAGTGTTCCAAGCCCAGGAAACAGCATGTGCCAAGCTCTGGAAGT
This sequence comes from Homo sapiens, assembly GCF_000001405.40. Classification (NCBI taxonomy): domain Eukaryota; kingdom Metazoa; phylum Chordata; class Mammalia; order Primates; family Hominidae; genus Homo; species Homo sapiens. Next base: position 76,955,413 of record NC_000004.12, read on the forward strand.
GAGGGAGAGACTCTTAAGAAATCCAATGTAGCAGGAACGTCAGCCTTAGGGTTGGGTAGGGAGAGTGGACAGACAAGAGGCTGAGGAGGTGGGAAGAGACTCAGTTGTGCAGTGCATTCTTTATAGGCATGTATTTACTGTGTAGCTCTTTAAATGCTTTATATTCCATCCACCCTTTGCCCATAACTTAAGATATCTCAGATCCTTGAAATTGGTTGAAGGAAGACAAAGAAAATCTGCAGACTACTAATTCTTCAGGATTCAATAGGAGAGTTGAGAAACGATCAGGGGAGTTGATTCCTTTCATGCCCAAATTGAACCCTTAAAGAATAGAGGAAATGAAGACTGACAGAGGACACAGAGAAGGAGAGTCCAGTGACAACATATGACAACGACAATGCTAGATCTTCCTCTGCCCAGTTTTATGCATTGAGCCTTTCCTCAGGATTCAGAACTAGAAGTTATTATTTTCTTAGACCTAAGCAACTGAGTCCTGAAGAGTGTGGTGGGGCTGGGGGGGAAGATGGTAGGACTCTTTCCACCTTGGACTTCAAGTGGCAATCAGTGTTCTCCAAAAAGGAAATTAAAAACTCATTGGATTTTATGAAAACAGGAGAAGAGTCTGTTAAAAGCCAGGGTTTACTTAAGACTTCATGCTGTTTTAGTTATCTCATCTCTTTGAGTACTGTCTTCATACCAGTATAAATTTTGTGAATCTCATTAAGGTACTCATTAAACTTACTCTGACCTGCTGTTGGAGGGCAAAAGGCTTGACCAAAAACTTCTGTGCACGGGAAGCTTGTTCAGCATCTTGATTTTCAAATTTATTCAATTCAAATTACTGTCAAGACAATTATCTCACCTTATACTCACAAAATACCTGAGAAGTAATATAGAGAAGGAAAATGAGACAGGAAGAAGTTGTCAGTTAATCTGCTACAGCAAATTTGTGGGAGAGCTAGGCTTTGGAACCAAAGGCTTTTAGACCAACATGCATACAGACCTCCCATCTGATTCAGTCAGTTAAGCTAAATTATGTTGCGGTAACAAATTGGCCCCATGTTTTGGTGGCTTACATAGCAAGGGTTTATTTCTCATGCAGCTGTTCCACCCTCGGAGGTCTGCTGCATACTGCATTGCCTCCAGGACCCAGGCTGAGGGAGTATCCTCTATCTGGGCATTGCCAGCCTGGTGGCAGAGGACAAAGAGACATGCTGAACCCTGGCTTCTCAAGAGCTGGCTTCTCAAGCTCTTAGATGGGTCACTTCCATGCAGATTGTATTGGCCAAAGTAAATGGTCATTCCTAAATTCAAAAGAATGAGGATAGAGAATCCTCCTGTAAAGAGTGGCTCTGAAAGACCCTTGGGCTGGGGAAGTAAATCCCCCTCTAGGGAGGGCAGTGAATATTTTGAATAACAGTTGGCTAGATTCCTAGTCAAGGAATCTACTATGAAGCCAAGTCTTTATTTTTAAAATTGTATCCCTGTCTGTAAGGATTTTTCTCCCTCTATTTGGCCTGCTCTGATTCTAGCTGGGCATAGTAGAATGATGTGTGTGTGTGTGTGTGTGTGTGTGTGTGTGAGAGAGAGAGAGACAGAGACAGAGACAGAGAGAGATAAGAGTTAGGCAGCCACAATGAATTGAAGTCAGAGTGAATTCTCCTACTCACTGGTGATGAGCTTCCAGGGACATCACCATCAAGTAAGTCATGGGTGGTAACCTTCTGAAAGGCCTTCTGTGCTGCTCTCTGATGACCTCAGCTGTGGAAGTGTACTCTCTGGGAAATGGTTCTGAGGCCATTAGGACTTCCAGCTGCTTGACAGAATGATTTCCCTTGGGACCTCGGCCCTTTGGACCTTTCCCAGCCATATGTCCCTAAATGCAGATGAATCAGATGGCACCCTTCTTTCCCTTGCTCTGTTTTTCTCTCTACTGAGAGGCCATAGTGTATAGCGTTTGGGTGAAAAATGTGGGCTCTGGAGCCAGGTTGCTCCGGTTCTAGAGTATCGGTTTTACCATTTAACAAGCTTTGTGTCCTTAGGCAAGTTACTTCCCTCATCTGTAAAACACTAACAGTACTTCCCTCAAAGAGTTACAGATTAAGCCAGTTAGTACACACACAGTGCTTACACTGCTGCCTGGAACATTCATCCTCAATAAAAGTTGGTTATCTGAGGAAAATGGTGCTGAAATAGTAATGGCTTTATACTGAAGACTGGGCTCAAACCAGAACTGCCACTCCACTCCACCCCACCCCAGTGGGAACTGAGCAATTGCCCCTTCTCTTGCACACCTGAACCACACAGGCTTCCCATTTTCTAATCATAGCACACCTTAGAGGCACGGATCAAGCATACCCTCCATGAAGCCTCCACCCATGAATCACCAAAATTTTGGCGATTTTTATTTATTTGAATTGCTGGCAACACTTATGTGTCATCCACATAGTGCTCTGGAGTCCCCACCCCACCTTTCCTTAAGTTACCTTTTTTAAAAAAAGTGACTGTCAAATATAATTGTGAACATAAAAACACAAAACAAAAAAACCTTATTACCTACCATAAGCAATATGTTCCACTAGCCCTTGACCACATTCTTGCATTCTTAGTCTAGATAGCCAGACTTAAGGGAAAGGACTATATGTCCTATACCCCCCACCAATAAACATTTGACTCAATAAGTGAAAATTCACCCTTCAGATAAATTGGATAAGACGTATTGTCTAAGACGTGTGCCTACCTGGCTGTTGCTGTGTCAACCCCCGGTAGGTGTAGACCTCGCAAGTCCACTTTCTGCCCCAGGCTTCTCTGCCATCGCCACCTGGGTTCTGCTTAGCTATTCTGACCTTTGTGCACTTCTGGACATCCAAAGGAGTTGCCATCCCAGGGGGCAACCCCCTTGAGATGGTGGATCTACATGGCTCCTCAATTGACCTGGCTCCTTAGAAGTTCCCCTCTGGGCCCCAGCCTCAGCCCTCAGGGGTGATTACTCTACAGTCCCCTTAGGGTGGCCTTCCCTCTTCCCCTGTTTCACTTTTCCCTGTCCCCCATTCTGTTCCCCTGGGTCACTTCCCAGGACTCACATGCATGCAAGTCCCTGTCTCAAGTCCTTGCATTTTGGGGAAACCTAGATGAAAACGCCTTGTTTACTAGTGTGGGGCTCGTCTTTTCCTTATACAAATAAGGGAGTATGAATGTTAATTTTGTAATATACTAAGCTACTTTGGATGTTTTAAAAAATACTCAGAACAAACTGACTTTTTACCAGGTTTTCACTACTATTTGTAAGACGCGGTTTTTGTTGTTGTTGTTGTTAGAATTAATGTTTTATTGTCACCCAGATGGCAATTAGGTTTATAATCTTCATACTTTATGTTTTTTGTAAATTAAAAAAAAATAAGTTTTAAATAGTCAATGGCTGGTTATATTTTCAGAAAACATGATTAGACTAATTCATTATGGTGGCTTCAAGCTTTTCCTTATTGGCCCCAGAAAATTCACCCACCTTTTGTCCCTTCTTAAAAAACTGGAATGTTGGCATGCATTTGACTTCATACTCTAAAGCAACATCCTGACAGTCATCCACATCTACTTCAAGGAATACCATGTTGGAATACTTTTCAGAGAGGGAATGAAAGAAAGACTTGATCATTTTGCAAGGCCCACACCATGTGGCTGAGAAGTCAACTACAAGTTTATTGCCTGCGGTGTCCAAGGCTTCCTGAAAAGCAACCTTGCTCTTGATCGTTTTACCATTCTTGGCTGCTGGGGTCTGATGAGCAACTGTAACGACCGATGGAAACGGATCCAAAGCACTGGACTGAGCTTGGACAAGACAAGGTTTTTTTTTTTTTTTAAAAATAATAATAATTATTATTTTTAATGGATACAGAGTCTTGCTATGTTGCTCAGGTTTGTCTCAAACCCCTGGCCTCAAGTGATCCTCCTGTCTAGGCCTCCCAAAATGCTGAGGTTACAGTTATGAGCCACGGGCACATGGCCAGATTAAAAAAGTAGACTCAAAAAAAAAAATTTGTATCGCATCACCTAGACTTTTCTATAATTTTCATTTCTGATTCTTTGGGATGGAACTCATAATCTCTCAGGGTGGCACTACTTGCTTTTGAATCTATAGTGCCTATTTTGTTCTGTAATGGGTTTAATTTACCCATTTCAAGTCAATTGCATTTTTATATTCTAGGATCTAGATCCAGAGTGAATGGGGGAAATTATGGTTTTGATACATGAACTATGAACTTAGGACAAAGCTTAAAACTCTTTTGAAAAAAAATAATCAAAGTTTTGGGCTTATATTGTCTGCATAAATTGGAAAAATGGGGTAATAAGAAACAACTTTAATTAGCTAACATTGAACAGTTTTAAGGATGGGGATTAATGTAGTATTTCCCTAAGAGTGTTTATTTTATTTTATTTTGAATTTTTTATTTTTGTGGGTACATAGTAGGTATATATATTTATGGGTTACATTAGGTATTTTGATGCAGGCATGCAATGTGTAATAATCACATCAGGGTAAATGGGGTGTCCATCACCTCAAGCATTTATCCTTTGTGTTTCCAACAATCTAATTGTACTCTTTTAGTTATTTTTAAATGTACCCCAAGAGTTTTTAAGAGAATTGTTCAAATGATCACTGCACTTCGTGTAAGCCATTCTCAGAGGCAGTTTCTGAGAATGTCATGGAAACTACGTAAACCAAGCTGATTCATTTTTAGATTCTCCTCACGTTTGTCACCTTTGCTCTCATTCTTTGAGGTGTTTGGTTTGACTTACGTGGGTAGGCAGTCTAAGACTAGTACTTTGGCCTGATAATTTGATTGTTTGTCACATGCCTCTTTGTTTTCAAAGCCTTTTCCAATCCTTAGTCAACCTCTTAACCACTGGGAATGTTGGATTGTCTGAAGTTGAAGCACAGTTTTCTCTCTGAGCCCTCTAAAGAAGTCTTTTAGTTGTTGATAATCAAATTTGCTCCTTCAGAAACTAAAATTCCAAGGTATTTTATGAACTTAAGGCAGATAAGATGAGGTCTCAGGTATCAAAATCACTAATAATTAATTTGCTGCCACTAGCTGCTGCTCCAAAGCTGACATTTAAGCTATGTGAAGAGGACCAAGTCTAAACTGGATTTTATAACCCAGTCAAAGCTGGGGGTGATGAAGACTCTCATTGACTTTATGTAATGGAGATTTATATAGGGATATTGGAGAGTTGGGGATACTGCTGAATATTTCTAAATCTCCTCTTTCTTGAAAAACTTATGCTTTTATTCCTCAGTGGCTTTTCCTATTTCCTGTTCATTAAGTCAACAAATATTGAGCCCCAGCTAACACCATGCATGAGTGACAATGTCAAAACCATATCCTTCTACTCCCCCACCAAACCAAATCAGAACCAAAATTTGTCTTTGGAAAATGGATCTCTTTGTCACTAAGGTTCAAAATTTTGGAATAAGGTTTGAATTCAGGGGCGAGTTATCAGGATGTGTTTTGTCGTTCCAACCTCCTGTCTCAAGTCATTCATGACTGTGCAGCATCAACCAGTCAGATATTTGAGGACCTTCTGTGTTACTTGTCCTGTGCTCCATGTTGTTGGAAAGCCTACAAAGTAGCTGGGGAGAAAAGGCTAAGACTCAGATAATGCTCAACCTCCATGACTGGGAGGATCTTGTCAGGCTCTTTTAACTAGTATTCAGCCCAACACATTTTCTTAGTAAACATGAGGAACTTGGCTTAGCATTCAGAAATAATAAGGCCCATTTTATTTCCCTTCTCTTTACCTTTTATAATGTAATTCGAGGACCCTTGAAAGGTAACCTCCAGCTTTTTTTCTTCCCAGGCTATCTTTCGAAATTTATTTTTTTAGTTTAAGGCGAGGATAAAAAGGGCACACCAAAGGGAATTGGGAAGTTTTATTAGAATCTGGATGGAATGTCTTCAGGCTCACTGACAGATTAATTTGTGCCCTATTTCCGCTACAAAACATTCTGACTGCCTGCACCATTCCACATGCTTTTGACTGGTAGACTAGTACAGATGCTCCTCAGCTTGCAGTGGGGTTATGTCCTGATAACCACATTATATTGAAAATATCTAAGTTTAAAACGCATTTAATACACCTCGCCTACTGAACATCAGAGCTTAGCCTAGCCTACCTTAAATATGCTTAGAACACTTACATTAGCCTGCGGTTGTGCAAAATCATCTAACACAAGCCTGTTTTATAATAAAGTGTTGACTATCTCAGGTAATTTACCAAATACTGTATGGAAAGTGAAAAATAGAATGGTTGTATAGGCATTTGAAGTGTGGTTTTTACTGAATGCGTATCACTTTTGTACCATTGGAAAGTCAAAATCGTAAGTTGAACCATTGTAACTGGGGACTGTCCGTGTTCTGTTTTAGAGCTGCACATGCATTTCTGCACCTGCCAACAGAATTTTATGCTTACTGGGTCAGTAGTTTGTTTTCAAACCTACTTACACTAGTTGTAATCATCATCATCGCCTAATTTAATGTTTTGTGAATCTATGAAATATAAGTGCAAAAATTGAATTGCTTCTAAATGAGATGCTTTGGAAAGTTTTAGTAAAGGTAAAAAATTTTGCTGAAATAAAACTGCCGTTAATTAAATATACATAAGATAATTGCAAAAAGTTGGAGCAAAAATTGTAAGAATCTAAAAAGAGCCTGTATTCAGATTGCATTGAAAACACTTTTAAGTTCTGTCTCCACATTAAATAAACAAACTGGAAATTATAGATGATGCCTGTGGGTTTGTGCTGGAAAGACACCCTTATTGATATTCCTCTGACCTATTATGATGAAAAAGCCTTGGCCTTTTGTCAAAAAATTGTGAATGAATGTATGTTTAGATGTTTTAAGGTGAATTTAAATGTTTTGGCTATAACTAGCGTTTTAAAAATCTCAATCTTTAAATGCCTTTTAAGATAAAATGTCCAGTTCCTGCTTCTAATAGTCTTAGCTTAAGGGACTTGTACTTAACAAAACATTTCCATATTCTAACACACGTACCCCCTGGTTTAGGATCATTGTGTGTATGGAATTATCCCCACATGGGGAAACGGGAAAAAAGGCTGAGAATTACTGGTTTGTCCTGGGTTGAGGTACACATGTCTCACTTGGCATTACCTATATTTAATTCCTTTCACACCCTGACGTAACTGGTTATCAGTTTTTTTGTGTTTGTTTTTTTCCTGATACTAGCTTTAGAGATAAAAGGACATTGGAAATACTGCCTGTTTAATCAGTTTCTCTTATGTTAGTCCAGAATAAGGGGAAATATGATTTGGGAAGCAAAATAAGCTCATTTGGAAAGGCAAAGTTATTTTAGTGATCTTTTAATGTATTTCTTTAAGGTATACACACAGTCACACACACACAAACACACACTCACATACCCCACATGGGATAATGGATAACTTAAAGATGTACTCAATCTGTCCGGGAAGGAGAAATTCTCTCATTATATGTAGATAAAAGCTGGGACCACTTAGTTCCTGGATTTTTGCATTCATTCAAGTGACTTGGCTTTTTGGCCCAAGTGGTGCATTCCAGCTATCCTTTGCTACTCTTACATTAGCAATTCGATTTAATTTTTAATCCCAACCATGGAAAAATTATGTGTTAAAAAAGCAAGTAGAAAGTTGTTTTTCTATTCCAATAAAGAGAGTGGGAGGAGAAAACTTAACAAATTTGAAGTTGAAATGTGTGATTTCTTAAACTAGAGTCATTTCAGAGTTTTTTTGGTCTTTAAATATACTTTTGGAATGTTTTCACTTGCACATTGGCTTTGCCACTAAACCCGTTGCACACACTGCAGTGGTTTCCTAATTGAAATTGTGCAATTCCACGTATTTTTCCTGTGATTACATTTCAGTGGGTAAAAGTTGATCTTCACAACAACTTTGTGAGGTGGGTTGGTTGGATATTATTCTTCACCCAACACCTTCACCTCCTTTTTGATTGATCAGGACTCAGACTTGCCCAAGGTAAACAGTGATGATCTTAAGGCCAAGTCTTCCGACTGTTGTTTACACCTTCTTCTACCATGTAGAGATACCACCCTAGGCTGCAGAACACTGTTGTCAGTTTGGAACTTCCATGATGATGGAAAATGTTCCACTATTGCATAGTTGCCATCACAGTCGTCAAATATGGCTTTTAAACACTTGAAATGTGGCTGGGATAGCTGTACAACTAAAATTTTTATTTTGTTTAATTTTAATTAATTTACACTTAAACAGCCACATGTGGCAAGTGGCTACCATACTGTATAGTGCAGCTTAGGAATGTAGTCTAGAAGTATTTATAGTCTGATCTTTCTCTTTTTTCCAAGAAAAACTTTATTTATTTATTTATTTTTTATTATACTTTAAGTTCTAGGGTACATGTGCACAGCATGCAGGTTTGTTACATATGTATACATGTGCCATGTTGGTGTGCTGCACCCATTAACTTGTCATTTACATTAGGTATATCTCCTAATGCTATCCCTCTCCCCTCCCCCTACCCCACAACAGGCCCCAGTGTGTGATGTTCCCCTTCCTGTGTCCAAGTGTTCTCATTGTTCAATTCCTACCTATGAGTGAGAACATGTGGTGTTTGGTTTTTTGTCCTTGTGATAGTTTGCTGAGAATGATGGTTTCCAGCTTCATCCATGTCCCTACAAAGGACATGAACTCATCCTTTTTTATGGCTGCATAGTATTCCATGGTGTATATGTGCCACATTAAGAAAAACTTTTTTTAATTAACAAAAATTCCAAACATACACAAGAGTAGAGAAAATAGTATAATGAACCCTTCCGTCCCATCACCTAGCCCAGTCATCAATTCTTGGCCAATCATTTTTTTTTTTTTTTTTTTGCATCTCCCCCTCCCATTTAAATTCATAGCCAATCTTGTATTGTCTATTTACCATTCTCTTTAGCCTCCTCGCTCCCTTCTCTAACCTCTTCCCTCACCTCTCCCCAAATTATTTTGAAGCAAATAACAGGCACTGTCTGATCTCATTTTTGTTTTAAGAGCCAAGCTGTGACCTGGGGAAGGAGGGGCAGTGAAAGGGATCAAGGAGAGATACTCGAGGATCTTCAAACGTATCTGTGATTTAAAAAGAAAGGATGAAGTATATGGATGGTAAAAGTTATGGTTTAACAAAGATAGGTCATGAGTATTCAGATACGTGATACTCTGTATGCTTGAGCTATTTCATCACCATCATCATCATCAAAAAGCCAAGTTGGAACTCACGTGGAAGTTACTGTGCCAGGCCTCGCTTACCTGTGCTTATCTTGAACTTTGGGTTTATGCATAATTTAAAACACTTAAACATTATTTCTGTGCAATATTTATCATTGAGCTTTATTGAATACCAGCAGTGCTGTAGAGTCATGGGACCTTTAAAAGGTCAAAAGAAAGCTGAGGATCATTTTAGTCTAGTCTCCTCAGAAAGCTTAGCTCCTGAGAGAAGTAGCTTGATTTGAGCTCATATCAAGTGGCCCAGTGCTTCCTGTCATTTACCACACTTGCCAGAACGACTGATTCACTGAGTTAAAACTTGGCATTGCTAAGTCATTCTTACCTAGCTTTTAAAATGACAGATTCTTATGACCTCTTTGAGAGCAGAGATATGCCTAAGTCTGCTTGCTTGGCATTGTAGATACTCTTGTTAGAGAGAAATGTTTTCATCATTAATAGTATAAAAGAGTCATTTATCAGGCCACACATGGTGGCTCACACCTGTAATGCCAGCACTTTGGGAGGCCAAGGCAGGCGGATCACCTGAGGTCAGGAGTTCGAGACCAGCCTGGCCAACATGGTGAAACCCCATCTCTACTAAAAATACAAAAATTAGCCAGGCGTGGTGGCGTGCACCTGTAGTCCAGGCTACTTGGGAGGCTGAGGATGGAGAATCACTTGAACCTCGGAGGCAGAGGCTGCAGTGAGCTGAGATTGTGCCACTGCACTCCAGCCTGGGCAACAGAGCCAGACTCCATTTCAAAAAAAAAAAAAAAAGGAGTCATTTATCAAATTTTGTCTTTTGGGCTTAGAATTTATGCCTATTACTGGTGGTATAATATTATGTATTATTGCCTATATAATACATATTATATATAATTTATTATAGGAAATACTTATTTTAATATTTCTATTTCTAAAAGAAACTTGTGTATCAAGTACATTTTAGTCATATGAACAGACACATTGAAGGAAATAATGCTTGCACCAATGATATTTAAAAGTGCAGTTTTCCTCACAACATAAAGCAAGAATTGTTGCTATGCTTTTATAGTTTAATTTAGGAGCCAATAGTGATTTTCTCTCATGACAGAGTGCAGAATATGTATATTCTAAATTTGGAACCCTATACACGGTATCTTAGGATTTAAAGGGAATGGTTTTGTGATGGTAAAAGGATCTTGTATCATCGGAAATGCTCTCAGGGCTTGGCTCAGCTGTCTATTGATGTAAAAAGATAATGTGCTTTAGAAAAAGAGCTATATTGAAATTTTCACCAACTTTCTGATGGACAACTGCAAGCTTTCAGCTATAAGAGGCTGCCATTTCTTTTACATGGTTTTGTCTCCAGCAGAGTCTGCCCTTTGTGTTCCCTTAGGCTTTGTTAACTATGTTCCTGGGAGAGAAGGAAAGTCTGTGTTTCATCTCATCATCTGTGTTGCAGTTTAGTCCAGTTTGCTTTATTCCATGGTGAGTGGAGAGAGTAAGTAGTTGGATGGCGCCCTACATTTTAATGTTACCACAACTCAAGATTTATGCTAGTTTTGCAAAGAATTCTCTCATGAAATGAGTTTTATCTCCACTTGACAAGAGACAGTTGAATCCACAGTAGGGCTAAGAAGAAGATTTAGGAAGATATTTGGTCAAATTAGTTATCCTGTGCTTTTTATGCAGGATAGAGACAGGAAACTGTTAAGGCTTGTAAAATGACTATGACCTGATTAGGCAAATATAGCAACTATTTTCAGCAAAGAAGCCACAAGATGAGTATAGCTGACTTTTTTTTTTTTTAATGTATAAAGTTTGGAGATTTTCCAGTGATTTTCTAATAGACCAAATTTAAATCTAACAATAATACATCTTGAAAAAAATTAAAAATTTATGTAATCAGCCAGGCATGGTGGCTCACACCTGTAATTCCCAGCACTTTGGGAGGCCGAGGAAGATAGATCACTTGAGCCCAGGAGGTTGAGACCAGCCCCGGCAACATGGTGAAACCCCATTTCTCAGAAAAAATACAAGAATTAGCTGGGAGGTGGTGGCGCTCACCTGTTGTCCCAGCTACTCCGGTGGCTGAGGTGGGAGGATCGCTTGAGTCTGGGAGTTTCAGGCTGCAGTGAGCCGAGATTGTGCCACTGTACTCCAGCCTGGGAGACAGAGGGAGCCCCTGTCTCAAAAAATATTAAGTAGTCTAGATCTCAGTTAATGCTTATGCTTTATTGTAGTTAGAAAAGTGCTTAACCTGGCCTGTAATCCCAGCACTTTGGGAGGCCGAGGTGGGCAGATCACTTGAGGTCGGGATTTTGAGACCAGCCTGGCCAACATGGCAAAACCGTGTCTCTACTAAAAATACAAAAATTAGCCAGGTGTGGTGGCTCACACCTGTAATCCCAGCTACTTGGGAGGCTGAGGCACGAGAATTGCTTGAGTCCAGGAGGCAGAGGTTTCAGTGAGCCAAGATCATGCCCCTTTACTGCAGCCTGGGTGACAGAGTGAGACTCCATCACAAAAAAGAAAAGAAAAAGTGCTTAACCTGATGTAGCTATAACATTAATAAGAAATAGAAATTTATCTAACTTTCTCTTTAGTTAATGGCCAATGGTTTATACACAGTTTTGGTTAAGCTTCAATTAGGTTCCGTGTTGAATTATTGATGGCATGGTAAGATGATAGTAAGGGAGGCAAATGTGTAAGCCATCTATGAATGAGCTTCATTATTTAGCTTATTTATTTGAGGGAGAAAAAGTACCAAAAAGGCAACCCACATTCTTCAGTTAAACTGCTGGAAAAACACATGCCACCTCTTGGCTCTGACTAGGAAATGGGGGCCTGATGGTGCCATAGTCTTCAGTTTTTCAAAAGAAGAGATGGACATTTGGAATTTGATGTGAAATTTCCACATCTGACAATGTTGGCAACTAAATGTTTTAAAAATACTGTGTGGGTCACATAAACACATTTGCTGGTTGAGTCTGCCAATTTGCAATCTGATTTCCATTGGAAATAAATTTATTTGTTTTTCTTGTATTTGAATAAAGGAACCATTAATAGTTTTTTTTTTTTTGGTATGCCTTTTAGAATGATTTAACATTTGAACAATTTAAGCTTTTTGTGTGTGCAGAAAATGTGGCTGCTTTTAAAATACAAGTGAAGCAAGTGCTTGAACTCTGATATTAAAACATATAGATTGGTTGAGGACAACATCAACATTTTTGAATTGTTTCTGTAACAGGATTTCTCCAATACAGGCCCGGCCATAAGAGAGCAAATTTGGAGAACCAAAAGTTGATGTATGGTGTGAGCAGGCCCACAGCTGAGGGAGTGGGAGGAATTCTAGAGTGTGTGGTAGCCAAGCAAATGTGGCTCCGCAAAAACATATGCTATATATAGTGAATGGGGTTGGATTTTCTATTTTTGGTTGAGTTCCAATGACAGTTAATGGCTGTTCCTATAGGCCATGAAATTATTTATGAATTCGGCAGTGGGACGATATAAAATGCAAGTTGATATAGGTAGAATAAAATTTGTTACCAAATTTCAACAAATTATTAGTGCTAGAGCCAGAAGGGCCTTCAAAGGTCACCTTATAAAGGACCTTCCTTTAAGATGAGGAAACTGAGGCCTGGGGAATTGAGGCTTAAATTTCCCATTAATCCTTATTGAGGCCTAAGGACTTAAGTTGAGGCTTAAATTTCCTGTTAATCCTTCCCTCTACAGCTGAAACCCAGCATCCTCCCTTCTTTTCGGTCTTCCTGCCTATACAAAAATGCATCTTCTACGAACTATTAGTGACAATTAGAGTCTCAGAAAAACAAAAAAGGCAGATGTTTTGTAAGCAGACTATTTAGAAAACATCTTTCTAAAAGGTTGATTTAGGCTGTCTTTCTAATTATTGGAACATTTTTATTGATAAAATTTCTGTTGTTTTTGTTATGAGTTTTGAGACTCTTCTTTTCCGAAGCCTACTCTTTCATAACCTTTTTAAGAAGCAAAAAGCCAGTGAGATCATTAACAGTAAAAGAAAAAGATGTGGCAAAATTGCTCTTGATTTTACAGAATGTCCTAGTAGTGGGTTGAACCACATGAAAGTTGATATCCAGCCATTTCTCAACTACAAAAATAGTAGCTTCATGTGATTCAAGATGGTAGCTTGAGCAAAATGGTAATAAGGAGTATTGATGTATCTTCCTATTCTTAAAGAAATCCGTGGCATTTTACATGGTCATTGAACACTCCACCCCTCTCAATTTATTCTACTCAAACACTGTTACGCCAGAGCATTTTTATTGAGAAATATGGAGTTGGAAGTTAAAGGTTCCATGTGTACATGTGGAATAGTCTTCTTCCCACATGTTATGTTTGGCTTGAAACATAGTCTTCTTGCCTTGAAGAAAAGACTCCCTAGCTAAAGTCAGATGCTGGATTTGTCTCTAATTTTTCAGGCCAACAGAAGCAAGTTGGCGGCGGGAGCTCTTTTCATGCTCAGTCTTGGTCATGAGCACAATAGTTTCATATGTAGTTCTTAATATTACAACTTGCATTGAGGATCTGGGACTCTTGAACACATTGTCTTGTTGTAATCGTATCCTAATTCTGATTTGGGAGACAGGGTGAATGAGCCTCCAGAGACCAGTATTGAACTTTAGACCTCTTCTTCTGCTGGTTTTCTAAATCGAATCCACTGAATATTTGTTTGGCCAAACAAATTTTTAAAATAAGTGGCATTTTAGCATTTTGGAGATTACAAAAGGTACAAAATATGAGACATTTGAACTTCACTTTGAAAGTTACAGAGAAATTTGAGAAAATGTTGGGAACTCTGAATCATATTTCAGGCCCCTAACTAAATAAAATAAATCTTTGACTTTGGGCATCAAGGGAATTAATAAATGTATCCATGCGAATTTTTCTTAAGAAATTAGAAAAGAGAAGTCCATATGCAATCCAGTCGATAGGAGTAGGGTAAACTCTACCGACTTCATGGTTCATAAAGATTAGAGTGTATCACAGCTGAGTAAACACAACCAAGGAGGCATCACAAACAGCAACATAGTAATGGGATTTTTCTCTACTACTTTAAACCAGAGGGTTAGTTAAAAATTCACTTCTGACATTTCTAGCCCTTTTCTGACTATTAGTTAAAAATTCAGATGCTTTCCTCCAGTTCTTAAAAAGCATTTCATAATACTTTTGTATGAACTGTAGAACTAAAGGGCCCTTTTCTTGGGGTTTCCAAAAGAAAAAAGGTATTGGAGAGACTAAATCTATTTTTTCTCTCTTATTTCTGCAAAAATGCCCTTCCATACTTCTGTTCCCTTCAGAATAAATAACAGCTCAACTCCCAGCATGACATGCATGCCCTTCCGAGACTTCATGCCTGTCTTCCTACAATCTCCATTAGGCTACCTGCTGGGCCCTGTGTGTGTACCCTTCGCTTACCTCTGCTTTTGCATTTCACCTAAATGCCTTTCTCTTTGGCCTGTTTCCAGTCTCTCTATCTAGTCATCCTTCAGGACTCTCAACCAGGCAGAGTTAGGAGGACTAGTTTTCTGAATTCCCATTTTTCTTAGGCTTCTCTAATCAGCAGATACTGTGTTGTACCATAATAGTTTTCACGCCTTATTAATTTTTGTATCTTAAACACAGCATAGAGTAGTGGCTAGCACAAAGGAGTTATTCAGTAAATGCTTCAAAAGTAATTGTGCAGTTACAGGCTCAGGTCTCTTGCTATGTAGAGCGACTTAGTCAGAAAACATTACTGTGGCAAAACATCCTAAAAGGAGATTGCAGAACAAAGAATTTAACGATCTCCTAAATTTTCTCCAGGAATTCTTACAGTTATCAGTATTTAGTGGTTGAGCATCTGACAACAGGAAGCTTTGAAGGGCTGAGAAATAAAGACATGCAATGAATTGGCTTAAGATTTTAATTTTCATTTCACCTGTTTTCTAGTCTCAGTCCAATTTTTCTCAGCCCTGGATTGCTCAGACCATACTAGTTGGATTGGACAGAGTGTAATATAATTTACTCCTATCAATCAGAAAATACTACAGTGACTGGTGAGGCAGCCTTAGCAAATGATATAGGTATTTCTCTTTGATGCTGTATTCAGGGCCTTCCCCTGGGCTTTTCTTAGTAATTGAAATTATGTGTATAGGATTGACTCCTGAAGCTGTTTTTTATGGAAATTAGTGGGCATCTTTCAGTATTTTCATTTTCATTGCTTATTTGCTTCCAGAAAACTACCAACATGCTTGATGAAAGTTCTAGAAATAATGTGAGAGGTGATTATTCATTAGATATCTTTGTCCTGTGGAAGTGGGGAAACAGGATTCATTGGAACAATAAGTATTTACATTTTAAAAGTTTATATATGATATCTGTATGTATATCTTACATAAACATACATAAATGTCTAGCAGAATTGATGTTGAATTAATAGAGAACAACATTTTAAATATTTTCTACTGTGGAATTGTTTAATGTGGGAAAGACTATACAAGGTGCTTCATAGTTTCAATATAGTTCCAATCAGTTGAAACCATTAAAAACCTATGATACATTAATATATCAAACCTATGAGATGTTAATATTATATGCATTTTACAAGTAAAGATAGAGGCTCAGAAGTAACTTTCCCCAAAGTCATTCCCCTAAAATATGGCAGAGCTGGAGTCTTTACTTCTGACTCCCAGCCAATGTTTATCCCACTATTCCATGCTGCTTTTTTTTATATTAATTATGGAGAGGTTTTTTTTTTTAGCCTTTCACCTAAAATATTGAGATTTGAGTACTAAATTTAAGAATAGCACATGGACTTCATGCAGACATCAATGTATACTGGTGAAAGGAAACACTAATTTTTAGCTTAAGATTAGATTTAGATTTAGATTTAGATTAAGATTAGATTTAAGATTTAAATCTTTCTACGTATTGTGATCAGAATATTGAGGAGGTTGTTTTAGCTAAGTACTTTTTAATTGTGACCTTTGAATCTTGTCTTAAGCACAACACTTACGAAGATGCCAAGACTTTATGAGCTTCTTAGAAGGGCAGTATTCACTTGAGAAAGCAGGAAAAAGGAAACCACTTTAAAATAAAAAAACTTTGGAGCTATTCATTGATACACTGTTCATCTTTAAAGAACGTGGTGAAGGTCTAGGTATAAAATGCCAAATGGTTGTCACAGCTGCCCCATACAGCTCTGCATTGTCTTCTTAAAAACAGACCTTTTAAAATATGAGGATGTAAGCTATTTTTTTAAAAGTAATTGTTAACTAAAGATGGCCGGTGGATCCACAAGATACCACAAGCTCCAGGTTGTTACGATCCCCAACTACCATGACTTAGTGAGGTTGGACATCTTTTTATGTGGTTATTGGCCATTTCTATTTATTTCTCTGCAAATAACGTATTCACATCCTTACCTTCCTCCACTACCTGCCCCCCTACTGCCCTGCCAATTGGGCTATTTATCTTGTTGAGGTTCATCCTTTATTGTATGTGCAAATATCTTCTCCTAGCCAGTCATGTATCTGTACTTTTGTTTTTGGTGTCTTGTTACACAGAAGTTCTAACTGTGCCATCTTTTCTCTTTGGTTTGTACTTTTGGTGTGTTGTTTTAGAAATCTAGATCACTCTTCACTGAAATTCACTTAATTATATTTAACTACTGTTTTGTCTTTTGCTTGGTGGTTTAGAAGGGGCAAGAACATAGCAACTGCTAAGAAACACAGTTCATTCACCCAGTGGGAGAAGTACTGAACTAATAAATTAGAAGCAACTCAAAGAAAGCAAACAGCTTGGAACCTAAGGCATGAAAAGGAAGAGCACTCAGGAATCCAGCCTTTTTAGTTGGGGCAGGCAATTAATGCTCTGTGATTTGAAGAAATGTTTATGAGGTAATTAACACCTAACTTGTAATTAGCAGTTGAGTACAAACTGAGCTAGATGAAAAACAAGCAAGGGAGCCCTTAAGTTAGTGATAGGGTCGTTAACTAAGGTTGTTAATGTTTGCTGTTTTGGGGGAGATATCCCATTTTAGTACTCCTTTCACTTAGGTTATTTTCTGATTTATAGATTAAAATTCTCATCAAAACAATAATAAGTAATAATACTGGGCACTCATTCTGCTAGGCACTGTGTCTAAGGACTTCATATACATGATCTCATTCTGTCAACAGACTTATGAGTAGATGCCATAATTATGCCATTTTACAGATGAGAAAACAGGCTCAGAAAGGCTAATTAACACTCCCAAAGTCCACAGCTGGCAAGTAAATGGTGCCAGGATTGAAGTCAATTCTTTCTTCTCTCACAGGTGCCCAAATGTGATGTTACACATTTTTAAAAATAAAAAGTAGATGAGAAGAAACCGGGTGGTGAGTAGTTGAAGTCAGTGATGGGGCCTGTTATGCTTTAAATCAAGTATCGTTGGCATGCCCTGGGAGAGTTAGTTGCTCTTAAAGTTTCTGCAGGACTTTATCACTCAAAGCCTGTGTGGGGGGAAACAAAAAAGTCAAAGCTCCATCTCTCCTGGGGTCCCTGCTTTTCTACATTCGCTTTGCTGCTACCCACCAGGATGACAGACGGGTCTGCCTCTCTTTTCCAGCCCCAGCCTTGTTCCACAGCATCCCTTCAGTCAGTCAGGTCCAGAGAAACCCACCTGTCACTCTGGTGCAAGGGAACTGGCTGTGGCTTGCAGTGCGTGTGTGCATGATACAGCATACGTGTGTGTGGAGCAGCCACGCAGCGCAGCACAAGGGAGGCAGCTCAGCTGTTGATGCCCAGAGGAGGGCCCTCTCCCAAGGTTCCTCATCAGCTCTTCAGCTCTCCACACAGCTCAGCATGGATTTCCTCAGACCATCCCAAACATAACCTTACATTTTGGTGAAAATTTGTCTACTACTTTTTGTATGACACAAATCGAGCAAACAGCACAGAAACCAAAATCTATTTATTTGGAAATATTCTGAAGCGATTCACTGGTATAATTTCATAGTGTTAAAGCGGGTTAGAACCCAGGCTCTGTTACTTACTTGCTCTAAGAACTTGGGCGAATTTCTTTGTGTCTCTGTGACTTTGTTTCCACATCTGCGAGGATGTACACTTTAATGCATTTTTTATGCACCTTAGACCAGTGCCTGGCATATAAATAATACCTTCTGAATGTTAGCTAGTTTTAGAGATGTAAAGCACTAAGCCACTATTTCCAGAGCGGTGGTCCTGGCACTATTTCAATACACCACCAACATTTTATATTCGTATCACTAATAGTTTTGGTGATTTGATACCACTTTTACCTCTCCTCATAAATCAAGGCATTTTGTGGTCTCTAGAGAAGTAGGGTTCATTTGAGCCCCAGAATACAGCTTCTGGCTTTGGATCTATGCTTTTCCAGCAATCTTTTGATCACTCACATGTTGTCCCCTCATTTGAGCCTAAAGAATTGGTTTCTCTCCCCTCTCATATTGGTGGTGTTCATAAGTTCTACCCACTAGCAGTTGAAATTGGGACAAAAACATCCCAGATGTCCCGTGACTCTTCCTAATTCCTTTTCCTGTTGTCCTCTTTCTTTCTTAAAATTATCCCCCTTTGCCATGGTACTGGTCCACTATTTAAAGGTCAGTGACTCATGTTGTGCCTCAACACTCTGCCAATCCCTGTACCGGATGCTGGGGAGGCAAAGTGAATACCACTTCAGGTTTTTGTTACTGGAGATTTCATAGAGTGTTAGAGCAGGAAGGGCTCACAAAGAAACAATCTCATCTAGCCCTTTTATTTTACAGAGAAAGAAGCCAAGACCCAGGAGAGTGAGTGACCTGCTTAAGACCCATAGGCTCAGAACTGGAGCCAAATCCCCTGACACTTGCCCACACTACAAACCCAAGGACAGTAGAACTAAGGCGTTCTAGATAGGTCATTTGTAGACAGATTCTTCAGTCGTTTCACACTGCCAAGTGGAGAAAACCCAAACTCCCCTTCTAGTCACCGATCTTGTGTTTAGGACCCTGGACACTGGTTTATTTATGGTGAAAAGAATCTCACTGTTGGAGCTGGGCTGCAGATGGAATGAATCAAGTTTAACTTAGGTCCTCAATGCAGTTGGATATTTTATGGTAAGCTACCCTTTGTAAGAAATGTGAGCGCTTGGGTGGGTGTGGTGGCTCATGCCTGTAATCCCAACACTTTGGGAGGCCGAGGCAGGCAGATCACTTGAGGCCAGGAGTTCAAGACCAGCCTGGCCAAAATGACAAGACCCCATCTCTACTAAAAATACAAAAATTAGTCAGGTGCGGTGACACGTGCCTGTAATCCCAGTCACTCAGAAGGCTGAGGCATGAGAATTGCTTGAACCCAGAGGTTGCAGTGAGCAGAGATTGCGCCACTGCACTCCAGCCTGGGTGACAGCAAGACTATGTTTCAAAAAAAAAAAAGAAGAAAAAAGAAAAAAAAAAAAAAGAAATGTAAGCCCTTTTAAAAGGCTTATTGAACACAGCTTGAGTTACTCTTGGTGCCTCTCGTGTGTGTATCTCTAGGACTAAAGAATAACTAATGCCTTGCGGACAACATAGAACGTGGTTGGAAAACTCTTTCTACCATCCCAAAGTGTTTACTATGACTATGTCAGCTTGGGGCATTTTTGGTTAGTTGGTATACTTTCTACAAACATGAAGTACTTCCCGTAGCCATTCCCATAGGTTTTTGTTGCAACTTCAATCCGCTTCTATTATTATTACTTCAAGTTTGAAATATATTTACTTATTCACTTAAAATAACAATAATAAACTTATTACATGTTAATGTAAATAACATTGTTTTATGAAAAATACATTTTTCAAGTCAAAAAATTAGCTGAGATGCATTGTTTCACATTTTGCAAATTTCTTTAATGTCTGACTTAATGGACAGCTGGGTCATCAGATCTGTATTTCATTCACTCTGATGCAGCGTATTCTTTTGGTTGAAGTACCTGAAGATCCAACCTCACATAGGTATGTGGTTGGAAAAGGAGGAACTTATATACCCCTAAAAGGTTCTTGGGGAGGACCCAAGGATTCTCTTACCAAATTTTGAGAACCACTTTCTTTAAAGTAACTCATCTACTCTCTGTATCTTTACCTTCAGTCTTCTCTAAGGAGGAGTTCTGAATTTCCTACAGATAACTTGGAGAAGGAAGTAAGCACTTTTGTTATTTTGAAGTTAGTGACTGTGTCCTGATAGTAGTGTATAAGGTAACACTATAAAGAAAAACAAGAAAAGAGTTTAAGGCAAATTCAGGATAGTGTTTACCTCCAGTACAGAGGGAGAGTGATGCCATCTCACAGGATACCATGGGGCTTCAAAGCTTTTGTTAATGTGTTGTTTTTTGGGCTGGGTGTTGGGTATGTGAGTGTTTGTTCTATTTTCTTTACATGGTAAGGACATGTTGTAAAAGATTATGAGGTATCTACTTATATACTTAAAGAAACCTCTGGTTTTTAGTACTTGAGGAAACAGTAAATACTGTATTTTGTATTCAACATTTTCTGCTTTTTTTTGGCTTGTATCTCTTGCATCTTTCTAGGACCAGTTTTTTAAAATACCCCTTTTGATACCTGGCTCACCCATCAGAATTATTTTTCACTTCCTATACTTGTGTTAACATAAGATCCAAGGCTTGTGATTCCCTAATTGCTGCATGAATACACAGAACTGGAGACTTGCAAGCTCAACTTTGGGACTAGAGTGATGAGATTTCTTGGTGTCTGAATGTTTGACTGTCAGACGACAATGGCTTTCAACCGTTCTAAGCCTTCTATGTCACATTGATCCTGGCCCTCAAAGACTCGTTGGTTGTTCTCCTTTCCACTAGATAATAGGCTGATTTTGTGGTATCTAAACAATCATAAAGTTGCACTTCTTGGAAAGGGTAACCCGCTATTTGACTTATGTTGGGAGCCATCCCACTCTGTAGTATCTTCTTGCTTGGCGTCAGCATTTTAGACTTTTGTTTTGATGACCCAATACCTCTAGTGAGGTTTTATTTGAAGTCTGATACCCACTCTGACATAGGCTCTGGCAGCCTTTAATCTTTTATCCCATTGCAAATGTTAGAATCCCGTAATTTAACAACTAGAGTTTATGTACCTTTCCTCAATGACCCTTCTCCACCCATCTATGTTACAGATGATGATACTGAAAACCAGAGAAGTGGTGGTCCCTGTCACTTATAGCCAACCTAGCTGAAATAGGATTGGAAGCCCTGATGGATGTTTAGCTATGGAATATAATGGTTAAAGTAGTTTTTATGTTTTTTTCCTTATTTGCCTTAAGGTAGATAAGCCCAGCTACACAATATAACATGGAATGAGGTAGAGAAAGAAGAGTATAGTGTTCTAAAGAAAGCATTTTTGGTGGGAGAGAAATTTAAACCATAGTAAAAAGCTCAAGAGAGAGAGAATATGGCAGTAAATAATATGTGACTTTGAATTTTTTAAAGTTTGATTTTAGAATGCTCTCCCCTTTGTTACACTTACAAAAATATTACTGCTTAAGTAGATGATATCTGAACATGGTTTCCAAGGGCCTGAGTAAACTATTTGTAATTACCTCATGGATTGTTAGGAAATCAACAAAACAGGTATTTTATGTTGCTGCCATGGTGGCTAGTGGTTGAACATTTGTTCCAAATTGCAAGTTGCAGAGAAGTGCATGTAAAGGAATGTGAGTGTAATTAAAATGCCTTCAGAAATGGGGGTCTAAGTAAATATTGTATTTATTAAGTGAAACAGCACAAGTGAAATTACCAACTAATGCCTAGCTCAGGGTAGGCTTTAGAATAATGAATATTAGTTTTCCTGAGAGTAAAAGTATTGCTAGTTTTTAAAGACTTATTTTTAAATATAAGCTCAGAAGTGGATAATGGAGTTTCATCAGTAAATCAATATTTTTTTTCATTAGTCTAATTTTAATACCAGGTAATGAGCATTTTTAGCCTTTCTAAAAAGGATGAAGGAGTGAGTCTGGGGATGTCCTCTTATCCCAAAAGGTTCGTCTTTTTTTTTTTTTTTTAGGATGATTAAGTTGATAAAATGGCTTACCAGTTCCTTGCACATACTAGGTAGAGATACAGAAAATATTTCTTCTCTAGCCCATACTACCGAAAGGTTATTTGTTTGTTTGTTTTTGGTAATACAAGCATATGTGTGTTTGCTCCTCAGTAGTCTATAAGAAGCTAAGGAGGAAGTGGTGGGAATATCTGATATGTTAGTCATGTGGTTTTAATCAGTCAGGACTGCTAACTGCATCCTTTCTTGTTTTTCTTTGCAACTTCTATGTAAGCTTTGGTTGATTTTTCTCTGCAACTAATTCTTACAGCTTTGCCAGAGAAAAGTAAGAAAGGAGACTTGATAATCCTTGCTCTTAGAAGAGTGTGAGAGAGAGTAAGAGTGATTGCTGTAGGCTGCCTAACCTTAATCTGTACTCTCTGGGTTAGACTTACTCTGCTTCTTTTCTGTGAGAAATATAAGAAATCCACTCCAGCAGCTGGTGGTGGAGGTCTCTTCTTGGATTCTTCCTTCTCTTGTTTCCTGCTGTTCCCACTTCCCGTAGCTCCCACGTTGCTTTCCTTGTGTGCTCTTACTTGGTGGAATAGGGCCTGTGCACCATGACAACCTACCTCTCCAGCGATTTCTCACCTTGGAAGTTGGTGACTTCTGTAGTGTGATGTGCTTGGGTGGGCCACGCATGTCCCTTGATGGCCAACACACACATCACTCTCTGGTTTATAAAAGGTTGACCAGAGGTAACTTTTCTAGACTCCCAGGCTCTACTAATGTAGTGGCCTGGGCTTTGGAGGAAGCCTGCTTGGCTTTGACTCCTGGCCCTACCACTTACTTGCTGCACAACCCTGAGCAGCTTAATCTCTTAGAGCTTCACTGACCTCCACCGTAAAATGGGAATAATAACGGTGCACACCTCAGAGGCGATTGTGAGAAGTAAATGAGACCTATGTAAAATACTCAGCATAATGCCTGCCATATATGTATAAAATAAGAGCTTTATACTTGTGAACTTTAGCAGAATAGTTTATTTCCTGAGAGCAAACACCCCTACAACGTTTGACCTCTTCACTACCGTGTCTCTCCCTCCCTGCAGTTGATTGTGACTAAGTGTTGGGAAGGGTTCATACTGAAGCATGTGGCTGGAGTATTGACATCCCTTTTCTCCATTTTCCAAGGGCCCTCTTAAACTTCACTTCCTCCATCAAACATACCATGGGCATTTCAGCCCATAGTGAATGCTCCCTCCCATGAATTCTCTATCACTGCACTGCTGCTCCATGGCTGTTGTTTTTGGTTGGGGAAGTCAGGTTGTATAGACTTTGTGAGAAATAAGTTGCTGCATTCATTCATCCTAAACATATGGCCCTGGCTACTTGTGATGTCATGGTACATACAGTTCAAAGTAAGATGAATAAGACAGGGTTCCTGTCCTCAAAAAATGTACATTCTTTTGGGGGCCTGACCAAGTGAGAAACTAAGTGTACTGCTAGATGCAAGATGTGACCAAGGACCCAAATAGAGTGGACCTTTATAAAATAAGAAGCAATGGTGTCTAATTCAAGGAACCAGGGAAGGCTTAGTGAAGAAAGTGGCATTTTGCCTGGAATTTTGAGGATGAGTAGGATTTGACAAGTGGAGTTGAAGGTGGAGGCATGCTCTGTGCAGAGGTCGGTATGCTTTGAAAAGAGTCAGTTGTCCAGTTTAGTGTATGGGCGGTGGTGGACTTAGAATCTGGCAAAACTGGTTTGAATGCTGGTTCTGCCATGAATTGAACTTTAGTTTCCTTCTCTGTAAAATGGAGCCAATAGTATCTACTTCACAAGTTATAAGGATTAAATGGGAAGGTTTTTAAAAGGGCAAACAAAGGGCCAGGCATGGTGGCTCACATCTGTAATCCCAGCACTTTGGGAGGTCAAGGCAGGCGGATCACCTGAGGTCAGGAGTTCAAGAACAGCCTGGCCAACATGATGAAACCCCGTCTCTACTAAAAAATACAAAAATTAGCCGAGCGTGCTGGTGGGCGCCTGTAATCCCAGCTAGTTGGGATGCTGAGGCTGGAGAATTGCTTAAACCAGGGAGAAAGAGGTTGCAGTGAGCCGAGAAACTCCATGTCAAAAAAAAAAAAAAGTGGGGGCAAACAAGCACCCAATAAACATTATTTTCCTGATGGCTGGAGTGGAAGGAGGGACATATTGAGAAGCTTGAAGGGTAGACCAAGCATCAAGCATGGTGACCTTTGAATGCCTTGTTTGTTTTTGCTAAACCATACTTAGTATTGTGGTCTTTTCATAAATGTTTGATAAAATTGTTTTTTGATTGATTGATCTAGGGAAATGGCAGACCCCTCTTTTTTTGTTCTGTGGATAAGAAAGTGGTAGAGCCTGTTGCCTTTTTTCCTTCTCTGGGTATTTTAACCTTCATCATATAGGTACTCCCAGCAACTTTAAACTGATACTTTGAAAAGATAGTGATCTACTTTTCCACCTTGATCCCAGAATATGAGGTGAAGTATGAGGTACATTTATTGGTGCTCTGTTCTCCATGGGGACTAAAGCTTCACAAGTTTGTCTGTCCAAACACATCAGGTTTTACAGTGATTGTTTCTTGGGTGTTCATGCATGTGACTTGTGGCTGTCACACTGTCTTCTGAATTATTAATATCCGGGCTAAAGGGTGGATAGGAAGTGGAACTGAGAAGGAATCGTGGGGAATTGCTGCCAAGCCTTGTTTCCTTATATCGGTGGCTGCAGCTGCCACATTGCGCTAAACCCACTCCCGGTAATAAGCAACCTAAGTGTGTACATTTGGTGCAGTTGTGGCAAAAGAGGCTTAACTCTGTGTAGCCATGATTACAGTGAGATACGTGGTCTGACCCTCTCTATGTGGGAAGGGATTTGAGGCTTGGATTTTTCTCAAATTCAAATGGGAAAGTAGTTCTTGTTTTTGCCAGTGTAATCATCACTTATTTCCCTTAGCTTGCCATTCATTTTATCTATGTGAGTAATAATTATTCAAATGGACCATTAGGCTTTGGGAGTGTTTAATGGCAGCCACCTGGATCAGTGCCTAAGATTTTTGCTAATTCTGGTTTGTCTTTCACCCTGAGTCTCATTTAACTTCAGTTTTTCCTTCCTACAGATCGTATGGATTACAGCAAGGATCTCTTGCCAAGCTATAATCTTTCAAGTTTTGATTTTAGCTTAATGCTTCCCTGTAATCATGCTATCAAGACTGTCAGAAACATATTCCCATTCACATATCCCATACTCTTAATCTATCAATCTAGGACCATTGATGTGGAATTGGACCCGATCTTGCTGAGAAGTCTGGGCTGCTGACCCAAACCTTTTGTGCTTTGTGGTAACAACATGAGTAAAAATGTAACCTGTGCTCTTGCACATATTTTATCATCTCTTTTTGAGAGCTGATGGGATTTATAACGGATTGTTGTATGCAGTTGCATTTTCCCTGTGTTCTACTTGGGCCCTACTTGATTATTCAGACATATCAACATGATGATAATGATAAAGAAAATGGCTCTTTAAGAGACATTTTTAGTGGACAATGGAGGGGGTGGAGAGGACTGTGGGAACATTCTTGTGAGCTGCAGCATGTGAAAAGGTTTGTTTTGCATTAACTGATCAAGACAAGAAAGCCAGCATATAAAATCTTCTATCAATAGGAGAACTTTGAGAAAAGAGGAAAATTGTAATACAGCCTCTTGGGTCTGCTTTCCTAAGCACAACAGTATGTGTGAGAAAAACTCTAAACCAACTTTCTCTTACACCTAGGTGGATGCTTCTACAATGTGCAGTTAACTTTCTGTAAGGCAGAAAGTTGTCTCTGCTAGTGGGAGTATTTATTGATTTATTAGGGGTTATTTGGTCCTATTTTTTGAGAAGGAGAACAGAGTAAGGAAGGAGTAAGAAAGCTTTAGCTTGATTAGAATGGCTGAACTTGTAGCGGTAACAAATAGAGTCTGTTTATTAGCTTCTCTGCAAGATATGCATTTTTTTTTTTTTTCATGCTCTGCAGAAGTTTGCATCAAATAGCTTACCATTTGGATGGTTGCCCCAGCTGGTAATCTGGGTTAAAACCTTGACTGAGGCAATTCTATACTCATGATCCCTTGGTGTGCTGGTCTGGTGGGAAGATATGTTTGTAAGTACACTAGGGAGTGGGAAACAGAAAAGTCTTTCATGACGTGGCTGCTCAGTGATTGTTTCTAGATCTCTCCCCCAAGTGACACTCGAATACTTAGTAGCACATCCTGGGCATAATGCTCCCCATTTAAGGACTATTTCCAGTAAACTGAAAAAGAATCAGTTTTAAAGTCTTACATCCTCTACTCTTAGTTTTCCTAGTTCATTGATTTCCCTGCCCTTTGGGCCTCTTTCCTTTTCCTGCTGCCTTCCTTGATAGATTCTACCTCTTTCTTTCCATCCATCTCCATTCCCTTTCTGCAACTATTCAAATCTTTTTTTTTTTTTTGATTGAGATGGAGTCTTGCTGTTGCCCAGACTGGAGTGCAGTGGTGTGATCTTGGCTCATTGTAACCTCCGCCTCCTGGGTTGAAGCGATTCTCCCACCTCAGCCTCCTTAGTAGCTGGGATTACAGGCGGGTGCCACCATGCCTGGCTAATTTTTGTATTTTTAGTAGATACGGGGTTTCACCATGTTGGCCAGGCTGGTGTCAAACTCCTGGCCTCTAGTGATTGCCTGCCTCAGCCTCCCAAAGTGTTGGGATTACAGGCATAAGCCACCACCCCCGGCCCAGATCTTATTTCATCTTACCATAACCTAGGGCAAAACTGACCTGCTTTAAGAGAGTTTTACATTTTTGCTCTGGTCCACATTCATCTCCATTGTCTAACCCTGTAATCTTTGTAGTATATTTCATCATGAAACATTTCAAAATCATCTTCCATTTTACCTCAATAACTTATCTCCCTAATAAGACTCAAATTCCTTAAGAATCTTTTGTATTTCCTAGAATTCTTGTTACAAACACAACACCTAAACATTTGCAGTTTACTTTCATTTTTGGAAGGCTTCCTCCAAAGGCTAGCTAGTTTGTGGTTAGCTGCCCTTATCAGATTCAGTGTAAAAGGTTTGCCTTGGTAGCCTGAGAGGGATCTAGTTTACCATGCTTTTACTAATATCTATCTTTTTTCTCCTGGAGACAGTTGTGTGTTTTTTTTGTTGTTTTTTGTTTTTGTTTTTTTTTTAGCTGGGGAAATGCCAATATTCATTATTATATCTTATCCTAAAGTTACACAGGAGAAATAGGGATGTTGAAATAATGTATACTTTGGTAGGCAGAATCCGAAAATGGCCCCAAGATCCCAGCCCCCTGGTGTACACGCTCTGCATAATCCCCAGAACTTGTGAATATCACTCCCACAGGTAGGTTATGGCACAGCTGTCGTTTAGAAATGGAGATTGACCTGGGTGGACCTTACCTCATTAAGCAGTCCCTTAAAAGGGACCAGACTGTTCCTGAAGAAGGATATTTGACATGTGAGAGGGACACAGGGAGATTTTTCATTGCTGACTTTGAAGACAGAGGTGACCTCGTGGCTTGGAACCGTCAGTGACTTTTTGGAGCTGAGTGCAGCCTCTGACAGCGAGTAAGGAGAGAAGGCCCTCAGTCCTACAGCTGCAAGGAATTGAGTCTGCCCACATCTGGAATGAGCTTGGAAGAGGGTATTTCCCCAGAGCCTTGAGAGGACAACCTCCTTAGCTTGGCCCACACTTTGATTTCAGCCGTGTGATAACCCAGGCAGAAAGTCCAGCTACACCATGCCCAAAGTTGTGACCTATGAAACTGACTGCTAATAAATGGATGTTGTTTCAAGCCACTAAATTTGTGATAATTTGTTATATGGCAGTAGAAAACTAGCACATGCCCCACATTTATGTAAACAACCCCTATTCCATCCTGATATTGTTTTATCCAGGGTTGAGATTAAGACACAGTAGAACTCTTAGAGGCCAGGTGTGGTGGCTCATGCCCGTAATCCCAGCACTTTGGGAGGCCGAGGCAGGCAGATCACAAGGTCAGGAGTTCAAAACCAGCCTGGCCAACGTGGTGAAACCCCGTGTCTACTAAAAATACAAAAATTAGCTGGGCGTGGTGGCAGGTGCCTGTAATCCCAGCTACTCGGAAGCTGAGGCAGGAGAATTGCTTGAACCCTGGAGGCGGAGGTTGCATTGAGCCGAGATCGCGCTATTGCACTCCAGCCTAGGCGACAGAGCAAGACTCCATTTCAGGGAAAAAAAGAAAAGAAAAAAAGAACTCTTAGGAAGACTTGAGGATTTTGGCCATAATTGTTTAGTAATATTTGTAGAGCAAGACCAGATGTTAATTGGTATGTTTATTTCCTCAATATGTATCATGGTTTTGGTCATTTCTGGTATAATTCCTCAATTTTCAGGTGCTGGAAATGTGTCACTGGACTCAGATGTTCTAGGTCAGCCTGGATTAGGAACTGAACATGCCTTGGGAGGAGAAAGCAGCCAGGTTGTGACTAGGGGAAACAGCCCTGGTGCTTTTGTTCATGACTTGCTTGGAACTGGATTGGATTTTTTTTTTTTCTTCTCTCACAGAGACTGCCATCACATGGCCATTACTGTAACTGAAAATCCCCTGCCTTTTCAGAAAGGCACAGAAATATATGGTATCTTTCAGAAAGGAAGTGGCTAATTTATATCCGGTGATAGAAATGGTGGCATCGGGAAGGAAGCGTCCCATCCATATTTCATTATTTGCTGATGAATGCATTCAGTGAATAGAAATAGATGAACTGAGCCACAATATTTCTCAAACAGGAAATACTGAGGAATAGATGTGTGAATATGAGTAGCACAGGACATAAAAAGTTGAGGAAAAAACTTCCAACTGCTTTGAGCCTCTTAATTCTATTTGACCTCCTATTCGTCACTGTTTTGAAGATATTCCATAGGATAAAGACAGGGCAGGAGGGACAAAAATGACCCAAATAAACAACAGTGAGACAAGTGGGTGGTTTTATGCTCTGCAAGAGACGTGATATGTCTTAAATGGAACTGGGTTGTTTGGGACCCACTGGACAGCAAGAGGGTTTTGAAATGGTTTATGACCTCTTCCCCACTTCCCCGCTTGCTTTGCTCATTAGTGTTCCTAGGTGGCTGCTGGGTGACGGGCTTTTCATCATCTCTGATGTGGGCCAGTGCGAAAGAGCAGCTGCAACATCTGTTTCTAATTGGGTCGTGCCTTTATAAATACTTCTTGCCTATTTGTCACATTGCTTCCCTCCCACCCTGTCTTCCTTGGAGTACTGCAGAATCTGTAAGCGTCCCTGGAATGCACACGTGGACCTTGTCATTCCCAAACAGACTTTCTGCTGGTCAGCACTTTGTAATGTTCGGCTGTTACAGGCATTAGTCACTTGTGCTCAGAGAGAGACTGTGGTCTTTGGAAACTGAAGAAAATGTCTTTTTTGTTGTTGTTAATTCTTGGCATCCAGTTAGATTTAACTTCTCAAGAGTTTACACAGACTTTTAGAAAAACATTCTGTCTCTAAGAAAAAAGTGCTCTAGCTTTGTACAGTTTTTGGATTTTCACACTTGGTGGTTGTTTGCTGAAATGCTGTTTTGCTAGTGATTCCCCTCCTCCCCCTATCTGGGGTTGTAAGCAGCTCTGGGGCTCTGTTCACTTCGGATACCTGTTTCTGGGGACTGCTTTTCAACAGCGTTTTTCCTAAGGGCATATGAGAAATTTAATTTCTGATGGAATGAAGGTGAAACTCTAGTCCCAGGTAAACCTGGGTAGGCTGTAGAGACAGAAAGGGGGCTGCAGGTCTAGGTGGAAGAACGAGAACGAATGCAGCATGGTATTTCCAGGCCTTTTAGATTCGGCTTCATCCACAACCAATGTGAGTTCTTATCTGCAAAGCGGGCCTAAGTGTAATGGAGGGAAGGTGGGCCAGGCACCAGGGTCCTGGGTTCTCCCGCGCCTCACTCTGTCTCCACCTGGCCCATGCATAAAGAACACTAGTCAAGTAGCCATTGTACCTGTTTCCTTATCTGAAAATGAGAAGGTTGGAGAGTATGACTTCTGTTGAAACAACAAGGCGCTTACAAATTTTGGTGAAGTCGAATGAGGGCAGCGTTAAGAGAAATATCAAAGTTAGTCATTGGATTTCAGGGCTTAGGGATGGAAACCAGCTGGTAGTAGACTGGTTGTAGTTATGTCCAAAGGGCAGAGTGGGAAAAATTTGGCCGAAAAGAGTGTGGTGGGTGACCAGCAAATGTTAGAGGTATACATCAGGGCACAGAGGAGAAAAGCTAACATGATACTGATGACTTCAAGTCTTCACTGTCCAATTCAGAGGATAGGGGAGGGTTTAAGCTGATTAAACAGTGGGCTTTTTTTCTCCTGCAAGAGGGTGGAGGTCTATAACTGTGCAGATTTTATCAGATGCATGCTAATACATGTTATTCTGGGGGACTCTCTTATACCTTGAAGTAGACATTGCTGCTATTTGGCGTGAAAAAAATAGGAGGACTTATTTGAATTGAGAATGGGGATAGGCTGAGTTCCACCGAGATGTTGGCTTAGAGATGCCTGGGCCATGCTGTACAGTAGGAAGCCCAGCAGAGGAGATTGGGCTGTGTGGGTCATGACAAAGGGAGTTGTTAGCTTATGGTTGGCTATTAAAGTCATGGGCAAGGATGGGCAAGAAAAGTGTGTAAAATGAGCTGACAAAAGATAAATATGTTAATTAATTCTTTACAACAGCCCTGTGAGAGAATGTGTCTTAAAGCTGACAAAACTGAGGCAAAGTTAAATACCCTAGGTCACACAGCTAAACTATGAAAGAGGTGCTCTTGTCTTGACTTCACATGTTGGGCACCTTCCACTACACTTTTCCACTTTTCCGATTCCTCCTGTCACTTTCAACATGACTTGGTTCTACTATTAGAAAAATTAAGTTCTCCTATTTTACTCTGTTAACCTACCTATTAGCTACAATAAATATTGTGGGCTTACCTCCTCAAAAAAGATCTTTATTTAGTATTATTGTTATTGATGTTCCTGGATTTTAAAAATCTTATATATTTTCTATTATAAAACTACAGCTTTTTTTTCTTTTGTAATAATTCAAATGTTACAGAAACAAAACAATTAAAAGGTAACATTTCCCGAAAATCTTACCAGCCCCAAAGAAAACCCCCACACGGCATTAATTTTGTAAGGATCTGGAAAAGCAAAATGTGTTCCTCTACTGGGAGTCTTCTGGAGAAAGTTACTTGGAGATAGCACTTGGAATTGGGACAATTATTCAGTATTAATCAAGTGCTTTTTTGGTTATATGATATGTTTTCCAGAGTGGCTCCCTGGGTTTGGCATTCTGAGCTTATCTACCTGGCTTTGTGACCTAGGGGCTGGCTCCTGGATGCTCCTCCTTAGTCTCAGCTTCCAGCTGGGCCGCACTGAGAAGTTGTTCTTTCCTTGTATTACCATATGGTTTTTCTCTTAACAGTTCCTCACTGCCGCCTGGCGCTCTCTGTTCTGCTGCTTGTGTGAGACAATTTCCTTGGGGGTTTTCTTGGCTCTAGGCATGGGATTTCATGGTATAGATGACAAGCAGAGTAGCAAATGTTGTTCAAATCATCTTTAAAGAATGCAATTCTCATTGGTAATGAGATGGTCCAGACATTTTATATTATGAAAGTTACCCCAGCAATGCTTAGCTTTGAAAGCATCCCGATGCTGGCTTCATAGCTGTGGTTTGGGTCAAAACTTTGCATTCCAGTGTTTTCCCTTTTGCATGAGAACTAAGGGCGTTTCCCATCTTCCCATTAACCTTCTTTTTTTAAAAGAGAATGTGAAACCAATTCAATACTTTCTAGAATGCAGTCAGATAAGAGTGTGTATCTACAGAAATGATTAATCAGGGTACTTAAATAAAACTTACTTTGCGGACAGTTCGTGAGGCCAGAATTTCTCCAGATACTGGGAGGTGGCTGGTGGTCAGTCAAAGATTTTGTGTGCGAGACAGCATGTTCTTTTCTTTACCTCTCTTCAGCTCAGAGGCGTCTGTACTACTGAAATAGGACCTCAGAAAAAGACATGACCTAAGATGAAGGGGTATGTACTTCTTCTCTTTTCCAAGTGGGTATTCTGTAAGGAGAAAAGACAGAGCTCAAAGGAGTGTACTGTACATGTCTCCTCTGCCCTCTGCTGCCCCATGGTTTCATCTCAGCTCTCTTTAAAATTGGACATCTGTTCCCTTGAAACCTGAGTTCTGATATTTCTACCTTCTCCCATCAGGTACTGCTGCTCAGAAAGACTATTTGTTTTCATCTGAATATGTGAAACCTGCACATCAGCTGTACACAGGGGCCGCCTATTAAATTAATATTCAACAGTGCTTTGGACTAATACATATTTTTACATACTATAGGCTGGTGAATTCACTCAAAGAATGAGTAGTTAATCACATGAGTTATAAGGCTACACAGCATCCTGTCCTTTGGATAGCTTTATGGTTATGTATTTGTGACTATTTGATTGACATCTGTGTGCCCCATTACCCTGTACGCTCCATGAGTTGGGGAGGCTTTGTTTTTTCATCATGGTATCCTTAGCATTTAACACAGTGTTCTACCCACACTGGTACTCGATGAATATTTGCTGAATGAATGAAAGCATGAATAAAGATTTGCTTTTCTTTTTGAGAACAGATAACTAACTTATACAGAGAAGTCATTTCCTAGGTTTTTTGTTTGTTTTTTTATTTTGGAGATAAAGTATATCACTCTGTCACCCAGGCTGGAGTACAGTGGCACAATCCTGGCTCATTGCAGCCTCTAACTCCTGAGCTTAAGCAAGATCCTCCTGCGTCAGCCTCCCAAGTAGCTGGGATTATAGGCATGAGCCATTGCGCCCAGCCCTAGGTTTTGTTTTGAGGATATAAATCCACTTTTCAAAAATCTCGTGGATGACTGGAGATGTAGCCAAACAAAAAGAAATTGCTTTTAAGCAGGGCATTTGTAAACAGTGGGTACATAACTTTCTTAGCTAATTCATATGTATTGTAGTTAAGCAGAAATTAAAAGTTGAGGTGGAAAACACAGAGGTTATGCACACAGATTTCCATTTGGTTTGGAGTTTCCCAGCATAACTGATAGAAACTCCCTTTCATGGGTCAATTAAAACTTGAGCCATCTTGATCTGGCCAGAGCAAATATGCTTCCAGGAATTTTTCACCCTGTGTTGGCTTTCCTTAAGCAAAATGACGGAATTGGATTTATGCATCTCTAACATCCAGATTAAGAAGCCTTAGAATTAGAAAAAACAAAGAACCAGAGACTTTGTTTAGAGGTAATTTGATTAAATCTCCTCACTTTACAGAGGAGGAAACATAAGCCCGAGGATTAAGTGACTTGGATCAGTATACTTTATTTATCCATAATCTGAGGCGTTGAGAAAAATGTAATCACCATGTCTTGTTAATAAAAATCTCCAGCTCTCCACCTGAATACATAAATGTTATCTCTTAAATTTAAAAAAAAATAAATTTTAAAGAGAAAAATCTTTCTAAACTTAAATTGTAATACCTGATTTTAAAGGTAAAAATTAAATATTGCTTTCGAATGGAAACGTAATTTTAATTTGTTTGGATTAAACAATTCAAATATCACCTTGGTAACATGCTGTCTTGCTTCCGCCTGCTGATAAGGATCAGAGGCTACGGCCTATCTAACCACATCTACCG
Organism: Homo sapiens; assembly: GCF_000001405.40. NCBI lineage: Eukaryota > Metazoa > Chordata > Mammalia > Primates > Hominidae > Homo > Homo sapiens. The sequence continues at coordinate 76,989,501 of NC_000004.12, forward strand.
AAACACTTCATTTTTAAAAGTAAAGAAAAGGGATATCACTTCAGTTTAAGTATGGTGAATAAAATCCATCTGGGCACACCGAGCTTGTTAATTTCAGTAGACCCAGGGCTGGATTAAAATACAGTCATGTACTGCTTTACAAACTCTCAGTCAACAATGGACCGCATATACAACCGTGGTTCTGTAAGATTATAAAACTGCACTTTTACTGTACCATTTCTATGTTTAGATATACAAATATTTACCATTGTGTTACAGTTGCCTACAGCATTCAGTACAGTAATATTCTGTACAGGTTTATAGCCAAGGAGCAATAGGCTATCCCATATATCCTAAGTGTCTAGTAGGCTATACCATCTAGGTTTGTGTAAGTGTATCTGGAGTTTGTTCCTGCCGGTTGGTTTGTGGTCTTGCTGACTTCAAGAATGAAGCCGCAGACCTTCATGGTGAGTGTTGCAGCTCTTAAAGGTGGCACGGACCCAAAGAGTGCGCAGCGGCAAGATTTATTGTGAAGAGCAAAAGAACAAAGCTTCCACAGCGTGGAAGGGGACCTGAGCGGGTTGCCGCTGCTGGCTTGGGTGGCCAGCTTTTATTCCCTTATTTGTCCCTGCCATGTTCTGTTTCTGTTGTATCAGAGTGCCCTTTTTTCAATCCTCCCCGCGATTGGCTACTTTTAGACTCCTCCTGATTGGTGCGTTTTACAGAGTGCTGATTGGTGCATTTTACAATCCTTTTGCTACAGAGTACTGATTGGTGTGTTTTTACAGAGCACTGATTGGTGCATTTTATAATCCTCTTGCTAGCTACAGAGTGCTGATTGGTGTGTTTTACAATCCTCTTGTAAGAAAAGTTCTCCAAGTCTCCACTCGACCCAGGAAGGCCAGCTGGCTTCACGTCTCACAAGTACACTCTAGGATGGAGTCCCCAATCCCCAGGCTGCCAACTGAGACCAGTCCGTGGCCTGTCCGGAACTGGGCTGGCCAGCAGGAGGCGAGTGATGGGCTAGTCAGCATTACCGCCTGAGTTCTGCCTCCTTCAGATCAGCTTCAGGCATTAGATTATCATAGGAGCCTGAGCCCTGTTGTGAACTGTGCATGGGAGAGATCTAGGTTGTGCGTTCCTTATGAGAATCTAATGCTTAAAGATCTGAGGTAGAGCGGTTTCATCCCCAAACCAACCCTGTCCGTGGAAAAATGGTCTTCCACAAACTGGTCCCTGGTGCCACAACGGTTGGGGACCACTGCTCTAGAATGTTCACACAAGAACAAAATCACCTACTGGCATGTTTCTCAGAATGTTTCCTCATCACAAAGTGGTGCATGACTGCAGAAGCAAAAGTGATGGGGAATCCAGAATGCTTCCCAGCTGGGGAGGATGTGGATTCTGCTAACTGCTGATTCTGCAAACAGGAATGTGATTTTGTGGCTTTTCCTCCAGCTTTGTAAATGAGTTTTCTCTTTAGGAATGGATTTTCTTCAGGCTAGAATCATCATTCTCGTTTTTTATTTCTTTCTGTTCACTTTATTTTTATTGTGATTTTACCTTATTCATATGTCCGAGAGCCCTGCTGGTCAGCAGCTTCTCCTGGAATGCCTAGCAGCTGTAATAGAACTTCTGATTAATTTCAGATTTTTAAATGATAGTTGCCTCTTCCTCCCAACTACTGTAGGTAAAGGAAGTCCAAGTTTCAGAAGACCTGTTAAGTGCTAGGCACTCTCATCCATACCTCTTTATCTCCTCCCAACAACCCTGCCAAGGAGATATGTATGAGAGAGCCTAGCACCTCTTCCTGTTTTTACTGAGGGCAGAATAGAGACTAAAGCAAGTAGAAAGCAAAGCTGGGATTCAAACCCATGTCTGTCTGACTCTAAGCCTTTTGCTGCCCTTCTCTGGTGAAGCAAGATTTGGAATTGTGGAACATATTTTACAGCAGCGCTCAGAATGTAGGTGGTGGCACACATTCTTACATAATTTGTTTTATAATTATCTCAATAATGAAGTCAGCTGGGAATTTTCTGAAAAACTACCAGTTATACACTTCAGGTATACATTCATAAGAAAGTGACCTTTTGGGCATAGAAACATTTATCCAGAAGGGTTCTGCAAGCTGGGCTTTTGTTTCACTGATAGATTTGGGGAACTTTAGCTTTCCTAAAAGGTACCCCCTGAATTTCCCTAGACAAAAACTACTTCTCCTCCATGCCTTCCCGTAGTTGACGCCATGGTATTGATGACTTTTATCCTTCATAGTCCTACATTTACATCTGTCCTAGCTCTACTACTACATTGTAAAACCTCTTAAGGGTCGGAACTGCAGTGTTCTTCAATGAATTATAAAAATAACTTATTTTAGCTTTCTTAGTGCTTTGAGCAGTGGGTATTTTTGAATGAACAAATAAATAATTGTATCTAAGAGGATATGTTCTAAAAAGAGAAAAGTGAAATTGTCAAGTGAAAAACAAGTTTATTTTATACCATAAAGGTTAGTCATAATCCATTTCAAGATGGAGTGGGCTATAGAAATTACCTAATTACAAATCCTTACTAGGTAGATTAGCAAATGCAGGGCTAAATCAATTAAGGTCTTATAGTTACTTACTTAGTGGTTCTGTGTTGGCACTTTCTTTTCAAAAATGGTTAAAACTAAGCATTATATTATAGGTTTCATGTGCCATCACTACAAAAATCATATTTGGTCTTGGCATTGCCAGGATCAGCGAAAATATACTTGGAGCTACTTTGCCAGTTCTAATTCTCAATTTCCACCTCTTAAGGTTGCCAGAGAATCATGGTTTCAGAGTATTTTTTTCCTTCTATTTTAATGTATTGGATTTTTATAACAGCTGAAATAATTATGCTGTCTGGGGCTACCTGGGAACTTAATATTCAGTTCATGAGATAAATTTCAGTTTCATGAGATAGCAATGACTATGTTCGACAACTCTGGAACCTGACTTCCTGGGTTCCAATTTCAGCACCTTGACTTTACTAGTTGGGAAACCTTGGGCAAGTTACTAAACGGTGCCTCTGTTTTCTCATCTGTAAATTGAGTTTGGGTAACAATGTAACTAATTTATAGAATTATTAAGAGAGAGAAATTAGGGCTTTTCTGGAGCATTGGAAGGGATAAATGTTAGCTGTTATTATCATGATGGAATTCCAAATAGCTTGAGCAGCTTTTCAATCAGTATTTTCCTTTTATTGGTCAGAAGAATGTTTGGTGAAATTTTCCCCAAGATTTCATAATAAAGACAATGATGGAGGTATAATTTTATTGGGATCTGGAAGATTTGGATATGTAAACACTGGCTGTAAGGGCCTTTCACATAGAGGAAATAATGTGAGTAAATTCTGATGGGAAGAAACCTGGGTTTGTCCCAAGAAGAGTGGTCATTTAATTTAACTGCAGTGTAAGGTGCTCCCTGGGGAGAAGTGGGAGGTTCAGTAGGAATGGAGACTTGAGGTTAGCCCATGGGGCCCTGAAATGACAGGCCAAGGAGTTTGGATTGGGGACCTTGAGTACCGAGATCCCCTTGATGGCAAGGTGGAGGGAGGAAGTATTAGAGAGGGTGAGATCAAGTCAGGGAGGCCAGTTGGGAGGCTGTTGAATTAGTAGGAATAGAAATGTGGAGGATGTAGTATTGATAAGACTTCAGAGTTGATGGTGGGAGGGGAGCTGGTCTCAAGCATGGCTAAGTACTGTTAACAGAAATAGGGAACTCTGGAGAAGGGGCGAGTTTGGGATAGAGGAATATGATTTCAGTTTCATGAACATCAAGTTTGAAGTACAGATGGGACAACCCAAGAGAAGTGTTCCTCTGATAGAAATTCAGAACTGGATGCCAAGCAGAGTTCAATATTAGAGATAAATTCAGAGAGTCGTTTCCAGATGTGTTAGTGTTAACGACATGGAATATATGCAGTTCCCTGAAACTGGGCCTGGAGACTCAAAAAAGACCCCTCAATCCTTGGCTTGTGGTAGCTAAGGGAAGAGCTATAAAATGCTGGACTGGAGGGATGCGGTTCAGCTGCTGTGCTGGAGGCACTGGGTAAGGTGCTCAGAGCTGCCCTGTGCATGTCCTCCAGTGCCGTTCTCTCCAGTTTTTAAGCCTGTTCATAAACCAGAGAAGGAACTTCTTTTTCCCTTTCCCCCATCACATACTGATGGGCAGTGACTCTCAGGTTTCCTTTAATACTGGGCAGAGAATTAGGCTCAAATTATGAAATGTAAAAACTGTATTATAAAATTTACATATTCTATATTACAGTGTTAGAAGACAGACTCTAAAGATACAACTTTAAATTTCAAAAATGTCAAGACCAAACTGTTTTATAACCCTTCATTTTGTATGTGGTTTTCAATGGGTATAAAAATACTTAGTGGGTGTGTGGGTGGCTTCTCGTGTTTTGGAAACGGTGAGAATATGAGATGCTGAGCTTTGGGTTCTGGGATGAGAGCTATAATTACTAACTCTGATTCTTTCCCAGGATTGGTTCATAGGTGGATATCTGGTATCTAAAAACCCAGCGATCCAGAATCCAGAGCAATAAACCATTCTCCCCTCCCCCTGAAATTAACAGAATTATGTGGCGGTGGAGAGAGGGAATGTGGGATGATAGTTCTGCCCTGCGTTGTCTCTTTCATACCGTTCACGAACGGTTGAAGTCAGTGATGTAGCAGAAATGAAGGCTGGTGCCATGGCTTCTCCTAGCCTGATACACAACAGCTACTGCACAGCTAGGTGGAAAGAGTTCTAAAAATAACCCAGGACTCATTTCAAACCCTCCTCCCCCAAGTCTTGGCGGATGTGGTAAACACCTTAAAAACACCTGCTGTCTGAACCTTTGAGGTATCTAAAGAGGAAGGGGCAGGTACAAGGATTGGGGCTGGAAGAAGTACAGTATTGTTGGAAGGCTTGCCCAGCTACAAGGACTGCTGCCCACTGGGGCCTGCCCTCGAAGCTGTTTGGTGAGCTGCCTACCATGCCATCCTGGTCAAGGATAAGTGCCTACTCTTGAGTCTCATATTCACTGTTGGCAGGTTTCAAGGAAACTATTCATAGACTAGACATCTGTTGTCTGTCCCATTGACCTCAAATCTGCAGCTGCCACCATGGTATTCAGGCAGTGTGGTGGCTTTTAGTCTTATTTCACAGAATCAGAATTTTAGAGCTGATATGGACTTTAGACATTTTATTATTAATAAAACCATTGAAGTCCTTTAAAATCACTGCATTTCTGGAGTCACATTTCTGTGCCTATATAGTGACCACAAACATTTGAAATGGGGTCTTAGTCCTTGCTTGTTAAAAGAAATCACCCTCTTGATTATGTAACATAAAAATAGGATGATGAAAACCAGTCTTTTGAAAACATTGACTAAGTGATCCTGTACAAAGCTTTTTTTTTTTTTTTTTTTTTTTTTTTTAAATAAAATGGAACATTGAAGCTGGGAGTGGTGGCACATGCCTGTAGTCACAGCTACTTGGGAGGCTGAAGCTGGCTGAGCCCAGGAGTTTGAAGCTGCAGTGAGCTATGATCACACCACTGCACTCCAGCCTGAGTGACAGTGCAACCCTGTCTCTAAAAAAAAAAAAAAATGGCTGGGTGTGGTGGCTCATGCCTGTAATCCCAGCACTTTGGGAGGCCGACGCGGGCAGATCACGAGGTCAGGAGTTCAAGACCAGCCTGGCTAACATGGTGAAACCCTGTCTCTACTAAACATACAAAAATTAGCTGGGCGTGGTGGCGCGTGCCTATAATCCCAGCTACTCGGGAGGCTGAGGCACTAGAATCACTTGAACCTAGGAGGCAGAGGTTGCAGTGAGCTGAGATCGTGCCACTACACTCCAACCTGGCGACAGAGTGAGACTCCATCTCAAAAAATAAATAATAAAAATAAAAATAATAAATAATAAAAATAAAAATGGAGCTTTGAGGATCATTTTCTCACCTGGACTCCAGTATTTTGAATATAAAGTTCATTGACAACACAGCCAGAACACTAGGAGTCCTGTCTCCAAGGAGAAGACTTTCAGTGTCTAATTTCTGAAATTGCAAACCATAACCATGATATTATAACTGAGGGACTGTAGCTGATCTCTGCATCTTGAGAAAAAAAGGTTTCACAGATTATCTCCAACACCCACGGGATGCATTCAAAGTTGTGGGGGCAGCCAGTACCATTTTATATAACAGCATAAATCACCCAGTGATTTTACTTTAGCTTCCAGCCATATCCTATGTGATTTTAAAATGTATGATAACTACCTTACCCTAGTCTACATCGGTAAACTCTGCAAAACTCCAGCAGTTACAGAGCCTGTGCTAGGAGCTACAGGGTGAAGAGGGGGAAGAAGACTCAAGAAACCTGTAAAACTAATGGAGGAGAGGAAACCAGCTCATGTGCTGAGAAGTTTTAAATATGCTGCATTTATGGTAGGTAGAGCATTGTCATCATTGTAAGGAGTATGAATCCTCCACTGTGAGCTTTTCAAAGTTCTTTTATGTATCTGGAAGAGTGTTAAATATTTTTTCACTATGAGTTGACAGTAAATTGAAAGCTTTTCTTGAATAATGAAAGTGATCAAAATGACTGGAGGTTTTTGTGTTTTTTTGGTCACTTAATGCATATCTGAAATAGTCACCTCTAGAAGCTCAAATTTCCCTGGACCAGTACACTTGTAACAAGGAATGAGATGCTCAGGGAGATGGTCTGCTTTGGGAGACTGTGACTTTTGTGGAAAGAGCTTGGCTTTGGAGTTGTTAGTGCCCTCAGCTGTGTAGAAGCCAAGGCAGCTGTGGAGGGTCTCCTTTTTCCATGTATGTCAAGGGAAGAAGAAGAAAGAATGTAATGTTTGTGATATGTGATATCCAGGTGGCATGGTTCATGGACACTCAAATCTTTCTCCCCTGAAATTGCAGAATGAAGAGCTTCGAAACTTGTCTTTGTCTGGCCATGTGGGATTTGACAGCCTCCCTGACCAGCTGGTCAACAAGTCTACTTCTCAAGGATTCTGTTTCAACATCCTTTGTGTTGGTAAGTTATTCATCACCCCACAGCAAGAAATTTGATCCTTAGATATTGACAGGTAACTGTCGGAGAGACATGCTTCAGTGAAATAAGAATGACATGTTTATTCTCTTTCTTTCATCAGTAAAACAAGGCAAAATATCTGCCTTATACATGTCACAAGTTATAAAGATTGAGAGCTGTATTTAGGTAAATGCGTTGTATGTTTTGTCATGTTACTCAAATTACTATTAGTATTTCTGTCACACAGTTAAGCAACTGATCATTACAATATTGTTAAGATCCCTTAAACATTTTACTTTGGACTAGGCCTCTGCCTTGGTATTTTTCTTCACCCCTCTAGCCATATCTTTTTTTTTTTTTTTTTGAGGAGTCTTGCCCTGTTGCCCAGGCTGGAGTGCAGTGGGGCGATCTTGGCTCACTGCAACCTCTGCCTCCCAGGTTCAAGCAATTCTCCTGCCTCAGCCTCCTGAGTAGCTGGGATTACAGTAGCCACCATGCCCAGCTAATTTTTTGTATGCCATATCCTTTTTGGACTAAGAAGAGGAAGGTGGAAAGGAAGGGGGATAAAGAAAATCAAAATATAAATTTCCTGTTAGTTTGAAGGAGAAGTGTGTGTGGAACAGATGGCTGTTCCTCTCTCTCCCCATCACGCCTGATGAATGGCAGGTGAAACAGCAGTGAAGTGGTTTGGGCTGTGTTGATCTGTTGGCATTGTCCTCTGGGCATTTCCCTCTGAGACATCACTTTGAGACAGATCAAAGAATTCTGTATGTAGCCAAGTGGACTGTCTTTTCCCTAAGCTTGGCAGAATGTGTCAGACTTACTTTTCTTGTCCAAGTAAAGCAAAGAGAATTTAGAAAAGGTGTGTGTTCAATGTGAGAACCACCATTTGCTTATTTGTCAGTTATGGAAGTTGGGGGGAGTGCAGATATTTTTCTTTTTTAAAAACTTCTTGAACTTCTTGATGACTCTACTGCATGTAGCCTCTGTGCTGGGCATTCATTAGTAGAAAGCCACAATTGGCAGGCACGCTACACCAACTTGCTCCCTGGCATTGTATCTTAAGCACTGGATAAGAGAAAGACTGGAGAGAACACAGCCAACTCTCATCTCATGCTTTCCCCTTTTCCCTACGTGAAGCCTTTTAAAATTCAGCAGGAGACCTCCCGAATGGCAGCTAGTTCTACAGAGTGGCGTGAATGGGTTGTCCTTTCTCTCATGATAAATGCTCATTGCAGAGCAGGGCAATTCTTCATTAGCATAGCAATTTGTTGGCAATTTGTTGGGTTTCTATTGAAAAGTATGCTAAATTGTAATCGCAGGCCAATTACTATTCTGGCTTCTCTTCAGTGCCTCCCCAGCCCTGTCTCCAAAATCAGCTCTAAGAACATGTCTGAGAGTTCTGTCCTGGCTCCTGCAGGGGACGGTAGGGGAAAGCCTTCTGGTGGGATCCTGGTTTAACTGGGTATGTGGTGTGCAGTGGGGTGTGCTGGCTGAGGGGCTGACTCCTTGTGTTAAATAAGACAATTCAGATGCTGAATTCCTCAGAGACCAAATTGATGCTGCCCTGTTAGATGTGTAAAGCAGCCCTATTTGGAGTCTCCTGGGTGGGTTACAATACCTGTGATTCTTAGATATTTGTCAGGTTCTATTCTTAAACATGTTTAAAATTAGTTTTTCAAACTAATGAACATAATATATATTTGTTGTTTAAAATGTTATAAAACACTTCCCTTTCATCTCCCACCCCCATTTCCATTTCACAGAGATAACACTGTGGGATCCTTCTAGAAACTTTTGACATCTTTCTGTATTAGGAAATTGCTTTTGGTGGCTTACAGTTCTGTAGGTAGGAGTCCAGTATGGGTCCGCAGGGCTGCATTCCTTCCTGGAACCTTTAGGGAGAGTGCGCGCCTTTTCCAGCTTCTGGAAGCTGCCTGCATTCCTTGGCTCTTGGCTCCTTCCATCCATTCTCAAAGCCAGTCACGTTGCATCGCTCTTTTAGTATTCTTGTGTCAGGAAATTTTCCACAGAGAATTGCAGAAATACAGCTTAAACCCAGTTAAGACTCTCCCCCACCCTCCAACACACACTGAAAAGCTAATACCATGAATTGGGTAATTAAGAGCAGCTGGCTGCAGGGGTTCAACGAGCCCCATCAGGCCTCTGTCTGTGGTTCTTGATCCTGCTTCTGCTTGCTTCACATTCAGGCATTTTCCTCATGACAGCAGTCTGGCTCTGTCAGCATCACCAGCCGAGCAACCTCAGGGGAAGGAACAAGGCATTCCTGACACGTCTCACCAAACAGTCAGGATTTCACTGATTGGCCAGGACTTAGTTACATGCTCAGCCTGGGGGGAAGATGGAGTCAGTTCACTCCAAAACATACAAGGTTCCCCATAGGCAAGAAGACAGGATCAGAAAGGAGATAGGGCTTGGGAGAGAGACACACTGGACAGATAAAAACAGCTTTCTCACAGTTACATAGGTGCTTTCTTGTTTTGCTTTTACACAAATGAGATCATGTTGTTCATCCTGTGCATTTTCCTTTTTTCGCTCCACAAGGAATCCTGGATATCCTTCGTTGTCAGCATATCTAACTCTCCAGGTCGTTTTCCATAACCCTTTGGAGCCCCTTGTTTGGGGCCAGCGTGAGCTCTTTGGGAGATAGGAGTGTCAGCATTAAATATCATCCTCAGAGAGTTGAATATCAAATCCCGTTGCCATACATATTTTATAGCATAATATCTTTATAAGAAAAAACTTACTGTCAATCAATGGTCCATCTATTTTTAAAATAAGAGTCTATAAAAAGTAGATCAAAATATTTGGACGGCCTCGTAGAGGAGGAGGTGTTATATTTAACTTAACAGCATCCATGGTAACTTTTCCTCCTTACTTACTCCCTTCCTCTTACTGCCCATTTGTATTTTTTTGCACAGTATGCACATGTGTGATATTTATAGCGTGAATTTACATTTTTGTGGTAAATATGGGAGGGAATTAAGGATAAAAAAAATAAAATTATGATCCCGGTAAGGAAAATTTTTACCAAAAATGTCTCAGAATTGTAATTTTGTTTTGTGGCGTGAACCTGTAGGTTGAAAGAAAGCAGAGGAAATAAAACAGGGCAGAAAATGGTCCTGGCATGAACTAAGTCTAGTTTCAGAGATAATGAATTAAATGTATGCTGCTAGAACCCATCTCTGTTGGTCCTGGGAAGGCATGTAATAGAGGAAGAATAGTTTTCATTTCACTGGGAAGAGAATTCTGATGTTAAATGAGATAACAGAACACCCAGGAGTTCATCATTCCCCTTCTCTCTGTTTTGCTACAACACACCTAAATCACTCCTGAAGCCACATTTTAGTTTAAATAAAGCCTTTCATATTTTACCCATGCTGTAATTCTCCAGAGAATCTAAATTAGATCTAAATTAGCATTTAGCCTTTTTTCATAATTTTAAATTTGTATGTCTTTCTCATCCATTTTCCAAAATGATACTAACTCTACGAAAAAACCTCATCCACATTGATCCAGCTGTCTTGTAAACATACAAAGGTGAAAATAAGATACTGTAACATCTCTGCTTTTGAAGAAGAACCAGTTTGATAGTAGAGTCAAAGTAAATTAGTAATACATTTTGAAATAGAAAATTTGTCCACAATTCAACCTTAATTGTTTTGAGGGGATGAGAGAACAGGAATTGAAAACAGGTAAGTGTAAGGCCATCTTAGCCAAGGCTATAGTGTCAACATAAATTGTGGAAATTTATAATCAAATCTTAAACATTTTTATCCCGTCTTGTTTTTCCAGGAAAGGATGTAAATGGCTTATAGGGTAAAACGAATGAAGATAAAATTAACCCCAGAAAATAAAGGTGAAGCCAGGGATAGAGTCAGTACTCAAAGTGTGCCATCAGGCCTGCCTATAGCAATTAATTGATGAAGTATTACATTTTTCTCTCAGCTTAGTGGTCAGAGCATGGAGAAAATTTATTAATTCACTCATTCATTAGCAGATATTTAGTGAGCATGTGTTATATGCTAAACACAAGCAAAAAGTTTAACATACGACAGATTTATAGTATCTATAAAGTAAAAACAAAATGATTGCTCCAGATGAAACACAGCTTTACCTGGAAAAATTTCTCCATGGATTTTCAGAAAAGAGATTTGGTGTATGTAGTGGTCTGGGTTCCTGGGCATCCTCTAAGTCAGTGCAATTGTTTAATGAAATGCCAGGTGCCACACGCTGGCTCATCTTATGCCGGAGTATGTTTCATCAAAGGTGATTCTATGAGGAACAAGAACAACGCAACTTAGGTATGTAGCTTTCTGACTCTCTGATTCCATCCAAGAGTAAAATCTAGAATAATTAGGGAAGGCAGGCAGATCCCCATGCACAGTTACTTACTCAAGTAGCCAGTCTTGGCAATTAGAGTGAAAGATGCTGAATCACAGATCAACAATTTGTTCAATCTACCGTTACCTTCTAATTAATAATACAATCCCTCTGTTTTTCCCCCGCCTTGTTCACCTTAGAGCTCGTAGGTTAAATAAGCCTGAGGATAGAATGGAAAAGGTAGGACTGCTTTCCCCTGTGATGTGGGCATCATGTTTACTAGCATTGGCAGGAATAGGAAAAACAGAAGTCCCAGATAGCACTTTAATAAGGTCTCTAATTACTGTAGCAATAGAGTGTTTAGGCAGATGAATTTATGATAAAATAAACAACAAACTCTGAAAAAAATCTATCACAGTGGCATATCTCTGTATAAATCATCACCATGATCATTTTTGTTTTCAATTAACTTTTTTTTTTTTTTAAAGATGGAGTCTCTCACTCTGTCGCCCAGGCTGGAGTGCAGTGGTTCAATCTCCACTGACTGCAACCTCCGCCTCCCAGGTTCAACGGATTCTTCTGCCTCAGCCTTCCAAGTAGCTGGGATTACAGGTGCCCACCACCACACCTGGCTAATTTTTGTATTTTTAGTAGAGACGGGGTTTCACCATGTTGGCCAGGATGGTCTCGAACTCCTGACCTCAGGTGATCCGCCTGCCTCAGCCTCCCAGAGTGTTGAGATTACAGGCGTGAGCCACCGTGCCTGGCCTGCAATTAACTTTTAATAAATGTCTCCTTTGTGCCAGGCATTCTGCTAGGGAGTTTTGAAATACTTTAGTCATTGACTTTTCTGAAAATATTGTTATGGTTGTTTGGTTTGAATTGGAACCTATGCCTAGTAGGCTTTTAGTTATTCAGTTAGAAAGAAATTTTTGTCTTATGGGTCCTCAAAAATATAGATGAGATTCCGCTTACAAAGATTAGAGAGAAGCCTCAAAAACTAATCCCAGTGCTTCAGGAGGCCAAGGCAGGAGAATTGCTTGAGCCCAGGAGTCTGAGACTAGCATGGGGAACACAGTGAGACCCTGTCTGTTAAAGAAAAAAAGCTAATGCATTGAAAAACTTCCCTAGTTCTTCTAGAGTTCCTTTTATTCCAAAAGCTGTCATTTCCTGCTGAACTGCTTTTGGTGAATCACACTGCTGCTGGAGTTGCCGTGTCTAATTACAGCTCTTAAAAGCACAGACCATAGAAATGGAAAGCAAAGCACACCAAAGTTTAGAGGAACAGTGGTTTTTTTCAACCCATTGATTAACCCTGTGCTGTAAGTAGGGCCTGGTATGCTAATTGTTTGTAATTTCCACCTTAATGTAAATGATAATTAAAATTACCATGCCTTTAAAAAGTATGGTGTTCCTGATTCACATGGGTGCTTAAGCAATTTTCAACCTAGTAAAATAAGATGATAATTTCAGTCTTGTCCAGGTAACCTGGAATGCTTGCCATGTAATTGAAGTCTTTATTGCTATTCTTAGGGAAGAAGATGAAAGTTAAGTAGGTCACTTTCTACTGACAGAGCCTTTCCCATGAAGGAGAAACTTTTATAGGGCAGATCTGCTTCTGTGCCTTTTGTGTTCTAAAAATAGGTAAATCCTGAAAAGAAGTTGGCTCTGCTTGAGAATGTTACACTTGTAGCATGTACTTAAAATGACTCAAGTACCTTCGGTATTGACTAGCAGTGAGAACTCTGTTTTATTTCTGTATCCACTACACAGTAACTTTGTTTTGCTCAAAGTTAATTTGTTAAGCCATGAATGGTGAGTGTGAACTTGTTAAACTCTTTCAGGTTAGGGAGCAGAGACTGGTTTTATATTGCTTTTATGGAGGGTTTTTTTTTTTGTAAGACTATTCAGGAAAGTAAGGAAGACAGGAAACCGTCTCAACTGCTGCACAGCCAGACCCCATAGAGATCTGGAATGACATTCAGGATGTTACAAACGTGCAAACAGTGTCAGTGTCTGTTTTTATTCATTACTTCATCCCTGCACCTATGCTTGTCACACAGTGAGCGCCCAAGCATTAATTTCATGATGGATTTCCGATGCTCTACCCCATCTATCTGCTCTTTCCTGTATTCCCAGCCTACATTCTGTCTGCAGCATGGCTTCTGTTTACTTACACAGCCTTTGCTGCCTCATGGTTTCTGCTTACTTACCTCTCTTTGTATATTGTTTCTTTTTCATGCCATCACGCTGTGTGGGGATTGCATGTATCTCATTCAAATACCCAAAGAGAAAAACTGTGATTAGATAGACCACTCTCCAATGTGGAGCCCCAGCTCATAGTGAAATGATTGGGCTTCTGTTGTTGCCTTGAGGTCAGGGACCTAGCCATGGTCTGGTTGTCTGTGGCCAACTAGCAGGGCCATGGATGTAAAGGATGGTCTTGCTTATAAGAGGAAAGCGGTTATGACAAACACTTAGAATGGTGTTCCCATAATTATAAATTAGAGTCTGACTGGTATTATTCAGTCATGTTCTAGACCAGATTCTAAGATGTGGGAGAACACCCTATCAGGCTAGTTTCTTGAATTCTCAGAACTTGGCACAGAACTTGTATATAGTAGGCACTGGAAAAATACTGGCTGAATGATGGTTGACTAAAGAGGAAATTCTGTGATCTTAGATGTTCAGGGACACACAGGAAAGGTTAAAGAGTAAGATGAATATACTTGACCAACTTTTATCCTATAAGTGAATCATCATAGTTACAGGCAAGCCATATAAGGCTTTTCTAATCAGAGAAAGCTCAAATCCAGAAAGACTTCATCCTCCTTCACTTTTGTATTATGTTAGAAAGCAATGAGTATACAATACAGAATTTATAACTAGTAAGTAGATTTTGTCATTATAGTGGGAGGGTTGCCCAGAGCTTTTCTTTTTTCCATAGAACACTACCATCCTTAAAGTCATTATAGCAGTCCTTAGAAGAGGGGATGCTCCTAGGAACATATTGGGATTAGAAGTAGTTGAAAGGGCTGTTCTATATTGGCAAGTTTAAATTGAGCTGGAAATCTAATTGAAAAATTTTCCAGATTAAGAAAGAAAAAAGGTATCCCTAGGGCTAATGTTTCTAGATTTCTACCTGCTTCTCTCCATCATCATATGCTCAGCCACCACCACCACGAACATAAGGCTGTTTTTTTCTCATTGCCAACTGTCTTTGACTCAACAATAAGAATTAGAATTAAGAGAGAATTTGCTTGGTGTTATTTTGAGGGTTGGGCTGCAGTTCTTCATAGCCCCACATTTGGGTGTCATCATGTGATTGGTACAGTGGTTACAGATACCTGCTACTCTGCTTTGCACATGGGAGATCTCAGTAAACACTTACTGAGTTGAATTATCAGTGTAAATAAGGTCATTTGACATCATTTACTTTCATTGTCACAAACTTCACACTGAAGCTGGGAAAACTATCTAAGAAGCCACAAATGTTTGGCTTCTTGACTCCAGCTGGATAAAGAAAAATAAAAACAATATGGAGAGATTAATATAACCATAACTGGAAAATGTTAGGCAGTCAGTTTTCTGTGTAATAGTAAAATCAGGCTGCTGTCTTGGTTGAGTGCAGGTGTTGGAACCATACAGACTTGAGTTAGAACCCTGGTTCCACCACTTAGCAATGACTTCAGGCAAGTTACTCATAAATCTTATCTAAGCCTAGTGTTCCATCTTGAACATGGAGGAAACAGTAGTACCTATTTCATGGGAGTAGTACTAGGGTTTAAATGAGATAATGTAGCCGGGCGTGGTGGCTCATGCCTGTAATCCCAGCACTTTAGGAGGCTGAGGCAGGTGGACTATTTGAGGTCAGGAGTTCAAGACCAGCTCAGCCAACATGGTGAAACCCCGTCTCTACTAAAAATACAAAAATTAGCCAGGTGTGGTGACATGTGCCTGTAATCCTAGCTTCTCAGGAGGCTGATCTGGGAGGATCACTTGAATCCAGGAGATGAAGGTTGCAGTGAGCCGAGATCGCGCCACTGTACTCCAGCCTGGGGGACAGAGCGAGACTCTGTCTCAAAATTGAATAAATAAATACATATATACATACATACATAAAAGAGATAATGCACTAGAAGCTCTTGCCACCGGGGTTGGCACAAAGTGAGCACTCAGTGATGTTAGTGATTATTGTCATCAAGAGTGTTATTTTGAATAATGTAATTCTTTTCTACGACATGGTATCATATTGATGTTGAATTAACTGATCTTTTAGGTAATTCAGTGTAAATGGAATCACTTGTTTCAAGTAACAGAAATTCAACAGTATAGTCTTTTATCCCTTAAGTAATATAGATTTATACTCTAACATTTAGGAGAGAAAGAGACAAAGTTCATGTTCTTGTTCTTGTAATATACAAACTGAGCACAGGCAATCTTACAAGTACAATTTTTCTATTCAGAGGTAAAGAAGAATCTCTTGATCTGTAAATTTGAAATCTCTCTGCTAAATAGTTTCTGAAATTCATTGAGGCATTTTTAGGAAGGTATTCCATAGATTACACATAGAAAGAATTATCTCTTCACAGTGACATTTCTGGTGACAGTTTTTCTTTTTTAAACTTTATAATCATGACTAATAAAAAATACTGATGAATTGAACTGATGTCTGAGAGACATTGACACATTCTCTGATTTTTCTTTTGTGGTTATGTAGGTGAGACAGGCATTGGCAAATCCACGTTAATGGACACTTTGTTCAACACCAAATTTGAAAGTGACCCAGCTACTCACAATGAACCAGGTGTTCGGTTAAAAGCCAGAAGTTATGAGCTTCAGGAAAGCAATGTACGGCTGAAGTTAACCATTGTTGACACCGTGGGATTTGGAGACCAGATAAATAAAGATGACAGGTACATCTTGGGATTTTGGGGGGACATGAATGGATGAGGAGATAGCAGGATCCATCCCAGGTAAATTTAAAGGCCAAATGTTTTGGGGATTTTTTAGTTGTGGGGCTTGGTCCTCTATTGCCTAAAAGGTGTGATATTCTTGTCCTCTGAGAATTTTTCTGAGAATATTCTTCCTTGAGGTCAGAATCAGACATCAAAATTGATCCCAGCTAGTAGGATCAGAAAGGGGCTTTATTAGAGGGACTAAATTAGCTTACAACATCTTTCCACAAAGGCCATGAAACCAGGTTTGGGGCTTTCCTACCAGGAAAAGCAATCTAGAGAAACACCCAGCCACCCTACAGAACAGTTTTAGCAGAAACCCCAGCCATCAATCACTTCATACTGCTTGGGAAGCCAGGACACTAGAGGGGAGGTCTCTAGAAGCTCCACCAAATCTGCCCCAGGTAATCAAATGCCTTCACCATGGCTTGCTATATAATGATAAAATAGTACACTGAGTTTTTATAATGTACCCCATTTATAAACCATGTAAGTTTGGGTCTTTACCATGAGTTATCTTTTGCCCTTATTTGAGGGAAGTTTTCAATTCTTAAAATTTCGTGGCATACAACCCATGTTAGTCTTAGTCTCAGGATTTTGTTCACATTCCTTCTCAAGAGCACCAATTCTGTTCATCAGTCTCAACCTCAGATGTCTTATGACTATTTTACATAGTACATTCATTCTCAAAAGAAGTTTGAGAAAGTTAAAATAAAACTGCCCCAGGTCCAAAGGTGATTGTAGAATGGGGCTTCCAGAAACATCTTTGAGCAGTTACAACATTATGGGCATAAGTGTCTACCTGCTTAGTGTGACCAACATGTAGACATGAACAACAAATCAGTAAGTTAGGGTGTGTTTGCTTACAGCTCAGACACTTTGCTTGTATCAGGATTTTTTCCCCATATTCCTCAAAACTGTATATTATACACATGTGTTTTGTAAAGAGGAACTCGACTATTTTTATCTAGAAATGCCTAGATATATTTTATCTATGCCTGATATAAGTATGAGCACCACAGTAATGACAGATAAATGTTTAATTCATTCTTTAGCTGAGCACCAAGCTCTTTATTTTATCTACAAAGCACTTTAAATGCTCTTCAGTAGACATTGTCCCGTGATAACAGGAACAATTGGTAGATAGAGTGAGAAAGATTTTATTTTGCATACCAAAATGGACTATCTGTACATTGTGCTGGGGCAGGGAACAAGTTCAGCTCTGACACTGCAGCTGAGCAGTTGCTCTTAATATATGACCTCAATGACAGGGAATGATGGAGAGGCCCCTGCCTGAAGGCTGTTTGTAATGCCAAGAGCAGTAAATGAAGAGAAAGGCCTGGTCATAAGGAAAGGGGCACAAGTGCATTGTGGGAGCTGGGAAGAGAGCCGGGGGTTTCAATCATTGCATACTCACAGAATATACCCAGAGCAAGGCCTGTTCTCCATCTCTCAGACTGGTATAGATTTTCTCACTGGCGTTAGGAAAAATCTTGCTTGTCCATTCCTTGATTGGAAGACAGCAACTGTACTTTTTCAGGATCCCTCCCCCAAGGAATGAGAACCATCCTCCACATAGCCTCTTGCTGAGATTCCCTGTGCTCTTCCAGCTCACTGGGGTTGCCACAGTGCTGCCACTCAATTTTTGCCTCTCCCCTAAACTGGGACTTTCCCTCGGGCTGCTGGTGGCTTTTCACTCCCCAATCAGCACTCAGCAGCAAACAGTTAGCACAATGCATATCCTCATATTTGCAGCTGGAGCCCTCCTTAAGAAATTATCTGACTCATTTGGGTCAAATAATAGTTTCCAAGGAGATTTAGAAGAGAGGAAGTGTGATATTAACTTAACCTAGATACCAAATATTTTTTTTCCTCTGAAATTTCTTGACAGCTATTGCATAACCTCTTTAAATGGCACTTAAAACTCTCTGTTACCCTGTGCCTCAGAAGGTATTGTTGACACTGTTGACTGTAAAGCCAAATTACTTGTTCACAAATTGTTATCTGGACAGGCTCTGCCTCCCTCAAGAAACTGGAAGTGGGATATTCATTTCTGCATCAATATATAACCATATGGAAAGGGATGTGGTATTTCTCTATGCCCATGTTGATTTTTACCTACTTTGGGGATTAGGCAAGCTTTTCTGCCATAGATGCAAGACTTCAAGAATGTCCCAGTTTGTTTATGTAGGCTTTGGACATGTCAACATTCCTGTATTATTATCTGCCTCAGACCAGGCTAGCTAGAAGGAGGCAGGAAGAGAGATCTGGTAAGGTTTCCTGTTATGTTTAAAAGCACATTTCACTCTTTGTTATTTAAGGGCTTCCTTGTTTTGGCTGTTTGTACTCTTCAGTGGAGAAAGAAAGGGGCCTGGGGAAGAAGGGAAAGCAAGTTTTGTTGTTCAATTGGAAATAGAATAATTAGTTTGCCCCACACTGGGGAGATGGGAGGTGAGCTGTCCATGGCGTATCACTAGCTGTAATGATAGTTAGCCCTCAAAGGCAGAGATAATTGAAATCCCCTGAGACGGAATTTCAACCTCACCAAATCTTTATCAGAGTTATAAAACAGTAGTGAGATGGACTGTTTGGCCTTTAAATTTTAAGTTTTTAATCACACTTTCTGGTGGAGGTAGTCAAGGGATAAGGAAAATTGGCTAACAGACAGCAAGATAAGGGAAAAACATGGTAAGTATTTGGTCGTATATGAAGTGGAAAGTCAGTCCCTGAATGATGGCATTGGCCATTTTGCAAGAATGATCAGTGGGTAGGTTGGATGGATGGATCACATTGTCTAAGTATCTTTTTCCATCGGTTTTAGGGTTAGCCTCTGTCATTTTTGTGTGTGTGTATGTTTTATGGCTGGAGGTATATGGAAAAAAAAATGAGTGCTGTGTAACAAGGAATATCTCCATGCCTTAAAAGAAAATGATGTGAAAACGTAAGGGCTAGATTGGATTTGTCCTCCTGTCTTTCCTCTGATTGATATGGCCACAATTCAGGGAAGTTTTAATTGGCAAAAAAAATATAAATAAGTGTTAGTAGGAATGGGGCTAGCAAAAGGCTAAGTTGGGATTAAGCTTCCTATCTTTCTCACTTTAGATGGAGAAGTGGAAAGGATTTGGAGGAAGAGGCAGATAATTCATCTCATCTACAGGATGATGATGAGGAGTACAAAACCACTTGGCTGGCTTGAGTCTCATCAAGAAGAAATTATTTCATCAGCATAATTAAATCTTTGACATAGGGAATAGTGGTTTTGGTAAATTGTTGTCCAGGAATACATTTCTTTTTATTGGTTAATAATGGTATGGAAGGTAAAGTAGATGGGATTTCATATTTATTATGTGTATGACATAAGAGAAGGAGGCTCCAGGTTGAATCCCAGGTTTCTGACTTGGCCAGTGGTGTGGGTGGTGGCCCACCATGCTAAGGAATACAGGGAAAGTGAGGGTTTGAAGGCAGGATGAATAGTTCAGTTTTGGACATATTTAGTTGGAGAAGCAGTTGAAAATATAGGATAACCAATTGTGGATGGGTCTGAAGCTCAGAGGAAAGATCTGGGTTGGAGGTAGAGATTTATGACTTGTCATCAGATAGATGGTGAGTGGAACACAGGAATGAGTATGATTTTCTAGAGGGAATACATAGAGTGAAAAGAAGGGAGACTGAATGATTGGCCAGGACTCTCTAATAAGAACAGGTAGAAGGAAGCCTGAGATATTAGAGAACAAAAGATATCTTGAATCCAGTGGGGAAAGCATTCCTCACTGCAAAATGAGTGTTGTTATGCTTCTCATTATCTTTGGAGGATCAGAATCAAAACCAGAGGCAAGAAGGGAAACTAATAGAAAACAGAACCATATTTGGACTACTATTGAGAGGAGGAGGTGCTAAAAGCTAAAAATCAGACACAGGGGAGGCAGGGGAGCAATTGCTGTGAGCTGCTTCTCTTACCCTTTGGGATAAGAGGCTGCTGGGGAAGAGCCCTAATCCCCAAATCTGCCTCAGTGTCAGGAGACAGAAGGATCAGCCCCAGACTCAAAGGGCAAAGGGCATGGGTGGACCTCACTGGAGTGGCTTGCTCTACTTCCCTACTGGACATGAGCTCCATAGCAGAACAGATAACCAGCAGAGAACTGGGTGAATGTAAAGTTCCTTTTTTTTTCCTTAGGTTTTTCTAAAAAGTCAGGCTTGATTCTATAGTGGTGGTTGTTTATTATATAATTATGAAATAGTTATATCTGACTTTTATGTGCCAGCCCTTTACATGTATTGCATGTATTGGCTCATTTATTTGTCACAATAGCTCTCTGATAGAACTACTATTTTTGTCTCTGATTTACCTGTGAGGAAATTGAGACACAGAGAGGTTTAGTGACTTGCTTAAGGCTGTGCAGCTAGTAAGTTGTGCGGCTGTATTATGGTTTTAGGCTTGAATCCATGTTTCTAACCACCATCCTCTATAACTATCTCATTAAATATTATTATTATTATGCAATATATGTCTATATTTCAAGATTAGAAAATATAGAAGAATCTTATTGCTCATTCATTCTTCTTATTGGAATTTTGCCTGTCATGATTTGGAACTTTATTATTGCTGAGGTACATCCTACCTTTTTTTTTTTTTTAAAGCCTCTAGAGATTTTGTCTACTCTAATTGAACCAATATATTGTGATAAAATCACCAAAGAAAAATATCAAAAAGCTTTTTATGACTGCTTTCAGTTTTGCTCATAAGTTTGTTTGTTGTTATTGTTTATTTTGGGGATGTTTGTTTTTCTTAGGATGTCTGCGTCATTTTTATTATAAAAGATTTGTGGTTCCCTTTCAAGGGTTTCAGTTTAACTTATGGGTATGGGATTTGGGTGTTGAAAGGTTTTTATTTTTCTTAAAACTTGTATCTTCGGAAAGGCAATAAAGTTTGGGGAGAATTAACTCTTCGTATTCCTAATAGAACAGTCTCTTTGTTGCTAAAACGAACTTCTTCTGAGTAGTCCCTTTGGAGACCAGAAAGAATTAGTGGGTTTCCCACAATGACCTAATATACTACTTACTTCCTGGACATGTGGTTTATGGAATGTGTATCCCCAATATGCTATTAGTCATTGTGTTTATGGTCAGTTAATAGGATTACACATAATTATCCAAAACAGATTTGAATGATTTGGTGAGAAGAGAGGGTTACGACATTTACCTTTAAATCATGAAGATTTTGAGTTGAAAGGAATCTTGAAGATCATAATAGTCTAGGCGCCTCAGTTCCTAGATGAGTTATGGATTATGCACAGGGCTATGGGAGCACAGACAGCCCCCATCTCTGGAGGAATAGGGCAGATGACCAGGGAATAGCTCGCAGTAGGTGGTGGTGTCATATCCTGAAACCACACACCAGTTTCATTTTGTGCACCAGTGGCAATCAGTAGGGAGAGGCTATCACAGTCACTTTTCTGAGATGGATTTTTGAGGCCCAGTTTTGGCCCAGCAGGAAAGAATGCCACAGTCTCTTAGCAATATCTTCCACGGATACCCCTTGGGGGAGTGGCAGTCAGCTCCACGTATGTACAGTCTCTGTTTTAGAGGATGAATGTTAGCCAGGAGAAGAGTAGGAAAAAGACAGGTTTCTCGCAGAGGGGCCAGCGTGAGCAAAGACACAGAGGAAATAAGGGCTTGACATGGGTGGGGGGCGGGCTGCTACAAATGATTGGGCGTGGCTGGGACAGGAGAGGTGAGCCTGGAGCGCTGTTCAGGGATCAGGTGATGGAAGGCCTGGATACCTAGGTAAGGACTTGGGCTTTAGCCCTTAGGAGAGAAGAAGCCATTGTGATGTTGAATGGAGGATTGTCCTGTGAAAGAGGTTTGAGACTAGAAACATGCTGTTTCTGCATTCTAGCTATAAGCCGATAGTAGAATATATTGATGCCCAGTTCGAGGCCTACCTGCAAGAGGAATTGAAGATTAAACGTTCTCTCTTCAACTACCATGACACGAGGATCCATGCCTGCCTCTACTTTATTGCCCCTACTGGACATTCACTAAAGTCCCTGGATCTGGTCACCATGAAAAAGCTGGACAGTAAGGTACTTGCTGCCATTCTGATTATCATCCACTCTCCTTTTAGATCTTCTTTATCCTAATGCCCTAATTTGTTCTCTGCTTTCAGTGTGATTTTTTTTTTCCTGGATTACAGGAACAGTGTTTGACAGCATGAGAAAAACGCTTCAAAACCTCTTGCCTGTTAGACAAAAATAAAATAAAACAAAACAAAACTAGCAAAAAAAAAAAAAAAAGTCAAGTTGCTTTCCAGGAAGTATTTTTAATTCTTAAATGGGAGGTTGAAATATAACTTCCAGGTTTGTTTACTTTCTTAAAAAAAAAAACTTTCTCTAAAAGGTGTTTAGAGGTTTGGTTTTAATTCAAAGTTTACAATGGAATAAAAGGTTAAATTTTTGTCTCTGTGATGATAATGGTCCAGCTTCTTCAATTTTAAAACTGAACTGCACATGTGTGTTCAAGTAAAGCAAAGTCTTAATTTCAGTGTGATCCCTGAGCTTGCCACATTTATACCTTCTCTTTTTCACAACACATGAAGGAAGAGACTGGTAAGTTTGATAAAATTTTGCACCTTACTATATATTAATTAGACTTTCCATTTTGAAATAAATAGAAGACAATACATTCTGAAATAAGGATGAAACAAATGGCAACAAGAACAACCACAAAACTAAGCTGTGGATGGTATTTACCGTTAGATTCAAAACCCCTTTTGCATTCACAGAAAAGTCTTATCAGATGATAAAGCTCTTTAGAGGACTCTGCTGGGTGTTGTTACTATGATTTTATCTAAACAACACTGATAAAGATGCTGTCTCTCCAGAGGGACAAAACAGTGAGAGAATGCTCAGAAGATCAGCCTGTCCCCAAGGCCTCTGTCTCAACTGTCCTTTAAAGGGCTGGAGAGGCTGAAGCCAAGCCAGGCTCCTTTGGCTTCCAGCAGGCACAGACACAGTAGTTTACAGAAAAATCTTCTAATGGCCTGGAAGGATCACTGCAGCTAGAGTACTCTTCGCAGAATAAATAGAAACCCTCCTTCATCCCATCTGATTCCTCAGCTCCCTGGGAGCTGTGCCATTAGCCATGATAGTGGAGAGATCACGGGCAGTGAGGGCCGCTTCCGGGTCTGTTGTGTCCTTGGAAGCAGGGGCAGACCTCCCTGTTCTCAAGAGTGCCCCATTCTCCACAGACATTCTGAAGGAAGTAGAGTGAGGAGGCTTCCTAATCGAGGGCTGAGTATGCAGACCCAGCCGGATAATATCCAACACTATTATTATGTTTAATAGAGTTCATTGAAAACGGAAAAGAAAAAGGCAAAACAGGCACAACTAATAAAAGCAAACAGTCAACCATAAAGCAGGTTAAACTTTCAAAGAAGTGATATTGTTGGAGAGTTGGAGAGCTAGCTAGCATCTGAAAATGATAATATCAAAGTTTTATTTATACAAGTAAAGGGAAGGGTTAAGCAAATGTATGGTCATTTCAGAAAAGACTTTCAAGTCCGGCTAGTGAGGAAAAAGAGGTTTTAAAACTAAATTGCTTGATTTCTCTATCTCCTCTGATCAATTTGGCCAAGAAAGAGTGAATCTCTGCCATTTTGTCTATGTTGACATTAATTAAATACTAAATGTGTATCAAAGATAGCCAATAAGAACAATAGGAAGTTTCTTGTTCCTCTGGTCCTGATCCAAACATTTCCCCCACCATCAATGATGTTTTTCTTAGTCTGCAACTTGCTGGAGGAAGCCCAAGCATGGTGAGCTTAGGAGCAGGTTGAGGAATAGGTTGAAGAATAGGTCTTTCTCTCAGCATGTCATCTCATTCGGGTTTATCAGGATTTCTAATTTGGCCTTTGGATAAAAGGAGAAGCAAAGGCATGCAGATGGGACCTGAACACCTCCCGAAAGACTCTCTGTTCCCTGGCTAGGACAGCTTCCTTACCGAGTCTGTTTTCTCTCACCTGAACTGGGTGAAGATCATAGTTCTATATATCGGATGTCAGTAACGTCTTATTGAAACCTGTGTTTACAGGGATTAGGGGAAAGTTAATCTTAAAATGCGAATTTAAGAAATGTGTCCTGTGCACAGGGCTGGGGGCAGCCGGGGAAAGAATGTCCACATGGGGTTTGGAAGTTGTGCTCTGGGGTATCCTTGGCTCCCTTTCTGGGCTTCCTGCCACTAATGTCAAATTCTGAGTTCTCCCCTGTTCTTTGTAACTGATGCTGTGAAAGTGAGCCTTGCCTTTGGCGCTCGATTTTATTCTGGCATGAAGGAGTAATTTGATGGAATTACTGATTTTCAAAAGAATTAGTTGGTGTGATTTTGAAAAATTTTACAGTGGGCAACACCATTTTTGTTTTGGCTAATACATAGGTTCTCCTCTCAGCAATTTTCAGGTCATCAGAAGAAAGAAAGGATGTTGGGCTGCATAGAACTGAATACTCCACTGCTCTTACAAAAACTTTGCTGTTATACTGTTAGGAGGTGCGAACTCAAGAGCCTAAAGTAGATGGGAGGGGTCTAAAAGGAGTGGTTGGTCATTCAAAGAATAAGTTCCTTTGTTATCACTATTTGTCATAGAAGAGTAACACTTCCTTTACTCTGTAAAGAAAAATGAGGTAGCATAGGAGAGGAAATTACAAGTATACTTTCAGTGCAGGATGGGAGGAAGTAAAAGTGTTTGAATATGGAACTAAAAGTTTATCTCAGGTCTTCTTAATTTTTCACCTAGGTAGAAAGTCTGATTTTCATTATCATCTCTACCCCAAAAAAAAAAAAAATTGTAGGTACATAGGAGGCGTATATATTTATGGGGTACATGAGATGTTTTGATATAAGTAGGAAACATCTTTATTTTTTACAGTAAGGTTTTGCAATTTTTATTTGTTTGCTATGTTTTATTCACTTGTCTATTTTTCTTATGTTGGAATTGTGTAAAAATGGACGTGTCTGTTTTACAGGTGAACATCATTCCAATAATTGCAAAAGCTGACACCATTGCCAAGAATGAACTGCACAAATTCAAGAGTAAGATCATGAGTGAACTGGTCAGCAATGGGGTCCAGATATATCAGTTTCCCACTGATGAAGAAACGGTGGCAGAGATTAACGCAACAATGAGTGTAAGTCCTCAAGTCAAATGGGAACAAGTGATTTTTATGAACGCCTGTCTTAGTAGCAGCATTGTAGAGTGGCTGGAGCACTGGACTGACTAGGAACCTGATGACTTCAGCTGTAGTCCAGCTTTGCCACCACTTCAAGTCATTTAACCAGTCTGCTCCTCCGTTTCTCCATCTGTCAAATGGGAGCTTTAGACAAGATGATCTCAAATTTCCTTCCCACTCTAACAGTTACGATTTCTACAGCAAATCTTGTGAGAAGGAAATGCCAGCCCAGTACCATTTCATAAAAAGCAGCTCAAAGGAAATAGATCTGTGCTTGTTTCTACCAATCTTGGCAGAAATACATTAGCTTGTCCCAATTTTGCTTTGGTGATTGGATCCTGCCCTTCCCTCCTTTCTATTTTCCCTATACTTTTCTAATCATTAGGTAAACTGGCAGTTGAGGATACAATTTCCACATCACAGAGAGGAACTAGTCAGGTGATAAATGATTAAAGTGACAGTGGTTCCCTGTGTGATTGTGATGTAATCCCTCCTGGTGAGTCTCCATCCTGCCGGTTGATGCTCAAGTCTGTTTCACTACTCTTTTGTGTGTCTCACAGCCCATAGCTCAGCTGTGAGCTGCAATGACTCTGCACATCTTTTTTTCCCTTTGGGAATGCATAACATCCATGAAAGCCACATGCTTTGCATATAGTGGAGGCCCAGTGATGGTTGTTGGAATTCAAAGTAGTAAAGGCTCTAGAATTGTTGGAAGAATCTGGAAAGCAGATTCTTCCCAGGAAATAGGCATGATGGGGTGTGAAAGGAAGGTTGCCACAAGGGAAAATGGCTAGACTTGTGCAAAAGAATGAATGGACAAAAGATCACCAAGGGGTTTTGGTCCCATTACGAAGTGAGTGTTTAACTAGTAGAGCCACTGAGATGGAAGATACACCTTACTTCTTGGGAAGTAGTGAGTTCCCATCGCCAGTGGTTTGTAGATAACAGACCCTGTTTCAGTCCACTTGGAAGAGATACTGTAGCAGGAATTCTTAAGCAGGATTGAACGTATAATAAGCAAGATCTCTTCCACCTCTAAAATTCTCTGGTTGTGGGTATTGAGAGCTACATAATAATAATAGCACCTGACATTTTTCACATTTCTGGAGCATTTACTATGCACCAGGAACTGTTCAAGACTTTCCATTTAATCCTCACAACAGTTGCATAGGTAGGTGCTGTTATTATTCCTCCCTCATATATGAGGAGACTGCAGCACAGCACCTAAGATTGCATGGCTGTGGGTAGTGGAGGTAGAATTGGAACCCAGGCTTTGGCTGTCAGGCTACACTCTCACCCTGTGTACTGCCGCCCGAGCAGAGCAGTGTACCATCAGCCTCGGCATCCATGGATTTCACCAACCATGGACCAAAGATATTTGGAAAAAAAAAATGCAACAATAAAAACAATAATACAAAATATATATATATATGTGTATATATATAGCATATATATATATTTTGTATTATTGTTTTTATAATATATATAGCATATATATTATATATGCTAAAATATATATATAGCATATATATACACACACATATATATATATACACATATATATATATATACACATATATATATATATATATATATACACATATATATATATATATGGCCAGGCACAGTGGCTCATACCTGTAATCCCAGCACTTTGGAAGGCCGAGGAGGGAGGATCACTTGAGGCCAGGGGCTCAAGACCAGCCTGGTCAACATAGCAAGAAAATAAAAAATAAATTCTACAAAAAAAATTTTTTTAAATAGAGTATAATAACTATTTATATAGTGTTTACATTGTCTTAGATATTATAAGTAATTTAGAGATGATTTAAAGTATACAGGAGGATGTGCATAGGTTATTTGTAAATACTATACCATTTTATATCAGAGATTTGAGCACCTGCAGATTTCAGTGTCCATGGACAGTCCTGGAACCGGTACCCTGTGGATACTGCAGGAGGTCTGTACTTTTTTATAGGAAGGTCAAAATCTCAAACTGAGATGGCACTCCTTTATTCTGCTGTAGAACTGTAATTTGGGATGTCAGTGTGGGATTCAGGAAGTATCATGAATGACTGCTATGTAATTTTTCTTTATATTCCTATCCTTCTAGATAATTTTTCATTATTTTCTAGTCATGGAACTATATCTTTGTTAAACTTATTGGAAATAAAATACCCAAGAATTTTTGCTCTCTTTCTCTCTTTATCAGATTAATAGAACTGAATCTCTGACATTCCAAATTAATCCTGCTCTTTAAAGAAATTTTCTTTTAGGCTCTTCATTACAAACTATTCTTGCTGATCAAATTCCACGTAATGTCTGAGGAAAACAGATTCCACTGGCAGTTGCTTTTGTTACATTTGAGTGGAGAAATTTCCTTGGTCATTACACCAAAATATTGACCAGAAAGGTCCTGTTGCTCCTCAACTTCAGGGGAAACAATAGGGTTCAGGTCTGAAACTCAGACTTGTTTGAGAAAGATAATGTGCTTTCTTTCCTTCTTAGGGTGTGAGATGAACTAGAACATTTCAATATCTTGAGCGTCCAACAAAATGCTACTTGGGCAATCTGAGCCAATGATTATGCCAAGTTCTTTGTAGGAGAGGAATTGGCTTGAAAACTTTATCTTCTTTCTCAGTGTATCTATGGTGGAAGAACACTGGATCAAGGAACTCTAAATAATAATTCTTGGAGCAGCTATTTCAAATCTTATTCTTACATGCTAATAGAAAAAAGATAGGATTATTATTTCCTCCCTCACTCAGAATGCAGTGATAACTACCAAATAAACCAATGTGAAAGAGTCAGTTGTCTTGGACACCATCTCTACTTCAGATAAATCTGGGTGCATAGCTTGAGCCAGTAATTTGGGCTAAAGTGTGTTTCGGACTTAGAAATTTGTGCAATAGTCAACTGTCTAAAGCAGTGTTGTTCAAATAGAACTATAATGTGAGACACACAAGTATTTTAAAATTTTCTAGTAGCTACCTTAAAAAAGTAAAAAGAAATGTGAAATTAATTTTAAGGACTTAACCCAATATGTTGCAAAATATAATTTCAACATGTATTCAATATAAAAATTATTAGATATTTTAGGCTGGGCACGGTGACTCACGCCAGCACTTTCGGAGTAATCCCAGCACTTTCGGAGGCCAAGGCGGGCGGATCACAAGGTCAGGAGATCGAGACCATCCTGGCTAACACGGTGAAACCCCGTTTCTACTAAAAATACAAAAATTAGCTGGGCATGGTGGCCGGTGCCTGTAGTCCCAGCTATTTGGGACGCTGAGGCAGGAGAATGGCGTGAACCCGGAGGGCAGAGCTTGCAGTGAGCCGAGATCGCGCCACTGCACTCCAGCCTGGGCAACAGAGCGAGACTCCATCTCAAAAAAAAAAAAAAAGATATTTTAATGTAGGTCTTTGAGATCCAGTGTATATTTTACAATGACAGCATATCTCATCGTGGACTGAATTTTCACCAAAAATATTTTATCTGTATTTACATTTTGTAAAATTCACAGCTAAAAAGTTAAATTTACATACAGGTTTCTCCTAACATACCTTAAAGATTTTCAATATGAAATAAGTGCCAAAAAGATACTTTATCTTTAATCTTTGTGTCTACCTTGCCAT
The DNA here is from genome assembly GCF_000001405.40 of Homo sapiens. Lineage (NCBI taxonomy): Eukaryota > Metazoa > Chordata > Mammalia > Primates > Hominidae > Homo > Homo sapiens. The sequence continues at coordinate 77,018,696 of NC_000004.12, forward strand.
CTACCTTGGTCTTTTTCAGAAGATTTGAGTTTGAAGCAAAGTGAAATGCAGTTTTGCCAAAACAATAAAGTTGCATTTAATTGAAAAATATTTTACGTTGCTTCCATTTTAAATTTAGATGTAAACTAATTAAAAGTTAGATATTCAATTTCTTGTTCCTACAAGCTGTATTTCAGGTGCTCAACAGTCACATATAGTTAGTGGCTACTGCATCGGCTAGCACAAGTCTTAAGCTTACTTTATAGTTGCAAAGACTCATACACTTTTCCCTTGAATCTAGCTCGTGTCTCATACTCAGTGTTTGGTTATAAGGGGGGTGGGATACGTGACATCCACCCACCAAACTGCAGCCTGCTTTTCCCTTGTCACCAAGTAGAGGCCTGCAGAAGGAGGGAGAAGATAGAGACTGGTGGAAACCAGTCTGTCAGAGCAGGGGAAAGTAACTATTCTCTGTCCTTTTGCTTGGCAGGTCCATCTCCCATTTGCAGTGGTTGGCAGCACCGAAGAGGTGAAGATTGGCAACAAGATGGCAAAGGCCAGGCAGTACCCCTGGGGTGTGGTGCAGGGTATGTGCACAGCATGGGAGATGGAGTCTTCATATTTAGCCCCTATGTGAATGGCCGTGTTTGTTCATTTTCCGTCTTGTTTAGGGAGGCCCTCAACAGTGGGCTGGCAGTGGGAGGGAGTGGTGGGGCTCCACATGTGACAATCGTGGAGGTGAGGAAGAAAGAAAAAGTAATCAGCTAGGTAGACAATGGAGAGACATGGCTGCCAAGCCCTTGAGGTAACCCCTCAAGGATGCTGGGTTGTGTAGGGAATTAATATAAAGTCCTGATTGAAAAATAGTTCTTCCCTAGGAGTTGGAGCTCGTTTCATCAGCCAAGTATTAAAAAGCAGCAAAAAGTTTCTTGCAAACAAGAGGGTACTTTTTTCTCCATCAACTATGCAAAAAATGTCTTCTAATAAAATGTTATCTTAGTAAATCTGAGACTTAGGAGAATATTTGATCTATATTTGGCACTGTGGGACATGGCCACAGTCTAACCTGAAAGCTTGTCACGTGTGTCACTTTGAATGACAAGGACTCTATGACCTACTCTTATGTTCTGAAGGAGGACATCCAGTGCTATGGATTAAGCAGGATGGCTAAAGAAAGTTCTTCGCTGGTTTAAGATGTATCAGACCTCCTTTTCCTCTGTTTTGAATAAAGGCAATAAAGCTGTGAGAAGAAACAGTACCTTTGAGATCCCTGGGAAAAATACAATTTTTCTTACTCTTACTAATTTCTCTACAATAAGAAAACTCCTTTCTTCCTAGTGTTGTTGATAAAATTAAATGAAGTGGTATGTAAAAGTGGCCCTGCACAGTTATAGACAGCATGGAGTGGTACAAATACATCTGGCTTTGGGCCAGATGTTCTGGCATTTGAATCTAGACCCTGCTACCTCTCTTTGGGAGGTCAGCTTGCTCACCAAGCTCCTGCGTCTGCAAAGCAAGAGTCATGACATCTAGTTGGCAGAGTTATTATGAAGGGTAAAGACAATATTTGTTTTCAAGCTCCTCCCTCTGTGCTCTGTGCTGAGTAGGCACTCAGCAGTCAGCGTTGTCATCAGTATTATGGTCAATGTTGTCAGAAATCTTGTCTTCGTCAGGAATGTAAGGTGAATCCAGTAAAGGATCTTCAGATGGTCTTGAGACCCCAGAGATTTCAGGAGTGATGGTAATAACATCTTGGAAGCATCACTGCAGATATTTCAGTGACATCATTGCTAATCCCACTTCCGCCATTTCCCCCCTCTCTTGTAGTTGAGAATGAAAATCATTGCGATTTTGTGAAACTTCGAGAGATGCTGATCCGCGTGAACATGGAGGACTTGCGAGAGCAGACTCACACCCGCCACTATGAATTGTACCGACGCTGTAAGCTTGAAGAGATGGGGTTCAAGGACACTGACCCTGACAGCAAACCCTTCAGGTATGAAGGCATCTAGCAATCAGGTGTCTCCCAGACAGTGGCGAGAGTGGCATGGTGGTACATCACAGAAATGCTTGCTGGATTGAGATGGTGATGATGGAAGGATCTGGTGGGTGAAGATTAATACATATGTTGTCAGGCATTGTGATAATTGCTTTATTTGCATTATCTCAACTAACTTACCTAGTTGATGTCATTATTATCCACATTTTACAGATGAGGAAACAAAGGCACTGAAAGTGTAAACAAACTGCCCAAGGTCCTCCAAGTAGTAAACAATGGTGTGGTGTTGAGCTCTTGCCATCTGGGTCCTGAGCCCAGGTTTCTGCCAGTTCTCTTGCAGAGGTGCAGAGCCTGGTCGATATATTTACAAAGGTGCGGCTGCTGATTACAGTTTGCCCCATTCATTTTTGCCAAACACCTTTAACTTCCGGAGGCTCTTCCTTTGTCAAGCACTTTTACTATTAGCTTTCAGTGGTTCGGTAAAATTCTAACAACAAAGAATCAGGAGGAAAGGAGAATAGCTTTTAGGAGATCTATGTATTTTCTTATATCACTGACGGGTGGAGACGCAAAATGTGAAGGGGAGAAATGGATGTAGAATTAATATCCTAGCCGAAGCCCAGACCCCGTCAGAATCCAGTGGTAGGGATAGGGCTGGCAAGGCTGGGGTGCTGTTGCCCACACCGTAGTGAGTCATGGGGTGGTTCTGGGTAAAGTTGTGGGGTGAGGCTGCCAGGCCAGGTTCACCACCTCCTGGTCGAGGAGAGGATTGTCCAGATGGTGCCCAAGCAGTTTTCTTTCTTTTTTTTTGTTTGAGACGGAGCCTTGCTCTGTCACCAGGCTGGAGTGCCTCGGCCTCCCAAAGTGCTGGGATTACAGGCGTGAGCCACCGCGCCTGGCCCCCAAGCTGTTTCTTAATGGGGATTTGAATTCAGGTGGTGTGAGGTGTGTCTGGGCTCTGTGCCTTTACAAACTGAGGGCCATAGTTCCTTGGGGAAAAAAAACCTGTCTTTCTCCTCTTTGGCCTACAACACACTCTGATGTCTACAAGCTGGCTGACAATAGAACCGGAGGCAGCCTGTGCACAGCAGATTCTGTCCCCGTGGGTCTGTAGGAGGGAGTTTATTTTCTTGCAATTGCTTTAGAGATAGTTTAGGAATGCCTGGGCTTGTCGCCTGGCACTGTGCTGCTGAGGAGTTCCATGAGCATGTGTGTATGCAGTGAGAACAAATGCAGAACCCAGACAAGGGGCATACCAAGAAGTTAACTTCTAGCCAAGATTGCATCATTCACTTCTGCCCTGACGGCTTGCAAAACTGACCATCTCCAACCATGTGAAAGTCATGTTCTGAGGCGAGGTGTAGGACACCTTTTTGTGTACACAGGTTTAGCTAATTGAACCTTGAAATGCATTTACCAGAAAATAATCCTTACAAAATCAAGTCCACTTTATGGTTACTAAACCTGATGAAATGGTTTCTGTGTGGGAAAGGCCGTCTTCAGTATTACATAAAATATTTGTTTTCATGCAAAGAGATATGGAACAAAAGGAACTGCCATAAAATTGAATTCATTTTCCCCTCACCTTCATTCAAATCCAGACAGTGTTGAAGAGCACTGGGCTAGGAGTCAGGAGTTTGGGTTCAGTTCTTGGTCCTGCTACGCTACAAGTTCTTAACCCATCTGGGCCTGAGTTTCTTCATCTGTGAAATGAGGAGCTGATCCAGATCAGGGAATAATTAGATCCAGTAAAAAAAAATTTTTTTCCATACTGGGTTAGACAGTAAATATTTTAGGTTCTGCAGGCCAAACGGTCTCTGTCACAACTATTCAGTTCTGCCCTTGTCGTCCGAAAGCAGCCATAGACCATACTGTAAATGAATGGGCATGGCTGTGTTCCGGTAAAACTTCATTTACAAAAACAGATGGGGGGCCAGATTTGGTCCTCAGGCTGTAGTTTCCCAACCCCTAGACGAGATCATAACTTGGAGCCTGTGAACTGCCTGCAAAAGTTAGAATGCATGTGACTGCTTCTTGAGTTTGTTAGAGGTCATTTACCTCCCAAAGTGTTTTACTTCTCAAAATGTTCAGAGCCATTTGGCATAGTTGTGTTTCTTTCAACTCAGGAATCTGTGGAATTTGAAGAGTCTATGATGCTATCCTTAGCTATCTACACCACCAGGAAGGGCCCAGTGGCCTAAGTTTGCCACTTAGGTCTTTCCACCATCTTGACTGGGTTCCTTAGGATCCCTGGGAGCCTGGGGATTGTGAGGATTTCCTGCTGCTGCAGACGCACAGCCTGCTAAGTTGTCTGTGTGGCCAGCATTTTAATTAAGGCATTTCCTGCAAGCCCAGAGTAACTGCCCACCAGGAGGAGGTGGAGCTGGGTAGGCCCAGCAGGGCTTCTGCAAGGGACAGCTGCTGGGCAAGCCCACTGCTTTGTTCTCCCTGTTTCAGGGGCTTCAGGATTGGTGAGGGATATCACCGAGGCTGCCTGACGCTTAGAGAGCATGCTTTATCCATGTCTCCCCTCCCCACTTGGATCCATTTCCCCTGGCCTGAGTTTTGCTTTTGATGATGAAAAGGGAAAATGTATACACACACACACACACACACACACACACACACAATATATATATAAAATAATATATATTAATTATATCATATATTACTAATATATGATATAATTATATAATAATATATAATATATACACATATAATATATATACACACACATATATATTACCAAGGCCTTTACTTTTTTCCATATATAAGAAAATTAGAAAAAAGTGGACCTTCTAAAAATAAATACCTTCCAACATCTCGATAACTGGAACCAGGTTTTCCATTTCAACTGGAAACAATTTCTCCTCTTAGACCACTCATTCAAACTCTGATGTCCCTCCTGGTTTAGGGAAGATTACTTGGTACCAAAAGTTGGCTTTGAATCACATGTCTTGGTAAATAGTGATAAGAAATGAATTTGATTTTCCTTTTCTTGGAAACCACTACTTTTAAAAGGGCTCGGCCTTTCCCTTTGAAGAATTTCGGGCACCCTCAGCACTTCCTGTGCACCTGAGCGGGAGGAATGGAGTGAGGTGACTCTGTTTGAAGGATGACAGAGTTAAGGAAAAGCAGAAGCCACAGTTGATTGAAGTGATTTTCCAGAATTTCATCTGCAAAGTCACCATTCCTGGATGTGCTTGGAAGATGGATCTTCCGTGTGAATTTAGGCTGAGCTTGGAGGAGTATAAATCAAGGGCTTAAGGTTTTATTATATTCTCAAAGCACAGGATTTCTGCATGGGTGTGCAGTGAAGTTCATCCTTCCCAGTGAGCACCCTCGTTCACCTTTTGTCCTCTGGGCCCCACTTGTGTTTACAGTACATGTTTGTAAAACAGAGAGTGACCTCTAACACCAAGTCTAGTAAGAGGCAGTGCCACTGTGTATGTTACACAGTGTGAGGCAAAAGGAGGAGTAGCGCGCGCACAGAAACGCCGTATTCAAGCCTTGGCAGCACACCACGGCAGTAAAGCTAGCGGAGCCCGTCCCTGGGGTGCCTTTAAACCCGCCTGCATTCACACTTGCGTCTTTATTGTCTTGTGGCAGAATATGTATATAACCAGACATTCATCTGCTCTTTCCCAAGCCCATCTTTATCCGCCCCCTGTGCATGCCCGGCTGCTGCCCTGAAGCCTTGAAACTCATGCGTCTACCACCCAGAGCACCCATGCTTCCCTGGACCCAGGCGTCTCCTTCCTCCAGACCCCAGCCCCTTTCTGGCTGGCATTATAGGGTAGAAGAGGAGACGTCACGTGTCTCCCATGAGCCACTCCCTGCTTCCTTTCTCCTGAGAGGCCACAGCGCTTTTCCTAACAGTACCTGCCCAAGCTGCTCCCATCTCACCTCAGAACACCACCGTCTCCTTGCTTCACCCCCGTTCAACTCACACGAAGCACTCAGTTACCACCATTTTCTCAGAGGCCAACGAGGTCCAGGCCCCAGAGACTCACTTGTTTTTAGGAGTGCCTGGGCCTCTGTACACCAGCCATGCAGTGCAGGAGATGGAGTTCTTATCTGAGCAAGGCAGCCTGGTCTCAGTCCTGGCTCTGTTACTTCTTTGTGGTGTGACCTGGTCAAATTACCTGTGTGTCCAAGTTTCCCCATCTATAAAGTGGGAGGTGATAGTAATGGCTACCTTATTGGGTTGTTGTAAGGATTAAATGAATTCACATGTGTATTGCTCCACTCCACAAAAGCTGGTGGAGATGATCATACTCTGGCCTGCCCTCCACTAGATGCTTTTAGATAAGAACAGAGAGAGAATCGTGCTGTGTGAATCACCAGAATGAAGGATGAACTGAAGTGTCTGTGTTCGTTCTCTCTTCCTTTGACTTCAACAAGCAAAACCTGCCTCTCCCAAGGGCTGTTAAGAGGAAATTATAAGATAAAATCCTCAATTTCAAATCAATCTAAAATCTTGTGAAAAAGGTACACATTTCTCACTTAGAAAAGGGTATTAATAACTGTAATTAAAAATTAAGTTTGAAGAACTAAAAGTTGCAAAAGATACCACTAAAGGGATGCATGCAGTGGCTCACACCTGAAATCCCAGCACTCCGGGAGGCTGAGGTAGGAGGATCACCTGAGCTCAGGAATTTAAGACCAGCCTGGGCAACATAGGGAGACTTCATCTCAACAAAAAATTTTAAAAAAAATTAGCTGGGCATGGTGGCACATGCTTGTGTTTGGTCCCAACTACTCGAAAAGCTGAAGTGGGAAGATCGCTTGAGCCCAGGAGTTCGAGCGTATGGTGAGCTATGATCCTGCTCCTGCACTCCAGCCTGGGTGAGACAGTAGGAACCTGTCTCAAAAAAAAAAAAAGATGTAAAATCACTTTGGATATCTTTACTGAATATGAGCCAGTTCCTTCTGAACTGGTCTTCAATGACTGGAAATATTAGTGAGGGCTTGTGGTATCTCTAGTGGACAACTCAACTGGCAGAGGGGCTGGGAATCTGATTCTGTGGATGCTATGGTTCTAAGTTATTTGTAAGTAACTAATTACAGTTATGATTCCTTGGGGTAAGGTTTTATGGCTTCTGTCTTATGTTCCTGATCATTGTTTCCAATGTCAGAGTTCAAAAGCTGGCTCACATCCTAAGACACAATGATATAAGAAGTAGCATTTGTTGAGCCCATTTGCCTGCTCTGGCCCAGGGTGTCAAAACTGCTTCCAGACTCATGTCTGAAGCTAATCTTGCCAATGGCAAAGTTGCTCCTTAGGCTTTCTCTGGGACTAGGCTTTCCAATTTTGGACTGCAGGTTTCACTATAAAAAGCATTTTCCATCATGATCCAGCATACACATTTTGTGTAGTAATGCCTACTCTTAAACTTTTTAACGTACTGGTTAAGACCCACAACTGAGTTGTGATTCATAGTTTCATAAGATGGCTTGTGGTTGGGACTGGATAAGGCAGAGTCATTTAGTGAGTTCTCAGCATTTAGGGTAGCATTACCCAGAGCACATTCTATCAGTGAACTGCCTAAATTTTCCATGATCAGACAAATTTGGAGGATTCTAAGACAATCAAGTTGAATAGATTCTTTTACTGAAGGGCTACTCAGAGCATTTAAGACAAGCAGTAGTTAGCAAACTAGTTATATCAAATCACATGGGAAGCATTTAAAACTAGCAAACTAGTTGCATCAAATGACCTGGGAAGCATTTAAAACTAGACCATTTTGCCTTACCAGACATCCTGAATCAGCCTCTCCAGGACTGAACTTCGGACTCTGTATTTAGGGAAGTGTATGCAACAAAATGTGCCTAGTGCCCCTGCTGTATGGCCAAGGTTGAGATCCACCATGCACTGTGAATCTGCTAAAAGGATATCAGGGGCACCATTCTCCCTTCCGTCTTTTGACGTTGGAGCCCCTCTTTTGGAGATCCTTTCTTGAAATTGGTGGTCTCTGGAATACACTTTCGGTGGTGTTTCTATCAAAGTTTCCATTGTTTGTTAGAAAGAAGAGGGAGATATATTCATTATTCTAAAATCAACAAAAACTGAGTTTTCTGTAAAATTTCATAAGAGGGACGAGTCATCCTCTACCTTTGGCAATTCTGACCTAAATAATAGTGATCAAGAGTTTATTATAAGCTAATATGCAAAATTTCATGAATTATTTTATAGTTCTGTTATGAGTACACTTCTCTATATCTCCATTGCTATAGATCTTAAACTTGAAGTCCAACTATTGCTATTAATATTAGCCAACACTAACATTGGCCAAGCATGTTTTTATCTTATAAGATAATGTGAAAGCGAAATGTACCTCTGGAAACTCAAAACACTTGATTGTTCATAAACAGGTACTATTGATAGTGGCAAGGGCAAGAGAACTTACTTTTAATAAACTAATAACCGTGTTAATTATTGAAGTATAAACCAGCCTGATTAATATGTTTTCTTTTTTCGAGATGGAGTCTTGCTCTGTTGCCCAGGCTGGAGTGCAATGGCATGGTCTCAGCTCACTGCAACCTCCAATTCCTGGGTTCAAGTGATCCTCCTGCCCCAGCCTCCCAAGTAGCTGGGATTACAGGTGCTCATCACCACATCCAGCTAATTTTTGTATTTTTAGTAGAGATGGAGTTTCACCATATTGGCCAGGCTGGTCTCGAACTCTTGACCTCAGGTGATCCTCCTGCCTCGGCCTCCCAAAGTGCTGGGATTACAGGTGTGAACCACCATGCTTGGCCTAATACATTTTCTAATACTAAACTGGTTGTGTGGTTCATTATAGATGTGTGTATCTACATGCACGTATGCTCCTATCACCTGAATTTCCTTTTTCTTCATGTAAATGGACAGATGTAAATGATATGTGGTGGTCTGCATGGTGCCAGGGATCGTGCAGAGTGGCTATCCAGTTTGTAGTCTACACTTTGGATGAATTTAGTCCATGGGAAAGGCAGATATACTGCAGATGGTTAATATACAACAATTGTTGTAGGGAAACTACAAGACAAAGAGAGAAATAGCACTTTATAAAATATCAGCAAATGTTTCTGTGTGTATGTGGGGGTTGCAGTGGGGGTGTATTTTCTTAAGCTGTGTTACCAAAGTGATTTCTCTGTAAATATATTTGTTTTGACTTAGAGATAAAGCTGAGCTGTAGCATTCAATGTAGAATATTGGGCTCTAACTTCCAAGACAGTCAGGAGGAGGATAGAATTGAAAATAAAAATTAAACTTCTCCCTGCTCTGTTTACAACTGGTAATATACTTGAAAAGTAGCAATTTTCTACAGTACCTTTAAAGGTAATGTTGTCTCTTTAGTTTACTTGCTGGGTCTATTTTCCACATTGGGGGCTGGAGGGAGATGAGAGGGGAGGGTACCATTTACTGGGCACTGACTATATGTTCGATGTTTTATTCCCTTCCCCTCATTTCATTCTCAGGGTCATATCCCTAGAAGGTAAGTGTCACTGTATCCACGTCTTAGACCTTGGAGGCTGAGGGAGGCTGTGCTTTTCTAAGAACAGCCGGTTACTTAGTATGGCCCAAATTCCAATCCGGATCTGTGGGACTCCAGTCCCTCTTCATTTCTCCCCCTATAGCAGGCCTTCTCCATCTTCTCAAATTCTATACCACCTCCACCTCCTCAGCCCAGGTTTTCCTTGTATGAATATATGTAAGATAAAACTTGGCTAGTCACAGACACACCTTTAGTGCTGTGTTGTGCTTACTGACTGATTTCTAGTTCTTGATGCACTTGTCTTTCCAACCACAGCATAACTAAAAGCAAAACAGTGTCATTCTACTTATGCTTTGATCTGGCAAGCAGCAGCTTTATCTATGTTTTGAAAGTAGATAGGTAGAAATTATGTGAACTGAAATTTCTTAGTATACAATTTCATGATGCTGTCCTTCGTTTGTGGATTTTCAATAGTCTTCAGGAGACATATGAAGCAAAAAGGAATGAATTCCTGGGAGAACTGCAGAAGAAAGAAGAAGAAATGAGACAAATGTTTGTTATGAGAGTGAAGGAGAAAGAAGCTGAACTTAAGGAGGCAGAGAAAGAGGTAAGCCATCTGTCCTGCTTCAAGGGAAAGATTTGTAAGAGAGAGATTTTCTAAATACATCACGCTTTAGAGGACTTCATGATGGTCCAAGTACTTTCTACATGCATTTTGTCACGAGTGACCTGCCAACCTGGCCAGGAAAATGGGTCAGATATTCTCATCCCTGTCTTACAGATGATAAACAGGTTATAAAAGTTAAAACTATTTTTGCAGTCACATACCTAGTTAGCAGCAAAACCGAGACTAAAACTAGATCTTAGGTCTCCAGATCTGATCACATGGCCTGTGTAGCTCTGTGTTTCTTCAATTTACAAGTCTTAAAACATGAGATTTGGGATTCTGCGACTATTATTATCTTCTTAGTCTATCAGCCAACTCAGCTAGACTTTGGCAGTGTCTGGGGGACAACGATCTGACACAAAGCCTGCACTCCACATCTGCGCCCGTGCTTCTGCCCTCACGGGGCTTGCACTCCCTGCTTCAGCCTTACCTTAGTCCCCTCCCCTGGCCAGATTAACTGCTTCCTAGAAGTTAACATAGATTTATACTATAACATTCATCCCATTGTATTTGAGTGTGTGTGTGTGTGTGTGTATGTGTGCTTGTGTGCATAATGTCTATTTCTGCTGGTCAATAATGAGTATCTGAAGTGTTTGACCAATGTCTCTATATGTTTCTAAGTGAAATCATTTAAATAAATTTCCTCGTTTTCTTGTTTTAATTTATTTTGTCTAAAAACTACTGAAATTTAGAGGCTATTTAAATAGCTAAGCACTCAAGATGGTTTTGCTGCAGAGAAAGTTGAGCCTTATTTGCTGTTGGCTTCAAGAACCAAGGGGATGCTGGGTAAAAAATCTAAAATTGTCTAGAATTCCTTCCTTTCCTTTTCTTTTTCATTTTCTTTCTTCTTCCTTTGCTTTTCTTCTTCCCCTTCCTTCCCTCAAGGGCCAGAAATTTCCCAACACATTATTTAAGTAGCTAATACATAATGCATATATATATATATACACACACACACACATATATATACACACACATATACACACATATATACATACACATATATATGTGTATATATATACAAACACATACATATATGTAGTCATTGTATATATTTCTAAGTAAATGTTTTTTATACATTTCGAAAAAGGACCAGAGGTAAAGAACCACTTTTACCACTAGGGTGAGTTTTTTGTTGGGATCATAATTATTTTTGGCCAGGTGCAGTGGTTCACGCCTGTAATCCCAGCACCTTGGGATGCCAAGGTGGGAGGATCACGAGGTCAGGAGTTCGAGACCAGCCTGGGCAAATGGTGAAACCCCGTCTCTACTAAAGATACAAAAATTAGCTGGGTGTGGTGGCGCATGCCCATAATCCCAGCTACTCGAGAGGCTGAAGCAGGAGAATTGCTTGAACCCAGGAGACAGAGGTTGCAGTGAGCTGAGATTGTGTCACTACTCTCCAGCCTGGGCAACAGAGCGAAGGAATTTTTAGTCCCAAGGAGTTCTAGTGTCACAGGAGTCTGGGACTCTGAGGGATGCTCTTCAGCATCCCAGCTCAGCTCCTCCAGGAAGTCAGCAAAATGGTACTTTACACCTGTATTAAAGCCAGTGCAGCCACATGACACATATTTGTTTGTTTTCTTTTATTTTCTTTTGAGACGGAGTCTCTGTCACCCAGGCTGGAGTGCAGTGGTACGATCTCAGCTCACTGCAACCTCCGCCTCCCAGGTTCAAGCAATTCTCTGCCTCAGCCTCTTGAGTAGCAGGGATTACAGGCACCCGCCACCACGCCTGGCTAATTTTTGTATTTTTAGTAGAGATGGGGTTTCACCATCTTGGCCAGGCTGGTCTTGAACTCCTGACCTCGTGATCCACCCACCTCGGCCTCCCAAAGTGCTGAAATTACAGGCGTGAGCCACCGTGCCTGGCCATGTTTTGTTTTTTGAACAGATCCAAAGAACTTTACATCAAAAGGATTTTCATTCCATTCACCAAGCCTGTTTTCTTTTTCTCTCCAGCTTCACGAGAAGTTTGACCTTCTAAAGCGGACACACCAAGAAGAAAAGAAGAAAGTGGAAGACAAGAAGAAGGAGCTTGAGGAGGAGGTGAACAACTTCCAGAAGAAGAAAGCAGCGGCTCAGTTACTACAGTCCCAGGCCCAGCAATCTGGGGCCCAGCAAACCAAGAAAGACAAGGATAAGAAAAAGTAAGCAGGTGTCACCCCCCTGTATCGGGGACCTCTAACAATTTATTCCTCTTGCATGTCTCTACTTTTCCCATTTACAGACTGGAAACTGGTCCTTTACCAGAAAGATAAAAGCAAGTATTTTCTCTACAGTGCAGGGAAGATGATGAAGGTTTTTAAATTTTTTTAAAAGGTACACAAAGATTAATTTATAAAACTTTACCACAATTGACCAAGCAATCAGGCCTGGAGGAACCTGTTGTCTCCAGTAGCATCTTCCACACCAACACTAGGAGTCTCAAAGAAGACAGGTTGATGTCTCTTCAGCACCCTCTGAAGACAATTCTCATGACTCTTGATAGAGAGCATCCTAAAATCACAATTGTTAAAATTATTTTCCTATTCTGTGTTGTAAGACTTCGTAAGCCAGTCACTGAAATTCTCGTTCCCAAAATGAAACATTTGGAAGAGCTGCTAGTGGCCACTAGTTTCCTCAAAATTCAATATGATGAATTGTTTTATTGTGAAATGGGATCCAAATGCCTATCCAGTTGACACCTCTGCCAACCTCAAGCCAAACCTAAACCCATTCATAAAAGGTTTTTTTTAAATAGGGTCTTAATGTCATGTGCCAAAGGGTCAGATTCTGCTCTTGAGTTGGTCACTTCCTGTGATACTCCAGTAGCAGCTGCCTGAAACCAGTGGGAGATTTAGGCCTCCCTTGACATTCTCCTGTGATTTGAAGCTCTCCTTTGAATCATCATAAAGCCTAGTTTTATGTCAATGCTATCGGTTTTGACAGGAAGCACGATGGTAAGAATACCACTAACGAAAACCTTTGTGGTGTCTCAATGACAAATATGCAGATGCCACCCTCCTTTGTCTAATGTACGGTGCTTTAGGGCAGCTATTTAATATAAAGCAACTCAGAACTTGTTTCAGGAAGTGTTGCTCTTTCGCCTTACATGCCAAGGTTCTAGGGAAAAAGCTGACCATATGTAAAAACATTGATGCTCAAGCACATAAAGAATTACATTCTTTAAACATAGAGTACATAGGATCAAGTCTCTGCACAATAATTGAGATGTGTTATAGGGAAAAGTGAGCACAGTGCTATTGTCCACTTAGTCTTGGTGAATGTGCAGTAGGCTCACCCCTAAGGAATCTCATGTTGCCTGCAGTAAAAATAAAAATGGACTGCTACAATGACATACTGAGAGAGTTTTAAATCATGCTTTACAAACTGACATTCTGAGCTCTGAGACAGCAGAAAATGTATCACCAGAGCAAGGGAGGAGGCAAATGTTCTGAACAATAATTGAAATGGTTGTGATTTTATTTGGAGTTGGCACAGATCCAAGTGACCAAAGGAGTTCAAGGCCCAAAATTTAGTTATGCTGGATTAATTCTGAGAGTAACAAGCACATAGATTATAATCTAAGAAAACCCTTTGTAGCTATGCATGTCGGGAGAGCATCTAACACTAATGGTGATGTTTCCCATGCAGAGACTCAGATTACAGTGACTCTTCCAGTGAAGACAGATGAAAGCCATTGGGCATTGTACCTTTGTTAATCCAAGCTAAACTAACCAAGGATATAGGGGTGTGTATGTGTCTGTGTGTGTGTGTTTGTGTGTGTGTACACATACATCTATAGGTATGAATGAGACAAAAAGCTGCTGACTTACAGCTTAGGAAATGCAAAGTCAAGTTTTTCTTTTCACCCTGAGGCACTCAGTGCATAAAGGTTCAAGTTTTAAAACTAAGAATGTTTCCAAAAGACCAGCAATGTTAAAAGAGTATTTCGTGTATACTAGACGTGCCTTTAAGCAATAAAAATTCCAAGAGCTGATCATTATTGTGCTTCCATTTTAGAAAAGTTTATTTAGTAACAAACTTCCCAGTGTAGGGAGGTTTTTCCTTGCCCTTTTGAACATGTTAGGTTATTTTCTTCCTATCCTGGGGCCTTACCAATGTGTAATGCTTTCAAAGTTTCTATGAAGCCTGTGTGGATTCTATTTTAGCTTATTTATATATTCTCATTTATTTTGAAGGATATTATACTTAATTTGGTTCAGAGTAGTCGCCAGGTTTTGCACCTGACAATGGCACATATTTTTTGTATAACTTTTTCTAGGTCCTTACCCTTTTCCACACTTTACATTTGTACAGTGAAAGCAACTGCCAGTGGAGGCCTGAAATGTCCAAGAAAAAAAAAAATCACACCTCTTACTGCCAGTGGTAGTGGAGTGTTTTGGTTAGAGGGACCGCAGAAAGACAGTGGCCAGGCTAGACAGAGCAGCACTTTGAAAAGAGCTGGGAAGATGCCTCCTAGCATAGCTGGAACAGATGTGGGAGTTGCCATTCAGGAACTGACTTTGTTATAGGTAGAAAATGAAAAGGCAGATGCTTACTTATTTACCTGCTATGCTTCCACCTCCAAGCCTAACTTAGTTTTTCTAATAGTTTTAAATTCTCTTTTTTCTGTTCTAATGACACGCTCCTTTTTTAATGTAGGTAAGGCTTTATACTTCTCCTTGACCTGTAGTGGCATGAGAGTGTATAACATTTCCTAAGATGACAGGCAAAGTAGAACTAACCCTGGCACTGCCATTAGCTGGACCCCACCTTCTGCCATCTCTGGCCACGAAGTCACTTTCCTTGTTTGCGGCTATACCACAGTGGTGGGACTGCCCAGGGGTAAGTTGGTCAGTGGACAGTGTTCCTCTTTTCTGAAAACTGTCTGCACAATTGCCAGCAGGCATTTGCTGGTTAAGATGCAAACAGTTTTAAAATTCGTCATTTTAAAACCATACTTGGCATCTAATAACTACAGTTTACCCAACCATCCACTCATCTTTTAAAAAAAAATCATTTTGATTCTTGCTAAGGAATAAGGTTGCATGTTTTGCAGTTGCCTAAAATTAGACACGTGGACCGTGGGTTTGGCATTACTTTGTACCTAAAAGAGGGGGAAAGCTCCTGGCATTGCTGTAGCTGTAACCATTCCAGTGATTGTCCTTTTTTTCCCCCTACCCAACTAGATTAATAGCATGTCCTCCATTCACTATGTAATTTCAATCCCTAAACTGCTTTAGACCTTTTCTTCAAGTCAATTGTACAAAGGCATTTATTGTATATTTATTCTCTGACTCCTTCAGCAGCTCAGAAGTGGAAAATGAAGCTCCTATTCAGTACTAATGGGACACCCAAACCTAATAGATAATGGTTTTGTGTTATTTGAGAAAACAAAAGCCAAACAGTAAATCCTCCCACTAGACATGCAGTGGTTTCAAGAAGTCACTTGTGAATTCTAAATTACATACAAATGGAAACTAACCATATGTCTTTAATTCAGTATTAAATTTTGCTTTGGCTTGTCATGTAGAGTAGCCTTCTCAAATTTTTGGTTTTAATTTCTGTCA
Organism: Homo sapiens; assembly: GCF_000001405.40. Classification (NCBI taxonomy): domain Eukaryota; kingdom Metazoa; phylum Chordata; class Mammalia; order Primates; family Hominidae; genus Homo; species Homo sapiens. Next base: position 77,034,376 of record NC_000004.12, read on the forward strand.
ATTCCATAATCATTGCATGAGCATTCACCATCACTGAATGCTGGTGCTGTCGCTCCTAATTTTCCTTTCTTTTTAATTTATTATTATTTCTAACTTTTTTGTTTTGTTTTTTAACTTGCAGTGCAAGCTTCACATAAAGCCTGGCAAGCCAAGGATGTTCCCGCATTCACCTGCTTTTGCAGTAATATCGTATCTCTGCCATGTGTGTTCTTTAGTTTTATTTTATTTTATTTTATTTTTTTACCCTTCCTCAAACACCAGTAACTATTATTAACTCGTTTTGCTGAATGTTGTTGGGTGGTAGAAAATGATAGAACAAGGGAATAACCGCGAATGCTCTGTGCAGCTGGACTCTGTTTCCGGAAAGTAAATGATTTGCTTTTTATGCCTGTTCTGAATGGCAGCACGAAGCAGGCCTGTTACTTGTATGTCGCTTTGGACAGAGGAAAGTGGGGTAAAATGCTACCTGTACGTCTGACATGAAAACTTCTCACCGCCTCAGCAGCTGAACTAAAAACCTGAATAGCCATGACAAGAGTTTGCATTTTCTTGATGATTCATCTCCATGAGTGCACAATCCCTGAACTCACTGTCTTTTCTCCACACTTGTCCTAAGCCAAGGTAGATTTGTACGTAGACAGACTGGTGAGCAAGCATTATATTTTATTTTTACCCTTGCATGACATTTTCATTTTAATCAATAACATTATTTGGCCTGAGCTTGTGGGTCTGTTCAGACTGTCTCCTCTCATGGTTTGAAACTGCATCTGAATGCCTGCCTTCAATCCTGGCCAAGTTGGAGTAGACTGGTATGAGAAAACTATGATTAGTTCACATTTACTGGTGCATCCTTGATCCTCTCACAGATAGAGGTCTTAAAGGTTGGATCATGTAACATTGCTTAGTAGAAGAATCTTCTTCTAAGGATGATGGGCTTTCTACAGCCTGCTTACCACTAACAGTAAGGAATCTTTCATAAACACACCTCAGTTTGTTCCCAGTGGGCTTAGAGGGAGGACCTGATGACTGATTCCAGGATACTTGTACTTCTAATAACATTTTTCATGAATCATGAGAAAATTTCCACAGATACTTCCCTTAGAAAATTTGCTATAAACTCTGTATCATTGGTAGCACAAATTTGAGCGAGGCCTTGTCAATTTTAAGGTGGAAATAGGAAGGACCACAACATGACCCGTAAGTCAAGAAGGTAGACATTTCATATCCAGCTTCCTTGCTTAGTCTCCTTTCAGTATTTGGCAATAAAAGAAAGAAGAAATAGAACAGCTGAAGTCTCAAATCATTGTCTGGAATTTTCCTCACCTTGGCTAGCTCCACCTGCTCTTTGTCTAAGGCCCTTGCCTCATCAGGGATTAGAACTGGCCCATATGCCAGAACCTGTACTAAATGCCTAATTTGTATGGAAGAGTGCATATTTAATCTCTTTTCTATACTGCTCCTTTCTGATGCTTATCCTTTCATCTGTGTGATTGTTTTTTCCCCTCTACTAACAAGATCCTCCCAGCTTTCTCTCTACATGTAGAAAGGATAACATTTCTCATGAACCCACTGCCCCTCTGCATTTTCCTCACTGGTTAGAGATTAAGTAAATAGGATAGAATATGCTGCGTCTCCCCTGACACACACTTTCTTTTTTGAATGAGCAAGTCTCCATTTTGATTTCAGCAAAGATTTTTTCTCCTTTTCTTTGTCCTCAACCATACTTAGAGGAAAGAAGGAATGGTCTTCCATGAACTGATTATGCTTAATTAAGCAAAGTAAGGAAATTAGTTTCATGGAAGCCTAAACAAAGCTGGAATAGAAACTACACACTAGACACAGCAGTAGTCATAGTCTTCACAGGTTTAGGAGCTACTGGACCAACATTCTTGTTTTTGCTTTTGTTTTTTTAAATAATTCTAGTCTGGAGCTAACTGTGGAGCAGCCAAATAGTAGCTGGCATGTTGATTCAAACCATGGGCTGAATTTGCTCATAGGCTGTGCATCAGACAAAAGCTTGAATATTTGTGTTGTATGCTTGTTCCAACCACCGCTTGTGTGAGCATTTTTGTGGCTTGTACAGAAAGTACACTTTTAAATTGTCTCTTGCATCACTAAAATTTTTTTAAAATGAGCATAACAACGAAAGGCATCCAGCTGACTTTTTGATTCCAAGATTATTGATTGGATTGACTTTTTTGCATTAAATTTTTCCCAGCAAAATAAATCATATGGCGAGTCAGGGAATAAAAAGTCAAAAGAAACAAATAGAAGCTTTTTTTTTTAAAAAATGTATTGCTTCTGAACTTTTTTCTGCCACTGCTCCCTAGCCCTGTTTAGTTTGTTATTGCTGCTTTTCTTTTTTCTTTCTGTATCTATGCCTTTTTTTCACAGTAGTCCTTGGCTCTGCACGGAATAAATGATACCCTCAAATCTAATTGGATGTGCTTTCGCCTTTGCATGTAAGTACGGTAGTAAGAAACCTTTGAGATCTTTCTGACTTTTCAAAATTAGAGAAAGCAAATGGGATGGATAGATTTTTTTTTTCTTTTCAAGGGGGGCAGGAAGGTAATGGTTTGAGTAGCCTTTGTTTAAAAAAAAGACTAAATATATTTAAAAGGCCACATTTATATTTTTTTCACAAGAACCACATAATAAATTCCACTTCTTGACCTGAATTTGGAAATCCGAAATTACTAATCCAGGCCAGGTGTGGTGGCTCATGCCTGTAATCCCAGCACTTTGAGAGGCCGAGGTGGGCAGATCACTTGAGGCCTGGAGTTCAAGACCACCTTGGCGAACACGGTGAAACCCCGTCTCTACAAAAAATACAAAAATTAGCCAGGCGTGGTGGCACGTGCCTGTAGTCCCAGCTACTTGGGAGGCTAAGTCAGGAGAATTGCTTGAACTTGGGAGATGGAGGTTGCAGTGAGCCAAGATTGCACCACTGCATTCCAACCTGGGTGATGAAGTGAGACTCTCCAAAAAAAAAAAAGAAATTATTAATCCCTGCCTGTGCTCTACATAGCCTCATGGGCATCATTGGATAGCTCAGAGGGCCCTTGATTCTGGCAAGGCAAATAAAGCCAGAATGAGAAATTACCATCTTCTACTAGAGAAAACCAAGAGAAAAATTTTTATGCTAGGATGCCTTTATGACCACTTAATTTTTTAATCTTAGTTTAATGGTCTCTCCCTGGTGCTAACTGCTGACAGTGGCCACCTCTTTTTTGGGGATTGAGGGGCCTACATAACTAGCTGGCCTTACCCCATATCTTTTGTTCAAACATAATACCATCTTTTTGCTTCTTCTGAACTTTAGATCTCCATAACACATGTACTGTAGAATGTGATGGAAAAGCATTGATGAGAATTTATTGGCAGTTCAGATTGTGTTTTCCCAACTTAGGCTCTTTATTAATTGGTTAAGGTTTTCTCCAAAAAGGGCATTTCAACAATGGGAATTATTTAATGTAACAGTGGGCACAGATTACTTATCTTCCTTCTCTGCTTTGTGACTCACCAGCAGTAACACACACAATCCACATCTTGTGCACCTCAAATGAACAGACTTGGTTTCCTTGCTTTCTTGACATTTCCATGACTGTTTCACATACAAACTATTGGGTGAGGTTTTTCAGCTGTTACCGACCCACGTCCTGCTGTCTCTGTGTGGTCCTACAAAAACTGTCCATTCCCACCCCTTTGCTTTGCCATTTGCAAGAGTCTGGAATTGTCAGGTCTCAGCTTCGAAAAGTCCTGGTTCCACTGACAGGACACATTCTTTAGTGGGAATTAAGACCTACAAAGTCTAGTTTGTATGTAGGTATGAAGGGAATTTTTTAAATAAATTGAAAAGCTGTGAACAGCATTAGAACTTTGTCTATTTCTTAATTTTAAAATATGCTGATATGCCTTAAACTGTAGTTGTAGATCCTTGTCATTTTGCTGTTTGAAAATAACCAATGTGTTTTCTAAAACTGTCGTGTAATCTACTTTCATTGTTAATGCAGAATTGTCATATATGTAAGCTGCATGTTAGACATTTGTCTTTTTTAAACTAAAGTAATTGTATTGATGTGAAGCATATCATTTTTTCAAATATGAAAGTGATCACTTAGCAACATGCTTGGTAATTTGGCATCTGTTAAGGTAGGAGAGTGGTGAACAGATAATCTATGCATATATCACTAGTGCCAAGACATAAAGCGGGGGAAAATATATTTTTACCCAAACATTATTTGTGTGCCCTTTTTTGTGAGTTCTTTTTAGTCACTGCTTGGTTTGCATATGTACACGTGCTTACTGGATAAAAGAAATAGGGATAAGAGTCTCATGCTTTCCTGCCTCGTGTGGTAGACTTCAAATGGCTGCCGTCTGGGTTACACCAGTTTCTCAAAGATACGTGCCATGTGGTGTCCTGTACTTCACATATCATGTTATCACCCTTTTTCCCCCATGCCTGTCCCTGTCCACCCTGCCAATTCATGTGCCTTGGTGCCCAGCTGAGGCATCGTCTTCTTCACTGGCCTCCTCTTCCCTGCTGCTGCTCACCCTCCCGTCGAGCTCGAGGAAGTCACCCCATTAACTGACACACTGCTGTTCTTTCACAGCTTGTTGTAGAGAAGCTCCTTTTCTTTTCTTAAGCCATTAAGAATCAAATTTGAATCTGAACCTTTCTTTTTTCTCTTCTGTAGCTTCTTCTTTATGTAACCATCCTGTTGACAAGCCCTACTCTCTCCTAATGGACATAGAGCATTAGAAGAGCAGGAGCTGTCTGTTCACACGTGTTGGGGAAGAGTTACCTCATTTCCACCATCGCCTCCTGTTCTTTTAAAGTCTGGGTCAAATATTGCACTGCTGTTTGTACTTGTCAATGTCTGCCCATAGTGGATACTGAAGTGACTTACCACTACCAAAAATAGTCATATTCAATAATATTAATTAAAAAGGAAAAAGGAAATTGACTGAAACAGAAAACGTGGGCCAAGACCCAAGGTCTTGTGCTGGGATCCCCTTGCTTAGAACTATCATGTTCTTGAAGCTGCTGATCCAAGAACTGATGGACTGAAGACAGCGTGTACCCTAACCTGAGGGGGCCACCACACCCAGGGCCCACAAACTTGATCTCATGGTAACTCCTGTCCTTTCTGTCCCATGAGCCACATTCTGAACAGCCTGATCAGGATCCTCAACCGTCAGGTCATAAGATCCGAGCAACATTTTCCTTCCTTTTGTTAGTTTTATGGGTTGTTTTGGTGTTTGGGGTTTTTAAAAAAAAAAAATCATTTGATATTGCATGAACAGAGATGGCTGCAATTTTTTTTCTTTGGAGTGTTCTATTGATACAATGTTTTTATTTTTCAGCTGACCATCTGCCTCTTGAGAGAGAGAGAAGTGGGCATCCTTCCTTTAAATTCAGGAACCACTGTTGTTTTATTTGACTTTTTCTGTTACTTGCATCCCTTATATAAGTTGTTTTGGATTTGGGACTATGTTTTGGGGGAGAAAAACTCCAGTTAGTTCTGTTTTTTGTATTGGTTATTCAGCTTACTTTTGGTATCAAAATTATGCCAGTTTTAAGCTCACTTGAGTGAAGTTTAAGTCACAAGATTCTGTTTAACATGCTTTCCTTGTTTTGGAAACAACCAAAAACTTCCCTTTTTTGTTACGGGATTTTGACCTACAAATCCTAATCATGTTTAAAATGTGCCGGTGTTGGGTAGATGACTTTTCTGCCTCTGGGGTTCAATTTATATTTAAAGATACCTTAAAATAACTTACTGGCCCATCCCTGCCTTTTTATTTGTTGTGAAGCTCTGTACCTTGTGTCCACAGCTTTTTACCAAGACCCATATGTCTTGGACCATGGGAAATGAACCCCAAACAAGTACATGTCTCTTCTCCCAGATAACAGCATCATTAACAATGGTTCTGATTCACATTGTCTTCTCAGAGTTACCTAGGTGGATTTCTCTACAATATCTGCAAAAAAACCTGCTGAGAATCAAAGCATTCAGACTTGATCACTTAAAATAACATCCATATCCAAACACATACTTCTGCCAGTTGAGTAAGCCTCTGATTTCTAATGCTGACCTGTTTGTGATGAGTCAGATTCAGGGCTAGATTACTTTAGTTAGCAGTCACTTCTTGGGGGCAGTTTTCATAGTGAAGGGACAATTTTCAAATCGTATGTATTATAAAGCATGGACATATATTTTGTTATCTTTCAATTTCATTACCTGTTTGTAGATAGGCTTATTTCCATCTTTACTTTTCAGCTCCATAGTAGGTAGATCATAGAAATACCGTTGGTGGCATGAGTTGCCTTTAATCAAGATCCTCAGGAGTGTTCCCCTCTGAATAAGAATGGTAACATATGGTTCCTTTAGACAGTGAAATGAAGAAGCAACAGTCCCTGCCTCTTGAATCACTTGATTCCTGGAAAGAGATTATTTAGAGCAATTGGATGAACAAGTTGGCAAGCTGCTTTCTTTACTTAGAAACTAAGTAAATGTAAGTAAAGTCAGATACATGTGAGCCATTAAATGATCAAAATGTCAGCATCAAAAGCCATCCCCTTCATTCTACACTATAATCTGTAAGGACAGAAATCTGCTAGTAATGTGACCAGTGGAGTGGGAAAGGAATAGCAGCTCCTTACCAGCTGATGCCAGAGCATGACATCAGTTTTGCAAGTTAAACATGTAGTTCCTGTTGTGTGAGACTACTGTCATCACTACATATAAGTGACTTTATTCTTAAACTCCCTATTTTGATATTTTAACTTTATTCTATCATTTTAAAAACAAATTCTGCATCAGATTGTAAATATTTTTTGAGCAGTATTTAAAAATCAAATTAGGCAATATTTAAGTAAGAAATGTATGTCTGTTGTTGCTATTTCCTTTTTTGTTTTTCTGTTTTAGCTCCCAGAGTAGAGGAAGTTAATATGAACCATGTTAATGGGAGGAGTTGGGGAACTGAGAATATTATCAGTACGTTAGCCTCAGTCCAGTTACCTAGGGGAACCTGATCATGTACACCTCTGGCCAACCGAGTGCCTTGCCATCTCAATTCCCCTAAGATAGATTGCCATTCATTTGGCATTTTACAATAGGCAGTTCTTTTTCTCTAGTGTTGATAAAACTGGTAGATTTTCTCCTGGCTGACCAAGTAAGGGATGTGAAACCATCTTGGGTATAATTACTAGCAATAAAAATTACTGGCTTATCTCAAACAAGATTGTGGAAAAGCAAAGCAGGGAGAAGTGAGCCATCTAAACCTGTTTCCATTGGTAATAGGCTTTTTGTTCTTCATCAATCTTAAACAAATATTAGTTCTTTTCAGATACAGACTCTGCCTTAATACGAGCATAGTCTAGATGGTCTCCTTGAGATTAGCCCAGCACACGTGTAAAGGAGAGATCCAACTTTCTCAATGGTTATGCACTGAGCTGGACAGATAGAAACAGGTCCTCACCCCCAATAATTGACCGAACTTCTTTTCCCGTCAACAGTGCTTATCAAGTTCCTTCTTATTTGGTTATCTATCTATCTATCTATCTATTTATTTATTTATTTATTTATTTATTTATTTATTTTTGGCCTGCTATTGGCCCAGATTATGGGTAAACAGGTCTGGTATCAAACAAATACGTGGCTAAGTGCGATGGCTCACACCTGCAATCCCAGCATTTGGGAGGCTGAGGCCGGTGGATTGTTTGATGTCAGGAGTTTGAAAACAGCCTGACCAACATGGTAAAACCCTGTGTCTACTAAAAATACAAAAATTAGCTAGGCATGGTGGCGCGTGCCTATAATTCCAGCTACTCAGGAGACTGAGGCAGGAGAATCGCTTGAACACAGGATGCGGAGGTTGCAGTGAGGCAAGGCCGCCCCAGTGCACTCCAGCCTGGGCGACAAAGCACATCTCCGTCTCAGAAATAATAATAAAATAAAAAACACAAAAGACTATTAAAGTTTTTTTAAGCCACCTTTAAAACCTTTTGTTTCACAACTGACTTATCTTCCCACCTGGAGACTGACAGTGATGGCAGTGTGGCTCACTTCAGAGTTCCTAGTGCTTGAATTTTTAAGACCATGGTATCTAGTTTTTGCGAAGGATGCCATCTGTCTTTCAGGTCAATCTCCAGCAAGCAACTGGCATACCCAGGGCTGGTGAAGGGATTGCTTGTATTAATTTTTTTTTTCTTTATTGGACTCTCACTCTGTTGCTTAGGCTGAAGTACAGTGGCATAATCACAGCTCACTGCAGCCTTGACTTCCTTGGTTCAAGCAATCCTCCCACCTCAGCCTCCTGAGTAGGTAGGACTATAGACATCAGCAACTATGCCTGGCTAATTTTTTTATTTTTTGTAGGGATGGGGTCTCATGTTGCCCAAGCTGGTCTCAAACTCCCGGCCGCAAGCATTCCTCCCACCTCAGCTGCCCACAATACTGAGATTACAGGCATGAGCTACTGTGCCCAGGTTGCATGTGCTAATTTGAGAAGACTAATTGGGAGCCTAGGTGTCTACTCATCTCCCTTTCCTACCTTGCTATTCCTGATTAACAGCTATATATAAATGAGACCTATTGGTTGTCAGTGGAACATCACGTGAGGTACAAAAGATTTCACATCTGCCTCAAATCAGTTACTTGTAGGGATGTGAGATGAATAGCCTTTCAGTCCATTGTGGAAAGTTTCTTCCAAAGTTATGGCACCTAGACCGGGGAGGCAAAGGCTATTATAACAAGATTTTTTTGGTCCCTGTCTCACAAAAGAACAAATAAATGTGTGTGTTTGAGGGTGGGGAACGGGGAGCAGAATAACATTCCATAAAGAGCTGGGCTTAGACAGGTGCATTGGCTCAACATCTGTAATCCCAGCACTTTGGGAGGCAGAAGTGGAAGGATCACTTGAGGCCTGGAGTTTGAAACCAGCTTAGGAAACATAGTGAGACCGTATCTTTAAAAAAATTTTTAAAGTTAGCCAGGCATGGTGGTGTGTGCCTGTAGTCCTAGCTACTCAGGAGGCTGAGGTGGGAGGATTGCTTGAGCCCAGGAGTTCAAGGCTGCAGTGAGCTAGGATCGTGCCACTGCACTCTACCCTGGGCAACAGACCTAGACCCTGTCTCTTATATAAACAAAAGAGCTGGGCTTAACTGTGAACAATGTGTTTAGAACTCTGGAGAGTTGCAGTTCTAGCTTTCCTTGTCTTTTTTTCTTATTCACTCATCCATCTTCCCCCAACCCCTCCTTCCCTCTTTCCAAATACTTTATTGTGTATACTGCACCAGGCCTACATTAGGTACTGGGGATTTAGCCATGCACTATGAATTGAACTTGTATAACTCATATAAGCACAGCAACGTTAAGAGTGAAAGAAAGAAAAGGCAAGCCTTTTCTATGCTAAGTCGTTTGCTGAAGATAGATCATATCCTGAAAAGCAAAAAGGATTCTGCTCCCCACCAGTCACTTTGTCGTGGCTGCTTGCCTAAAGTTGGCCTTCATTCTGGAGTGTCCTATTGCCTAACAAAATAAGCTATTTCCAAGAAATGGGAGACCAGTTCACTAGGCCTAGGGCTATTCAAACTGCTTTTTTACAACCTTACTGTTGTGTAACACAATAAGGTCAACAATTCTGGCATTTGATCTGGTATGAAGGCTATACTTCTAGAGTTAAGAGAAAGGCATTTCATCCTTCTCATTTCATCCTTAACTCCAGAGGCTCTTAGGAACTAAAAAAGTGAGTTCTTCTCAAATTTCTCTGATAAGACATTCTTGGTTATCTTATTACGCCTTTTAAAGTAAAACTGGCACAAGGGAGAGTTATGTCTGACATTGGTCTTACATACGAGTACATCATAAAAGCCACTAAATATGGTGAGGGAAAACTTGCTATTTCTTGATGCAAGCTGTGCTAAGTAAGCGTGCTCTTCAATTTTTCTCTCCTAATGATTGGCCAAATCCAATTCAAACTGAAAGCAGCAAGGTTTTGGGACTTGGCTATATTCAAGCCTTCCCAATTGTATTTCTAGGCTACTTTACAGAACCACACAACTCACTAATTGGGATTTGTAAGACTGGTTCTGGTTTTTCTTGGTCTGAAACGTGGTATCCAGTCACCATCTGCCCCTTAACCCTGGCTGATCTTGCCAAAGTTCCCTGTCTCTCACACACACAGGCCTCCTGTACCTTAAGTAATATGAACTTCTAACTAAGCCAACACAGTTGGCTCAGCAACCAGATGAGTGTTCAACTGCTCACTAACATACAGTAAACTCAACTCAATTTCTCCCAGAAATTGAAAAAGATGCTGTATTTTTCTAAAAGCACCATCTAGTGGCCAAAACTCATAGCATTATTTGATAACAGGTATAGGAGACATTCTCCTCAACATAAAGACTGAAAGAATTTTCGAGGCTTTAGAAGTAACATTTACATGTTAGACAAAACTTCATGATGTCAAATAGAAAGGGTAAACGTTTGAGATGAGTTAGAAGTTGAACCCTGTTAAACTGGGGATGCATTCTGCCAGGTTGGTTGTGAGAACCTGTGACATAGTATCTTCGCTTTCCAGTTGAAAATGTGCAAACTACTTTAGATAAAGATAAGCTCCTCATCATGTTGGCTGTACATCAGTAGCTTAACCACATTTTCTTCTCAAGTGAAAAGCCACCATGCTGCTTTGGGCACTAATGCTCAAGCATAACTTGCTTCAGGAAATCTAGGAGTAAATTTAATAGCTTGAAAATTCAGGTTTGTAAAGAGCACAGAGGACACACACAAGTGGCTGACTCTAATAACACAGGAGAAAATACATAGTATTTCTTGGGGGCACAAACACCAGTGTCTTAATTCTCTCAAGAACATAGGTTCAGATTCTCTTCAACTTGGCTGAGTGAAGAGCTACATTCTACCTTCCTTCACAGCCAAAGGTAGCATCAGGAACATTTATGACAAACTGGTCATATTTGACCTTTTACTGACATTTGGGAGCATTCTGCGTTCCCAGCTTTCCCTTCTCCCTCCAAACTAATACATCGTCTATCTGTAGAGAAAACTTATAGTTCTCTATATAACTAACTTTATATTCATCTCGTAGAGAATGAAGAAGTAAAATATTTAGCTTCCAGTCTGATCTTCAAGGGCTAGAACATGTTTAGGTTTTTTTTTTTTTTTTTTTTTTTTTGGTTGAATGGAGGATTAGAGAATAACTACTATCCCCATCAAGTATATTCCCTTGCCTTTCCAGAGGCTTCACGGAGCGACAGGTTTTTTAACCACCAGGAGGCACAAGACAATTATGATGCAGAGTGCTCAAGTTTCTGGATCTTGAGTTTGTGATGTGATGCCAAAGTTTAACACAAGTAACTTGGGACAGGCTGAGAATAGTTTCAGGTAAAAGGAACTAATTGAACAGCAGGAACTTTTTTTTTTTTTTTTTTTTTTTGATAGTCTTCCTCTGTTGCCCAGGCTGGAGTGCAATGGCACGATCTCGGCTCACCGCCTCCTGGGTTCAAGCGATTCTCCTGCCTCAACATCCCGAGTAGCTGGGATTACACACCTGGTTAATTTTTGTATTTTTTAGTAGAGATGGGGTTTCAGCATGTTGGTCAGGCTGGTCTTGAACTCCTGACCTCGTGATCCGCCTGCCTCAGCCTCCCAAAGTGCTGGGATTACATGCGTGAGCCACCGCACCCGACCGGAACATTCTTAATGAAAAGTTCTACACTGTTCAAGAATACTAGGCTCTTTCTGTCACAAGCCACAGTTCTCTAAGGGCCCACAGTAAGTTGTGAGGAAGTGGGCTCAGTCCTCTGAAATGGTGGCCAAGGTTTAACAGTGCTTTTGAGGGCCAGGTCTCCAAAACTATCACTGAACTGAACGATGGGTTAAATAAGCTCTGAGGCATGAGGGCTAGCAGCCCACTATCCCACTTGATTCGGTGTCCCATGAGAAGAATGCTGTGTTCCAAACTAACTTACCAGCAATTTGTAAATGTTGAAAACCTTAAGACTGAAAAGTGAAAATCCTATTGTCCTCTAACATTCTGCTCAATTTGCAGCTACTGGACTACAAATGAAATACTGACTCTAAACTCAGTTTTATCCCTAGCTGTCTACATAACACAACTATGTCCTCATCTGTTAAATAGGAGGAAGTTTCATAGTATCTGTATCATTTTACAGATACTATGAACATATGCAGTTGTAAACTTCTTAGAGCTCCTACAATTCAGATGAATTAAACAGATGAAGATCAGGATGAGAAATTTTTAAAATGTCTATCTGTGAAGCCAATCCTTTGCTATCTTCCCTCCCACTCCCTTTACTGACATGTGAGTAAATGCTTCCCATTTAATTGGATTTTAAGGTCATAAAACAGGTAAGTCAACCCTACCACAAGAATTTTTTACAAATCAGATGATGACCTGAAAATACTCTTGTTCTGCTAAATCTGAACATTACAAAATGGCTAAAAATGACATTTTAAAGATAGGGGTCTGAGCCTACTCTCACAAGCAGTCACATTAAGATGTAAATTTACTATTTGGAGGATTCACAGTGCACCAGTGAAAAAATATCACGAAAGAAAAATTCTTATGTCTAAAACCTATATCCCTCGATCACATTCAGATCCTCTTCATGTTTTATTTTCAGTAAGTGTATTCTTGGTCTTTCTATTGTTTTCTCTAGTTGAAATAGCAGTGCCTAGCCAATCAGGAACCTGTACCTCTTCACAACCAGAAAAAAGTCACAAAAACAAAAGTTAAGGACAACTTTTTATTGCTACCAGAGGCTTTTATCATCAGTACACAGTTCTGACTGCAATACCTTTTTCAGACTGCAAAGGGAGCTCAGGATCCAGAAGTCATTAAAAGAAACATAAGGCTGGGGAGGCAGGGGGAGTAAGTTCTATTAGAAAATCCTAATAGCTTAACAAAACTAGGGTACTAAATTCAGTTATAACATGTTACAGACTTAAATCATAGAGCTGCCCCAACATCTAGACAGTCTCTCCTACTGATTATAAATGAGTGAAAACTATCAGTTAGAAAAATCTAATTTAAGTTGTTAATACATGTTTCTTTGGTGAGCACCTGGATATATTTATCACAAATTCTTTTATACAAATGTCGAAAATGCTTTCAACAAACCTAAGTGTCCTAATTACATGCCACTTTTAAGCATCACTTTAAGGTAAACAAAAATGAAAACCATAATTTTAAATTAAAATTTGAAATGAGACACAAAATCAACCTGGTAATATGAGAACTTTTTCTTTTGCCATCTCTGATTAATATGGGACAATTCCAAAGTACCCTTTTCAGACTAATTGGAACTTGAGTCATGGCTGTCACACTGAAATAATTTGTTCATTCAACTGCAGTGAAAATCAATATAGATCAACATGCATAAAGTTCAGTAACTATTAAATGGAGAAGCAAGCAAAAGCAACAGGAAAATTAAATCAGGATGCTGAGGGGGAACAGGATTGCTGGCCATGAATTTTAATTGAATTTTTGACGGGGCAAGCTACGTTACATTATGGCAGAAAAAAAGTGCAACTGACATACTACAAAGAGATTTTTTAAGTTTAAAAAAAGTTTGGATCTTTTGGATTTCTTTTTTTTTTTTTTGGTCTTTATGTGCTTAAATAACGCTGAATTATAATTAGCCACACAAATAATGAGAGTTTTATTTTTTTTTTCTGGCTCACTCCAAATCAGCCTGTTAAGGTATATTTCCTTCTACAGCCTTTCCTGATTTTGCATGTTCTCATTCCCAAAGTAGTCTACCTTAGTTTACACTCAAAGGTAGCACTTGTTGAAACTACATGACAGAAACAGGCTGCAAAGGTGGACAAGGGGAAGCATGTCCCTCTTGTCTTGATAAATCAGTGCCACACACAGAACCCACATTTTCTGAGACATTATCTTCATTATAGAGCCGTTTGATTCCATCATAGAAGTCATCCACTTCCATTTCCTCTACTTTGCGTTTAGTAGAGGTCTGCTTGCACCCACTGGCAGCTGGGAGATGATGGTAAAAGGCTGCTGTACCTCTGACTGGCACTTCTGGCTTGCTGTTGTCCTTGGAGAAGTCTGGGCCTGGGACAGAGGAGGGATGTAATCTGAACACTCCTTTGTCACAGGTCACCAGGGTGTGCTTGAGGGGACGGTAGACATAAACGGAATTCAGAGGCAGGGAAGACTGCAGAGTAGAAAGGTGATGTGCCACAAGCTCCCGACAATGGATCAACTGGGAGCTATCCATCTGGGCCAGGAAAAAAAAAAAGCCACACACAGTTGATCATTAATTAACATAGGCTGCTCTGTTATCTCTGGTGGCCATTTTTCCTCCCTGTGCTTTCCGTCCCCGCTGAGTCTTTTCTCTCCCCACATCTACCTCCAACTCATTTATTTATCCAGCTACCCATCCATCAACATCATCTTAGAAATTAGGTCCAAATCTGTATTTCTAATATAATTATCTTTGGAACTTGAGTTTTGTATTTGCAATGTATGCTGAACATTTACATGAGAACAGAAACTACTTTTTTGTATCCAACGTCTGTTTTTTTTTTTTTTTTTTTTTTTTTTCAGTCTATTCCCCCTGTCTGGAAGGCCCTTCATCCTACTCTCTTGGCCTCTTCTAATTTTTTTCAGTGGAGTCCAAAGTACTCATAAACACATTCATTAAAAATGTAAGAAGCCAAAGGGCAAAAAAAAAATTTTTTTTAATCAGGGATGAGGAGGGAAGCTAAGAATTTTAAAATAGTAAATGAAAAATTTAGAAATATGTATTTTGTAGAAAATAGTAGACTTAGCACTAAGATGAAATGTTTTTGGTAAAGTTTTTAATTTGGGAGTTTTGCTGATTCCTTCTTACCCTTCAGGACAATTCACAGATATCAATCCTTTCTGGAGTTACCCCTGACTCCCTCAACACCCCAAAACTCTAAATGCCACGGTCATCTGTTTCTATATCAACCTTTTAACATATTTATGGCCAGGCGTGGTGGCTCATGCCTGTAATCCTAGCACTTTGGGAGGCCAAGGCAGGTGGATCGCTTGAAGCCAGAAGTTCAGACCAGCCTGGCCAACATGGCGAAACCCCTTCTCTACTAAAAATACAAAACATTAGCAGGACATGGTGGCAGATGCCTGTAATCCCAGCTACTCAGGAGGCTGAGGCATGAGAATAGCTTGAGCCCAGGAGGTGGAGGTTGCAGTGAGGTGAGATCAAACCACTGCATTCCAGCCAGGCCAACAGACAGAGCAAGACTCTGTCTTAAAAAAAAAAAAAAAAGACACTAAAACCTTTCAACGTATTTACCACATTTCAGTATAATAATCTATTTAACCATTTAGCCTTTCCATTATAGACTACAAGACCAAAGGTGTGGCATTGTATTATATTCATCTTTTTATCCCTAAGTTTCTGGCACAATGACTGTACATGGAAGGCCTTTAAATTATTACCTGTAGTAAAGTGTCTCTCTTCCTCACTTTCAATTACAGCATTGTCAAAATAACCTTAGTTAGCATCATATATTCCTTCCCTGCTCTCTCCAGCGGCACCCCAATGCCTACCAGAAATAAGCTAAACTGCTTAGTTTAGTATTAATAAGAATCTCCATAATCTGATCTCAACCTTCTTTTCTAGCCTTATTTCCTAGCATACCCTCAACTTGTGGTCTACACTCTTGCTCAACAGTCCTGCTCTATATGATGCACTAATCTTCCCCTTTCTTATTTTACCCTTAATCATCTTATTTCTACCTGTTGAAATTGTATTGCGCATTCCTTCCAGGACTGGCTAAACACCATCACCTTCAGGAAGCCTATCTTGACCATTTAACTATCAGGGATCACTTTTTTCCAGTTTTGAGTATTCTGGACATTTCTGTACCAAGTCTTACTTATCCTCATATAACCTGCAGCACTCACCATGACTGTTTGCAATACCACAGAGAAAATAGGGGAAAATAACGCACTCTACAAGAACACATTTGGTCACAAAATTATTTTTATCTCTAAATACATTCACTATTTGTTACTGAAAAATACCAGAGGAAAGAATGGTAAAAGGCTGATGTTAGTCATTGTATAATACAAATGCAAAGTAACTGAAACTGTCAGAAATATACAAGAAAATGGCAGATTTTAGCATCTACCATAATGTTCACTGATTTTTTTCCCCTAGTTTGAAAGGCATTAGATAACACACTGTGGGTAAGACACTATTAACTAGTATTAGAATTTGTTCTCCCTCCCTTAAAAGAAAAAAAGTTAACATAACACTTAAGATAGTCCCTGAACTATCAAGCTTACATTTAGGCTAGGTCTTATTATATATCCCAGGGATGTAGAACAAGCTGAAACATGCTAAAAACATTGGAACAAAGCACAGAGAAAGGATGGAGCTTCTGCCAATATTTTAGGAAGCCTAAAAAAAAAAAAATGAAAGAAACTGGGAGTAAAAAAGGGGCTATAGTGTAGAAATTATTTCTAAAAAATAAGTACAGTCATCCCACAGTATCCATGGGGGATTAGTTCTAGGATCCCCCAAAAGATAACAAAACCCAACATGCTCAAGTCTCTTATATAAAATAATGTAGTATTTGCATATAACCCACTCGCATTGTCCTGTATACTTTAAATCATCCCTAGATTACTTATAATACCTAACAGAATGCCTACACATCACTTCATCTGTGTAGATTCAATGTAGTACTCAGCATGCCACAAATTCCAGGTTTTTTTGGAACTCTGTGAAATTTCTTCCTGAATATTTTCAATTCACGGTTGGTTGAATCCAGATGCCAAACCCATGGATATGGAGAGCCAACTGTACCTCGTTTAATGAAATGTTCTTTAGCAAATGAATGATATTTATTGGCCTAAAAAGGTAAAGGTACCACAAATATTCTAATGCCTTGGTCACTGGGCATAATAAATGCCATGGCAGAATCAATACTATGGCAGAATCCTAAAAAGACATGTATTTAAGTAAGAGGAAGACTATGTCACTATAATCTTTCTGTGTGAAAAAACGAAGTAAATAGAGTTATATTTTAGCGGTGGGAGACTGACAAGAAATGATAGAGCTAAAAGACCTTAGAAATTATTCAAAACAAAACCATCCATATGAACTCCACTTCCACCCAAGTCCCAAGTAAGTCTTTTCTCCAAAATAACATCAAAATAAATTCCTTCTAATCTAGTACAATCTGAATTTGTTCTATAAGACACCAAAATAATTTGTTCCTTCTTGAGATCCAGTGGAAGAAACAAAACAAGCACATATACTGGAACTACCAAAACTCTCGACACCAGACAAGTACTCTAATGGAGTTGATAAAAAGGACTTAAATGAACTCTAATTATAAGGTGTCAAGAGAATATGTATTATTTTTTATAACAATAAATGACATAAATGGTAGGTCCAGATGGATCCAGGTTTGATGAACAGCATGAAGCACTGAGGAACCTGCTGGAATAGTCTGACCACAGCCACCTTCAAAAAGAACCAGGAGACTGGTGGGGAGGGGTCTGTTTTTTTGTTTTTTTTTTTTTAAATTTGCTTCTTTTTACTTTTAGATGGTACATGTGCAGGTTTATTAACTAGATATATATTGCATGATGCTGAGGTTTGGAGTACAAGTGATCCTGTCAACCAGGTAGTGAGCACAGTACCCAACAGTTTTTCAACCCTTGCTCCCCTCCCTCCCTCCCCCTTCTAGTAGTCCCCAGTTTCTACTGTTGCCATCTTTATGTCCGCGTGTACCCAACGTTTAGCTCCCACTTGTGAGAACGTGTGGTATTTGGTTTTCTGTTCCTGCGTTAATTCACTCAGGATAATGGCCTCCAGCTGCATCCATGTTGCTGCAAAGGACATGATTTTGTTCTGTTTTATGGCTGCACCTACTCTAGTTTTAAACTAGAACATGTACTTTGACTACTGCCCAGCTAGGAACTACAAAGACCACCACACTAATCTAGGTAGAGTTAACAGCCTGAGTTTATAAGGCTAAGGAGAGAAAGAGGTTTAGCCATCCCAGAATGGTGACCAACAGGTGGCGCAAGAGCTTAAGGGGGTGTAGTGGGAGGTTAACAGGGACAAAAGGAAGATTGCCTTTCAAACCTGGGAACACTCACCATACTTTGTCTCAAAGTGGGGGCTCAGGCAGAACTAGTGAGAGTGGCCTCCTCACAGCACGGTATGTCTGTGATGGACTCTCCTCAAACCAAGACACTGGGAATCATGTCGCAAATAATTTTGGCATGATCTCATCAATCTGATGCAAGACTTTCCTATATTAAAACCAGAAAACTAGGAAGAAATCTGATATTGTGGCCTTGTCACACGTCTAAACACAAAGATATTAGACCTGGTGTTCCCTACCTGAACACAGCAAACTTAGCAAAAACAGAAATGAGTCCTAAAGAACTAGGAGCCATCCATGTTTGGACCACATGGGTTGGTGTTAGAGAACTGCTAGAACAAGTCCCAAAAGTCTCTACCAAGATTTATGACCTTCCTTTTCTTCACTAACTTCCCCACTGCAATTATATACTACATGGGGCATATCTCTTAAAAAGAAAAAAAATTCACTGTATTTCCAGTTTTCAAACTACGTCCAAAGACTACCTACATAATATAATCTAAACCTACACTACATAGGTAGATTTCTAGCTATGGAAGGGAAAACGCTATGTTGAGTGGAGATCTGCCCTTAAACACAAGTATAGCTCCGTTCTTCTATTCTATATTCTGGGATTGTGTGTGTACAAGATTTTCTTTGGGGAAGGGGGACTGGGAAAGGGTTCCACTTCTAAAACAAATTATGAAAACCACTGAACTAGAATTTTTAAGGTTTGTGTGGTATGAAAAAAAGCATTGGTTCTTTTAAATCACTACTAAGTAGCTCTACACGGCTCTAAGAAAGTCTCCAGTTCCCTACACCAGAGCTATAAAATAAAGGAGGTGAATGAAATAACTTCTCCAAAGATTCTGTCAAATCCCAGGTTTGCAATACTCCTTCAGCTAAGAAGAAAAAAAAGTTTCAGTGAATACTCTCTTCCTCTAGCACCAGAAAACTTACAAAAGAGTATCAGATTTTCCAGTGTTTTTCACTAGGAAAACATGATCTCAAAGCTACAGAATACACATGCTATTTACAACATTATTATTTATGCTTCAAAATCTGTCCTCTGACACTAACACTTTAAAGCAATCTTTTTCTGTACTATCTTGAGAGTAAGCACAGAGAATAAGTCAGAAGGCATTTAGAGAGATGTCATTTGTTCCAATAAAAATAATGTAATGTAGGAGGTTTTCTATTAAGCCTATTCCTCTACTTCACAGTCTAATGTGAGTGATTAATATTCAACTTTTCTTTCTAACACTCCAGGGTGAGCAAAGTAAATTTTCTGTGTCATATTATTCATTTAAATGGTGGTTTATCATAATTTCTAAAAATTCTAAGTAGCAACTACCTCCTAGGATTTATTCTCATTACAGCATTTAATTATTTTAATCTAAGACAATTAAGATATCCCTTCAAAACAAAAAACAGCCCATGTTACACTACATAGGTAGATCTCTAGCTAACATACTGCTCTGATCATCAACCTTTTTATGAAAAGACTGAGCTCCCCTCTGCTCACAAACTAGAGCCTAAAATTCTTGGAAGCACTGACATACTTGTTTAAAAAAAAAATTATTTTTTTGCCTGGTTCATTTTCTTCAGACATACTTCTTAAAATGTTTGCTATAAGATCAATTATAACTTTCTTAGAAAAACACCAAATTCAACTATTATGTTTTTCTTTTATAATAATCTAAATTTTTAGCTCAATAACTGCAGTTCTTTGCTACAATTAGTTTATTGCAAAATGTTAAGCTTAGAATTTCACAATCTTCTAAGTAAAATCCAATAAAACAAATCAGAATAACTACTGTTAAATAAGAATAAATAGCCATATAAAGGGAAAGTAGGTTCATGAGTCTTTTATGGATTCAGGTGGCAGGAAAATGGTCTGCAGCAGATCTAAACTCGGTAAGTTCTATTTGGTGACATGAATAGAACCAGTAAGCCTTCTCTCAAAGTAGTTGCTAACATACAGCACTCTCACCAACTTTCCATTTGAATGAGAATTTTCTCCACTGAACCTTTACATTTTACTTAGGTAGTTGATAATTTATCAACCTATACATTTTATAATAATCTGTAGATACAAGTTACAAACTAATCTTAGGTAATAATGGAACTGCCAGGGAAAAACCTCTTTCAGAAAAGTGGCTTCTACCTGCCAGTTTGGTATAAATACTTCACTTACTAGCCAACAATAAATTATTTGCTTGTCTAAAAAGCAACTTATTCTAATTTTTGTTCCTGACATCCGTTATAAAATGAGTGAAGTAAAGAAGTACTACATTAAAACCTACAGATGTAGCTAGGAAGTTTCTTTACAAAAAACTAAAGGACAATATGGTATTGACAATCTTATGAACATTTTAGAATTCTTAAAAATAAGAGAAATGGTTAAAAGGAATCTTAAAAATACTATATAAGTTTTATATGAAAAAAAGAGATCACCTAGCCCGTAAATTTAAAATATATACTTTACTCTTGTCTACTCTTAAGAATGGTTTGCCATTACAACATGAGAAATGTCTTTTAGTTTGGTAACTCTATGTATTCCAATAATAGAAAAACTTAAAAAGAACACTATTTAATTAGACTGACACCTACCTGTGCTTTCTGAAGCAGTTCAATTGTAAGAGAAAGCCAATCAGGAATGAGTTTCTCCATTTCCAGACTAACCATGGCCAGAGCAAGCATGGATCCTCTGAATTGCAGAAGTTGGTTGCAGGCCATACAGTGAAGTAGTTGCTTGGTAAGGACTGCCAAATGTTGAGATGGGCTCAATTTGGGCAAACTGAAAAGTAACTGAGGCCTAGTTGACACTGCAATGGCATGGAACTGAAAATCACAAGAACATCATTTTAACTTTATTTAAATATCTGGGAAATTACATATAGAAATTGATGCAACCTATTCAATTTCTTTTTTTTTTTTTTTTGAGACAGAGTCTCACTCTGTTGCCCAGGCTGGAGTGCAGTAGCATGATCTCAACTCACTGCAACATCCGCCTCCTGGATTCAAGCAATTCTCCTGCCTGCCTCAGCATCCTGAGTAGCTGCGATTACAGGCGCCTGCCACCATGCCCGGCTAATTTTTGTATTTTTAGTAGAGACAGGGTTTCACCATGTTGGCCAGGCTGGTCTCAAATTCCTGACCTCAAGTGATCCGCCTGCCTCAGCCTCTCAAAGTGCTGGGATTACAGGCGTGAGCCACCGCGCCCAGCCTAACCTATTCAATTTCTAAGTCTGCGAATTAAGCTTCAGTGATATGACATATATACTAATTTATAATTTTTCCTTGGATATCAAGTTTTCTTTTTCCTATTTCCAGTACAAAATAAATGAGTAGGCAATCTATTTTTTAATTTACTGAAAACTACACACTCAAATAAGAAACTAAAAGACTTCAGGTATATTTACAATATGAAGAAAATCCAATGGTGTGGCTGTGTGAAGATCCCAATTCAACTTATCCAGAATAATTCTCTCCATTCTCAAAATTTCAGATGAGGAACATCCACAGAAACTGTCTCTTGCCAATACCTTTAGTACTGGAATTCTCTATCCAAAGCAAAGGGGAACAGGGACAGGGAGAAAAGGACAGAAAAGAAACTCATTTATGATTTTTGTTTTAGCAAACGAAGCAAGTTAATAAATGTGGAGAGAAATTTTCACGGAAGAAACATTATCTTGAAAGGATTTATTACCTCATCTTCCTCAACAGTCTTGGCAGCTAGGAAAAAACAGCTGATTGCAATACAACTCAAGTATTTTGGATGAGCCTAAAATTTTGAAGAGGGAAAAAGCAACTTTAGTGATTTTTCAAAAACAATTTAACTTTTTGTAACTGTTTTAAAAACCTAGATATGCAGATGAGACAGGTATACACAAAATACTATGGAATTCAATTAATGTGACTGCCACTCATTACTTTTTAGATCAGAGCTAACTTTAAGAACAGGAAAGAAAGTTTATTAAAAAGCTTTAGAGCAGTAATGAAAGGAAGGAAAGTACACTTGCAAGATCAAGTGTGTCTAGAGCTAACTTTTTTTTTTTTTTTTTTTTTGAGACGGAGTCTTGGCCTGTCGCCCAGGCTGCAGTGCAGTGGCACGATGTCAGCTCAGTGCAAGCTCCGCCTCCTGGGTTCATGCCATTCTCCTGCCTCAGCCTCCCAAGTAGCTGCTACTACAACGCCCGCCACCACGCCCAGCTAATTTTTTTTTGTATTTTTAGTAGAGACGGGGGTTTCACTGTGTTAGCCAGGATGGTCTCATCTCCTGACCTCGTGATCTGCCCGCCTCGGCCTCCCAAAGTGCTGGGATTACAGGCGTCAGCCACCGTGCCCGGCCTGAGAGCTAACTGTTAGCATTACAATCCTAGCCATATGATATTCTACAAAAATAATATCAATTCCATTGCTCAAAGTTCAACCAAAGCCAATTAACCAAAGTTCATTTCTATCCAGCAGAAAAAAAGCTTGATTTAGAAGTTTTTAATAAATAATATTCCCAAAATTAAAAAATTTTTTGTGTATGTAAACATTTTTTAAAGCTAATTGCTTGCAATCTGGGATATCTGAAAAATGCCTACTTTTATCTCAGCAACAAGTCCACATCACTCCTCCCTCCCTCTCTACTACATCTAACCTACTTTTCACAGATAATTCCACAGAAAGATGAGTTTAAAGTTAGTGTCCTTTCTTGGACAGTACATTTTTCAAAAATTATTAGTGAACACATTGTTGTAGTTTCTATCATGAGTTTCTTGCTGTGTTTATTAAACATTTGAAACAAAGTTGGAGAAATTTGTGGAACAATTAGAGAATTTTGCCAAATATCTCATTTTTTCATATTTCTTATTTATTGGGTCCTGTCATGTTTAGTAAGTGTCTTAAGAGTAGAAGTTTGAGCAGCTATTCAGTCTTACACTCCGTAATTATTTGGCTTCTATTCTGTATACCTAATAAAGCATTTAATTGACAGTTCCCCCAGTTTACATATTCTTTTGCATACTAATGCCTACAAGTTTAAATACTATGCTACTTTTTCATGCCTTGCCATTAAATAAATGCTCATTTTCTGCTTTAAATATGTTGAGGGCCTATTTACTAACTTGACACAGCCAATGACATGGCAATGGGGACAATATAAAACCTAATTATTTGTATGCTGTCATTCAACAAAAATATACCAAAGTTGCTTTATGACATCTTGTTATATACCAAAGTAAGCCCGTAGAAAGCACTTTGTTTTTCAGAAAGCCACACAGTATGGATATTCAATAAGTAGTGACAGAGAAAAACGTGCAATAGGCTTATACTTTATTCTAGTCTGATTCCTTGTCCACCTCTGTACACCAATATGTTAGAAAATGACTAAGTATTCTGCTGATGCTATACGGTTTGTGCTAAAATCAAGAGATAAAAAATTTCATAGGCTAAAAAGTTATGAATACTTGTAACAAAAAGAAAATTACAGAATACTATTAGAAACACTTCCAAAAACACTTCTGCTTTTTAAACAATAGTAGAAAGCCGGGAGTGGTGGCTCATGCCTGTAATCCCAGCACTTTGGGAGGCCAAGGCAGGCTGATGACTTGACGTCGGGAGTTCAAGACCAGCCTGGCCAACACGGCAAAACCCTGTCTCTACTAAAAATACAAAAATTAGACTGGCATGGTGGCACGTGTCTGCAGTCCCAACTACTTGGGAGGCTGAGGCACAAAAATTGCTTGAACCCAGGAGGCAGACACACTCCAGCCAGGGCAACAGAGCAAAACTATCAAAAAATAAAAATAAAATAAACAATAGCAGAAGACATCACCATGTCTTCTTATGGGTACATACATCATTCTCCAGCAAAGTTCTCCACTTCTTTCTACCTTACAGAATGTTCACTAATAGCCTCTAGTTTAGCATACATACACTCAAATGAGGTTATATGTAAGTCTATCTTAAAACACTTACCTTTACGGTAGCTAAAAACCTATCCAAAAGACTGCTAGCCAGAGCAAATGTTTCTGGGTAAAGGTTGAATTGGTACTTGAGTTTGGCCAGCCATTGAATTACTTCATCTCTCTGGGATGGAGAAACATTCTATAAGGGAACAATTTTGAAAACAGAAGACAAAGTTTGAGCTATCATCAAGAGTATGTTTAGAATTCTCTCTCATAAAAGGTTAGGTAATACTACAAAATATATTTAAAAATGTTAAGGTTATTCAAAATCTATCAGACTTGAGACACATGAAATAAAACTTTATGTATTATCACATTTAATATCAATATCCAATATTCTCCTACTCTTTATTAAAATTTTCACTATGTCATCTCACCAAATATCCATAGTTGAATTAAATTTAGGTGCTCAGAGAATATAACATTTTAAAGTTTAAGTAACACTATTATCAACTGATAGTAATTTGGAGTTAAGTTACCCCACCTCTTAAGATTAAGAAAATACAGTGAATTTCTCCCGCAGCAAGTAGCCATTAACTTATCTTAGGAAATATAAATGAACTATGATAATGGAAATGATAGCCCATTTGAAAAACTAAAATCAATAGTAATAAGTAAAAGATACCAGGGACAACAGATGAATTATACACTTAGAGATGATGAAAAAATATTGAACAGGAAATTAATCTGAAGTAAATTACTATTTTGAAAAATTTCCACAAACACAAAACATTATTGTTTTATTGTTGTTGTAAGCCTATTGAGTATAAGCTTAATTTTTAGCAGGGACACACTTTAAAGTAATAGTGATTAGAAAACTTTTACTCTTGAGTTTTGGAGTCGCCATTAAAAAAATAAAACCGGTTGTTTATTTTGGGAACATTCAGTATTCTCCTTACAGCTCTTTCAAACTGTAGTTTCAAACAGTTTGAAAGAGCTGTAAGGAGAATACTCAAATAATATGTAGGAAGATTAAAACAACAATGTTTTGTGTTTGTGGAAAGCTTTCAAAATAGTCATTTACTTCAGGTTGATTTCCTGTTCAATATTTTTTTTCATCATCTCTAAATGTATAATTCATCTGTTGCCCCTGGTAACTTTCACTTATTAATATTGATTTCAGTTTTTTAAATGGGCTATCATTCTGTTATCATAGTTCATTTGTATTTCCTAAGTTAACCATAGTAAGCCTACAATGGTATG
Organism: Homo sapiens; assembly: GCF_000001405.40. Classification (NCBI taxonomy): domain Eukaryota; kingdom Metazoa; phylum Chordata; class Mammalia; order Primates; family Hominidae; genus Homo; species Homo sapiens. Next base: position 77,059,700 of record NC_000004.12, read on the forward strand.
GAACACTAGAAGTTATTCCTCATATCTAGCTGTAATTCTGTATCCAGGCTACTTTAAGATCTAGTTCTGGACTAAGGATCCATAAAAATCCCTGAGAACCAAGTAAAGCCAATCACAAGACTTCTGGATGAAGAGTTAAGCATTCAAGAGAAATTAAATTCCTATCAAGATGAGCTTTTATCCAAAATGCCACAACAAATAAGGAAAAGTAATGTTAACTAAGCCAGCCAAACACATCAACAAGGAAATAAATTCCCAGGAGAGGTAGGTGATGTTATAATCTGATGAAACTGGGAAGGCTTTTAGGGAGATGAAAGGAACGATGACTTACAGTAGCTATGAAAACAAGAACACCATTAACTCTAACCTTCAGTTAGAGATACAATGTGGGGTATGGGAGAAAAAAAAAAATCCCTGAATGACAGATTACATTAAATAATGTCACTATTTGGTGTTTGGCATTAAACAATAACAGAAACATACAATTGTAAGAAGAATCACAAAGGTAACATACAAAAAAAGAGAATACAGTTATATGGAGATTATCATATAGTTATAACTAAATGACATAACTAATGTAAAGCATATATATGGAATGCAAACGTACTCAAATATTAGTTCTCCTTTCCCACCTCTAAACTACCCAATTCTCTAATAATGTCAGAAAAACAAATTTACAAAACATTATCTATGAAGTTATTTTAAACACTGTTAACAATTAGTCATGAAAGAAATCATGACAATATCTTTGAACTTTAATATTCCATATACTTTTTGAGACAGGGTCTTGCTCTGTCACCCAGGCTGGAGTACAGTGGCACAACCATGGCACACTGCAGCCTCGACCTCCCAGCCCCAAGTGATCCTCCCACCTCAGCATCCTGAAGTAGCTAGGACCAGAGGTACGTGCCACCAGGCCCGGCTAATTTTTTTTTTTTTTTTGAGATGGAGTCTCGCTCTGTCACCCAGGCTGGAGTGCAGTGGTTCAATCTCAGTTCACTGCAGCCTCCGCCTCCTAGGTTCAAGCAATTCTCCCTGCCTCAGCCTCCCAAGTAGCTGGGATTACAGGCTTGTGCCATCACGCCTGGCTAATTTTTGTATTTTTAGTAGAGATGGGGTTTCGCCATGTTGGCCAGGCTGGTCTCAAATCCCTGACCTCAAGTGATCTACCCATCTCAGCCTCCCAAAGTGCTGGGATTACAGACGTGAGCCACTGCGCCCGGCCTAATTTTACTTTTTTGTAGAGACGAGGTCTCACTATGTTACCCAGGCTGGTCTTCAACTCCCAGGCTCAAGTAATCCTCCCACCTCGGCCTCCCAAAGTGTTGGGATTACAGGTGTAAGCCACTATGTTTGGCCCATATACCAGATAGTAAAATTTAACAACAGGGCCAAGAAAAGCATTCCTGCATAGCCAATGTTATCATCACTAGCCAAAACCAGCAATAATTTTTTTAAAATCCAAAAGATAACAGTTTAAGAAGACTCAATTTAACTGAAGTAATACTGAGTCTAAGGTCACTTTTTCAAATCAATTCAAATATGTACTAAACAGTAATATCATCATGACAGCATTACAAATAGTAAGTTCTGCGCCTAATTCATTTCATTCCTATTCCTCTAAAATAAAGAATGAGAGAGAAAAAGAAAAAGCCCAAAACAGTATTTCCTGATTCCATCAGGTGAACTGTTTCTCATATGGACTGCTTAAATAGGATTAGAAGGATTCAGTAGTTGAACAAATAATCCTAAAGAGAATTTATAATGGATTGATCAAACATGGTAAAATATAGACTGCTATTAATATATATTCTGTATATATATTATATTCCACATGCTGCTAGTCTTCTCCTTAAAATATACAACCTCCCCAGCTTTAAACTCTAAAAGGTTCACCATTACCTAAAAGATTAAGTACAATTCCCCAGCATGGCATACAAATCTATGACCTACCTCTTCTTTGTTGTTGTTGTTTTTGTTTTTTGTTTTTGAGACAGTCTTGCTCTGTCACCCAGGCTGGAGTGCAGTGGCGCAATCTTGGCTAACTGCAAGCTCCGCCTCCCAGGTTCACACCATTCTCCTGCCTCAGCCTCCTGGGTAGCTGGGACTACAGGCACCCGCCACCACACCCAGCTAATTTTTTGTATTTTTAGTAGAGACGGGGTTTCACCATGTTAGCCAGGATAGTCTCGATCTCCTGACCTTGTGATCCACCCGCCTCGGCCTCCCAAAGTGTTGAGATTACAGGTGCAAGCCACCATGCCCGGCTATGACCTACCTCTCTAACCTCGGACATCTTCCATCACTTTCTGTCTTAAACTTCATGCTGTAATAGTAACTTCTACTGATGATCCTTCCTTGCCCCTGGTATTTTACGTTACTGCTCCTTTGTTCATATTGCTCCTACTGACTGGAACGCACTCCCTTCTCTCTCACCTGCCTTATTATGTATCTCTTGAGAGCTATTTTGATGTTACTCCCCGCCAGATACTTTTCCTGATAATTCAAGTTGGGCTGAGTACCTTCCTATGTTCCCACAGCATCTCATTACACCTGTTAAACGTTCAACATTTTTTTAAAAATTAAATTTCTGGGCATGGCTCACAATTGTAATCCCAGTACTGTAGGGGGCCAAGGCAGGAAAACTGCTTGAGCCCAGGAGTTTGAAACTAGCCTGGGTAACACAGTGAGACTTCATCTCCACAAATAAAAAAATTAGGCATGGTGGTGCGTGCCTGTTACCTCAGCTACTTGGGAGGCTGAGGTGGGAGGATCACTTGAGCCTGGGAAATAGAGGCTGTAGTGAACTGTGATGGAGCCACTGCACCCCAGCCTGGGCAACAGAGCAAGACCCTGTCTCAGAAAAAAAAAAAAAATTAAATTTTTCCTTTTGGCTTTGATGAAGTAGGAAGCAGCAAATCTAAACTCCAGTTGAGAATGACTAGAAAAGCTGTTAACAACCTCTTTTTAAGATTCCTTAGAGTTCTAAAATTCTACTGAAAATCATCTGTATATCAACAATTTGTGGCAGGGTTTTATCTTTGTAAATCAAAAGCACTTTGGCAAAATAAATTGAGAACATCTGAAAGTATGTGCCACTTTGACCAGTTTCAATGTTTTCCCCAAATTCATGTAACAAAATTATCATGAACTTGAAAGTACTATTACATAATATAAAAGAAGTTCTCTGCAAGTGCCAAGAACACAGTAAGGTACCTGAATGAATCATAAAGAAATGATAATCACCATTCACTTAAATGCTTACTTTGAGTCTATTATATGCAAGTAAACAAAAATGACACCACCATACCCCTCAGGGAAACTCACAGTCAAATCACCAGAAAATTATAATACTTTGTGCTGTCATAAGGGAAGCAGAGTGTGGCAGAAACACATAGAAGGTGAGTGACAGCTGCATAATATTCTTGCCTGACCACACTGTCCTAAATTTGGGGATAGGGGATGCAAATTAAACAAGAATTATGTGAGAGACTGACTTCAAAATATAGTTGGGGCAGGGGGGAAGTTAGAAGGAAACTGGAGGAAAAAGGCATAAGAGAAAGCTTAAAAATATCTTACTTTTCCATTTTTACCAACACTTCAAAACCAAATTAGAAAAGTCAGAGCAACAGTGGAAAGGGAGGTAAAAAAAAAAAAAAAAAAAAAAAAAGCCAGTCCCTTAGAGGAAAATAAGAGTTAGAACTAGAATAGAGAAGGTGCTGGGTGCGGTGGCTCATGCCTGTAATCCCAGCACTTTGGAAGGCCGGATCACAAGGTCAGGAGATCGAGACCATCCTGGCTAACACAGTGAAACCCCGTCTCTACTAAAAAATACAAAAAATTAGCCGGGCGTTGTGGCGGGCGCCTGTAGTCCCAGCTAATGGGGAGGCTGAGGCAGGAGAATAGCGTGAACCCGGGAGGCGGAGCTTGCAGTGAGCCAAGATCGCGCCAGTGCACTCCAGCCTGGGCAGCAGAGCAAGACTCTGTCTCCAAAAAAAAAAAAAAATAGAATAGAGAAGTGTCCCTGGGGGTTACCCTGGCAAGCAACTCAAGCCCCTATAGCCTTTTACCCCTATTCTTAACTCCTATCCCCACCAGACCAAGGCCACCCAAATTTTACAAGTATTAAATATGGCTTCTACTTGGCATTACTAAAGGCAAATCCTTAAGAAGTGGATCTCTCTCAGAAGTTCTGATACTATTCTGTTCTCTGGTATTACCACACCAGTATTCATTAAATCACCTACAGAAATAGGCCAGATTTGGGTGTGGTTGCTCACGCCTGTAATCCCAGCACTTTGGGTTGCTGGGGCAGGAAGATCATCTGAGGTGAGGAGTTCGAGACCAGCTCGGCCAACATGGTGAAACCCTGTCCCTACTAAAAATACAAAAATTAGCCAGGTATGGTGGCGGGTGCCTGTTAATTCCAGCTACTTGGGAAGCTGAGGCAAGAGAATCACTTGAGCCCGGGAGGCCGAGGTTACAGTGAGCCGAGATCATGCCATTGCACTCCAGCCTGGGCAAAAAGAGAAAAAAACTCCTTCTCAAAAAAAAAAAAGAAATAGGTCAGATTATTTGGTAATATAGCAATATACTACAATCTAGGTAGAATATCACCTTCAAAGACCAGGCTGTAAAAATATATTATTGTTGGTTACATGCTGACTTAAGGAGATAGCAGGAGGAGGAAAGGAATGGTCCTACAAGCAGCTATAAAAAAGTTTTGAGGCTCACTAGAATGTCACAACATAAGGGCAGGAATTTATTTTCTCCTGTTGTATCCCCAATACCTAGAATAGTGCCTAGAGTATAGCAGATACTCAGCAGACATTTGCTAAATGACTTGAATTCCCAACTAATCTAAAAATCACACATGCGCGCGCGCGCACACACACACACACACACACACACACACACACACACAAAATATCACAGGAAGAGGACTACCTTAGGAAAAGGATCGAATTATAATTTTTTTTCTTTTTTTTTTTTTTGAGACGGAGTCTCACTTACCCTGTCGTTCAGGCTGGAGTGCAGTGACGTGATCTCGGCTCACTGCAACCTCTGCCTCCTGGGTTCAAGCAATTCTCATACCTCAGCCTCCCAAGTAGCTGGGTCACAGGAATGACTCACCACACCCAGCTAATTTTTGTATTTTTAGTAGAGATGGGGTTTCGCCATGTTGACCATGGCTGGTCTCGAACGCCTGACCTCAGGTGATCTGCCCACCTCAGCCTCCCAAAGTGCTGGGACTACAGGCGTGAGCCACTGCGTCCAGCCCAAATTATCATTCTATTACTTATTAAAGTCTTGAGCAAATTGGGACTACTGAGTACTTTTTCAAAGAATTAAATGAGATATTAAATGAGATAGCATATATATAAACACTCCTCATTCAAGTTAACTAATCAGTTTGCAAAATGACAAGTAACAGTAAATGAAGAATGTATTTCTTTAGCTTGTGGGAAAGAATAAGTAGGAAAAATTAGAATTGAATTAAAAAGGCATATATACTTTCAAAACCAATAAGCAAAGGATAGCCTAAAACAACACACGAGGAACTTACATATTTGCCATTCATTCACTCATGCATATTAAAAGAACATTTGACCACTATTCTATTTTCCAAGCACCATGTTAGATATTAAGGATAAAAGACATATAAGACATCTTATACAATAAACTTTTGGAGTGGATAAAGTTCACAGTTATTTGTGAAAAATAATTATATATGACAGAAGTATAAAAATTTCTAAAAGAAAAACTATGCAGCTAACAGTAGTTAAGAGACCAGCTGGCTATCTTCTAAAAAGCTTCCAACATTGGTATTACCTTAGTAATTCACATGAACTCCTTACCGCTAATGATGAAAGAGTAGGTTTTTAGTTGACTAAAGACAATGGTATGAAGATGTTCAGCCTCTGTGGCTAACTATAAACTATATATCTAAAGAAGGTTACTACTGTTAGTATAGATTATGATGAAAGAAAACAAACCTAACTATTTTCCCAAAGCTGTAACTCAGATAACAACAAAACAGGTCAACAAACAAAAACAGTTAACTCTTGTTTCAGAAAGAAAAGGCCACAGCAGGAGCAGGAGTTTTTAAAAAAGAAGAGGCCGGGCATGGTGGCTCACGCCTATAATCCTACCACTTTGGGAGGCCAAGGCTGGTGGACTGCTTGAGCTCAGGACTTCCAGACTAGGCTGGGCAACATGGTGAAACCCCATCTCTACCAAAAATACAAAAAATTAGCCAGGCATGGTAGCATGCGCCTGTAGTCCCAGCTACTCAGGAGGCTGAGGTGAGAGGATTGCTTGAGCCCGGGAGGCAGGGGTTGCAGTGAGCTGAGATCATGCCACAGCACTCCAGACTGGATGACAGAGTGAGACCCTGTTACACAAAAAAGAAACAGGGAGAGTCTCTCAAATACAGCACATCCTTAAATGGTACACACTCCTCCAATGTAGTGTCAAGATATTATTATGTATGGCAGTAGTATGTTTATTTCTAATAAAATTCATCTGTCTTAAGAGAAAAATCATTACCTGATTTGAAGGCATTTTCCGCACATTCACTTTCCACATCTGTGCTTCCCTAGTGATTGCCTTTTCCAACAGGAAAGACAATCTCTGGTTTTCCAAAGGCCCTGGAAACTTCATGATATCCTTTGGATCTGCCTGCTACCCAGCTTGCTGTAGCTACCTACAGAATCAAGTAAGTTTTAAAATTAGTTATAGAATAAGTGTAGCATTATATAAAGTACTAATTAAGCAACTCATAAAACAAAATAAGAATGCTATGAGGCAGTATAGGATTTTATAGCTCTTTAAAATATCGTATTAAAATACCAAAATAATCAGTTATCTAAAACATTCACACTTGAAATCTGAAATTCAGTTATAAAGAGAATAAAAACAAGGCCATGTAATTGATGGAACCTTTGGACTCTGATCAAAACATGTTATTACTGTTTCAAATTGTCAAAACTTTGTCACTGGCTTTTTTACCAGGAATTCTTAGAAGTAGTTATTCCAAACATTCCTCTTAAAAACCTAATCAGATAAGGACCACTAACATTTTTCCTTCATTAAAAAGAAAATATATTACATTAAATCCTACCCATTCCCACTTCTTCAGTATGAAACCATACCCTCCAGTATGAAATCATCTTAAATTGCGCTTCCAATTCAGTATCCATTAGCTACACATGTGGATATTTAACTATGAGCTGAATAAAATTTAAAAATTGGCCAGGCATGGTGGCTCACGCCTGTAATCCCATCACTTTGGGAGGCCGAGGCGGGTGGATCACTAGGTCAGGAGTTGGAGACCAGCCTGGCCAACATGGTGAAACCCCATCACTACTGAAAATACAAAAATTAACTGGGCATGGTGGTGGGCGCCTGTAATCCCAGCTACTCGGGAGGCTGAAGCAGGAGAATCGTTTGAACCAGGGAGGCAGAGGTTGCAGTGAGCTGAGATCACACCATTGCACTCCAGCCTGGGCAACAGGGTGACACTCCGTCTCAAAAACAAACAAACCAAAAAAAAAAAATGTATTTCTTCAGTCACAATAGCCTTACTTCAATAACCAGATGTGGCTAGTGGATACTATATCGGACAGTGCACAAAAGGAACATTCCTATTAATACAGTAAGTTCTACTGAACAGTGCTCACCTAGAAAGCTCCACAGTACATTGACTAGCACTCTAAAATGAGCAGCATGTCTAAATAGCAAGTTTAGCAGTGCAAGACAACATAGAGTCCAAGAGAAATGTCTCTAGGTTTTATGTTTATATGTATTTGGAAACAAGAGTCCCACTCTGTTGCCCAGGTTAGAGTACAGTGGTGTAGTGGCTCACTGCAGCCTCGAACTCCTGGGTTCAGGTGATCCTCCTGCCTCAGCCTCCCAAATAGCTGGGACTACAGATGCACATCACCAAGCCCAGGTAATTTTGTGGGGTTTTTTTTTTTTTTTGTAGAGATGCAGTTTTGCTATGTTGCCCAGCCTCACGCAGTCCTCCTGGCTTGGCCTCCCAAAGCACTGGGGTTACAGGTGTGAGCCACCGTGCAGGCTTCTAGGTTTAAAAAAAAAAAAAAAAAAAAAAAAAAAAAGAAGCAAACTACAGACTTGAGGTTTGACTGTGTGTAGAAAATTGGATTAAGAAACTGCTAAAGAATGTGAAAAGGTGGCTGGGCACGGTGGCTCACACCTGTAATCCTAGCACTTTGGGAGGTGGAGGCGGGCAGATCACGAGGTCAGTAGTTCCAGACCAGCCTGACAAAACATGGTGAGACCCCCGTCTCTACTAAAAATACAAAACTTAGCCAGGCATGGTGGCAGGCACCTGTAATCCCAGTTACTTGGAAGCCTGAGGCAGGAAAATCGCTTTAACCCAGGAGACAGAGGGTGCAATGAGCCAAGATTGCACCACTGCACTCCAGCCTGGCGACAGAGCAAGACTCCGTCTCAAAACAAACAAACAAACAAACAAAAAAGAATGTGAAAAGGCTTAGCTGGATTTGTTGAAAGGTAAGCAACTAAAAAGGTAATTAACTTCAGAAAAAAGAATTTAAGAAAGTAATGTATCACAATATTTATACAGCAATAATAATGAAAAGACTGGATAGGGATCGCAATATGATAAAACTACATTGGCAGGATGTGGAGACATAACTATGGATATTGGAAGAGGGTAAAATAAAAGCCACGTCTTTACATTTCATAGTAGGAAATTCATAAATATCTCAAACTGAAATGTCAAAAAACAGCAGCAGAGCAAGTTGTTTGAAAATGTGATGCTAAATAACGGGACAAGGAGGAAAGAGTTGGGAGTAGTTAACCTCTGCAGAGTAAGAAAAGGGTGAGAAAGGCCTAGCGTAGGAGAATGCTGTTTTTCATTATAAATTTCACTAACAATTTGACTTTCTCAACTATGTACCTGTAAACTATGTATCTGTATTACACACTTCAGATTCATGGGCTCTAAGAATTTTTTTAAATATCCAGAATTAACATGTAAAAAGTTCCAATTTTTTTAAAAATAAAAAATTTGGAAAAGCAAAAAATAGCAAACCACTTCTTTAATTTCCACATTCTATCCCAACTCCAGCTACTATCCTCCTTCCTATGTACCACTCCACATATGCTACCTATTTGCTTCTCAACTTACTAGAGACTAATTCTGGTTAACTCAATTATGATTTTGTTAATTTTTGTGTCTTTAAACGCCTGAGTTTTTGCAAATCTTCTATAATTAGCATAAAATATCTTCATACTAAGATGACAAGGGGTAAATAGAGAGGAAAAAGAACTAATATTAATCCAAAAAGACCTATCTCAAAGGTAATTTCTTCTAAAAACTCTTGATTCTTTAATCATGTCATAAAGCAGCTTTCTGTTAACTCCCCAACTACGTTATAAATTCCTGGCCAGGCGCAGCGGCTCCGGCCTGTAATCCTTGCACTTTCGAAGGCTGAGGAGGACAGATTGCTTGAGTCAAGGAGTTCGACGCCAGCCTGGGCAATGTGGTGAAACTCCATCTCTATAAAACATACAAAAATTAGGCAGGCGTGGTGGCACGTGCCTGTGGTCCAAGCTACTTGGGAGGCTGAGGTTGCAGTGAGCCAAAATCATGCCACTGCACTCCAGCCCCAGCAACAGAATGAGACCGTGTCTCCAAATAAAGAAATCCCTATGCAGTCACATCTGCCAATATCATTTTTATATATATATATTTTTTTTATTATTATACTTTAAGTTCTAGGGTACATGTGCACAAAGTTCAGGTTTGTTACATATGTATACATGTGTCATGTTGGTGTGCTGCACCCATTAACTCATCATTTACATTAGGTATATCTCCTAATGCTATCCCTCCCCCCTCCCCCCACCCCACAACAGGCCCCGGTGTGTGATGTTCCCCTTCCTGTGTCCAAGTGTCCTCATTTTTTTTATTACTCACTGTGTCCACAGCACAGTACTTCGACGGAACAGAGACCCAACCAATTGTTCCAGTTTCAACCACTGGTGCCCCAAACAAAAACACACAACCAAAAACTCTACCCCCACCTGTACCAACCCACTGTGTGTGGGGTTTTGGTACCTTCTTTTTTTTGATACATCCTTGTTCACAACTTTAACCTACCAAAATCTAATCTCTTTCACACCAATCCTTCCAATCTTTGAAGGGTGCTATCATGCTCACCAATTCATCTTTTCCATAGCTGAAAACTTCGATAGCTCCTCACGATATTTTGCCTCTTCTAAATTAGCTTTAATTTTACCATAAATACAGTCTAAAATCATGGGCTTTTTTTTTTTTTTTTTGAGACAAGAGTCTCACTCTGTTGCCCAGGCTAGAGTGTAGTGGCACGATCTCGGCTCACTGCAACCTCCACCTCCTGGGTTCAAGTGATTCTCCTCCCTTAGCCTCCTGAGTAGCTGGGATTACAGGCACACACCACCACACATGGCTAATTTTTGTATTTTTAGTAGAGGCAGGTTTTACCATGTTGGCCAGGCTGGTCTTGAACTCCTGACCTCAAGTGATCTGCCTGCCTTGGCCTCCCAAAGTGCTGGGAGTACTGGCATGAGCCACCACTCGTGGCCCTCATTAGCTTTTTTTTTTTTGAAGACCACACCTCGGTATCAATTCAGATATAATTTACGGTCAACAAAAACTCTTAGGAGACTTTCTCAGGTTCCTTGTTAAGCCAGTTCTACCCCTACCTGCCCCAACCCATTGTGTGCGAGGTTTGGGTACTTTCTTTTTTTTTTTTTTTTTTTGACACATCCTTGTTCACAACTTTAAAAATATTCTTTATAAAAAAGAAAAAAGGTCATCCTGTTATATTCTATCCCTGTTGCATACTGCTGAGATGTTCTGAGATTCCAATTTTGTTGCCTTGGTGCCTTTCTCAGATCTTCAACAATTTGGTAGGCAAGCTCACTATAATTTCTTCTAATGCAGACATAAGTATTAACACTAGAAACGGAATGTAGGCCAGGTGCTGTGGCTCATTCCTGTAATTCCAACACTTTGGGAGGCCAAGGCAGGAGGAGCTATCGAAGTTTTGGGAGGCCAAGGCAGGAGGAGCCCAGTAGTTCACGACCAGCCTGGGCAACACAGTGAAAATCTTTATATAAAAGAAATGGAATGTAAACCAGATGACCATCTGACAAGAGATATTTAGAAGAAACAGCTATTTGGGTCAAGATTAGACTTCATAGGTTCTAAGGTTTCTTCCAAACTCCTATTAAAAACCTTAAAACTTTAATAATTCTTTCACGCCATTAGCTACAACCAAATGGATCCACCAGCCTTCACAAGCTATCCCAACAACCGACTGTCACTAGTGACTCAAGTTCCTTCACTAGGTTTCAAGATTATTTTTAGGGGGTTTAGATGGTACAGAAAGAGACACATAAAGTAGAATCATGTAAAAAGAAGTAAATCAGGTTCAATGGATTCCCGTTCTCCAATTGCCTATAATTAAAGCCCTCAGTATGACTTTCAAATATTTATATTGTAATAACTTTTTTTAAAACAAAGGTATCTGGTCAAAGAAGAGTCACAGGGGAAATTAGATAATACTTTGAGATGAGTGAAAATGAAGATATACCAAAACTTACCAGATACAATTAAAGCAGTGCTTAGAAATAAATTAATACCTGAAAATGCCTCTACTAAAAAAGGATATCTCAAATCAAGAGCCTAATCTTCCACCTTAAGGTAATGGAAAAAGAAGAGTAAACTGTTCCTAAAGCAAGACAGAAGCAAGGAAATACTAAATATTAGAATGGAAATTAATGAAGTAGAGAATACAAAAACAGCAGTGAAAAGTCAATGAAACCAGAAGCTGATTGTTTGAAAAGATCAAAATGGACAAACCTTTAGCCAGCTAGACTGACCACGAAAATACAGAGGACAAATTACTAAAATCAAGACTAAAAAGAAGACACTACCTACCTTACAGAAATAAAAAGAATTATAAAGGAATTTATGAACAACTGTGTGCAACTAAATTGGCAATTTTAGATGAAATGGTCCAGTTCCCAGAAATACAAAATACCAAAACTTAGGAAGTAAAAAGCTGCACTGGTGAGATGATTCCAAAAAAACAAAAACAGAAAAAAAGAAAGAAAGAAAAAAGCTGAGTATTTGTAAAACCAAAGATTTAAACAGTTAATTTTTTTAAAGCACTGCCAAAGAAAAATCCATGCCCAGATGGCTTCACTGGTTAATTCTACCAACCATTTTCAGAAAAACTAATAGCAATCTTTACAAATTCTTCCCAACTTATTCGTTGAAGCCAGTTATTACCCTGCTACCAAAACCAGACAGACATCACTAGAAAACTACAGATTAGTATTTCTTCTGAATATAAATGCAAAATTTCTCAACAAAATACTAGCAAACTGAATCCAGCAATATTAAAAAAAGGATTATATACCATAACCAAGTGGGATTTGTTCCAGGAATGCAAGCTTGTTTTAAGATTCAGAAATCAACGCAATACATTATCAATAGTAAAAAAAAGAATCACTCTTTGCTCACTCTAGAGAAAGCTAACAAAGAAAAAGTAAAACGAGGTAAAATTTCCTTAAACTTTTAAAAACAGGACAGAAGGCAGGGCATGGTGGCACCTGCTTGTGATCCCAGAACTTTGTGAGGCAGGAGAGGAGCACTTGAGGCCAGGAGTTTGAGACCAGCCTGGACAACAGAGCGAGATCCCTGTCTCCACCAAAAAAAAAAAAAAAAAAAAAAAAATTTAAACTAGCCAGGCATGATGTCACACACCTGCCTGTAGTCTCAGCTACTCAGGAGACTCAGGTGGGAGGATTACGTAAGCCCAGGAGCTTGAGGCTGCAGTCAGCTATGATTACAGCACCTCACTCCAGCCTGGGTAACAAAGTGAGACCCAATCTCTTAAAAAAAAAAAAAAAAAAAAAAAGAAAAGAAACGAAACTGCAATACCTGACCCTCAACTAGATCCTGTACTGGAAGGAGACAAATGGTGTAAAGGTCATTATTGGGTCAAATGAGATAATTGGGACGGTAGATTACACAAGTCAATGTATCAAATGCTAAATTTACCAAAATTGAAAATTTTGCTGTGATTCTGTAAGAGAATATTACTATTCTTGTGAAATATTTAGCAGTATAGGGTCATAATGTATGTTCCACATAAAAGAACAAAAGACAAGACTAGTAAGACATACTATGATACAGAAAGCATGGGCTTGGCTTTTCTTTTACTGACAGTGCACAAGCCTATTTTCTACGGGTAAAGCACATTTTGAGTTGAATTAATAAATTCCGCTAAGAAAATGCAAACATTTAAAATACAATTTTAGTTTTAACAGAACTATATAGTTATGTTTTGTTACTGTATGCCTATTGTTGGTTACATCCAACTTTGCATGCTTTTTTAGAAAAGCAAGAAATAACAAAAGACTATTTTAGTTGGCATATTCCACACACATCAAACTTTATGCCAGTTTCACATTTCTCCTCCCATCCTCTCAATTGCTGCCGCTTCTCCTTTCTCCACGGTTATCAAATAGCTTAATGTCTGAGGTAATAGTTTATAAAAGGCTTACTGTACAGCATAACTATTACAGATATACATACAGGGCCCCCTGCTCCTCTGAGGAAAAGTGCTGCACAGTGCTGGGTATACAATATAAACAACTTCACTAATATGTATTATTGTATTTGCTATCATCATCACACCAATTCCATTAATAATCCTGTACTAGTGCTGACTTCTGAATCTTAGTTCCTCTTCTGAAAGGAGGGATTAACGTGGCCATACAAGAAACTGAAGTTCTACTATTCCCTCCTTGACTTTATGCACTAGAAACAATGAATTAAAGGTATTTGCAATTCCAAGTGTATGCTCTTTCCCAATCTCCCTGGCTGTACAAGCACTGCTGTTTCAACTTGAAATGTCCTCTAGCTCATACTTCCCTTCCTAAAGTAGCCATCAGTCTGTAAGACTCTCTGGATTTGTGCAGTTGTGCCCTGCCTTCCAACATCTGTACTTGGACATAATTCTACCTTTACATTTAGTTGCTTTGAGACTATTGGTAAACTTGCCTTTCCTAATAATGAATTCTTTGATGTTAATCTCCAGAGTTGAGCATATGCCTAATAGCTTCACTTGTAAACAGCTTAACAAGTAAAAGCACTGAGTGCTTACTATTTGACTACCTATTGTTCAAAGCGCTATGCCATATTAACTCATGTAATGTTCCCACAATTTGATGAAACTGTGGAAAGCCCTTTTTTTCTAGTTTTTTATTTTTCTTACTACACCCCCATTTCAGCCATAAAGCCCATTTTAAAGACGAAGAAACATACATAGGAAGATGAATATTCATTTTTAATGTATTACACAATCAAAACAAAACACGGACACACTCAGCTTCCAATCTTGACCAACACACATGCTAAGCTCCATTCTAACCTACTAGGATGTCACATTACCACATAAACTACCTGTAACTGCAGATCATTTTTACTGAACTTCCCTAACACATGCTGACTGTATTAGTCTGCCCTTCATCGGTATCAAGAAATTTCTAGTAGAGGGGCTCAGAATCTCTCGGAGATTCTCTGGTCCCAGATTAGCCAATCTACATCTATTCCGTCCATTATTTCTTAATCTATTTGTCCAATCCTTTCTATTTCATCTGCCACAAATGACCTGGAAAAGCTAGCAGCAGATAACACTGCTATTTCAACAAACTCATTTTCAGGACAGAGACCACACAGCGTAGAATCAGACTTAATTCTGGCTACTGGGTTTTAGCCGCGTTACCTAAGGAGAAAGTTAATCTTGTGGAGTCTCAGTTTTCCTCATCTGTAAAATGAGGCTCCTACTACCAGCCTTGGGGGGATTAAGTGAATTGCAAGCCACTTAGGAGAATGCCTGGCAGATAATAAGCCTCATCAAATGTTGTTATTTAACGTCATTACTGTAATGCTCTGCTGCTCTAAGTCGAGTGGCTCCCCACTGACAGAATAAAACATAAACATTTTAGTTCAAACCCCTTCAGAGTCTGAATCCATCCTACCTCCCGAAACACCTTCCACTGTTTTGATACCCAATTGTCAACTTCTGCCAAAAGGATCTGTAACGGAGCCCCCTAGCTCCAGCGGAGGCTCCTCTGTCCTCCTTTCAAATTCCAGTTATTTAATCTAGCCTTTAGAGCACAACTCAAATCTCACCTCCCCCGGATTCCCCCCACCCACCCGCCCCAAGCCCTGGGTAACGTTGCCCTCCCCCGAATTTCACAGCACCGGAGGTTCACCCCATTCATTTGGCATTCAGTCTGCCGTGCAAAGTTAGTAATCCTCCTGGTGTCCCCGGAGAATCGTTCAACCTGAGGGTGGGGGTGTGTCCCCTTCTTTGTGTATTAACACGGGCTCGTAGAGCCTCCAACACGCACTATAGAGTAGCTAATTTGCCGCTGCCACAAAAAAAAGTTACTCGCTGACAGAAAAACTGGCCCGAAAAGGAACACAGTAGTGCCGTTTTCAAGTGGGCAGGTGACGGGTCTGTCTGGGCCGGAGAGGACGAAGAGGGCGGCCCCGAGGTTCCCCGGGCTGGGGGATGCGGGAGGGTGGGTCTCCGGCGAGCAGCGCGCGGCCAAGGGCGCTGCCACGGGGGCGGCGCGGGGGGAGCAGCGGGGCCCCAGCGCGTCGACGCCGGCCGCGGAGACGCGTCGAGCCCCCGCCCCCGCCCCCGCCCCTCACCTTCTCCTCCTCTTCCTCCTCCTCCTCCTCCCCGGCAGAGCTGTAGGCCTCACAGTGGTGACGCGGGGTCATCCGGGGGCCCGTTACCACCTCATTCTCATAGGCGCGCGGAGGCGGTGCGCGCGGGACGACTCGGCCAACTGAGGAGGGAGAAAGGGGAAGCGGATCGGGGGGCGCGGGCGCGGGCGCTGGCGCTCGAGCGGGACGCACGGCTGCGGCCGCTGGGTCGGTCAGCGAATTAGTTCCATGATGACCCCCGGCCTGAGGCCGCCGCCGCTCGAGCCCGGGTTGGGAGGGGGCTCCCTCTCGCCATAGGGCGGCGGGGGCCGGGGAGAGGCGGGGGGTGAGACCGGCTCTGCCCCTGCCCGGGGAAAGCGCCTCCGAGGGGAAATGGTGAAAGGGGGGGAGGGGAGAAAAGAAAAGAAAAAAAAAAAAAGAAAGGGGAAAGGGGGGAAAAATAAGAAAAAGCGAGACAGAGGCGCTGCCGCGTCCGCTCGCGGGGAAGGCTGGGGAGGGAGGGGAAGAGAGGGGAAGGGAGGAAGAAGTGCCGGCTTCCTCGGCTCCGCCCTCGCGGACCGATTCCTAGACTCGCCCACTCCTTGTAAACTACGCGGACTTGGTCTTTCACCCTTCCTGTTCCTCCCCGCCGCCTTCCCGGTCCAACGAAAGTACAGAGAAGTGCGGCCGAAAGGAGACGGGCTGGGGAAGTCGTTGGCACTAGGATGGAAGGAGGGAGGACGTTTTCTCGTGGCTAAGAAAAGCCGAAGGTCCGTGGACTCATTTTCCTTGAAGGAGCGGAAGGGTTGCTTGCAGACCGCACGGTGACGTCAGCGTCTCTGGGCCCCCACTGAGGGGGCGTGCGGTGGCCGGAGAGTGCGCTGCGCATGCGCCTGGGGAAGAAAGAAGCGGCCGAGCGCTGCGCTTGGGGGAGGGGATTTCACGATCCGCTCCTGTGGTCCAGCTTTACAGCAGCTTGGTTTTATCTAGCCCTACTCGTCCCCAGGCTCTTAGAAGGATTCACTGGGAAGGGGCTACTGATCTCTTGGGTGGAGATCTTGCAGATTTGTTGACCTAGCAAAGTATTACGTGTTCTTACCGTTGACATGTAAATAGAATTGCGGTTTTTCTCACTGCCACATTGTGTGGGTGGAGGGAGATTCTAAAGGGTTTTAGGAATCGGAAAATTAGGGAGAATCAAATCATGGGTGCTTAAGGCCTCAGTGAAACACTGTAAATTATACTGCTGACGGCGAGGAACCTGCTTGGCAATGTGGCAAGGGGATTTTATCCACTCAACCAACACGTCTGAGTATTTCCGAATAGGTTTTATTACCAGGTGCTTAAAGAATGTGTGGTGACATAAATGGGTTTTATTTGGGGTTCTGTTAGTACAAACGGTAACTTTTTGCTATTTTGATTGTTTTAATTATTTAAAAATATGTAGTATTACAGAGTTTTGAAAGAGGAAGAGCTAGATCTCAACCATTTATAGAAGTCTCGTTTGTTTTTTCCATTTGTTTTTTATATAGTTATTTTAACTGTCAGTGAAAAAATATGTGTTGAGTTTATTTAGTGGCCAGACTCAGCAAACTGGAAGTAGCCAAGACAGACATAGCTCCTGCCTTCATGGAGTTTACAGTCCAAACAGAGGATAACCATTGAGCTAATTATCACTATGTAAAATTACCAAGTACATTTACTTGTTTACTTGTGCATGTATCCCCTCCCTAGAATATAAGGTCGCAGGCGGCAGGGATCTTGCATGTTTCACCCTCTATCCCTGTGTATAAAAGGCTCTCAATATTTGACCAAGTAAACAATTCTGGTATTAAAACCGTTAAGATGGAAAATCGCCGGCTGCTGTGGAAACGCTTGCCTTTCCGCCTGGTTTGGGATATCAGAGAAGGTTTTTCTGAAGAAGTGACATTTAAGATGAGACTTGAAACCACTGGGCAAAGAATGATACAAGCAGAGGAAGTTATGTGAAAAGGCTCCGAAGCTGAGACGTTCTAAAAATCTCTGAAAGCTAGTGTGGCTGGCCCTCAGACAACTGAGGCAGGATGTGGAAGCAGAGGACAGATGCCATAGAACAGAAGAAGGAATGGGAAGCCCTAGGAGGATTTCAAGTGGGTTGTATCCTTTTTTTTTCTTTTTTTCACTTCATGTAGCCTATTATTATATGGTCTTCATTCAAAAAAGCCACCATTTTTCTGCATGTTACTCTTGAGACTGTAGCATTTCTGCATAATACTATTGAGAGTGTAACATAATTCCATTGTTAGACCATGAAATTGCTTCTGATTTTCACTCCAATAAGAATAATGCAAATTCCACTCCTAAATATATACCCAAGAGAAAGGAAAATATTTGTCCATGCAAAAACTTTTTTACAAACGTTAGCATTATTCATAATAGCCAAAGATGAAACAACCTAAATGTTCATCAGCTGGCGCCTGTATAAATCAAATGTGATACATCTATGTACAATCAAATTTTTATTTTTAAGAGATGGGGTCTGGCTCCGTGGCGCAGATGGGGGTGCCATGAGACTTCCTATGTTGTCCAGGCTGGTCTCAAACTCCTGGCCTCTAGCAATTCTCCCTCCTTAGCCTGAAAGTGATGGGATTACAGGCATGAGCCGTCACACCGACCTATACAATGGAATCTTATTGGGCCATAAAAAGAAAATACTAATACATGCTATAACATGCATAACCTTTGAAAGCAGTATGCTAAATGAAAGAAGCCAGTCACAAAAGACCACATATTATATGATTCCACTTACGTGAATGTCCAGAATAGGCAAATATATAGAGACAGAAAGTAAGGAAGTGGTTGCTTAGGGCTAGGGGCAGGCATGGGATTAGGGGATGATAGTTAAATGATATGGGGGTTTCTTTCTTTTTTTCTTTTCTTTTTTTCTTTTTTTTTTTTTTGGAAACAGGGCCTTGCTCTGTCCCCCAGGCTGCAGGCTGGAGTGCAATGGTGTGAACATGACTCACTGTAGCCTTGACCTCCAGGATCAAGCAATCCTCCTGCCTCAGCCTCCTGTGTAGCTGGAACCACAGGCGCATGCCTCCATGCCCAACTGATTTTTTGAAGGTTTCTTTTTGAGGTGAGAAAAATGTTCTGAGATTGATTGTGTTGATGGTTGCGCAACTGTGAATATTTAGGTTGAGTATTATCCAAAATATTTGAGACCAGAAGTATTTTGAATTTTAAACTTTTTTTTCAGTTTTGGAAATGTTTGCATTAAATTATATACTTACTGGTTGAGCAACCTAGTCTGAAAATCCAAAATGAGCATTTCCTCTGAGTGTCATGTTGGCACTCAAAAAGCTTTGGATTTTGGAGCATTTCAGATTTTTGTATCAGGGATATGCAACCTGTACTAAAAACCATTGAATTGTACACTTTAAATGTATTACTTCTATGGTGTTTGAATTATAATAAAGCTGCTACCCAAAAAATGAAAAACAAAAATAATTCAATTAACATCTTCATAACCTCTTTGGGGCTATTCCTAGGTCCAACAATATTATGTTTTTATGGCTTTTACTGAATACCAGTTGCCAGTTGCAAGGCAGAAGATTAAACCAATTAAAATGTTACCAGGAGTCTTTAAGAGCTCCCATTTAATTATATACTTATCCTTATTAAAACTATCTTACTGCCTATGAGATTGCCAGTGACAATTTAATCTACTATAAATATAATTACAAGTAATTAATAGGTGGGTAAGTAACTAGTTGCAGTTGTCTGAACAAAAAGTATGGATATTTTCTTTCTTTTTTTTTTTTCCTTTGAGACAAGGTCTCACCCTGTCACCCAGGTTGCAGTGGTGCGATCTCAGCTCACTGCAGCCTCAACTTCCTAGGCTCAAGCGATCCTTCCACCTCAGACTTCTAACTAGCTGGGAATACAGGTGTGCACCACCATGCCCAGCTAACTTTTGTATTTTTTGTACAGACGGGGTTTTGTCATGTTGCCCAGGCTGATCTCGAATGCCAGAGCTCAAGCAATCCAGCTACGTCAGCCTCCCAAAGTGCTGGGATGACATGCATGAGCCACTGTGCACAGCCAATATGGACATTCTTGTTCTTCAGTATCCATTTGTAAGACCATACTTTAATTCACTTTTTTTTTTTTTTGAAACAGAGTCTCTCTCTTGTCACCCAGGCTGGAGTGCAATGGTGCAATCTCAGTTCACTGCAACCTCCATATCCCGGGTTTAAGCAATTCTTCTGCCTCAGCCTCCCGAGTAGCTGAGATTACAGGTGTGCCACCGTGCCTGGGTAATTTTTGTATTTTTAGTAGAGACAGTTTCACCATGTTGGCTAGGCTGGTCTCGAACTCCTAACCTCAGGTAGTCCACCTGCCTCGGCCTTCCAAAGTGCTGGGATTACAGGCTTGAGCCACTGCGCCAGGCCATATTTTTTTTAATAACTAATAATTGTTTTTACAATTAATTGTAGTTGTAAAAAATCGAAAGTTTATGAAATTCCCTGAGAAAATAAATAAGATATATAAAGAGAACATATTATCCGCGTATTGGTAAATAACTTCTATTTAGTAATTCTAAATAGTAAAGTTAGACTACCATTCTACACGGCATTTCTAGGTGTGGTAGTTCATGCCTGTAATTGCTTTGGGAGGCCAAGCTGGGAGGATCATTAAGCCCAGGAGTTTGCACCAGCCTGGGCAACACAGAAAGACCCTGTATCTGAAAAAAAAAGGAGAGAGAGAATAATAATAACTAACACATGTTGATCACTCACTATGTAGCAAACATTATACTAAGCATTTTTATTGCATTCTTTTGTGTTTATCCCCACAGCACTCCTCTATAGTAGGTATTTTTGTTGTTCCTATTTTACAAAAGATAAAGAGGTAAAGTAAATCCCAATATTCATCACATAGCTTAGAGGGGCACAGCCAGGATTCAAACCCAGGTTGACTATCTCCAAAGCATGGTATGTTTTTAATCACTACTCTTTACTGCCTCTCCCTTAGAAGTTTCTGGCTTGCAGTAAATTTTAGGACAAAAATAGTCACCTTGTGGTGATTTTTGGCTTGTGTTTAATCTTAAATATTTTTAAAAATCTAATATGCAGTTATTTGTGTGTCTAAAGAGTAGATTTTTACTGGAAAAGGATTTCAGACTTGTTTTATTTCATGACTAGAATATTAAATCTTGAAATTAAACTATACCTTGCTTCAAATCAAAGAGGAGCAGCATAAGGAAGCACATGAGAAACAGCTATCAGAATAAAGACAGTGAGCGGGTGTGATGCCTCATGCCTGTAAGCCCAGCACTTTGGGAGGCTGAGGTGAGTGGATCACTTGAGGCCAGAAGTTTGAGACCAGCCTGGCCAACATGGCGAAACCCCATCTCTACTAAAAATACAAAAAGTTAGCCGGGCATGGTGGTGTGTGCCTGTAGTCTCAGCTACTCTGGAGGCTGAGTCAGGAGAATCGTTTGAACCTGGGAGGCGGAGGTTGCAATGAGCTGAGATAGCGCCACTGCACTCCAGCATTGGCGACAGAGTGACATCCTGTGTCAAAAAAAAAAAAAAGGAAGTATAAAGACTGTTCTGTAATGCAAAATAGTGTAAAGTGAGACCTCTTCAGAAGTCTAGGAAAATGGAAGGGAATCAAATTGATGGCCAGGAAGTGGTTCGCTATCATTAAATATTTCTAGAAATACTGCCTACATTTTTAGGAGTAAAGAAAGCAAGGCTGTTTCATGTTTAATGACAGAAGCTTCTATTCTCCTTTGTCCTAAATGAAATTTTTAGATAATGTTTCCACAAGACAATTTATGAAGGTACTATCTTGTAGGAGAGATGTTAAAGCCTACAAGAACAAAGGAAATTATTTACTGTCATAATCACTTAGCATCTGCCCACACTTTAGGATTCTTTTAACAACTTCTAAAATATTTTTCATTTATCTATACAGAGATAGAATGTAAGAGGAGTAAATGTCCCAAACCAACTTGGCATCAAGATATTAAGAGAAAAAAAAGTCCCCATTCACCAAATAATATAAAGACCTCCTCCTTAATATTAAGTGGGGAAAGTGCTCAGAGGGAATAAGTCAAGGAAGCCTCAAGCTGCCTTTTTTTTTTTTTTTAAGAGACAAGTGAACATTTATTTTTGTGCCTTTCTTCCTATGTGTATTTCAAGTCTTTTTCAAAACAAGGCCCCAGGAATCTCCAGATTCAATTGTGTCCCTGGGCTTGGTCGACTGCTGCAGGAGTCTTAGGGAACCTTGTACAAATGCTAGAGTTACTCATTTACCAACATTAAACCTTAGGATAGAAGATGCAACAAAAGCAGGACTCCTTCTTCCATGGAATATGCTGATTTCAGATGAGGCGACAGCCAATGTAGAAAACGCTGAAATTTTTCCTTGGAACTGGACTGTGATGAGAGGTGCTTGCCATGAACCTAAGCTACTGTCTTTTGTTTTCTTTTTTTTTTTTTTTTTTGAGACAGAGTTTCACTCTTGTTGCCCAGGCTGGAGTGCAATGGCGTGATCTCAGCTCACCACAACCTCTGCCTCCCGGGTTCAAGCGATTCTCTTGCCTCAGCCTCCCGAGTAGCTGGGATTACAGGCATGTGCCACCATGCCCAGCTAATTTTTGTATTTTTAGTAGGGACAGGGTTTCTCCATGTTGGTCAGGCTGGTCTCGAACTCCCGACCTCAGGTGATCCTCCCACCTCAGCCTCCCAAAGTGCTGGGATTACAGGCGTGAACCACTGTTCCGGCCAGCTACTGTCTCTGACCCTTCCTTTCCAGTGTTTGAAGATAAGGCAGGAAATAATCTTCTCTGAAGATACTTGATAAAAATTTCCAAAAAAGCAAAAACACATGCTTCCACTTCATTGACAAAAATTTACTGCCATTTGGCACCTGGGTCTGGTTCAGCTGGCGGATGAGCTGATTGATGCATTCACCCTGATAGCCAGCTGTGCCCATCTCCTTGAGGAAGCCCACTCTATTTTTGGTAGCATGACGGGCCACTGAGTGGTGGAAAGGGCACAAGAACCATGAGCTCTCCTGGAAATGCTTCCCTGGGAAGGCAGTTTCATGAATGAGGTCTTCCAAGCAAATGACACCAAACTTCCCCAGGTGCTCCTCAATCACTGTGTTTTCTGTCAGAGAGATGGTCTTATTCTTGACCTTGGCTTGTCCACGTTTCAAAATTCAAAATTCCTGGACAGACTTCAGATTTGGAAATCCCTAGGTCACATAAGGTTCCACTATACGCAGCATTTTTAGGTTCTTGGGGGTGGCTTTTACAAAGACACCATTAAAAATTTTCTTTAGGCGAAGTCTTGCAATGGTTCTCTGCCCCAGTAAACTCACACCATCAATCCTTTTGATGCACACAACAAAGGCCAAGGAATGTTCATCTGGCAATTCCAAGGCATGAGGTTTCACTTCTAGTTGTCTGAGAAGCAGCTTGTCATGTTTCTGCCACCAGGAATCATGTTGGAATGATTCCAGTCGCTTAAACCTGAGCTCTTTTCCTTTGCTCCTTCTTTGCCAAAAGTGCCTGCTTTGCCTGGGTGGCTTTGAGGGCTTGATAAGCCTTCACCTTTTTCAGGAGATTTTCTGGAACCAAAGGGATTTTTCTTTGCCCTTGATCCACCGTCTTTCTAGTGTAGCAGCTACTGATCTGGCACAACCCCACCACATGGGGAAGACAGCACTCACTCTGTTTACTTGACCATAGAGACATCAGTTCTAGCTCACGCTGGAGGACCCAGAGAGCCAGCCTGCACTTAGCAGCATTGAGACACTGAGGTCCTGCTAACCCTGATTCCTGCCAAAAGTTGCAGTGCTTCCAAGCTTTTTAGAGCCTGTGTCATTTACAAAACCCAGCCCTTTTCTTGTAGGTTAGTTTCATCACACTGGCGGTTTGGCTTTGGACAATAAAGTGCTTCCCACAACGCACCTACAGCTTCCGCTCTAGTGATGGCGCCGCACTTCCCGCGCGGCTCTGCTGCAGCCTCAAGCTGCTTTCTAAACTTGGGCCAACACTCAATATAAACTAGCTTTAGGTTTCTCATATTTAAGGAGTGATTTAGGAAAGTCTCACCAGAAGGGATCATTGGTTTCATGCTTCATTAAGAGGAGCCACGGAGATCAAACAGCAACCACCTATTTGAAAGTTGTATCTCAAAAGACTTCAGTAGAAACATTTGCCAAGGGGAAGAGTCAAAGTCTGTAAAACATTTGAAGAGATTTATTCTGATTCAAATAGGAGTGACCAATGGCCCAAGACTCAGTCTCAAGAGGTCCTAAGAACATGTGCCTAGGGTGGTAGCTTGGATTTATACAATTTAGGGAGATATAAGACATCAATACATGTATGATGTACATTCGTCTGTCCAGAAAGGTGGGATAACTGGAAACAAGGAGGGTGGGGGGTGAGGGGATTCCAGGTAATAAGTGAATTCAAGGATTTTCTTTTCTTTCTCTGTCTTTTTCTTTTTCTTCCTTCCTTTCTTTTTTTCTTTTTTTGAGAGAGAGTCTCACTCTGTCGCCCAGGCTGCAGTGCAGTGGCACGATGACAGCCCCGCTGCAACCTCCACCTCCCAGGCTTAAGTGATTTTCAGTTTTCCTGCCTCAGCCTCCTGAGTAGCTGGGATTACAGGCGTGTGCCATCACGCCCAGCTAATTTTCATGTTTTTTTAGTAGAGACAGGGTTTCACCATGTTGGCCAGGCTGGTCTCAAACTCTTGGCATGGTTGCTTCAGCCTCCCAAAGTGCTGGGATTAAAAGCTTGAGCCACCACACAGCCGATTCAAGGATTTTTGAACTGGCAATTAGTTGAAAGAGTTAAATTGTTGTCTAGAAACCTAGAATCAGTTGAAATGAATGTCTGGGTTAAGATAAGGGGTTGTGGACACCAAGGTTCCCATTATGAGGCAAAGCCTACAGGCAGCAGGCTTCAGAGAAAACGGTCTGCAAGTGTTTCTTATCAGATTTTAGAAAGTGCGAGACTTCTGTTGATTTTCTCCTGGATTAGGAAAAAGTCCTGGAAAGGAAAGGGGATTCTCTAGAGAATGTAGATTTTCCCCACAAGAGACAGCTTTGCCGGGCTGTTTCTAGATACGGCAAAGAAACATGTTTGGGATTAAAATATTTTGATTTCCCTCTTTGTCTGTCATGTGACGTTATGCCAGTTAGGTTGGAAAGCAATCCATGTTATCTGGTGTTAAATAAAACCCCTCTAATGAAACTTTATGGTTTATAGGGCGTGACTCCCCAGGCCCCTTATGTAGGAATTTGGGCAAGAGAAGAAAAAGGTCAGAGTTTAGTTCTCACATTTTATTTACTTATTTTTAGTTGGGAGAAAAATACATCATTAAAACAAAGTATCATTTTACTCTTTTCCAGAACTGTTTTGAATTGTCAAAGGACAAAGTTACAGCAAATTTAAAGACCTCAACTGGCTTTACTGCAAATTCTAGAATCAGGCAACACTTATTTTATTATTTATTATTTATTCCATAAAATACAATTTAACTGTCCCAGTGAGCTGAGTAGAAGAGGTTGGCTTTATAGGCAGAGAAGGACTGAAGCAGAAACAAAGAAAGAACTGGTCATTTCAAAGTCGCTTTCCTTGTAAAGCAGGAACAGAGAGAACAGTAGAAAAATGACTGATTGGTTAACATCAAGTTATTTGGGGTTAAGGATTACAACAGAGGGAATTTTCTTGGGAGTGGTAGAATGCACACACTGTAATCCCAGCTACTTGGGAGGCTGAGGCAGGAGGATTCCTTGAGTTCAGGAGATCAAGGTCAGTCTGGGGAAGGTAATGAAACGCATCTCTTAAAAAATAAATATGAAAATAAACTAAACCAGGGAGGACTTTATTATCACGCAGATTAAAACTGGCCTGTTTGGAAGATTAGCTGTTACCTCTCTCTCCTGATTTCTCAGATAACAACTTAGTTTGGTGACATGAAACTTCAGCATGGGTGACTGTTTTGATTTTTAGTCTAGTCCGTTGGGGCCTAGTGCAGGAGCTTAGTCCAAAACAATGGCCTCCTGTAATTTTTATTTAACAGAAGCAGGAACCACCAAATTCAGCATGTAATCAGACTATCAACACACACTTATCAAGCACTTGCGGGGGAAGATGTGTAGAGAAGGGTAAAAATCCTCCAAGTTTTATTTTAGTCTCCTCACACATATGTTTACTATAACACTTATTTCTTCTCAGTAAAGGAAAAGAATTATGTTTTGGGAGTCAATTTAAATTATCCACAATCAAGCCAGGAGCAGTGGCTCATGCCTGTAATCCCAGCACTTTGGGAGGCCAAAGCAGGAGGATTGTTTGAGCTCAGGTGTTGGAGACCAACCTGGGCAACATGGTGAAACCTTGTCTCTACCAAAAATACAAAAAATTAGCTGGGGTGGTGGTGCCTGCCTGTAGTCCCAGCTACTCGGGGGTCTGAGGCGGCTGAGGTGGGAGGATCACTTGAACCTGGGAGGTAGAGGTTGCAGTGAGCAGAGATCTCGCCACTGCACTCTAACATGGATGACAGAGTAAGACTCGTCTCAAAGTAAATAAATAAATAAATAAATAATACACAATCAGGGTTTCTAAGACTTCATTCTTGAAAAACTAAGCTGCCTTTTCTTTTATACTTTAAGTTTTAGGGTACATGTGCACAACGTGCAGGTTTGTCACATATGTATACATGTGCCATGTTGGTGTGCTGCACCCATTATCTCGTCATTTAACATTAGGTATATCTCCTAATGCTATCCCTCCCCCCACCCCGATCCCAGAACAGGCCCCGGTGTGTGATGTTCCCCTTCCTGTGTCCACGTGTTCTCATTGTTCAGTTCCCACCTATGAGTGAGAACATGTGGTGTTTGGTTTTTTGTCCTTGCGATAGTTTGCTGAGAATGATGGTTTCCAGCTTCACCCATGTCACTACAAAGGACATGAACTCATCATTTTTTATGGCTGCATAGTATTCCATGGTGTATATGTGCCACATTTTCTTAATCCAGTCTATCATTGTTGGACATTTGGGTTGGTTCCAAGTCTGCTATTGTGAATAGTGCCGCAATAAACATACCTGTGCATGTGTCTTTATAGCAACATGATTTATAATCCTTTGGGTATATACCCAGTAATGGGATGGCTGGGTCAAATGGTATTTCTAGTTCTAGATCCCTGAGGAATCGCCACACTGTCTTCCACAATGGTTGAACTAGTTTACAGTCCCACCAACAGTGTAAAAGTGTTCCTATTTCTCCATATCCTCTCCAGCACCTGTTGTTTCCTGACTTTTTAATGATCGCCATTGCAACTGGTGTGAGATGGTATCTCATTGTGGTTTTGATTTGCATTTCTCTGATGGCCAGTGATGATGAGCATTTTTTCATGTGTCTTTTGGCTGCATAAATGTCTTCTTTTGAGAAGTGTCTGTTCATATCCTTCGCCCACTTTTTGATGGGGTTGTTTGTTTTTTTCTTGTAAATTTGTTTGAGTTCATTGTAGATTCTGGATAGTAGCCCTTTGACAGATGAGTAGATTACAAAAATTTGATCTCATTCTGTAGGTTGCCTGTTCACTCTGATGGTAGTTTCTTTTGCTGTGTAGAAGCTCTTTAGTTTAATTAGATCCCATCTGTCAATTTTGGTTTTTGTTGCCATTGCTTTTGGTGTTTTAGACATGAAGTCCTTGTCCATGCCTATGTCCTGAATGGTATTGCCTAGGTTTTCTTCTAGGGTTTTTATGGTTTTAGGTCTAACATTTAAGTCTTTAATCCTATTAGGAAAAGAGGAAGTCAAATTGTCCCTTTTTGCAGATGACATGATTGTATATCTAGAAAACCCCATCGTCTCAGCCCAAAATCTCCTTAAGCTGATAAGCAACTTCAGCAAAGTCTCAGCATACAAAATCAATGTGCAAAAATCACAAGCATTCTTATACACCAATAACAGGAAAACAGAGAGCCAAATCATGAGTGAACTCCCATTCACAATTGCTTTAAAGAGAATAAAATACCTAGGAATCCATCTTACAAGGGATGTGAAGGACCTCTTCAAGGAGAACTACAAACCACTGCTCAATGAAATAAAAGAGGATACAAACAAATGAAAGAACATTCCATGCTCGTGGGTAGGAAGAATCAATATCGTGAAAATGGCCATACTGCCCAAGGTAATTTATAGATTCAATGCCATCCCCATCAAGCTACCAATGACTTTCTTCACAGAATTGGAAAAAACTACTTTAAAGTTCATATGGAACCAAAAAAGAGCCCGCATTGCCAAGTCAATCCTAAGCCAAAAGAACAAAGCTGGAGGCATCACACTACCTGACTTCAAACTATACCACAAGGCTACAGTAACCAAAACAACATGGTACTGGTACCAAAACAGAGATATAGACCAAAGGAACAGAACAGGGCCCTCAGAAATAATGCCACATATCTACAACTATCTGATCTTTGACAAACCTGACAAAAACAAGAAATGGGGAAAGGATTCCCTATTTAATATATGGTGCTGGGAAAACTGGCTAGCCATATGTAGAAAGCTGAAACTGGATCCCTTCCTTACACCTTATGCAAAAATTAATTCAAGATGGACTAAGCTGCCTTTATTATGAGATAGTGATTTAACAGATATTTGAGTCCCAGTTGCATGCTGGGTTAGGCACTAAAAGAGATTCTAAGGTGAATGAAATATAGACCTGCTAATAAGAAACGTAATTATTCATTCTTTAATTGAGCAACATTTGCTAGCCGTGTGACCTTGAGGCAAGTTACTCAGCTTTTTGTTGTTGTTTTTTTTGTTTGTTTGTTTTTTGTTTTTTGAGACAGGGTCTGGCTCTGTCATCCAGCCTGGAATGCAGTCTCAACTTCCTGGGTTCAAGTGATCCTCCCACCTCAGCCTCCGGAGTAGCTGGGACTATAGGTCTGTGCCACCATGCCCAGATAATTTTTGTATTTTTGGTAGAGACGGAGTTTCACCATGTTGCCCAAGCTAATCTCAAACTCCTGGGCTCAAGGGATCCACCCACCTTGGTCTCCCAAAATGTTAGGATTACAGGCCTATTATGGCCTACTGAGTAGGCCTATGCATGGCCAACTCAGCTTTCTATAACTTGACCTGTTTCGTCGTCTGTAAAATGGAGGTAATGATGTATCTCCTAGAGTCTTTATGACAATTAAGTGGGATAATATTTGCAAAAGGCTTAGAACAATGTGTGACACATAGGAAACCCTCATTTTTAGCTTAACTATTGCAAGAGGTCTTTATGTGCTAGGCTTGAGTATGTGAGGTATTAATGATTTGCTGTGTAACAAACTACCTCAAAATATAGCTGCTTAAAACAACAAATATGTATTATCTCATACAGTTTCTGAGGCTCAAGAGCTCTAGCTGGGTGGTTCTGGCTCAGCATCTTTCATGAGGTTACTGTTAGTGGTGGCAAATCCACACAGGTCTGCAGCAACCTCAATTCTTGCCTCCTCAGAAGAAAGAATTTGACTGAGGGGCATAAGGCAAAGGTAGAGACTGAGGCAAGTTTTAGAGCAGGAGTGAAAGTTTATTAAAAATCAGGCTGGGCGCAGTGTTTCATGCCTGTAATTCCAGCACTTTGGGAGGCCAAGGCGGGCGTATCACCTAAGGTGGGGAGTTCAAGACCAGCCTGACCAACATGGAGAAACCCCGTCTCTACTAAAAAAAAAAAAAAAAAAAAAAAAATACAAAATTAGCCGGGTGTGGTGGTGCATGCCTGTAATCCTAGCTACTCAGGAGGCCGAGGCAGGAGAATCGCTTGAACCCGGCAGGTGGAGGTTGCGGTGAGCCGAGATTGCGCCATGCACTCCAGCCTGGGCAATGAGCAAAGCTCTGTCTCAAAAAAAAAAAAAAAAGTTTATTAAAAATCTTTAGAATAGGAATGAAAGGAAGTACACTTGGAAGAGGCTCAAGTGGGCGACTTGAGAGATGAAATGTGCGGTTTGACTTTTTGACTTAGGGCTTTGTATGTTGGCATGCTTCTGGGGTCTTGTGTCCCTTCTCCCCTGATTCTTCCTTGGGGTGGGCTGTCTGCACGCACAGTGGCCTGCCAGAGCTAGGGAGGGGAGCATGCTCAGTGTGTTCACTGGCATTGTATGCATGCTCGCTTGAGGTGTTCTTCCTTACCAGTCAAATGTTTATAGAAGGTCATGTATCAGTTAAACTGCCATTTTGCCTCTTAATGTGCATGCTTGAGCCCACTTGCCCAATTCCTGAGATCTTATTGGGAAGCTGCTAAGTTTCTGGTGTTTCTGTTTATTGGGAGACTTTCTTTCCCTGGCACTGGCTGCAACCAATTATTATTTTAGAGAGACAGTTTAATAACGGCCTGACCATCACCTGATGGTTGCCTGACATTCCTGTTGTGGGAGCCTCTCTCCTGCTCTGCTCATGTCTGACTAGCTATCTACTGTAACATTTCAATGAGCTTGTTGACTGGGGCTGAAGTCATGGAGGGATTGGAGAATCTGCCACCCAGTTCAGTGGCTGTTGGCAGAGGCTTCAGTTCCTTGCACTAGGTCTCTCCATAGGGCTGTCCAAGATCAGGCAGCTGGCTTCACATGTAACAAGTGATGGTGGGGGAGGGCAGAGAGAGACAAGATAGAAGCTGCAACTGCTGCCATATTCTGTTCAGTAGAAGCAACTCACTAAGTCCAGGCTATACTGAATGGGAGAGGAATTAAACTTGAAGAGTATCAAATAATTCATGGACCTATTTTTAAAACTGCCACAGGTATGGAAAGAAAAGTAAGGGTTATCTAAGTAGACAAGAACAGATACGATAGGCAAAGGGTGTAGCGGAAACAAAGGAATAGAGATAATAAGAGAATTACATAGAATGCACTCTAGCATGGCTAGAGAATTAAGGTGATTACTTCTTCCCATTTTATTTTATTACCATTATTATCATTACTATTTGGAGACAAGGTCTTGCTCTGTTGCCTGCGCCTGAGTGCAGTGGTGTGATTATGGCTCACTGCAGCCTCAACTCCTGGGCTCAAGCAGGAGCCCAGCTAATGTCTTTTGTAGAGACAGTCTCACTGTGTTGCCCTGGCTGGTCTCAAACTCCTGGTCTCAAGCAGTCCTCCCACCTCAGCCTCCCAAAGTGCTGGGACTACAGGTGTACACCACCACACTCAGCCTCACTTATTCCCATGTTATTTCTTTGCTTGTTTGTTTGTTTTTTGTGATGGAGTCTCGCTTTTGTTGCCCAGGCTGGAGTGCAATGGCACGATCTTGGCTCGCTGCAACCTCTGCCTCCCGTTCGAGCTATTCTGCCTCAGCCTCCCAAGTAGCTGGGATTACAGGCATGCACCACCATGCCCAGCTAATTTTGTATTTTTAGTAGAGATGGGGTTTCACCATGTTGGCCAGGCTGGTCTCGAACTCCTGACCTCAGGTGATGCACCCACCTTGGCCTCCCAAAATAAAGTAATTTTCCCAATATATACAATTAGTAGATGGCAGATCCAGGGCCTGAAACCATATTTCTGATTATAGAATATTTGATTTTATCTCTATGTTGGGG
Organism: Homo sapiens; assembly: GCF_000001405.40. Lineage (NCBI taxonomy): Eukaryota > Metazoa > Chordata > Mammalia > Primates > Hominidae > Homo > Homo sapiens. The sequence goes on from NC_000004.12 coordinate 77,091,067, forward strand.
TTCTCCTGAGAAACATAGCCAACAGGGAGGGTGGGTGTGCCTGTGTGTGGAGAGAGAGAGAGAGAGAGAGAGAGAGAGACAGAGAGAGAGAGAGACAGAGAGAGAGAGAGATTTATTTTAAGGAATTGGCTCATGCAATTGTGGAGGCTTGGTAAATCCAAGATCTGCAGTCTAGGCTGGAGACCCAGGGAAGAGTGGCAGTTTCGAGGCCATAATCAGTCTGCTAGCTGAATTCCTTCTTGCTCAGGGGAGATCAGTGTTCTATTAAGATCTTCAGCTGATTGGATGACACCTACTCTTATAAAAGGTAACGCTTTACTCAAATTATTCTGATTTAAACGTTAATCTCATCCATTAAAAAAAATAATAAAATTAAAAACATCTACTCAGAAACTCCAGAATGATGTTTTACCAAGTATCTGAGCACTGTGGCTCAGACAAGTTCACACATGAAATTAACTGTCTTACTACCTTATACAACAATGACAATTTACAGTTCAGACTGCAAAGGTCCTTGAATGCCATTTTGTTGGATTTATGAAAATTAACCAGTGGCTCTCTAAGAGATTTGACCTTCATCATCTGATACTGGCAGCAGGAATGAGGTGGGGTGGGTGTCCTATAGAATAGTTTAATTTCTTTAGGGAACGTGTGTTGGAATATTTGCCTATCATGCTTGATTTTCAACCTTATTTTGACACATGACAAATTGGATGTTTTTTCCTTTCAATACTTTTCCTTTTGGTCCACATATTTTTAGTAATTAATCATTTTTTATACATTTTACATATCTCTTTTTTCTTTTTTTGGGGTGGAGAGACAGGGTTGCTCTCTGTCGCCCAGGCTGGAGTGCAGTGGCACAATCTTGGCTCACTGCAATCTTGACCTCCTGGTCTCAAGTGATCCTTCCACCTCAGCTTCCCAAGTAGCTGGGACTACAGGAACATGCTAATTTTTGTAGAGATGGGGTCTCGCTATGCTGCCCAGGCTGGTCTTGAACTCTTGGCCTGAAATGATCCTCCTGCTTTGGCCCCCCAAAATATTGGGATTACAGATATGAGCCACCTCACCCAGCCATTTCATGTATTTCAATATAATGACTTAGATTTCAAAAATATTTTTCTTTGGCCAGGTGTGGTGGCTCACGCCTGTAATCCCAGCACTTTGGGAGGCCAAGGCAGGTGGATCACCTGAGGTCAGCTGGCCAACATGGCGAAACCCCATCTCTACTAAAAATTCAAAATTAGCTGGGCGTGATGGTGGGCGCCTGAGGTCCCAGCTACTTGGGAAGCTGAGGTAGGAGAATCGCTTGAACCCCAGAGGTGGAGGACATAGTGAGCCGAGATCGTGCCACTGCACTCCAGCCTGGGCGACAGAGCAAGACTCCATCTCAAAAATATATATGCATATATATGTATACTTTTTTTCTTTATTGTATATTCTCTCCTATTTAGTCTTTCTTAACTTTAACTTTTTCTTTCTCTTTGAGGCCTTATTTCAAGGCTTACTTTTAGATATCCCTTCTACCAAAGTGCAATGTGAATTTAGTAAAGATGACAGAAATGTAGGTGAGAACTAAAGGACCCAGTTTGTAGACCATCTGGACTAGGAGATTCAAAAGGTATAAATATTGTTCAAGCTTCATTTCTTTGCAGGCAGTGCATAAAAGAAAAGCTATTTCAACCTTGATGCTGGAGAGATTTCTCTCTGTAGCTAACATAGAACAGGAAACCTTAATATTTTTCTTGGTGCCTCAGAATTTAAAGTCACATTGGTCCCAGACTGTTGTTTTGGACCACTTGAAACAGCAGGAGAAAACACGTAATTGGGAGTGGGCTGGAGAATGTTATGAGGCCACTCAAAAGTGATCTGGATTATAAATCTATGCATACACCCTATTAGGAGAGAACAGGAAGCAGAATCTAGAAAACCAGTAGAGCAAAAGTTCTGATAAGCTAGAAGAAAAAGCAGAACCAGACTTGCAGAGTAAATGGGGGCCGAGACCTCATAATAGAGTGTAAAACAGAGTGAAAGGATTGGGAGCTAGTTTTATGGTTATATCCATATTCTGGTCAGTTGTTTTGTGGAAACCGCAAAAGGGAGGGTGAGCATCAGATGGTTAGTTAAAATCAGCAGTGTAGCCATTGTTTTGAAAGGGCTGGTTTCTGTTTTGCCTGTAGGGAAGGAAGCCTGATGGTGGTTAGCAAGGGAGAGGGTATAAGGAGTGGGATCTCCCATTGCATCATGGCCCTGGGAATGTAGTTTTAAGGTTTCTCTGTGGTCCTCTTGGCCAAGAGGGGGTCTTTTCAGTCACTTGGGGAGCTTTCCAAGAGAAGATTTTGAAAGTTTATTCATCTTTTTGTTTTTAATAAAATTAAACCATCTTGGAAAAATAGTTTCTCCTATTTTACCTTGAAAGATTGCCAGGTGTGGGCATTCTGTGAATTCTCTAAGTAACACATTCCAAAGGAATTTTCTTCTCCTTTTAATTGTGTTCCGGAAGCTATTATTAATAGGTTACTCATTTGAACTGTATGACAGCAGGAAATAAGACTCAAAGATCTAACCACACTAAATAACTCTTTGGATTAACCCATGTAGAAAATGATCAGCTAATTTTGACTTAAATCTTGCTTATACTAATGACCACTTGCATTTTGAAGAAAAAAATTAATCATATTCCCAAATCCACTACTCTAAAGTATGAGATAATTTCTATTCCAGAATCTTTTTGTTTTTGTTTTTAAGACAGAGTTTTGCTCAGTTCCCCAGGCTGGAGTGCAATGGTGTGATCTCCACTCACTGCAACCTCTGCCTCCTGGGTTCGAGTGATTCTCATGCCTTAGCCTCCCGAGCAGCTGGGACTACAGATGTGAGCTTTTTTTTTGTATTTTTAGTAGAGATGGGGTTTTGCCCATGTTGCGCAGGCTGGTCTCAAACTCCTAGCCTCAAGTGATCTGCCTGCCTCAGCCTCCCAAAGTGCTGAGATGATTATAGGCATGAGCCGCCACCCTCAGCCTGTTCTATTCCAGAATCTGAAGTGTCTTCTGAACACTTGAGGATAAGGTAAGGTAAAGACAAAAACATAATGGTGGAGAAATATGGTGAGAGGAACCAATCTTTATGGGGCAGAAACTTCAATATTCTATGAGATCTTTCCCTCCTCCCCAAATATCAAATATTCTCCATCATGCCTCTTAGAGAGGGCTCCCGGTCAATTTTTGTAGGTTCACTGAAACTTGGCCTCTTGACCACTATCAGGAATTTACAATATACAGGCCAGGTGTGGTGGCTCATGCCTATAATCACAACACTTTGGGAGGCCAAGGTGGGTGGATCACTTGAGGTCAGGAGTTCGAGGCCAACATGGCAAAACTTTGTCTCTACTAAAGATACAAAAAATAGTTGGGTGTGGTGGTGTGCACCTGTAATCCCAGCTACTTGGGAGGCTGAGACAGGAGGTGGAGATTGTAGTGAGCTGAGATTGTGCCACTGCAATCCAGCCTGGGTGATAGAGCGAGACTCCATACCCCACCCCCGCCAAAAAAAAGAATTTACAATATACATATAAATAGGCAATAAATATTAAAAGGCTGATATGAATGCCAAGTCAGTTTTTTTTCACCCAGAGAATTGCTGAGTAGAACATAGACCAGATTTCATTTGACAGCTACTCCCACGTGCATTATAATACACACATCATATTCCTTACTGTAGAAAGTTACAGTTAAGGTTATAAGAACTGGATCTTGTCCATATGAAAAAAGAAAGACTATGTTAGTAATAGTATTGCTTTTATATTTATGTATAGTATATTGTTACTTGCCTTTGCCTTTAAATATATTACTATTTTGTCTCTTAAAATTGTTCAAAAACCCAGGTAGTTATTCACCAAGTTCTCGTTAGTCACCGAATTAAAATTGCATTTATAATAATGAGAATGTCAAATAGTATATACTGATTTTATAAGTTTGATATACATTTTAAACAAAAGAGCCAAGATAAAATGTAATTTTCTAAACCGATAAGGCCAGGATACTTTATCATAATGTTAAAATTATCCCTAATGTTAGGAGTTAAAGGCTAACATTAGGAAATCTTTTCAAAAGATTTTTTTGAGTAGAGGGGCTTTTTTTTGTATTGAGTCAACCAATTTACATTAAACAATTCAGTAAAGTTTACAGTAATCAATACACAGTATATCCTCATATTCCACAGCAGCTTCAGAGTAGTAGTACGACAATAGGAGTTTCTGGCTCTGAGCCCCCACCTGTGTAAATACTGGCACCCCAGTTCTCCAATCTTCCCAGCACTCAAGATTCCTCTTTCTCTTGGCAGGTCCCAAAAGAGTCAACTTGATCTTTTTGACAGCCATTAAGAGAACTCTATCTCTTTGTTCCGTGCCTGGTCACTTTGGCACAGCTGTCTTGCTGACACTCTTCAGATATGTGCTGACCTTGGCATGCCACTAGGGGGCCGCTGCCTCATAGTATATACTTACCAATCATCACACTCCCCCATTGCTGATGCTCGATTGAGTCCTTTCAGGTCAGTGTCTCTGTTGTTCTAGGTAATGGGGGAGTGGAATGAAGTGGGATCCTGTCTCTGCTGGTGTTACAATCCTTTAATGGGTTTCTAAAGAGGGTCACCTTGCTTTACATTTTTATGGAGAGCTCAGTGTTAAATTTTATGTGGACACATTTTCTTGCAGTTCTTAGCTCTTATGCTCCCGTCAACTTCCGTGGTACTGGGTCAGGTAACATTTGATGTGACATGACTTCAACAACCCCTGAAAGGAGCTGGACACTTTAACTCAAAACTATTCAGGGTGAGTTCCCTGCCCACTTCAGGTCATCCCAGAGAAACCAAGCTGATCAAGAAACCAGGAGATAATGTTACAAACACACTACTCACTACTGTGGGTTCCAAGGCATTCTCCTCTTTCTCACTTTCTTTCCCTTTCCTCTCTCTCATCCTACTCCAATTTGCTCTACTTTCTAGACTGCAGCAAAGGCCCTTTGTTACATGTAACTTTTACTTTTTAAGAGAGAAATTTACTTTCTGTCAACAAAGAAGTATAAATATAAAATTCTATTAAATAAATAATGAAGAGTCTTCATTTAATACGGTTAGTTAGGAAAGAGATAAGGGAAAAGCATTGTGCCTGAAGACAATATTTGAAATTAGTCTTTATTACTTGGTTGTCTAAGTTTGCTTTTTCCTGTCAGAAACAGTTTTTTATTTAGTTAGATCCACCAACTTGTTTCTTCAGCATTAACTGGGTTTTAATTATCTGCTTCTTACAAACATTCAATTGCCTTTTTCTCAAGCTTCTTTTCTGGGTAGGCCCCACAGAGAAGCAGCAGGGAGGAATTATATCCCAGGATGAAGCATCCTCACCAGTGCAACATCATTCTGTGTTGTATTTGCCAATAACTTGATGACATTAGGCCTTTTGAGTAGAGTCCCCATTTCTTTTTCTTCCAGACATTAGATATTTTTCAAAGTGAATTTTAAGTACCTTTTTTAAGATCTAGACTGCAATAAATTTTTCTGCAATTAAACACAACATAATACAGTATGTGGTTCAGACTGATGCTAGTATCAGTTGATTTTGCAAGCCCCATTTACTAGTAAAAGCTGGAGTTGTGTGACCCCATCTTATTCAATAAACAAGTATCCAAATATTTATTGAGCACCAACTCAATATAGGGCCTTGGACTGAATTAAAGTAGCAAGCTGACCACAAAACCAGGAGATAATGTTACAAACACAGCATTCCTATTGTGCAGTGGTCACAATTTTAAGGTAAAATTGGGGACAGCTATAAAAATATTTTGTGTAACAGAATGAAAAATTTCTTGCCAGGCAGGGTGGCTCATGACTGTAATCTCAGCACTTTGGGAGGCCAAGGTGGGTGAATCACCTGAGATCAGGAGTTCAAGACCAGCCTGGCCAACATGGTGAAACCCCGTCTCTACCAAAAATACAAAAATTAGCCGGGCGTGGTGGTGTGCACCTGTAGTCCCAGCTACTCGGGAGGCTGAGGCAGAAGAATCCCTTGAACCCAGGAGGCAGAGGTTGCAGTGAGTTGAGATTGTGCTACTTGCACTCCAGCCTGGGAGACAGAGTGAGACTCCATCTCAAAAAAAAAATAATTGAAAATTTCTGCATATGTCTGGATTGAAATTACCCATGAAGTCATATAGGACTTAATTCAGAGGACATTTTTTATCTATTCCAATGTTGGGTTAGGTTTGTGCCTTAATACTCTTCAGGATTTAACTACACCAGATGCGAAGGAAGTAAATGCCCAAACCTCATAGCCAAGTTTACCATTTTCCAGTATTTTGATGTGAAATTATTCTGACATAGTAGAGTCAAATGCCTCCTACTGTTTTTCTGATAGCTCTGCTATTGACTGGATGTGTGTGTCCCCCAAAATTCATATGTTGAAGCCTAATCCCCAGTGTGATGGTATTTGGAGGTGGGAATTTTAGGAGGTACTTAGGTCAAGAGGATAGAGTCCTTGTGAATGGGGTTAGTGCTCTTACAAGAAAAGATGTGAGAGAGATGATCTCTCAGCCATGTGAACATATGGCAAAAGGCACCTGTCTACAAGCCAAGAAAAGACCCTCACCAGATATCTGCTGGTGCTTTGATCTTGAACTTCTCAGTCTTCAAAACTGTAAGAAATAAATGTTGCATAAGCTACCCATTATGTTGTAATTTTGTTAACAGCAGCCCAAACTGACTAAGACAAACAAGGATCTTAGCCTTTTGGTTTTATTATGTTTAATGTTTTTGGAGATCCCCAAGTGATTTCTTCCTCAAGGGAAAATTCAAAACACTATCATCACCAAGATACTCTGTCTTGTCAATTATTTTCTGCATTTATCAATTTCCCCTTACATTTACCCTGCTTATAATTGTACCTCACCTTATGGCAGGTTCCCACTTCGGTTTTTATTTTGTTTTGTTTTTGAGACAAGGTCTCACTCTGTTGCCCAGGGTGGAAGGCAGTGCTGTGATCTTAGCTCACGGAAGCCTAGACCTCCCGGGCTCAAGTGATCCTCCTGCCACAGCCTCCCAAGTAGCTGGGACTACAGGTGTGTACCATCATGCCTGGCTAATTTTTTTTTTTTTTAATATTTGTAGAGATGGATCTCACTATGTTATCTAGGCTGATTTCAAACTCCTGGCCTCAAGCAATCCTCTGGCCTTGGCCTCCCAAAGTGCTGGGATTGCAGCTGTGAGCCACCATGTCCTGTGACTTTTCCTAAGCATTGTTAGCTCTTGTCTTTATTCTGAGATCCTATTCAGATCTAGTGGATCTATCTCACCTCCCAGGACTCTGTTTATTGCCCTTGATCTAGGTTTACTGTGCAGTGATATACATATTATCTCTCTAAACATCTTCTGTGCTCTTCTCTTACTTATGTCAGGTTCCAATGTGTGTGGAGAGAATCATCTGAAAGGTCTGCATTATACTGGCCTGGAGGCATGAGGTGTTAATTAGGGTACTGGCTATGTTGTTGGAACAAGAAACTCAAAAATACAAAGATTCCCAAATAGCTCTATAACATAGAGAATTTAGCTCCTTCCCCCTTGTTGCTTTCCCATGCTTAGGAAGTTGGCTTCATTTTTGTGTCTGAAAATGGCTCAAACACCACATCCTCATTCCAACACACTTAAAGGGAAAAGAGTGAATGAAGCACCTGGCCCAGAAATTGCATATATTACTTCTGCTTACATTCCATTTTTTTTTCTTTCTTTTGTTGGGGCGGGATTGGGGGACAGGGTCTTACTCTGTTACCCAGGCTGGGGTGCAGTGCTTGATCTTGGCTCACTGCAACTTCCACCGTCCAGGCTTAAGTGATCCTCCCACCTCAGCCTCCTGAGTTGCTGGGACTACAGGCATGCACCACCACACCCAGCTAATTTTTTGTATTTTTGTAGAGATGGGGTTTCACCATGTTGCCCAGGCTGGTCTCAAATTCCTGGGGTCAAGCAATCCACCCACTTCAGCCTCCCAAAGTGCTAGAACTACAGGCGTGAACCACTGCACCCAGCCACATTCCATTTTTTTATGCAACCTTTAGCTATATTTGGCTCCAACCTTAGTATAGAAAGAGATAAAGGTATTGAGAAGATAATTAGCAAACTCTGTCTACCACATACTATAATTTTTTGTTTTTTCTTTGGAGGCAGAGTCTCACTCTATCACCCAGGCTGGAATGCAATGGCATGATCTCGGCTCACTGCAACCTCCGTCTCCCGGGTTCAAGCGAATCTCCTGCCTCAGCTTCCTGAGTGGCTAGGATTACAGGCGTGTGCCACCACGCCTGGCTAATTTTCGTATTTTTGGTAGGGACAAGGTTTCACCATATTGACCAGGCTGGTCTTGAACTTCTGGCCTTCAGTGGTCTGCCCACCTCAGCCTCCCAAAGTGCTGGGACTACAGGTGTGAGCCATTGCACCAGGCCCACATGCTGTAAAGTCATCTAGGTCCCTTAAAAATAATTTTTTAGAGGCTGGGCATGGTAGCTCATGCCAGTAATATTAGCACTTTCGGAGGCCAAGGCAGGCGGATCACTTGAGCCCAGGATTTAGAGACCAGCCTGCACAACATGGCGAAACCCCATCTCCGCAGAAAATACAAAAATTAGCCGAGTGTGGTGGCACGTGTCTGTAGTCCAGGCAAGCTACTGGGGAGGCTGAGGTGGGAGGATTGCTAGAGCCCAGGAGGTTGAGGCTGCAGTGAGCTGAGATTGCGCCCACTGCACTCCAGCCTGAGTGACAGAGTGAGACCCTGTCTCAAAAATAATAATAATAATTTTTAAAAGGCAGTAACTAGCAGTTGGTGCTTTGGCTATTCAGTTCTTGCATCCTAGTTCTCTGGAAGTTCCCACTAGTATTCAGAGCAGGGGGATGGAGGTAGTAAGAAAAATAAGATTTTTGATCTGATCTCTCTTTATGCTGTGATCCCTATGCCATTTGTCCCTGCCAAAAATGTAACCTGTGCATTGACTGTCACAAATAGCCAGATTTTGACTTTTTGATCACTTTATCTTGAATGTACATTTACGCTATAATACATTAAAGATATAACTAATCCTAGTAAGACTAGGAAGCTGAATGTATCCCTTTCTTAGGCAGCTAAAATCTCAATACTTTTGAGTGCCCTTCACTTTACTCTTTGTACACGGGGAGTCTTCTTGTTTAGGAACCTCATCACCCTAGCTGCATGCCTTATCCACCATCTCAGCAGCTTGTTCCTTTAATGCCGCCAGTCTGAGCTTCAGCATGCTGCTTGCATTCCACAGGAAGCCTTGTAGTCTTGAGCATATTCCACAGGATGTGTGCTTCCTTCCTTAACTACTCTGAAACCTGTGGCTGATAAGTACACCATTGTCTTAATGGAGATCTCTGTTGATAAGAACCAAAACTTCCTCAACACAGCTCTATGGGTGTAGGCAGGAAGGGTATTTATTGAAGCAATTCAGGGGCATATCTGATAATCTAATTTCAGAATATAGAATCCTATTGCATAGGAAGTAGTTATCCAAGAGCTACCCTTTTTGGGATCAGATTATCTCTCATCTCTGCTTCCCTAGATATGTCCATTTGTTCCTTCTCTACCTCATTCTTTTTTTTAATGCTTTTTGTGAAAACTGTCATGTATCTCATTCTCTCTGATCTTTGCAAGGTTCTCAAGGTTTGCTCTCCCATAACTCTGACCCAAGGCTTTGATTTGCCGTGGTGTCATGTTTGTCCCAATGTACCCACACATCAGAACTTCTCTGCACAATAGGAACAGCCTCCATCTTTTTATTTTGGTACAGTTTCTCAAAGGAGGACATTGAATTGGCTCACCCTGAATCAGGTGTCTACCCCTGGTCCAATCAGTTGTGACCAGGATCTTGGGTCACCTGAGACAAGTATGACCACTGTGACTGCGGGTAGAGGACAGGTTCTCTTAGAATGAGTTGTGGGTGGGAAGAAGATGGTTGATGTATCTAGTACATATGTAATATTTTTTCTTTCTTTCTTTTTTTTTTTTTTTTTTGAGACAGTCTTGCTCTGTGGCCCAGGCTGATGTGCAGTCGTGCAATCTCAGCTCACTGCAATCTCCATCTCCTGGTTTCAAGCGATTCTCCTGCCTCAGACTCCTGAATAGCTGGGACTACAGGTGCATGCCACCACACCTGGCTACTTTTTTTGGTTTTAGTAGACAGGGTTTCACCATGTTGCCCAGGCTGGTCTTGAACTCCTGGACTCAAGCAATTCACCCTCCTTGGCCTCCCAAAGTGCTGAGATTATAGGTGTGAGCCACCGTGCCTGGCCCTCTCTCTTTTTTTTTTTTCTTTTTGACACAGTCTTGCTCTGTGGCCCAGGCTGGAGTGCAGTGGCATGATCTTGGCTTACTTCAACCTTCACCTCCCAGGTTCAAGCAATTCTCCCAAGTAGCTGGGACTACAGGTGTGCACCACCACGCCTGGCTAATTTTTGTATTTTTAGTAGAGCCAGTTTCGTCATGTTGCCCGGGCTGGTCTTAAACTCCTGACTCAAGTGATCCACCTGCCTCAGCCTCCCAAAGTGCTGGGATCACAGGCGTGAGCCACCATACCCAATCTCTTTTTCGTATTTTTAACCTCAGACCAAATTTGGGATGAGTGAAGTCAGTCCTGCAATAGTATGAGAGTTACACTTCTGGTAAGTTACAAAATACCATCTAATCAAATACCTTAATTTGTACTAGGAGTGGTTCTCCAAAGGGCACTACAGGTCAGCTGTTCCCATGACCATATAACTTGTCACCTCATCCATGCACTCATGCTTGAGAATTGGTGGCTGTAGACCCTGCTGCACTGGTATCAGTTTCTGGAGATATGCTCCATTTAGACCTCATTATTTTAGGTGTAGCCTCTTCACATCTCCTTTTGAAATTTTCCAAGGTTTCCACCATGTTTCTTTAAATTACATGATCTGTGGATATCATTTAGAAATATAAAAATATGAATTACAAACTCACCTGCAGCAGGAGTAGATTGAGGTTTTTGTGGTGCTTAAAGCTTATACAGCTTGGGAGATTTTTTAAAGAAAAAATAATTTTAAATTATGGAGACAAAATTAGGTATGAAATTGATTCATGAGAAAAAACACAACAAATATCTTTTAAATACATGGCTTTTTAATTTCATTGGGCATAAAAATAACATGGCAATGTTATTAAAATACAGATTCCTGGGTCCACCCCAGACCTATTGAAACAGAATTTATGAAGTCCTGGAATCTGCATTTTAGCACACAACCCCAGGAAGGCTGAATACCACATTTTGAGATAAACTAAGTAATCACTGCAGCGAATAAGACTTTAACAATATCTCTTCTCTTTTTTGAGGGTATATTTGCTTGGTGTATATGTATATACAATTATCACTGTATGAAAGAAGAAATATGAATTGTGTATACAGAGTTTATAAGTGTTTACGTAAATAGTGGAATTTGTCATAAAGTTATATTTTTACTTAGCCATTTTATAACTAGAAAGAATAAGCCACTAAACAGAAAATCAGAAACCTCAAAAGATAGTTATGAATGTCCTAATATTTCACAGGATATTTTCATTACTTGGAAGAAAAAAATGCTCTGTAGATGTCATTTTTCCTTAAGAAATAAACAAATGAATACTAAATGCAACTTAAGTAAAAAGGTTAATGAGATTACTGGTGAGAAAATTACTCCAAATACTGCAATTTCTCTCTCTCTCTCCCCTCCTCCCCCCACCCCCCGCCCCCCGCTATATATATATATATATATTTTTTTTTTTTTTTTTTTGAGACAGAGTTTCACTCTTGTTGCCCAGGCTGGAGTGCAATGGCGCAATCTTGGCTTACTGCAACCTCCACCTCCCGGGTTCAAGCAATTCTCCTGCCTCAGCTTCCCGAGTAGATGGGATTACAGGTACCCACCACCATGCCCAGCTAATTTTTGTATTTTTAGTAGAGACAGGGTTTCGTCGTGTTGGCCAGGCTGGTCTCAAACTCCTGACCTCGGGTGATCCACCCACCTCGGTCTCCCAAGGTGCTGGGATTATAGGTGTGAGCCACCACGCGGCACCGCAATTACTATATTCTATGACATATAGTGTATCTGTTTTACAAAGTGCTTATGATACTTGTATCATGCATATATATATATATATATATATATATATATATATATGTCAAAATTTTTTTGACAAATTCATTTTAATCAAATTAGCTTTTATTTAGTGATTAGTGAATGGAGCCCCATCCCTTCTAAAATTAGAAAGGTGCTCTGATTAGCCGAGCACAGGAAGTAGGCTTTATAGGTAGAAGAAGGCTAAAGAAAGCAGAAACAGGCAGGGCGCGGTGGCTTATGCCTGTAATCCCAGCGCTTTGGGAGGCCGAGGCGGGCGGGTCTCCTGAGGTCAGGAGTTCAAGACTAGCCTGACCAACATGGAGAAACCCAGTCTCTATTAAAAATACAGAATTAGCCGGGTGTGGTGGTACATACCTGTAATCCCAGCTACTTGGGAGACTGAGGCAGGAGAATCGCTTGAACGCGGGAGGCGGAGGCTGCAGTGAGCTGAGATTGTGCCATTGCACTCCAGCCTGGGCAACAAGAGCGAGACTCCGTCTCAAAAAAAGAAAAGAAAGCAGAAACAAGGAACAAAAAGAGAATTGGTTGTTACAGAGCTAGTTTCCTTACAGGGTTAAAACAAAGGGGACTTCCTTATGCTGGCTCAGGTAAACTGGGCCCCTTCTAATTGGTTGCTGTGAATTGAATATCCTGTTGTTTATTTTTAGTGTTTTTAAATTTTTTTATTCAAACAGATTTTGACAGATCTATTTTTAAAAAAACTGGCCTTGTTTAAAGAAACTTTGTTAATCTTATGAGTTAAGAATGCTTTTTTCTTTGAGCAATTTAATGGTTTTATCACATAATTGATTGCTACTATGCATAAAGTTTAAAACACACATATCTCTTTTTTTTTCTTTCTTTTTTGCGACAGTCTTTCTCTGTCGCCCAGGCTGTAGTGCAGTGGCATGATCTCAGCTCACTGAAATCTCTGCCTCCCAGGTTCAAGAGATTCTCCTGCTTCAGCCTCCCAAGTAGCTGGGATTACAGGTGCCTGCCACCACCCCCGGCTAATTTTTGTATTTTTTAGTAGAAACGGGGCTTCACCATGTTGGCCAGGCTCGTCTTGAACTCCTGACCTCAGGTGGTCCACCTACCTTGGCCTCTCAAAGTGCTGGGATTATAGATGGGAGCCACCGTGCCCGGCCTAAAACACACGTATCTGAAGAGATGACCTGCATATTAATTTGCAATAGAAAAAGAAATAATGGAGTTTACTGAATTAAATCACTGAACTAATTTGACAGCTTAAACTATAGTAGTCAAGCAAAATCTCTGTGGAATTCATATTTACATATTAAAACATTCCTGAGTTAAGGGGAAAAAAATAGCTTGGCTTTATAGCTTCAGGGAAATACTGCTAAGTAAATTTAGGGGACTTCCAGTGGTAGAGTAAAAGGGGGAAAACCATAGAATTATCACACTTTTCTGACAACTGGAGCTCAAACAAACTCTTGGGACATAAGCTGCATAATTCTGTCCCAAAGAATGGTTCCTCTTGAGTGACCTTCTGAGGGTCCAGGTCTTCCTGGACCTTGAAAATAAAGGGTAGAGTTTGCACCTCAGGTTGGGAATCGGAAATCAGATTTTAAGGCGTGAGGGAGGTGTAAGTCAGCCAAGGACACAGAGTTCTTCAGAACCAAGCTTTCCTGGGACATGAATCATATTTATTTTAGGCATAAAACTTTCTAGCTCCAAATGAGGGAAAATTTCTTTCTTGCTTTATAAAGAATGTCACTCTCTGCCAGAATGTTAGGAAGCTACTGAGTAGATCCAGTCCTGAGGCTCTGTGGCCCATTTGCAGAGTTCTCCTTCTTAACCTTCTGTCAGCGGTCTGCCTGGCCCTATGCCAAGCCCAGCTTCTCAGTCCTGCGGTTGTGTGTAAAGGCAAAATCATGTCTGGGGTGTAGGCTGCATTCTCCAGTGAGTTTGTTTACCTGCTCCAGGTAAGTCAATATGTCCCAAGAGAATCCTCGGGACACAGAAAGCATATCGTGCCAAGTGAATGCAGCCCTGCTGTAGGCCTGCCTCATTAGACAAAACCATAGCCCTTTGCTTCCTGAAAACGTTCCTGCATGGATTTTAAAGCTGTAACACGACCTTATTAATTTTAGTTGCAAACTTGAGCACATACAGATGGTCTATTTAAACCATAATAAACCTATGCTACACTGTAGGGTTGTGTTCATTTATGTGGTTGCATTTTACCATAGTGTTGTAAAGTTAAATTCTAGGCTATCAAACAAAAATTTCCAAATGTGAGAAATGTGAGATCCTTTTTTGCCTTTCTTTTTTTTTCTTTTTTCTTTTCTTTTCTTTTTTTTTTGAGGCAAGATCTTGCTCTGTCACCCAGGGTGGAGTGAAGTGGTTCACAGCTCACTGCAGCCTCAACCTCCTAGGCTCAGCCTGTCCTCCCACCTCGACCTCTTGAGTAGATGGGACTACAGGTGCACACCACTGTCAAGTGTTCGAACCAGAGCGACTCCATCTGGAGTAAGGACTATGAAAATGAGGCTGGGACTTGCTGGGCTGCGTACCCAGCAAGTTAGGTATTCCTAGCCTCTCGATGTTTACAGTTAAGGGAACAGATTGATAATGTTTACTAAACAGACCCAGACTTGGGAGTGTCCTGATATCCCGATATCTTGAAAACAGAAGCATTTTTTTTTTCTTTCTGAATTTTTAATAGAGACAGGGTTTCACCATGTTGCCCAGGCTGGTCTCAAACTCCTGAGCTCAAGTGATCTCCCACGTCAGCCTCCCAAAGTGCTGGGATTACAAGCATGATCCACTGAGCCTGGCCAGTTTGTCTGTTTTTTTTTTTTTTCTTTTTTCATGCTATGAAATTATTTGTATATTGTAGGTACTCAATAAGTATTGAATTAATTATTTAATTAATACCTAAAAGTCAATCTGATTGAAGTTGCTTGTATTCAAAGGATCTTAAATAATTCAAATATGTGCAACATAATCCATTTTGTTTCAAAAAATTATTTGTGCTTATAAAAAAGGCTGGAAGTATATTTTAAAAAATATTAGAAGTGATTATCACTGAAGATTGGTGTTATTGGTGATTTGAATTTCTTTGTTGGAGAAGTTAAATTATTCCTCTTTGAAGATGAAATGATTTTATACTGAAAAAACCCTAAAGACTCCACCAAAAAAAAAAACTGTTAGATCTAATAAACAAATTCAGTAAAATTACAGTATACAAAATCATCATAGAAAAGTTGGTAGCATTTCTATATACCAATAGCAAACTGTCTGAAAAACAAGTTAAGAAAACAATCCCATACACAATAGCTACAAAAATTGAAATACTTAGGAATAAATTTAACCAAGAAGGTGAAAGATCCTTACACTAAAAACTATACAGCACTGATGAAAGAAATTGAAGAAGACACAAATAAATGGAACGATACCCTGTGTTCATAGATTGCAAAAATTAAGATTGTTAAAATGTCCATACTACCCAAAATGAACTATAGATTCAATGCAATCCCTATCAAAATGCCAATGACATTCTTCACAGAAATAGAAAATACAATCCTAAAATTGTATAGAACCACAAAAGGCACCAAATAGCCAAAGCAATCTTGAGCAAAAAGAGTAAAGCTGAAGGCATCAGACTTCATGATTTCAAAATAAGCTGCAAAATTATAGTAACCAAAACAGCATAAAAACAGACATATAGAACAATGAAACAAAATAGAGACCCCAGAAGTAAATCCATGCATTTATGGCCAACTGATTTTCGACAAAGGCACCAAGAGCACACAATGGAAAGGAGAGTCTCTTAAAAAAATTCTGTCGGGAAAACTGGATATCCACACGCAGAAAGATGAAATTAGACCCTTATCTCCTATCATATACAAAAATCAACTCAAAATGTATTAATAACTTAAACGTAAGATCGGAAACAATGAAACTACTAGAAGAAAACATTAGAGGAAACTCCATGACTTTGGTCTGTGCAAGAGTGTTTTGGATATTACCACAAAAGCAAAGGCAACAAGAGCAAAAATAGATGGTTAGAATTACATGGAACAAAAAGCTTCTGTACAGCAAATGAAACAACAGAGTGAAGAGACAACTTACAGAATGGATGAAAATATTTGCAAACTCTATCTCTGATAAGGGATTAATATCCAAAATATATATACAAGGAACTCAAACAATTCAATAGTGAAAAAAAAAGCAAGTAACCCTATTAAAAATGGGCAAAAGACATAGAAGACATACAAGTTGCCAATAGGTATATGAAAAATGCTCAGCATCAATAATCATCAGGGAAATGCAAATCAAAACCACAATGGGATATCACCTGACACTTGTTAGCATGACTATTATCAAAAAGACAAAAGATAAGTGTTGGCAAAACCATACAAAAGAATGAAATCATGTCCTTTGCAGCAGCATGGATGCAGCTGGAGGCCATTATCCTAAGTGAATTAATGCAGGAACAGAAAACCAAATACTGCATGTTCTCACTTATAAATGGGAGCTAAACACTGAGTACACACAGACACAAAGATGGGAACAGTAAACACTGGGGATTCCAAAAGTGGGGAGGAAGGGAAGGGGAGAAGGTATTATGTTCACTACTTGGGTGACAGGATCATTAGGCATCCAAACCTCAGCATCATGCAATATACCCATGTAAAAAAACTGCACGTCTGCACATGTATCATGTACCCCTGAATTTAAAAAATGTTGGCCAGAATATACAGAAAAGAACACTTATGCACTGTTGGTGAGAATGTAAACCAGGACAACCGCTATGGAATACAGTATGGAGGTTCTTCGAAAAAGTACAAGTAGAACTATGCTATGATCCAGCAACCTCGCTATTGGGAATCTACTCAAAGGAAAGGAAATCATTATATAGAAGAGACATCTGCATCCCCATGTTTATTTCAGCATTATCCACAATAGCCAAGACATAGAATCAACCTAGTTGTCCATCAATGGATGAATGGATAAAGAAAATGTGGTATATGTACACAATGGAATATTATTTAGTCATGCAGAAGAGCAAAGTCCTGTCATTTGTGACAGCATGGATGAGCCTGGAAAGCATGTTAAGTGAAATAAGTCAGGCACAGAAGAATAAATACTGCATAATCTCACTCATATGTGGAATCTAAAAAACCTAATGGTTACCAGAGGCTTGAGCGGTTAGGAGGAGGGAGGGGATGGGGAGATGTTGTATAATTACAGTTAGAAAGTTGAGACCAGGCGTGGTGGCTCACATCTGTAATCCCAGCACTTTGGAAGGCATGCTGATTGCTTGAGTCCAGGAGTTTGAGACCAGCCTGGCCAACATGGCAAAACCCCATCTCTACAAAAAATACAAAAATTAGCCAGGCATGGTGGTGCATGCCTGTAGTCCCAGTTACTCAGGAGGCTGAGGTGGGAGGATCACTTGAACCTGGGAGGTGGAGGTTGTAGTGAGTGGAGATTGCACCAATGCATTCCAGCCTGGTCAACAGAGCAAGAGCCTGTCTCAAAAAAGAAAAAAAAAGTCTAGAATATGCAAATAAACAGAATAAACAGAGACAGAATAGTCAAATATATATAGCAATAAATAGTAGATAAGTGATTGTCTGGACCAAGGGTTGGGAAGGAGAGAAATTGAAAATAACTGCTAATAGTTATGGAGTTTCTTTCTTGGGTGATGAAAATGCTCTAAAATGGATTGTGGTGATGGTCATCCAACTCAGTGACATACTAAAAACCACTGGATATACACTTTAAATGGGTGAATTATATGTGAATTGTATCTCAATAAAGATGACATTTTCTGTTTTTTTATTTCAACTTTTATTTTGATACAGGGGGTCCACGTGCAGATTTGTCACATGGAAACATTGCATGATGCTGAGGTTTGGAGTGTGACTCCAGTCACCCTGGTAGTGAGCATAGTATCCAATAGGTAGTTTTTAAAAAATTTTTTTTTTCTTCTTTTTGAGATGGAATCTTGTTCTATTACCCAGGCTGGAGGGCAGTCGCGCAATCTCGGCTCACTGCAACCTCTGCTTCCCAGGTTCAAGTGATTCTTGTGCCTCAGCCTCCCAAATAGCTGGGTTTACAGGCGTGTGCCACCATGCCTGGCTAATTTTTTTTATTTTTAGTAGAGATGGGATTTCACCATGTTGGCCAGGTTGGTCTCGAACTTCTAGGCTCAAGCAATCCACCCACCTCAGACTCCCAAAGTGCTGGGGTTACAAGGGTGAGCCACCGCCCCTGGCCTCCAATAGGTAGTTTTAAACCCACTCCTGCTTCCTCCACCCTCTGGTAGTTCACAATGCCTATTGGTTCCACATTTAAGTCCATATGTGTGCTCAATGTTTAGCTTCCACTTCTAAGTGAGAACATGCAGTATTTGGTTTTTTGTTCCTGTATTAATTTAAATAAAGCTTCTTTTAAAAAGCAAATACATTTTCTTCTTTGGTTATAATACTTCTGGAATTTTCTATAGTAACCATATATCATTCTTGTAATCAGATAGAAATAAATACCTTTAGGGCAGGCACGGTGGCTCACACCTGTAGTCCCAGCACTTTGGGAGGCCGAGGCAGGCGGATCACCAGGTCAGGAGTTTGAGACTAGCCTGATCAACATGGTGAAACCCCGTCTCTACTAAAAATACAAAAATTAGCTGGGCGTGGTGGTGGGCACCTGTAATCCCAGCTACTTGAGAGTTTCAGGCAGGAGAATTGCTTGAACCCAGGAGGTGGAGCTTGCAGTGACCCAAGATCATACCATTGCACTCCAGCCTGGGCGACAGAGCAAGACTCCATCACGGAAAAAAAAAAAAAATAGAATAAGTCCCTTTATTTTTATTTATTTATTTATTTATTTATTTTGAGATAGGCTCACTCTGTTACATGCCGGAGTGCAGCTCCACAGAAGCCTCGACCTCCCAGGCTCAAGTGATCCTCCCACCTGTCTCCCATGTAGCTGGGACTACAGGCATGTACTACTATGCCCAGCTAATTTTTAATTTTTTTGTAACTTTCTCAAATTTAAATTGAAAAACATTGTTTTTAAAATTTTTTGTAATTTTTAAAAACTTAATTTTGTAAAATTTAATTTTTTTTTTTTTTTGAGACAGAATCTCACTCTGTTGCCCAGGCTGGAGTGCAGTGGCGTGATCTCCGCTCAGTGCAAGCTCCACCTCCCAGGTTCATGTGATTCTCCTGCCTCAGCCTCCCGAGTAGCTGGGACTACAGGTGCCCACCACCATGCCCGGCTATTTTTTTTTTTTTGTATTTTTAGTAGAGATGGGGTTTCAACATGTTAGCCAGGATGGTCTCGATCTCCTGACCTCGTGATCCACCCGCCTTGGCCTCCCAAAGTGCTGGGATTACAGGCATAAGCCACTGCGCCTGGCCAAAATTTAATTTTTAAATTTTCTATAGGTCTCAGTATGTTGCCAAGGCTGGTCTCAAACTCCTGGGTTCAAGCAAGCCTCTTGCCTTGGCCTCCCCAATGTGCTGGGATTACAGGTGTGAGCCAACAGGCCCAACAAGAGTATCTTTATTTTTAAAGTACTGACTAGTACCAACCAGACCTAATAAAGCTCAGCATTCTTTTTCATCTCTTGGCTCCCCGCCCTTTTCTCACAGTGGCATTGCCAAACCTTTTCTACTCTTTCTTAAGAATTTGTGCTGGATTAATTCCCCATCCCTGTCTACTCTGCTCTGTGCCCTAGGTATGTCATCATACAGATTGCTACAACCTGGCTCCCTTGCCCTCTAGCTTCCAGATGGGTTCAGCTATTGGCTTTAGCTGAAATCCTGAGGATGAGAAGAGAGTGAGGTCACATTATTTATTCCTGTAGCTCCCTCCCTGTCAGCTTTCTACAAATTGGCTATATCCCTTTATCTAAAGGCCATAGATCCCGTCTTGAAGCTTCAAAGCTTTCCCTGGGTCCCAGTGACTGCTTCCTCCTCTTGCTTCTTCGGGCTTAGGGATGGTACCAGTTACCTACTATTACTTGTTATGGGGTAATTCATTATTTCTTATATTATTCCTCATCCTTACTCATAATTCTATACAAAATCTGTTCAAATTCAGTGTTCCACATCTTTTCTGTCGGGTTCACCACCAAGACAGCATTCAACTCCATCTTCTTCCATTCACTGTCAGCAAATGACCTTGCCTCATTCTTTATTTTTACATGAAAGGTTGAGGCCTTCCTCAAATGGCTGTACAACATCAGTTCACTAAAAGTAGTCTATGTAGGGCCAGGCACAGTGGCTCACACCTGTAATCCCAGCACTTTGGAAGGCAGAGGCAGGCAAATCACTTGAGGTCAGGAGTTCGAGACCAGCCTGGCCAACATGGTGAAATCCCATCTCTACTAAAAAATACCTACTAAAATTAGCCGAGCATGATGGTGGGCACCTGTAATCCCAACTACAGGGATTACGAGGCGAGGAGGCTGAGGCAGGAGTATCGCTTGAACCCTGAAGGCGGAGGTTGCAGTGAGTCAAGATTGCGCCACTGCACTCTAGCCTGGGTGACAGAGGGAGACTCCGTCTCAAAAAAAAGTAGTCTATATAATGGCCTGCTCTCTCTTCTTGATCTCTCAGAGCACAGGACACAGCTCGTTCATGGCAGGGCACTACCCTGATTTCCTCTGACCTCGAAGGACATCTTTCCCTCATTAGCTCTTCTCCCCTCTTGCATACCTTAACTATGGATGCTGCTGAAGTCTGAACCTTGGTTTGCCCTCATGACAAATTTTTTTTAAACAAAGGTTTATCAGTTTTTTACCACTTTATTACTTTTATTCAGATAATTTTTCAAACATATACTTGCTGTCCTAATCATTTAATTAAACTCCAGTCCTTTATCTCTTCAACCAGATGCTACATATTTTACATGGATTTCTAGTTGTCTCTTCAAACCCAGTATCACTTCATCCTTCCTCTCATTTTCCCTCCAGTTAGATTTTCTCCCATTATGTATTTTTCTTTTTTGGAATTCAGATTTATTGATTTCCATCATATTGACTTTAAAAATGGCATGAAGCTGACTGCAAGAAAGGGAACTGGTCATTTTAAGTTAAAATTAAGCGAATCGTGAAAGTACATCACCTCTGGCTTCAGTCACCACCTCGCCTTAGATTGAGTATAGATTTTTTGTGAACAAAGTTCTAGAACTCTGAAATCCAGGGATGCTGCAGGCCTCTCCCCGCGATGTCCTTCACTTTGGGTCAGCCTCCTGGGCCAGAGGTGAAAGTGCTTTCAAAAATACTGCCATTTCCCCAGCACAGTCTTTGATTGCATCCACATATTGAGTTGGAACCCAGTACACCCATTAGTCAGTAGTAAGAGGCTTTCGTGGGGCCCAACTGAAACCCATCATGTGGTAGTCTTCATGTCCTTCCATATGTTCACTGACCACATTTTTTATGGATCCCATGGGCAATTTCTCAGTCCGCTCTTTACTGCCAATCCACAGTCGGTGTTGTTCTAACTTCAAGGTGAATCTCACTTTTCCTCCGGACTTATTGTACATGCTGGGCAGGGGTACCTTTTGTAGGTGCTCCTGGGCCCCCTTAACAGATGGCATCACATCTTCGGGTTTTCCTTTATCCAACGCTTTCCTGTGTTGTTTCTGCCTGCAGAGAGGCTCCTTCTTGTTGTCTTTGGCCTTTGCATCCTGCTGCGCAGCATCTTTGGGTGTGTTTACTGCTAAAACATCATTGATGGTGGAGCCAACCACCATGATCTTGGCCCCACTGGTCACTTTTATTTCTCTCAATGTCTTATCCTCAGGGACGAGTCCCTTATACATGACTTTCTGTATGGCAGGCGGGAGACCTGTAATCAGTGGATCTTCTGTTTCAGTTCGGAGCCTGTGCTGTCCAGGGGGAACTTCACGTCGTGCTTGGTCTTGTTCCAGATGATCCTCAGGTCCACCAGCTCGCTGTCTGCGCTGCCGCCCGAGTCTTCGCCGTTGCTGACAGAAGCCTGGGACACGGGGTCTCCAGGGGCCTGGGCTGGGGCCGGCTGCAGGCTGCAGGCTGCCTCGCGCGGTGCCGGAGTCCTCGGCCACCGTCCCTGCCCCCGCTCCTGCCGTGGCTTCGGCCTCCAAGCAGTTGAGGGGCCGTGCCAGCGCCTCGGTCGCCACGGTCTTAGCTTCGGTGTCCATGCCAGGTTCCTCCATGCCATCCGGGGCCCCGGCCGCTGCCATGATGATTGTGTACCAGATTTTCTCCCATTATGTATTTTTTCCAATGGTAACTATGTTCTCTTTGGCTCAAGAGTTTAAAACATTGAAATTTTGTTTTTGTTTTTTTTGAGACAGGGTCTCCCTCTGTCACCCGGGCCTGAGTACAGTGGCGTAATCATAGCTCACTGCAGCCTCGAACTCCTGGGCTCAAGTGATCCTCCTGCCTCAGCCTCCCAAAATGCTGGGTTTACAGATGTTAGTCACCATGCCCAACCGACATTATTTTTTTAATGCTTCTATTTTCTGTGCTCCTCCACTCCAATTACTTATTGAATTCCACATTTTTTCTTAAACTTATTTCTCAGAGTTCTTTTCTTTCTCACTGTTCTAATCAATGTTTTGTTTGTTTGTTTGTTTTTATCATAGGCCAAGATTATTTTCATAGTCAATTTGTCTTCAAATTCCAGGCTTCGCCTAGTCCTACGTGAGAATTAATTTTTCTAGAATATTGCTAATATCATGCAGTTGTAGAATATGGCTCCAATTATAATTACAATGTCAACAACTAATTTTCATAGAATACTTGCCATATGTTGGGTGCTATACAATTTTTTATATGGATTAATTATTTTAATCACAAGAATCCTATAAATATACAATTATACATACATTTGGAAGAATTTTAGAACATTTAGAAAACTCCCAGAATCACCTAGCTACTGGTGGTACTAGGATGCAAACTGAGCTTGAAAAGAAAAGTCGTGCTCTTAATCTTTTTCCTATGCTATATAAATTCCTCAACCTGACTTCTGAAGTGCTCCACAAACTGCTCCCCCGCACCATATAGTCCAATCTCAGCTTATGTTTCTCTCTACATCAAACAGAGGGAGAGTTTCCTAATGCACCATAAACACACCATACTCATTCCAGTTCTTTCCCTTTCCTTTTGCACTTGTAAATTTTTTCTCCTGTCATCTGATCAAATTCTCTTCTTGAGTTAAGGAATGGCTCCAGAATAGAATAAAGCCTTCATAAAATGCTATAGTTTTTTTTTTTTTCTCAGAGCCTACAAGACCACTTACTGTCTGCCCCATTCATTTTCAGATTCACTCATGAAGTGCTTTGGATTTTTATTTAACTGTTACATCTAAAATTGGTGTGTATTCATCCCAGAAGAAAATATTGAACATTTTTATTTGTCAGGCCCTATATAAGGGCTGAGAATACAAAGATGGGTACAATTCTGTCTCTGAACTTGACGAGTTTAATTCAAGGGGAAAGCAAAGATGTAAACTAAAATAATATACTCTGATAAGTGATAATATTGGAAGGTGACATTGCAGTGATGCTTCACTCCAATAATTGTATGACTGCAAATGTATTAAGGATAAGGGAGCCAGGTTTCTCACTGACAGAGAAACAAGTTACAATTAAAGAAAGGGAGAAAACCCTGGGAGTAATGTCACCCCAATAGCAAAGAGCCCACTAGTGCCCAGTTGTTGGTTTAGAAACCAGCAGTTTTGCTTCACTTTATGATGGGGATACATCCTGAGAAATGCATCATTAAGTGATTTCATTGTTGTGTTAACATCAAAGAGTGCACTTACACAAACCTTGATAGTATAGCCTACTGCACACCTAGGCTATATTGTATAGCTTGTTGCTTCTAGGCTGCAAACCTGTGCAGCATGTTACTGTACTGAATACTGTAGGCAATCGTAACATAATGGTAAGTACCTATGTATCTAAACATATAAAATGTACAGTAAAACTATGGTATTATAACCTTATGGGACCACCATCCTATATGTGGTCTGTCATTAACAGAAACATCGTGTGGCATGTGATTGTACTTAATTGATCAGTCCTCTTCTGTGTAACCAGTTCCCCTAATTGCCACCCGCCTCTCACCCTGAAAATTCCTTCCTTACCCTGCTTGGGCTATGATTCCCTACTGTGGGCCGCCATATTAGTCTGTTCTCACAATACTATAAACAACTACCTGACATTTGGTAATTTATGAAGAAAAGAGGTTTAAGTGAATCAGTTCTGCAGGCTTAACAGGAGGCATGACTGGGATGCCTCAGGAAACCTACAGTCATGGTAGAAGATGAAGAGGAAGCAAGCAGCACCTACGTCACAAGGCAGCAGGAGAGAGAATGAAGTGCCACACACTTGAACCATCAGATCTCATGAGAGCTCACTATCATGTGAACAGCATGGGGGAAATCCACCCTCATGGTCCAATCACCTCCCACCAGGACCCTCCCTCAACACATGGGATTACAATTTGATGTGGGATTTGGGTGGAGACAGAGAGCCAAACCATATCATTCACTTCTTTACACACACACACACACACACACACACACACTTTCCTCCAGTCGCTTCTTTACACACACACACACACACACACTCTTTCCTCCAGTCGCTTCTTTACACACACACACACACACACACACACACACACACACACACTCTTTCCTCCAGCTGCTGGGGTTTCTTCAGCCTTAGCTGAATCACACCGCAGCAGGGACCCCCAGTGAGGTTTTGGCATCCCTTATGGGTTTCCTACTCACACTATGGGGACACACACCTTGCTGGGCCCCAGTCTAATAGGTTTTGGATTGAATTACTTGGGAAGTGAACAACCAAATAGAAGGGAACAAGGGTAAGAAAGAAGAGCATTTCTAATTTTAAAAATATATTATCAGTCACATTCCCTTTTTGTATTGTACTTGAACTTTTGTCTTTAATTCACTTTTCCTGCGAGAGATTCCCAGAAATTGAATTACTGGGTCAAATGTTATAAACCAAATAATTTTTTAATTTTTATTCCTGCCAGCAATATAACATCACTGTCTATTTTATTCTAAACAGCTTTGAATGTTATATCTAATTTTAAAGGAATTTTTGTTAATTCTTTTTTATAAATTCTTTTTTTATAAATTATTTTTGGCCATTTATATTTTGGGATTTTAATATTTTTAGGTGGATATGTTAATGATATTAACACTTAGCCATATTTATTGCAAAAAAGATTAATTTTTAAGCCATAACTAGCTTCTTTCGGTCATCCTGCATTTCTACTTACCTTTCTTTGCTGCCAATAAATTTTCAAGTAGGTGCGCACTAAAGGGAATATTACTCTAAGAAAACATGAAATTGGGAAAACAAGTGGCCTGTTATAAAGCCATTTAAATATATAGTATAGTTTTTAAAAATTAGTTATTTGTAGATCACTATTATCCTTTTTGTTTGATAGATTTAATTTTCTCAATTTTTTTTTACTTTATATAATTCGAGGCTTTGGTGGTAATGTTATAGTACCAGTGAAATGAATTTTTCATCATTATAAAGTTTCTTTTATCTTTCATATATTATTCTAACCTTACAGTCTACTTTAATATAGTGATGCCAGTTTTCTTTTGGTTGGTATTTGCAAGATATAACATTCTTTAACCTTTTATTTTCAACCTTTCAGTATCCTTATGCTTTAGGTGGGTCTTTTGTTATAAGAATCAGGGCTGGGCACAGTGGCTCATGCCTGTAATCCCAGCATTTTGGGAGGCTGAGGCGGGTGGATCACCTGAGGTCAGGAGTTTGAGACTAGGCTGGCCAACATGGTGAAACCTTGTCTCTACTAAAAATACAAAAAAAAATTAGCTGGGCCTGGTGGCACATGCCTGTAATCCCAGCTATTTGGGAGGCTGAGGCAGGAGAATTGCTTGAACCCAGGAGGTGGAGGTTTCAGTGAGCTGAGATTGCACCATTGTACTCCAGCCTGGGCAACAAGAGCAAAACTCATCTCAAAAAAAAAGAAAAGAAAAAGAATCAGGATCCTGGCAGGAAATAAACGGGCAATTGTATTAGTCCGTTTTCACACTGCTGATAAAGACATACCTGAGACTGAGAAAAAAAAGAGGTTTAATTGGACTTAACAGTTCCAGGTAGCTGGGGAGGCCTCAGAATCATGACGGGAGGCAAAAGGCACTTCTTACATGGGGGCGGCAAGAGAAAATGAGGAAGATGTAAAAGCAAAAATCCCTGATAAAACTGTCAGATCTTGTGAGACTTATTCACTACCATGAGAACAGTATGGGGGAAATTGCCCCCATGATTTAAATTATCTCCCACCAAGTCCCTCCCACAACATGTGGGAATTATGGGAGTACAATTCAAGATGAGATTTGGGTGGGGACACAGGGCCAAGCCATATCAGCAATGCACACAAGATGTTAAATGAAAAGAGTTTAATGAAGGAATTCTTTAGAGAGCTATGGACAGCATTAAGGGAACCAATAAAAGATTTTGAAATGCCCAGCCATTAGTAACAAGGAAAAGCCTTTATACATGTAGCCCTGAAGGGTCAAAGAGGAAAGAGTATTACTGGAACCTAGCAAAAGCTGTTGCTGGGAGAGGGGCCCCTGGCAAGAGGTGTGGTCTTACATAGAGATAACCACTGAAGAACTCTGGCCCAGCTGGGAGGGAAATTAGAAGAATTAATATCTTGGCTTCTGTTTCCTCCCACCCTGTGACCTTCTGCCACAATCTGCTATTGGCCAAACCCAACTAGAAGTTAAAGGACAAAGGAGCTCAGGTGAGCAGAGTACAGAGTGGGACACAAAGCCAGACAGAAGGGTGGAGAAGAGCCAGCACACATGGAGACAGCTGATGGCTGGATTTTATTGTTGTTATCCAGTCTAATCATTTACAATTTTTTAAAAGGAGCATTTAGTCCATTTGCTTACATTTATTGAAATTACTAGTATATTTCTACCATCTTTTTGGGTATCATACTTCATCCGTTTTTCTTTTCCTGTCATGACCGCTTTTTGATTATTTGAGAAACTTTTCTCATTCCATTTCATTTCTATTATTTTAATGGTTACTTTAGAAATTTATTATATACTATCTTTAACTTCCTCCTAAACAACAGGAGGATCTTTGGAACATGTTTATTCTCATTATCCCTCCTCTGACATATGCAAACATTTTTCTTGGGTATTTTTAACCCAATAAGATATTATTTGTTGTTGTTTTATATAGTCACTGGTAGATTTGCTAACTTTATTTACTCATCATTTATCCTTGCATCTTAGACTTTTCATCTTTCATCTCTTTCCCTCTTTCAATCTTTTGCAATGTCCTCTATTGAGATGTATTAGTGATTAGTGATAAACTCTTTCCACCTTTCGTTTCTTTCTTTTTTTTTTTTTTTTTGAGACAGAGTCTCGCTCTGTCACCCAGGCTGGAGTGCAATGGCACAATCTCTGTTCACTGCGACCTCTGCCTCCCAGGTTCAAGTGATTCTCCTGCCTCAGCCTCCCAAGTAGCTGGGATTACAGGCACTCACCACCACACCTGGCTAATTTTTGTATTTTTAGTAGAGATGTGGTTTCACCATGTTGGCCAGGCTGGTTTTGAACTCCTGACCTCAAATGATCTGCCTGCCTCCCAAAGTGCTGGGATTACAGATGTGAGCCACCACGCCTGGCCTGCCTTTTCTTGTTTCTAAAAATGTCTTAATTTTACCCTTATTACTGAATGACATATTTTTTTTTGCCACGTGTATAACTCTAGGTTGACATCTTCACAGATATTATTTTATGGTCTTCGGGCTTTCATACATTTTTGGGGTGGGGTGGGGGGAGAAGGGTCTTGCTCTGCCACCCAGGCTGGTGTGCAGTGGCACAGTCTCAGCTCACTGCAGCCTCAACCTCCTGGGCTTTAGTGATTCTCTCAACTCAGCCTCCTGAGTAGCTGGGACTACAGGTGTGCACCACCATGCCTGGCTAATTTTTGTATTTTTTTTTTTTTTTAGAGTCAGGATCTCACCGTGTTACTCAGGCTGGTCTCAAACTCCTGAGCTCAAGTAATCTGCTTGCCTTGGCCTCCCAAAGTGCTGAGATTACAGGTATGAGCCACCGCACCCAGCCCATCCATTTCTTGAGAAGTCTGCTATCAGTCTAATTGTCGCTCCTTGGAAGGACAGATTTTAAAATATTTTCTTTGTTTCTGGAATGTTGCAGTTTCACATGATATGTGTAGGTGTGGATTTCTTCTTATATATCCTGATGTAAATTGGGAATTCGTGGATTATTCTTAAACTATTGATTGGTACCTTTCCATTGGTTCATACAAATTATCAGATCTTATATCTTAAAATATTGCTTCTGACTCACTTGTACTCTCTCCTCTTTGGAACTTTGAATAAGTATATATGGGAACTTTCTTTCTATCCTCCATTTTGTTTAACCCCTTTTCATATCTTCCATCATTTTGACTATGCTGCATTCTATATAATTTCCTCAGGTCTACCTTCCAGTTCATGGGTTTTTTGTTTTGTTTTGTTTTTGTTTTGTTTTTGAGACAGAGTATTGCTCTGTCACCCAGGTTGGAGTGCAGTGGCGCGATCTTGGCTCACTGCAACCTGTGCCTCCCAGGTTCAGGCAATTCTCAAGCCTCAGCCTCCCGAGTACCTGGGATTACAGGTGCCCACCACCACACCTGGCTAATTTTTGTATTTTTAGTAGAGACGGGGTTTCACTGTGTTGGCCAGGCTGGTCTCAAACTCGCGACCTCAGGAGATTCATCCACATCAGCCTCCCAAAGTGTTGGGATTACAGGCATGAGCCACTGTGCCTGGCCTCAATTCATATTTTTAAACACTTCTTTTATTCCTTTACATTGTTATGGGCTGAATGTTTGTGTTTTTGTCTCCCCACTCCCAAATTAATATGTTGAAATCCTAACCCCCAATATGATGATATTAGGAATGTCTACGGAAGGCATGCAAACTAACTTCTCTAATTTCTCATGGTTTATTCACAAGAGTGATCACCCCCCCCCCCCCCCCCACTTTTTACAAGTTAGCAGCACTTATTAGGCACTATCTTACTTATGTTGTATCCTGCCTGCTTCCAAAGGGCATTTCAGGATGCTTACAGGGAATACACTTCATCAACATGAACCATCCTGTTTTGTTGAAGTTTTGGGTCTCATTGCTCATCACTGTGAAGGAGCAAAAAGCCAGGGCTGATCAACTGGACCAAGTTGGTGTTCTACACCATCAACCTGCCCAGTGAAGCAGATGGAGACCTGGTGTCTTCAAGTAGCAGCATCCAGCATTTGGGTGAATCAAGTCCAGGAATTCACTTTGTTTATCCTATTTCACTGAGTTATTTTTTTAAAGGGGCAATTGGTAAGCGAAATAAATCTTTCTATATATGGAAGAAACATTGGGAGGAATTTTCAAATTCATAATTATGAAGACTTCTTTACAGATTTACCCAAAGACTTTCTTCCTAACTTTAAAATTTTTAAATTACATGTGAAGTACCTGGGTTTAAGCCATTCTCCTGCCTCAGCCTCCCAAGTAGCTGGGATTACAGGTGTGTTCCACACCCGGCTAATTTTTGTATTTTTAATAGAGACGAGGTTTCGCCGTGTTGGCCAGGCCAGTCTCGAACTCCTGACCTCAGGTGATCTGCCCGTCTTCGCCTCCCAAAGTGCTGGGGCTACAGTCATGAGCCACCATGCCTGGCCTCTGGAGGCCTTTTCTTTGTGGTTCTGTAAAGTGCGGAGGAGAGCAAGTCCAGCTCTAGGCACCTCCACACATCTCTTTCTGTGTTCTTCCCTGTATTAGTCAGCAGAGGGTGTGCTGTGTTGCAGCAGTGATCAAATTAAAACCTCACTCAACTCACTCATGCAAAGTCCGCTATAGGGACAGCAGCTTTCCAGGGAAGCTCCCTTCCAAGTGGTAATGGAGGGATACGGGTTGCGTCCATCTTAACAGCTACTGTACATGGAACACAGGCTTTCAGGGACACTGAAGCAGGGGATGAACTCACACATGCTCTTAACTGCCATAGGCTGGAAATGACACACATCACTTTTACTCCCAGCTCACTGGCTAGAGCTCATCACACGGCCCCAGCTTAACTTCAAAGGAGGTGCTAGGGCATCTTCCTTTGTGTCCAGGGAGAAGAGGAAAACCTCTTATGATGAGCACTAGTAAGTTTCTACCATATTCCCACTCCTCTAATGTTCACCCATGCACCCATGCAGTGATGACCCCAAGGTCTTCAGCTTGTTTATGACTATCTCTGTACCCATTCCTGAGGACTAACCCTAGCAGTAATGAGACAAGATAATTCCCTTGACCTTGATCCCCTTCATGGTTGGGAACTTGAGTGGCTCGTTTCACTCAGCCCACCGTTGGCCACTCCTCATGAGAGGGGGTGTACAAGCAAGCGAGTGCAGGAACCAGAGGGAGCAAATGCTGGAACTGGCTGATCACTCCTCTCTGGCAGGAGCAGGCTCTGTGTGGGCCCTGCAGCAGCATCCAAGCCCCTGCCCTGGGTTCTTGTCCAGCATCCAGGAAGAATCAGGTCACACAAACAGATTGAAGGGTAGTGTATGTAGAAGATTTTATTGGGTGATAAAATTGGCTCTCAGCAGGATGGGGAATTGGAAAGGGGATGGTGTGGGACCTTTCCCTGAGGCCGCACTGTGTGAAGTTAGCCGCCTTTATCAGTAGCCTCCCATGCTCAGTTGCTGCTTCTCTGATCACGGCTCAGCCGCTTATACCCCTGACCCTCAGCAGCTTGTGTTGCTCTGCCAGCTGAAGTCTTTTTATGGGCACAGGATAGGGCTGTAGCAGGCCAAAAAGGCAACATTTGGGTGGAAAAATGGGGTCAGCTGTTTTTACTTAGGACTGCAGCATTCCAGGCTTAAGGGTGGGATTTAGCCGGGAGCCCAGCCATTCTGTATCAGTAAGTTCTCTGAGACAAGTTAGAGGCTAAGAAAGGAGAGGGTTTGGAGAGTGAGGATGACATACGGAAGGGATCTAAGTCTTTCAGTTGGTAAGATTCCCACGCTAGAGAAGGAAGAAGCCAGCAGGAACCAACTTTCCTTTCCCCAAACCTATTTACCATCTGACCTGCAGTGGTATGATAGATGGTGAAACTGCCTTTGCAAAATTATAACTGAGGAAATTATGACAGTGAAAGAAATCAGACCTAACCAACTCTATCTTGCTTCTAACCCTTAAGCTGTCCTTATTCATTTCTGGGTGGGTGTAGGCTGAACTAACTTTGGGAAGGAATTCAGTTCATGGTTTGACTCCAGAACAAAATTGATAACAGCCCTTTGCGGAAAAGATCCTCTTCTTGCCTGGGATCCAGTCTGCCTTTGCAGGAATAACAAATTAACTACAAGGTTAGAAATTACAATTTAGGGGTCATGCAGCCTCTGGCTCCAAGAGTCTGAACCTCCCCAAATTGCTCCCGGGGATAATATCACTATTTTAAAACCTAAGATCAGTGCTTGAGATGTTTTGCAGACCCTGCACTTGATGGATCAGCTGACACCACCCAGACCAGTAATCTGGCCCAACCAGCTCTGCCGTCATATCCAGGAACAAAAGACATTAAGAAAATCTAACTTTGACCCACTATGATTCCATCTCCTACCTGAGTAATCAGCATTCCCCACTTCCCAAGCCCCTGCCTGCCAAATTATCTTTAGAAACTCTGATCCCCAAATGCGCAGGGAGACTGATTTGAGTAATAATAAAAACAGCTGGCTCTGCGTGAATTACTCTTTTACCATTGCAATTCTCCTGTCTTGATAAATTGGTTCTGTCTAGGCAGCGGGCAGGGTAATCCATTGGGCATTTACAGTGGGGTAGTGGAACTCCCCATCTGACCTTGCCGCTGTGTAATGAGGAGGTCCTGGGGATATAAGCCCAAGGTGGTTTGGGTACGGTTTACTATTATACATTTTAGGGAGACATGAAACGTCAATCAATATGTGTAAGATGTATATTGGTTCAGTCCAGAAAGGTAATGAGGATGGTGGAGGAGTTCTCGCCAATGAGCATCAATTTCTTTTATCCCCCCAAGCTTTACAGAGGTAAAACTGACAAAAAAAAGTACAGATATTTAAGGCATGTAATGATTTGATATGCATACATGTTTTGAAATAATTACCACAAAGTAATTGACATATCCATAAGCTTACATAATTACCTTTTTATTTTAGGGGTGAGGACACAAGATTGATTCTCAGCAAATTTCAAGTATATAATGTATTACTGTTAACTATAGTCATCATGCTGTACATTAGGTCTCCAGAACTTATTCATCCTGCAGAACTGAAACTTTGTACCCTTTAACCAACACTTCCCTGTTTCCCCAACCTTTGGGCCCTTGGTGAGCACTCGTCTACTCTCTATTTCAATAAATGCAACTTTTTAGCTTCCACATGTAAGTGATGTGAAAGGAAAATAGATCTGGGACTTATCACTAAGCCAGAGGGAAAAGTCAAGCTGGGAACTGCATCAGGCAAACCTGCCTCCCATTTTATTACTAAGTAAGATAGCTACAAAGATAAAAAGCTAAATACTTCCCTCACAATTTCCCCAGAAGGAGATTACCTGTGGGCCACCAGGTCTTTACCCTAAAACAGTTCTGTTGAATTTCACCTTGGCAATGTAAATTGACGGCTTATCTTCACAGGAGCAAGAAAAAGGACAGAACTCAAAGGCATCCCTCTGCTCACCTGAGATAAATGCCTGTCTGATTTGCCTCCTCTGTCCCATTGTTTATGTAAAAATCCAGATTCACTGAGCCAGACTAAGGCTTAAATGACAATTCCTCTACCCCCTCTCACATGTAAGTTGTGTATTCACTGAAAGGCTCATCAAAATCCCAGAAGAATGCAACTGTTTGTTTCCTGTCTACCTATAACTTAGAACCCCTCCCCACTTCAAGTTGTCCTACCTTTCTGGACTGAACGAGTATACATCTTACACATATTGATTGATGTTTCATGTCTCCCTAAAATGTATAAAAGTAAACTGTACCCAAACCACCTTGGGCTCATGTCCCCAGGACTTCCTGAGGCTGTGTCACAGGTGTGTCCTTAACCTTGGCAAAATAAGCTTCCTAAATTGATTGAGACAGGCCTTAGATACTTTTGAGTTAACAGTGATATCATATGACATTTATCTTTTTATGACTGGCTTGTTTCACTCAGCAGAATGTCCTCTAGGTTCATTCATGTTGCTGCAAATGGCAGGACTCCCTTCTCTTCTAAGGCTGGGAAATATTCCACTTGTGTGTATTCCAACATGTATTCATTTGCATTCATATATAAGTATATATATTCATTTATCTGTCGATGGACACTTAGGTTGACTCTGTGTCTTGGCTGTTATGAATAATGCTTCAGTGAACATGAGATTGCTGGTATCTCTTCAAGATAGTGATTTAATTTCTTTTGCATGTATACCCAGAAGTAGAACTGCTCAATCATATGGTAGTCACATTTTCAGTTTCTTGAGGAACCTCCATAGTCTAGAATAGCTGTACTAATTCGCATTCCTGCCAACAGTGTTCAAGGGTTCCCTTTTCTCCACATCCTTGCCAATAAATGTTATCTTTTGAGCCTCAATATCTGAAGAGGGGAATCTGATTTCTAGCTAGTCCCTGAGAGAATAAACAACAATGTAGGGAATTTTTGGAAATAGGGAAGATTTATCTTTCGTTTGTTTGTTTGTTTTTGAGATGGAGTCTCGCACTGTTGCCCAGGCTATAGTGCAATGGCGCGATCTCCACTCACTGCAACCTCCGCCTCCCAGGTTCAAGCAATTCTCCTGCCTCAGCCTCCCGAGTAGCTGGGATTACAGGCGCCTGCCACCACGCCCGGCTAATTTTTTATATTTTTAGTAAAAACAGGGTTTCACTATGTTGGCCAGGCTGGTCTTGAACGCCTGACCTTGTGATCCGCTCCCCTTGGCCTCCCAAAGTGCTGGGATTACAGGCGTGAGCCACCGTGCCCAGCTGGGAAGATTTATCTTTAGAGGTCTGTGAATATTCTGTTTATTTGCTTCCAGAGTATCTCATACCTATTTATCTCCACCTCCCCCATGCCAGCTTTTCCTCCCACATCACATATGCAGTTATTTACACTCAGAGTGCAAATACAAACACACATGCAGAGTCAACTTCAGAAACTCTCTTTCTAAATTGTTTTATTTTTTCTGCCAAGTCCAAACTTTGTCAGCTCTGATGGAGCCAGATGATTATTCATGAGGTAAATGCCTGGTATAATTCATGGTTATGAAAGCATTTATTGATTCATAGCTTAATTTATATGTAATTGATGAGCAAATGTTTTTTGTTAGGCTATTAATTTCATTACGAGTGTTTGGGCTTATATATCCTATGCAAAAAGATCTTTGTGCTTTTCTCATTGGTCTCTATTCCCCAATTTTCTGATTTCATACCTTCAGTATACTGTAATATTTTGAGCAACCTATCCCTCTCCCTCCAAAAAATAGGGCTCCTTGGACATAATCCAGCTCCCCACTCTGTGGACATGCATGGTTCCCTGAAGATTATAGACAGAGAGAAAGTGGTTGCCACACAGTTTCTCTAAGTCTAGGAGAAAGTTTGATGAAATCCACAGTGTTAAAGAGGCATTCAGAAGGCTCTGTGCTCTCTCACTGAAGCAATACGGTTACTTTGGTAGTAACCTTATGAGACTCCAACCTCAGTTCCTTTCTGCCTTTCCTTTATGTATATCTATACCGAATGAGGCCAATTTTTTCATGTGCATTAAGGCAGATATGCAGAAATGAGCTCATCTTAGGCTCCTCTTCCCTATCCACAGCAGGGTGTGCCAAGCCCAATATCTCAGTATTCTAAGATTCCAGAAACGTGTTCTGTAAACATCAGAACTTCCAGACTTCTATCTTCAGCAGGAAGGTGCTCCGCCTCCTGGGCTCAAACGATTCTCCTGCGTCAGCCTCCCAAGCCTGGGATTACAGGCATGTGCCACCACGCCTGGCGAATTTTGGTATTTTTAGTAGAGACGGGGTTTCATCATGTTTGTCAGGCTGGTCCTGAACTCCTGACCTCAGGTGATCCACTGGCCTCGGCCTCCCAAAGTGCTGGGATTACAGTTGTGAGCCATAGTGCCTGGCCAAAATTTTTTTTTTTATTAGCTAGGTGTTGTGGTGCATGCCTGTATTACCAGCTACTCAGGAAGCTGAGGCAGGAGGATCCCGTCAGCCCAGGAGAGTAAAGTCTGCAATGAAGTTTTTTCTTTTCTTTTCTCTCTCTCTCTCTTTTTTTTTTTTTTTTTTTTTTTTTTTTTGATACAGAGTCTTGCTCTGTCGCCCAGGCTGGAGTGCAGTGGCGTAATCGCAGCTCACTGCAACCTCCACTTCCTTGGTTCAAGCAATTCTTCTGCCTCAGCCTCCCAAGTAGCTGGGATTACAGGCACTCCATGCCTGGCTAATTTTGTATTTTTAGTAGACGGGGTTTCACCATGTTGGCCAGGCTGGTCTTGAACTCATGACCTCAGATGATCACCCCATCTCAGCCTCCCAAAGTGCTGGGATTAGAGGCATAAGCCAACGTGCCCGGCCAAAAACATTTAACATAAAAAGTATGAAAGATGTAGTTATTCTGAAGTAAAACAGACCACTTAAGGATTTATTATTCCCCTTTCCTAACACTGTAGGACCTTTGAGAGGTCCAGTGACTTCACTTGGGCCTCCAATAAGAGAAGTGTAAGGCTAGGATCTCTGGGTTCTCAAGCTACTCTTTTCACCACAAGATCACACTTCCTTCCTCTTTTACAACTGGTATGCAGAAAAGAATATATTATAGAAGCAGCTGGTGTGGTAACACAGAGTATGATGGAAAACATCACAATGTTATTTAGCAAGAGTACAAAATAAAATCTGAATTTACATGGCTCTTTTAAGAAATTGTTTTGTAGATTTGATAAGTAGCTCTCAATATGTAATTTAAATAAATGAAACAATTTATTACAAACCTACCATATGTTAGGCACGGTGGTAAGTACTGGAGATACAAAGAATATGCAAAATGAAGTTCTCACTATCATGTATTAAAAAGAAGAACAAACCACAGTGTGTTAGACATTATTGTTGCCTAGCCCAGATCCCCCTTATAGCCTGGGCCGTTCATCCTTCAGCTGCTCATGTGCCTGGGCCAACAGCTTATAGCTGTGACTTTCTCCAGAGGCTTGACTTTGGCTAAATGGATCCACCTCACTGGAGGCTCCTGAGACATTATACCCCCCTCCTCCCCAAGGGTGACCAAGGACCAACTTGTTTCTACTCTCCAACACTCTTCTGTCCCAACCCAGACTTTTCCTGGAACCATATCCTTGCTCAGCTCCTTTTTATCTGGCTCTTCCCTTTCCTTACAGATTTTTTCTAAAGAGCATTCGCTCAAAGTACAGACACTAGAACCCCTTCCTGAGGCTCTGCTTCTACAAAACCCAACCTAAGACAAGAAGTGTTGCTGTAAGTCATAGATAAGTCTCCTAGACACATTGTCTAGGGAAGGATCTATAACAGATCTGTAAAAGTTTTTATATACCCCAATATTTCCTATTGAGACAGGATGTTTCCTTGATCTCCTTGACCCCCTTTGTGGGCAGGAACTAGAGTGGCTTATTTCACTCAGTCTGCAGTCCATGAACGTTTAAGTGTTAACAGCTCAGTGAAGGGTCAGGGTGACAGCCTCTTGCACCTGCCATTTTTGACACCCGAGTTCTTGTTCGGTGTCCAGGAAGAATCAGGTCACACGAACTGTGTGAAGGATGATGAATGTGGAAGACCTTATTGAGCAGTGGAAGTGGCTCTCGGTGGAAGGGGAGCTGGAATGGGGATGGTGCGGGAAGAAGGTGATCTTTCCCTGAAGCCCAGCTGTCTCTGGCTGTGCTCCCCTCTGAAATCACACCATCTGAAGCTAGCCACGTTTATCCGTAGTCTCTAACGCTCAGTTGGCTGCTTCTCTGCTTGCCTCTCAGCAGCTTGTATCCCTGCAGGTCAGCTGCTTGTGTTGCTCTTTTCTTCTTTTTTTCCTGCCAGCTGGTCTGGTTTTATGGGCACAGGGTAGGGAATGGGGTGGGCGGAAAAGGCAGT
The DNA here is from genome assembly GCF_000001405.40 of Homo sapiens. NCBI lineage: Eukaryota > Metazoa > Chordata > Mammalia > Primates > Hominidae > Homo > Homo sapiens. The sequence continues at coordinate 77,128,397 of NC_000004.12, forward strand.
CAATTGGGTGGAGAAATGGGGTCAGCTGCTTCCACTTAGGGCTGAGGTTCCAGGCTTGAGGGTAGAGTTTAGCTGAGAGCCCAGCCCTTCTGTATCAGGGTCAGCTGCTTTCACTTAGGGCCAAGGTTCCAGGCTTGAGGGTGGGGTTTAGCTGGGAGCCCAGCCCTTTTGTATCAGCGTCAGCTGTTTTCACCTAGGGCTGAGGGTCCAGGCTTGAGGGTGGGGTTTAGCCAGGAACCCAGCTGTTCTGTATCACTATTATCTAAAGGACATTTAACATGATTGAGCTATCTCACACCTTCTCTATCTTTTCTTCTAAAGACAGCAATCCAGTTTTTAAAACTTTTTTCTTTTTAATTTTTGTGGGTATATAGTAGGTTTATATGTTTATGGGGTACGTTAGATACTTTGATACAGGCATGCAATGCAGCATAATCACATCATGGTAAATGGGGTATCCATACCCTCCAGCGCTTATCCTTTGTGTTACAAACAATCCAATTACACTTTTAGTTATTTTAAAATATACACTTAAATTATTATTGGCTATAGTCACTGTGTTGTGCTATCAAATACTAGGTCTTATTCTTTTTTTTTCTGAGATGGAGTCTCACTCTGTCACCCAGGCTGGAGTGCAGTGGCGGCATTTTGGCTCACTGCAAGCTCCGCCTCCCAGGTTCACGCCATTCTCCTGCCTCAGCTTCCCAAGTAGCTGGGACTACAGGCGCCTGCCACCATGCCCGGCTAATTTTTTGTATTTTTAGTAGAGACGGGGTTTCACCATGTTAGCCAGGATGGTCTCGATCTCTTGACCTCATGATCCGCCCACCTCGGCCTCCCAAAGTCCTGGGATTACAGGCGTGAGCCACCGGGCCTGGCCCAGGTCTTATTCTTTCTGTTTTTTCGTACTCATTAACCATCCCCACTCCCTATCCACCCCCACTAGCCCTTCCCAGCCTCTAGAAACCGTCCTTCTACTGTCTAGCTCCGTGAGTTCAATTGTTATAATTTTTAGCTCCCACAAATAAGTGAGAACATGTAAAATTTGTCTTTCTGCGCCTGGCTTATTTCACTTAATATAATGATCCCCAGTTCCATCCATGTTGCTGCAAATGACAGGATCTCATTATTTTTTATGGCTGAATAGTACTCCATTGTGTACCACATTTTTCTTTATTCATTTGTCTGTTGATGGACACTTAGGTTGCTTCCAAATCTCGGCTATGGTGAATAGTACTGCACTAAACATGAGAGTACAGGTATCTCTTCGATACCCTGATTTCCTTTCTTTTGGGTATATACCTAGCAGAGGAATTGCTGGATTGTAGGGTAGCTCTATTTTTCATTTTTTGAAAAACCTCCACACTGTTCTCTATAGTGACTGTACTAATTAATATTCCCACCAACAGTGTACAATGGTTCGTTCCCTTTTCTCCATATCCTTGCTAGCATTTGTTATTGCCTGTCTTTTGTATATAAGCCATTTTATCTGACGATCAATGATGTTGAGCACCTTTTCGCATACCCGTTTGCCATTTGTATGTCTTCTTTTGAGAGATGTCTATACAGATCTTTTGCCTTTTTTGCCTTTTTTTTTTTTTTTGAGATGGAGTATCACTCTGTCGCCAGGCTGGAGTGCAGTGGCAGGATCTTGGCTCGCTGCAAACTCTGCCTCCCGGGCTCAAGCAATTCTCCTGCCTCAGCCTCCCAAGTAGGTGGGACTACAGGCACACGCCACTATGCCCGGCTAATTGTTGTATTTTTAGTAGAGACAGGGTTTCACCACGTTGGCCAGGATGGTCTCCATCTCTTGGCCTTGTGATCTGCCTGCCTCAGCCTCCCAAAGTGCTGGGATTACAGGTGTGAGCCACCATGCCCAGCCCTTTTGCCCATTTCAAAATAACATTATTAGGTTTTTTTTTCCTATAGAGTTGTTTGAGCTCCTTATACATTCTGGTTATTAGTCTCTTGTCAGATGAGTAGTTTGCAGATATTGTCTTCCATTCTGTTGGTTGTTTCTTCACTTTGTTGATTGTTTCCACTTCTGTGCGGAAGCTTTTTAACTTGATGTGATACCATTTGTCCATTTTTGCTTCAGTTGCCCGTGCTTATGGGGTATTACTCAAGAACTATATGCCCACACCAATGTATTGGAGAGTTTCCCCAATGTTTTCTCTTAGTAGTTTCATAGTTTGAGGTCCTAGATTTAAGTCTTTAATCTATTTTGATTTGATTTTTGTATACGGCAAGAGATAGGGGTCTAGTTTTATTCTTCTGCATATAGGTATCCAGTTTGCCCAGCACCATTTGTTGAAGAGACTGTCCTTTCCCTAATCTATGTCCTTGGCACCTTCATGGAAAATGAGTTTACTGTAGGTGTATGAATTTGTTTCTGGGTTCTCTGTTCTGTTCCATTGGTCTATGTGTTTGTTTTTATGCCAGTACCATGCTGTTTTGGTTACTATAGCTCTGTAGTATAATTTGAAGTCAGGTAATGTGATTCTTCCAGTTTTGTTCTTTTTGCTCAGGATAGCTTTGGCTATTTTTTTTTTGTGATCTCTTATAAATATAAAAAATAGTATTATTTTTCCTATTTCTGTGAAGAATGTCATTGGTATTTTCATAGAGACTGCATTGACTCTATATATTGCTTTGGGTAGTATGGACATTTTAACAATATTGATTCTCTTAATCCATGAAAATGGAATATCTTTCCTTTTTTTTTTGGCTTTCTTATCAATTTATTTCATCAGTGTTTTATAGTTTTCATTATAGAGATCTTTCACTTATTTTGTTTAACTCCTAGGTATTTAATTTTATGTGTGGCTATTGTAAATTTGATTACTTTTTTCATTTCTTTTTCAGATTGTTCATTGTTGGCATATAAAAATGCTATTGCTTTTTATATGTTGATTTTGTATCCTGCACCTTTACTGAATTTATTAGTTCTAATAGTTTTTTTGGTGGAGTCTCTAGGTTTTTCCAAATATAAGATCATATCCTCTGCAAAGAAGGATAATTTGATTTCTTCCTTTTCAATTTGGATGCCCTTTATTTCTTTTTCTTGACTGGTTTCTTTAGCTAGGACTTGCAGTACTTGAACAATCTAGGTTTGCAATGTGACCTTTTAGTTAATATTTCTTGGAGGAATGGATATTCTTCAGGGAATGGATTATCAGAATAGAATGGTAAATATATATGTAACTACATGAATGATATGTGTGATAGCACTTTCCCACAATTGTGTGGTCATTGAAAGCCATTTTACTCAAAAAACATCTCCCCATGGTCCCTACAGAATTATAGAATAAAAACTATATACAGGTGGAGTCCCAGCACTTTGGGAGGCTGAGACAGGTGGATCACCTGAGGTCAGGAGTTTGAGACCAGCCTGGCCAACATGGTGAAACCTCATGTCTACTAAAAATACAAAAATTAGCTGGGTGTGGTGGCGGGTGCCTGTAATCCCAGCAACTTGGGAGGCTGAGGCAGGAGAATCACTTGAACCGGGGAGGCGAAGTTTGCAGTGAGCTGAGATCTCACCATTGCACTCCCACCTGGGTGACAGAGCAAAACTCCATCTCAAACAAACAAACAAACAAACAAAAACTCTATAGAACGAAACTGATAGCCTTATAGTATAGGCAATCATACTTAGTAAAGCTCTAAAAAGGTGTTGTGTGATTCAGCTATTGTGTTCCTTATTCATGCATTTCAACAAATGAGTTTGTGACTGCATGATAAAGAACAATATCAATGCAAATTTTCTTACTGGTGGCTCCTCCTCCTGGCCATTCTCTTTAGTCTCGCAGGCTGGTCTCTTCCCAAGCTATCGTATTCTCCCCTTTAACTCTCTTTTTTAGCTAAGGCATAAATATTCAATTACCATCTTAAATGTTAATATACGAGATTAAATGATTAGAGACAAAATTAAAATATTAGAGCCATCTCCTAAATGTGCCTTTCCTCCCAAACTGCAAGAGAGATGATTGCTTATTTAAAGATAAAGACAGGGCAGTAATTAAGAATCAATGGAGGTTACAAGTTAGCAGAATAATAACTAACTTTTAGTATGGCCAGCTGCTATTCTAAGAGCTTTGCCTTATTGTTTAATGTTCACAGTAACCATATGAATAACTAATTATCAACCCCATATTACAGATGAGGAAACTGAGGCACAAAGAGCTTAAGCAGGTTTTCCAAAATCTTCCAACTACTGACTGAAGGACTTAAACCTAGGAAGTCTGGTTACGAGTCGTTACAGAGTCCATAGCCTAACCACTAACACATACTACCTTTTTGTGTGGGAAATAAAAAAGACTCAAAACTTAAGATCTTCTGAGTACAGATGTTACAGCTGACAGAGTGAGCTAGAGGGACTGACAGAATAATTTATAATCTCATCTTAGTTACTGTACTATAATTACAGACAGAATTTTAGATTAAGTAGGTCAGTTTCTAGGATGATTTACAACCTCTTCAATGAAAAGGGAGTTGAAAGTATGAGTAACACATATTAAAATACATGTAAATACCAATGTTTCCTTTTTAAAAAACAGTTCTTACTGGATGTTTTTATATTTGCATCTTAAGAGAACACAAACTGCAAATTTTAGAAAACTCTCATCTTTGAAATTTCCCAGAGAGCTTATTAAAAATGGAATTTGTTCATTGCCTAGAGTATTGGAAGGTGTTGCACAAATGCAGACTCTTTAGGATTTTGCATGTCTTGCATCTGGTTTATAATGTTATTTATTATGCAAAGAACACAGTATGATGGCTACAATGTGAAAATAGAGAGACAGTAGTTGCCAAGTAGGTCTGGAAAATATAAGACTGCCAGTTTGGAAAAAAAAACAGAAGGAAAGGCCAAGTGCTTTATTTTATAGGAAAAGGTTTGCATTGTCAGTAGTGTAGGGATTGACAACTTGTCTTAATGTTATCTTTTTTTTTTAAGTTGGCTGCTACCATTAAAACCACTTCTTGAAAATAAAAAGTTATGTCTAGTAAACATTTATCTTATTTAGAATGCTCAAAAGTATCAGACCATTAAAGCTGTAACACAAGTTTCTTTTCTAGCTGTTTTAATGGAGAGAAAGACTATGATAAACAAATTTTGCTTGAGTGAGAGGAAAGAAACAGGTCTGGAATATGGGGCATTGTGTGGGGTATGGCAGACCTTGGTGGGGTGTCAAAAGTGGGCTCTGAGAAGCATAAAGCACTAGGCAGTGAGAAATCTGAAAAGGAAGAGATTTATCCAAATACATTTTGATATTATTGCCAGGCAACAGCAAGCTAACTTTTTGCCTGCCTGCCCACCCGCCTGCCCACCTGCCTGCCTAAAGGGTAGATCTGGAATTTTTTTTCCAAGGCCATGAGAGAGAGCCTCATCTATTTGGGATCACTTAAGAGTTGTTTTGCCTAATGTGGGAAGACAAATTGTTCATGGTTTCCAGTGGACATCCCTTGGCATCAGCGAACTAATAAGGACCCCCCCAACTCAACTACCCACACCTGGTGATCCACGGGGCTAAGACTAACTCCTCCCCAACCCCACACTACCACATCATCATTTCCATTTTGTATAAGATGGTTCCTTGACTTTTCCTCCCAGCTGCAGTTTATTGTACCAAGAGTGACTATTGACCAACGCTGGACCAATCTGAGCACTTACTCTACAAATTTGGAATTGAGGTGGATAAGGAGTAGAGGCAAGGATGAAGAAAGAGAAGGAGGGAGATTGATTCAATTTCCCTATGAGACAGATCAGTAATCTACACACTTGTGAGTTGTGTGTGGCCTTATTCTGCCAGGCAGACAGGGAAACAGAGTAAGCTGGGGTGCATGGACAGAAGAATGTGATGGTTACATAGAGAGAAACACAAATGGGAGGCACAGAGGAAATCAGGCCCACATGTCCCTTATGCTTCCATCAGATACCGCTGCAGTCATATCATAAATTCTCCTTGTTTGCTTCACTTAATTCAACTGGATTTGGTTTTTGTCACTAAGAGGCTCCCAACTAGATACACCATTTTCTCCTCTTTATCACCCTAATGCTATGAAGTTCACTTCCTTTTCTCTTTTTGAAAGAGGAGGAAAAATCGACAAATTCTTCAGCTATACAGTTCCCTTGGGCTTGTGTCCTCCATATGGATTATGGAACATAAAAACCATGTCAACTTTGTTATCTCCCATCGCAGCTGATGTTTGGAACCATTATCGGTACATATGCTTAAATTGAAAAATAACAGTTTAAAACCGAGATAGTGATGTGAAAGCACCTGGCAGGTTGCCTTTCCCAGTAAATATGATTTAGATGCCATTGGATACCAAGAACAGAGGCTCACTCAAGTTTTCGTTTTGTTTTGTTTTTTAATAGTGGGTTTTCAGAAAGATATACATAGACAAAAAGAATCTCACCTACAAGCTAAGGCCTGGCATTGCAGTTCTAAGCCCTAATTTTTCTTTTTTTTTCTTTTTTTTTTTGAGACGATATCACCCAGGCTGGAGTGCACTGGCCCAATCACAGCTCACCGCAGCCTCCAATCCTGGGCTCAAGCAATCCTCCCACCTCAGCTTCCCCAGTAGTTGAGACTACAGGTGCATGCCAGTATGCCCAGCTCAATGTATATGTATATGTATATGTATATGTATATGTATATGTATATGTATATGTGTATATATGTGTGTGTGTGTATGTGTATGTGTGTGTGTGTGTGTGTGTGTGTGTATATATATATTAGCTGGTCTCAAACTCCTGACTTCAACTTCAAGCCATCCTCCTGCCTTGGCCTCCCAAAGCACTGGGATTACAGGTATGAGCTGTGGCACCCAGCCTGTAAGCCCTGAATTTTCTAGCTAATCATTCAGTAGCAAAAGTTTGCTGACCCTCCACAATTAACAATTATAGTGGGTTGGTTCCTCTTTGTCTCCACCTTTATTGCTTCTGCCTCTCCTGTCCACCTTCTATTCAGTCTCTTTTCTCTACCTCATTGTTTTCTGTTTTTTCTTACTCATTGTCTCTCTCTCGCGCGCGCCTTTTTTTTTGAGACAGTGTTTTTCCATGTTTCTCAGGCTGGTCTTGAAGACTTCTGGGCTCAGGCCATTGGCCTGTCTTGGCCTCTCAAATTGCTAAGGATTACAGACATAAGCTACTGTGCCCAGCCATGTCTCCTTCTTATAGTTTCATCTTATAACTTTTGTGTGCTGATGACCTGTCATAGCTCAGACTACCCTCATTTTCTCTAAGTGTTTTTTCCCCTCTCAGCTTGTGTGTCATCTACATCTGGCTGGTTCTTTTTTATATTTGCTCTTTTAAACTTTGAAGAGAAAGAGTCTGATTTCTCTAGATAATATCTGTTTTGGAAGAGCTCTTGCATTAATGTCCTCATAATATCCTGGTTTCTATGAGCCATTATATTGAATGTCTTCAGTCTAAAGTCATGGCTAGGAGATGATGTGGATGGTGGGTGTTATGGAGGGTCCATATGGTCTCATGATAGATCATGGCAGCTGAGTGCTGCCTCCCCAGGAGGGACCATCGACATGACTGTCTTGTTTAATATAACATTCAATAAATCCTCCTTTCTCCCTTTCTTTCCTTTTTTATTTTCCTTTTTGTATCCAGCATAGTGATCTGGGGAAATCTCTTTTTAGAACAGGAGAGAAAGGTCCAATCTTTCACATTTATGTGGTCCTGACTCACATGCAAACTTTTCAAAAGAACACTGTGGCCTGGTATTTTTTCATTTGTCATGTGCAGCAGTTTTGAGTGGTCTATGTGAGTTTGGGGAGATCCTTTCTGGAGTCGGTGAGGTCAAAATTATTTTTACTATAATACTAAGATGATATGATCTTTTACTATTTAACTTCATTGACCTTTGTACTCATGGTGTAAAGAAATGGTGGTTAAAATTGCTGGCATTGGCCAGGCATGGCGGCTCACACCTGTAATCCCAGCACTTCGGGAGGCCGAGGTGGGAGGATCACTTGAGCCCAGTAGTTTGGGACCAGCCTGGGCAAGACAGTGAGACTGACCCTGTCTCTTAAATTTAAAAAAAAAAAAATCTGGCATCTGAGTACGACTCAAGGCAGTGGCACCAGACCATACTAGAAGTCATTGTATTTTGTCACTAGTGCAGTAGCAGTAAAAACAAAGTTTTAAGAATGTGCTTGGCAAGGCACCATGACTAATGTCTGTAACCCCAGCACTTTGGAAGGCCGAAGTGGGCAGATCACCTGAGGTAAAGAGTTCAAGACCAGCCTGGCCGACATGGCAAAACCCCGTCTCTACTAAAAATACAAAAATCAGCTGATTGTGGTGGCATGCGCTGGTAATACCAGCTACTTGGGAGGCTGAGGCAGGAGAATTGCTTGAACCCTAGAGGTGGAGGTTGCAGTGAGCTGAGATCACGCCACTGCACTCCAGCCTGGGCAACAGAGAGAGAGTCTGTCTCACACACAGAAATAGAATGTCCTTGATTTCTAAGCAGAAGAAAGGTCCTATAAGAATAAATAAAATAAATAAATAATTGTAAGCCAAAGCAAAAACTTTTTTTTTTTCTTGAGACAGAGTCTTGCTCTGTCACCCAGGCTGGAGTGCAGTGTGATTTCAATTCACTGCAACCTCCAACTCCCAGGTTCAAGCGATTATTGCACCTCAGCCTCCCAAGTAGCTGGGATTATAGGCACCTGCCGCCATGCCTGGCTAATTTTTGTATTTTTAATAGAGACAGGATTTCACCATGTTGGCCAGGCTGGTCTCAAACTCCTGACCTCAGGTGATCTGCTCACCTAAGGCAAAAAGATTGTTTTTTAAGTAGAAAGAAAGAAAGAAAAAAAAGCAATATCCATGATGGAGTCATAAAATTATTGATTTTATAAATCTCGACCTTGGTTACATATTTAAAAATATTCTATGTAAAAAAATGGAAAGTCTGGGGAGGCCGGGGGCTGGGGGGGGGCGTGGATCACCTGAGGTCAGGAGTTCGAGACCAGCCTGGCCAACATGATAAAACCCCGTCTGTACTAAAAATACAAAAAATTAGCTGGGCTTGGTGGTGCATGCCTGTAATCCCAGCTACTCAGGAGGCTGAGGCAGGAGAATTGCTTGAACCCAGGAGGCGGAGGTTGCAGTGAGCTGAGATCATGCCGCTACACTCCAGCCTGGGCAACAAGAGCAAAACTCCATCTCAAAAAAAACAAAAACAAAAACAGGAAGTCTGCATAACGCGTGTCTGCTACGTACGGTCATAGAATAGCTGTCACCAGGAAAAGCACTTTTGCAATTGTTTGAGACACAAGCTGAACTAGCTGCTGCTTTCACAGAATATTATTTTTATTTGGGAGAATGGCTGGCAGAAAAATTGGCAGTTGAGACTTGAGTATTTGGCAGACATCATCTCAAAAGTAAATGAAGTGAGCCTGTCACTTCAAGGAAAAAAACTTGAAATAATACAGTATTTATTGCCAATGTTAAAATTTGAGTGAAAATCAGAATTTTGGAAAACTTGTACCCACCACTAAGAGCTTGATAGTTTGTCAATACTTTTAACACTTTGCTGTTGAGATCAGTGATGATATTAGTGGATATAATTTTTTATATTATCTAATGAAGTATGTCAACGTTTGGAAGATCTGTACAGCTCAGTGAACCAATATATTGCAGATGACTTTGTAAAGTCTTATGTTGTAAAACAATGCATGAGTAAAAAGAGCCACTCAAAATGCAATGCAAGATAGACCAGTGGATCTCATTGTAACAGAGTTATTAAAGTTCACTGTATGGTTTCAGATTCCACATTATAATTAACCTTTAAGTAACTACTACTTTTTGAGTTTTAATTTGTCAAAGAAACATTTCCACAATTATCTGAAAAGGCCACTAAAAATACACATTCTTCCCTTTTGTTTCTTTTTTTTTTTTCTGGTGTAAATATATATATATTTAGGCCGGGCGCAGTGGCTCATGCCTGTAATCCCAACACTTTGGGAGGCCGAGGAGGGTGGATCACCTGAGGTCAGGAGTTCGAGACCAGCCTGGCCAACATGGTGAAACCCCGTCTCTACTAAAAAATACAAAAATTAGCCAGGCGTGGTGGTAGGCATCTGTAATCTCAGCTACTCGGGAGGCTGAGGCAGGAGAATCGCTTGAACCCAGGAGGCAGAGGTTGCAGTGAGCTGAGATCGCGCCATTGCACTCTAGCCTGGGGGACAAGAGCGAGACTTCATCTCAAAAAAAAAAAAAAAAAGAAGAAGATATAGATATATTTAGAATTAGCCAGCCATAATCAGTTTAGATGATCCCAATTCTGTTGGCACTCATCAGTAACAGTAGCCAGGTCAGCCTGTGTTGTTAAGCCTGTGGATGACCTCCAATCTTGACACTGTGACCACTTTACACATTGGCTCATTCAGTGAGCTGTATGATGGCTGGTGAAAGCAGCTGAGTGATATATAAGAATATGACACTTTTTCTACATTATTATTGAGAGCTTCCTATATAGAGGACGCTCTTTGGAGGGCATTCACATGAAATATAAGTGTCTTCATGCTGTATTCATTATGAGAGACGTATCCACACACTTCTTTCCCAGGTCTCTTCTTACCAATATTCAAATCCTATTCTTATCAAGTCCCTGAACATCCAGCCAAGCTCTAAGAAACTGCCCATGAATCAGAGTAGTCCATACTTATAGCTGTTTCTGAGTTTAGACAAAGTGGATAACCAAGTGTATTTTTTGAAGTTCTGGGCTTGCGTGTATTTTACGTTACCACCATCCAGAGACACTCCTGAGTGGAACTGTGCTACTGCACTGTCCACTCCAGTTTGCCCCAGAACACTGTCTTGCCATCTGTAAATACAGCCTGAACTTTCTCCCATTCAACTGGTAATAAGAAACTCTCTAATGAGGCCACGGGCATGGATTGAAGGAGAAGGGCCAATAGTTGATGTTGAAGGAGTAAAGCCATCTACTTAGGTAACTTAGTTGGGTCTTCTGGATGTGTGTGAGGTCAATCTCTTTTATACTATTTCTACTTGGTGGTAGATTGCTTCTGTGCACACTCAACTTTATGCAGCCAACTTTTATGGCTAGGAAGGGCACGCAATTCATAATGGAAAACTCAGGTTACATGTAAGGCATTCAGTACCAGGATCGAGCTAGAGCTGTTTCTAGAAAGGAGAATGGTTATCTTGAGAAGAGTCATAGATTGGCTTCAAAACCCTGAGTTCTACATGTTGATTCTCCAGTTGTTGTTTGGCAGAGACTTCATACAGCATCCTACTTGCCACAGACATGCCAAGTGTCATTGCATCTACTGGGTTATAAAGAAGAGCAATTTACACTTCAGTCTATACTTGTTCTGGTCCCCCTCAGAACTGGCGGCTTTATTGATTTAATAAGATTACTTGTAAATGGGAATTGAAGTAGCTCACTTGAATGTAGGCTATATTACCTCTAAAATCCAAATGGGTCTACCTAACACCACAAACAAGGTAAGCAAATTCATATCCAGAACACATGTCTATTCTAGTGGGGACACTAAATATCCCACTAAATTTCTTTAGTGGGGACTGTGCAAGGTGCAGCAACTTATCTTTCACTTTGGTGGCAATATTTTGAGATGTTCCATACCATGTAACCCCAGGAATTTCACTTAGGTAATGGGCTTCTGAATTTTCATGGGGGTTTATTTCCTATTCTCTAGTTTACATGGGTCTTATTAAATCATCTGAAATAGTTGCCGCTTCCTGTTCAGGTCCTGATCAGATCCAATCAACATAATGGTATCAATGCAGTGGACTAGTGTGATTTTATGTGGACTGTCAAGATTATAATAATCTCTGCAGATTATATTATGGCAGAACACAGGAGAGTTGACATAGTTCTTAGGCTACTTCAGGTAAAAACAAACTGCTTCTGGTGGTCCTTGCAAACTAGTATGGAAATAGAAATATTTGCAAGTCAATAATGGCATACTAAGTGCCAGCAGCTCTTGATTTGTTCCAGAAATGAGACGACATCTAAATATTAACTGCAGTTGGAGTCACCTAATTAAGTTTTTGATAACATGTGGTTATTCTCCAGGATCCCTCCAAGCTCTGTATAGGCTGAACAGGTGAATTGAATGGGGATGTGAGAGGTATCACTACCCTTGCTTTTTGTCACATCTTTAATGGTGAAGCTAATCTCTGAAGTTCCATCAGGGATAAGGTATCACTTGTGGTTTCCAACACTGGTAAGGGCAGGAATTTCCAGGGGCTTCCACTTGACCTATTTTTACCATAATGGTCCTCAATGGGTAAAGATTCAATGGGACCACTGCAGAACATACAAGAGAATTCTCCTGCCTCTGAGTTATCTCACCTGAGTAAGGAGAGAGCTGCCTTATGTGTCCACCCACTCAGTTACTGGCTGAGGGCTGTTCTCACACATAGGAGGAATAGACTCTGGAGGCCAGAGAGAAACAATAGGGCACCTACAGCATCTGCTACAGTTATTTGGATGGCGTGGTTTCTGAGTTCTACATTTAACGCATTGAAAAGTTAATGACATCTAGCAGGCTGTTGGATTAGTGAGTCTGAAATTGAGGAAAGATTGTTCTAGCTCTTCCTCTATATTCCCATGGCCCTGTGCTTAGCTCTGTCATAGCGTTTACTATGTTTTACTTGAATGACCTACTTATGTGCTTGCCTTTTGACTAGAATGGAAAGGGGCAGTATCTTTTTTTGTTGTTGTTTTTTTGAAGCGCCCATTCTGGTGCCTGCCACACAATAGTTGCTCATTAAGTGAAGTGAATGTTTTTCTCCTCACCAATATTCTTGCGCTGTTTTAGAAAACTCTTCCAGAAATGGTACAGTAACAGCTGATATATAACCAAGAGAGCATCAGCTGCATTTGGACACTGGCCCTGTGCCTAGCTACCTTTGGGCAGTGGGGAAAATACTCTTCCCAGGGAAAGTTGGAGTGGTTGGAATCCATAATTAACATATAGTGTGTATGCTAATATTATATGTCCTATACTAGGATACAATGCAATGTAATGCATTTAATTGATTGCCTTGCACCCTGAAAGAATGCTAAGTCATTTATTGACACCACATGCAATTCCTGAAACTCAGAAATTGACTGATAGTATTCATACAGAGTTTACATTGTTTTCTGAGAATAAAAACAATGAATTATTAACACTAAGGCAAAGTAGGCCAGGCACAGTAGCTTACGCCTGTAATCCCAGCACTTTGGGAGGCTAAGGTGGACAGATCACCTGAGGTCAGGAGTTTGAGACCAGCCTGGGCAACAAGGGGAAACCCTATCTCTACTAAAAATACAAAAAAATTAGCTGGGCATGGTGGTGGATGCCTGTATTCCCAGTTACTAGGGAGGCTGAGGTAGGAGAATTGCTTGAACCCAGGAGGTAGAGGTTGCAGTGAGCTGAGACCATGGCACTGCACTCTAGCCTGGGTGACAGAGTGAAACTCCATCTCCAGAAAAAAAAAAAAAAGAAAGAAAGAAAGAAAAAGAAAGAAAACCCAGTAAGGCAAAGTATCCGAATCATACTGTTTCTTATAAATAAGAAATCGATTATCACAACAAACCTGTATATGAAAGAAAATGCAGTTTGTTCTGAAATAGAATTTCAGTACATATTTTAGAGTCATTAAAACCTAATGATCAAGTTCCTTCAGTTGCATTAACAAATAAACAGGTGTTTGATTCCCAGTACTTGTGCAACTGGTTGGGATAAGATCAGAAGTTACCATAGTTCAGTGGCTTCTGAGAACATACGGCACTCTACACTTATAAAGAAATAAAACAATAACTGCTTGGTTTACATTATTGTTGCTCAATATGCTACATACCATCATTCACCAAAAAAATTATACTTTTCAATTGAGTATCACCTGAGGTTTTCATTTTGTTTTGTTTCATTTTGTCTTAAATGGAATCACAGGAAGGTTAGCATAATTTGGAGCCAGAATTGCCCACACAGCTGTCAGGTTTCCTGGGCACATTGCAGATCTGAATTTGGGTCATAAACAGCTTGGGGATTTCTGACCTCAAGGGCTGTAGGGAATCAAATTAAGCCCGTGAGGGGTAGCACGCAGCTTTCCTCCATGGTGACCCACTTTGTTCACTTCTCAGAACAAAAAAGGAAAAGACGGCTGGGTGGCAACAGCCAAAGCCATCTGTTGTAGAAATGGGCACAGAGTTCAGATTTGCAAGGACAGGGCGATATAAAAACAAAAGCAAAGAGAAAGAAATAGGTCGTTACTGAAATGTCCTTGTAAGAAATAAACAGGCAATGTTAATTCTTATCCAAACGTTTTATGAATGTAGTATTCATCAGATTTTATTGATGCTGATCCTTGGGCTTGGCAACAACATTCTTGGTATGCAAAATTTGTTTATACAGTTTGTGTCCAGGTTGGTTCATCCAATTACCTAATAAGGACAAGGTTTAGTTTTCATATTGGCCAGTTAGCTCTGTACAGAGAAAAGCTCTGCTCCTTTGCTGTAGCTTGTACGCTATCCAATTCAGGTCTCTTCTAAGCACGGGTTATTGATCATGTGAATAGTTTGGAATAAACTGTTAAATTATTGGAAGAACAACTTAAAGCAATGTTTTCTTTCATATGGGTAAGAAGATAAGTGACAATAAGAAATACTAGTTACACTTACCAAGGCCTTATGTGTAAGGCCTTATGTGCCACAAACTATGTGGCACTTAAGCTCTCTGTCTATATATTGTCTCATTTAATCTTTATAAAACTGCCATTTTTCAGGTAAGGAAACGGGCTTTGAAAAACTAAGTAGCTTGCCATATAAGTCATATAGAGATAAAGTAGTAAAGCTGAAATTTGAACCCAAGATAATAATTTACATTTGCTTAGTATTTTATGGTTTACTAATTGTGTTTACATACATTCTTTCACTTAATCTTCCCAGACAGTCTTGTGAGATAGTCAGTAGTTATAATCTTATTTTTACGAATGCGGGAGAGGGGGCTTTCAGGGGTCACTCAGCTAGCAGATGTCAGGGCCAGTACAAAAAGCCAAGTGTGCTGATTCCAGGTTTCAAGATCTTTTAACTATTAGACAGCCGAGGTCTGGGATATGTGTATTTATTGTGAAGTTAAAGTCTGTATAGTACAAAATGAAATGTAGATTTCATAATTATCCAGATTATTCAGGCTTTACAGGGTCCAGACCCTTCATTTTTGTTTAATGAAATTAACAACATAACTGGAGAGGGGGAGTGGGTGGGAGGGGGTGAATAATGAGAAATTACTTTTTATGGGTACAATGTCTATTACTCAGGTGATGGATACCCCAAAAGCCCTGATTTCACCATTATACAATCTATGCATGTAACAAAATTACACTTGTATCCCATACATTTATACAAATTTAAAAAAAGACACACACACACAAAAACGTCATATTTTACCCACTCTAGAAGTTGTGTAGTTAACTGATTAAAATTACATGGAATGTATTTTCTTTTTTCTATTTTAATGTTATATTTTAGCTATATAATAAGTTCTTATTTAATGTCATTGATAGATTCTTGGAAACTTCAACTTTAAGGGAAATGATGTATAACAAAAAGAATTTTACCATAGGCTAATTGATATAAAAAAGAGTTAAGCTTCTACAGCATATTTCTTGTCACAAGAAATCACCAAACTTCTAAATAAAGATCTCAAACACTTCTAATATTAAACATTAAAATAAATGTGAGCTATTTAAAAAAAGAAATTAAGAATATAAATAAAATGTTACCAGTGAAACATATAGAATATTATAAACAAATTTTTCTAGAGATGGGGAGGTCTCACTATTTTGCCTAGGCTGGTCTTGAACTCCTGGCCCCAAGTGATCCTCCTGCCTCAGACTTCCAAAGGGCTGGGATTATGGGCATGAGTCATCACAACTGGCCAGATTATAGTATTTTTATACAATGGAATTATATGGCAATAAAATTTGCTATGGCTATAGGCAAACATGGATGAAGTTCAAACACAAAGTTGGAAAAAAAAGTCACAGAAAAATATACTCAGTGTGATTTCACTTATATAAATTTTTAAAAACTAAACAATACATTATTTAGGGATACAGATAATCTATTTTTAAAAGGAAGGGAATGATTAACTGAATATTTGGTACTAGGGTTACTTTCAGAGAGAGAGAGTAGGGGATGTGATCCAGGAAGAGCATCTAGAGCTTTCAGATTATATTCTATTGATTAACTTGGGTAGTGGATACACAATTACTTGTTTTATTGATGGTATTTATTTATTTATATTTTTAGAGAGAGGGTCCTGCTTTGTTGCCCAGGCCAGAGTGCAGTGGCTCGAACATAACTCACTACAGCCTTCAACTCCTGCCTCAGCCTCCTGAGTAGCTAGGACTACAGGTATGCACCACCATGCTCGGCAAATTGAAAGAAAGTTTTGTAGAGATGAGGTCTCTCTATGTTGTTCAGGCTGGTCTTGAACTCCTGGCCTCAAGTGAACCTCCCTCCTTGGCCTCCCAGAGAACTGGGATTACAGGTGTGAGCTACCATGCCCAGCCTTTATTGATGGTCTTTACATTGAATATATGTATACTCTCTTGTTTGTGTATTTTACAATACAATTAAATATATATATATCAGATATAAATATATATATTTATATATATATCTATCTATCAGAAAAGAGACCAGAAGAATGTACATTACTACAATAACATCAATTGTATTAGATTGTTTGGCTACAGGTGATTTTGTTTTTCTTTTTCCACATTTTCTGTAATGTGCTGTTATTACTTTCATGATTAAAATAAGTAACCCTGGCCAGGAGCAGTGGCTCATGCCTGGTAATCCTAGCACTTTGGGAAGCTGAGGCGGGGGCATCACGAGGTCAGGAGATTGAGACCATCCTGGCTAACATGGTGAAACCACGTCTCTACTAAAAATACAAAAAAATTAGCCAGGCATGGTGGTGGGTGCCTGTAGTCCCAGCTACTCGGGAGACTGAGGCAGGAGAATGGCATGAACCCGGGAGGTGGAGGTTGCAGTGAGCCGAGATTGCACCACTGCACTCCAGCCTGGGCGACAGAGCGAGACTCCATCTCAAAAAAGCAAAAAAGTATGAAAGATGTAGTTACTCTGAAGTAAAATAGACCACTCAAGGATTTATTATTCTATGTGGAATAATATGTGGAAAATAAATGTGGAAAAAGAAAAACAAAATCACCTGTAACCAAACAATGCAATACAACTAATGCTGTTGTGGTAATGTACATTCTTCTGGTCTCTACTCCGGAGGCTGAGGATAGAGAATCACTTGAACCTAGGAGGAGGAGGTTGCAGTGAGCTGAGATCGCACCATTGCACTCCAGCCTGGGCAACGAGAGCGAAGATCTGTTTCAAAAAAAAAAAAAAAAAGAAGAAGAAATAAAGTAAAATAAGTAACCCTTACAGGGAAATGGCAATAATCTCACTTAGCCTAAATAAGTCAAAAGTATAACTTGAAGTAGTTTTAGTTAGGATAATGGGTTTCACAAATATACCGGAAGCACCAGTGTCAAAAGGACATCCTGAAGGTGGAAGTTCTACCCACATGTACTCTTGAGTTGCTTAGATGCTGTTAATCTGTTCTTGTGCAGAGCTGCTCATTCTTAAAAATGTATGTAACATTCTGAGTTGAAAGGAGAAGACAGTCACACAGTGAAATCTCTCCCTCCTGAGATAACTATTCTCTCCCTGTTTTGCTGCTATCCTTTCTACACACTGCTATTGTTGCAAAACTTGCATAACAGTATTGTGATTTGTCAATTCTGTTCTCTCCCATTAGGCTCTGAGCTCTCTGAGGGTAGGGTTTAAACCATAGCCATTTTGCGTCTACTGTTTCCTCCACTGTGCCTGGAATAGATTAGCTGCCCAGACAACTTTTATTAAACTGAACAAAAGAAGCAATGAAGATTTTAAAATGCTGCATTTGTAAGACACATGGCTACAGAAACCTGAATATTCTTGGAAGCTAATCTTCACGCAGGATGAGTCAATATGTTTCTGTCCTGTTTAAATACAAGATCTCGAGATAGCATATTATTTATGTGCATCATAAAAACTTAACAAACATTGCACAACACAATAAGCACAATACATTGGTAACTTCTGGCACATTTCTAAAAAAGTTTATTTTCTATGTACTCTTTTTGTCCACCCCTTACCATCTCTACCTCCTAGAATCCAGCACAGGCTGTAAACCTCAAACCTGCTGTTTTAGCAGTGAGTTATCAGAGGGCCTTGACTTCCTCTTAGAATGATGGTATGCAGCTGAGCTAACAATAGTAGAGTCATCAGAGTATTTGCTGATTGCCATCTTCTGTTTTAAAGACTTTAAAAACACTTCCTTGTCATAAGGTAGAAAAGAACCCACATGTCTGCAAAATAGTCCTTATCAGGAGAAATAGGAACATAGCACAATTTCTTTCTGGCCCCTAAACATTTGCAAACTACTGACATGACACACTCACATGATGTCTCAAATCTTTAGACATCTCCCCCCAGGCAGAAAAGAAGGAGCCTCATTTTTCTTCCCCTGCTGGCTTTCCTGAGATTTGAGTGGTGGGACTGTGTTGAAACAACTGGCTGGCTTTTTTTAAGAAACATGTTAATTCAAAACTCTAGGGTAAGGGTAGCTGATCCTGGCAGGCCTGATCTGTCTGGACAGTTTCTTTTCAGATTAGTTTGACAGAGATAAGTCTAAGATTTCTCAAAAGCATATTTGCTTTCTATTGAAGAAAAACAAAAAACAAAGGAAACACACACACACACGCACACACGTATGCAGGTGACCAGTGATTAAATTTCATAATAAAACACCCAATCCAAATTGCCTGTGCTTAAACTAACCTAAACTACTGATGCAGCCATTTTGAGTGAACTTAGTAGGAAATACAGCCAAATAGGTCTTCTTCCTGGTATTCGAGAAGAAGGAAAATAAAACAATTCGGATATAGGCTTGATCTGTGTAACATAGTCACTAGGCTTGATCTATGTAACATAGTAACTATGTCACTGTAAAATAGTGGTTAAACTTGATCTATGTAACATAGTAACTATGTCACTGTAAAATAGTGGTTAAGAGTGTGGATGCTAGAGTCAGATTGTCTAGGTTTGAACACTGATTCCACCACTGTCTAGCTGTGGGATCAAGTTACATAAACTCCCTGGGACTCTATTTCTGGGTCTGTGTGATGGTACTTACCACTTGTGTGTGTTACAGGCATTAAAGTTATGTCAGGACATATAAATCACTGAATACGGTGCTTGACAACTTCATTATTGATTACTACATGTAGATTATTATAAAGCTAATGAAATTTAGCTTCAGGGGCCCTCATTTGCACACTCTCTCCAAGTTCTCAGGAGTGGCCCTAGCAGAGTGTTCATGTGTTGGTTAATTTTATGTCAACTTGACTGAACTAAGGGATGCCCAGGTAGCTGGCAAAACACATCTTGGGGTGTATCTGTGAAAGCATTTCCAGAAGAGAAGGGCATTTGGATCAGTAGACTAGTAAAGAAGACCACACTCACCAATGTGGGTGGGCATTATCCACTATGCTGAAGGCCTGAATAGAACAAAACGGCAGAGGAGAAGGGTGAATTTGCCCTTGCTGTTTGAGCTGGGACATTCATCTTCTCCTGCCTTGGATATCAGTGCTCCTGATTCTCAGGCCTTTGGACTTGGACTGGGACTTAACACTATTGGTTTCCGGGATTCTCAGGCCTTTGGGCCTTGTACTGGAACTACACCACCTGGTTTCATGGGCCTCCAGCTTGCAGACAGCAGATTGTGGGATTTCTCAGCCTCCATAATTGCATAAGCCAATCCCTCATTATAAATCTCCTTCTATATACAGTCATGCATTGCTTAATGATGAAGATAAGTTCTGAGAAATGCGTCATTAGGCAATTTTATTATTGTGTAAACTTCATAGAGTGTACTTACACAAATTTTGGTACTATAGCTTACTACACACCTAAGCTATATGGTATAACCTACTGTTCCTAGGCTACAAATCTTTGCGGCATGTTACTGTGCCAAATACTGTAGATAACTCTAACACAATGGTAAATAGTTGTGTATTTAAACATATCTAAACAGATAAAAGCTACAGTAAAAATACAATGTTATAATATTATGGAACCACTGTTGTATATGTGATGCGTTACTGATTGAAACATCATTTTGCTGTGCATGACTATATCTATATATATCCTATTGGCTTTGTTTCTCTGGAGAACCCTGACTGATACAGTTCACATATATATTTTTTTGAGTTTTGTGAAAGTAAGTGATTTTAATTACAATCAGTTAAGGCTGCTATCTTTCTCCATGTCAAATTTCACTGTATCATTTTCCCTTGAATTTAGAGGTGCTTGAGTGTCCACCAGCATTTTGGGGATCTAAGGGGAAGTTGAGTTGAAAACATATCATTTAACTAAAATTTAAAAACACATTTTGGATTGTTCCAATAAAACAATGAGGAATTATAAAAACCTAATTTGGATATAAAAGAAAGGTGCTCTGTTTTGTTATCTAAAAGTGCTTTTATTGAAGAACTAAGAGAAAATTTACATAAAAAGTTAATGGGATATGAAATAAAAGTGATAAAAATGCATGATGACATTGCTTCTTGTTCAGATACGAAGAAGCAAACTATGTATAACACTTTTTCCAGATCATTCTAAAACCAGTGCTTCCTTACAGGGAAAAGAGAAATTTTTAGAAGTAATGGATAAGTCTTGGATTGTTTGATACTCTATTAAGAGGAAGGAATCATAAAATCCTACAAAATATAGAAATTTCTTGCTGATTTGATACAAAATACTGACATTGACAAAGATGACATAAACCTCAAAATATGCTTCTGCAATGAAGAAACAGATGAGAAGCTAAATAATTAGTCTATCCGTTTTCACTGGTATCCTGGATTTTTTATAGCTTGTACGCAGAAAAAAACTTGGTAAAGATTTTCCCAAATCTAATATCAACCATAACATATACTATGGTATTAATAATGAATTATAAAACTGAAATAAACATTTTAAAACAGCAACAATTTTTTAAAAACAAAATTTGATTAGCCATATTAAAGGAAAAACTAAATTTAAAAAAAGTTCTCTTCAGAAAATTATATTAATATATTATTATCATATGAAGAGGTGATCAGAGAGTATACAGCCAAAAATATTGGTAAAAAGTTGTACAGCCATATGTCAGGCAGTTTATTAATAAAAAATATTATGGGATTTTCCAGATTTTTTATGTTTGTGAATGTAAAAGACTATTTTCCAGAGACAGTCATCACAGTATCTCCTATCCCACATGCTCTTGTTATAAGGTGATTGACACATCCCTCATTGAGAAGTGGAATCTACGTTCCCTGTCTTTGAACCTGAGTAGATGTGACTGTGGCTGAAAGGATGTTGTAGTTGACAGAATAAAGGTCCCTCAAAAATGTCCACATCCTATTCCTCACCAGCTGTGAATATGTTATGTAATATAGCAAGATGGAATTAAGGTTGCAAATCTGCTGACCTTTTTTTTCTTTTCTTTTCTTTTCTTTTCTTTTTTTTTGAGACAGGGTCTTTCTCTGTCACCCAGCCTAGAGTGCAGTGGTGTGAACATGGCTCACTGCAACCTTGACCTGGACTCAAGTGATACTCCCACCTCAGCCTCCCAAGCTGAGACTACAAGTGCATGCCACCATGCTTGGCTAATTTTTAAAATTTTTGTAGAGAAAACGTCTTGCCATGTTGCCCAGGCTGGTCTAGAAGCCCTGGGCTCAGGCAATCCTCCCATCTCGGCCTCCCAAAGTGCAGGGATTACAGACATGAGCCACCATGCCCAAACTTTTCTTTTTCTTAAAAATACGGAACACTTCATAAATTTGCCTGTCATCCTTGCATGGGGGCCATGCTAATCTTCTCTGTAACATTCCAATTTTAATATATGTGGCCAGGCGTGGTGGCTCACGCCTGTAATCTCAGTACTTTGGGAGGCTGAAGCGGGCAGATCACCTGAAGTCAGGAGTTCAAGACCAGCCTGGCCAAGAGGGCAAAACCCTGTCTCTGCCAAAAATACAAAAATTAGCTGGGCGTGGTGGTGCACACCTATAATCCCAGCTACTTGGGAGGCTGAGGCAGGAGAATCCCTTGAACCCAGGAGGCAGAGGTTGCAGTGAGCCGAGATCGTGCCACTGCACTCCAGCCTGGGTGACAGAGTAAGACTCCATCTCAAAACAAACAAACAAACAACAAACAACCCCCCCCACACACAAAAAAAACAACAAAAAAACAATTTTAATATATGTGATGCTGAAGCAAGCACCAGCTGACGTTGAGATGGTGAGACTATACTGGACTATTCAGGTGGGCCCAATGTAATCACTAAGGTCCTTATAGCTGGAAGTGGGAGGCAGAAGAGTCAGAGTCAAGAGAGATCTGGAGATGCCATGATGCCGGCTTTAAAGATGGAGGAAGAGCCACAAGCCAAGGAACGCAGGTGGCCTCTAGATGGTGGAAAAGGCAAGAAAATGAATACTCTCTAGAGCCTTCAGAAGGACTGCAGCCCTGCTGACACCTTGATTTTAGCCCAGTGAGACCCATTTTGAACTTCTGACCTCCAGAACTGTAATATGATAAACATTTGTTGTTTTAAATCCCTAAATTTGTGGTAATTTCCTAGACCATCAGTGTGAAATTAATATAGATGCTATCTGACTGCCAAGGCTGGTTTGTAAAAGGAGACACAGTGTTCACCTGATTTTCTTCAGGCCCTGCCACCATGCCATGAGGAAATGGAAAGACCACGTGGAGTGGTCACATATAAATGTTCCAGCCACCAGCCTCAGCAGAGGTCCCAGCCCACAGTCAGCAACAACTCCAGACACGTGAGTGGCAGCAAGATGATGCCAGCCGCAGTTACCATCTGATTACAACTTCATAAGAAACCCTGAGCAAGGGCTGCCCAGCTGAGTTCAAGCAACGCCCCAGACCTGTGGGTGATGATAATAAAATTATTGTTGTTTTGAGTCACTAAGTTTTGGGTGATTCATTGTACAGCAGTAGATAGCCGAAGCAGTCAGTATGTAACAACTGTTTAAAATTTACACTTTGTCTTGAATTGTCTCGTTTTAAATAAGTATTCACTTTCATATCTAATTTTGTATTTGTAAATTCTTTTTTTCCTAGAGAGAGCCCCTCCAAATAGTAAAGCTTCAAATGTACTACCTTAAATCTGGTTCTACTTCTGCATGTAGCCACAATTTCTTATTCAGAATGTGGTTGAAAACATAAAAATATACGTAATTAAACAGACCTGAGGATCTTTGATATAAAGCAGTCTTTCTTTTTTTCTGAGACGGAGTCTCGCTCTGTCACCAGGCTGGAGTGCAGTGGCGTGATCTTGGCTCACTGCAACCTCCACTTCCCAGGTTCAAGTGATTCTCCTGTCTCAGCCTCCCAAGTAGCTGGGACTACAGGTGTGTGCCACCACACCCAGCTAATTTTTGTATTTTTAGTAGAGACAGGGTTTCAACAGCAGTCTTTCTTTTTAAAGTTAAAAAAAAAATTTCATTTTGAAAACACTTTAAAATGTTAACAGAAGCAAATTTTAAGCTTATACCACTTATCCATATCACTTTAAACATCAATTGCCTTTTCATTTGAGATAAAAAAAGAGATCATGACTCTCACAGACAGTAAAACTTCTTTTGGAAATAAGATGATACATTCAACAGATGTATCCTAAGTTACTCTTTGCTGACAGTGTCAACTTCATATAGCACTGTGATGTCAAGGAAAGACAGGAAATCTCTGAGTTAGGTCATGGTTCTTGAAACAAACCATGAAAGAAAAATGTGTTACATAAAGAATCATGTACAATGTACCAGAATGTAGCCTGAGCCACTTAAAATATATTTTAAGATGATTTTGAGATGATTAGTTCTGATTTCAGGCATTGCCGAATTCTCAGTTCACTCTCCTTTGCCAGGCTTTTCACATTATGTCAAAGCTACTTCATTTATTTCAGTTGATTATTCGTGTAAAAGAGAGAGCACTGGATAACAAAGTACTGAGTCGGGCTTCAGAGTCAACCGAGCATTTAGTTCTCAAGTTCTCAGGTTGCAGAGATAGTTCCTACAAGGCTACTCTCTTGCAGGCTAGTAGAACTGGGAGGGACTAAAGTGGCTGGCTGGAAAAACTGGTCCTCTTGCTGTAGTCATTCAGATGGTGTCTACAGTGTGGATAATTTCCACAATTCCAAAGCCAACCCTACGTAGATAAACACTATGAATGTTTATGAATATGGCCAACCCTTGCATAAACACTCTTCCAAAAAAACAGGGCATGCTTCTAGCATTAACAACAAAAGCAACAAAATATATAGTAAATGGATTGTAAAATGTTGATTTCAAATTTGAGATGGTCTTGTTTGTGGGAAAATCAGAAAGGAGAATATATGAGATGTTTCACTGACTTATTCTGCTGATTGCTTGAAGACAGAGATTAATCATCTGCTATATAAATCATCTCATTCTTCCAGGTTCTGATTTAAAAATGAGCTCTTGGTTGAAAAATCTGCATTACTTCAAGATAGCACCCTATGCTACTATGCTATACCTTCCCTGTTTCTCTTCCTCAGAGAGGCATTCCTGTCTCCATTGCAGGTTCTGTGAAGCAAGACTTATCTAAGCAGGAAGTTTGGGGCTGCAAACCACTTTTTTTTTTTTTTTTGAGACAGGGTTTTGCTCTGTTGCCCAGGCCAGAGTGCAGTGACATGATCATGGCTCACTGTAGCATAGACCTCCCAGGCTCAAGCAATCTTCTTGTCTCAGGCTCACATGTAGCTGGGACTACGGGTGCATGCCACCACGCCCAGATAATTTTTAAAATTTTTTGTAGAGATGAAGTCTCGCTATGTTGCCCAGGCTGGTCTTGAACTCCTGGGCTCAAGTGATCCTCCCACCTCAGCCTCCCAAAGTGCCGGGATTCCAGGTATGAACCACTGTGCTCAGCCTAATGACAGAAAACAGCCCAGGCAGGGACCCAGCAATAGTGAGTAGACGGGGAGGGGGAGTATGGCCTCATGTCAGCTTTACGTATCCTTATCCTCAGGTTCTTTCCTTTCAGGGCTGCTTTCCACCAGACTTCTTTGATGAGGTTAGGGATGATCCCTTCCTTTCCCTTCATGAAGTCACAACATGGTGCAGCCTAGAAATATATAGCTAGTTGCTTTCACAAATGTTTGTATTCAGTCATCACATATGAAGCAGACACAACTACCTCTGGCTTTTTGTTTTCCTCAGTTTAGAAAGCTGAGGCTCAAGACCATGGGAATTATTCAGGGTATTCAAGGCACCATTTCTAATGAGTAGGAAAGCTGAGACACAAAGCCAGTTTGATCCATGGCCAGTGCTTTTGCCCTACACCTCAGACATACCAGGGTATATGCTGGGGCCTTGTTTTATTTATGTATTTTTGTATTCCTGGTGCCTAGTAGCATGCCTGGCACTCAGTGTGTATTCACTAAATTTCGATTGAATAAAAAGCTAGGATTTATTGTCAAAAACCATATCTTTGAGGAGAAAGATGATATTTGGAAAATTGTAGCAATTTTGATGCCTTATGAAGTTCAGGGAAGTCTAAGTCATTTAGGGAAGCACTGCAACTGTCCCATGAGAGTGCCCTATTTTCAAGGTAGAAGCTTAAGTGTGAGCAGGTTTGCAGCACACTTGTCAGGAGTCAGGGATTCACTGAATGTAGTCAGTGTTTCTGTGTGGGCACTCCCTGCTTATTACCCATTCTGTGAGCACCTTTTAGTTTCAGTCTCACATGTCACTGAGGACAATGGGCTGCACATCAGGCTTTCATGGGGTTATTGGTGACAGTATCACCCAACCCCACTGCACCCCTACCACATGCTGTAGAAAACCAAGTATCTTAAATTGTCTGGAAGTTCTTGGGGGCTGCCAAGTTTCTGATTTCCTTATTTTGTATGTGTGCATGATACAGGAAATTTGCCTTCCAGAAAGCTCAGGAAAGGCTAATGGGTAAAGCCTGATTAGCCTAAGGGGAATAATGTCTTTTTCATAAATAACACTTTCAGCTCCGGCAAGGTAAGCCAATGTGATAAGGACAAATAGAATGAGGAGAATTTTTTTTTAAAAGATATATTAACAAACAAAAAATTCTGCAAAGTAAACAGAGAAAACCTACATAATCCCCCAGCCCATTTCCTAAGAATATCATCATTCTTAAAATGAGGTGTTTAAAAAAGAGGATGCTGTATTAATAATTACTGGATCTGTATTTTTAATGATTGCTTTCCTTTAATCTTAAAGAGATAAGTGGACTAACGTGGATAAAGGGCTCCATCTTGGACAACTTGATCAGTCTTTTCTTCTGTGCTGAGCAGGGCCTGCCAAGAGCAGGAAATTCAACGCCATTTACAAAGCTTTCTTGTCTTACTCTCAGAGAAAGCCATCACTGTTCACATCATTCAAGAGGCTGTCTGTAAAAGGACACATAAAATACCAGTTATGAAATATAGAGTACACATTTAGTATAGCTTCATATCATTTAGTGCTAAGCAGCAAGATGATTATGTCAAATAAAAGTTATCACTTATTTATGTTTAAAAGATCAGATAAGCATTGGATAAAATTATGTAGCCTAAGCAAAGGACAATTTCTAAATCTTTTCCTTTTTGTTTTATATAGTCTGTTATTTTTAAAGTCTTCTACCACATAAATTTGCATTTCCTCTTTCACATCACTTATAAAATAACGTATGTTCCTTTTTTACCTTTGCCTTCTTACTTGAAAAAAACATCCCCAGTCTCCTTCATGCTTTGATCACAAACTCTTCATTTCTCTGATGGTGGATAGTTGGTCGAGCTGCTTTCTGTCTGTGGGCCCTGTCCACTCAGCCTATTGATGCTCTGTACAATGAGCTGTCATCTCTGTAATTTTAATCTTAGCTCTAGTCTCTAAGTTAGTTTCATGCTCCTATTATGTTTATCAGCATAGATTTCCAGCAAGATGATTATGTCAAATAAAAGTTATCACTTAATGTTTAAAAGATAAAACAAGCATTGGATAAAATTATGTAGCCTGTAAATCATTTAAAACTGGTGTGCTAATTTTATCTTATTTTCCAAAACCCTCACCAAGCTCACACCTCTCTGAAATAAGTGTTAGCTTTTTGGGCTGCCTTCCCCCAGTTGCTCTGTGCTCCAAACAGATGCCTGTGTTTAGTCCGAGCTAATATGCAAAGGGACCTAGTTTTAAAATTCCTTAGCTGCTCCGCAAAGAAGAGCGCTGCCAAAGCTATGTTGTGTGCCTTCCCATATTTCACAAGTAACAAAATAATTCACAGAAAACACATAGAAGAACAGAAAGGAGAAATCTCTTCCCAGGGACTATCTGATTATGTAGATTAGAACTCACGAATATGGTATTTTCTAATTTAGGAGGGAGAGAGTAAACAAATAAATGTTCCAGGGCAGTCAACCACATGCCCCATTGATATTCCGTGTGAAAGTGTCTCTGGCCTAAGGCACCTGGTTTGTTTGCTTTTTGTCCCGTCCTGGGAGACGTGTCGCCTATAATAACAACGCTAATTATAATGAACAATAAATGATAATTTATGGGTTACCAAGGACCAAGAAGCTCTGGGAGTCTTCATTAAAACAACAGCACTACAACCTCTGGAGGTACGCCGTAATTATTAGATGTTTACGTACCCTCATCAGCGTGCTAAGTTTTTATTGAAAAGCCCCTCCTTCAGTCCCTCCTGAATTTTTTTAAATTATGGAAAAATTCCAAGACACAGAACTAGAAAGAATACTGTAATGCAGCCTCGAGTACCCATCACCCAGCTTCGACCCTCAACTTTTTGCCTATCTTATTTCACCTCTCTTCTCCATTTTTTTTTCTCTTGGACTGTAAAATTTTAAAGCAAATACCCAAACTTGTAGCATTTATTGAATATTTTAGTAAACGCCCCGACAATGTTATAATAATTTGGTGGGTTATTGCAAAATGGAACGCCAAGACAAAATAAAGAAGGAATGTAGAAAACTCTCCCGTGGCTGAAAAGGCTGTCACAAAGGTTAGCTGTTAGGAGAAGCGCCGCGAGCGTGACATTCCCCCAAGAAAGGCGGAGGCAGCCAGGCGAGAAGGCACAGCCCCGCAGGGCAGGTAACTGAATACCTTCTCCGCTGCACACCCAGGCATGCGCAATCCAGACCCTGGAGTTGCTAAGGCCCCAAGGCAGAGAGAGGCTCAGGCTACGGAGAAAGCCAATCAGAGGGCTCCAAGACTGATAAGTTAGCCAATCCAGATTCGAGGGTGAATCAGGTCCTCAGCATGCCCATCGCCCCACCCGCATCCAATCAGAGAGCCGGCTACTTTGGGCGGACTTTTCAAAACAGCGAAAACAAAACAAATCGGGGACCTTTAAAAGGCGTAATGAGACCAGAAACGATCTCCTTCCGCCCCTCTGTCTTCCCCCGTTCCCCAACGCAGATCAATCGCGGAATAAGCCCGACGCCCAGATTCCGCTCTCCGCCCTAGCGCCAGGCGGGAGGACTGGCTCGGCAAAGCCAAGGAGAGCTAGGGAGGCCGCGAGAGAGGCTCGAGACGGCAGCTTAGGGGCGGGACTCTTTTTTAAAGTCCGTGGAGGAAGTGCAGGATCCCTCCGCGGGGAGTCACGTGCCCCGCCCCCTTGGGGGCGTCGAAACTCTTAACAAAAACAAGGGGCTCGGGGAGGTTTCCGCTGAGGCGGCGGGGGTGCGGCGGTGGGCTGGTCTTCCGCGGCCGGCGTTGCGCCGCGGCGGAGGGTGGGCGCGCGGGGAGCGGGATGGAGCCGGGGCTGTGAGGCCGAGGCGGCGGTGCCTGGGAGGAAGGGTCGGATGCCGGACCGGGGGCACCGCTGAGGCGGTGGGTCCCCGACCTGCGAGACAGGTTTGGAAGCCCCCGCTGCGCCCAGTCCGTGCGGACCGCGAGGCCGCGGGCGGGTGGAGGCGCGTCTCCGGCACGGTGAGTGGACCCGCCCAGGGCCGCCGTGGGTTTCTTTGTTCGTGGTGGGGACTGTGGGCTTTGAGGAGGTTGGTACCATGCGAGTGCCTCGGTGCTGCCTGCTCCTCATCCGCTGGAGCGACCAGGGTGCTGCCCTCAGCCCCAGCCCCGGGGGGAGCTGGCGCCCGCGATGGACAGATAGATGCTCGTGGGGTGGAAGGAGGTTGCGACTAGGTTAAGGGCAGTCTCCGCCTCGGTGCCCCCCGCCCCCGCTCGTGTTGTCACGGGGACTTGCTGGCGTGGTGCTTCTCGAATTGACAGCCCCGGGGCTCTGCAGAGTTGTGGGGCCCCGGCATCAGTGGGTGGACGGGTGTTGTCCCTACGGGCGCGGGGCGGGCGGGCTGGACTGGACTTCTCTCCCCGGACCGTAGCCGGGTGTGCCGCGCCACCCCAGGGCTCCTGGGACGGGGGTATCCGCCTCTCGGGTAAGTCCGGAATCGGCGCTGCAGCAGCGGACGGGAAAAGCTGGGGGCGGGACTCTCCGAGAGGGGCTTCTGCAGCTGGGCGCCCCGGGCGGGCGGGGCTCGGGAGTCTCCTCCCTCCGCTTCTTTGTTCAGTCGCGAGACTCTCCCTCCCCTCCCCCCTATTGTGCAACACCCCATCCCCGGGACCCGCTGCAGTCGCTCGCCACACTGCAGTCCCCTGGGCAGAAGGCCCTCCCTGGCGCGACTTCAGGTGGGGCAGACCGAGGGGACGCCGGCGCCCGCGGACAGTTTCCTGTTTGTGAAACGCCAAGAGGCCAGGGCTGGCCGGTCTTACCCAGCGCTGGCCGGCGGACCTGACCACGGCTCCTCCCCCTGCCACACCTCCCTGGCCGTGGTGGGGATTGCCCTGGGGCTCTGGCGGACGTGACTGGTCCCTTCACCCGCTCCTTGTCGGGGTGTGCTGGGGCGACCCTTGCTGGAGGTACTGGCCTCAGCCCTTTCTCCCGCTTCCCCACCCCTCTTACCCCCAGATTACATTCTCTGTGTGGTGTCTTTACTGCAGATGAAGGATTTGGGGGCAGAGCACTTGGCAGGTCATGAAGGGGTCCAACTTCTCGGGTTGTTGAACGTCTACCTGGAACAAGAAGAGAGATTCCAACCTCGAGAAAAAGGGCTGAGTTTGATTGAGGCTACCCCGGAGGTAAGTTGGCAGAAAAGATAACTTGCTCAAGCAGCTGATGGGGCTTGGAGGAGGTAACCCCCCCGCCCCCGTTGAATCATGACTAAAGCCTGCAAAATTTCTTAAAAGTTGTTCTTTCTGGAGTACCAAGATAAACCTTATTACAGGTTAATGCTTTTGTTTCTTAGCAAGAATGAGAGTGATACTTTAGAGAAGTGGGGTTTTTTGTTGTTGTTTTTAATGTGGCACCCTCCTCGCTGCCCCCCATACTCCAGCCTGCAGCTTCAGGATGGGAGACCCCGGGTGAATTGAGTAGTTCATTTGTGCAAACACCCTCTGCCTGTGAAATACATATTTATAGTAGAATCTTAAATGACTTTAGAAAAGCAAACAAAAGAACCCTTTCTCTCCATTCCAAGGGAATTGAATTATATTTGCTATAACTCTCTGAAATCTTGCAACAGTTCACCTTATATTGAATTGCTGAAGCTCTTTTATGATGCGTATTTTTAAGAAGCAGTGATTTACGTCTTACAGATGATAAAGTGTATAGCTTTAGTTAAGCGATACCACTCTTTCCACCTATATTCTTGAAGATTGAGGGAAAAAAATTAACCTTATTCTTGGGAAAAAATTAACCTTATTCTTTGGACCTGTATGTGTTTTTCATCTGGTTCTAAGAAAATTGTAAACCTTGGTTCTTGGTTTTTATTGCAGAATGATAACACTTTGTGTCCAGGATTGAGAAATGCCAAAGTTGAAGATTTAAGGAGTTTAGCCAACTTTTTTGGATCTTGCACTGAAACTTTTGTCCTGGCTGTCAATATTTTGGACAGGTTCTTGGCTCTTATGAAGGTATTTCATCATTTTTATAAATATGTCTTCCTTTTTCTATGCCCAGTGCCTAGCACACAGGGTTCAAGAAATATTTATCGAATGGGTATAATAACGTCCACTGTACATAAAAATTTATAATCAGAATTGTGATCGTTAGTGCCAGAATAAGACTACAAGATTAATTGTATTGTTGTATCTTAGGTTTTTCTGTTGTGTCTTAGGTTTTACCTCTTAAGTACTTTCTCTTGAATATGTGACAAAAGAGAGACTACTATTTTTTAGGTATTTGCCATATATTTATAGTCCTCAATATAAGATTTCATCTGCCATCATGCTTCTCTTGAAGCCAGATTTTTAAAATACTGAAGCATGACAAATGAAGTATAACAGTTTATTAAATATGACCGGCTGCCTTCCCTAGAAGTCTCTTCAAAGCAGGGAGCCATGGTTTTATTAACAGTCACCAGCAATGGCTAGAAAAATGTGGGGAATCTTCTGCCAGTAGGATTGCTGTCAGCTGCTGGGTCAGTTCTCAGGGCACTGAAAAGAAAAGGGCCGCCATCTGTCCATGGCAGCTTTTACATATGTCCCACTCTGCACAACTCGTGATATTTCTCTTGGGCAAAATTACATTGAAATATGGAATGACTCTTAAAGATTTTTATGTAAAAAGATAAGTATAAAATATTTTAATATCCCAGTACATTTTTTTTTGGTGTTAAAAAGCTTAATTTATTTTGGGAGAGATTATATTATGAATTTCATAAGTCTGAAATACAAATTATACTTTAGTGCTAGGAATCTAGCTTTTGAACCTGCATGGAAATTTTTGTACCTGCATTTGAATTTACATAATTTAAAGGTTCAAAAAACTTTTTTTTTTTTTTTTAAATAGAGATGGAGGCTTGCTGTGTTGGCCAGAATAGTCTTGCTATGTTGGCCAGAGTGTTCTCAAACTCCTGGCCTCAAGCAGTCCTCCCACCTCAGCCTCCCAAAGTCCTGGGATTACAGGCATGAGCCACTGTTCCCTGCTGCCTTTTTTTTTGGGGGGGGGGGGAGGTCGAGAACGTCTAAAATGTGAAAATGTGTATAATTGTGGGTAAAGAGCCAGTACATATAAGAGAAACAACTTGATTGTGTTCTGTCTTAAGAATAGGAGCATCATTACAATATTCTAAGTATCTGCTAAGTCAAAGTGACAGTTGTTAAAAGAAGCCTCTTGTTTTTTTCTCAGGTGAAACCTAAACATTTGTCTTGCATTGGAGTCTGTTCTTTTTTGCTGGCTGCTAGAATAGTTGAAGAAGACTGCAATATTCCATCCACTCATGATGTGATCCGGATTAGTCAGTGTAAATGTACTGCTTCTGACATAAAACGGATGGAAAAAATAATTTCAGAAAAATTGCACTATGAATTGGAAGCTACTACTGCCTTAAACTTTTTGCACTTATACCATACTATTATACTTTGTCATACTTCAGAAAGGTCAGTGGGATTAAAGATACATTTTGTACTTTGAACATTGCTATAGCTAACAGTAAATAATTGGAATGGCAATGAAATTTATATTTTTACCTTCTTCAAACTTTCAACTTTGACTTTATTGGTAAATCTTTTTTTTTTTTTTTTTTTGGAGAAGGAATTTCGCTCTTGTTGCCCAGGCTGGAGTGCAATGGCGTGATCTCGGCTCACTGCAACCTCCACTTCCCGGGTTCAAGCGATTCTCCTGCGTCAGCCTCCCAAGTAGCTGGGATTACAGGCGTGCGCCACCACACCTGGCTAATTTTATATTTTTAGTAGAGACAGGGTTTTTCCATGTTGGTCAGGCTGGTCTCGAACTCCTGACCTTAGGTGATCCACCTGCTTCTGCCTTCCAAAGTGGTGGGATTACAGGCGTGAGACACCGCGTCTGGCCCTGGCAAATATTTAAAATCATTTAAAATCATTTAAATCTTTGGAAGTTTAATAAATCTTTGTTCTTTGCATTGTATAGGAAAGAAATACTGAGCCTTGATAAACTAGAAGCTCAGCTGAAAGCTTGCAACTGCCGACTCATCTTTTCAAAAGCAAAAGTAAGTCGATTCCTTGCTTATGTATATATCTCACAGTTTGTATTTTGAATTTTTAAAAAATATTTTTCTTTTTTTTCTTTTTTCTTACAGCCATCTGTATTAGCCTTGTGCCTTCTCAATTTGGAAGTGGAAACTTTGAAATCTGTTGAATTACTGGAAATTCTCTTGCTAGTTAAAAAACATTCCAAGGTAATTACAGTCATTATTCTTTAAGGCAAATTTTTTTCCTGATGTTTATTTTTTTCTGTGGTGACTTAAACATTAAGTAATACTTTATGGGACTCTTAACTTTTACACTTGTTTTTTTTCTTATATCTCTAGTGTTAAAGTTCTCAAAATGCAGCTTTGACCCAGACAGTATTAATCCGGAAGGGAACCTGGTCACTTAGCTCAGCTTCTTTCTGCATATAGGTGCCCCTTCTGTAGTAATCATGCCATATGATAGTACAGCTGTTACATTGCCACAT
Organism: Homo sapiens; assembly: GCF_000001405.40. NCBI lineage: Eukaryota > Metazoa > Chordata > Mammalia > Primates > Hominidae > Homo > Homo sapiens. The sequence continues at coordinate 77,162,026 of NC_000004.12, forward strand.
ATGCATTGTTCTGAAATGCATACTAGGTAGTAGACTCAGAACAAACACTAATGGGATAGGATGGGATCCCATCACACCTGTAGGACTGAACTGTCATCCCATTAGCAGCAGCATCAATTAACACCAGCAATGTTGATGTTTTAAACCCGAATGTCTTTTCAAATCCTTTAGGCCAGCTAAGTAAAAGTAAGTCTTACCATCACAAAGAGATATAAAACAAAAGCACAATACTTTTTCTTAAACTCTCAGTCTAGTTGGGGAAATGAGGAACTTAACATGAAGTGGTGTGTTCTGTCATTTGTTATTGTGTCTTGGTGCCAGGTAATAGTGAATATAGAGAGTACTTTGGGATTTTTTTTTTTTTTTTTTTTTTTTTTGAGACAGTCTTGCTCTGTTGCCCAAGCTAGAGTGCAGTGGCATGATCTTGGCTCACCGCAACCTCAGCCTCTCGGGTTCAAGTGATTCTCCTGCGTCAACCTCCCGAGTAGCTGGGGCTACAGGTGCTCACCACCATGCCAGGCTAATTTTTATATTTTTGGTAGAGATGGGGTTTCGCCATGTTGGCCAGGCCGGTCTTGAACTCCTGACTTCAAGTGATCCCACCTGCCTTGGCCTCCCAAAGTGCTGGGATTACAGGCGTGAGCCACTGTGCCCGGCTTACTTTGGGTTTTTTTTAAGCAAAGAAATAGGGCAGACTAGGAGAAACACTATGACTGGGAGCCTGTTTGGAGCAAAAGAATCTTTGACAGTGAAAGTTTCAGCGAAGGCTTAACGGCCAAGAAATTGGTGGACTAGACAGATATAAAAGTCATTTTAGGGTAGACTTACAGGTACAATGTCTAGGTGGTAGTCACAAGCAGGAGTAAGGCTGTCCAACTCAAACAGTGGTTTTGGAAGCCAAGCATGGAAATGAGGCAAGGAGTCTTGAATGACCAAGATTTGTACCTAATGGTGGATATAATATTAGCATAATTGGCAGGAAATTTGGGAGAAGTTAATTTGTGATGAGAGCAATATGATTTTAGATGCTTGTGTACACAGGTGGGTGTCTAGTAGGTGTTTGGCGTTTTGGAATAAGAAGATAAACTATAGTTAGAGATTGAGGTTTGGAATTTCTCATGAAGAAGCAGTAGTTGAAACGGTAAGAAGCTGTGGAATCCTTTTTGTAGGGGTCAGTTGAAGCTCTGGGGTTTTCAGCGTTGGCCTTTCCCCCCAACATTAGGAGCCAAGTGAAGAAAGGTACATCCCCACAAGTAGAAGCACTGTCAGACTGGAAGGAGGTTTTTAAGGAGGTGGTCAGGAGTATTGAATTTTTATAAGAGATCCAATATAATGAAAATTGAAGGTCATTGGGTGTGTCAGAGGTAATGTCAGTAGAGCAGTGAGAAGGAAGTGGTAGAAACCAGATTACAAGTGGGTTAGGATGTAGCTACATTAGGTGAAAATGGGAAGCCAAGAAAATAGATCTTCTGTTTTCTGGTGAAAATATGTGCATGTGAAGCATTTTGTTTGTAACAGATAACTTTTTGCTTTAGTTATGATTTTATTAGTTTTTATCTGAACTTTTTATTGATAGTGATAGCTGGAACCATCTTCAGTGAAAATTGATTCGTTGAAATAAACTGAAGGCATTCCGAAGGAGGAGGGAAAAAAATACGTAAAAAGAAAAACAAAAAAGAAATAAACTGGAGCACTGCCCAGTGGTGGCGGAACTATGTCCTTTTTGGGAAATTCCTGTTCTCTCATATCACTAACTTCTTTAGTTTTGTATCTGGTGTTATAAGTGTGTATTACCAGCAATCCAAACAATGCCTTGTTGCAGGAACCCAAATTGGTTTCTGTAACAAAAGGAATGTTAAATTCCTTTGCATTGAGACTAAGGACTATACTTGATAGCTGATTTATTAACAGACCCAGAGTGTTTTTAGGTCAGTGTTTTCTTAGAATAGGCAAAGCTTTCTGTGTATTGAATCCTATGTAGTTTTATACTTACGGTGCTCTTCTCCTAAACCAGTGGTTCCCAAATTTTGAAAGTTTGGCTGCACATTACAATCACCTAGGGAACTTAGAAAACTCTTGATGCCCATGTTGCACTCATTGTCAATTAAATCAGAATACCAGGGGTGGAAGCGGGTAGTGGGAGCCAGGCATCTATATATATATATTTTTCATAGCTCACCTAGTGATTCCAAGGTGCAGCAAGATTTGGGAGACATTGCCGTAACCTCTTAAAATATTTTTTTTTCAGATTAATGACACTGAGTTCTTCTACTGGAGAGAGTTGGTTTCTAAATGCCTAGCCGAGTATTCTTCTCCTGAATGTTGCAAACCAGATCTTAAGAAGTTGGTTTGGATCGTTTCAAGGCGCACAGCCCAGAACCTCCACAACAGCTACTATAGTGTTCCTGAGCTGCCAACGATACCTGAGGGGGGTTGTTTTGATGAAAGTGAAAGGTAGGCAGGTTCCTTGACTAATTAAACTTCCCTAGACTAAATATTACTGAGTTTATTATACTCAGAACTGGAATAGTGTAAGACATCAGAGAAAGCAAGCACCTACACTAAGAGCTAAGAATTAAAGCCCCCACTCTTCAGGTAAGCAAATTAACCAGAAGTAGTATTTTAATATGTAATGATTTATAAGGTCCTCTCCAATTTTTTTAGTTTTTTTCTTTTTTATATTTTTTTGAGTAGAGATAGGGTCTCGCGATGTTGCCCAGGGCTGGTCTTACATACTCCCAGGCTCAAGTGATCCTCCTGCCTCAGCCTCCGAAGTGCTGAGATTACAGGTGTGAGCCACTGCACTCGGCCTCTTTTCCCTTTTTAAAGTGGTTGTTTTCCATCTTTCTCCTATTTCCCTTGCTCTTGAAATACAGCTAAAAAACCCCAAAAAAACAAAACTGAAAAAGAATTCTGGGCTTTGTAATGTTAGTATGAATTCCTAATATTGTGCTGTGGTGAAGAGATTGAGGGGTAGGTGCCTGGAAAATAAAGGGAATCACCACCACTGATGGGGAAGACTTCTATATATGTTCTCAGAGGTTTGTCAATTGGTGTTGTCTTATTCAGAATTTGATTACTTTGTTTGTAAAGTGAATAACTTTGCTAAATTTGTTTGTTTTATGCCGTAGAGATAAAGGGCCAGAAGTTTCATTTTCATAGCTTGTTAGTTTACTTTGATATTTGACAGTGTAAGTGGTATAATAAATCACTGATGCAAGAAATACATCTAAATAGACCATATGCTAGGAGGTATGTTGTTTTTAGTCTTCATTACTGGATTTAAAATACTTAGAATTCTACAATTCTAATACTTGCTGATAGTTATTAATTGGTACAAGAATAATAGTTTGGCAAATAGTAACTTGTTTAAACTTAAGAAAACCTATATTTTCTTTCTTTCTTTCTTTTTTTTTTTGCATGTGCCACCATGCCCAGCTAATTTTTGTATTAATATTTTTTGTAGAGATGGGATTTTGCCATGTTGCCCAGGCTAGTCTTGAACTCCTGGGATTAAGCGATCTGCACACTTCGGCCTCCCAAAGTGCTAGGATGACAGGGATGAGCCACTGCACCCAGTCCAAAAAATCTATATTTTCCAATGAGATTACTATAGACTTCATTTAGGAAGTCCTTATAAATTTTGTCTCTGTAAAGCATAAATTTTGAATATAAAAATCCTCACTAGAGATATAGCAGCTTTATTTTGGCTATAAAACATTTAAGTGTGTTTTAAGTAATGGTATCCTCTTTTTTTGTCTCTTTTTCTCTTTAGTGAGGACTCTTGTGAAGATATGAGTTGTGGAGAGGAGAGTCTCAGCAGCTCTCCTCCCAGTGATCAAGAGTGCACCTTCTTTTTCAACTTCAAAGTGGCACAAACACTGTGCTTTCCATCTTAGAAATCTGATTGTTCTGTCAGAATTTATATTTACAGGTTTCAAAGCAATAAATGGGGGAATAGGTAGTTTCCTGGTTTAGCCCCCATCTAGTCAGGAATTAATATACTGGAATACCTACCTTCTATTTGTTATTCAGATCAGATCTGGCCTATTTTCATATTTATCCTAAGCCATCAAATGGGGTAGTGCCTCTTAAACCATTAACAGTACTTTAGACATTGGCACTTTATTTTTCTCGTAGATCTTTAGCTACTTTGGGGAGGAGGGAAGGTGCTGATACCTTCAATTTGTTACTTTTCAAGATTTTTAAAAATAACTAGTGTAGCTTATCTTAAACATTTTATAAAACCTTCAGATGTCTTTAAGCAGATTGGAAGTATGCAAGTGCTTCCTTAGCAGGGACAGTGGATAATCCTTAATGGTTTATCATAGATTTCACCCTCCCCCCTTCTCAGAAGAGTGAGTATGCTCTTAAATGTCAAACACATTTTTGTTGTTTTGTTTTTTAAATGATCAGTGTCTATTTGATGTGATGCAGATCTTATAAATTTGGGAATTATAATATTGACATTTCTGTGATTTTTATATATGTAATGTCTTAATTGAGATTTCTGTTAAGGCAGAAATAATTAGGCTAGGGCTCTTAGTTTTCATTCCTATTGCCCAAGTATTGTCAAACTATGGTATTATTTTAATGTTACTTTAAAAATCCATAATCTGCTAGTTTTGCATGTACTTATATGAAAACAGTGCAGTAAGTTGAAAACTCAGTATCTATGGAATTGATAAATGTTGATCTGGTGTAGTATATTTTATCGCATTTTCTTATATTAAAAAATGTCTGCATGATTACATTTTATTTCCTTTGTAATTTACATTTCAGAATAGTGTATTGCTATATGGGTGCCAAGATTGAATATGAAGAACCCGAGTGTTTGTAGTATTATAGTTTTAAGCAAATCTGTGTGGTGATACAGCCATAAGAATGGGGCTTATATAAACTCTGTACATGTAAGATTTTGTACAGAGAATTTTTAACTTTATAAATTGTATATGAACATGTAAATCTTTTAAAATGTACATAAAATACTGTATTTTTTTACCTTGTGTGTGATAGTCTAGTCATTGCATGTAAATATAATTTATTATGTATTCTGTAGTATAAATCATACATTGATGACTTACATTTTTACTGGTAAGTCAACATCCGTTGGATGTTTTCTGAAGTGGCTCTTTTTGAAGTGATAATAGATTGTAATTCAAAATAAAATTATTAATGAATTCTCCTTGTTTGGGATCACATCTTAATTTTTAATCTGTTAAAAGTTCTTGATGTATTTTAATGAGAAGACTTTAGGTGAGGCTACAGTGATTCCAGAGTGAGCCTTCTAACTGGCTAGCAGAAGTTCTCTAGGTTTGGCATCTGTGCCTTGGAGATACTGAAAGAGAATCTGTCATTTGACAATTGACCTCTTTGTGGGATGGACTCATTAAGTATGCTCTCAGAGACTGGTATATTACCAGAATGCCTATTAATTTTCAGTGAGAGGCAACAGGTATTAAGTAGAACAGAATGCTCAGGTTGGCAGATTAGAACGATCTTTCAGGAGACAAAGCAAGTTTTAATCAGTTGTTTGGTTAATAAGTATGGGGTGTTCGCTGTGATAGGGCCCCGCCAGCTTCTGGCTCTTGTGGACCTCAAAAGTATCAGGTGGTTTTGCAAGTGGTGGTCCTTTCCCCTGCCCCACCCCAATAGGTTCCCCATCTGTCTAGTTTGATTTTTGTAGACCTTTGTTTTCTCTAGTTAGAAAATCAGGTACACTGAATATGGTTTTCATGTAACACCTCTTCTCTGGAGATAGGGGTATGTTTTCCTACCCTTCTAGTGGAGAATCCTACTTGAGGATGACCTTTCCTCTCTTACTAAATAATATTAGTAAATAGTGGGCAATATATTCTGCTTTCAGATTTTGATTTGTTGAGATGTAAAAGTTGTTTGGGGCTTACCAAATCTCAAGACTCTCTTTAGCTCCTGCAGGATTGTATTGCTTTTCTTACTGGATATTTTTCCTGGGTAAGCATCTTTGTGGCTTCATCTCTTCCCCCTGTGGTTTTCAGTGTATTTAGTCGAGACCTCTCTGCTGAGCTTGCAACCTGTTTATTCACATGGCCTGCCATGCCACTTGGAGGTTTCTGATTACTCCCAAACCTGCTGGTTCTTTATGTCTTTCTCAGCGAATAATTCCATCTATTCATGTTGGAAACTTAGGTGATATGCTCATCTCCTTTTGCCTGTTTATGGAGGTCACCAGCCTCTATCATTTGTATGATTTCGTTTACACTGTTTATATCTCTCTGTCCCCCCTTTTTCTGCCATTGGCATGGTTTAGACCTGTACTCTTTATCAGCAGAGGTACTGTAATATATTTGTGATCCCTCAGCTTCCAGGCTTACTCCTGGTCTCTGCCTTCCTATCTACATATCCTTTTAAAATAAAATTTTAACTATCTCCTGAAAAATTGTTGAGTAGGTCACGCACAATCAGGAGAAAAATCTATTCATGACATACAAGTCTCTGTCTAATCTGAACACTGCACCTGTCTCTGGCCTTTTTTTCTTGTCATTTCCTAGACCTTAAAAAATGTGTATTGAGAAAGAACTCTGTTAGCTATACAGAAGATGAACTGGGCAATATAGAGTAGCAGCATGGAGACCAGTCTGACTGAACTAAGGCAGTGGAAGTGTGGATGAGGAAGAGAGGTGAAAATTGAGAAGCGCTATCCTTTCTCTTTGGGCATTATTAGGAGGCTCACAGACAAGTCCAGGAGCCTGGTTATACCCTCCTGTGCCATTCAACCAGGTGGCTTTCCCATGACTGTGATGAATAAAATTGAGAAGCCCCTGCCCTTTTCAGAGCAGAGGGTGAGGAGAAAGCTACCATTTTGTCCTCATCCTTACCCCCGTTGACTTGGCGAGAGATTTGACCTTTCAGGTTTTGATCCTGTCATTTTCTAGGATGTGGTGCACGCACTTTGCTGTTGCGCATGGTGAAGTATTGTGCCTAGGTCCTGGGTCTTCATCTGTTTGGCTCTGCTACTGTTTCCTCCTCCCAGGAAGTGTGGTTAGACAAATAATGTGTTTTAATTACCTGTCACACTCAGGATTAATACATACTCAGGTTAACTGTAGAGAGGCATTGGCTTCAGAACACTCCTCGTGACAATTTTAACCATTTTCTTTGTCTAGAGTCTGCCTTTTTCTTTTTTACAATTTCTTTTATTTCAACACTAGGTTTCAATATGGTGTTCCTGCTACCTCCCACCTCCCTCCTCCCTCATCACACATGCAAATTGTCAGCTTATTGAGACAACCCACTTAGATTCATATATGGACAAGGACAAGGTATTTTGCATTTGTTACTGGAATTCAGTTTTCCTAACTATTTACTACCAGAAATGGTCAATAACTTACTTTGTGTTTAGCAAATCAAATTGTGTGATAGATAGTTTCCCAGTATGATGGCCAGTCAGTCTTTCCATCCCTGTGCCTACATGCTGCTCTTCCCGTCCACAAGTGGAGTCTGTTTCTCTTGAGTTTTGGCTGGCCTTATGAATGGCTTTGCTTACTGAAGTGCAGCAGAAGAAATTTAGTATATGTCCAAGCCTAGGCTTTAAGAGACTGGCAGCTTTCCTTTTATCCTTTTTGGAAGCTAGCCACCATGCTGCAAAGAAGCTCAGCTGGATTACTGAAAGATGAGAGGCCATGTGGAGAGAGACTCTTGAGGATGAGAGATTATCTTGGATGTTCCAGCCTTAAGCTCCCAGCTGAATGTGGGTGTATCCTCAGCTACACCACAGAAAACAGAGGAACTACTCAGTCGATCCCAATCAACCCACAGACTCACTAGAAATAACAAATTATTGTTTTAAGCCACGAGGTTTTGGGGGAGGGTTGTTAAACAGTAATAGATAAGTGAGACAGATTGCTTGTTATTTATGGTCAAATGGTGATTATCTCTGGTGAGATTACAGGTGATGTTTTTTTTAAGTTATGCCTATCTGTAGTTTCCTTTTTTTCCTAAAATTGATTTGAATTATTAGTGTATTAACAGAATAAAGAATGAACTTTAAAACACACACGCTGGTTATATGCTTCCTCTAATTAAAATTCATGGCTCTCACCACACCTTAGCATCAAGTTCCAACTTCGTACTGCGGCTTAGAAGACCCAGCTTGATTTGTTCCCGGCTCCCTTTTCAGCCTTGTTTCATGGCATCCACATCCACGTATTTCCCAGGCCCACTACATCTGAGATGAGTCAGAGACCCCTCTTAGGGGCCTGTTCCCTACTCCCAAACATGGAAATTAAAAAAAAAATCGTGAGTTCTTCCAAGAGAAATTCCAGGCATCTGGCTAGCCCTGAGAAGTAAGAGAGAAATGTGATAAGCAACAAATAGCGGCTCAAAACAATAGCCAAGTAAGTTAGAATCATGGGATGTTTGGTTCCCCTATAGAAACTACAGATAACATCTTAATATATATCCCTGAGTTGTTTTCCAGAAACCTGAACCCCTAGCAAATGGATGCGCTAGCACATAGACCTCAGATAAGAGGGAGCTGAGGACTGAACTCTGACCACCGTTCTTTGTTCTAAATTTCTTCCTGAGAGGCCTGGAGGAGGTCATGCCCATGAGCCAGAGATTACATTTTTTTCTGTAGATTTCAAATGTTGAGACAAAACGTCATCTCCTTAACCAATCGCACACTAGAAAGTCTTTGAATCCACCCCCACTTCGAGATGCCTTGCCTTTTTAGGTCAAACCAATGTATAGTCTCTATGTATTGATTTCTGACTTCGCCTGTAACCTCTGCCTTTCTGCCTTTAAAAACTCTTACCTGTAAACCATCTGGGAAATTGGGATTTAAGTCTTAGATGCCTGATCCTTCTTTGGTGCCCCGCAAATAAATGTTTTCCTTTCTCCTGCTGCAAACCTCAGTGTGGCTATCTGATCTTGCTGGGCCGGGTGGGTGGACCCCAGTTCTGTTTGATAACACCCCACTCACCATGCTTTTGCTCACTTCAGTGCCTTGATGCACACCATTTCCTCTGGCTAGAACACCTTGGCACCCTCATCTGGCAAACCTACTTACTACCTTAGGACTCCCTTCATTGACTTACTCATTCACCCATCAGATATTTGAATGCTTTGTGTGTCAGGCACACTTGTGTTGCTATGGAATGCCAAACACAACAAACCCTATCCCTGCCCTCGAGGAACTTACAGTCTAGTAGCAGAACCCAAAAATTCATGGCAAATAATAAAATGTTCAGGCTGGATGCGATGGCTCACGCCTATAATCCTAGCACCTTGGGAAGCCAAAGTGGGTGGATCACCTGAGGTCAGGAATTTGAGACCAGACTGGCCAACATGGTGAAAACCCATCTCTACTAAAAATAAAAAAATTAGCTGGGCATGGTGGCGGATGCCTGAGGCTGAGACAAGAGAATCGCTTGAACCCAGGAGGCAGAGGTTGTAGTGAGCTAAGATCACACCACTGCACTCAGCCTGGGTGACCGAGTGAGACTCCATCTCAACCACAACACCACCAAATAAATAAATAAATCATGTTAAAAGGCTGTGACAATTTTTTCTTCCAAGAAATCTTTCTGGAACTCCCTGACTTTCCTCTCTTTGTCAGTGTTACATGTTTCCATAAAACCCTACATTTTTTCTTATCCTAGAAATTAATATCTTGCTTGTGTGTCCCACTTATCTGCTAACCTTACCTGTTTGCTCTGGAACAGCAGGGCCTTTTGTCTCTTTCGTTCTTTGTTGACTGCCAAGCACCCAGCACATTATCTGGCCCATACTCCTCATGCTGCTGTTGCTATTACTGGCAACAAGTAACTTTGCTGGCCACTTAATATGTTTCAGGCACCTTACATGAATGATTTTATCCTCACCACACTGCTATTAGACAGGTACTACTATTAGTCCAATTTTACATACGAAGAAACTAAGGATTAGAGAAGATAAGTACCTTGACACAGGTCTAGTAAGTAGCAGGGCCATAATTCAAACAAAATTTCTCTGCCAAACACTATCCTGTTAACCACAACGCTAAGCTATTACCCAAAAGTTGATGATATTACCAAATAGTTGTTGATTGAATTAAATAATAAAAATTCTTATAAAGAAAATTCTACTCATAATACCAGTAAAATAAATCACAGAATTCTTTTGTTCAATGTTTAAGTGCTCTCACCCATAGAAAGGAAAGGTGGCTAAGATTTAGAGTTAAAATATTTTTTCTCAGAAGCCAAAATAGGACACAAATGTAAAAATCCAAGACAGTATAGTGGCAGAGAATATAGGTATTCCTCAAGGGCTGGAGATTTTAATTTGCCCGGGACCTCTTGGTACTCAAGCCTGTGGGTCTTCCCAGCCCCTGTATGTCTAGTTCTTTTTACACTTTGATGACAGTTTGTGCTTGATCATTCTGGGTTCCAATACTCACAGTGTTGGAATTCAGTGTTAGTGTGGGTGGAACTTGCAACCCCAGACAACCGTTTTGTTAAAGGCTTGCTTGCCCTTTGCTATTTTACTATTATTCAACGTAGCAATCATCTCACACTTACTCATTTACTGCTCTGAGGTTTGTCCAATAAATATTTCACATGTCTGTGGTTTATCCCCTTGCCTAAACTCTAAGCTTCTCGTGAGAAGAGACCATACAGTCTCCTTCCTTTATATCCTATGGGTGCCTAGCATAATAATCCTGGGTAAAAATGTGTGTCAATATTTTTCTACGTGGATCACACCTGACAATGTTTTTTTCCATTCTTGGTTGCAGTGAGTTATAGTTTGTAAAGGTAAACACACGTGAGGACAAATTCATGCTCTCCAGAGTTAGGATTTCAGATCATTAACAGGGCTTCTGGGAGGCCATTGCCCATTGCTACAATCACCTGTACCTATTTGAGAGTAAGATGTAGTGATGGGCATAGGCTCTGCACCAGAAGGCCAGTCCTTGAGTCCTGGTTTGGCCACTCATTGTTTGACCTGGCGAGGTGTTAACTAAAGTGTTTGTGCCTCAGTTTCTTCATTTGCATAAAGGAACTAATAACAGCTACTTGTGAGGGACATAGTAGTGTGCTGCGGATGCCCCAGCCTCTGGGAGTGCCCTTGGCAGGCAGCCTTCTGTGGACAGCCCCTCTGGGGACTGCCTTAGTGGCAGAGTACTGCCTCATCCAAGGAGGGCTCACATCTAATGACTGAGTTGGAGGAGGTATAAAGTCCTGGTCACTTTGGTGCCCACACAGGACAACCCAGGTGAATCTGTCCAATCTCGCTTCTTTCTTTTCTTTCCTTTTTTTTTTTTTTGAGACAGGGTCTAGCTCTCACCTGGTGACAGAATGTAGTGGTGCGATCACCACTCACTGTATCCTCGACCTCCCAAGCTCAAATGATCCTCCCACCTCAGCCTCATGAGTAGCTGGGACCATAGGCATGTGCCACTATGCCTGCTAATTAAAAAAAAATTTTTTTGTAGGGATGAGGTCTCTATGTTGCCTAGGGTGGTCTTGAACTCCTGTGCTCAGGTGATCGTCTGGCTTCAACCGCCCAACGTGCTGGGATTACAGGCATGAGCCACCACACCTAGCCCAACCTTCTTTCCCCTCTCTGTTTTGGGTGTTGATCCCAAGGGTATTCCCTAATAAACACAGTGTACCCTAAACTTTGTTTCAGAGTCTGCTTCCTGGGCAACACCACCTGCTCCACTGCCTCGTGGGGTTACTGTGTATTTAAATATGATGATATATGATAAAGCATTTGGAACAGTGGCTGATATGCGCTCAATAAATACTGGCTGTAACAATTATCATCCCGTTTTTGTCTCTCTTCCTGCTAAGACTCAATTATTTATTCAACTATTACTGAACTAGTATGATGCAGAGTTATGTCCTAGGCACTGAGAATGCCAAAAGGAATTAAAGCACAGTTTTTACCTTCAAGAAGCTCATAATCTAATGAGAGAGGCAGACATATCAATTACTATGTAATGTAAGAAATGCGGGAATAGGAATTTGTCTATAGTGCTGTGTTAGTGTTCTGGCCTTGCCTCTGCTTGTATTCCTAACCTTCTGGATGAAGCTAAAAGGCCATGTAGTGTGATTCCAGTCATTGAAGGGAGGCCCTGAGGGCCCAACCTCTCCCCAGTTCCCCTCACATCCTTGTTACCCTTCAGCTCATTCTGCCATTCCCCCTTTTAGAATGCCTTTTCTTTAGCTAAACACCTTGAATCTGGTTAAAATGCAAATATTTCTAACAGGGCTTACATTTTAATGGGATTCAGAAACTGGTTTGAGCATATGTTAGCTGTGAATGTAGTTTTTGGCAAGCCACATGCTCAGGTACCCCATGAAGCAGATACTGAGATGAAGGGGTTTCTTGGGAGGATGCTTGTAAAAGGGAAAAAGGGAGGCAAGAGGATTGGACAAGGAGAGGCTGCAATTGTATTGCAGATCTGACAAAGATGCAGCTAACCTAGTACTTTGGCGCAGAATTTGCCCATTAGAAGAGTCCCAGGCTGGGCAGAAATGGGCTGACCTTGTACTTCCTCGCAGCTGGGGAGGCTGTAAGCTGAAAACTACCCAGGAAGAGCTTGGCTTCTGCTCAAACGCTGAGGTGGGGTTTGATGATGCTGCAGCTGGTGACTGGGAGCTGCTGCCCTCCTGGTGGTGGAATGGCAAGATCTTCCTGGAAGGGAGATCTGTGTGTCACACCTCCCAGCTGCCACATCATGTAAATTCTCTGAGAACTAGTTTTCTTGTTTTTTTTGTTTTGTTTTGTTTTCATTTTTGTTTTTTTTTTTTGAGATGGAGTCTTGCTCTGTTGCCCAGGTTGGAGTGCAATGGCACAATCTCGGCTCACTGCAACCTCTGCCTCCTGGGTTCAAGCGATTCTCCTGCCTCAGCCTCCTGAATAGCTGGGACTACAGGCGCCCACCACCATGCCTGGCTAATTTTTGTATTTTTAGTAGAGACGGGGTTTCACCATGTTGGCCAGGCTGGTCTCGAACTCCTGACCTCAGGTGATCCATCCGCCTCGGCCTCCCAAAGTGCTGGCATTACAGGCATGAGCCACTGCGCCCGACCGAGAACTAGTTTTTTAAGCTGAAAAAAGGGTACTCAGAATGCCAAAAACCTTCAGCACAAACGCTTCTTTCAAACTTCTGCACGAACAGACTTGACCAAACTTTAACACGGCTTCTAGCAGACTAAGGTTGTGTCCCTGGGGCAACCTAGCCTTCTTTTAAGTTCCTGTCTGGAAAAGCTCAGGGCTGTGAAAAGAATTTGCTGTTTGTTCCAGCCAACACCTGAAGATAGACCCCTGACCTCCTTACTTAGAGCATTTACCAAACAGGGCTTACAATTGTGAATTCTTTCTCTGTCTCTTTGAGATGTATGTGTATCTCCTGCAAGTCAGGAGTGTCTCTCTCAAGAATCTGAAAGCCATTCCTTTGAAATGTAATTATCAGGAAGGATAGGGCCCTGGCTCCTAACTGGTGTTAATTGCCAGCTAGCACGTGCAGCTGGCCTAATTATGGTGATGCCCACCAACCGTTTGTAAGGCTTCACCAGAGTCCCACAGGCTCCTCCTCCCTCCTCCCGCATCTTCCCCTTTAAAACGCCCAGTCACCTCAGCACAAATCAGAATTGAGCTCTGCTCCTTCTCTTACTCTCAGTAGTTACTGAATAAAATCTGTTTTCACCACGTTAACGGACGGTTGTTTATCTTTGACAATAAATACTAAGATCTATCTTCCCAACCTCACAGGGCTGTGAAGACGGAATAAGTTAATGGGGAAAATAAAGTTGTGAAGCTCTTTGCAAATATAAGTTGTTGTCAGTGTGAAGGCTTTGCATATATTGTTCTTAGAGAAGGTTTTAAAAAACTACATCAAAGTATTTTTCTGTTACTATATCTCCTTTGTAAAAATGTAAGCAATATAGAGAAAGTGGATAATGCCTCTAATACTGTTCCTCAGAGATGCTACTGTCAACAGAATGACATTTATCATTTCATTCTTTTTATGCAAGTATAAACATGTAAACTTTAAAAAAATGTATAAGCACGATCCTACTCTATGTATGCTTCTATAACCCACTTTCCTCATTTAACAATATATCAGGGGCATACATCAGTGTCAGTAGATATAAACCTACTTCCTTATTTTTAAAGATTGAAGAGGGTTTTGTTGGATGCTTACGTGATAATTTATTTAACTGATCTCTTTCTGATGGATGGCTGTATTATTGACAATTGTTCAGTATTTTAAATCAAAGCAGCAGTAAACATTCTTGCACATACATTTCTGCCTACCTGGGTAATAATTTCTTTAGGATGCATTTCTAGAAGTGAAAATCTTGGGTCCAAGAGAATGTACATTTAAAATGTATACTGTGTTGACCTGCATCCCTGAAAGGGGATATAGATTTATATTCCCATCAGTAATGCCTTTCAGTGACAGTTTCCTTACTTCCTTGACAGGTAATTTTGATGGGGAAGGGGGAGGAGGGTCAGAAAGGCAAATGGGGTCAATTCGATTCCTAAAGAATTCAGAGGAAGGTGTCACTAAAAAGGATGGGAGGAAAAAGCACAGACCCCAAAAGCTGGGCTCAGAAAGTAGGCAGTGCCTGACTACCTTTTGGTCCCAGGTTCCAGCTCGCCCACCACTGAGAAACACACATCCTAAGCCACCAGAACATGGGGACTCCTTTCCATAGGATGTGGGAGGCAAGCAACTGCAACGGCTCCCCTTGGGCCTGGGCAGGCAAAAGCCTTTCTGTACAGCACTGGAGAAAGCTCTGCCTGCAGCTATACCTGCCTGGCCTCGGCTCTTGCCTCATCTTGCACATTAAGGAGGAGCAAGGTTGATGTGTCCCACGAAGGAATGATCAAAGTCTAGTAAAGCTGCCAACTCTAAGAAGTGGTGCTGCGCCTGAACTTGGGGCCTGGCTTGGGGAGCAGACATTCATCTTTGGTTGCTCCAGGGAAACATTTCATGTTATTTTCGGGTGGGGCATTGGAGAGGGGGAAAAGGTGAAGGTGGCAGACTCATATTTTACCCGCCTCCATGTCTGTGTTGTACCAGCTGCCGTAGTTCTTCTCTTTCCATTTTTTTCTTATTAATTTTCTTAAATTGAAAAGATTGGAGCGCATTAACTTTCATGGGGAAAAAAACTTTAAAATACTGTTTGAATTCTCATCTTTTATGTATCCATTCTAATACCGCAAATGTCTTCATGATATATGTTACCTGCCAGCTGTTGTCGCAGGGGGTTGTGTTTTTCACATAGTTTCCAAGGGCTAATCCTTTTTTCCTTTGCATCTTACACTAAGCAGCTTTAGAGCACAATGGTGCAGCTGCTTCACAGCTGTTGTCTGGACTTAGGGCAAGAGCCCTGTTTGGGGTTGAATGATTTGACTCCTTTATGCAGTTTCCAGGACCCTGAGTTCTGAGAACACACACAGGGCTGCTCAAGCAAGAATGAAATGAGCCTACAAGAGACGCTTCTCCTTTGTCTGAGGCACACAGAGAGAACTGCATTTGCTCACCCAGGGCCAGCCCCAGCAGGCTCTCAACACTGCTTTTCTTCCCTTTCTTGATGCTGTTAGAAAAACATGAAAAAGATGGCACAGAGAGAAGCAGACCTAGTTATCCAATTCTTAAAATCTTTAAAAGCCATACTCCTGGTTTGTTGAAGCCAACGAGATTGTCTGCTCTTAGAGGGCAAGTAACCTACTATATTCAAGACCTGCAATTATGCTCAATAGATATGCATCATTTTATCAACTTGAAGAAATTAGAGAGGGACCTAAAATGCTAAAGAGGGAGGCTGGCTGGACATGAGGCAGAGCTCATGGTAACCACACCTTTGTGGGGTCACCAGAATTCAAGGTGAGAACCTCAGCTCTGCCAGCCCAGAGCTAGAATCTATCACACGGAGTGGAACAGCCTCTTACTGAAAGAGAATGAGGATACCAAGTAATTAATTTATACTGAGCATTTTCCTTCCTTGGATCTAGAATATTAATGCCTGCCATCAAAAACATGTTCTTTCTGTTGGCAGAATACATGGGAAATTGAACGGTAATCAGAAGGTCCATGCTTGGGCAGCATGGCCACAGAACAGTAGGTTTGATTTTGAGCATTACTTGTCCCCAAACAGCTTTCCCAGTTAAGGTCATGAGGTGTTGTTGTTTTTGTTGCTTGTTTTTTACTCTCTCAGTCATTCATTTCCATTGCTTCTACAGAGAGTTAATATCATCCTTTACATTTTGGTTTGATTATATTACATGAGACTAGAATTCCTGTATAAAAACTGTATATCTTTTCTTGATCCTGAGAGCTCTGATGCAATCATTCCAAAAACGACTCTGCTATCCTAGAAGTACTTTAGTATTAAGCATTTAGTATTGGGAATTGGGTAGTATTATTTTCCCAGTAGACTTTATAGTATATTTGTAGAATTATAATTTTAAATATAGTTCAGAATTTCCATAAACATTAAGCATTTTTTAAAAGCACTGAATGTAGAAGATACAAAGATAGACATGCATACTAGTTTTCTTCTTTTAGTTTTGCTACTAGTAACTAGTAGCAAAGAGAAAAAACATAGGCTCTGCATACAGGGAGCAACACAGGACTGACAGGAATGTAAAAAATCCTGTGGAAGGAGAAGGAAGAGGGAAAGAAAGGAAGCTGCAGGTGACATGAGATGAAAGAAAGAGAACACAGTGGGGATTAAAACATGGAGGGAGGATTAGCTGTGGGAGCCAGTGAGTCCAGGCGAGTTCTGTGTAGGACAGCTGTTGGAAAGAGCCTGGGCAGGAGGAGGGCTTTCGGGTTTTAGTCCCAGATTTGTCCACAGCTGTCTGACCTAGGCAAGTAACTTAACTGATCTGGAGTTAATTTTGTTGTTTTTTCTTTCTTTCTTTCTTTCTTTTTTTTTATGGAGTCTAGCTCTGTTGCCCAGGCTGGAGTGCAGTGGCCCGATCTCAGCTCATTCCAACCTCCACCTACCAGGTTCAAGCGATTCTCATGCCTCAGCCTCCGGAGTAGCTGGGATTACAGGTGTGCACCACCAAGCCTGGCTAATGTTTGTATTTTTAGTAGAGACGGGGTTTCGCCGTGTTGGTCAGGCTGGTCTCGAATTCAGGTGATTTGCCCGCCTCGGCCTTCCAAAGTGCTGGGATTACAGGCTGAGCCACTATGCCCGGCCCCCATTCTGTTCTTTATGAAATGAGGAGTTTGGGCTAGGTGACCTAGGTGACTTTCTGAGGTCCACTATAGCTTTGCCGAAGCACCCAAGACTCTTGTCTTTTGGGAAAGACCAGACTAGACTGAATTCCCAGACTAGAGGGCTGTCATTATTTCTAGGTATAATGTTTTAGATTACAATCCAGACTGTGATCCAGTCAAGTCTGTCTTGAGCTGTGTTAATTTTTACTTTAGAAGGACAGAACTGATAATGATTATATAAATAATTACGGTGGCAAAATGGAATGATGGGCATTAATTAATGGGAATAAGAACATTCAGCACAAATATATTCTGAAACCAAGACAAGGATGAAGACTGTAAGGCAAATGTACCTGGGAATGTGCTGCAAGTATAGCAGGTGTAGAAAGAACCACCATTTGGGCAGCTCCATCATTTTTCAAGCTCTGGTGAGAGAGGCCATCTTAGGCAGGCAGCTATCAGTAGTGGAGATCTGAGGGTGGCACCAGACAGTGACAAGCAGCATAAATTGGCAGACAATAAGCCACACCCATATTTAATATCCAGTGCATGCCTGTAGAGAGTCTATGCTGTTCTGACAATCTCTGCAGTTTCATCTCTTGGAGGATGGAAAGCTTAAAATATTTAGGTTAGAGAAAGGGTCTGATGAGTGAAGAACTCCTCTTTTGGCTTGAATCTATCTCTTCTGCCTTTTTTTCTTTTT
The DNA here is from genome assembly GCF_000001405.40 of Homo sapiens. Classification (NCBI taxonomy): domain Eukaryota; kingdom Metazoa; phylum Chordata; class Mammalia; order Primates; family Hominidae; genus Homo; species Homo sapiens. The sequence continues at coordinate 77,179,938 of NC_000004.12, forward strand.
TTTTTTTTTATATTGAGTTTCACTCTTGCTACCCAGGCTGTTGTGCAATGGCATGATCTTGGCTCACTGCAATCTCCGCCTCCCAGGTTCAAGCAGTTCTCCTGCCTCAGCCTCCAGAGTAGCTGGGATTTAGCAGAGATAGGGTTTCACCATGTTGGTCTGGCTGGTCTCGAACTCCTGACCTCAGGTGATCCCCTCACCTCGGCCTCCCAAAGTGCTGGGATTATAAGTGTGAGCCACCACACCTGGCGTCTTCTGCCTTTTTTTTTTTTTTTTGAGGTGGAGTCTCGCTCTGTAGCTCAGACTGCAGTGCAGTAGCACGATCTTGACTCACTGCAACCTCTGCCTCCCAGGTCCCAGTTCAAGCAATTCTCCTGCCTCAGCCTCCTGAGTAGCTGGGATTACAGGCATGCTCCATGATGCCCAGCTAATTTTTTTTTTTTTGTATTTTTATTAGAGACTGGGTTTCACCATGTTGGCCAGGCTGGTCTTGAACTCCTGACCTCATGATCCTCCCACCTCGGCCTCCCAAAGTGCTAGGATTACAGGTGTGAGCCACTGCACCCAGCCCTCTTCTGCCTTTTAATAATAGTTTTACTTAACTTAAAACCAGCTGTGAGCTTCTTCTTCATTGTTGCTATGGCCAGCTCCTAGAAAAGAGCTCATCACAGAGTAGATGCTCAATAAATGAAGGTGGAATTAACAAACACATGAAGCTACTGAAGGGTTCCCCGCAGGAAATTATGCTCTAGAATGGATGCTATTTTAAAGGACAGTATAGAATGGAAAGGGGTGTCAGTGATGCTTCTTTAGAACTCTGAGAATTGGAATTATAAAGTCAATACACAATGGAACAAAGCAGATATTTGGAGAATTCTCCTTAAAGCAAAACAAAACAAGCAAACAACCGACCAAAAAAGGGAACAGAATGTCTTCTGGGCCCCAAGGTGGGAAAAACAGGGCTTGGTTCTAGTGTACTCTGTGGAATCAACATGGCTAAGAAAGCGCAGGCCAACAGAATGAGAATGATTTGACCAGGAACAGAAAAACGAGTCAGAGAATCCAAGACCGACTTTGCCAGTGTGCACAAGTGTGAGGCTGGGGGCCTGGATGTCCTTTCTGAAATAAGAGAGAAGAGAGACCAAATTAGGAACACCCTTATGGTGAGACCGGACTACTTAGAGTACCCTAGCTTGTTCTGATCCTATATTTCTGTTTTGTTTTGTTTTTATTTTTTGAGACAGGGTCTTGCTCTGTTGCCCAGGCTGGAGTGCAGTGGCACAATCACAGTTCACAGCAGCTCTGACCTCCTGGGCTAAAGTGACCCTCCTGCCTCAGCCTCCCAAGTGCTGGGACTACAGGCATGGAGCACCACTATGACTGGCTAATTTTTCTTTTTTAGCAATTTTTTGCAGGGATAGGATCTCATTATTTTGCCCAGGATGGTCTCACACTCTGGCTTCAAGTGATCCTCTCACCTCTGCCTCCTAAATGCCAGTTTGCGCTGGGATTACAAGCATAAGCTTGTAATCAAACAATACTCATGCTATATAGAGTCAGAAGGCCTGCACCTGACTTTCTGATCCTATATTCTCCTAGCACGGGTAATGTCTGATTTCTTTGTTACAGGTAACTAACATGTTGATGTTGCCCTTTGCTGTCAGTTCAGCTCCTCTAGGAAGCAGATGCTAAGATGGAATTAGGAGTACAATAAATTTATTGGGGGCTAATGGCCATGACAGAAGGGAGAGGAAACAGGACTGGGCAATGAAAGTCTTCACACCTCCATGCAGATTAGACACCTGTGAAAGGAAAGAAAGAGAGGCAGAATTGGGCAAGGGGAGCTTCAGACCATGGTGTGGATCTGCATAAATCTCTGCCTATGCAATAGGGAGTTCTGGAACAAAGAGTCCCCATTAGAAGAGTCCCATGCTGGGCAGACAGGGCCACACCCGAGCACTCCCAGCTTGTACGGTATTGGCTGGGGGCTACCCAGGAAGAGATGGGCCTCAGCTCAAACACATGGCATATGTTGAAGATGCTGCAGCTAGAGGCAACAGTGAGTTCTCTCTTAAAGGGAGATCTTCGCAGCACACCTCCACAGCTGCCATGCGATCCAAATCTCTTATTCCATGCTGGCTTTCACTATAGAATAGTGGCCAGAGAGTTTGATACCTGCTTTCCCAGCCTCCCTGACAATTGGAATGACTATGTGACACAGTTCTGGCTAGTGGGGCTTCTGAGAAGCTAACTGGATAAAAAGACAAAGCCTTATGCGAAGAAAGCACGCACACACATACGTGCACCGGCTATTTGTTTTCTAATTTTGAATGCCGTCTTGATACCTGGAGGGGCAGCCATCTTGCAACCAAGAGGCCATAAGCAAATGTGCTGAAGGATATAGTTCCTTGATGACATTAATGAGACTGCTCTCTTCCTGGTAAATAAACAATATGTTATTAACAAATGTTCTTATGGTTTAATCTATTGTTTTGGTTTTTGTTACTTGCAGCTAACTGATAATACATTTATTGCCTGGTTGAAGTAACTTAAAGTATATATGTACTTAAAGAATATATGTAATTCACCCACAAGCAAGTTCCCATATAATAGGTCTCATTATAAATGAGTAAGTTGGCATTCTACTTTACATGTGAATTTCTTAATACTTTGGTTAGAGTGAGCCAGTCCTTGTGAAATCAATATTCACAGAGTATTCTGAGAAAAGAGTTTTGAGACCTGAAAAGCCAGAGAAAGACGAAGCCTGAAAAGGGTGACAAGGTGCACTCACTCAGCGTCCTTCCCGAGATTGTGCGTTCCAATCTTAGCAAGAGGGTTTGCATTTATTCAAGCCCCAGGACAAACTATGGCTGTACATCCTAGTTGGCAATAATTTTTAAATATCAAAAGCCTGAAACTTGTCACCTTTAAAAAAAAAATTTCTGCAGTGAAATAATGAAGCAGCGCCTGTACTTTTTAGGAGAATCAGCCCTGTATGATTAATTATAGGCCACAGGACAGCAATGGAATATATAGACTATGAGGACCAGTGGGCATTGTCTAGAAAGAAGCAATTTGTTTATAGAAGACCGATAAACACTGTGCCGACTTTCTTCCATTGACATACTAGCAACCATAAGGAAATTCACTCGTTGTCATGTTGGAAGACAGAGTCATGAAAAAGGATACAGAATAGGTCAGTTTTAAACATAGTTGAAGAAAGTATGGTGTGAGGACAATAGTGACAGAGTGGGGAATACCGAGTTGCTGGGCTGTAGTAGTGGGAATTCTGGGCACTTGTCCCTTTAGTGTGAGGACCCTAGACACTGGGAAATCTGAGGAGCACTATTTAGATGCAAAAATGGACCATTTTGATGTTCTCATCTGTATCAGTGTTGTCAAGGAAACAGATGACTTGCTCAAATTAGGATAATTCAAAGAGTGTTTAATAAAAGGACAATTTTCAAAGGTAAAAGAGAGGTGTAGGGAAACCTCAAGGATAGTGAAGTCAGGTCTTGAAACAGAGAAGCTGTAATCAAATTAGGCCCAAAGTGATAAAAGGAGGATAGATGGCTGCTGGAACCCAAAAGGAAGAGTTGCGTAGAAAAGATGACTTGAGAAGATCTGTGACCTTGGTTGAGAGGACACAGCTTACCTGAGAGCCAGGGGCCTAAATATACTGACCTCATACTCCTCCCTCCCTCCAATCTCTGCCAGGGCTCCCCATTGGCCCAACTAGAAGCCAGGGAGCACAAGAGCCTACTGGTGTAGTTCATGAACTCAGTTTCCTGGGTGGAAAGCACAATGGAGAAGAGCAGAGAGTGGGTCTGAAGGACAAAGAGAAGACACTGTGTCCCTTCCCTTGTTTGTCCTCTTTCAGAGATGGTTCTGGACAACTCTAGGACTAAAACCAGAAAGAGAGAGAAGGAAACTAAGTCTGGAACATCTGCAGATGATGTAATTTGTTCCTAAGAATTTGAGAGATTCTGAAAACATAAATAAATCATAACTTCAGGCTTTCAAGTAAGACTTGGATACAGCGAGCTCTCCCGGGAGGTGTTGAGGAGGGTGTTTGGAAACGTACCTTTGGCTGGTATTGAAGGAAGAAGAGTTCTCATTTCAACCAGTTAACTAGTTATTTCATCCAAGAAATAGCATAATGGAAAATATAGGGAAATGAGTATTTAAGTGTTGGAGGAAAAAAAAAAAAGAAAAGGAAAGCAGACCAAGCAGGAAGAAGCAGAGGAGGTGGAGTGGGCACTTATTAAGGGAAGCAAAGCTTTCCAGAAACCTCAGTTTATGATTCACTACCCAGAACTGGGTCATATGGTAGTTGGGCACCCCGAGCTGAGAGCGAGTCTGGAGAAGCAGACATTTCTACCTGGGCACAGTGATGCCCTGAACCAAATCAGGTTTCTGGTAGAAGACAGAAACAGGCGTAGATATTGGGCAGGCAATTAGCAGTGCTTCCTGTCTTACAGAAAACTAAGACTCATATATGTGAAGGAATTGATCCAAGAATTCACAGTTAGTAAGTGATGGAGCTAATATTCACACTTGGCTTCTTTGGACTCCAAATGCTTTTGTGTACTGGGTTATAAAGTTATAATGGAAGGCTGGTGCTGGCTTCTTGCCTTAACATGTAGCACTAAAAGACTGGTAGTTTATCCTGTAGGAAAGGATGGCTTTGGACATATGGAGAAGAAAAAACAGAATATTTCTAGGAGATGAATTTATTTCACCTGCAGTGAGGAACACAGGATATTGGTTCCAGTTTTGTCACTGACTTATAACTTAGGTAAGTCACTTATTTTCTCTGTGACATTTTGTTACTGTCTATAAAATGGAATAATATTACCTTCTAAAAACTCACAGATAATGTGAAATATAATAACAATATTAAGAAATGCTTTGATATCCATGGATAAAATGTTTTAAGGAAAAGTCAAAGATGTCAAACCAGCATTTTGGGCCACAGTGCTCATCAAGAACATTCCAGATAAAGGCAGAACACCACTCCTGTTGGATGTAACAGTGAGACTAAATACTGCCAAAGTCTAAGTGCCTGGAGAAATTCCTGTTAGGAACATGAACTACAGAGAACAACAATGCTTCCTCTTCTTTTCCTTTATTACAATAAGATTTCCTCTATTTCTAAGCTCCTGGACCTGAAGCAGACCTGCAGAGAGGATCAAGTGCAGAGACAAGCTGCTGCTGAGATCATCATAGGGGACCTCTTCTAACATATGAGTTCCTGAGGAAGTGCTGTGACCTTCCAATGCTGCCACTGGTAGTCTCATTTCAAAGAGTAAAATGTGAAAATCCAATGGCAGCAGCTATTGTGATATGCCAGACAGCAGGAATTGGGACTAAAAATCAAGGGATACTTGTGATAATAGATCCATAGTACTTTGGAGCTGGAAGAAACCCAGCTTCAAAAAACAGCTTGATTTGCAGCTCTTCATTCAAAAAGGTATAAACCCTCTCTTTTTAAATGCTTAAATGGAATAAATGTATTCAGGACAGCTGCTGAGATTATCTAGAAATACAGATTGCTTAAATTTGAATTCTGAATTCAAACTTACTAACTATGCAACTTTAGGAATGTTGCTTCATCTTTTCGGATGTTTCCTCATCTGTAAAATGGGATGGTAATAGAATCTTTCTTGAGTTTCTTTAATTAGGCAAGATAACCTGTGTAAAGCCCTTGGCACACAGTATGTACTCCCTAAATTCTAGCCCTTATATTAGTATGTATCTATAAACTATTAGAATTATAGAGCTATAGTTTCTATATTCAGAAAGGCTTAAATATTTGTACATGCCTACCTCACTGCTTCTGTGTTAGAGATACAATTGAAGGAGGGAGGTTGACAGTGAAAATGCTCAGAAGTTAGAGTCAGACAGACCTGATTTTGGATCTTGCTGTCTCTCCTGGCATTGTGCCCTTTGGTTGGCTACTTTACTTCTCCAAACCCCAGTTCCTTCTCTGTTTATCTAAGCAATGTGTCTTTCTTCTTGATGCCTTCAGCAGCCCTGTACCATTCCAATATTGATACAAACTCAATTCCTTCATTAACTTCCATAAGAAATCTATTCACACTGAGCATATTATCACTTTTTTTTTCATCCTTACTGTGAGTTCATATGATCATAGGGAGATATCTCATCACACAGAGTGCCCACATTTTCACTTGAAAAATCTCTACTAGATTGATCTCTTCTAACTCTTGCCTCCTGGCCCTCAGCCACTGTCTTCCTCCTACTCTTAAACTTACCCCAAGAATGCATCCAATCCCATTTTCCTTCCCTATTCTTCCTTTATTATTCTGAGAAATGTGCTTCTACCATAAGAAACCTGGATGCCAGCTTATTGCTCTTTTTTTTTTTTTTTTTTTTTTTTTGAGACCGAGTCTCGCTCTGTTGCCAGGCTGGAGTGTAGTGGAGCGATCTCGGCTCACTGCAACTTCTGCCTCCCAGGTTCAAGCAATTTTCCTGCCTCAGCCTCCCGAGTAGCTGGGACTACAGGCGCATGCCACCATGCCCAGCTAATTTTCGTATTTTTAGTAGAGATGGGGTTTCACCATGTTGGCCAGGATGGTCTCCATCTCTTGACCTCATGATCTGCCTGCCTCGGCCTCCCAAAGTGTTGGGATTACAGGCGTGAGCCACCATGCCTGGCCTCTTTTTTTTTTTTTTTTAAAATCACAACTGGGTAATCAAAGTATTTCTTCTGTCTCTGATCAGATGCTAAGAAGACAATTTTTTTCTCTGATCATGTTCTTAAACTCCTTAATCTTTAGAATGCAATTCTTCTTTTCTTGGAGAGAAACTGTGTTGGATATTTTCCATTTGCTCCTCCAGATATGACCCCCTCCTCCCACCCCACACTCATCCTCACCCTGCTGTGCACCTAGGGAAGATGACCCACGCTGACTGCATCACTGGCTCCTTGCCTTTTGGCTTCTGGATGGTTTGGCCAGTGAGTGTCAGGAGCAGAAGACTGGAGGATGGGAGAGTGAGTTCAGGATATTTATCCCCTCAGATTTATCCCCATCTTCCCAGGTCACTGCAGGTTGGACACATCCTCTACTGAAGGCCATATCGCCTGTCAGTGGGTCCTTCCCTGAAATTACCCTTTCTGGTTCTAAGAGCTACTCTTTCTCCTTGTACCTTCAGGCCTAGAGGTGGTCACAGCTCCTGCTGTAGCTGGCCCCAGGGATGCTACATTACTTCTTATATATTTTCCTTACTTGTCTACACCTTCATAAATAGTCCCTTTATTAAACTCTCAATTACACCATTTAAGTGTACCATCTATTTCTAGTTACAGCAACCTACCCATTTATTTAACTCTTCATTCCTTCAAAAACCATGATTGAGTTACCATTTCTAGCCAGGAACTATTGTGGGGACTGGGGATACAAAGGCAAATAATACATTCTGTTTTCCATGAGCTCACTGCTGGCAAAGGACACAGACAAATGAACAGATGGTGACAATGGAGCTGTAATAAGAGCAGTGTTAGCATTTTTGCTTTGAAAGGACATGAGGGAGGTCCTTAGTTCTCTTTAAGGACTAGCTGTGGTCTGAATGTTTGTGCCCCGACCCACTTCCCAAATTCACATGTTGAAATCGTCACCCCCAAGATGATGTTATTAGGAGGTGTGTCTTTGGGGGGTGATGAGGTTACTGGGGGAAGCCCTCATGAATGGGATTAATAGCCTTGTAAAAAAGAACCCAGAGACCTCCCCTGCTCCTTTTACCATGTGAGTACACAGCAGGAAGGTGCCATCTATGAACCAGGAAGTGGGCCCTCACCAGATACTGAATTGTCACATTGATCTTGGACTTCTCAGCTTCCAGAACTGTGAGAAAGAAATTTATTGTTTATAAGCTATCCTATCTATGTTATTTTGTTATACCAGCCAGAATGGACTAAGACAGGGATCTAGCAGAGAAATGCTTTCTGAAGAAGAAAAAATTGGCTGGGTGCAGTGGTTCACACCTGTAATTTCAGCATTTTGGGAGGCTGAGGTGGGAAGATCGCTTGTGGCCAGGAGTTTCAAACCACCCTGGGCAACATGGAGAGACCCCATCTGTACAAAAAAAATTTTTTTTTTAAAATTAGCCAGGTGTGGTGGTGCATGCCTGTGGTCCTAGCTACTCTAGAGGCTAAGTCAGAAGGATCACTTGAGCCCAGGAGGTGAAGACTGCAGTGAGCTGTGATTGTGCCACTGCACTCCCATCTGGCCTGTGGAGTAAGACCCTGTGTCAGAAAAAAAAAAAAAAAAAGAAAACCTTGCTTTTGCTTTCACTGTTGGAAGTCAAAGTGGAATAAGATAAGTGGGAATTAGCCAGGATGGGGAAGATGAAAGAGAGATGAGAGTGTACTAGAAGTGGGAATAGTTTTGGAAAAATGCTAGGAGGAGGATCAACTAAGGGGGTCAGAGCAGAGATGGAATTTGAAGACTGGTAGAAGACTGGCTCAGGCAGTAAACGGCTTTTTTTCTCTACTCTTTTTGCAGGAATTTTGTCTTTATCCTGAACGTGATGGGAAGCCAGGGAAGGCTTTTGTGTTTTAGAAACGTCTCTCTGGATGCAGTGTATAGAAGGACCTAGAGAGTGGGCCCTGAAGGTAGTGAAAACAGTTGGGAGGGCAGAGCAAGGCGGTAGGCGAGAAATGAGGGCTGAAACTAGGGTTGTTGCAGAGTGGATGCTGACGAGGGAGAACTCAGGAGAAGGTCTACGTGGGTAGCCTTTTTACCACAGTACTTGCAGCTGCTCTCTCATTTTAAACTGGGGATGTATAAATATAGCCGTGGCAGGGAATTGGAAAGTTTTAGCTCTGTATACATTCTAAATTAGGCTTGTACATTTTGGAGTTCAATATCTTATTAATGTTGTAAAAGATAGAATAAATACTATTATATATCTGTCTACGCAGTAGCACCAGCTCCATCCAAATAATGAGTTAGACAGTAACAAATCTCAGATTCCAAAGGGCAGAGCACCAACACAGAGGGTTCTTCCTGCTGTGCTGGCGTGGACAGTGGCCACCTTTCACCACCTGTTCCCCTGGATGCTTTTGTTCTTCTATGCTGGCAGAACTAGGATCCAGGCAGGCTTCACAATGCAGCCAGAGTTGCTGATAGTTTTGGCGAATAACCTACTGAAATTAATCCAGCTCAGAATATGAGTTCAGGAAACTGGAAGTAGAATTGTTCTTTACACAAACCTCATTTCCCCTCCCTGTTTCCTCCTCCACAGACTCAGGTTGTGGTTGGGGGGAATCAAGAGACAGAAAAGAAAAGGGATGGGTGGATTAGGATTCGGAAGCAGTTTGTCTTGGCTTGGAAGTAATAGAATTGAAATAAAGCTATTGAAAAGAAAATTGGGGTGCTTTCACCACACCTCTTCTCTCTGTGCCGCCATCCCTAAGGATAGCTCGTGTGGCAGGAAGAGCATTTTATCTTTCTTCTCTTGTGGGTTTCAGGGGTCTTTCACGGGAAAAAAGGGATAATAGGGCCACAGGGAGTGGTTACTGGCTCTACCATCTCAATACATCCCTCTAAACTCACTTTCAGACAATCCTAGCTGTAGTACTTAGTGCTCAAGAGCAGGGCCTTGGAATCCAAACAACCTGGGTTTAAATCCTCACTCTGACTATTCCTCTTGGCAGCTGTGTAACTTGGGGAAAGTTGCTTCATCCCTTCAAACCTGACTTTTCTCATTCATAACATAGGAATATTAATAGCTATCTCATAGAGGCAAATGGGGGATTAAATAAGCCAAAGTATGTAGAGTACCTGGCTCAGAGTAAGCAGAGGGTGGTAGCTTTTTTTTTCTTCTTTTTTTTTGAGACAGAGTGTCACTGCATCGCCCAGGCTGGAGTGTAGTGGCACAGTCTCAGCTCACTGTAACCTCCGCCTCCCAGGTTCAAGTGATTCTCGTGCCTCAGCCTCCTGAGTAGCTGGGATTACAGGCACGTGCTATCGTGCCTGGCTAATTTTTGTATTTTTAGTAGAGATGGGGTTTCACCACGTTGGCCAGGCTGATCTCCAACCCCTTACCTCAAGTGATCTGCCCACCTGGGCCTCCCAAAGTGCTGGGATTACAGGCATGAGCCACTGTGCCCAGCCAAAGGGTGGTAACTTTTAATTTTTGGGCTGTAAATTAGAGATGGAATGGCCAAATTAGGAGTCCAAGCTGGGCCTCCACTTTTGTGCTTGTCAGCTACATAGGCTAGGGGGCAGTGGGAGCCTCAAGATCACATCCTCAGGCATGGTCCAGGGCCCCATCCTCTGGCCTTGAAGAGTGATGACTAACTGTGGAATGTTGCCTGGCTTCTCTACAGTGAGGATTGTTATGTGTCTAATTTTGAACTGGACTATCAGGTAGTTGAGCTTTCTATCCAGGAAGTCAACTGAGAAAACACTGGCATAAACATGCGGGGAGTGGGTTTCTCTTATTTGTTAAGCTTTATTTTTAGTGTTATTGTATGACTTGTAGATGAAGATTCTCACTGACTTTTGGGCCTGCAGAAGCAGGTGCTACCATTGCAGGCCTTGGACATGAACATGGTATTGTTCCAAATTCATTTCTGCATTATTTATACATTTGCAACTTCAAAGTGGGGCTGACCATTTCCCTTTTATAAGGGTGCCTCTTTTCTTGGGCTTTCCAGGATGCCATGTCTCCTTTCTTCTTCCTTCCTTTACAGGCAGTGCTGTGTAGTGTGCTGACTACAGGTAAGGATTCTGGAGCCAGACTGCTTGGGTTTGAATCCACGTCCACTACTGTGGCTGTGCTACCTTAGGCCAATTTTTCATCCTTGTGTGGTTCAGATTCCTCATGTGGGACATGAAGACCAATAATAGAATTGTTGTGAGAGTTAAATGAGTCAATATGTATTGCACGTGGAACAGATCTGGTTAATAGTGCTATATGTGCTTGTGCCATGAACTAGTTCTAGATGCTTTACAAACATAATATCAACCAACTCTCACAACAGTTTTATAAGGAAGCACTATTTGTATCCCTATTTCACAGCCTGAGAAAACAGAAGCTTAGAGAGGTTAGCTAGTGTGAGGTCACAGAGCTAGTAGGTAGTAGAGTTGGGAATTAAACCCAGGTTTTTCTGTCTACCTGTAAAGTCTGTGTTCTTGACCACTATTTACCCAGTCTTCCATAGTAGGTGTTTTAAATTTTTGAGAAAGTTTTTTGTCTTTTTTTTTTTTTTTATTTTAATGGAGTCTCGCTCGCTCTGTTGCCCAGGCTGGAGTGCAATGGCATGATCTCAGTTCACTGCTTGAACCTCCTGGGTTCAAGCAATTCTCCTGCCTCAGCCTCCCAAGTAGCTGGGACTACAGGCGCCTGCCACCATGACCGGCTAATTTTTTTTGTATTTTTAGTAGAGACGGGGTTTCACCATGTTGCCTATGGCTGGTCTCCAACTCCTGGCCTCAAGTGATCCACTCCCCTTGGCCTCCCAAGGTGTTGGCATTACAGGCGTGAGCCACCGCACCCGGCCGAAAGGTTTTTTTAAACAGTTCTTCTCCAGCATGTTTGGCAATTTTGTTGATTCTATCTGGCTACCCTAAAGGAAGAGTATCTATCTCCTTTCTCCTGACTACAAGTATGTGAACACTCAAGATGAAAGAAGGGGACTAGCATCAGTAAATTCCCGGAAAGCACTGGTGACAGTCGCAGGAATAAACTAGGTCAATTTGTGTCTCATTGTCCATTGACCTATTGCCTTAGACTTGGTTAGATCTCAGTGTGATTCCAGCTGGCCTCTCAGCTTCTCTTCTTTTCATCCTCACATCTATCCTCCAATGGGATTCATGTAGCTAAACTTGCAGCTTTTCAAAAACTTTTGCTCTAAATACCTCTAATAATGGATAAGTGCCTCTGGAAACTCTGGGGAAGGTAGAGTTTAAAGCAGTCTGTGATAAGCATAAGATTTCTTTGAAGGCTCATGTTTTCTTAAGATTTCATGCAAATTTTACAATGTATTTCCTTTTTTTAAATTTTAAATCAATGTTTTATCTAGGAATGATTTTAGATTTACATAAAAATTGAGGGATAGTAAAGTGAATAACATATTCTCTTCACCTAGTTTCCCCTAATGTTAACATCTAATGTAACCACAGTACATTTGTCAAAACGAAAAGATTAACATTCGTATATTGCTAAGAACTCCAAACTTATTTGGATTTCACCAGTTTTTTTTTTTCACTAATATAGATTTTTTTGTTGTTGTTGTTCCAGAATCCCATCCAGGGTATGACATTGAACTTACTCATCACGTCTCTATAGTGTCTTCTGGTATGTAATACTTTCTCAGTCTTTCTTTATTTCCATAACCTTGATTAACTGTTTTGAAGATTACTGGTCAGCATTTTGTAGAATGGCTGTCAGTTTGACTTTGATGTTTTTCTTATGATTATGTTAGGGGTATGGGGTTTGAAGAAGCATACCATGGGAGCGAAGTGCTCTTCTCATCATATCAGGGGGTACATAATAGCAACATGGTTTATCTTTGATCATATTAATCTGGATCACTTGGTTAAGATAGTGCCTGCGAGGTTTCTTTTTTTGAGATGGAGTCTTGCTCTATCGCCCAGGCTGGACTGCAGTGGCGCGATCGTGGCTAACTGCAAGCTCCGCCTCCCGGGTTCACGCCTTTCTCTTGCCTCAGCCTCCCGAGTAGCTGGGACTACAGGGGCCCGCCACCATGCCCGGCTAATTTTTTGTATTTTTAGTAGAGACGGGGTTTCACCGTGTTGACCAGGATGATCTCAATCTCCTGACCTCGTGATCCGCCCACGTAGGCCTCCTAAAGTGCTGGGATTACAGGCGTGAGCCACCGCGCCCGGCTGAGGTTTCTGTACTATACAGTTATTACTTTTCCCTTCGTCTACTCTGTTCTTTGGAAGGGATTCTCTAAAACTTGCTCAGACTCAAGGAACGGGTGTGGTGATTAAACTCCACCTCCTGGAGTGGGGAGTTACATATATTATTTGAACTTTTTCTGCAAGAAAGATTTATCTCTTTTCCCATTCATTTATTTATATTGGTTTGGATTACTATTGTCTTAATATAAAATAAATCTTTTTATCCCCAAATGTACAAGTGGAATGACTTTCCAGAAACATGTGAGTCCTGAGGATACTCATACTTTCTAGCCCGCCGTTTGCGAAGCACAGACAAAACCCAAAGCCTCACTGGGTTACTTCCTTGCTTCCATTGAGTCATCCTCCTCAATAATACTTGTGAATGAACGAATAAATGCATAACACGCACAGGTGAGCGATGAGAAATACCAGCGTTGTCTGACGGTAAGGATATTTGTGTTCAACACCAGTGTCTGACCAAATAGCTACTCATATTTCTTCTGAAATTCTTTAGGGCACACTAAACATCTTCCATGTTGTCTAAGTGCTGGAAGGGAAATTGATTCAGCCACTTTTTGAAGGTGACTCTAAATTATTCTCTCAAAATACTCAACAGCCTTTACAATGTAGTTAAAAAAAAAAAGCGGGTGGAGGGGAGAAATGCCTGTCTAAAGTAGGAAGCCCCAAGAGAAAGCCCTGGGGCGTCCAGAGGCTTGGTTTCACCTGGCAGCCGTCTGGGACCAATTGCGGAGTTGAAGTAGCTCCTACGCTTTCTCATTGGTCCTCACCCAGGGGGAAGGCGTGGCTTCAAGTGTAAAAGGCGAGGAAGCCTGGCGGGGCTGTGGGTTGTTCCGCTGGTGGATGGTTTGGGGTTGGTCGGGCGGGGTTTCTTCCAAAGCTTTGTAGGCCTGCGAGGTACTAAGAAGTTCTCTGGTGGCTGGAGGGGTGGGTGGAAAGGACCAAGCTCTTGGTAATTCTCAAGGGGGAACTTTGGTTAGCTTGCTTTAGAAGTGAAAGATGAACGAAGAAAAAAGCGAGGGCACTTAAGCGGACTAAGGAACTCGAAAGAAGGGGAACTAGGCGTTGTGTGTGGGCAGAAAATACCTCCTAGGAGGTCACAGCAACTCCCTGAAGTCGTTTTTAGCAGGCTTGCCTCTTCCAGTTACTGTGCTTTCTTAGAGTTTGTTCTTTTAGAAGCTTAAGATACAATCTTGAATTGAGGTTTCTTCTCTCATGCTCAAGCCTTACTTGCTGAGAAGGCTCCTGTCTCTTGACTTCTGTTTAATCTCTACCATAGACTTTAGCAAAGCCACTCTTATAGCTAACTTACTGAAGTTACGTAAACTCCAAGAGAAATACACGGGTTTAGAGGTTCTACGTTTAAAGCAAGCGCAGCAATCTTTAGAACTTCCTTTTAGCTATTTGGAATCCCAAAGTCTCTATTAAACACCTGTCTGGAGTAATGGTGGAAAGTGACTAAAAAGCTAGCTTCTCATCTCTTCAGAGACTAAAAATTAGATCCACTTCGATGAAAACCATAAGAAAATGTAGATCAACTTTGAATTAGTTTTTTTTTGAGGGTAGGAAACGTCCCTTTGTGACCTATTAGTAAAAAAAACTAAAATGAACTTCAAGCATGTGGCTTTTAAGACTCCTTACTAGGAAGTTAGGATCTTAATCATATTCAGCAGAAAGCAGCTGTCTGCCTCGAAGACACGCAACCTGTGGGCTGCAACTGACCTTCCACCTGGTTGTGGAGGTGGGAGACTCGTTGACTGGCAAGCCTCAGGTAATGTCAGACTGACACACCTGAAAGCACTTCTGATAGCAGTTAGAAACTTAGTAGTTGAAACAGGAAATTTCATCTAGTTGAACAGATCGTTAGCATTGAGAATGGACACTTCCTTTAGGCTTACTAGGAAAGGCAAACCATCTGTCATGGAAAAGATAAAGTGGCATCTTAGTGACAGACTCAAAAGTACACAGCATGATGGATATGTTCATTATCTTGACTGACAATTTCACAGGTGCGATGGTAGCAAGTTACATAGCTTAAATATCGTAATTCTTGCGTGCCAGCTACAGAAAAGTGCTTTTTAAAACCATGTCCAGTCATGTAGGTCCACCTGCCTTAACCTGAACAAGGGTGAATAAATACATGGGTAGGGACATGAAGCACTCTCCCCTCATCCCCATCAGCATGGAGTTACTTTCTTCACACTGTCCTTACAAAGCAGGGTTCAAGGAGAAGAGCAGAGTTCTTTCCTTCATGTAGATAATCTGATCAAGGGATGTGTCTCCCAGGCTGACAATCCACTTGACAAAGAGTCACTTGACAGGTCTGGGATCTCGAAGCCCAAGGCTTTCCAACACTGTTAGTTAAGTGCTGTAATTAGAGCTGGGGTGCTGGGGCAGGGAAGGCTCCTGCAGGATGGTCAAGGATGGGAATAGGTGGCCTTGTTTTTCCACAGTTGCTTAACATTAAAAACTAGTCTTCTGATTAGTCATCCTGTAGCATTCTCACCTGTACTTGTGTCCTTTTACTGATAGCAAAACTTTCTCTGCTTTTATAGACTCCAGAAGCTAATACAGCAGTGACTTAGTCCTGCCAAATAAGAATTTGGTCAAATTTAAGTGCATGGTACGGATGCCTTATCTCCCTAATCCTTTTCCCGTTTTTGTAAACTTCAACCACTATAAAAGCCGAGGGAAACAAAAACTAACTTTACATAAACAACTTTACTTCAAAACTAATACTCTGGGCTGGGTGAGGTGGCTCACGCTTGTAATCCCAGCACTTTGGGAGGCTGAGGCGGGTGGATTGCCTGAGGTCAGGAGTTCAAGACCAGCCTGGCCAACATGGCGAAAACCCTATCTCTACTAAAAATACAAAAATTAGCTGGGCGTGGTGGCAGGTGCCTGTAATCCCAGTTACTCTGGAGGCTGAGGCAGGAGAATCATCTCTTGAACCTGGGAGACAGAGGTTGCAATGGGCCGAGATTGCACCATTGCACTCCAGCCTGGGTGACAAGAGCAAAACTCCGTCTCAAAGAAAAAAACCAAAAATCCAAACTAATACTGATAGATCACTGGGTCTTCAGGACTTTTCACCTAGGCTAACAGTAAAGACACTGGAAAGTTCATCTTTCCCACCTCAGGCAGAGCAAAATATCTACTACCGACCCAATTAACTATAGTTTCAACTGCAGGTGAGTCCTATGGAACTGATGTCTATATGTAGGTGTTATTGCATAGGCTTCTGGGGCATGCCACATAGTTCTAGAAAAACTCACATGGCTTAGGAGACAAGTTTAAAGTTATGGCTGGAGAGCAAGGTAGAAGGGGCTGAAACATCTCAAATATCAACTTCCTTTTAGAACAAGATGTGGAGTAGTGCAGGATTTGTCAATGGCACTCCCGCCATTCCTAAGGCTGCTTATGTACTTCTGAGCTTTGGCCTGATGCGTGTTTGTCTGTCTTGCAACTGGCCTCACTCCAATCTGAACTCCTGATGTCTCTTAAAGCTTGCCTGAGAACCCAGCTTTTTAGTAGCTCAAATCCTTACTATCCCTTAGGATAGCATTACTTTGAAAATCCTCAGTTGTGCCAAGACCATTTCGGATTCAACCTATTTTTGGGGTTCCTGCTTAGTGTCTAGTGTCTACCTAGAGCTGCTTGATGCCAGAGGCTAGTGGCTTCTTTACCAGGAAACTGATGGTAGCCATGTCACTTCTTGGCATCAAACCTGTCTAAAACAGTCCCTAGCTGAAGACGACTTTCTTCCTAATTGTCAGCCATTCAGATGAGAGAAGTTACAGGTGGTCGAAGGTGAGAACTAAGTGATAGAAACTGGAACCAGGTGTACTGAAACTCTTGACTCTAGGAGAAACTAATTTCTTGAGGGATTTGTTAAAGGTAACTTATCAAGACCCACTTCCTCCCAATCTACACAGATTACATGTTTAATTTGGGCCAGTAACTTTTAAGTCTTTAGAATCTTGACATAATCTAGCAAAGTAAGACTGCTCTAGGTGTGGCAGGAAGCATGTAAGCAGAACCCCTTGCTGGCCTGCTGCCGCAAGGAGCCCAGAGAATCCCCGAGGCATTGGAACAGTCTGAGGGGTCTAAACATACTTTTGCTTATTGAGGTGCTTGCCCACTAGAGTTCTCCGAATCAGTCCCTGATGAGGGAGGTGCCTCAAGCTTGCAGCTGTGGTCACAGGATTAACTTCTCAATTCTCAGGCTACCCATAGGGAGATGCCATATCTTGGTTTAATCCTGTTTCTGTGGCAGATTTCAGCTTACTGCTCACACTCTGGGTCTCACGGCTCCTATGACATCAGTTTCAGTACTGTAGGTCTGATCTTCAGTTGGGGGTGGTGCTGGAGAAAGTGCTCTCACTAGGGAGCTGGGCCCTCACTGTTTCTGAATCCTCTGATCCATAAAGCAATTGTAGTGTGCCTACAAACGGGCCCTCTGACATCTGACTTTCAAATGGTTGGGATCTTTTTCCTCAGGGAATAGATTCTTTAAAAAAGCCCCTGAGTGAGAGCAGAGCGGTGGCTGGAGGTTATTCGGGCTAAATGGTTTCTCCGGCTGCCACCCAAACTGAAATGCTTTACCTAGCAATGGTCATGAGGCAGGTGACTGGAGCAAGTAACTGCTGGTAGCAAACGAGCCTGTTGAAGCATTTGTGCAGGACTGGTCTGACTGGCCTGGAGAGATTAGTTAACACCCTTGCACACTGAGCACACTCCAGAGGGGAGTCCCTGCCCTCCAGGAACTTACAACGTAGCTTGAAGGAACATGAAGACCCAGCTGTAGCTTGTTACTTAATGGCAATAGAAAATGGGTGAGGGAGTGCTGGCTGGGAATTGGAACTGACTTTCAAGTCTGGGTTTTTTCCTGTGAAGTAATTCTCAATGGAGTAGACTTCAGCTCTGGCCTAAACGCTACATTACAGTGCCTTTGTGTATCTAAATTCTGGTGTCTAATCTGGAATAACCTTTCCCAACTATGTGACAGAAGTTTGGGCGCTCTAGGAAGCATAAAGTGAGGGGGATGGAACTTGTCTTCAGTAGGTAAGCCCTGTAGATGACAATGTGGTCTTACTTCCTTAATGTGGTGGCCTGGTAGAAGCATGGCTAAGTTGAGATGGGGAAGAAGCCTAGGAAAGCCCAGGATGACTTCTGGTCTATTTTACTGCTGAAACAGTCTGGAGAACTTGTAGAGATGCAAAAATTCGTCATGATCAACAGGACAGTCAAAGGGACCTAATGTGCCATGTGTCTTTGGGACTGGGGTTAGGAACTCCCAGATAGAAGGGGATGTGATATAAACAGAACAGTCTTGTGATTTTGTCTAGTTCTGAAATCACCTCTTTTTAAAGAGCTCTCAACTCCTATCTGCAAATGTGTTTGGAACGCTTCCAGATCAAGTTCTCTGTGCATCCTCTTTAGAGGGAATTTATAGGAGCCTCTAGAACAGTGCTGAGACACACGAGCCAAAAGTATAAGCCATATATAGTCAGTCCCATTAAAGAAAAACGAATATCTTTAACCCAAGAGATGCTTATTTTGACATGTAACCCAGCTTATTCTTGGTACTGAGCCTGGTATGCATTTTAAACTTAGTGTATCAATTGAGATGGGTCCTATCAAGTGCTCAATGAATAGTGGTTATATTGGAGAGCACAGCTCTGGATAAAACATAACTTTAAGTTTTTGTTTTTGTTTAATTCATTTGTTACCGCTTTAGGGAAATGCTGATCTAAAATGACGGTAGAATGTAGTGTCTGTATTGCTGTCTGAGTGCAAATCCTTGGAAACTTCCAGGAACTAGTAGGCTAGAACCACTTGTATTACTTGGACTTTGTCAGAATGACTGCCTTTGTGTAAAACACCATTCTGTCAGCAATATGACCATTTTCCATACCCCTAGCAATCACTTTGATTATTGTGGGTAAGCTTTGTCCTGGCATCTTCTATGCCATCTATATCTAAAGCACCCATTCCAAAGCTCATTTTAGTAACTTATTTGTCCTGAGCACGGGAAATGGGAAGAATACAAGTAGCTCTCATTCAATATCTTCCAGTTTTCAGTTTGGGTTACTGGTATTCTTTAGATCCTGGACAACACACTGAGAGGTTACAGGTGTCTAGAGATCAAGTACTTGAGAGCATTTAACATCTATGCTGTAGTGCCCAATTCCTATCCCAAAAGCTCAAGCGCCCACAACTCCCCTTCCTATTATACCTAAATCAGGCTGGAGTGTGCTTTTCAGTGATGTGCTATATTAGCTTTCTAAGCCAACAGGAGTATATACCTTATTCAATTTACTTGGACTTGATGTTGATGTGTTACCTATAAGGACCAGTGGTAAACACCTGAACCTAATCAAACCTCATCTAGAGAGGAGGGGGCAGTCTTCTTGTCTTCAACACAACTGCTTAACACTTATTTCTACGGAAACTGACTTGGGTTGGATTGGGGTTTAGGACAGCTGGGATGGCTTATCCGGGAGGCATGTGATTTTTGCCAAGAAGGAAGTTTTTGGTCTTGTGGAGTTATCACAGGAAGGTAGATGGGTGTCCATTCCTCTGACCTGTGTCAGAGCTGTGGGGAGGCTGAAGAGCAGGAAAGACAGCCCCAGGCTGAAGCTGGGCTGGGCTGCTGCAAGGCCAGTGTCTGCAATTAGGGAAGAAAGGCAGCAGCCACCATGTTTAAGAACTTTTAACTTGGCTCTCTCAGAATAGAACCCCTTGGCATATCTAGAAAGTAGGAAGCTGTCAAATCAGTAGCATTGGCTGTGCTGAAGCAGTTCCCTTGGATTTGGGGGCAGTTGACAAAAATACTAACCAGAACATGGACCAACTTGTTTATGAACCCACTTGAGGCCCGGAGTTAACTAGGGCCATTACCTGGAAGCTCCTGTGCTCTTCCCCTCACTGCTTTCTCTGTATGATGCTAGATTATTTGTGACTGATACTGAGGGTAATGAAGAATCTCAAACACTGTCTGGCTTTGTTGTGTATGACATTTAAGTGAGCCAAATACTTGAGCTCCTCTGGCAAGTGTTCTGCTTTAACCAATTAGCTTGTATAACAGACTTGGCTATCTTGTCACTTGGATTTGAGTGTGATGGAAGAGTTGTTTCCCTCACCTTGTGTGAGCCTCTACCAGCAAGTTAGCCTGTTGGGGAGGCAACTAACACTTTATGGTAATTGGAGCAGTCCTTCCTACAACTGTCTTCTCAACTTGATCTTAGTTACTGTTCTCTTAGGCAGAACTTGCCCATATTTCACTTACCAAGGAGTATTTGGAAAGTTTGTCTCAGAATAAAAACCAGTGATTCCCTCGACTCAGCAGCAAAGGCATCCAATGTTTCACCCAAGCTAAACTTTGGCTATTACTCCAGCATAAAAAGCACTTGTCTAGGATGAGTCTGCATATGTCCATCCTGGTCTTGAGCTAATGCGACATGAACAGTTTGACCAAAGATGAGCTTGAGACTGGCCAGACATGTGACCTAATGGAAGATAATTATTGTACACATACACCTGTAACTGCCCTTGAATAATGAATCAGTCTTGACGGAAATAAAGCCTAGCAACAGCAAAGGACCCAATGCACGGGAAAACTCGCTGGTGTCCATTTGACTTAGGCTGAGAGAAACATGCTGAACTCCCAGCTGTCAGTTTGTCACCTGCCGTGTAATATTTCAGTGACTATTTTGCTTTGTCCAAGACTCCATAGGATTTGAGTGCATAGGTAAAGACCCTCCCTGGTGATAGAAGCTTCTTCCAGTAGATACTCAGTCACAACCATGATTCAGAGGGGCTTTCTTGATGTCTTAAATTTCAACACGTGGAATTGCATTTTAAAGTTTTTTGCTTATGATCAGGTACTAAGTGGATTGACTGCATTTTGTCAACTTTACTGGTAGTAGGCATGTCCCTAGTTATATGGGGACATGTACAATTTGAACTAATAGATCTGTTAGCTCATAAGAAATCAGAGTTCTCACAAATGCTAGCTGTTGCTTGCTATTCTATTCTCCACCCACCCCCACCATTTGTAGGAGCTGGGTATCTTTAGCATGTCTTTCAAAGATTTCTATACCTCTCACAGGGTTGAGAAAGACTTGTCAGATCAATAGATGAGACACATTCCCAGATGAACTTGGAAGTAGAACTATAAACAATGCCATGGGTATCCCCAAACCTATGCAACATTGTTTTGAACCAACACAGCCTCTACAGGTTGAGGAAGCCACACTTATTGGTATACTTCATAGTGAATTCCCCACTGCTGTGCAGTTTCTGCTCAAATTTCTACTAGGTGGTTTCACGTCACTTCCAGTTACCATGCTTCTGGTCAATTTGGGGTGGATTTTTAAGAACACTCTGGTTCCATATATAGCCATCTCTTTGGGTTCTCTCAGCATTCTGGTTCTATTTTCATGTTCATACTAGTTACTTTTGCCTAATCTTATACCACTTCCCACCCACCTCTTGTCATCTTTTAAGGTTCTATTTCCCTATCCTTAATTCTTACTGCTTTGCTTTAAGGTTGTTGGGTAGTGAGCTGATTTCCTCTTAATGTCGCAGGCATTTAAGACCATATACATACTGATTCATGAATGTATAGGACCATGGTGACTATGAACAGACCAGTCATGACTCAACTTGCAAAATACCTATGAATGTGGACAAGGAATAGTATGTACAAGAGTCACCCAGACTTGACTTCATGCCATTGTTCTGAATGCTCTCATATTGGTTCACTTATAGGAGTAACTACCTCAGGGTTTTATTTTATAGAGAAAAACTGAGGCTCAGTGTCACCCTCACAATCTCTCAAACCTAGGAAATTGTTCACTTTAGGTTGTTTTGAAGTCTTTCCATATACTACTCCTCTTACAGTGACTTGCTATAGCTTGCCTTGAGAACAAACGTCTCACTTTAATGCTTTATGGTTAAGGGTCAGGTATAACTCGGATCAATAAGCTAAACCTCTAAAATCAAATAGTCGGGTGGATGTCATTCTTACCTTGCTCAACAGGAAGCTAGATGTCTTAAGACCACTCATGCTACAGGAAATGATTGTTTCCCTGTGCTTACCTGGCTCTTGAGTACACTGACTCAAATGTCAACGTGGTGGGTAACATGGGGCTTCTATGAAAAGCTTTTGGTGTGGCAGGGTGTAATGGGTTAAATGTCCTGAGCTTAGTCATGTACTTGATTGTCTATGACTAAATGACCAAATAGACATAAAAAGGGTGGAGTAAATCTGTCATAATTTACAGCATATCTTGCTGTTCTTTTTTTCTCCCTTTTCTCTTGGCCTGTGGCTTAACTGCACCTAACATCTCTCGGGAGTGCCTTAATAAAACCAGTTAAGGACTGCTTGTTTTATACAAGCAATGTATTCATATACCTTCCTGTTAACAGTAAAAATCTAGACTAGCGTAACAATACTTGTCTGATTAGTGAGGCAATTAGTATGTCACCTGACAAACCAGAACTGATAGAAATCTTATTTGGAGGTGTTACCATAATCAGTTTCTATTTAACCTGACATACCTGAGAAAGCATTTATGGGCCGGATCTGCCAGGAATATGACATCTCAACTACTCTGTCCTTGGTGGTTATCACCTATATGATAATCTGAAGCTAAACCTGCACAAGGTCTTCCTTATACAAAGTGTATTGGGACCTGAACCCCAGGTTTGGGTCCACAGCCAGATAACTAGTTCTGCAAGAAGAGGTGTTAGTATGGTTGTGAAAACACCTTCCCCATCCCCTGACTCACCTTCCTGTCAACTGCTTCCTACTGGAATTCCTCATGAATAGGTGGTTAACACCTTGTACTTTGTCCTAAACAACCCAGTTTTGTCTCACTCACCCCGTCTTCCTCTCCAGCTTGTTCAAGTCTCTTGTTCAAGTCATTCCACTTCAGGCCTGTTAAGACTACTTCTCTTGACACAAATCTCCAACCCACAGACTTTCTCATTCCAGCTGTTGCCTTTATTGACTTTATTTCCTTGTTATAGTATCTTTCATTTATTTAACCCCATGGCTTTTTTTCTGGTAAATCTCAACCCTTCGTGAATCCCAAATGTCTTAGTCCTAATACTAGAAAGATAAGGCTTGGCTGAGTTAGACTATGGTAGAACCATGTCTCTAAACTTATCACTGACTTCTGATGTATCTTTCCAACTCCCAAATTTCGCAGAGGGGAGAGAAGCTAGAAAAACAGGGTTGTTGGGCAATCTTGGTAAACTTGGGCCCTTCTAAACATGTAGCTTTTGTTTTATTCTTGTAACAAGTTTTTCCTTGCTTTCAGGTTATAAACGAGTGAGTAAAACATGAGATAATGTCCAGAACTCAGTGTAGCAGGAGTTGATTGATTTGCTCTGGTCTCATATGCTCACCAATTCCTCCACATTAAACCCACCAAATTAAGTAGCTGCCCTACTCTAAAATGGTTCCACCTACTGACTCCTTGTTCCTTTCTGAAATAGTCCTGGTGTCTCTGATTGCTAGAGGCTAAGTCCTGTGACTGTGTCCCTAGCAGCAGCAGGGACTCTGGGAGAGAGCCCTTGGGATAATGGGTCTCGATGGGAGAAACCCCTCAAACTGGGGTCATGAGGCCTTCCAATGTGACAAAGTTCCACAACTATGCTGAACTGGTCCTAAGAAAAGCTTACATGACTGCATGTCTAACCAGCATAGCAGATAGCCATGGCTCACCTGTGCTCTTGAAGACAGTATGAAATTGAGACCAAGTAGCTTACTCTACTCGACTCTGAGTAAATGTTTCAACGGTGTCTATGCTGCTGTGGTAAAGCATTCACTCCAAACGGGGAGCATCCTTACGTCCAGCTCACTTTTCAAGAGTTAGCAAAGTCATGGCTTTGCAACTCAGTCAAGCTTTTATGGTTACTAAGCGCCCCCTGTTGATGGCAGTTTAAAACTGGTTGTGCCCCATGCTTCAAAGTGGCAAGACCCCGTGTGTCTAATTCCTGAAACAGTCCAAGGCTCCAAACATGAGGGCAGGCCCCGTTAGGTCCTCTCTGGCAGCTTTTGCTTCACCCTTGCTTCATTGTTTGGGCCTCTTGCCTCTTCTCCTAAGATGGCTTCTAGGGTTGGCATTATCAACACAATCCCTCCATTCCTTCCACACAAGGCTAATTGCTTTGTTCTCATTTGCTCAAGGTATATGAGAATAAACATAGCTGCAAATCTTGAGCTGGTTTTGAGAAACCTGTTTCCCTAAACACCTTCTTGTGCTTGGATGGAAGGCTTAGGACCTTAGCCTAGTGCCTAGAAATGGCTGATCTTCTAGTGAGTTAATAGGTCTCAACTACAGTTAAAGTTAAAATGACCCCGACTAGCTTTTGAGACTACCTAAAGGACCCATTTGGTTCTGATCTGCCATGGACCAATACTTTGTAAAACACAATAAATAGAAAATGCCAAATTTTGTTAAACCCACACCCTAGCAAACAAAGGGGAAGAAATACATGGTTCGTTGGAAGAACATACAGGTGACAGGTGACGACTACAAATGTACAATGATAGTTATCTAGAGGTAACTGAGGTACATGTTAATGTTCTTGTACAGAATGACTATTGTGCATATAGTGCTTAATGTACTGAGTTCTTCATGTGACAAATAAGCTTGTTTAACCTACTGAATCTAGGTTGGAGTGATAGCAATGCTACTCAGAGGAAAACAACCAAAAGGCTTTGTTTTAATAGCTTTCACAGCAGAGGCCAATCTCACATCCCTCAGAAGTATGTTGACCAGAACAGAAGAATTTAAAGCTATTGTAGCAGAATTGGGGTATATTTAACTTTTAAAATGAAGTAATGCTTTATTTTAAACTCATCTCTAATCCTTCATCACCATCTAGTTACAATGGCTTATCTTAGAAGGCTACAGTTATCTTCCTGAAAAGCAAATGGATTCCAGATGTGAATTTTTCCTATACATAAATCTTTTGATGGAAAGCAAAATCCAATGTTCTAATTCAAAAGGTATGTCTTGTAGATGTGCAATATCAACTACTGATTTATACCATGTGAAGTTATGTAACTTCTATTTTTGAAACACTTAAGTTATCTAGTCTCTGCTTTTCTCTATCTCTTCAATATTACCCAAGGGAAAAGAACCTGGATGGGTTAATGAGACTAGGAACAACTCATGGCACATATGTAGTTAACCCTTCTAGAGAGAACTGCCCTCATGAGTTTTATGGTACTTGTTTTACTTCATGAATGTATATGGAAGGATTGCTCACTGAGTGGGCTTACGTTACTCAATGGTAGAAGACTTGCTCAGCCTAGTTCGGGGGCCCACTTCCAGCTTTGGTCCTCTGATTCAGTGAAACAAAGCTTGTCTGATCTTGATTTCAGGTGTAGTTCCCAATTACTTTCAGAACCCCATGGGGAAAGTGAGGTGAATGGTACCTCAGACACTTAAGCCCTGAATTTCTATGGCAGTCTTGCTGTGGCACACTACCTGCATATTGCTGATGGCCTCATATCCAGGGCTCCACACTGGCATGTAAAAGGTACAGGCCAGTCTGAGGGTCTTCAAAGGCTTTCTAGGTTCCCTGAAAGTGTGGCATTAGGAGCAACAGGATCAGACTCCCCCCGCCCCCAGCCGCCCCCTCCTCCCCTACCCCGCCACGGAGAGGAGTACCACTATCAGGGCAAGACAAACGTGGAACTCGGCCAGGTCCTGCTCCGTATGGAAGTGAGTGTCTTGGGCAGTGGGGTCTCAGAAGCTGTTTGATAGAATCTCTAGGTAAGCCTCTCCTCCCACACATGCTAGTTTGGCACACAATGGTCCTGACTTCCTGAGACAGATGAGTGTCTATAATTTTGGTCTAATGAGAAGGTCCTGGGACATTAAGCATCTTCAGGTTTCACAGTGAGAATTGCAGATGGTGTTCACAGCTTTCCCATACAATACTGAAGTCATTTGTCTAGATGTACTGAGTCCAAACTAGGGATTGCTTGAAGGAAAGACTTTCTCTAAGGTCTTCATTTCGTTTGGTGGGAATGTCAGATTGGGTGGGTTACACTAAGGGAAGAAATGAACTGCTTCTAGCAATACCTCTGTGGTGAAGTCTGGGGAGGAGAAATTAGAGTGGCAAGATAACAGATAGTTGGAAGTCTCTCACTGCTTTCCCGGAAGAAGTAGCAAACATTTTGAGGGGTGAGAGGAACTTCCCAGCACAGGGTTAGAGGAGCTCTTAAACACAGGTAAATTTCAGGAAGCTTTGTGAATTTGACTATGGGGCTGTGGCTGGATTCTTGCTCAGCTCCAATCTTAAATAGAAGGCAACCCTTTACCAGTAGGATCTAGGGAATTTTGGCCAACTTTGTCAATTCTGACCCTGAGCATAATTTTGGGGGGGGTTTCCAAGGTATATGGATGAGTCTGCCTTGGATTAGATTCTGCATCTCGGCCTGTGGTTAGGGGAGTGCTGAATGTAGGCCTGGGGAATGCATTTAAAGGCAATCAATACTAGCAGGGGTAGGAAGAACAACTTCTATGGTGTCAGTTTGGATCCTTTGTAGTTAAGTGCAAGAGACTCAGTGGGGGTAATACTTGGGGTGGGGGGTGGAAGGGAGTTGGAATAGGAGCAGCAAGGGAGAATCTTCAGGTCTTACAGGTGTAACACCTGTGCAAGGAACCAGGGAAGGGAAGAACAGGTAGAGCCCCTGCCCTGCAATATGGGTCTGCAATAGTCTCAGCCAGGTCAAGTAAGTTCAGTACCTTTTCCAAGATGGACCCTTCCTGGTGGGTGTTAATGTGAGACACACAGCTCCACACTTCATACATAGCCTTACTATGTCCATCCACATTCCTCTACCCAAATCTTGTCTCTGACCGTTCAGTCCTTTGTTCCAGGCTGCTGACTGGAAAGTGATGCCATTGAACCACCTATGTATATGTGCATTCTCATCTTGGGCCCTTTGTGATACAAAGTAGCTGACCAGGTATACTGCTTGTGGAACCCGACCCGTTGGGAACCAGGCCAGACACTTGGTTGAACTTGTAGTGCTTTAATTATCCTCTAGTATCTAATTTCGTCATGGGCTAGAATGCAGAATTGAACAGATAAGGACCACCAACCATATTTGCTTGATACTTAAGCATGGCACTAATGTTGACCATCCCCTACAGGGGTGCAATACTTGTGACTTAATATCTTGGCTGGGGTAGGGACAGTTTCAGAAGTTTCTAACTGGCCCTGCTGTGATGCTGTTACTTCACATGGCTAGGGACCCAACGTAGGGATTTATTCAAATGACAAGCACATCAATTTCAATTGTGTACTCAGGGGAAATATTTCTGGGTGGGTCTTCGGACCTAGTGGACCAACTGTCAGCCAAACATCTGCAAGAACTCCATTTCCTCAGTCTGTACTAGGGTATAATTTAAAGCTGCAATCTATTTCTCAAATGGAAGATAGTTGTAACTCCTGTGTGTGTGTACTTTAACTTGTGGCCATAATGCTCTGGGTGTCTAGATGGCAATGTCAACTCAGTTGCTATGCCCGATGGTTCACGAATTCTTTAGTTCAGTGTATATTAACATGGATGTCTGCAGAGGGAGACTTGCTAAGAACCCTTGTCTGCTCAGCTAACCAGGTCCTCCAGCTATATCTCAAGGTCTTGACATGAGAACCCCTGCTTCTGGGAGCACCGGAAGGTAGAACTGTATCTGAGTAACTTCAGTGTGGCAATAACAATCTGGTTAACCCTAAAGGTGTTCCCAAAGTTGGTAATGGGAGGTAGGGTCAGGGAATGAAAGCATAAAGTAAACCTTACTGCTGCTCTGTGAAAGGGGAAGTCTAGAAAAAGCATCGTCCGTATACATGGAACAAAGCTTAAGAAAACTTGCAGCTTGGTTTTGCCAGTACCAAGCTGAGGGAGGGGAGCAGATTCTTACAAGAGTGTCAGCACTTACCTAATGGGTCAGGGAAGACACTGCGTAGTGTTATACAAGACAGTAACATGGTCAGACTGGTATGTTCAACATAGCAACATCTCAAGTAGGAAAACTGACTTTGGGGATTGGAATAGGTGTCATAAGAGTGGGTAGTAATAGACATGATCAGCTTCCAGGCTTCTGGTATGGGCACTGCTGTGTGGTAGTGCCACTAATAGAGGATACAATAGAAGAACAAATCTGGGAGGGGAAAAGTGAGTTGTTACTGTCCTACCTAACCTTAGGATTTAGATCTGGTATAAACCTAGCTTATGATGGGGAGCTCCAGTTTGGGATATTACTTGGTGCGAAATGTTCAGGACTCAGTCTCCCCTGGGGTCTAATAGTTTTAAGTCATGGCCTATTTCTCAAATGCAGAATAGTTCTGTCATAGATCGTGCCTTGCAGTAGAAACCTAGGGTTTTATGTTTGGATTTTCCAGAGGTGTCATGTGGCATCTTCATGCATCACAATTACTTCCAGCACCATGTTAGATCACCTAGCCCAAGCAGTAGGGCACCTTTATGCTGCAACCTGCAACTACTACAGGTATGCTTTTCTCCTGAACTTAAGGATCAGTAAGCTCACTAGATGGTTTTAGAACCATGGCACTTCTCAAGGTATGGACAACATTCTCAGGATGTACCCCTTGTATGGTGCCCTGCTCCTCATGAAGAAAACTCAAACTGCGTTTCTCCAGGACGTTAATTTTGGCACTAGATGCTTCCAGGCATCTGCATCATCCCTTCCAAACTAAGGGAATTTAAATAATTCATGCTTAATGCACTGAGGGCCATGGAGCCCCTGCTTTGGGTTGGTGCTTGCCCTGGTGTGTCCTTTGGGGTGAGTGACCCATGTTCAACTACTGGTAACATGGAACCCTTCAGAAGCTGTCAGGGTGTGGTGCTTCCTCCTACAATGGAAGGAAGAACTAGGGACTGCACACAGGTTTGGGAGGTCTCCAGTTGAAACCATGCAGGCACTTAGAAAGAAAATAGCTCCAATGTGTCTGAGCAAGTGGTTGGAGTGCCTACGGAGAGGTGAGGTTGAACATCTGAGCAGGTGCACATAAGCTGTAGAACTTCTAAAACTATACCGATCTCACCTGTAGCTTCATAGCCACCTCAGACTCGAGTACCATGTCATAGTTACGTAGTACAACATAATCCTAGAGTTCCCCTAGAACTTGGAGGTAACTGACCATAACAGGATTTGCAACTGACAGGCTTGGCTGGTACCCTAATATGCCTCCAGTGTTCTGTCCTGTACACCTATACTGACTTCTATTTCCCTTCTGCTGTGCCTCTAGAACTCCAGTCAGCTTCTCCAGCTACCCTCTTCAACTGTCAAGATTACTTGAGTCACTAAAACCTAAGCATATCGCTTGTGAAACTCTTCACAAGGCTGTTATTTGTTAGAGCTGGGAGAGGAGCTTAGTAGTCTTAGACTCTCCAAAAATTGTTCTGAAGTTTACTCAACCTAGTTTTAAACACTATGAGCTTTCTTACTGAGGCTTTTGCTACTAAGAACTATTTCTACTGTTGGTCAACATAGTAAAATGGCCTGGAGATGAGATGAAGATCAAGGCACCTTAAAAGGATCCTCTGCCCTGAGATCCTGCTATCCTTGACTACCTTAATATCCATTTGAATGACCCAGCCAAAAACTTACCATTTCCTCAGTCTGAAATTTGAGGCTGGATATTGACATTTTGGGCTGGAAAATTCTTGGTGGGGGATGGTCTGTTCTGTGTATTGTGGAATGTTTAGCAGCATCCATGGTCTCTACCTGCTAGCTACCAGTAGCATCCGTTTCCCTGCTGACAGCCGAAAATGGCTACGGACATTACCAAATGTGCTGCGGGGTGGTGGGTGGGGCAAGATTGTCCCTGTCTGAAACACTGCCTCAGATGGCTGGTGCTAACTATCTGCACCATGTCCTACTTGGATTTAATCTTTATCCTCCCAAATGTCCTTAAACATGTATGTAGGCCTCTGATCTCTAGCCCTGGGATCTTTCTCTCCCTCCAATCCCTTCCTTCTGACTCCTTTCCCTTGAGTTTTGTTGGTGAATTTCTGGTTTTACTCCTTTCTCCACATCTTAGCTGACTATTAATTGTAAAGTATCCTGATTAAAACAGACCACTACTGCAAACCTGGTCATAACACTGAAGCCAATACGGGGTATCTGTACACTACTACCTCTCTGGGCTGTGTCCTGCCTAGATACCCCTGCCAAACACTGAGCACCCAACCAGGAACTTGGCGCTAAGCAAACAGACACCCAGCCGACCATGTCCTGACCCTGTCGATGCTTTCAGCTAGCGCTGTGGAAATGTGCTTTAGAGTGTAAACATCCCAGTGGAGCCCCTGAGAACAGGCTCTTCCTGGAGAGGAAAGGCTTCTTTCATAGTCTTGGGGAACCTTTTGCTAAATTACCCTTCCCCCTTTCCCAAGGCAATGTTAGGCTGTTTTAGAGCCCAACTAGTTGTTTCCTAGGTTGGAAGAGTCTGCTAACTGAGGTCTGGTATGATTGCTTAGTATCTACCCCTGTGCTTGCTGACAGAGTATCTCCCAGATTGTATGGGGCACCTCGTGTGCTGGTTTTTTGTAGAGTAGACCTGTTTTTAGAGCCAGCTGGGTTCTTAAACCTTAACCTCTAAGTCACAAAACCTGCAATGCCTACTGTGAACTTAGCTCTCACTTACTCTTGTAGGCTAGTGATGACTCTGGGGATAGCTATACTGCAGGAAAAAGATAGGCATTACTAATAATCGCTTTCTACCATGTTGTAATTGGGTTCTACTACCTGGCCTAAGTAAGCATACTGGGGCGTAGTACATGAACTGAAGGAATGGCCACCTCCATGATCTTGAGGCATCAGGTTGTCCCATCAAAGGGAATGCCAGACCAGAGTAGATTAAGATGACAGCAAGAGTGAGGAGATTTCACCTTCCAAATGGCTTTGGCCAGAGTAAAAAAGGGAGTGCCCTCAAGTCCCTCAATCTGTAAAAGGCAAGCTCCTTGTACCCTCAAAGCAAGTGGTGTTTCCCAATTTGGCTGGATGCTGTTCATCATGGGTGATGCCGCTTCCTGACAGTGGGTTTCAAGACTGCATGTCAGGTAGGATCCAGTGAGGCAAGGGGAAATGCAGTCCATCCTAGTTATTAAGAGGGAACCCATCAGTCATGCCTAATATCAAAGGTGTCAAAAGTTAAAACCGGTCTATAAGGTCCTCTACAGACACTAGGGAATAACTGAGCCTTCCCAGCACCTGAAATGCCACACTAGCAGTGTGAAACTAAATGGCCCTTGACACCCTTCAAGTGGAGTACCCAAAGAGCACTGAAAATCAAGATGGACTTGGCCATGTCCAGTTAGCTCCATGAAGCAATAGATGAATAGCAAGTTTTTGCTCACAGTCTCCTTTCATTTTACCAGTATTTCTGTGCCTAAGCCAGGACACTCCTGCTAAGCATAGCCCTAGAAAAATCTGAAGATGTGTTGCTTGCTTGCTTTCTTTGCCCTATGCATTTTGTGCTCATCTCTGCTTCAGGACACTTTGTCCCGGCTACTCCTCATTCTTTAACTAGATCTGAACATACTTGGATATAATAAAACCAGAAGCCAGTCTTTGCTTCTCCCGACAAGGTCCTTGTGGAAAAAATGGCTTATTTGTATAACTTCTGCCAGCCATGTTAGAAGGAAAAAGAATCCCCAAATCTTACTGTGAAGTGCCTGACATGTGAGCCTCCCCCTCAGGCCTCCAGCTTTATTGAAGTATAATAAGCAAATAAAAATGGCATTTAAGATGTTCAAAGTCACTTTGGGAGGCCAAGGTGGGTGGATCATTTGAGGTCAGCGGTTCGAGACCAGCCTGACCAACATGAGGAAACCATCTCTACTTTAAAAAAAAAAAAAACAACAAACAAAACTGTGTGTATTGGTGCATGCCTATAATCCCAGCTACCTGGGAGGCAGAGGTTGCATTAGCTGAGATCACTTCAGCCTGGACAACAAGAGAAACTCCATCTCAAAGTACAAAGTGTTTCAATATATGCTGAGGTGTTTACCACATTAAACATGTCCATCACCTTGCATACTTTTTTGTAGGACACTTGATGTATTCCCAAACTTCAAGTATATGATACACTACTAACTACAATCACCATGATGTCTGTTAAGTCTCCAGAACTTATTTGAGCCTGCCCTTACTAGGGAAGGTGACTCCTAAGATTTTATAGGCTCCAATTTAGAGTTGAATCATCAAATGTGCAAGCAAACCAAGCTGTACCTGCTGCGAGGCTCTTTTCTCAGGTCTCAAAGCTTTGGGGTTAGCTGACAAACTGAAGTAGCACACCCAAATGCTTGTTGCCTTTAAAAGCCAGAAGAGGCTGACTTAACATTGTTCCCTTAGCAGTAAGCCACGTTTGGTGGCTGAGGAATAAGAAACCCTTCACTCTAATCAAAGTTCTCCCTTGAGTATTTCTATTACCAAGAGATACCTCCACTGGATCCATCTGGGCCTGCACTTTAGGAGTCAAGGTTATCCCTCTTTTCTTCCTACACATTGTTTGTGTAGGACCTAGACTGATGCTGGCTCCTTCTTAATATTTTTTCCCTCCATTCTTGGTGCAAGCTTGACTACTGTCTGGGACAGATAAGAAACTGACATGCCATGCCCTAAGAGCTAGGTCAAGCGGTTTGCATCTTAGTAGACTCTGATCTCCATTACTTCATGAATACCCTAAAAGCAATGAAATGGGTTCATGACAGCCTCCTTAGATCAGGAAGTTAAGTGAGAAATGGCCTGTAGTAGCTCCTCACAAGCCTCTTAATGCTCTTGTGTTCTAGGAAGTTCACAAGGGTGTTCAGCCAAGTCTGAGGTCACCTGTGCTTCAAATTGTACCTGTGGCCAAGTCATTAGGTGCCACAAAGCTATTAGTCTATATGTAGTAACATAACTCATGAACAATGGCTATGAGGTCTATAGTATATTAAACTTAATGTTTAGTGTTCAGCTCTTAAAGCTTTAAGGCTCTTCCATGTTTCTTCTATACTTGTTGCAATTTTTTCAGGAGGGATTTTATAGAATGTCCCTCTTCAAATATCTTGCCCAGTGGAATAAAGTAAACCTTCATCCCTGAGATCTGAGCCTCTGGCTACTTCACCTTTTACTAGGTCATGGCTGCTGCAGTTTGCCAATTCACTGAGCACCAAGACCACTCTCCTTCAAATCCCCTGAGTTGTAGACATGCCAATTCCTGCTGCCACCTAGTAACAGCAATGCAAACTCACCATGATAGGGCTAATTACTATCAGCAAAGCAGACCTGTGCTGTCCCTGCTGGACTACTGGTTTAAGGAGTCCAAAATGATAGCCTAATTGTGGGTTTATTGAACTGTGTCCTCTGGAAGCTCCCTGAAATACTTTGAAGACAACTAATCATTCAGTCTCAGGCATAGTTCTCAAGTGGGTTATTGGGAATGATAGTAAAAGAAGTTAAAGTGATCATTGCTTTGTCACCAATACACAGGACACACAGGGCTGGGAAAAATGTATGATGTAGTCACTGGTTCAATTTGTAGATGCATTCTGGAGGACAGTGCCACAGGCGCATAGACTGTCACTAAGTCAGCACATTAGGATGCAGGAATGCCTTCCTTGAAGATACCTGCAAGACCAGCTTCGGTGTGATGTGGTATATATGGTAGGATGATGGATACTGTGATCAGGTCTTTCACCTCAGGTGTACAATGGGTCCCTCAGTTCAAGGTGATACTTGGAGCCTTGCTTCTGTAGTAGATACTCTCATTGAGACAAGCGTGCGGATCTTGTGCCTAATTCCTCAGGTAGATCCATGTCCTATTCTCTTTGGCTTCATTTTCTTATCTTCAAATCCTGTTCCTTTAGGCCCTTGATCACTAAGGATGAAAGGGGACCATGCACCAAGGAATACAGGCAGCCTAGAGTAGCTGGAGGAGGTAAGATGAATCTCCTAGAATACAGCCCTGCCCACATCTCCATTTTAGCCCAGTGAGATTAACTTCAGACCTGACCTGCAGAGTTGTAGGATATTTATCTATAGTTTGTCTGCAACTTGAAGTGCTGTTAGACTTGGTACTTTCTACCAAAAACACAAGTTTGTGTTAAATTAGGCCACTTAATGGTAATTCTGCAGCAATAGGAAACTCACACCTACTTAATCAGGGCTTGGTAATCTCTACCAAGGACTTGACAGACAGGGGCCTGTTGGGGTATGATTTTTTTGGCTGAGGAATGACAACCCACTCCCTCTCTGCTTCTGGCACTAAGTTATGGCCCCTTCAGGAATGGGAAACTTCATGATAGCACCACCATTGACCACCTTCTGGTAGAGCCTCAGCCAACTCCCAAGCAAGAAAAGCACTAAATGAGCCAGAGTGACTCCACACATTTCCACTCTTCCCCAAGTGGATGTCTTGCCATTCCCCAACTCTCCAGCCCACACTACCCCAAAGCAGTCTCACAAGAGTCCCATACAACTGATTTGGATCAGTGTAAATAGCATACCAATTGGACAACTGAAAAAGCAACTCAACCTCAGTGAGGTTTCAGATAACCAATCACGTGCATATCAATGGTTTGTGTACTGGGGGGTAATAGAAAAGCTCTGTTAATCATGTTTAAACTTCAGGGGGTACATGTGCAGGCTTCTTATAGGTAAACTTGTCACGTGGGTTTGTACAGCTTTTGGCACCCAGGTACTAAGCTTAGTACCCACTAGTTTTCTGGATCCTCTCCCTCCTTCACTTCAGTAGGGCCCCAGTGTCTGTTCCCCTGTGCCATGTGTTCTCATCACTTAGCTCCCACTTAAGTGCAAGCATGGATTCATGTATTTGGTTTCCTGTTCCTGCTTTAGTTTGCTAAAGATAATGGCCTCCAGGAGCTCCATCCATGATCTTGAAAAGGACATGACCTCATTCTTTGTGGCTGCAGGGTATTCCATGGTATATGTACCATGTTCTTTATCCAGTCTATCACTGGGCATTTAGGTTGATTTCATCTCTTCAAAGTCATGTTTATTTTTATCAGCACTATTCTCACAAACAGCACACCTAAGATAAGTGAACAGCTTGCTAATGTATATGTCCAGATACTGTTGAATAGTTAGACATCTTTAATACAGCTTTTCAAAACTCCTTAAACTCCAAGTGGGTTCTCAAATGTGTTAACACATTTCAGGTGATCTCTTCCTCTAACAATACACCAACCTACTTACCAGGTGTGACGGCTTTTCTGGTATGCTGAAGTAGATAGGCTAGTGCCCAGTTATGCTGACACTAATCCAAGTGTTGATTTGAAAGGGTTTTACAATGTAGTTGTATCTTGCACATGTAGCTAAAGCACCAATGTAGTTTTTACTAAAAGTATCCTGGACAGCCTGAACCTGATGCAACCTGAGTCACTATGACTGACTCAGATATGTCAGGGCTATTTTTAAGTTCCACCTGTGGACAGTGGCATCACCTGTGCCCGTGGATCCCATTCTGCGTAGAATCTTTCCTGACTGCTTAGGAACAATAGCTTTTCTGAGTTGATGAGTTCCAGCCTGCTCATGATCTATCAGCATGTGGAAGTGTCTGCCGGTGAGCTCTGGATGCCCTTAGCAAACATGCAAGAGAAACTGAGTGTCTGCTCAACCTACCTTGTACATGGCTGGACCCACTCAGATCCAGTGTTGAGTTCACCGTCTTGCCTTGACAGGTCAACATCTGAAGAACCAACCTTTACAAATACTACAATAACATGAGCATGAGAAGCTACTCCCCCAACAGCTGCAACTAGTTCTGTGACTAATGGATATTCATCTCCCTCTAACAGTACAATCTAGATTCCCCTCCACCCTCAGCCAGTATTTCTGCTGGTCCAGATTGCTTTACACAGTAGGGCCACTCAGACTTATCCAAGAGGTCTGAGCACTCACTTATCTCAGACTGTCTCTTATGTTGCTGCAATAACTGCTTTTGTCATCACTAATGCTGCACTAAGGGGCACCCAGTAAACCCTACAAATCCAGGTGTATTTCCCTCACTTTGTGTAGCAGAGACCTATTTCATCATAACCAGGATTGTTGACCCCTGCCAGTAAAGTAACTTCTGTCTGCCTCCTGGTCTACTGGTATAAAAAGCCTAAGTGACTAAATTGTAGCTTTTGGTTCTATGGAACCCACTCTGTATCTCCAGAGGATGCGTTCTTCAGGGGATCAGAAGCTCTAATTCTGAACATGCTAAATCTGTGGGACAAGAAGCACTTCTACAAGTGGGTCCACAGCAGGTGGTGGAAGGGGCCATGTTACATCTACCACTTGGTTCCTGGATACTGTATCTTAGCTTTTGGGGATATTATATGGAAGTTTCTTCAACTTGAAGTATAATTTGATGGATATATTGAAGTTAAGGGCTTATCTGAAAGCACCTGAAACATACCGCTAATTGCTTTGAGGCACAAAAGCACCAGGACTCTGGGTATTAGCTGAAGACTGGGAAAGCTGGTGTTGAAGGTGGCTGAGCTCAGGTGGCTTTCACTTGTGCCTGAGGTAGAGCTTTTAGAAAAGGTACCTTCTATTCTGGGGCCACTTGTCTGCACTGTAAGTTGGTCACTTTCCTAAGGCCTCTCACCTCCTTCAGGAAGTAGTGGTGCCTCAGGAAATCACAGGGATGGATGTCTGCATGACTTGTTGAGCCCAGGGCATGTGGATCCAGTAGCATCTTGTTCATATCTTCCTCCCTCACATACAGGGTGTGACCCCCATTCATTCTTGGAAGTGGGTGCAGCTGTCTGACTTAGCAACTTCGGGATGCCTTTGGACCTTTACAACTTTTTCTGCCAGATCTAGGAAAAAAGTTCATGCCTTCTAGGGCCACATCCTTGTGGCCAAACTAAAAGCCAGCAGGTGATAAGATATAGGTATTCAGATGAAAGTAGACCAGATGGTTGACTCCGTCCTCTGCCTGGGTGGAATGATTCTGCTGTATACAGAAGTTTGGTCAGAAGCAAGGTGGTGTCCATAGAAAATGTGGCTTGTTAGGAATTTGGAGTAGGACATACTTTGCTATCTAGAAGCAGACCTTAAGATAATTTGAATTGCTACCACATAACCAAGTAAAACACCATAGAGTGATAGAGAAGTGGGGTGGACAAGAGGTGGTGACTCGAAGGTGTGTTACCAGAGTCTGATAGAGGTAAATACAGCTCAGCTGGGCAGAGGCCCTCTGGAGACAGTATAGATCATACTTCAGCTTTTAATCAGCTATGGAGCAGGAGGTACTTACACCTTCTCACCCCATCTGACATGGGCTAAAGCCAGCCATCATGGGGATGTAAATCCTCATGCCCTTTGGGCTCATAGGGCAGCCTTAAAAGACACAGGTACTGGCAGTTGCATTCCTATTACCTTACCAAGAGGGAGTAAGTTCGAGTTGGGAGAGGGGCCTAAGGAGATGCTGACAGATCACTGATGGCCTCTGATGGAGGGTCCCCCAGAAGCCTGGAGCTCAAAGGGAAAAACCCCAGTCAGTTCCTTTCACTGATACTAATGAGCACATCCACAAAATGAAGTGCCTTAACTCATGAAGTGCAAGCGAGACCAAGTACTGTATTTAATTAGGGCTCCTCAGAAACAGACTCGTGTGGAAGTAATGAAGGAAATACTTCCAAGACAAACCAGTGAAGGAGTGAGGAGAGGCACAACTGAGGCTGGTAAGAAGCCAAGCAAGGCTGCGATGGCAAAGTCCTAGGCTTTGTAGACCCCTTGGATCCCAAAGGGGAACAATAGGCTGAGTTGCACCTTGGTTGTGTGCATCCTCATAGCTGACATTCACTTGTTAATGGTGGCACTGGTTCTGAGGGGTGTGTGTAAACTCTCAGGTACTTCTGGCTCCTTGTGAGTGTGCAAAAGATGGGTCCAACACTCAAAAGGCAGTCTTCCAACAGCAAAAGTGAAGGTGCTGGCACTTGTAGACATATGAAGACCAGGGGTGAGGGGATACAGTAGACTCTTAAACTCAAAAGGCCTATTGACTCTGCACTTGATTTTTCTTACAGAAGACACACTTGATGCTTCCTTGACATCTATTCCCATACTGTCAGCCAAATATGCTCCTGACATTCTTAAACTATTTCCTTTAGATCTGACACTCTAGCCTATTAGAGCATGTCATGTGCCTATCGACCTCCCATGACTAGTGACTAGTTCAGGAATGGGTGTGCAACCTATCTACATGGGCATGCCACAAAAACCCAAGGAGAATATTGCTGGAACTGGCTGTTTCAAGAAGTGCTTTTAGAAGAAAAGAGATGTGATCAACAATAGTCTAGAGCCTTGCGGTGTCATAAGGGGAGTACCTGGAATCTCTCACCCAGAGGGTGGTATGGCCCTGTGTGCACACTGAGTACAAATCTGACACCAGGGAAGGGAAGTAGAGGAAATCTGGTTCTTGGTGAAACTGAGCATCTTAAAGCAGCCTCACTTGGACCCAATGCTATATTCAGACTCATTAACTCCTGAACCAATGAATTCCCTTTTACTTAAGTCAGTACAGCTCAGTTGTCACTTGTGACCAAAATAACTGGCCCCTGTCCTGTGCAGATCCACTTTTCTACACAGGTCCATAGAACAGTGGCTTCATATCACCCAACTGCAAATCTACGTGGGTTATAGGTCCTTGATAGACATGTTGACAGTTGTCAGTTTTCTTCAGGGAAAGCAGGGGGAAATCCATCTACTCATTTAGATAAACAAAGTGCAATCCTTCATAGGGAGTCTCCCATAAGGTCTGCCTTCTGAAGCATTGTCACTCAGAAACCCCATCTTAACTAGTAGAAAGAATCACAGCCTGGAATCCTCTGAAAGATGCACCTAAAGGATAGCAGGCACTACTATAGACCCTTCTCTCATGGGTCATTTGACCAGGTCAGAAAACCAGACTAGAGCACTTGATCCTCATATTTGAGAATAGTTCTCGGTATCTAGGACAAGTTGTCTGAATCCATAGGCCGTTGCTGTTAGATGATGGTCTAAGTCTCATGTCTCAAGACATGGGTGGCTGAGTACCTCTCCCATCCTGGCTGGTGCAGGTGGTGGGATCAGACAAGTCGCAGGGCTGATGGCTGGGGCAGACATGCTGGAATTGAATTCTGTGTGAACAGATGGCAGCACTCACACAGCAGAGCTGTTCTCGAGACACCTCTTCTGGGTTGTGGCCTAAGTTGGGCAGTGTCTGAGAGGGCTTTCTGGCAGAGAAGAACCCAGCAGTGATTGACTAGGATAGTCCTAAAGGAATACCTTGGGTACACAGCCCTGAATAGAAGCAGACTTTAAAAAAGAATAGGTTAAGAGGAAAATGGATCTCAAAATAGATGACTCAAATCAAAAGCTTTCTGAGCAGAAGTAGAACCTAAGTGGGAAACAGATGCTAAAGCACAGCACAGTGCCAGGGAAGCCAGTCAGCTCCCATGTCAATGGGACCACACTGTGGTGAATGGATGGGAGTCACAGTAACGGAGAATGACATGCTCTTCAAAAGTACCTGTCCCTGCACAGCATGGTACCTTTTCTTACTAGGTTGGTGCAAAAGTAATTGCGGTTTTTGCCATTACTTTTA
The DNA here is from genome assembly GCF_000001405.40 of Homo sapiens. NCBI lineage: Eukaryota > Metazoa > Chordata > Mammalia > Primates > Hominidae > Homo > Homo sapiens. Next base: position 77,219,495 of record NC_000004.12, read on the forward strand.
ATAAGGCTCATCTGACTTTTCCCCTAATGTAAGGGAAGATGAGTGACTAAAGCACAGCAGATAAAACAATGAGCATGAGTTGGAGGTGTTGTAGAGACACAGAAGACAGCAGCTCATGCACATCCTTTTGAAATCCCTGAAAGCAGAATTTGCTGGTGTACCCACTGCTTCGTCCCAGTGCACTCTCAACTTCATAGTAACTTCTGGATAGTTCTGGCAATCAACTCCCAAACTTTAGAGATGGTGAATTCTTATAGCAAGGGTTATCACTATTGAACTAATTCCTTCATAACAAATTTGGCCAACTCTAGCCTCTTGTAGAGGCTCAAACTTGAACACTAGTTCCAATACTTTAACTGGTTCAGGCAGTCTAGTACACTTTTCTTCCTCAAGGGTTAAGTCTGTGTGTTACTACTTCTGCAGCTTACATGCAAACAACTTCCCCCAAGGTAATTTGGCTGAGGTGTTAGACCAGGTCTAGTTATCTCTGTGGGTACATAGGTTTATGGGGTACATGAGATACTTTGATACAGGCATGCAATAGATAATGATATAGTGGTAAATGGGATATCCATTCCCTCATTTATCCTTTGTGTTTAAAAACAATCCAGTTACACTCCTAGTATAACACGTACAACTACTGACTATAGTCACCCTGTTGTGTTATCAAATACCAGGTCTCATTCTAACTTTTTACACCAATTAACCATCCCCACTACCTTTCCCAGCCTCTAACCATCTAACTTTCTCCATGAGTTCAATTGTTTTAATTCTTGGCTCTCACAAATAAGAACATGTGAAATTTGTCTTTCTGTGCCTGGCTTACTTGACTAAGGGTTATATTCATGTTGCAAGTGACAGGATCTCATTTCATGGCTGAATAGTGCTCTATTGTATATGTACTCCATTTTCTTAATTTGGACTAGGTTTAGAATGTAGTTCTGACTTTGTCTAGTGTCTAAAAATACCACTAAATTCACAAAAGCAGAAAGTGAATCAAACTCAAGTACTGAGGAAGATGTAGCAGTACTGAGTTCCAATCATTTCTCTCTGAGCACCTTCGAGAAGGGTAGGTGGGAAGATGGATATCTTGTATCCATTATTTTGGAAGCTCAGCATTAGGATCCTTCCTGGCATCCCTAAAGGTGTAAAGCCAGTTTGAAATGGTATCTGAACCATTGAGCCCACAGTGGCAGTGTTTTCTTAATAAAATAGTAAGAATTTTGGCTATCTAGACATGTATTTAGGCTGGATAGGTGAAAGAAGCACAAAACTCCTAGGTCAGGAGCCATTACTGGGAAAGAAGTCATGCCAGAGGATAAGACAAATGTTTGGGGTCCTAATGAGCTATGAGTTGGTATGTAACCAGAAACTAGAGAACTACAGGAAGGATGGCACATCCTACATGTGCCAGAACTGGGCAGTACACACATCTGAGAAGATTTAGAATTGAAGGGCTTGGTCATGATACACAGGCATTCTAGTCAAGTAGAGAGGGATCATATTCCAAGGGGTCCTTCAGCTTATTGTTGCAGATTGGGTTGTTGACAGATTGAAGTGGAGCTGCCATGAAGAGTACTTAGAGAACTTGTTTAAAGGTATGGGAAAGGAAGAACTGCATTAGAAAGCTAACTGGTGTGGGTGCACAAATGCTTTGGCCAGTCCCAAGACAGCACTGGCATGCATGTGGCCCATCAGTTACTCCATGGTGGCTTGAACTGGCAGAACTTCATACAGCCATTGTGCCCAGTTACTTGACTATGCTTTCTAGTCCCTGGCCTGCGCTCTCACACGAATGTACTCGGCACATCTTTCCTAGTAGGGCCACTGCCTTTCCTGAGCATGTCCCATCCCCTGCCCCCACCCCCTACCCGAAATAGAACTGAGCTTTAGTTACTGGATACCTGCCAACAGAGTCCATGAGGACTAGTTTTATTCTGATAAGAGACTTCAACTGAATTAAATTTAAGAGTTCAGTTGAGCAATGAATGATTCACGACTCGGGCAGCCTCCTGAGCCAAAGTATGCTCAGACACCCCAGCGTAGTCACATGTAGTAGACTTAGACAGAAAAAGTGTTATAAAGAAAACAGAAGTGAGGTACAGAAACAGCCAATTGGTTGCAGCTTGACATTTGCTTATTTGAATAGTTTGAATGGTTGACTACATTTGATTGGCCAACTCTGGCACAAGTGTAGGCTGTGGTCTGGTTATAACTCCACTTATTGTAATTAACAATGTATAGAGAAACCTTTAGGCTGAACTTTAATATGTAAGTTTAGCCTAAAGCTGCCTCCTTAACAACTCCAAGTAGGATACAGTGTGTAGAGGCTAATATACTGCCAACATCTGTTAAATATAATGTAAGAATCAAACTAAGGAGAATCTGTAGGAATCAAACTTTTCAGGACGATCATAGAACACTTATCAGTAATGGTCTGTCCTTTTAAATGTCACTTCTGTAGCACGTATAAACCTGTGTGGTGAGAGTACCTAAAATCTACTCAAATCAGTGGGACTGGGTGCGGTGTCTCATGCCTGTAATCCCAGCACTTTAGGAGGCTGAGGGGGGCAGATCGCTTGAGGCCAAAAGTTCGAGACCAGCCTGGCCAACATGGCAAAACTGTACTAAAGATACAAAAATTAGCCAGATATGATGGCGTACTCCCAGCTACTTGGGAGGCTGAGGCCTGAGAATTGCTTGATCCTGGGAAGTTGAGGTTACAGTGAGCTGAGATTGCCCCACTGCATTCTAACCTGGGCGACAGAGTAAGACCCTGTCTCAAATCAGTGTACAACACAGTATTAACTATAGCTCTCACATTGCATATTAGATCTCCAGACTTTACCTACATGACTGCAACTTTATACCCCTTTGACTTACATCTTACTTCCCCCTGTTCTCTGTAAGCACTGTTTGAATGTTTCTATGTATTAAATATTTGGTTTTCTTAGATTCTACAATAAGATCATGAGTTGTCTTGGCTTGGTTTATTTCACTTAATATTTTCCAGGTTCATCCATGTTGTCACAAATTACAGGATTGCCTTCTAAGGCTGAATGATGCTAAAATGAACATGGGCGCATAGGCATCGTTACAAGGTGGTGACTTCATTTCCTTTGGGTATATACCTGTAAGAGGAAATGTTGGGCTCTTAACTTCTTGAGGAAGCTCCATATTGTTCTCCATAACATCTGCACCAATCTAATTCCCACCAACAGCAGACAAGGTTTCCTTCCCTTCTCTACATTCTTGCCAACACCAGCTTGTCTCTTTGAAAAGTCATCCTAACAGACATGAGGTGATGCTTCATTGTGGTTTTGATTGACATTTTCCTGACCAGAGATGTGGAGCACTTCATATATATCTGGCCACTTGTATGTCATCTTTGGAGAAATGTCTATTTAGCTCCTACCAACTTTGAAAATTGGGTTGTTTTATTAATATTGAGATGTGAATTGACTAAACTTCGTATGTTAACACCTTATTAGATATTGTTTGCAAATACTCCGGCAAATTCATAGGCTGCCTTTTCATTTTGTTTCTTTTGCTGTGTAGAAGTTCTTCAATTTGTAGTCTCACTTAAATTTGCTTTTGTTGCCTATACTTTTTGGTATCCTGTTCAAGAAATAATTGCCAAGACCAATGTCAAACTGTGTTTTCTTGCAGGGGTATTAGTTTCAGGACTTGATTTAGGGCTCTAATCCATTAGTCACTTGTGTATAAGGGTTCAATTCCTTTTTTGCCTGTAGAAATCGTTTTCCCAAAACCACTTATTGAAGCGTCTAACCTTTCCCTATGGTGTCATCTTGGTACCACTGAACTAGTTGACTACATATGTTTGAGTTTTTCTGGCTTTCTGTCCTGTTCTGTTGGCCCATTGGTCTGTTTTAATGCTGGTATCATACTGCTAGGATAACTAACCTGGCACTGAGATCAGGTAGTGTTCTAGCGGATTTGTTCTAGCAGAAGTTTTCCTAGCAGGCTATCCTATGAATTTTAAGACTCTTCTTCCTATTTCTATGAAAATGAATTTTGCATCTGTAGACTGCTTTGGGTAGTGTGGACATCTTAATATTGCATCTTATGAGCTTGGGATATCTTCCCATTTATCTCAAATTTCAGTGTTTAGTTTTCTGTACGAAGATCTTCTATCTCTCTGGTTAACTTATTCCTAAGTCTTTTTTTGATTAAGTGGGATTGTTCTTTTTGGGGCAGTGTAGTGTATAGAAATGCTACATTCCTGTATGTTTGTATCCTGCAACATGACTGAACTCATTAGTTTTAACAGTGGAGTCTTTAGGGTTTTCTATATGATGTCTGCAAACAACGGCAACATTACTTTACCTTTCTGATTTGGATGCATTTGATTCTTCTTGGCCCCTTGCTCTGGCTAGGACTTCCACTACTGCACTGAACAAAAGTAGTGAAGCAACTGTCTTGTTGCTTGATCCTAGAGGAAGAGTGTTCAGCTTTCCACTATTGAGTATGATGTTAGTTGTGGGCTTGCAATATATGGCCTTTTGTGTTCAAAACACTTCTATACCTAATTCCCTTTTCTCCATGAAAAGATTAACTGTTAAACGCCCTTTCTGCATCTGATGATCGTAGCATGTATAAATCAAGGTAGTTCAATGTAAGTCTAAATGGCTTGGACCACCTGAAAGACTTTTCTCTGCCTTGGTCAAAGGTAGCCTGAAGCTTCAAGATCTCTTGTCCTAAGGCCATTCCATCTTTACCCTCTTCACTCAGACACTCTGAAAGACCTATCCAAGGAAGAACAACAAAGCCAGAACTTGTCTATCGCCTGGAGCAGGGCTTTTCTAGGTACCTGTTGCAGGTTCCTCAGGTTGGTGTACTCCTCAGGCAGGAGCAGTCCTGTCCCAGTCTTCTTGCATGTATAAGCAAGAGATCAAAAGTGGCTCTACCCATGAGAGGGGTGGGAGTTTTAACTTATTTTTACTTGCCTGATGTGTCGTAACTTTGACAATGAGCTTTCAGAAGAGTCGACAGAGCTGCCTAGAACCAGGTGCTAGTAAAGCACAGAGGCCAGGGAGACGCAAGTGAGCTGTGTGGAGGTGTACCAAAATGATAGGTTAGAGGATGGATCCCATAGGTACAGACTTTATTAGTATCATTCCGAAACAGCTAAATTGGCTATTCAGTTTATGATGGTCCTTGGGGTTCTAGGAACTGCCTGTTACTGCAATGTGGAAAAACCAACTCCTGATCCAAATCCCGAGTGGTGTCAGGACCCTCTGTCTCAGGCAAGACCTCCATTATCTCTTGACTTCAGATGAAAACTTTCATGCCTTTCAACAGCAGGTGTCAAAACTTAAGAGGTGTCCAAGGTAACTGAGCCATGAGGCAAAGTACAAGATAAGGAGTGATAGGACGCAGGAGATAGCACAGTCCATGTGGGGAGGTGGGCAACCTGTGAGAGCCCCAGTGATCCTCACATGTGGTAAGCACCCTACTTTCAGGGTAGATGTAGTTACTTGCCTTGTGATGAATAGTTAATGGAAGAAGTTGATGGTACATTACTTCCAAGATTAGGCTATAGAGACTGGCTTCTGTAGTTGGTCTTTTTCTCTTTGATCAGTTGTTCAAGGAGACGGCAAGCTGCTACATTTATGAGTCACCCCATGGAGGATAAAAGTGTCACAGCAAGTAGCAGAAACCCTCAGTCCAACAGCCTGTCAGGAGTTGAAGCTCACCACCTGTGAGTGAGTTTGGAAGTAGACATTCTGAGGTGTGACAGCTGCCATGAGTATACTTGGAGGCAGATCCCCCTGACACTGAGCCTTCAAATGGAAACTTATCTGGCTAACAGCTGGATTGCAACCTCATGAGAGAACGTGAACCAGAGGCATTTACCTAGGCTGTACTTGTGTTCCTAACCCTTGGAAACTGTTTTAAGCTGCTAATTTGGGATCATTTGTTTGGCAGCAACAGACAAGCAATAGCCTATGTGAGTTGGCAGCTGCTACTTAGCTTGACCCAACCATTTGCTCTATTAGAATGACAACTCTGGCTAAGAAGGAACTCAATGAACTAGAAATTTAGATTTCTAAATTATAGGGCAGAGGTAACATGATAGTAGACTCTGGAGTCTTCATGTTTGATCAACATTACATTTTTAATAAAGTAATGCTACCTTCTGAGTCTCTCTTGTGGGAGGCCAAGTGGTAAAACTAAGGCTCTAAATCTCAAGTAAGCCTGCTGAGATGCTACCAAAGTCTGTCTTCTATCCTCTTCCAATTCCCCTTGTCATCTTCTGGTCAATGAATGGGGTAAGACTATTTGGATCAAGATACAACAGCCTGAATGAGCTGAGGAGTCTTGGTGCATTCTTTGAAAATGGTAATGGAGTAGATATAATTGGAGAACTTTCCAGGGTCAGACCAGAATGCCAGGTAGCAGAGACAGGCATGCTGAGGCCTTAGAGCATCTGCACTCTGAGATGGCTGTCCTTGGGTGCCATCGTAGACATCATCCTCTTAAGACTTTAATTCTTCTCACTCAGCACAGGGAGCTCTACCTACTGATAACCTGGCGGGCAGCACTGTCCAATTGAAACATTGTGAGCCACCTGTGTAACTGGAACTTTTAGTAGCTACATTAAGAAACACAAAGCAAGCGAATCTTAAAATGGAATCTAGTTGGACTTGTAGTCAATCACAACTACTAGTTGTGGGTGGATCCTAGCTCAAAAATTTCCTGCCCATGTAGAATTCCTTGCCTGTTAACAAGAGAATGTACTGGATTATCTAATCATGCTTCCCTAAGATGTTCTGCCACTTCAGGAATGTGTTTTAAAAGGAACGATGAACTTTAAGCATATCAGTTGTGACCTTAAAGGCTTTTTGGTGTCTGAAAAGTTCTAAAATATAGTCTAAGTTTTCACCTTTCTCTGGTACCTCCTTGAGTAGCTTAATAATCAACCTTCTGAACTCTTATCTAGCAAATCAGACATTTCTTGGTTTGGATCCATTGCCGGAGAGCTAGTGTGATATTTTGGGAGTATTATAGAACCTCTAATCATATTACCAGAAGTACTTTTCTGGTTCCTTCTCATTTGGGTAGACTGTTTCAGTGGAAAAATCTGGAACTCAAGGGCTACTGTTCAGATTTTTGTCCCACAGAGTGATCCCTTTATGTGATACTCTCTTCTCCTAGGGATGGGGCTTCCTGAGAGCTTAAACTGTAGTGATTGTTATTGCCCTGCTGGGTCTAGCCACCCAGCAGGGCTCTGGGCTCTGGGTTGGTGCTGGGGAATATTTACACAGTCCTGTGATGTGCTGTGTCTTCAGGTCTCCCAGCTGTGGATACCAGCACCTGCTCCAGTGGAGGTGACAGGGGAGTGAAGTGGACTCTGGGAGTCCTTGGCTATAGTGAGCTGGTTTTTCAATGCTGGTCATGCAAGCAGTGAAGTCGTCACATGGACAGACTTGGGACCTCTGGTTAGCCAGGGTGTGCAGGCAGTGGAATTAACTGTTTTCTCCTCCTCTGGAGCAGGGTGGGTCTGTTATGAGTTGCTGTAATGGGTTGTTGATTAGCCTCCAACCAGGAGGTGGCACTTTAAAGAGCACCAGCTGCAGTAGTATAAGAGGATATAATCTTCCCCTGTGTTGGCCAGGGTGAGTACTTGGGTTTCTCAGGTGATGGGTGGGGCCATAGAGCTCCCAAGAGTTTCTTTGGTTATCACAGCAGGTAGGAAAAAAATCAGGTGGGGTCATGGCTAGGTGAGTCTGAGCTCAGACTCCTGGGGTGGGGCTTGCTGCAGCCACTGTGGGAGGGGATAGGGGGTGGTTTTCAGGCCAATGGATCTGTTTCTGGGGGGATTATGGCTGCCTCTGCTGTGTCATACAGGTTTCCAGGGAAGTGGGGGAAAGCTGGTAGTGACAGGCCTCACCCAGCTGCTATGTAGCCGGCAAGGCCATTCTGGCTCCTGCTGTGCCCTGCCAACAGCACTGAGTTTATATCCAGGCAGCGGGTGTGCAGGGCTGAGATCTTGCCTCAGGCTATAAGCCTTTACACTGAGAAAGCAGGGCTCTCAGGCAGCTCATGAACCAATGGCTGTAGCTTCTACTTGTATCTGCACTGCCTGTTTAACTCCCTGGATTCTGCTCAGGAAAATTTATGCTTAATTTAGTACAAACTTCAGCTAGAAGCTTCCTTCACCTTGTGGCCCCTCTCCAATTTCACTGGCTGCCTTCCCCAAGGACCCCTGTGAGAGGGCCAGGAAATGGCTTCCCTGGGCCTGAGCTGGGGATTGGGAGTGCCTATAGGGCTCTTCTAGTTGCTGCTTCTACTTACGTATTTCACTCCACTCCCTAGATGAGTTTCAGCTCTAGGTAAGGTTAAATCCTCCTCCTGTGATCTGGGTTTTCATGTTCCTCAGTGGGGATGTGTGTTTGAAAGCAGGCTTCTCCCCCTCTCACACTTTTGGGAGCTCAGTTTTTTGGCTGTCTCATGGATTTTGCAGCAGCAAGCTGCTTCTTTCAAAGGGTCTGAATTGTTTTCCTGGTATGTTCCTGCAGTGGCTCTTGGAGTAAAAGCCCATGATGTGAGTCTCCACACTGTTCTTTCTGTCCAAGTGGGAGTTGCACATTAGTTCTGTCTCTTGGCATTTTCTTCTAAAATCCTACAATATGGTTTTTAGATTGGCTGAGAGTAAACCATTCTTATGCCACCTGGAGGAAACTAGTCTCATAGCATGATCCACAGGGGAGGGCAGAGTAAAATCAGCTGTGGGAGTAGACAGCCTCAATATAGGGATCCCAGCCAGATCTGGGGCAGCTGCCATGGATGTGGGACATTTCAGTCCCCAGAGTAGGAAGGACCTTGGGATGGCAGGCTCAACTCTCTACCTCCCTCTGAGGGGAAGACTCAAGCTGGGGAACCCCTAGGGGATGAAGGTTGAGATGATCCACATGAAGTACCCATCAACCATGGGCAGTGTCTGTGCAGAATGTATCCAGGGTGGTGTCTTAATCTTTGATTCTGGATGTAGAATGTCTTAAACTGCTTGTCGTTGTAAAACGGAGGTATATTTGACTGGTTAATTGCCAGATGACTAAAACCTTACTTTTTACTTCATTTTGGAGACTTTGAAGGCCTGATTCAGAGTTGAAGGCTCAGAGTTGAAAGAAACGTGGTAGACTTACAGTAGACTTCCCTCACACCCCAGGTAGCTCCCTCTTCATGTCAGGTGTGTTAAATGAGGCTTGTATACTTGTATGCCTACCATGTGACAGAAGCTGTGATTTACTCCTAACTCTCATCTTATTGCTAAAGACTTGGCTGGAGAAAAGCTAATATGCCTGCACGACATTCTTGTTCCCTTTCCTAGGAAAAGGCACCTAGACCTTACAGCAACAGGCCAGGATGGCATGGTCCTGGTGGAGTGGGAGCAGAAGCATAGAAGCACTTAAAGTACATCCCCCATGAGTATTCACTGTTCCCTGCCCAGGTAGTCTTAGGACCTCCTGAGTCCCATGTCCTGCCTGGGCCCATCTGTGAGGTGGGGGAGATGCATCTTCACTAGATGAAGGGCACAGCTAGATTTAGGATCTTGGCTTTTCTTCAGATATTATCCTCCAGGTTTCCTGATATACCTTGGAGCCAAGACTTGATAGGTGGGGATTCCACTCCAATCCATACCACAGACTAATTGTCTGAGGGAATTCTGTGTACTAGATACAGACTGAAAAGAGTTGGATTCCATTTACCTCTTCACCTGCCTCCACCCATTAACATAGATTAATCTCTCCTGAAACTTCTGTAGACCACTGCCACCCATGCCTCTGGGCTTGGTCAGTCATCCTCACATCTGCTACAATGGGCCACCTTCTAGAGCTGCTGGCCAATTTGGGAATTTTTAGATATGGTTCATGTTTTTTCACCCTACATTGCTTTAGGGTTGGGGCTTCTTACTATGCTTTAGGTTTCAGCTCAGAAGTTACTGTCTCACCTTCGGTCATCTTCCTTCATGGCTGGTCACCCTATGTGCTCCCCAAGATGCTCAGAAACTTAATGGTGTGGCTCCAAGCTTCAGACACCGACTTGTACTTGCTGAGCCTAGCAGAGTGGGAGGGGAAGCTGGGCACTAGGTTACATTCTCATTAGTCTTGCCAAGGATTTTGGACATGACCTGACATGTAGTAGGGAAGCTGTTAAGAATTACAGGTGATTTGCAGGTGTTTGTCATCAGACTTAATTTTATAAACTTGCCATTCTAGAAAACAAAGATGTCAGGAATCATGGGCAGGGGAAGCCATTTTGAGTGTCCAAGTCTTGGTGAGAAATGGAATAGGGTGGCAGGATTGGAAATGCAAAAAACATTTGAAGGACACAAGAGATGTAATCAATAGGATTTGGTGGCTCCTGAAATCCTTACCGGGAATATGGGTAAACATAAAGACAGCATAATGGAGGGGATCTAGTGTCCAGGTCCAAAGATAGCCATACTCAAAAGCACCCAATGATGGAGACATGTATAAGATACATGAGTAGCCATGGTGTAGGACTCAGCCAAATGAGTCATAAAGGTAACTTGGCTTTCACTGGCTAATACTTCAATATTCCACTGGCTTCAACTTTTAACATTAGGCCCTCTTTTATGCTGGACTACCTCTGGCATTGAGAGGTTTTATTTCACCATTGCAGCAGTACGACTGGGATATAATACCCAAACTTGAGTTGCAGAGTAAAACTGTTACCCAAAACTATAAGTTTCCAAATGCAAGGCTTTCTAAAATGGTGGTTTAACATAATGTAATACAACATAGGTATGTGGCCTGAGGTTGTAGCTTATAAACCATATCCATATATCAGACAAAACAAGACAGAATTCTGAAAGGGAGTCAAAGATAAAAACTACAATGTGACACTGCTAATAAAGTCTTGTAACCTTGTACAGATTGTAATCCTGGCCCTACCTACCATGATAGGATGTATATGTTGTCAGGTTAGCTTCTACCAACCTCAAGTGTCCTACAAGTTGAGCTTAGGTGCCTACTTGTATTCTGGCTAATCAAGGGGCAAGAGTTTAGTACTTGCAAGAGGATCTTTACCATCACCAGTAGTCTGTACCACCTGGTATTTAAAGGAAGCCCTTCTGATGTGATGCCAAATTCAACCACACGTGTAATATACTAGCTAACCTCATCAGATTGCCTCTGCTTCTCCCACTGTGTGGTGGGCCAACCATGCCTAACCCTTCTAAAGTTGATCAGCTGATTTAGACATCAATCTGGCTTTGAGTGTAGTAGTCAGATGTTAGCTACTGGCAGGTTCAGGTGCAGTTCTGCTGAGGAACCTCATGCGAGAACATCACCAAGAACATGTAGGGCTATGGAGCACTTGTCACATTGTGCAAGTTCTGGCCCCTGAGGCTAGTGTATTCAGTACCTCACCAGAATCCAGGTAAACAGCAGCTTGTCATCCAATTGTGTGGCCTGGGCAAGATTAGCAAAGCCATTTGTATTGTCTTGGGTCTTTGGGCTAGAGATGTAAATACAGGGCTTGGGCATGAGGTTACTCAAGCAGCCCTGGTGAAGTGTAGAAAAGTAGCAGGAAGTAACTAGCTCTTTTGTTTCCTGCTGTGGGTCCTCTGGGTAGGCCTGGATTCCCTGGGGTGGATTCAGTACTTACACGCGTGATCCTTGAGCAATGTCACATGGATGTGTGAAGCTTGGCACTGGAAGTCCCAGTTGCATGATATGTCGAAGATCAGTCAAGACAAAGCAGGGGTACAATAGCATTAAAAGATCAGGTTATCTGGTGTTTTCTGGGGAAGCATTTCAAAACTGAGGGGGGAAGTATCACTTGTCAGTAGGTAGGTGTGCCAATTATGGATTCTTTGGCTTAAAGTTATGAAGCCATGACAGTAAGACACTGTGGGCCCTAGGAGAAGTGAAGTTCTACTCCCTTAAGCCCTGGCTTTTTATTAGATTAAGAAACTATGGGATTCACTACTAGTTAGCTAACCCAGTACCCATATGTAACCCCTTTTCCATCACCAAAGTAGCTGTGAAAGGAATACATTGCTAAACTAGCCTCCAGAGAAGGTGAATGTAAGAGATAAGTCACAAACATAAGTCTGCTGGTAGGCTCCTGGGAAAGCTATTTATTTGACTAAAAATAGCATAGCAGATACTGCTCTACCCTGTATTTGTACCTGAAATATCCATGATATCTGGAGCTTAGCCATCTTGGGCCTTAGGTACAAGCATGTTGATAAATATCCTAAAGATCATAGGGTGAATAGGACCTGGTGACATCACTGTACAGTACAAATACCAGTAATTGCCTGTCTTCAGACTTGCTATATATGGAAAACAATCCTTGATGTTCAAGCCAACTGTTACTGTGTACGTCCAAATACATACCTGAACCACTGGATAAGACTCTAAATTTCAAATCTTAATTCATTCTCTTCCAAAGTTTCTGTAGTCCAGAAAAGGAAGAACAAGGCCAGGCTGCTTACTTGTATCATAACGGTTCTCCAGACTGGTCATTGAGATGAGGCAAAGGTAAACAGTCCTAAATATCCTTAGTCTGAGATGGACAAAGATGTACTCCCTTTATTTCTCTACCTAAAATGACTTCAACACTTCAGTTAAATTCAACAAACCTGAATTACTTTTAGGTTAAGAATTTTCAGGTAAAACCAGTTGACTCACTCTTCCACATGTACTTAGTTTTTGTTCTTCTAAAAGCTGACGCTGAGACAAGGATTTGGGTGTAAGTAACTAAATTGTGGGGGTGATGGCAGTAGCACACTGAGGGAGACAGAAGTGAGACAAGGCAAGTAAAACAAAACGTTGGTGAGAAGGTGAGCCCGGTGGGCAACTGGGCCCAATTCTGAGGAATGGTCTAGGTGGACTTCTGGGGGAAATCAACACATCCCTGCCCCTCACTCACTGATGGTCCTTTCCAAGGACTAATTGCAAGTGCTCTCGGCCTGCCCTGCATGCAGGCAAGCATGGTCCTATGGCAGGAGAGCACAGGCAGAGACGGATAGCTATTGGCATGTGTCTGCAGCTGACCGCTGGGTGACTTGAGCAAATATCCAAGAGGAGCTGAGTGTTTGGTGTAACTTGCAGCTAGATGCACTTGTGCCGCATATTGAGTTCACTTATTCTCAGCTTGAATGGTCACCATCTTGAAGAACCACCCTTTAGAAAGAAACTGCAGTAAAAGAGTGACAAGTGACACTCACCACAGCTGCAACTCATCCAGAGATGGTAACGATGTCCATCTCTTCTAACCACACATTCTAGAGGCTTTTCCATGCTCTGCCAATATCTATGCTAATCTTGATTGCTTACTCAGTAAAGTGACCCAGACGATGACTCATGAGAGGCCTGAGCACCTTGTACTTGTCAGACCATCATTGCTGCATAATCTGGTTCCTTACCTCATGGTGGCAACAAAGTACTGTGGTGAACCCCGTATATCTAGATATAATCCTCCCTTACATAACAGAACCTACTTGAACAGGATAGGCGTCAACTACCCCTGCCAATAGAATAACTCCTCTCTGCTTGATGGTCTACTGGTATGAAATGCCTAACCCATTCTACAGCTCCTAAAAGATGTATCTGCCTCTAGGGAATCAACAGCTCTGATCCTATGGGGGTAAGTTTGTGAGACAGGAAGCATTTCAGTCTCCAAGTGGGTCACCAGTATGTGACAGAGGCCATACATCTACTTCTTGGCTATTGGACACCATACTATAGTTTTGGGGGCCAAAATACTGTTATGGCTGCTCAACTTACAGTACAACTTCATATGCTACTGGGATACTTAAGGGTTGATATGAAAACAGGGGAAACCTCTCCCTAGTTGAGGTGCAAAAGCAAAAGTACTAGGTCTCTGGGTAAATAGCCAAAATGGAAAACTAGTATGGAAGGCGGCTGAGATCACATGGCTCCATCTGTGCTCAAGCTTCTCATGTTTCTTAGCTCATCTGGGATTCTTACTGCCTGAACCATCTACCAGGTGTTCGCTCATTTTCTTGGTGCCTTTTACCTCTCGGAAGTGGTTCCTCAGGTACTCACAGGGGTGAGGGGTTTGCATGCTTGCCAAGTCCAGTACATGTGGACTTGGCAGACTGTGGTTCAGATTTCTATTTATGGCCTACTGGGTGGGAACCCATCTCTTCCTGGGAAGAGGGTACTGCTGATTCAGGATGTCTTGGTGCTTTCACAACTTGCCTCTGCCAGATAGTGGCTCATGCTTTCCAGGAATTAGGGTAAGTTCACCTAAGAGCAATAACTTGAGCATATCCTGAGTGTGAGACACTGTGTGGCAGATGCACCTGAACGTGCTCAGAGCTAGGGAATCCAAGAGTGGCCAACCTGGGGGATTTGTTCCCTGTCTGTGAGGAACCTCAGGGCCCCTGGCCTTTGGAACATGGGCTGTATGGGGGATTGAGGCCCTGAGTTTTGGGTTAAATGAGTTGTCAGGTGGAAATCCTTAAGGGGAGGATGCTACGTGAACTGCATGCTGTTAGCAAGTGGTTGTGGCTTTCTTGCCTAGCTCACCACCACTGGGCTGTGTTACCTTGTCCAGCCCACTGCCACTGGACTGCAGGAAGGCAGACGTGTTATCCAGCCACTGCCACTGGACTGCAGGAAGGTGGATATCTTGTCCAGCCCACCGCCACTGGACTATCTGTATGTAATGCAGTTCTGTCCAGTCTGCTGCCGCTTATTCTGTATGTAAGCCCCCAGTGAAACTCCATGTCTTGTTTGCTAGTTTTGGGTCTCTTTTGCCTCCTGAACATGATATCTTCCCTATTGAGGTTAATAGGGGTTCAGCACAATGCCAGGGCCACATCCTTGTGGTCAAAATGGAAGCCCAGGAACCTCATAGGAAAAGGGGGTGCTCAGGTACAAATGGGCCAAGGGGCTGACAGCATCTTTAGCCTGTGTGGACTGATGCTGGGTGCATGGAAACTTGTGATAAGATAGGTGATATGAAAGACTGTCAGCAATTTGGGGTGGGTCTTAAGTCTGGGCTTTCAAAGTATAGATCCTAGGATGAGAATGTGAGGGAATAAGGATATAGAACCAAGTAAAATTCCATGTAAAAATCCTTAAGTTGGTAGAGAAGGGTGAGGGTAAAGAGGTGAGCAAACATGTGATAACTAAGCATAGTCCCATGGGTGGTAACTCTAGTTCATCATGGCTGAAGAACTCTGGAGGGAGAACAGGTCATACCTCACATGTTTCAGTAAGTGGCAAGGGAGCGAAATTACTTACACCCCCTCTCTCTGTCATTGGATAAAGCCAGTCACTATAGGGACATACCCCAGGCTCATTGAATTCTCTTTCTTTGGGCTGGCTCCCTGAGAGATGAAACAATGCTAGCTGTTAGCAGTAAAATCACCAGGAGCTATTGTCCCTGAGATGGGAGAGGGACCTACGGAGGTGTTGGCAGAACACTGGCAGTCTCTTGGGGGGGGTCTCTAGAAGCCTGGAGTTTGAAGGGAGAAACCCTAGTCTGTTCCTTCCTAAATGCTAAGAAATCAAACACGTTCTCAAAATGAGGTGCCATGGTTGTCATGAACTTAAAGCGAGACCAAGCAATGTGGTTTCAGTGTGAACTCCCCAGAACCTGAGTCATGTGAAACAAATGAAACATTCTCAGGAGAAACTAGTGGAAAAACGGAGGCAGAGCAGGGGTTGGGAAGGAAGCTAAGGCTGTGATCTCTAGCAAAAATCATACTACAGGCTATGCAGACTCCTTGGATCCCCCAGGGCAGCACTAGACTGCAGGATACACCTCAGCTGTGCATCTTCTCTTCATCACACTGACAGCCATTCATTAGTGACCTGGTTTGGAAGGTCTGCAATGGGTGATTCTGGCTGCATATGTGTGCGCACACAGGCAAACGGGTCTAAGAACCCAAGTGCAGTGCTGCAAAATGGCTGCAGGTGCTGCTGTCTGAAGTCATGCAGAGGCTAGGACTGAGAAAGGAAATGGTAAAAAGGAATGAGAAAAGTGGGCATGGCTTAAATATGGTTCACTAGTAACACCATATTTAGAAAGAAAAGTACAAAGAGTAGGTGGCAGGTAGAGCACTCTTCCCTTTTTAAAATTTTGGTAGTTTCTGGAACAGGTGGTTTATGGTTACATGGATGAGTTCTTCAGTGGTTATTCTGAGATTTTGGTGCACCTGTCATCTGAGCAGTATAAACTATACCCAATGTGTAGCCTTCTATCCCTCACCCCCTTCCCTTGAGTCCCCAGACTCCATTTATATCATTCTTATGCTCTGCAACATGCCTGACTGTCCTTAGAACATAACATCTCACAGCTTACAGGTTCATCTTTGGGCTTTATTCCAAGAACAAGACAACTTTCAAAATGGTCTCATGGGAATGTCTGCTTTTCCACGGCTCACCTGGCATCTTGGAAGATAGTGATATGGGAATTCCCAAGAGTTAGAATCTTTGCAAATAGCCTATTCCTGGTTTTCTTCAAGTAATAAAATCCTTAGCATCAGTAATGCAATGATTGGCAACCTTTGGCTACCTGGCCTATCTGTGCAGGGGTCCTGTGCTGCATTCTTAGTCACTTTAACTCCTAGGCATGATTTCAGGACTGTTTTTTGGGGGAACAGTCGGTGAATCTTCTGTAGAAATTGAAGTTCTGGAGGTACAGTTCCTACTGAAGACACTCCTGTGCTTGGCCCCCATTTCATGTTAGAACAGCAGCTTGACTAGCATGTTCACTGAACAAGTGAATCACATGTTTCTAACTGTCAGAGGATGGATGGGATTTCCAGGAAGCAGATCATCAGATGGAGGTGAGCCTCAGGAAGCTCACCAGGGAGTGGTCTTGGGCTCCACACCTGTGAAAGCGAAGGAAAGGAAGAAGTGGAGCTGTGATGCCTTCTTCAAAGAAGCTTCAAGCCAACCCTGTCAGGGGGTTTTGAAGCCAAGGTCCTTTTAGAGCTATCCTGCCTGCATTGGGATGAGGGGTCTGGAGTTTTAATCTCAGGTGGAACATTGGATGCCAGCCACCCAGGAAGAGGTGTGACTTCTGGTGAGCCAAGCCCAAGAGGGGCGGACTGCTGACATCTGCCTGCCTGCCTGTGGGCATCCAGTAGCTGGGAGAACAAACCTTTCATTCCTGAAAGGTTTATGTAAAAGCACATGGCAGAAAACACACTGAACATCTAGACCTAATATGAACCTCAAAAGCAGTAATAAGGTTTATTTTCATGCCTTATGTGGTGAGTAGGAAGTCACAGGCTGTCCTAATCAGATAAATGATTTGGTTGAAGTCGAGTCAACCTCATCTTTGTCCTGGAATTCTTGTACCTTTTGGGGCAACAGGGCTTCAATGTTTTGACTCAGAGCAGAACGAGAATTGTCAGGAGGAAACCCCATGGCTGGATTCACCACTGTCCAAGGGAAGTGGCCTGAGGGCTCAGCTGGGTGGTCATGAAGGCAAGGGTGATGGATTGGTATAGGCACTCCTTCCTGTTGCTGAACACTGCTCTCCTTGCACTACCTCCTGGTAGGAACACCTGTCTCGATCGTTATCTTGGCAGCCACCTCATAAGCATATATGCTACATCTATAAAGACAAAGTACTGCTCTCAAATATGTCCTGGAGAATACAAATTCAGAAGCTTATCACCACCTGTGTGACTTCCATAGCAATGACTAGTGTTAAAGCAAAGAACTAAGTCTTTTGAATATAAACACAAACCAAACTGGGGATTAACTGAGTGGTGTCGTGATTAGTAACAGCAGCCCTCATGTTGGCATCACCAGTTGGAATTACCTGATTCCAGGGAACCCTGGTTCCCGTGGGCTTCCAAACCAAAGGGACAGATCGGAGTTCTAACCTCATTGCTCAGTCTGGGTTCCTCCAGCCGCTCAAATTTTGGATGCTTTCAGAGCCACCTCTTAAGGATGACTTTGGGGGCCATGAACAGACAACTAACTATGCCCAGGAAAATCATGAGTTCGTCTGGGTCAATAGAATAAATGGCACACAGAATGTGAGAAGACTAGAACAGAACAAGGTAACTGCATCTGAGCAATTGTGAGATAACTTGGTACATAGTAAAACAATTGGGAAGGGTGGGGGGTAACTTCTGGAAGGGAGGATCCATATGCCTCAGATAACACGTCAGCATGGAATTTATAAAGCAAACGGCCAAAAGCCACATTGTGGCAATTCAGGATTGGTGTAGACTCCTGGCATGGGTGGTCATCTCTATTCTGAATGGAGTAGCCTTGGGTGTGTCCATAGGGATCTACAAGCTGACTTCCACATCTGAACTTACTCCAGTACTTAAGTTGTAGTTTTAACCCAAAACTTCTATACTGCTGGCTTGTGTTGTGATGCAGATGCCAAGGTGTGGGGTTAGATGCTCAAGAACTTTGGGGTGGGGAAAGTTCTGTGAGGGAAACTGAGGGAGCTGGAAGAGTCTGGGAAGAGGACTATGATGCAGGCCTGACTCTGAAGGAAAGATGTTAGGTAGGAAGTGGGCTGAGACTGAGGTGTGTGACATTGTTTTGGCAAGGATAAATACCAGAGCCCAAATTGCCCATCAGAAGTCCCAAGTGCCCTAAACAGGGCTGCTTGAGCATCCTAGCTGCACTCAAGTATCGGATGAAGCAGCACATGGGAAGAATGACATTCTAATAAGCATAGTTGGCTCCCGTGCTATACAGCTCTACTTCTCTACACAGGTCCACAGAAGAGTGACTTTGTGTCCCTTAGGACTCTTCAGGGGAACTCAAGGATGCATGGGATGAAATGCAGCTCCTGTGTCTAGATTGATCCCAGGTTGCAATGAACACTAATCTGCCACAACAACTATCCACTCTGAATTTTCTTAGCCCTCAGCTATAACCTTGGCTGAGGGCTAGTTCTTAGCTGGTAGGATAAAAATCTTCATACTAAGGGGCCTGAACCACTAGTAAGCTCTAGCTTTTCAAGGTAGGTTGTTGAATTAGTTACAGTGGGTCAAGGGAGTACCAGGAGATGCCCAAGTAGATGACCCAGGTTTCATTCATACATGTTAATGTACAAACCACCTCCTGTTACCCCACAAGGATAACTCAGTGAACCCAGTGGCTCACAGGGAATGATGGAAAGTATGACTAACCTTCTTAGTTTCTGCATCCATGTAGTCTTCCTATAGGGGATACAGTATTACACAGATGCCTCTAACACACTGCCTCATAAAGGATGGTGTCCCAAAATGTCAGCATGTTTACTTGGAGTCCATGCTTCTGTTTCCTGAAGGCTGTGTCACCATTCTGAGACTCCCTGCCTCTAAATGGTTTTGTGATATGGCCGGTAGACCTTGTGATCTGGGGCCTGTCTATCTTTTGTGACCTCAATCCAGTGGTAACACACTTTGCTGTATGGGGCTCCATACCTGTGGATGAAGCACAGGAGTCCCCGGAGTGGGAGGTAGCTGAGACTTCATAAGCAGGAGAGACAAACCCATATCAACATGAGATATCTATTCCTGTGAACATGAACTTCTGGCTTTCCCAGAACGGGAAGGGGCTTAATGTAGTCAACTTGCTACCATGTAGTGAGTTGGTCTCCTTATACTGATACATTGAGATTCAATGTCTGACAAGTGGGTCTTTCAGAAGAAATGGTAACCAGAATTTCTCTAGGAAATGGCAGTCCATGTTGGGCACACATGTTATCTTCCATGTCTGCTACCGTGGCTACAATATGCATTTACCCATTAGCTGCTGAAAAAGCCTGGCCGATACCCAGTGGCAGAGCTATTTTGCCTGTTCACCAAACAGACAAAACGTCTGGCTTGTAGTGTGTCTTAACAGGTGATGTAAAAATCTACAAGTCTTAAGCATCCATACATCCCATCTTGGACTTCTAATTTTTCCAGTCTTTTTATCCAGGCCTCTGACCAGGTAGCTTAAGCACTGGTCACTGCCCAGGCATCAATACATATTCTAATCTTGAGCTGCTGCTTTTGCCACCAAATTTAATTCTTGGTGGAACACTTGGATTTGTTACTTTCCTGTATATGGCCTGAGGCATATCTTCATGGCTGCCACAGCCACAGAGTACAGCCAAGATGCTTTAAACATGGTCTTCATCTAGCATTTGGGAAATAATGGGATCTCTTTCCTGATACCAACACAGTTTCAGTGATGCCACAGGCTTGTAAATGCCTACAGAGCCCAGGTTTGTGGCTCAGGAAGATACCTGCTGTTGGTGTCTGAGCCCTTTGAATAAATATTGTGAGATTACTTGATAATGAAGAAATTCTTGAAGTAAAACTGAGTCTTAGCAGCAAAGTTAAAGGAAATAAGCTGCCCCTTGGGTATTGCGGGATGTGATTGGTAATGCCAAGGCCTGTTGGCAGACCTCATGCTGAGGATCAGGTAATGAGACTGAGTGACAGCTGTCATTTTTCAGTGGAGGGGTGATGGCAGAAAATCTGAAGTGGCAAACCCTTAACTGAAGTCCTGTTGGATAAAGTGTGGTGACAGGATGGGATAGAAATCTATAGCAACAAGTTACATCAAAGGTCTGATATCCTTTCAGGACTCTGTATCGAGTTTAGCATGAAGGCTGATCTCGTTAAGTTCCTAATAGGTTAGCATTCCAAGGTTAAGTGCTCACAAGAGGTGTGCACTTGGAGGACATAGTATGCCTGCCTCCCTAGCCCCTCGGTCAATTGCTGATCTGTGTCCAGAGTGGGGAACTGCTGTGTCATTGGAGGAAAGAAATCTAAGTCATAGGCAGATAGCATCAGACAACCTCCGTCATTCAGAATCACATCAGCTACAGTGGGCTGTAGGGTGTCCACAGGAAAGCATCCAGTGAGCCGCCTCAGGTATTAGGTTCAAGAACGGTGCATTCTGTGACCTATATTTTATGTCTACATTTCAAACGAACCAACTCTTGGACAGTGAGAAAGTAGACTGTGACACTTGAGCTTCCTCTGAGGGAATGTAGTATGAGGTCTGAGTCCATAGGACATCGCTGTTAACTGATTCTCCAGTTTCCCTTGCCTTAGATGTGAGAGGTCCTGTACTTCCCTCGTGTCAGGCAGTACAGGTGGGCCGTGGTGTGGGTTGGGGGAGAATCAGACAAGTCTCACAGGTGAACTGGAGGGGCAGACCCGCTGGGACTGAGTTCAGGGCTTTGGCCAGGAGAGGGCAGTACTCGATCACAGAACTGTGTTCCCTGAGCAACCTCCTTCAGATGGAGCCTGGGCTGGGCAACTTAAGGGGCTTTTAGAGAGCAAGAACCAACAGTGACTGACTATAATGGTCTTATGAGGGACACTTGGGGTGTACAGTTCGGGATAACTGGGAGCTTTGAAGAATGGGTTAATGTAAATGGAAAATGGGTCTCCAAGCAGATGACACAAAGCAGAATGAGCAGACGTCCATGGCAAACAGAAAAAGGGGTAAAGCAGGACAAAGTGCTAGAGAAAAGCCAGTGAATTCCTCGATATGCGAATGGTGTACACCTTAGAGTGGATTGCCACAGTAGTGGAGGACGGCATGTCTTTCAAGGTACCTCTTCCAGAACCAAGATAACGCTGTTTCTCATGCATAAATTCAAGTGAAGGAATGAATATAAGGCTTTAGTGTCCATGCTTTCACCATCAGTATGGTTTACAGCATAGTTTTCCTTGTAACATAGTTTTCTTGGGTCTGTTAAGCATCATGCTAACCTCTTAACGTGAGGATAAGTGACAAGGCACGGCAAATTAGTGAACATGAGATGTGTGCCTGGTTGAACTGATGCATGCAGCTCATCTGTATCTCAGCTGTCCCTCATGCAGCTGAACTTGCTGGCGTGCACCCACAGGGTCCTCTAAGTGCATTTTCAATTTCCATAGTGACTCTTGGATAGAAAAGTTTAGCCAACTGTTAGATGTGCAGGTGGTGACTTTAGATAGGTAGGATTATCACCATGGAAGCTTCTGGTTCATGATAATGAGAGGGACTTCAGGAGATGTTTGGTAGAACATAGACAGCCACTGGAAGGTGCCAGGAGCCTGAAGGAAAAAATCCTCAGTCTGTTTCTTCCAAACACTGAAATCAAGGCGACTTTCAACCCTGGAAGTGTCATTAGTTGTCAAGAATTATGAAGCCAACTATATGGTAACTGTAACGAACTCCTCAGGACCAGAGATCTTAGAAATACCAACGTATTTCTAAGAAATCAGTGAAGGAGTTGGGGAGGCAGGATGAGTAAGAAGGGGATAGGTAAGTCAAGCAAGGCTGTGATCACAGACAAAATCCCCTTGCCTCTCACAGAGGAGCGCTGGAGGTTACACCATTGCTTGAGCTGGGCTTTCATATGTGAGAATATGACAGCATTTATTACTGGTGGTCCTGGTCTAGTGGGGGGTAAGAGGTGGTAATCTTGGGCACTTCTGGCTGTTGGTGTGCATGTAAAATAGGTCCAGTAACTCAAGGGAGGTGCTCGAACAACTGCAGATGCTGCCTCTTAAAGACACAGGTATCCAACGTTGAGGATTACAGAGAAATGGCAAAAGGAATTTGAGGAGATATGGACATGGCCCCAAGATAGGGTTCATTATCTTTGTTACAGGAAGAAAAGAATAGGTGAATAGGCAACAGGGCTCTCCTTGTCTCCAAGTAATACCTTTGCTACTTCTGTATCTTCTGAATGTGACGGCTTAAGGTTTGCAGGCTCGCCTTTGGGCTTTATCCCAAAACCAAAATTCTTTCAAGATAGCCTTGTGGTGTTGCCTGTTTGCTTCTTCCCAGGCCCAGCAGGGAAGACAGTGATGTGGAAATTCCTAGGAGTTAAATCTTCAGAAATACCCTGAATTTTTAGTGTGTCTTGGTTGATTGAACCACCTCTCTCTCCCCCTGAGAGGTTGCCTGGAGCATTCGGTGTGTGACTCCACATGCGTGCAGAGTGCTTGTCCATGAAGGTAGATAGACCAGTTAATTCTCTCCTGTAAGCATCTCTAAGCTTTCTCTGGTATCCTACCAGGTATTGGTTTGCATTTCTGGTAATTCCTCATAGTAGAATTTGGCAGCGTGGTAGAATATGGCAGACACAAGGTATAACAAAAGGAGTCTCCGTGATCTTGAATGCATCTGGGTGATGTGTGGCTTTGGCATAAGGAAACCATTTGGGTCCAGTTGCTTCAAGTGACTTCCAAGCATTCCAAAATCAGTTTGGTCAATTACCCCTGGAAATAAGAATCAGGGCAGACTCAAAATACTTCAAGTTACTAGCTGTTACAAGTATATCTGCAACTCTTTTGCTATATATGCTCTCTTGAACCATCAGTGGCTGTCCAGGCCATCAACTTAAGCTGTAAAGGATATCAACAAGGGCATTGTGGCACCAACTATAGCCAGCTATCTTTGACACATAGCCTGAACATGAAGTTGCAGGTAATTTGCATGGATCTCTAATCCCAGCAGCAGCTTTAAAGGCACCAAACCTATCCTCTGCTTACTCTTACATAGCCCCGTGAATCCCAATGCAATGTTATCAGGATGTGAAAAACAGCATGGTAAACCCATGCATGTATGCAGTGTCATCAGGTAGAACAGCAATGCAGCACTTGTCCGTTCCAATAGCCAGTGTGTAGCCAGCTAAGTGGTGTCCTGTCTGGCTTATTGAGGTGATCTGGTACAGGGAAATGCTTCCAGAGCGATGGTACAATGCTACATGCTATTATGCATGGTCAATGTCAAATGCAGCTGACACACAAAGTCACTGTACAGGATGAGAAGTGCCCTTGAATTACCCTTGGCCGTCAGTGTCTAATGGCTCAGTACGACTTGATGCTTTGCCCTTAGAGGGTATGATGGTTTTTCCTTGGAAAGAGTCTAGATAGAAGAATGAAGGAAAAGACACAGCCAAAGACTTTCTGTGGTTTCCTTTACTTCTGCCTGAGCTATTGCTGCTGTCAGCCCTTGTGGATAGTTCTGTCCCATATTTTAGTATCAGGGACCCTTTGGTGTAGACATGGAACTACAGATGTTGGCAAAGTATAAGATGGAACTGTTGGTGCCTTTACCACTTTGATCATCTGTCTCCTGTCTTTGGCCTTACTGTCATAATCTGGATATTTCTTCCAGATAAAGTATGGGCTCCTGGGCCTATGTCAGCTTTGATTTGTGATTTGGTGTAAAGCAGAGATAGGTTTACTAGTCCGTTTTCACACTGCCAATGGTCATACCCGAGACTGGGTAATTTATAAAGGAAAGAGGTTTAATTGACTCACGGTTCCCCATGGCTTGGGGAGGCCTTCCAACAATCATGGTGGAAGACTAAAGGAAGAGCAACGGGATGTCTCACATGGTGGCTGGCAAAGAAAACGAGAACCAAGCGAAAGGGGTTTCCCCTGATCAAACCATCAGAACCATCAGTTCTCATGAGACTTATTCACTACCATGAAACCAGTATGGGGGAAATCATCCCCATGATTTTATTATCTTCCACCAGGTCCTCCCACAACATGTGAGAATTATGGGAGCTACAATTCAAGATGAGATTTGGGTGGGGAAATATCTAACCATGAAGGTTGAGGGGTGGTATAAGGGCCTTGCTGGGTTCTAGGTCTTTGAGCCCAGGGTTACAGGGAATACTAATGAATTCTTGGGTTGAGCTGGGTCCTAGGAGAAGCAAATGCCTACACAGGGTTGGGCATTGAGGAATTGATCAGAAATGACACCTTAGACAAGCTGCAGGAGAGCATTTAATCTCACAAAGTACAGAATGAAGAATGAAGTAAGGTAGCTAGGTAGCCTCAGATTGTGGTAAAGTGAAACAAGAGCTTTGGGTTGGCCAATGGTAAGTCTTAGACTCATCATTGCTTTTATTAGGGTTGTCTAGAGGAACAGAACTAATATGTTTATATGAAAGGGAACTTATTAAGGAGAATTGACTCATACGATTACAAGGTAAAGTCCCACAATAGGCCATCTGCAAGTTGAGGAACAAGGAAGCCAGTGGTGGATCAGTCTGTGTCCCAAAACCTGAAGTAGGGAAGCAGACAGTGCAGCCTTCAGTCTGTGGCCAAAGGCCTGAGTGCCTCTGGCAAACCACTCTTGTAAATCCAAGAGTACAAAAGCTAAAGAACTTTGAGTCTGATATTTGAGGGCAGGAAGTATCCAGCACAGGAGAAAGATGGCCAGAGCAGACTCAGTGAGTCCATTCTTCCATCTTCTCCTGCCTGCTTTCTTCTAGCCATGCTGGCAGCTGATTAGATGGTACCTACCCAGATTGAGGGTGGGTCTGCCACCCCCAGTCCACTGACTCAAATGTTAATCTCCTTTGTCAACACACTCAGACACATCCAGGAATAATACTTTTCATCCTTCAATCAAGTTGACACTCAGTATTAACCATCACGTTGTTCACGAGTGGAGTCCCCTGTTTTGCAGCAATGAGCTTGCCTTAGGCTCGGCTGCTGTGCCATGACAGGGATGCTGCTGGTCAATTACTCTTCACTGCAGGCATCTGAGTGGAGTTTGGGTCCTATGGCCACCAGACCTCTACCTAAGAAGCCTAGGATGTGGTTGTAAATCCCAGGGCACTCAAGAGGGTTTAGAACCCACTTAAGTCTGAAGCAGAGAATGGATCCTCATGTTGCTAGTCTGGATCCCATGGGGTTGAAGGAAATTGGCTCCTGAAATTACTCCTGATCCCAGTTGCACCGAGCACTGGGAAACTTGGACTACTTAAATGCCTGAATTGCGTGAGTTGTAGGTTTCAACTCAGCAAGTCTTTGGTAAGGCTGGTCAAGTGGTCTTCTGTCTGGCTAAAAAACTTGTTGGAAATTCAGTGGAGTCACTTATTCCTGGACATATTGTAGGATAAGTTAATAGGGTTGCTTCTTTGGTATGAGTGTCGAAAAAGATAATCTCAGGTACTTGAGGATACCTGTTTCCTTAGCTGCCTGAGAGGCTGTTGCTTATGTGATATACCCCTTTCATGAGTTGCTCAGATCAGAAAGTGGATCTTTGTTTTTTGACTAGGCATCCCAAGGCTGTGTAGCTAGATACATTTTGTAGTCCCCCAAATTTTTCTTATCAGGGAGTCCACGTTGTGAGGTCTCAAGGGACAATAACAAGCCAAAGCAGGACCTGAATGTTAAGAGGGAACTCCTTAGCGAGTAGGTTGACCAAAACTCAGATAGCCTAGTTGATCGTACACTGTCAGCACCTTACCTAGGACACTTGTCAGGTACTTCAATATTGATGCCCACGTTGGCAGCTACACACACTCTGACATCCTTAGGGAGAAATCGACCATTCCCCATAGATCTGACTCCAGCTTAAGGTATGCCATGTCCCGACCCTTCTCTCCTGACTACAGTGACTAGTTCAGGGATGGGCATGCCGCTGAAACCCTAGAAGATATTGCTAGAACTGATGTTTCCAGAAGAGCATTTGGAAGGGAAAAAAACTTGAATGATTAGTGCAAAGCATTTGTCATGAAGGGAGTGCCTAGAACTTCCCATCCAGAGGGTGGTGGGGTTGAGAGTTTAATCTGATACCATGGAGGGTAGAAGAGACAAAGGAAGTCTTACTCCTGGTGCACCTGAGCCTGTTGAATCAGTCTCACTTGGAGCCAACAGTGTTTAGACTTTGCAGTTCGTGAGCTAATGAATTTCCTTGTTACTAGGCCAATGCAGTTGGTGGGATTCTGGATCACTTGTGATCAAAAGAATCCTAATACTTGCAGCCCAATGGAGTGTAACCAAGGATGTGGATATTAGAATAAACTGGGTTTTCTCTCACTTGCAAAGTTAAAACCAACCTGCTAGTTAACAAGCTTGGAGTTAGGAGTACTGAATAGTGTCTAAGGCTTATCAGATTAAATACTTCAGAATAGGGAAGGGAGAAGTAAGCCTTCAGGAGAACTAGAAAGGCTGTGCCAGAGCCCATGTAACATGGACATCATGCTGAATTATGGCTGACCTGCTTCTAATTCAGCAGCCTTATGTGCCGCTCGTATAAAGATAAGGTGATATGTTAAGCTTCTGTTGCTCAAGACATTCTTTTAAAGTCAGGTAGCCCCCACCACTTCTGGAACTTCTGTGCAGGAATGACTAAAGTTGAAACAACAAAGCTTTAAATGGAAACACTGTAAAGGGATGAACTAGCTGATGGGTGTCATGTCTATAACACGAGCCCTCATGCTAGCATGGGTGATACAATTGCCAGGATCCAGCTAGCCTCCAGTAAAAACAAGTTTGAATTTTGGCCTCCCTAGTCAGTGTTCCCCTGACCATTTATGCTCGAGAAACTCAGTAATGAGCCTCTTGGGGCACTGAGGCCCTCTGGTATATGGCTATGTGCATGGCAGCCATAAGTTCATCTGGGCTAGTAGCAGACATGGCATATAGAATGGAGTCAGATAGGAGAATCGAAAATAACTTTCCTGGTGCACTTATGAGACAGTAACATGGCAAACTGAAACATGACAGTTGGGAGGGGTGGGGGTTCCCTCTTGGAAAGGATGACCCATATACCTCAAACGTGTCAACATGAAAGTCAACACCCAAGGTATGAAGGTAACTCAAGATCTGGCCTAGTCATCTCCGTTCAGACGAATGGTCATCCTCCCTCTGAATGGAGCACTTGTGACAGTGTCATGGACATGTATACGCTACTTTTCACATGGGGCTTTATTCCGGAGCTGTAGAAACTATATCTCAACTTACTATAGAGCTGAGTTTACCCTAGAGTCTTAGTTGGCATCTAAAAACTACATGCTATTGTGTCATGAGATGCAAAGGCTAAAGTAGATTGAGAGCTTCAAGAATCTTGGGGTTGAAGAGAAAGTTCTATAAGGAATTGAACCTGGGAGAAGATCAGAGGATCACACATGTCTGACTTGGGAGGAAAGAGAAGAAATGTCAGATAGGAAGTGGCTTAGTATCGCACCTCAGTCTAAGTGTTTTAGCAAATATCCTGGTAAGTCCCAGAGCCCAAATCCCCACTGGAGTCACATGTGTCCTGAATGGGCATATTGAGCACTGCAGCTGCACCTTAATGGCTGCCAAGTCAGCCCCTGTGCTGCACAGAGGGACCTGGCTACACAGGCTCTCAGAGCAGCAACTCCATGTCCCTCAGGCCTCCTTTCCTGAGTAAACTCAAGATGCTGTGACAAAATGCAGCTCCTGTGGCTGTAGTGGGATCTTGGGTCACAACGAATCCTCATCCTCTCTCCTCCAATATCCACTGCCAAATTCCCTTTGGCCTCAGCTGTGATCTCAGCTGAAGGTTCACGCTTTCCGGGTGGTAGGACCCAGATCTTCAGCCTGAGGGGCATAAAGATCTAGAGACCATAGGTTTTCAAGATAGTGCTGCTTGGCTGTATCTGTTGGAGTGGGGCAAGGAAGTTGAAGGATGCCCGGTTGCATCAGCTGGGTTCCATTCATTCTTACTACCTCTCAGAATATAAAAGTAGCCCTCTGATCAGTCAGTTACTCCTGAAGAGTGACTCTCAAAATCCCGCAGTGGTTCACATGGATTGATTAAAAAAAGCATAAGTGGCCCCCACTTTTTTTTTTTTTTATTTCTTGGTTCCCAAACCATTAGTTTTCCTGCTGGGCCTGCAGTACCATGGAACAGCCTGCCTGATGTATGTACTGCATCCTATATGAGGGTATCCTAAGTGTGAAGCCTTTTTGACCCAGTAACTAGTGCTTCTGCCAGGCTTCCTGAGGCTGTCTGAACATTCTACAAGGCTACTTCTGAATGGTCTTGTGTAATAATGACGGATGACCTCCTCCAAGACCCAGATCCCACTTGGTATCTTTGTGACCTGAGTCACTTTGAGAACTGAGGTTCACAATCTTGCCCAGGTGGGAACACTGAGTCACATGGCAAAAATTGAAGTTCCTGAGAAATTTGGGTCAGTTGGGGCCTCAGTTGGCCAGCTTCTGAGATGCGCTTCTCTGGAGTAGTAGTGACTGACAGTCAGAGTCCTAAAGAGACTTTTGGGGCATGCAGGTGTGGGTGGGGTTGGGAGGCAGTTTTTGGGAAGGGGAATGAGTTAAGCTGAAAGGAAAATGGATCACAAAGCTGGGGATTCAAAGTGGAAGCTGTTTAGGACAGAGGACCTCAGTGAGGGGTGGCGGGGGTGGGAATAGAAGCTAAAGTATAAAGCAGAGTGAAAATAGAGGAGCTGACACTGGCTTTTCTGTTAATGCCAAACACCTTGGAGCATGGATTGAGGGCCAAAGAGTAGAGGGTTGACAAGGTTCTGCAAATGTTACCTTGAAAAACACCTTGTTCATACTTTTACATAGAAAGGAATCAGAAGGCAGAAATGTATGGCTGTATCTTCTATGTTTTCACCTTCCAGTGTCTTACTGTGTACAACTTTGCTTTAAAATGGGAGCCTTGCTAGGCCTCTTAGGCTTGTTTAACTTTTTTCCCAATGTGGGGAAGACACGTGATAAAACACGGCAGAGTAAACAATGTGAGCATGAGACCAAGTCCTTGTGGGAACAGAGCACATGGCAGCCTGACATCCTCCCTGCATTCGCCTGCAGCTGAATGTGCTCATGTGCAACCACAGGGTCACTTGCAGGCATCTTCAATTTGCATAGGGGCTTGGGTAGACAAGTTTTGCCAGTCTTTGCAATCAATGTCCCAATGTTGACTTTGGATAGGCAGGACTATCGCTAGAACTTGTTGTTTCCATGGCTCTTCCAGAGAAGTTGGAGAATGTTAAAGAACAGTTATGATGCTTGATATGAGTCAAAGTTCTTAAAGCACTTCATGATTTTTCTGCATCCTTGATGGCTAAAGTCAGCATGTTACTGCATGAGGAATTTATAGGCAAACTACTTGGCCAGGGAAATTTAGCTGAGGTGTCATTCTAGGTTTAGAATGTAGTTCACCTGAATTGATCTAGTGTTCTTTCAGACACCACTGAATTTACAGAAGCAAAACACTCACTACACTTCTCAGGTCTTGGAAAATGCTACCAGTACAGAGAAAGATGATAGAATTCCCAAATACCCTCTACCCCCTGGTGGCAAGATGGATATCTGGCATCTCCTTGCCCCCAACCAGTCTGGCTCTGTTGACATCCTCTCTGATTCAGTAATGCTAGTTCTTGGACTCTATGTAGACCGTAGATAAGACCATAGTGGGCATTGCTTCTCCTGGATTCAGAAGGTAGAATTATCTCTGGCTTTCTAGACACTTGTGTTTTAATGGGACAGATGAAAGAATTCCACAGGTGGAGTCAACACGAGGGAATACACCATGCCAGTGTAATAAGAATTATCTAGGGCCATAAAGGGCTGCAACATGTTGGCTTGTACCTAGAAGTTAGAGGAAACCATGGTATGGCATGTTATAAAGGGGCCAGAAATGGGCAGAACACCTCTTCATGGGACTCCAGTGTTTCACTACCAAGTATACTATTCTCAGGAACATCCTAAATCCTTCAGTCTGTTCAACTCCCTCAGTTTCCCCTAGGTGTTGTAGATAGCTTGTATCCAGATGACTGACTTTGGATTAAGGGCTCAACATGTGGTTAAGCTATTGGTACGCTGACTGACACCCTCTTTTAAATACTGAGACAGGTGTCTGAGAGGTGAGCTTTAAGTGTATTAGGTGAATGGGCCTCTCTTCCAGGTCACATTGCTGAAGACCCTGGAAATTGCTATGAGCATGAGGGGAAAATCTAAGCTATAGAAACCACAACTAGAGCATGGTACTGGTGTGCCTCAGGTACTACAAAGTGATAGATGGCACAGGTGGGGGTACAAAAGATGACCCAAGTGAGGGTAACATTCCAGACACCCATAACTTTCAAGCACAAACTGAACCCTTGGCTGAGCCCTGTCCTCCATTATATGGAGTCCTATGGAGAGTTGTAGTGTGCAGGATCTGGATTTTGCGCAGTTGCTGTACTTGCAGGCCAGGGCAGACCCTCATCAGGCTCTGTCCTGTGTGACTCTTGAGTCAACAGTCATGTAGAGACAGGAAGTCAGAGATGGAAGTTGGGCTCTTACTTCCAGGAAAATGACCTGACATGGGTCCTGTGAGAACCAAGGCACTGACAGGGTAACTTGTCCTGTCTCCTAGGATCCCCTTTTCAGCTGAACAGATAAAACATGATTGTGGAAGAATCCTCATCTGCCTTGTTAGATTGGAACTTGCATTCCGGAATTAGAAGTAATATTGATGTTAACACATCCAAGTGCCTGTCAAATGGCTTACTGTGGTTCTTGTCTGTTATGTCACAACAGACTTCTGACTGTTCAAGCTAACTTGTGCCTCTTTAAAGAAGGTAAAAATTGTCCTACCACGGGCCACTGAGATGCTTCTTGCACTCTGTCCTTTCATGAACTAGAAGTCAGCCATGCTGTTGTAGGTCAAGGTGCCTGCATAAGACTTTCTAGGGGAGGGGCAGAGGAGAGAGCTAAGCAGGCATATGGTATGTTGGAGTTCAGCTTCCATCTGGGCCCATGGTGGAGCTCTGAGGGTACAAAAGCATGTTGAGGGTACAGAGCATGTTGCTCTGAGTGTGCAAGTGCCATGTTGAGGTATCGATGTAAGCATCTTATTCCCAGAGTCAGTACTGGCTGTGGGCTGCTGGGGAAGAGGTCTCTACTAGGCTGAGGGCAGTTCTCCAGAAGAAGTGGCTTGGGAACCATTAGCAGCCAGCAGTCTTAGCTGCTGGGTGGTAAATGCCCTGACTCAGTAAAAGGGCATCGCATGAAGCACCAACTATTTTCATCATACATGCTGGAACAACTTGTCCCACTGATGGCAAGAAGGGGGTGTGATTGTGTACCAGCATACTCTGGTTGTTGCCAAATCTGTGACTTGGTGAGTATGTGGCTGAGCATGTTGCCACATGCAGCAGGTCCTCTTCACATCTGAGAAGGGCAGTGCACACCAGACTCTGTGAAGCTCAGCATGTTTGTGGTGCCAAATATGGAGACGGAAGTATCATGGAAATCCAGAAAGGAGAAGTGGAAGGAACTGGCTGGCAGGATGGCAGTGACATGGGCATCTGTCACTCAGCATAGCAGGGACCCTGGGACCTCACCAAGTAGAATTTAAGAGCGCAAGAATCATATTAGAGAATGGTAAAAGCTAATCACAGAGCTGGTAACTCTTCTTCCCTTACCTAATTCTGTTGAGAGCAGTAAGCCCAGCCACAACTACTTGTTTTGTGATACTTTGTAGCTCAGGGTGGGCGTGACTCCAATTTCTACTTACATCTTATGGGTCTGAAGGTCAATGGGCTTCCCAGGTTATCTACTTAAGAGGAACAGTCTTGGCTAGCACACGTATTTGCATTTCCCAAATCTAGTGAATTCATAGCTAGTGATTTCCCAAATCAAGTCATTTCATATCTAGTGATTTGGACTGGATTTGCTTTCTAGTCTCTGACCTGCTTTTCCATGTAGAAGCACTTGGCACAGGTTTCCTGTCGAACTGCTGCCTTTCCTATAGAGCCCTCCAGATGGAATCTCATCTTCAGTGACTGGGTGTGCTTGGCAAGTGAGATGGCATGGTAGGACTAAAGTTGTGCTTATTCTAAGCAGGTTGGGAGGAGTATTCAATAGGGCCACTATATCATCGACTTCCATTCTTCTAATTAAACTGGAAACTAAGAATTAGGTCTGTAGATATCTTAACACCACAATTCATGAAGGACATAGCAGGAGTAGTCTATATATCTATCACTTCCATAGATTGAGTTGAATAGGAGTTCAACATGCTATTCCCCCATGTTCCAGATGGCTTGGACCACAGGGTAGACTCTCCCCCATTTTTGAATGATTGTCATTCTAACTGGCATGAGATGGTATCTCATTGTGGTTTTGATTTGCATTTCTCTGATGACCAATGATCTTTTGTTCATGTTTGTTGGCTGCATAAGTGTCTTTTGAGAAGTGTCTGTTCATATCCTTTGCCTACTTTTTCATGGTTTTTTTTTTGTTGTAAATTTAAGTTCCTTATAGATTCTGAGTATTAGACTTTTGTCAGATAGGTAGCTTGCAAAAATTTTCTCCCCTTCTATAGGTTGCCTGTTCACTCTGATAGTTTCTTTGGCTGTGCAGAAACTCTTTAGTTTGATTACATCCTATTTGTCAATTTTGGCTTTTGTTGCCATTGCTTTTGGTGTTGTAGTCATGAAGTCTTTGCCCATGCCTATGTCCTGAAGGTATTGCCTAGGTTTCCTCTAGGGATTGTGTGGTTTTGGGCTTTACATTTAAGTCTTTAATCCATCTTGAGTTAATTTTTGTATAAGGTATAAGGAAGTGGTCCAGTTTGTTTTCTGCATGTGGCTAGCCAGTTTTCCCGCACCACTTATTAAATAGGGAATCCTTTCAATCTTATGCTCTTTTGCCACAAGGATAAAAACCTCTCAGGGAATTAGAACTGAGTCAAAACCTGTCCAGTGGCTGTAGCAGAGCCCTTCTAGACCCCTAGTCCCAGGTTCCTTTGAGGTATGTCTCCAGGCAGGAGCAGTCTTGTCCAAGTCTTCTCATAGGTGCAAGATGGAGAGAGACTAAAGTGATCCACTCAGGGATGGGACTGTGCTTTAACTCTCAGCTTGTTTTCTCAGAATATCCTCAACTTTGACCCTGAGCCTTCAGCAAATGAGAATAGTAGAAGGTAAAGCCTAAATGAGTTCCTGCTGCCTGGAATAGGCACTCCTGTAACTATGGAGGCCAGGTGGGCAATGTGGGCTGTGGTAGGTATCGGTGGTCCTGAGGGGAGGGATCTCCTGTGAAGCCTATGATCTTAGTAGCAGCCTCACAGTGAAATTCGTTCTACAGTGTATGTCACTGTAATGGGCTGGAGTTCTGAAAGAACCTGAGCCTTATCTTTGGTTATCCAGAGTCCTACAGAGAGTTCTATTGTGTAGGATCTTGATTTTATGCAGATGTTGTACTCACAGGCCAGGGTACACCCTCATCAGGCTGTGGTCCTGTGTGACTTGAGCCAACAGTCAGGTGTAGAGACAGGAACTCAAAATTCCAGGAACATGACTTGATGTTTTCCTCTAGGTCCTATGAGAACTGAAGCAATGACAGGGTAACCTGTCCTATCTCCTAGGAGCCCTTTTCCAGCCAAAGAAACAGATAAAACACTACCATGGAGGAATTCTCATCTGCATTCGTGTCTGACAGATTGGAACCTAATGTGCTCCTAAGTGACAGTAAAATTGAGGCTAGATATCACACTTGAGTGCCTATCAAGTAGCTTATTGTAGTTTTCACATCTTCTGTTAGCTTAAAAGCAGTGAGAAGTCTATCATGACATAACTTTTGTCCCTTTAATGAGGGGGGTGAAAATTGTGCTACCACAGGTCAGTGTGAGATGCTTCCTGCATCCTGTTCATCCACAAACTAGAAGTTGGCCATGCTGTTGCAGGTCAAGTTCCCTGTGTAGGATTTGCAGGGAGATGAAGGAGCTAAGCAGGAATGTGGCATGGTGGTATTCACCTTCCATCTTGTCCCAGGGGAGCTCTGAGGGTGCAAAAGCCGAGTTGGTGCCATGTTAAGGTACAGATGTCAGGCTTTTATTCTCAGGGTCAGTAGAGGCTATGCGCTGCTTGGGGAGAAGGTTAATACTAGGCTGAGGGGCATTGTCCAAAGTAAAGGACAGTTGTAAACCACTAGCAGCCAACGACCTTAGCTGCTAGGGGATAAATACCCTGACTTGGAGAGAGCTCCCCATGAAGCACCAGCAATGTCCACTATCCATGCTTGGAACACCTTGTGCCACTGACGGCAAGAAGGGGATGTGATTGACTTTGTACCAGTTGACTCTGTTGCCGGATCTCCAAACTAGTATATTGTTGCCAGATCTCCATCTTTGTCAGCACCTGGCCATGCTTATGTTGCCACACATGGCAGGCCTTACTTAACACTTGAAGGGCTGTACACACCAGGCTGTCAATGCTGCTGAGCCACTCGGCAGCAGGTTTTTGGTGCCAAACATGAATAGAGGAATATCAAGGAAATCCAGAAAGCAGAGGAAGGTATAGTAACTGTGGCTGGCAGGATGGCAGTGACATGGGCATCTATCATTCAGCACAGCAGGGACCCAGCGATTTCACCAAGTAGTATCTAAGAGCCCAGGTAATAGTAAGACACTATTAATAGAGCCCAAGCGTCTTACTATTACTTGGGCTGTGACTAAGTAATCAGTGACTAGGGGGTGGCTTAAAAACTTAATTGCAGAGCTTATAACTCTTCTTCCTTTGCTCATTTCTGTTGGGTAGCAATAAGCCGAGCTGCAACTACTTGTCCTGTGATACCCTGTATCTTAGGGTGGCCTCAAGACTAAATTCTACTTAAATCTCAGGGCGGAGAAGTTCAGTGGGCTTCCAGGGCATCTACTTAAATGAATAGTCTCAGCTAGCCCATGTCTTAGCATTTCCCAAATCCTTAACTGCCTGGAATTCAGTCAAGAGTATTAGGCTAGAAGAGTGTTAGCATGAAAGACCTCAGGTATCATCCTCACAGCATTGCTTTATTCTATGGGTTGTGTGGTATGTGCCAAGTTTACCTGGGTCCCCCAGCTCAGCAAATCAGAAGAGCTGGTAGAGAAATATGCTGGCTGTGGCAAGAAGTCATTTCTTACATCCTGTGACCTTAAGGGGAATGTGGCCCTTGGGTAGGAGTGGCATTTTACCTTCAGGAGGTTGGGTGATAGCATGTGACCTTTGAAAAGTTCATAGAATTGAGAGTGACTTCGTCCCAATGATGACCAAGAATTATATAGATAAGGGGGATCACATTCCTCCAGGTTCCTATTGCCTAGTATGACAGGTTAGATTATTGGGAAACAGACTGAAATGAAGTTGAGCATGCAGAGCACTTGTTGGAGGTGGAAAACCTGTCAGAGGGACATAAACACATCTGACACTCTTCTCGTGTCAGATGTGAAGAGACATAGACCACCTCTTCTGTGTTCCTAGCAATTTTACTGTAAGATACCTACAGATTTATTCTGTTTCTAGTTAGAAGAAACCAACTTAATACTAGAGTGGCCCCTTTGAATACTCCTCACATCCTACTTATAAGTTTTGCCTTATGGCTTTTGGCTTTACAGCTACCTTCAATCTTACCTTCTGTATTTTTGCCACACTAGTGTGGGGGGGCACTATGCAGGAAAGCACAACCCATCCAAAGCCTGTCCAGTAGCCAGGCTATCCCAGGCCACTTGTTTCAGGTTCCTCAGGTAGGGTATGTCTGACAGAAGAAATCCTGTGCCAGTCCTATAGGCACAAGATAGAATCCAAAGTGATCCACTCAGGCCAGGGTAGTACTTTAGTCCTTACTTGCCTCTTGACAATAAGGATGTCTTCAACTGTGACCCTGAGTCTTCAGCAGATGAGAATGGGAAAAGGAAACACCTGAAAGGACTTCTACTGCCTGGAATATGTGCCCATGTAAGCATGGAGGCCAGATGGGTAATGTGGGCTGTGTAGGTACTTGAGTAATCATGAAGGGAGGGATCTCCTTTGTGAAGCCTATGATTCCTGGAGTAGCAGCTTCAGGGTAGAATCCATTTTACAGTATATAACAGCACTGTAATGGGCTGGAGTTCTGGGAAGCTGCATGTTAACACAATGTTTAAAGAACTGACCAATATCCCAAATCATGTCAGACCCTTCTTTCTCAAGTGGGACATCAATTGGACTGACCTTCATAGGGATGAGAACTTTCATGCCCTTCAATAGCAGTGTGCCTAATTCTGAGATCTACAAAGGTGTGGCACTTAGAATAGCTAAGCCACAAGGCAAAGTGCAAGACAATAGAGATGACCCAGTGAGTGGGAGATGGCATAGTCCATGTGAGGTGGGAAGCCTCTGAGCTGGCCCCCAGTGATCCTTGACTCCTGGTATTCCAGCTTGTGTTAAGCCCCTTCTCTTGAGAGTAGATATAGTGGCTTGCTGCTTGATGAAGTGACAATGGAAGAAGTGGCAGGTCCCTCCAAATACATGGTTAGATACTAGCTACTGTCTTAGATTTCCTGTATCAGTCCATTTTCATGCTTCTGATGAAGACATACCCAAGACTGGGAAGAAAGAAGTTTTAATGGACTCATAGTTCCATGTGGCTGGGGAGGCCTCACAATCATGGTAGAAGGTGAAATGCATGTCTCACATGGTGGCAGACAAGAGAACTTGTACAAGGAAACTCCCCTTTATAAAACCATCAGATATTATGAGACTTACTCACTATTATGAGAACGGCACAGGAAAGACTTGCCCCCATGATTCAATTACCCCCCACTTGATCCCTCCCACAACACATGGGAATTCAAGATGAGATGTGGGTGGGGACACAACAATACCATATCACTTCCCTTACTCCTTGTCTTAGAACATGTGTTCTAGGAGAACTAAGCTGCTGTGTTTGAGCCACCCCACTGAATGGCCCACATATGATGGCAAGGAGCAGAAACTTGGAGCCCAACAGGCTGAAGAGCTGGAGCTTACCACTGAGTGAGCTTGGAAGCATCGTAGTCCTCCTGATGTCAAGGATATGATCCAAGAACCACTCCCCCCTGGCCACCTTGTAGATGCCTAACCCTATATACACTGTATTTTCTCTGTACATATGCACCTATACACAAAGCATACATACACAAAGCTTAACAGATGAATTGGGCACACTAAGATTAATAAGAAAATAAAACTATAACATACCAGCATCACTACTAGTATACCTTGGGACTTAGGTAAAATAAGGGTTGCTGGAAGACGAACACTACAATGCCACAGAAGTTGACTTAGTAACAAATAATAACTAATGGCTGGGTAGTGTGCTAGGTGTGGATACCCTAGACAAAGGATGACTTAAATCCATGGTGGGTGGAAAAGCTTTTTGATGTGCTGCTGGATTCGGTTTGCCAGTATTCACCATGATCAAGTGGGCTTCATCCCTGGGATGCAAGGCTGGTTCAACATACGCAAATCAACAAATGTAATCCAGCATATAAACAGAACCAACTACAAAAACCACATGATTATCTCAATAGATGCAGAAAAGGCCTTTGACAAAATTCAACAACCCTTCATGCTAAAAACTCTCAATAAATTAGGTACTGATGGGACATATCTCAAAATAATAAGAGCTATCTATGACAAACCCACAGCCAATATCATACTGAATGGGCAAAAACTGGAAGCATTCCCTTTGAAAACTGGCACAAGACAGGGATGCCCTCTCACCACTCCTATTCAACATAGTGTTGGCAGTTCTGGCTAGGGCAATCAGGCAGGAGAAGGAAATAAAGGGTATTCAATTAGGAAAAGAGGAAGTCAAGTTGTCTCTGTTTGCAGATGACATGATTGTATATCTAGAAAACACCATCGTCTTAGCCCAAAATCTCCTTAAGCTGACAGGCATCTTCAGCAAAGTCTCAGGATACAAAACCAAAGTGCAAAAATCACAAGCATTCTTATACATCAATAATAGACAGAGAGCCAAATCATGAGTGAACTCCCATTCACGATTGCTTCAAAGAGAATAAAATACCTAGGAATCCAACTTACAAGGGATGTGAAGGACCTTTTCAAGGAGAACTGCAAACCACTGCTCAATGAAATAAGAGGATATAAACAAATGGAAGAACATTCCATGCTCATGGGTAGGAAGAATCAATATCATGAAAATGGCCATACTGCCCAAGGTAATTTATAGATTCAATGCCATCCCCATCAAGCTACCAATGACTTTCTTCACAGAATTGGAAAAAACTAAAGTTCATATGGAACCAAAAAAGAGCCCAGATTGCCAAGTAAATCCTAAGCCAAAAGAACAAAGCTGGAGGCATCACACTACCTGACTTCAAACTATACCACAAAGCTACAGTAACCAAAACAGCATGGTACTTGTACCAAAGCAGATACAGACCAATGGAACAGAACAGAGCTCTCAGAAATAATGCCACATATCTACAACTATCTGATCTTTGACAAACCTGACAAAAACAAGAAATAAGGAAAGGATTTCCTATTTAACAAGTGGTGCTGGGAAAACTGGCTAGCCATATGTAGAAAGCTGAAACTGGATCCCTTCCTTACACCTTATACAAAAATTAATTCAAGATGAATTAAAGACTTAAATGTTAGACCTAAAACCATAAAAACCCTAGAAGAAAACCTAGGCAATACCATTCAGGACATAGGCATGGACAAGGACTTCATGTCTAAAACACCAAAAGCAATGGCAACAAAAGCCAAAATTGACAAATGGGATCTAATTAAACTAAAGAGCTTCTGCACAGCAAAAAAAACTACCATCAGAGTGAACAGGCAACCTACAGAATGGGAGAAAATTTTTGCAATCTACCCATCTGACAAAGGGCTAATATCCAGAATCTAGAAATAACTTAAATTTACAAGAAAAAAACAAACAACCCCATCAAAAAGTGGGCGAAGGACATGAACAGACACTTCTCAAAAGAACACATTTATGCAGACAAGACACATGAAAAAATGCTCATCACTGGCCATCAGAGAAATGCAAATCAAAACCACAATGAGATACCATCTCACATCAGTTAGAATGGTGATCATTAAAAAGTCAGGAAACAACAGGTGCTGGAGAGGATGTGGAGAAATAGGAACACTTTTACACTGTTGGTGGGACTGTAAACTAGTTCAACTATTGTGGAAGTCAGTGTGGCAATTCCTCAGGGATCTAGAACTAGAAATACCATTTGAAGCAGCCATCCCATTACTGGATATCTACCCAAAGGATTATAAATCATGCTGCTATAAAGACACATGCACATGTATGTTTATTGCGGCACTATTTGCAATAGCAAAGACTTGGAACCAACGCAAATGTCCAAAAACGATAGACTGGATTAAGAAATGTGGCACATATACACCATGGAATACTATTCAGCCACAAAAAATGAGTTCATGTCCTTTGTAGTGACATGGGTGAAGCTGGAAACCATCATTCTCAGCAAACTGTGGCAAGGACAAAAAACCAAACACCCGATGTTCTCATTCATAGGTGGGAATTGAACAATGAGAACACATGGACACAGGAAGGGGAACATCACACACTGGGGCCTGTTGTGGGGTGGGGGGGAAGGGATAGCATTAGTAGATATACCTAATGTTAAATGACGAGTTAATAGGTGCAGCACACCAACATGGCACATGTATACATATGTAACAAACCTGCACATTGTGCATATGTACCCTAAAGCTTAAAGTATAAAAAAAAATTCCAAGGTGGGATGGTATGAGACTTCATCATGCTACTCAGAATGACATGCAATTTAAAACCCATGATGTGTATTTCTAGAACTTTCCACTGGATATCTTCCATCTGTGGGTGACTAGATAGCAAACTGCAGAAAGCAAAACCCCACGCATAAGAAGGGGACCACTGTGGAGGTTCTGAGGCATCAGCCAATTGTTACGAGTAATCTTGGAAGCAGA
The DNA here is from genome assembly GCF_000001405.40 of Homo sapiens. NCBI lineage: Eukaryota > Metazoa > Chordata > Mammalia > Primates > Hominidae > Homo > Homo sapiens. The sequence goes on from NC_000004.12 coordinate 77,259,950, forward strand.
TCCTCCTGTATGCAGTTGAGCCCTCAGATGAGAACATGTCCTGGCTAACAGACGGTGTCTTCATGAGAACCTGAACCAGAGGTGTCTGGCTAAGCTATGAGTGCATTCCTAACCCTTAAAACCTAGAAGATAAGTATGTGCTGTTTTAAGCTGCAAGGGTTAATTTGTGCAGCAGCAATAGATAAACCATGTCTATGGCAACAGGCAGCTGCTACTTGGCTTCAGCAAGTGATTGCTGTGCAGGAATAACAGTGGTATTGGCCAAGAAATGGCCATACTTGAAAGCAGAAAATGTAGACTTTTGCATGAATCTTGCTGTACAGCAGAAGCTGCCTACTGGTACGTAGGTCAGTGTATCTTCAGACATGCTTTGGCACCTGCAGCATTTTAACAAACTAATTGCATGTTCTGATTCTATCTACCATGGCAGGTCAGGTGATTAAGAAAAAGGCTCTAAACTCAATCAGTAAATAGATGTTGCTAGGGCTTCAGTACTCCTTCTTCCACTAGTGTCCCTTTACTTACACTCACTTTTGTCAACAGGATAAGCGCATTTGGACCATGATAGAATGGATCAGCTAAGGAACATTGACATTGGCTTTTTGAAAATGGAATATGGTTTCATGGATTTCGGGGTCTGGGAGAGCTAAGAAGATCACAAGAGACTTGTAGAGTCAGACTAGAATGGAGTAAGCAGGATCAGGCATGCCAAGGTCTTGTTAGAGTTTCTACTGCATCAGTTGACACTCATTGCCACCCTAGAGATCATAATTCTGAGACTTCCCTCACTCAGTACAGGGAGTTCCCTACTAATAGCCTTGAATGGGGTAGCTCTGTCCAATAAAATGAGCTGTCTACATTTCAACTACTCTAATAGTCTAATTTCACCTGACTCTTATTTTTCAATCTTAAAATTCCTGGATTGGGTTAGATGGAGATTCAAGTCCCATCTACTCCTATTCAACTGTGGCTCTGGTTCTAATTTAGGGTCTTCTAGCCTGGGCAGTAATTCCCTGCGTACTGATGAAGGAACTGCCTCATAGGCTTGTTTAAAATCAGATGACAATTTACCCATGTTTTCCTTAAAAAAAAAAAATTGCCAGCTCTTGGGAACTTAGTATATGTTCTTAAAGGAAAAATGCCCTCTCAGTAGACTGCTTGTGACTTATGACCTGTCTGGCTCCTAGAAGTACCCATTGTAGGTTGGATGACGGACAGCTGCAGATTCTTGTGCCACCAGTGAAGCAATCTAGACCATTGAGCATGTTCCAGAGGTGGGGTCAGGCTGGGTAAGCTGAGGCCACAGCCAGCATTAGAATAGGGACCTAAGCCAGAACTGGGGCAGCTGTCAGATGGGGTTCATTCAGTCCTCAGTAGGAAGGACTCAGGGAAGGGCAAGTTGAGTGTCTACTTCCCTCTGAGGGGAAGACTAAAGCTGGGCAGCCTGCAAGGGTGTGAAGGTGAGGGTTGAGAGGCTTACCATGAAGTGCCAGTCAACTCCACGTAGGGTCTGCAATAGAATGCATCCAGGGAGGTCTTACTTTTTTCACCCCGGATGTAGAAATCTCGAACTGCTTGTCTTTTGGTGTAGAATGGAGGTACGTCTGACTGATGCCAGCTGACCCAAAATAAACCTTACTCTCCACTTCACCTTGCAGATTTGGAATAGAAGCAGATTCAGAGTTGAAAGCTTTTGGTGGGCTGTCCTGGAGTAGACCTCCACCAATATCCCATGTACCTCCCTCTCCATGTTGGGTGTCAAATGAGGCTTGTACACATGAGTGCCTATCATGTGACAGAAGCTAAGATTCTAGTTACTGCTGACTCGCATCTTATTCCTGAAGACTTTGGATAAGGCCTAACATACCTAGCTGCAGGACACATCTGTCCCCTTTCTGTAGAAAAGGCAGCTAGGCCTTGTAGTGACAGGCCAGGATGGTGTGGTCCTGGTGGAGATGGAGCAGAAGCATGGAAGTACTGATGTGCTTCTCCTTGAGTATTCCCTTTTGCTCTCTGCTCAGGGAGGCTTACTACCTGAGTCCCATGTCTTGGCTGGACCCATCCGTGAGGTGAGGAGATGAGTCTCCTTTCCGGGTAAAGGCCCAGCTTGACTTGGAATCTTGGCTTTTCCCTCTTGATTGTATATATTCTAGTTTCCTCTAAGATGTAGCTTTAGAAGTACACACTGGGATATTTTGGAGTGGTATGGATTGGACTAGAACTAATTGTGAATTCATTGAAAGAATCGTGTATACTACATACATAAGAGACTAGAAAAGATGACTGGGCTGGTTAACTTCACCTACCCTATTCATAAGCACAAATTTTGTGGTGCTGTGGGGCATTTCTAGATGACTGCCATCCATGCCTCTTGGCTTCATCAGTGCTCCTTTAGTGCAATCAGTGGACCACTTGCTGTGGTTATTGGCCAACAAGTGCATTTGTAGACATGGTGTATATCTTATCCTACCTAACCCCATGGTTAAGGTATCTTACTGGATTCTAGATCTTAGCTTAAATGTGGCTGCCTCAAAGTGCCTCTACTTCATGCATGTGAATGAATGTGCAACCCCCATTTAGTCTGTCACAACTTGTGACCACATTTATTCCCCACTACTATGAACATGAGGACAGATAAACTACCTCTAGCCCATCACTATGATTCTAATGTGTAACTCCATGTTTGAAACAGACTTCATTTCTGACCTGACAGGAAGCTGGGCACTAGAATATGTCTATGGTACTGTTGATTTTGGACAGGATCTTCCATGTAGTGGGGAAAACAATAAGAAGTTTGAAGTATGCTGGGGGTGTGATGTGTACAACATAATACTTACGTGAGAATGTCTTATAGTGCCATCATTCTGCCTACCACAGAAAGGTCAGGGACCCTATCTCCCCGTGGAAAAAAGGGGTAGGAGGTCCTGAAATGAGTCAAGTGAGTCCATGCTGATGCTGCTCATGAGATGTTGACTGTTCCCACCACCATAGCATGAGCTCCAAAGATAGTGTGCTCAGTGGATATGGAGATGGAAGGAGATGCATCTGAGAACCAGTGGGTCTGTATGCCTCTTGGAAAGATTGTGGTGTTCTTTCTGGTTCTCCTTCACTTTGACCTGTGAGCTTCTCTGTAATCTGCATAAGCTGGCTAGCTGCTTCTAATTCTGGTTGCGCTACACCTTCAGATACTGTTAGACTTAATATTTTCTACCACTTGTTCAGATATGGGATCATAGAACTTGATATGTGTTCAGATTCCTCCCCCATAACTTTGGCCATTGTCTTAGCTTTGTGGTCTTAAGCATTCATGTCCTTGTGAACTAAGTTTCTCTTCGATGCTTGCCTCTTCATGAGCTTCAGTGCTCAAGTGTTGTTCCTCTGTTCAGTGAAGCTGTAATGCTATTCCTTGAGCAAAAATAACCAAACCAATCTATACTGACCACAGTTGTGGGTGACTCATAGATCACAGTTCTGGGTGACCTCTATGGGCCCCAGAACTCATCTGGCAGCACCAACAATATCTGAAGAACTGGCAGGAAGGGCTGTGCTTAGTTTGCGTTTTCATGGCATGAAGTAATTGTTGCAAGTAGAACTAAAGATGACCATGTGAGCCTCCCTGGAAGGGTTCCATCTGATTGCTGTGGGAGGTTCTATTGGAGACCAATTTTTCTTTTTTCTCCAAGGGCCAGAAATCTGGTCTGTAGTCAGTGAAAGCACAGTACTGGAGGGTCCTTGAGTAGTATCCATTTGTTTGACCAGTATAGGTGAGATGGGCATTTGGTGTTACACATCTGCTCTCCTTGGGATGTTTATTCCTTCACTCGAATAGACATAAGAATCCTGACAAACTATTTGGTAATTTAAAAAAAAATAATAAATGTAGCAGTCCATGTGGTTCTTGTTCAGGTCAGATAAGGTATTGGGAGAACCCACCCCCAATATTTCAGTGTAGGTCCTTTCTATTTTCCATAAGTGTCGGCTGGCTGAGAAATACACAGACAGTACAAAGAGAAGAATTTTACAGCTGGGCCGCCAGGGGTGACATCACATATCAGTAGGAACATGATGCTAGCCTGAGTCTCAGACCAGCAAGTTTTTATTAAGGGGTTCAAAAGGAGAGGGGGATGTAAGAACAGGGAGTAGGTACAAAGATCACACACTTCAAAGGGCAAAAACAGAACCACTAATAAGGGTCTAACAAAGATCACATACTTCTCAGGGAACAGGACAAACGGCAAAAGTGGAACCACTGATAAGGGCCCAACAAAGATCACAAGGCAAAGAGCAAAAGCAGAACTACTGATAAGGGTCCGTGTTCAGTGGTGCACGTATTGTCTTGATAAACATCTTAAACAACAGAAAACAGGGTTCAAGAGCAGAGAACCAGTCTGACCACAAATTTACCAGGGTGGAGTTTTTCCCCACCATAGTAAGCCTGAGGGTTCTGCAGGAGACCAGGGCATATCTCAGTCCTTATCTCAACTACACAAGACCTTCCCAGAGCAGCCATTTATAGACCTCCCTCCAGGAACACATTCCTTTCCCAGGGTATTAATATTAATATTCCTTGCTAGGAAAAGAACTTAGTGATATCTCTACTTGCATGTCCGTTTATAGGCTCTCTGCGAGAAGAAAAATATGGCTCTCTTTGCCCAACCCTGCAGGCAGTCAGACCTTATGGTTGTCTTCCCTTGTTCCATAAAAATCGCTGGTATTCTGTTCTTTTTCAAGGTGCACTGATTTCATATTGTTCAAACACATGTTTTACAATTTTGTACAGTTAACACAATTATCACAGTGGTCCTGAGGTGACGTACATCCTCAGCTTATGAAGATAACAAGATTAAGAGATTAAAGACAGGCATAAGAAATTATAAAAGTATTATTTGGGAACTGATAAATGTCCATATTAAGATGAAATCTTCACAGTTTATGTTCCTCTGCTGTGGCTCCAGCTTGTCCCTCCATTTGGGAGTCCCTGACTTCCCACAACAGTAAGGATTTGTGATCTCTTAGGTCAAAAAAACCCTCAAGGCATTTGAGTTGTCAAATGTGAGTCATCATGGCTACCCTCTGTTCTTGGAAGGAGAAGTGGAGACTAAAGATGGCCAGCTTGAAGCTTGCTTTCAAACGCCTGAACTATAACTTGCCTACTAGTTCTGTCCACACCCATTGCCCAGGATTTAATCACGTGGTCACAACTAGCTGAGAGGCTAGTCATATAGTCTTGGCTGGTGGAGCTGTGTGGCTACCTAACTTGGAACTCTTACCTACAGGAAGAAAATGGGCATTGGATAACTAGTCCTTTATACCACCTAGGATAAGAAAATCCTTCAGATTTAGTACCAAATGTAACTACATGTGTAACAATGTGCTAGCTCACCTGATCAGGTTTCCTCTGCCTCACCCATGGTAGATTGATGGTGTCTAACTTCTTAGAGGTTGGCTACCTGGCTTAGATCTGTCTAGCTTTGAGTGTAGTGGTCACACATTAGCTACTGGCAGGTTCAGGCAGAGTTCTAGTGTTCTAAGAACCTCATGTGAGGCCACCACTAAGAACTCATGGGCCTATGGAGCACCCACCACATTGGTGTTTGTGCACTTTCTGGCCTCTGAGGCTGGTGTCTTCAGTACCTCACCAGAATCTAGGTAAAGCAGCATCATGTTGTCTAGCTGCAAGGCCTGGGTAAGGTATAGTAGTAAAATTTTCATATTGTGTCTTGTATTCTTGGGCTATGGAAATGTGAAAATAGGGATTGGGTACGAAGCTACTTAAGCAGCTCTGGTGAGGGGTGGAAAAATAGCAGGAAGGAACTTCCTCTTATTTCCTGCTGCAGCCCTTCTAGTATACTTAGAGATTTGGTGCTTTCTAGAAAGACATTTTAATGCTGATCTGAGAGGGTAGATGAGGGAAGCATAGTGGGCCTATTTTTCAGCACCCATGAGTCCATTAACCTTGGTCAGTAGGTAGCTGTGGCAATTTTGGTTTCTTTGCTTTGAAGAAAGGTTAACTAAGCCCTGAGTGTAGGGCAGGATAGGCCCTAGGAAAAGGGGTAGGTTCTACTCCTTGAAGCTTTGGCCTTTCATATTAGGTTTCAAGCCTCTATGCTATTCATTGTTGGGTATGAATACTGAGGGTTAGCCAACCACTCCCTATTGCCTGACTTCAAAGAGGCTGTCAAAGCTAAACATAAGTTCCATCTAACCTCAATAGGTGACAGCGCAAGAACTAATATAACAAATATCTGTACTGAAGGGCTTTTGGAAAGACTGATCTGATCCAACTAGAGGCATTGCACTGTTATTATAATGGTACCTGAAACATCTATGTGACATATGCAGGTCAGAAGCTATTCTGAGCCTGAGGTACATGCATCTTGGCAGTCAATGTTAAGATGAGAGAATGGGAACATGGAAAGAACTTGGGTCCCTGATGACACCACTGAGCTTCAGGACTCAGTAATGACTTACCACCAAAGCTGTTGTATGTGAAAAACAACTTAAAATGTATTCAAGCCAAACTGGTACTCCATGTAGAGAAAACTGAGTTACTTACATGAAAAACCTCTGAGTAAAATAGACTCTTTGAAATCTTCCCCTAACTTTACCCAAAATATTTCTATAAGTCACATAAGGGGAAAAAGAGGAACAGGGTCAAGTTCCCTGCCTCAATGCTGCAACTGCACTGTTCTACTGGCTAACAATGCTCACTTAGATGCAAGAAATGAACGGCTCAGCATAACATAAACAAATATTAAGGTGGACAAGTGTAAGTCCCTTTGTCTTTCTTAAAATGGTCTCAACATCTGAGCCCAGCTCAACTTAGTTGAGTCCCTGTGTTAAGAACTTTTCAGGTAAATTTAGTCAATTCAGGTTCCATTCCCATTTAGTTTGGGTTCTCTAGAAAGGCAAGAAATTGGGCACAAGTAACTTAATGGAGGTGATTCCTGGAAGCATGGTGAGGGGAAGTGGCTGGGAAGGCAGGTAAACCATGAAAGTGTCAGTGAGTGGGTGAGCCCAGTGGGAAACTGGGGCCAATTCTGAGGACCCTCTGGGACAATCCTGAGGAATGGTCTATGTGGATGGCTGGGATGAGCTGCTCACTCCTGCCCCTCACTGGCTGAGGACTCTTCCTGAAGATGAACTGTCAGCACTCCTGGCCTGTTCTGCATGTAGGCAAGCATGTTTCTGTGGCAGGAGAATATGGGTACAGACAGAGCCTTAGAACACAACATGTGGACGTGTCTGCAGGGGACCTCTGGTGGCTTCAGCAAATACGCAAGTGGAGCTGAGTCTACCTGACTCACCTGGATCCACATATGCCCCTACATTGAGTTCACTATGTCTTAGTTTGACAAGTCACCGTTTTGAAGAATCACCCATTACAAAGAGTTTTAGAATAACATGAGTATGACAAGCTACTCTCTCCACAGCTTCAACTAGTCCCTAGATAGTAATGAATATGCATCTTCTAACCACCATTCTAGATGTCTGTTTTGCCAATATCTGTGATCTAGATGGCTTATCCAGTAGGGCGAGCCAGTGACTCATGAGGGGTCTCTAGCACCTGTGTGCCTTGCCCCTGCCAGGCCATGGTCGCTGTAGTAACTGTACTGTTGAACCACGACTGGTGGCAGCAACATGTAAGACTATATACATTCCTCTTTCTGTAGCAGAAACCTATTTCCTCATGAGCACTTGGGATCATTTGCCACTGCCTGTAGAGTAACGCCTGTCCTTGCCTACGTGTCCACTGCTATAAAATGCCCGAGTGTCCACTAGTAGCTACAGGTGTTCTGGAAACCCATTCAGTGTCTCCTAGAGGAAGTATTCCTCTCTTGGGGTAGGCAAGACTGGGTGGGGAGGGAGACTGTTCTCACTACTGGAGTTGAAGCTATAGAACAGAGCAGTCGATGTCCAGGTGGGACTCCAGTTGCAATGGTGACAGGAGCCACATTACACTGCCCTTTGGTACTGGATGCATTTTTCTCTGGGGAAAAAAGTTCTTTCCAACTTACAGTATAACCAACAAACATGCCTTTAATTGGATGTGTGAAAGGTTTGATATGAAACCAGCTGAATTAAATACCCAAAGAGTTTGAGGCACAGAGAACTAGGACCCTGGATAATAGGGTGAGCTGAAGATGGGAAAAGGGTAATGAAGGTGGCAGGGCACAGGTGCTTCCAGATGGGCCCACTACTGATCTTAAAGCCACCTGAGACAGGCCTGAGGCTCAGCCTGCAGGGGCTGTCTGGTCAGCTGCTCACTCATCTTGAGGCTTTTGACTCCTCCTCTTCAGGAAATGGTTCTCCAGGTGTTCACATGGATGAGCTTTTACATGGTTTGCTGAACTCAGAAAGCACCGTGTGTTGACTTTTTGTTCATGGCATGTGGAGTGTGACCCTGTTCATTCTGGGAGTGTGCAGCTGAAGGGCTGACCTAGCAACTCCAGGGTGTCTTTGGTGCTTTCAGAGCATTCTTCTACCAGACGTCAAAGTGGTCCAAGCACTCTAGGGCTGCAGCATATGAAAAAAATGCCATGACAGAGTATAAAGATAGAATGTGCTCAGATGAAAACTGATGAGGTGGCTGACAGCATCTGCTTGTAAGAAATAATCCTGGGCACATGGGAGCTTCTTTCAGGCGCAGCTGCTGCTCATGAATGACTTCCTGGGACCAGTGGCTGCCCAGAAGTTGAGTAAGTCTTGGGGTAGATTCTTTGGAAGTAGACTTGATGAGAATCTGAGAGATGAGGACATAGAGCCAAGTAAAACTTAGTGGTAGAGAAGTGAGATGGAGGAGGGAGGTGAGCAGGGATGTAACAAGAGTCCCTTGGATGGTGAGCACAGCTTGATATGGCAGGCCCATAGAGGCTATATGGGTCATATCACAGTTGCCTCAATCAGTGAGGGAGCAGAAGTACTTATCTATTGTTACTCTGTCTGATACTGGATAAAGCCAGACATTATGGGGACACAAACTGCCAGGTCCTTTGTGTTCCCTTAGGGCAGCCCCAAACATAGATGCAGGCTGTTGGCAGTCATATAGGTAGGCACTGGTAAGCCAAACATGAGAGAGGGGCCTAAGGAGATGTTGGCAAAGCACTGACAGCTTCTGCTGGAAGGTCCTGGGAGCCCAGAGCTCAACGAAGAAAATCCTGTCTCTTCATTTCAAATGCTGAGAAATCAAGACCCAGATCCAGAAACTGGAAGTGTCATGGATTTAAGGTGAAATCAAGTGATATGGTGGTTTGTTTGAACTCCCCCAGACAGACCCTGAGAGATTCATGTGGAACTAAGGAATTACTCCTAGAAGAAACAAGTGAAGGAGTGGGAGGCAGCACAGGGATTGGTAGGAGGCCAGGCAATGTTGTGATAACCATCAAAATCCTGCAATCTGTAGGCTCCTTGGGTCCCTCAGGGGAGTGCAAGATTGTACTTTATACCTTGGTTGTGGAATGAGCTTTCACAATCCTGTATCTGAGAGTCATTCATGGTGGCTCTGATTTGGTGTAGGGGGACATTTTAAACTCTGACACTTGTAACTGTTCATGTATGCATGCAAAATGGGTCCAATAATCCAAGGGAAGTGCTCCCAAGACTGCAGGTGCTTGCCCTTGAAGACACACACAAGGTAGGGCTGAGGAGATAGACATGCTTAATAGGAATCTGAGGTTATAGGCATGGCATGAATGTGATTCACTCATAGTTCTAACCACAAAATTAGTGACACAGAGCTGTCCTTACCACTACCCCTTCCAGGCATCCTTTGCCATGTGCCTGTCCTTGGAATGTGACACCTCTTGATTTGCAGGTTTGAGCGGGGGCTTCATCCCAAGAAGGCCATTTTTTCAAAGTAGCCTTGTTACATCATTTGACCTAAGGCCCAACTGAAGGTCTTAGATACTTATGTGGGAATTGTTAGGAGATTGGAATGAAACCTCAGAAATGGCCTGTATTTATTTTTTTACCTCTTCAAGTCATAAAACACACTGCACTGACAATATACAGCCTTTGGCTGCAGTGGTCCTGTGTTGCTTTGTGTCACTTTAAACTCCTGTGTGTGTATGCAAGATGTTTCTTTCAGCGAATCTCTTCTAGAAAGGGAAAGAAGTTCTTGAGAATGGGGTTATCCTAAAGATGCTTCTGCCCTTGGCCTCCATTTCATGTTACAACAGCAGATAGACTAGCATGTTTAACTGGACAAGTGAATTTCATGTTTCTGTAGCTGTCAAAATGGAGGGGTCTTCCAGGAAGCAGATCCTCAGGCGGAGGTAAACCTCAGGAAACTCACCAGGGAGCGGTCTGGGGTTCCACACCTGTGAAAGGAAGCAGGACCAGGGAGAGGAAGGAGCTGAGCTGTGATGCAGCTTCCACAGAAGCTCTGGCCAATCCTGTGGGGAGTTGTGATACCTAGATGACCTTTTAGAGCTGAGTTGGGATGAGAGGTCTTGGGTTTTATTCCCAGATTGACAAGCACTGGAAGGCAGCTACCTGGGAGGGGATGTGGCCTTAGGTGAGATTCTCTTCAGCTGAGCTAAAGCTTAGGAGGGGCCGACAGCTAATAGACTCCTGGGGCATCCAGTGGTTGCAGAACAAATCCTTCCTTCCTGAAAGGGGAAATAGTGGCTGCATCCTTTCACCTACTATGTCAAAGAATCACAGCATAAAAATGAACACATGAACGTTTAGACCTAGTATGGATCAAACTGTCAGGATATTTCCTTATGGTGTCCTGAAGGGGTGAACATGAAGCATCAGAGCTGACCTCCTTCTAAATTCTTAAACAGATAGATGCTGTTACTTTTAAGTCCAGCATGTCAGCCCCATCTTGAGGGTTCTGGAGTTTCAGAACTTGTCTGTGCCAAGAGCTGCAATGTTTTGAACAGACAACAGGATGAGAATTGTGTGGAAGCATCCCCAAAGCTAGATCAGTCTCTGAGGGATGCTCCCTGGAGGCTCAGTTGGGTCACCTTTGGGGCAAGGGACAGGTTGGCCTAGAAACACTTCTCCCTTTCACCACACTTCCCTAGCAGTCTCCTGGCAGGGACATTAGTCTCTAATAACTGGGGAAAAGTCAACATTGGACAGTCTTAAAGCTTGTCCTCTAGTAGACCCCAAATGATGGACTTAATGGAACTACTCTGAGTCCTACATGTTTGATAGCCTGCGATGTTACTCTTGAGGTTCAATTCAGCTGGGTCTTTGAGGCATATTATTTTCTCTGATAATGTTTGTCTTCTAACCTAGTGTTGCTGGTTGACTTGGTCTCAACCTAAATGCTTCTTGGACTTGATTGCTCTGAAGTCTAATGTATTTACACATTAATCATTTTGAGTTGGTATGTGGTATTCCTGGTGCTGATTGAACAGTTTGCCTGCTTCTGTACAAATGATGGAGCCAAACCAGACCAGGGCATCGATAGTAAAACAAGGTTATAGGAGGTAATAACAAACTGTGGTTTTCCTTCTGGCAACTCAAATGCCACTTGGCTGCCTTTTTTGCCTTTTTCAACTGTATCAGTCTGCTATCTGGTGCCTCAGAGGAATCAACATTGTTAAGGAACATGAAAAATTGCAGGCAAGAGCTGGATCTCTCTAGAAAACTGTGTTACATGTCAAACAATGCTCTGTCCAAATATACTTTCTTCTATAACATTTTTGCCCCCCTCTGGGAGGGAACTAAGACCAGGTTTTGTAGGAAAAGGTAAGAGCTTTATGCAAGTTTCACACATAGTGCTGATGTACCTTCAGAATAGTGTTGCATGAGATGAGGGAGCTCCTTTGACACAGGTTAGAGCATGGAAGGCATCATCCCCATGATGGGTGGGTTTGGGGCATCGTGAATCTCCCTAGTGATCAGGGAGAAGCTCCCTTTCCCTGTTCAAGATTGTCAACAGGGGCTGGTGGCTCAGTGAAGCTCTATGCTCTGCCCTTAGGTGGTAGAATGGATCTTCCTTGGAACCAGTCTGAATAGGAGGATACAGGAGAAGACATAGCCCAAGGCCTCTTTTGTAGCTCCCTTTGCTTTTGCCTGAGCTATTGCTGCCAGCCCTTATATTTAGTCCTGTTCCATATTTTGAGTATCAGGGACCCTTTGGTATAGACACAGAACTACAGATAGTGGCAGTGTATAAAATGCAAGTGTTAGTGCCTTCATCATTTTGATCGCATGTCTCCTCGATTGTTGGACTCCTATAATCAGGATATTTTTTCTAGATAAAGTGTGGGCTCCTGGGCTAGGTCTGCTTGGATTGTTTGGCATAAAGCAGAAGTGTGGTGGAAACTGAGAGCTGTATCAGAGGCAAGTACCTAACCATTGTAGTTGAGGGGGAATTACAAGGGTCTTGCTGGCTTCTGGGTCCTTGAGCCCAGGATTAGGGGAAGAATATGTGAGTTCAAGGGCTGAGCTGGGTCCTATGAGAAAAAAATGCCTACACAGGATTGAACATGGAGGAATCTATCAGACAACTGAGATGAGAAGCTGTGGGGGAGGATTCATCCCACAAAGCAGGTAAGGGAGTAAGGCAGGTAGCCTCAGAGTACAGTGAGGTGAAATGAGCTTTGGGTAGGCCAAGAGTGAGGCTTAGACTCAAAGCTGCTGAAGAGTGGGGTCCCGTTTTGTGGCAATGAGCTTGCCTTAGGCCTGGCTGCTGTGCCATGATGGGGACACTGCTGGGCAATTACTCTTCACTGTAGACATCTGAGTCAAGCTTGGTTCCTGTGACCAGTAGAGCTCTACCTGAGAATCCTAGTATTTGGTGGTAAATCCCAGGACACTCCCATGGGGTGAGGGTAATAAGCTCCTTAAATGATTCCTGATCCCAGCTGCACTGAGTTCTGGGAAATATGAACTACTCCAATGCCTGAGTCACATGAATTATAGGTTTCAACTCAGCAAGTCTTTGGAAAAGCTGGTCAAGTGGCCTGATGTCCGGTTAAACTGTATCAGAAATGCAGTGGAATCACTTTTGTTTTTTCTAGGCAGGATCAATTAACACAGGTGTTCTTCTGGCATAGGTATGAAGTACTCTCAGGTACTTGAATATACCTGCTCTTTCCTTGACTACCTAAGAGGCTATTGCTTATGTGGTCATACCACCCTTGTAAGTTGCTCAGAAACAGATCAGAAAGCTGTTTGTGTTTTCGAGCTGGCATGCCAAGGCCACATGTCTAGATAGTAATTTTTATTTCTATCACGTAGGCTATGTTTTGAGAACTCAAGGAAAAATAAGTCAAAGCAGGACCTAGGCTGTTGAGGGAACTCCTTGGTGAATATGTTGGCCAAAACTCAGAAGGCTTATTGATATTGTTAGCATCTTACATGAGACACTTGTCAGGTGCTTCTTCAACATTGATTCCCACATTGTTGGCCAAATACACACCTGACATCCTTGTGGAGAAATTATTCCCCACAGATCTCATTCCAGCTTATTAAGGTATACCATACTACAACCCACATCCCCTAACTATAGTGACTAGTTCAGGGATGGGCATGCTATCTACATGGCCATGCCACTGAAACCCTGGAAGATACTGCTAGAACTGATGTTCTAGCACGAAGAGCATTTGAAAGAAAATACTCAAGTATACAGCATTTGTCATGAAGGGAGTGCCTGGAACTTCCTGTCCAGAGGGTGGTGGTGGAGCTGAGAGTTAAGCTGATACCACGGAGGGTAGAAGAGACAAAGAAATCTGATTCTTGGTGCACCTGAGCCTGTTGAACCAGCTTCACTTGGAACCAACACTACATGTAGAATTTGCAGTTGGTGAGCTAATTTCCTTTTTACTAGGCCAATGCAGTTGGCAGGTTCCTTGGTTAGTTGTGATCAAAAGATCCTAACACTTGAAGCCCAGTGAAATATAACTAATGTTCTGGATATTAGAACCTAACTTATCACTTGCAGGATGAAAACCAACCTGTAGCTAACAAGTTTGGAGAGATAAGAGTACTGAATAGCATCTAAGGCTTATCAGATTAAATGCTTAAATGAGGAAGGAGAAATCGTCTCCTAAAGAGAGCTAGAAAGGCTGTGCCAAAGCCAACATAACATGGAAATCATACCGAATTCATGTGACTGACATGCTTATTTCCCCAGCTATGTGCCACTCATAGAAACAAGGTGGTGCCTTGTTTCTGTTGCTCATGACATTCTTTTAACAAATTTAGATATCCCCCACCACCCTGGAACTTCTGCACAGAAATGAAAGGTGAAATCAAACAAGAAGCTTCACATGAAATATCTTGCAAATGGAAGGAGTAACTGACAGGTGTCATGGCTAGTAACGCCAACCCACACCCTAGCATAGGTGATAGTTGCCTGGATCCAGTTGAGCCTCCAGTGAAAACAAATCTGAATTCTGGCCTTCCTGATCATTGTGTCCTATGGCCACCTAAGTTTTAGACACTTGGTAATAAGCCTCTGTGGGGCATTGTGAGCCATGGGTATACGGCTATGCTTACAGTAGTCATGAGTTCACCTGGGTCAGTAGCAGAAAGAAATGGCACATAGAGGAACATGAGAGCCAGAATAGAAGAAACCAACAATTTTCCTGGAGCATGAGGTGGTAACTTGGCAAACAGTGAAATATTAAAGTTACAGATAGGGACTAACTCCTAGAAGGGATGGTGAAGATACCTCAGACATCAGGTCAATATGTAATAAAGTTAATGCCCAAGGTGTAAAGGTAACTCAAGATCAGGCCTAATCATCTCCTTCCAGACAAATGGTCATCCTCCCTCTGACAGGAGTGACTGTGGCAGTGTCCATGGGCATATACATGCTGCCTTTCACATGGGGCTTTATTCAAGAGCTGTAGAAATTACATCTCAAATTACTATAGTGCTGATTTTACTCTCGAGTTTTAGTTGACATCTAAAAACTACATACTGTTGTGAACTCTGAGATGCAGATGCTAAGGGAGATTCAGAGGTTCAAAAATTTTGGGATTGAGGAAGTTCTGTGAGGAATTGAATCTGGGGTAGGATCCAGAGGATCATGCATGTCAGACTCGAAGGAAGAAATATTAGGTGGGAAGTGGTTTAGACTGAGCTGTGATACTAAGTGTCTTAGCAAAGATGCTGGTAAGCCCCAGAGCTCAAATGCCCCCTTGGAGTCACATGCGTCCTGAATGTGCTGGATTGAGCACCCCTGCTACACTCAGGCATTGGTTGGACATAGGATGTGGGAAGCAACACTTTAATAGCCACCACAGTCAGCCGCTGTACTGCGCAGAGGTACTTGGCTACACAGGTTCTCAGAGCAGCAACTCCATGTCCCTTGGGCCTCCCTTCCAGAGTAAACTCAAGAGGCTCTGGGACAAAATGCAGCGCCTGTGACTGGAGTCAATCTTGGGTAACAACTAATTCTCATCCTCTGTCTCCTCCAATATCTACCCTAAATCCCCTTTGGCCTCAGCTGTCAACTCAGCTGAGGGTTGGTGCTTACCTGGTGCTGTGACCTAAATCTTTGGCCTGAGGGGTCTCCACTTCTAGAGATCATATGCTTTTCAAGATAGTGCTGCTTGCCTTTATCTTTTGGAGTGGGGCAAGGAAGTTGAAGGAGATGTCCCATTTTATCTGCTGGGTTCCATTCATATTACTTGCTCCCGGGGTATACTAGTCCATCCTCTCTTCAGAGTGGTTAATCCTGCATTAGGATGACTCACAAAACACGTCAATGCTTCACTTGGAATGATGGAAAAAGGGACCACTTCTTTTTATCTCTTGGTACCGAACCCATTAGTGTTACTGGGGGTGTGGTACCATGGAGATGCCTCCCGCATGTATATGCTTTCTCCTGAAGGAGGGCATCCAAATATGCAGCATGCATGACTCACAAATGCTTCTACCAGGCTTCTTGAAGGCTGTCTGCACATTCTACAAGGCTACCTACTTCTAAATGGTCTTGTGTGAGGACTATGGATGCCCCCTCCAAGATCCAGATTCCACTTGGTACATTTGTGACCCAAGACACCTTGGGAACTGAGGTTCACAGTCTTGGCCAGATGGAAGCACTGAGTTACACAGGAAAAACCTAAGTTTCTGAGAAAATTGGGTCAGTTGGAGCCTCAGCTGGCCAACTTCTGAGATGTCATTCTGTGGAGAACAAGCAGTGATTGAGAGTCCTAAGGAGACTTCTGGGGCATGCAGGCCTGGATGGGAGGCAGTTTTGGGAAGGAGAATGGGTTAAGCTGAAAGGAAAATGAATCTCAAAGCTGGGGATCCAAAGTAGAAGTTGTTTAGGATAGAGGACCTCTAGTGGAACAGAGGTGATATGGTTAGGCTTAGTGTCCTCACCCAAATCTCATCTTGAATTGTAATCTCCATAATCCCCATGTGTAAAAGGAGAGAGCAGGTGGAGGTAATTAAATTATGGGGGTGGCTTCCCCCATTCTGTTCTTGTGGTAGTTCTCACAAGATCTGATGCTTTTATACGGGGCTCTTCCCACTTCATCTGTACTTCACCTTCCTGCCAGCTTGTGAAGAAGTTGCCTTGCTTCCCCTTTGCCTTCTGCCATGATTGCACGTTTCCTGAGGTCTCCCAGCCATGCTGAACTGAGTCAATGAAACATCTTTCCTTTATAGATCACCCAGTCTCACGTAGTTCTTTATAGCAGTATGAAAACAGACTAATACAGGAGCTGAAGTCTAAAGCAGAGCAAATATGCAGAGAAGCCAGAGCCAGCTTTTCTATGTCAATGGCCAGCACCTTGGAGTGTGGACTGGGGGTCATAGTAGCTGGAGGATGGTATGTTTTTCAAGGTAACATTTGCAGAACCAAACACTTGCTCACATTTTCTCTTATGTGTAGAAAAAAAGGAATCAGAAGGAAGAAAATGTATGGCTATATTTTCTATGCTTTCACTTTCTAGTGTGCCTTATTGTATACAAACTTTCTTTCAAACAGGAGCCTTGCCAGGCCTCTTGGGATTGTTTTAACTTCTCTCAATGCAGGAAAGACATGTGACACATCATGGCAAAGTAAGCAATGTAAGCATGTGAGATGGGCCTTGTGGGGACATAGAGTATAGGGCAGCTCTACATCCTGCATTCACCTGCAGATGAACATGCTGGTGTGCATGCACAGGGTCATGTGGGGGCATCTTCAATTTGAATAGTGGCTTGGGTAGAAAAGTTTTGCCAGTCTATACAATCAATGTGCCAGTGGTGACTTTGGCAGGAAGGACTTTGTCTTGACCTTGTTGGTTCTGTGGCTCTTCCAAAGAAGTTGAATGTTGAGGAACAGTTATGGTACTTGATGTAAGTTACAGTTCTTAAAGCATTCAATGATAGTTCTACCTTCTTGAGGGTTAGAGTCTGCATGTTACTGCATGGGGAATTTATAGGCAAACTACTTCCCTAGGGTGACATAGCTAAGGTGTTACATGAAGTCTGGAATCCAGTTAATCTGAATTGATACAGTATATCTTCATAGACACCATTGAATTTAGAGAAGCAAGATGCTCATCTACACTTTCTCTAGGTCTTGTAGAAGATGCCACCAGTACAGAGAAAGATGATAGAATTCCAAATATCCCCCTGGTGGCAAGAGGGATATCTGGCATCTCCTTGCCCCCAACTAGTCTGGCCTCGTGTTGACATGCTCTCTGATTCAGTAACGCTAATCCTTGGACTCTATGTAGACCATGGTTAAGACCATCGTGGGCATTGTTGCTTCTGGATTCAGGAAGGAGGGTTATCTTTGGCTTTCTAGACAGTCGTCTTTTGATGGGACCAATGAAAGACACAGAATTCCATAGGTGAGGGGCCAACACCAGGGAATAAACCATGGCAGTATAGAAGATAATTATCTAGGGCCATAAAATGCTGTAACATGCTGGCTTGTACCTAGAAATTAGAGGAAAACGTGTCATGTCACTGGTGTCAGCAATGGGCAGAACACCTATTCAGGGGACTCCAGTGTTTTGCTATCTGGTGTACTATTCTCAGGAACTTTAAACCTTCCTGTCTGTCCAACTCCCCTGGCTTCCCCTAGGTATTTGTAGGTTGCCTGTATCCAGATGACTTCCTTTGGCTTAAGGTCTCTGCATTTGAAACTTATGTCTCGAGTGCATACTCCCACTTTTAGATACTGAGACAGGTGTCTGAGAGGTGAGCCCTAAGTATATTACGTGTATGGCTTCCTCTTCCAGGTCACATTGCTAAAGACCCTGGAAATCGCTCCTATGAGCAGAGGAAAAATCTAAGCTATAGAAACCACAACTACAGCATGGCACTGGTGTACCTCAGGTACTACAAAGTGATAGCTGATACCGGTTGGGGTACAAAAGATAACCCTTCCAAGTGAAGGTAAAATTACAGATGCCCATAACTTTCAAGCACCAACTTAACCCTTGGCTGAGCCCTGTCCTCCATTATTTGGAGTCCTAGGGAGAGTTCTAGCGTGCAGGATCTGGATTTTATGCTGATGCTGTACTTGCAGGCCAGGGCAGACCCTCATCAGGTTCTGTCCTGTGTGACTCTTGAGTCAACAGTCAAGTGTAGACAGTCAACCCCAAGGTTGCAGGTGGGCTCTTACTTCCAGGAAAATGACTTGAGATGCTTTCCTCAAGGTCCTGTGAGAACCGAGTCACTGGCAGAGTAACTTGTCCTATCTCCTAGGAGCCCCTTTTCAGCTGAACAGATCAAACACGATTGTGGAGGAATCCCCATCTGCCTTGTTAGATTGGAAATTGTGTTCCTGAATTAGAAGTAATATTGATGTTAACACATCCAAGTGCCTATCAAATGGCTTATTGTAGTTCTTGTCTGTTAGCTTAAACAGTCAGAAGTCTGTTGTGACATAACTTGTGCCCCTTTAAAGAAGGTAAAAATTTTCCTACCACAGGCCATTGTGAGATGCTTCTTGTACTCTGTCCTTTCATGAACTGAAAGTCAGCCATGCTGTTGTAGGTCAAGGTGCCTGCATAAGACTTTCTAGGGGAGGGGCAGAGGAGGGAGCTAAGCAGGCATATGGTATGTTGGAGTTCAGCTTCCATCCGGGCCCACGTGGAGCTCTGAGGTTACAAAGCATGTTGAGGGTACAGAGCATGTTGCTCTGAGAGTGCAAGTGCCATGTTGAGGTATCGATGTAAGCCTTTTATTCCCAGAGTCAGTACTGGCTGTGGGCTTCTGGGGAAGAGGTCTCTCTACTAGGCTGAGGGCAGTTTTCCAGAGGAAGTGGCTTGGGAACCATTAGCAGCCAGCAGTCTTAGCTACTGGGTGGTAAATGCCTTGACTCAGTGAAAGGGCACCGCATGAAGCACCAACTATTTTCATCATACATGCTGGAACAACTTGTCCCACTGATGGCAAGAAGGGGGTGTGATTGTGTACCAGCATACTCTGGTTGTTGCCAAATCTGCAACTTGGTGAGTATGTGGCTGAGCATGTTGCCACATGCAGCAGGTCCTCTTCACATCTGAGAAGGGCAGTGCACACCAGACTCTGTGAAGCTCAGCATGTTTGTGGTGCCAAATGTGGAGACGGAAGTATCATAGAAATCCAGAAAGGAGAAGTGGAAGGAACTGTGGCTGGCAGGATGGCAGTGACATGGGCATCTGTCACTCAGCATAGCAGGGACCTTGGGACCTCACCAAGTAGAATTGAAGAGCACAAGAACCATATTAGAGAATGGTGAAATCTAGTCAGAACTGGTAACAATTCTTCCCTTAACTAATTCTATTGGAAGCAGTAAGCCCAGCCACAACTACTTGTTTTGTGATACTTTGTAGTTTAGGGTGGGCATGACTCCAATTTCTACTTATATCTTATGGGTCTGAAGGTCAATGGGCTTCCCAGGGTATCTACTTAAGAGGAACAGTCTCAGCTAGCACATGTTTTTGCATTTCCCAAATCTAGTGACTTCATATCTAGTGATTTCCCAAATTGAGCAATTTCATATCTAGTGATTTGAATTGGATTTGCTTTCTAGTCTCTGACCTGCTTTTCCATGTAGAAGCACTTGGCACAGCTTTCCTGTCGAACTGCTGCCTTTCCTATAGAGCCCTCCAGATAAAATCTCATCTTCAGTGACTGGATGTGCTTGGCAAGTGAGATGGTGTGGTAGGACTAAAGTTCTGCTTATTCTAAGCAGGTTTGGAGGAGTATTCAATAGGGCCACTATACCATCAACTTCCATTCTTCTAATTTACCTAGAAATTAAGAATTAGGTCTATAGGTATCTTACACCACAATTCATAAAGGACATAGCAGGAGTAGTCTATGTATCTGTCACTTCTATAGATTGAGTTGAATAGGAGTTCAAATGCTATTCCCTCAGGTTCCAGATGGCTTGGACCATAGGGTAGACTTCCCTCCCACTCCTTTCATTGCAGGTAGGGTCAGGCTCTAGGACCTTTTGCTTTAAGGCCACCTTTAATCTTTTTTTTAAGATCTGGGATACCTGTGCAGAACGTGCAGGTTTGTTACATAGGTATACATGTGCTATGGTGGTTTGCTGCACCCACCAACCTCTCTTCCAGGTTACCAGCCATGCATGCATTAGGTATTCATCCTAATGCTCTCCCTCCCCTTGCCCCCTGAGCCTGCAACAGGTCCTGGTGTGTGATGTTACCCTCCCTGTGTCCACATGTTCTCATTGTTCAACTCCCACTTATAAGAACATGTGGCGTTTGGTTTTCTGTTCCTGTGTAAGTTTGCTGAGAATGATGGTTTCCAGCTTCATCCATGTCCCTGCAAATGGCACAAACTCATTCTTTTTTATGGCTGCATAGTATTCCATGGTATATATATGCCACATTTTCTTTATCCAGTCTATCATTGATGGGCATTTGGGTTGGTTCCAAGTCTTTGCTATTTTAAATAGCACTGCATTAAACATACATGAGCATGTGTCTTTATAGAATGACTTATAATCCTTTGGATATACCTAGTAATGGGATTGCTGGGTCAAATTGTATTTCTGGTTCTAGATCCTTGAGGAAATGCCACAGTCTTCCACAATAGCTGAACCAATTTACACTCCCACCAACAGTGTAAAAGAATTCCTATTTCTCCATAGCCTCGCCAACATCTGTTTCCTGACTTTTTAATGATTGCCATTCTAACTGGCATGAGATGGTATCTCACTGTGGCTTGATTAGCATTTCTCTGATGACCAGTGGTCTTTTGTTCATGTTTGGCCACAAAAGTGTCTTTTGAGAACTGTCTGTTCATATCCTTTGCCCACTTTTTCATGGGTTTTTTTCTTGTAAATTTAAGTTCCTTGTAGATTCTGGATATTAGACCTTTGTTGGATAGGTAGCTTGCAAAAATTTTCTCCCATTCTGTAGGTTGCCTGTTCACTTTGATAGTTTCTTTGGCTGTGCAGAAGCTCTTTAGTTCAATTAGATCCCATTTGTCAATTTTGGCTTTTGTTGCCATTCCTTTTGGTGTTGTAGTCATGAAGTCTCTGCCCATGCCTATGTCCTGGATGGTATTGCCTAAGTTTCTTCTAGGATTTTTAGGGTATTGGGCTTTACATTTAAGTCTTTAACCCATCTTGAGTTAATTTTTGTATAAGGTATAAGGAAAGGGTCCAGTTTGTTTTCTGCATGTGGCTAGCCAGTTTTCCCAACACCACTTAAGTAGGGAGTCCTTTCAATCTTATGCTCTTTTGCCACAAGGATAAAAACCTCTCAGGGAATTAGAACTGAACCAAAACCTGTGCAGTGGCTATAGCAGAGCTCTTCTAGACTCCTAGTTCCAGGTTCCTTTGAGGTATGTCTCCAGGCAGGAGCAGTTTTGTCCAAGTCTTCTCATAGGTTCAAGATGGAGAGAGACTAAAGGGATCTGCTCAGGGACGGGGCTGTGCTTTAACTCTCAGCTTGTTTTCTCAGAATATCCTCAACTCTGACCCTGAGCCTTCAGCAGATGAGAATAGTAGAAGGTAAAGCCTAAATGAGTTCCTGCTGCCTGGAATAGGCACTCCTGTAACTATGGAGACCAGGTGGGCAATGTGGGCTGTGGTAGGTATCGGTGATCCTTAGGGGAGGGATCTCCTGTGAAGCCTATGATCTTAGTAGCAGCCTCACAGTGAAATTCATTCTACAGTGTATGTCACTGTAATGGGTTGGAGTTCTGGAAAGCTGTTTCAATGAAACAACTGCTGGCCCATATCCTGGCTTGTGGCAAACCCCTGTCTCAAGTAGAACCTCTGTTGCACCCTTAAGACTTTCATGCCCTTCGTTAATAGTAGCAGAGTCCCTAACAATGAGGTCTCCGGAGATGCGGCAAGTAGAATGAAAAAGACACAAGGCAAAATGCAAGACAATAGGAATCACAGTACCCAGTGAGCAGGAGATGGCATAGCACAAGTGGGCAGTCAGCCTGTGAGCCAGCCCCCAGGCATCCTTGCTGCTTGATGTTCAAGCCCCTTCCCTTGAGGGTAGATGTAGTGGCTTGATAAATAGATAATGGAAACGATTTGCCCCTCAAATGAGCTTGAGACTGGCTTCTGTCTTGGGTCTTACACTCGATTTGTTTTGCAATGTGTGTACTAGGAGAATCAAGCTATGTGGTAAACCACTCCATGCAGCAGCCAACTTGGCAAGGAGGAGAAATGTTCAACTCGACAGTCTGAGCAGCTGAAGCATATCACTGATCTTGGAAGCATAGTAGTCCTCCTTATGTGTGGGAGATATGTTGTAAGACCCCCATAGATGTCTAAAACCATGAAGACATTGTCAGAAGGCCAGCTGAGAGTTAAAGCACCTTATATATACTGTTTTTCTCTATACATAATGCATCTATGACAAAACTTAACTTCACACTTAGGCAAAGGAAGGCTAACAATAATGAAATAAAACCATAACATACCAGCATTACTACTGGTGACAATTAAGTAAAATAAGGGTTACTTGAACACAAACACTGCAATACCATTGATTTGATAATGGAAATGGCTGCTAGTAGCTGGATAGTATACAAGGTGTAGAAATCCTAGACAAAGGGATGTCCTATGTCCACAGTAGGATGGTATGAGACCTCATCACACTACTCAATGACATGCAACTGAAAACATGACAGGATTACTCTAGGAATTCTGTCTAACTTTGGCCTGCAGGTACCTGGGTAGCTGATACTGTGGAAAACAAAACCCCACACAAAAGTAGGGGACTACTGTGGACATTGAGGTTGGCCCGCTGCTGTGAATAAACTTGGAAGCAAGTTCTCCTTTGTTCTGGTGGAGCCCTCAGATGAGACTACCTCCTGGGTAATAGCTTGATGGTGTCTTCCTGAGAACTTGAACCAGAGGTATCTGGCTAAGCTATGACAGCTTTCCTGACCCTTAGAATCTGGAAAGATAAGTGATTGCTGTTTTAAGCCGCTAAGTTTGAGGTTAATTTGTATAGCAGCAAAAGATAACCACATATCTATAGCAACAGGCAGCTGCTACTTGGCTCTGGTCAATGATTGCTGTGCAGGAATGACAGTGGTATTGGACAAGAAATAGCTGTACTTAAAAGCGGGAAATGCCATCTCTCATGTGACTCCTACTGTAGAGTAGGTGTCACATGTGGGTAGGTAGGTCTATCTTCAGGCATGTTTGACATCTGCAGCATTTTAACAAAGTAATTTTGTGTTCTAGTTCTACCTACCATAGAAGGTCAGGTGATTGAGAACAAGGCTGTATAGTCAGTAAACAGGAGTGCTGAAGTCATAGCCACATCTTCTTGCACTAGTGTTCCTTTGCTTACCAAACCCTTATTTTAGTCTATCAACAGGGTAAGTGTATCTGGACCACAGCAGAATGGCGGCCTGGATCAGCTAAGGAATATTGGCATTGGCTTTTGAAAATGAAATGATTTCAGGGTCAGGGGTCTGGGAGAGCTGGGAATACTACAGGAGCCTTCCAGGGTCAAATGGGAAGAATGGAGTGAGCAAAGACCAGGCATGCCAAGGTCTTGTTAGTTTCTACTGCCTGAGGTCACCCTGCTTAGTACCACCTGAGGGATCATTCTGAGATGTGGAAATTCACCTGCTCCTCAGTACAGGGCGTTCTCTACTAATAGCCTTGAGTGAGGTTGCTCTGTCCAGTAAAATGTGAGCCATCTATATTTGAAGTACTAGTCTCACTAGTCTCACCTGATTCTTGTTTTTAATCTTAAAATTCCTGAGTTTGGTTAGATGTGTATTCAAGTCCCACCTACTCCAGTTGTAGCTCTGGTCCTACTCTAGGGTCTTCTGGCCTGGGTGGCAATTCCCTGCCCTCTGAAGGAACTGCCTCATGGGCTTGCTGAGGGATTAGATGATGAGTCACCCGTGCTTTCCTCAATTGCTAGCAGTTGAACTTGGTATGTGCATCTAAAGGAAAAAAAAATGCCCTCCCAGCGGACTAGTTTTTAAGTGGCTTAGAAGTTGTCTGGCTGAGTGGACAATTGGAGATTCTTGTGCCACCATGTGAAGCAATCTAGGCTGTTCAGTGTTCCAGAGTATGTTCCATAAGTGGGGGAAGGGGCTATATAAGCTGAGGCCATAGCCAGCATCAGAATAGAAACCCCAGCCAGAACTGGGGCAGCCATCCCAGATGGCATTCAATACTCAGAGTAGGAAGACCCCAGGTAAGGGGAGGTTCTCAACTGTCCACCTCTCTCTGAGGGGAAGACTAAAGCTGGGCAGCCTACAAGGGTGAGTGGAGATGCTTGCCATGAAGTGACAGTCAACCTCAGCCAGGGTCTATGCTGAACACATCCAGGGAGGTCTTATTCTTCCTGAATGTAGAATTCTCCAGCTGCTTGTCTTTGGTGTAGAATGGGCATGCGACTGACTGGTTGATGCTAGATGACCCAAAATAAGCCTTATTCACCACTTCACATTGGAGATTTTGAATAGGACCTGATTCAGAGTTGAAAGCTCTTGGTGGACTGTCCTGGAGTAGATCTGCCCCCACACCTCATGTTCCTCCCTCTCCATGTCAGATACATTAAATGAGTGTTATACACTTGAGTGTCTATCATGTGACAGAAGCTGAGATTCTGGTTACTGCTGACTCACATCTTATTCCTGAAGACTTTACAGAAGACCTAACAAATCTCCAGGACACTTGTTCCCTTTCTGTGGAAAAGGCTGCTAGACCTTGTAGCAACAGGCCAGGATGGTGTGGGACCAATAGAGTAGGAGCAGAAGCATAGAAGTACTGAAGTGCTTTCCTCTTGAATATTCCCTTGTGGTCTCTACTCAGGGAGGCTTAGGATCTTCTGAGTTCCCATGTCCTGGTTATGGGTCCATCTGAGGAAAAGATGAGTTTCCTCCCTGAGTGAAGGGCACCGCTTGACTTGGAATGTTGGCTTTTCCTTCAGAGTGTATCCTCTAGTTTCCTCTAAGACACAGATTAGAGCTAAACATTGGGATAGTTGGGGGTGGTATGAATTGGACTAGAACCAACTAATAGTGAGTCCATGGGGGGGATTCTGTGTGCTAGATAAGAGATTGAAGAAAATTGTAGGGTGGTTAACTCTTCACCTCCCAAACCTCACAAATGCAAATGCTGTCCCACCCTGGAGCTTCCCTAGATGACTGTCCCCCATGCCTCTTGCCTTTGGTGCTCCTTTACTGCAATCAGTGGCCCATTTTCTGTGGCTACCGACCAGTATGGGCATTTGAAGATGTGGTTGACATATATTTTTATCCTACATTAATCAATGGTTGAAGCTCCTTGCTGGATTCTAGATCTTGGCTTAAATGTGCCTGCCCCAAAGTGCCTGTACTTCACTCATGCCTGACCTCCCTATGTGCATTCCCCATTCAGTCTCAGTCACAATCTGTGAACAATGAGGACAGATCAACTATCTCCAGGCCATTTTGATTCTAATGTGAAGCGCCACATTTGAAACAGACTTCATTTGCTGAGCTGACAGGAAGCTGAGCACTAGATAACATCTTTGGTACTGCTAAGGATTTTTGACAGTATCTTGTATCCAATGGGATGCTATTGAGAACTGCAAGTGTGGGGATGTGTAAAACCTAATTTTCTGTGACACAAGAACACCTTTGGGTGCCATCATTTTTCCACAGAAGGGTCTGGGACCCTGTCTCAACCTGTTGAAAGGGTAGGAGGTTCTAAAATGAGTCAAGTGAGTCCATTATGCTGATGCTGCTCATCAGGTGTTGGCTATTCCCACCATCTTAGCACAGGCTCCAAAGACATATTCTCAGTAGGTATGGAGACACCTACTGAGTGAAGGAGATACATCTGAGAACAAGTAGGTCTGTGTGCCTCTTTGATAGAGGACATGATGTTCCTTCTGGTTCTCCTTCACTTTGACCTGCAAGCTCCTCTTTGGTCTACATAAGCTGCATATCTTCTTCTAGTTCTGGTTTGACTACAACTTCAGGTACTGTTAGACATAGCATTTTCTATCACTTGTGTTTAGATATCAAATCATAGAACTTGAGGCTACATGGTCAGATTCCTCCCCTGTAGCCTGAACATGGTGTTTCCTTAACTTTTTGTCTTTAACATTCATGTCCTTTTGAATTCAAAGTGGTTTTTCTCCTTCATATTTGCCTCTAATGAGTATTGGTGTTCAATGACTGTTCCTCTGTTTGGTGGAGCTGCAATGCTCTTCTGGGAGCAGGGATAGCCAAATCAGCGCAGTGATCTACTTGGGTCCCAGAACTTAACTTGCAGCATTGCTGGTACCTGGTAAAGAACTGGCAGGAAGAGTTGTGCTTAGTTGGTTGAATTTTCAGGGCATGAAGTAATTGTCAAGTGGAACTGAAGAGGATCATGTTAATCTCCCTGAAAGGGTTCCATCTGATTGGTATGAGGTTCTATTGGAGACCAGTCTTTTCCCCTCTTTTCCCCCAGGGCAAGGAGCCTAGTCTGTAACTACTGAAGTCTAGCACTGGAGGATCATCGAGGTATTGTCAGGTTGTTTGCGTGACCAGTATCAGTGAGATAGGTAGTTAGTGTTATGTATCCATTAAGTAGTTGGTGTTACATATCCATTCTCTTTGGGATGTTCCTTTGCTTGAATAGACATCAAAATCCTGACTTAGTCATTCAATGACTAATGGTTTAAGGTAGTAAGTAGTCCATGGGTGGTTTTGTTCAGGTCAGCTGTGGATTTGGGATCCCTTTCTTTGATCGAGTCTCCCAAAGGCATTTGAGTTGTGAAAGATGGCTCACTATGACACCATCTGTGCCAACAAGCAGAAGTAGAAACAAAAGGTGGCCAGCCTGAAGCTGCCTTTCTAAAGGCATGAACTGGAATTTTCCCACAAGTTCTGCTCACATACATTGTCCAGGATAGTCATGTGGTCACAAGTATGAGTAAGAGGCTTGTCTTGTTTTTAGCTTGGGGAGCTGTATGGCTACCTAACAGGAGACTCTGACCAAAACAGAGGAAAGCAAGGATTTGGGGTAACTAGTCTGTTACACCACCCGGTATAGAAGAGAACTCTTCAGATTTAGTACCAAACTCAACTAGTAATGATATGCTAGCTCACCTGATCAGGTTTCCTCTGCTTCTCCCACTGTCTAGGCTGGTGGTGTCTAACTTTTGAGGTTGGCTACCTGGCTAAAACTTCAGTCTGGCTTTGAATGTAGTGGTTAGACATTGGCCACTGGCAGGTTCAGGTGGAGTTCTGGTATTCTAAGGAAGCTCATGTGAAACCATCATTAAGAACCCATCACATTGTTGTTTGTGCAAGTCCTGGCCCCTGATGCTGGTGTCTTCAGTACCTCACCAGAATCTAGGTAAAGCTGTAGCATGTCATCCAGCTGTGTGGCCTGGGAAAGATGTAGTAGGAAAGATGCCTGTATTCTTGGGCTACAGAGATGTAAAAATAGGTATTGGGTGTGAGGTTACCCAAGCTTCTCTGGTGAGGGGCTGTATTAGGTTGGCACAAAAGTAATTGCGGTTTTGAACTGTGAATTTTAAATCATTATAACTAGGCTCAAACACATCTTTATTAATCAAAGTAGGAACCATTACAATCAACAGATTTTTGCCAATGAGAAATAAGTTGATTCTTGTAACAAAAATCCATGCTTTGGGATTTGAACTCTTGGAGAGCATTTTCTTCATCTTGCTTGTTGTAGAAGCATTTTCCCTGCAAAAATTGGCAACTGACTACCGGTTCAAGCATTTTGGCAAGAGGTCAGGTGAATGTGGCAGATGAGGCGCAACTTCATAGCCTAATTCATTCAACTTTTGAAGCATTGGTTGTGTGATGTGCAGTCAGGCATTGTCCTGGAGAACTGTACCCTTTCTGCTAAACAATATTAACTGCAGGCCTTAGGGTTTTTGTTGCAACTTATTGATATGCTGAGCATACTTCTCAGATGTAATGGTTTCACCAGGATTCAGAAAGCTACAGTGGATCAGACTGGCAGCAGACCACCAAACGGTGACCATGACCCTTTTTTTGGTAAAAATATGGCTTTGGGAAGTGCTTTGGAGGTGCTACTTGGTCCAACCACTGAGCTGGTCATCGCCAGTTGTCATATAAAATTCACTTTTCATCACATGTCACAATCTGATCAAGAAGTGGTTCTTTGTTTTTGCATAGAATAAGATGACACTTAAACGATGATTTTAAAAACTTTCACTCAGCTCATGAAGCACCCACTTACCAAGGTTTTCCACCTTTTCCAGTTGCTTCAAATGACTGTAGAATGGTCAACATTGAGTTATTCGTCAACTTCTTGTATAGTTGTAAGAGGATCAGCTTTGATCAGCTTCAATGATTGCTCTCAATTGGTTGTTGTCAACTTCCAATAGCTGGCCACTATCTCATCTTCAAGGCTCTTGTCTCCTTTGCAACGCTTCTTGAACCACCACTGTACCGTATGTTAGCAGTTCCTGGGCCAAATGCATTCTTGCAAGTTGTCTCTGCTGCTTTATGACCCATTTTGAACTTCAATGAGAAAATCACTCATTTGCTTTTTGTCTAACGTTTCCATAGTCTAAAATAAACAAGTAATATGTCATTAGCAAAACCATAGTGAGAAAAGCCCATTAAAAATGACATATAACATAGCCACATTTTAGAGTGTATTCCAATATCAAATGGCAAATTCCAACAATGCAAAAACCACAATTACTTTTGTACTCACCTAGTAGCAGAAAGTAACTCTTATTTCCTGCTGTGGGTTTTCTGGTAGGCCTGTAGTCCCTGAGGGTAGGCTTGGTACCTGCATGCATGATCCTTAGGCAATATTGTTATGTGGACATGGAGCTTCTGATGCTTGAGTTGTGTGGGGTTAGTGGAAGCAAGATACAGGTAACAGCTTTAACAGCTCAAATGGTTTTTTGTGATCTGGGGCTTTCTAGATAAGCATTTTAAAGCTGATCTAAGAGGGTAGAAGAGGGGGAATATGGTGAGCCTACTTCCCAGCACCCCTGAATCCATTAACTTTGGTCAGTAGGTAGCTGTGGCAATTGTGGTTTCTTTGCTTTGAAGAATGTCATGAGTGTAGGACTGTATAGGCCCTAGAAGATGTAGGGTCCTACTCCTTGAACTTTTCATATTAGGCTTAGGCCTCCTTGCATATTACATTTCAACCATATGGTATTCATTGTTAGTTGGCCCACCCCAGTATTCTTACCCAATCACTATTGCCTGTCTTCAAAGAGGCTGTGAAAGCTGAACACAGGTTCCATCTAACCTCAATAGGAGGGTGAGAGCATAAGAGCTAATGTGACATAAACATCTCTACTGAAGGGCTTCTGGAAAGATTTCCTCTATAACTGGAGCCACATATCTAATTATTCCTGAAATGTCCATGTGACATTTGTGGGTCAGCAGACATCTTTGGCCTTAGGTACAAGCATGTTGACAGTCAACATTCTAGAGACTAGGATAGAAAGGACCTGGGTCCCTGATGACATCACTGAGCCACAGGACTCAGAAATGACTTACCACCTGAATTGCTATATGTGGAAAATGACCCACAATTTACTTCAGCCCAAACTGGTATCCTGTATAAAAACAACTGAATTAACTGAAAAATCACTCTGAAACAGACTCAATTCTTAAACCTCTGCTTACTTTCATCTACCAAAAATGTTTCTTATAAAGCCTACAAGGGCAAAAGGAGGAACAGGATTAAGTTCCTAGCTTTAATGCCATTAAGAAAGCTGCTCTCCTGGCTAAACTTAAATATGAAAGGCAAGTGAGCAGCATAACCTAATATGCCTACATCTTAAAGCAGACAAACATGTTAACTTTATTTCTCTATTAAAACAACCTCAACTTGTGAGCCCAGTTAAATTCAGTTAGGTACTTGAGTTCCTGGGTTAACACTTACTTTTCTGATATGCTCAGTCAGCTCAGATTTCACTCCTGCTTAGTTTGAATTCTCTAGAAAGGAGACTCAGACAAGAATTAGGGTACAAGTAACTTATTGCAGGTGATTCTAAGAATAATGAGAGAGGGAATGTAGGTAATCCAATGAAAGTGTTAGTGAGCAGGTAAGCCTGGTGAGCAACTGGGGCTAATTCTGCTGAGGATTCCCTGGGACAATCCTGAGGACTGGTCTATGTGGACTCCTGGGGTGAGCCGCTCACTCCTGCTCCTCACTGGCTGAGGACTCTTCCTGGGGATGAACTATTAGCATTCTTGGCCTGCTCTGTATGTAGGCAAGCATGTTCCTGTGGCAGGAGAACATGGGCAGAGACAGAGCCATAGAACACACCATGTGGACGTGTCTGCATGGGAACTCGGGGTGGCCTCATCAAATATGCAAGAGGAGCTGAGTGATTCTACCTGACTCACCTAGATCCACATGTATCCCCATACTGAGTTCACTATGTCTTATCTTGATGGGTCACCATCTTGAAGAATTGCCCATTACAAAGAATCTTCTGAAGCTTCTTCCTATGTGTTTGACTTTCCTTCTCAAGTCATAAAATCTCAGCGTTAGTAATATATAAGATTTGGCTACCTGGTCTACCTGTGCAGGGGTACTGTGCTGTTTTTGTCATTTATACTTCCTGGGCATGTGCTCATGACTTTTTTGCAGAGGGGATGGGGCAAGGCGGAACAGTCAGAAAAACCTCTCTAGGAAGAGTGAATAGACGTTCTGGAGAAAAGGGTTCTACTAAAGACCTTCTGTGCTTGGCCTCCATTTCAAGCAGATCCTTGGGTGGATGGAGGTGAACCTTGGGAAACTCATCAGGTCATGGTCTTGGGCTCTGTACCTGTGAAAGGAAAGGAAGCAGGACCGGGCAGAGGGAGGAGCTGAGATTTGATGCAGCCTCCACGGAAGCCATGGCCAACACTGTGAGGGAGCTGTGAAGCCAAGTTGACCTTTAGAGCTGACCTGAGTTGGGATAAGAGGTCTGCGGTTTTATACTCAGGCTGACAAGAACTGTATGGCAGCCACCCAGTAAGGGATGTGGCCTTGGGTGAGATTCTCTTCAGCTGAGCTTAGCCTAGGAGGGGCTAACAGACTCCTGGGGCATCCAGTAGCTGAGAACAAGTCCTTTGTGCCTGAAAGGGGAAATGGGTGCTGCCTCTTGGCATCCACCATGGCAATACTTCCTACGCAGCAGTATAAAATAACAAAATCACTCCCAAACAGTGACCAACCTCATATGCTGTTACAATGTTCCTTTATCATGCCTCAAAAGAGCAAGCAGGACACATCAGAACAGCTATAGTATAAATTTCAATATATTCTTGTGTTTTGAAGTAGTCAGCTCTGATTTGAACATTCTGCAATTCCGGCTGAGTTGCAAAGTGAAGAGGCCCGTGGGCTGAGGATCTTTCAGAGGGAGTACTGAGGCTGTAGACTGTTCTTTCCTGTCATTGTCTCCTGGCATTAACACCATTTCTAAATGAGATGTGGACATTTGACTGTCTAGAAGGATGCTGTCCAGTGTATTCCAAAGAATGGGCTCATTAGAGCAAGATTCTGAATCCTGCACGTTTACAACAGTTTCTAGTCTGATTCTTGAAGTTCCATTCTGGTAGATGTTTGGGTCATGTTTCCCTTGAGAGTGATTGGTGTTGCTTCATTGTCTCCCAGTGGTGGTGTGTTGAAGTTGATTAGAGTTGATTTGGTTTCTTAAATTGTCACTGAACTTTCCCTAATTTGAAGTCTAGTATATTTGTTTGGCCATTATGAAAAGGCAGGAATATGGTGTTTCTGATGCTGACTGAATAATTGCCACGTTGGGTCTGCCCAAATGGTGAGAACCATGGCAGGCAGGAGATGGATAGAAGAAACAAGGTGAATATAACAGTAAGTGGGAAAAATCAAAATGTGTTTTCTTCTGCTAATTAGAACACCACTTGCTTGGCCCCTCAAACCACATCAGATCAGGTGCCAAAGAGTGAACCCTATAGAAGGAATGTAAAGAATTAGAGGCAATAATTAGATCTTATATGTACTTTACATGTAAGAATCTAAACAAATTTGGACAGAACATTGTTTGTTATAACATGATAAAATTAATTATTCTCTCATCGGGATCTGAGAGAAAGATCAGGTATTGTGGGAAAAGCCAAGGACCCCTGTTCTCCAGGTACGTCAACGTAGTGTAAGAAGTTTGTGACAGTCTTGCATGAGATGAGGCCGTTCCTTCACTGAAGCAGGTTAAAGAATCATGGCCATCACCACCATGAAGAATGGGGTTAGGACATCTGCCTACTTGGTGGTCAGGGAGAAGTTCTCCTTCCTTGGTCTAAGTGGATGAGAGGAACTGAGTGCAGCTGTACCCTTGGCCCTCAGGGTACAGAGCATATTCCTAGTGAACAGATTGGAGCATGGAGGTGGATTCATTGACTACGACCTATTTCTGATTTCTGGTTCCCCTTACTTCCACCTGAGCTGCTGCTAACCCTTGTATTTAGTCCTGTCCATTATCTTGACTATCAAGGATCTTTGGGTAGACATGGATCTACCAGTTTTGGAGCAGGAAATAAAATGCAGTTGTTGGAGGCTTCATCACTTTGATCTCATGTCTACTCAACCTGATTTGAGCCTGTAATCTCATTTCTTTGCACCCAATTGTTGGCTCCTGGACTAAGTCTGCTTAGATTGTATTTGGCATAAGGCAGAGACTTGCTGAGAATTAAATTGTGTGAAGCTCTATCAGAGGCACATGCCTTTACATGGAAGCTAGGGGGAATATAAGGGTCTTGCTGGGTTCAAAGGCCTTTAACCTGGGTTGAAGTGGGAGGAATTAGTCCTTGGGTTGGGCTGGGTCCTATGAGAAGTAAATGTTAAGGCAGGATTGGACATGTAGAAACTTACCGGAGAAGATGTTTGTGAGAAAAGGGAAATGCAAGAGAGCCTTTATTCTCCAAAGTAGAGAAGGAAGTCAGGTCAATATTATGCCTCAAATTACAGTGATGTTATACAAGAGTTTGGGGTAGGCCAAAAGAAGTGGTTGAATCAAAGATGTTTGAGAGGGGTCTCACATCCTGCAGAAATAGATTGGCCTTAGTATGCTTCCCATGGCATGTTACCTGGCCTGTCAGTCAATGATACTCCCCTTTATAGGTGTCTAAGTAGACCTTTCTCTGGTCATTAGAGCTCTTGGGAAAAGCCTATGATTTGGGTGCAGATCTGAGGAACACCCAAAGATGGTTTTAGAACCTACTTATGTCTTAGGTAGGGCATGGATTTTCATATTGCTAGTCTAGATTCCACAGGGTGAAGGTAGTCAGCTGCTGAAATGGCTTCTGATCTCACTAGCACTCAGCATTGGGAAGTCTTACTGACTACCAAAATGCCTGAGCTGTGTTGCAGGTTTCAGCTCAGCAAGTCTTTTGTAAAACCTGGTCAACTGACCTAATACATGGTTGGGAAACTGACTGGAGAGGCAATGGAATCTTTTTTTCCTGAAGGTTTTGCAGAATCTATTAAGGTTGCTCCTCTAATGTGGACAGTGAGAGGAAAGAGTACCCTTGGATACTTCAATATGTCCACAAGCTGCTTGGCTCCCTAAGGAGCTGTTTAAGTATCACCCGTGTTGTAGTCTCAGATCAGAAAGCTGAAGGTTAAAATTTGAGTAGGAAAATCAATGCCATGAGGCTAGTTATTTCCTGGAATTTCTTGCACTTTTTTTTTTTAAACCAGGCATGCTGTGTTGCTAAGTCTCAAGGGTGGGTGGTAATATTGAAAGTTAGACTTGAGATTATCTAGTGAGAACTCCTCAATGATCAAGGTGGCATAAAATCAGATGGCTAATGACTCTATTCTGGGCTTGAATCTTATGGGAGACACTTGTAGATGCTTCAACATTTATCCCCATATTAGCCAACGGTACCCCAGTCTCTTCTGGAGAGGTCATCTATTCCTCATCTGCCTCTATTTTTGGTCATGCTCAGGCATAGGTCTGACCCCAGCTTATTAGGGTATCCCATTTCCCTACCCACAAACCCATGACTGCAGAGACTCAGGCCCTTCTTCCTCAGTAGAAACTCAAGAGCAGTGCTAGTGATATGAAATGCCATTCATCTGGAGTTGCTGGAGTAGATGTTGCATCACCAACTGATCCTCACCCTTTCCTTCCTCCAACATCCATGCCTTTGACCTTTAGCTATTACCTGAGCTGAGCGTTGGTGCATACCTGGTACCATGACCCAACCCTTTATCCTAAAATACTCAAACCACTAGTAAAAATACTCAGCAGCCCTAGCTTAAAGAGCATGTCTGAATTACAATGGGGCAATGAAGTGTAAGGAGATATCCAATGATATCACTTAGATTCCATTTATAGTTTTACCTGCTCCCATGAAGCAAAATTACCCCAGCTTCCTCCTGCTGATCAGTTATCCCTATAGCAAGGATGACTCAAAGCAACCCAGTGGATCAGGTGATGGAAAAAGGGACCAATGTTGCTTATATCTCATGGTTCTAGGGCCCACATAGTCTTTTTTCGGGGGATACGGTACCACACATAAATGACTCTGTAGATACTAGATCAAGGAGGGCAGCTCAAACTTTCAGAATATCTACTTGGATGGTTCTACTATACTCCCTGAAGGTCATCTCAAAGTTCTTCAAGGCAGCTTCTGAATGCTATCATGTAAGACAACTAGTGGACCCCAAATCATAGGGCCCTTCAGTACTTCTTTTCCTGTGATATGAATCCACTGGTCAGATGCCTTGCTGTGTGGAACTACCTATCTGGGTGGAACGTGGCAGAGGCCCCCAGACAGTGATAGGAGTTGAAGTTCTGCCAGCAGGAAAGAAATCCCTAAGATCAGATATCTAAGTCTGTAAGATCAAGATCCTGCCTCTTCTGGTATAGAAGGAGCTTAATGTAATCAAATCACTACTAAATGGCATTTGATCTCCTTAAATAGTGCTCCACTAGGTGGGGGGGTTGGGCGGGCATGGTGGCTCAGCTTGGTCTATGGTAGATGGGCTGGGCATTTAGAGACAACAGTAGTTAGATTGTTTTAGGAAACTGACAGTCCATGTTGTTGCACCCCCATGTAGCCTCTCAGTCAGCCACTGTGGTCACTGTAGTCATCTGCCTATTGGCTGACGAAGCTTGGCTGTCAAGTGGCAGACCCATTTTTTCCAGTTTGAATGTTGCTGCTTTGTAGTAGGTCTTTAGATAGATGAACATCTGTGTCACACATGTGCCTTTTTATAGACTTTTTGTTATACTTAAAGTTCTAAGGTACATGTGCACAACCTGCAGGTTTGTTACATAGGTATACATGGTTTGCTGCACTCAACAACTCATCATTTACATTAGGTATTTCTCCTAATGCTATCCCTCCCCCAGTCCCACACCCCTCAACAGGCCCCAGTTTGTGATGTTCCCCACCCTATGTCCAAGTGTTCTCATTGTTCAATTTCCACCTATGAGGGAGAACATGTGTTTTGTTTTCTGTCCTTGTGATAGTTTGCTGAGAATGATGGTGTCCAGCTTCATCCACGTCCCTGCAAAGGACATGAACTCATCCTTTTTTATGGCTGCATATTATTCTATGGTGTGTATGTGCCACATTTTCTTAATCTAGTCTATCACTGATGGACATTTGGGTTGGTTCCAAGTCCTTGCTATTGTGAATAGTGCTGCAATAAACACATGTGTGCATGTGTCCTTATAGTAGCATGATTTATAATATTTTGGGTATATACCCAGTAATGAGATCACTGGGTCAAATGGTATTTCTAGTTCTACATCCTTGAGGAATCACCACACTGTCTTCCACAATGGTTGAACTAATTTACACTCCCACCAACAGTGTAAAAATATTCCTATTTCTCCACATCCTCTCCAGCATCTGTTGTTTCCTGACTTTTTAATGATTGCCATTCTAACTGGTGTGAGATGGTATCTCATTGTGGTTTTGATTTGCATTTCTCTGAGCAGTGATGATCACTTTTTCATGTGTCTGTTGCTGCATAAATGTCTTCTTTTGAGAAGTGTCTGTTCATATCCTTTGCCCACTTTTTTGATGGTGTTGTTTTTTTCTTGTAAATTTGTTTTAAGTTCTTTGTAGATTCTGGATATTAGCCCTTCATCAGATGGGTAGATTGCAAAAATTTTCTCCCATTCTGTAGGTTGCCTGTTCAATCTGATAGTAGTTTCTTTTGCTGTGCAGAAGCTCTTTAGTTTAATTAGATCCCATTTGTTAATTTTGGCTTTTGTTGCCATTGCTTTTGGTGTTTGTCATGAAGTCCTTGCCCCTGCCTGTGTCCTGAATGGTATTGCCTAGGTTTTCTTCTAGGGCTTTTATGGTTTTAGGTCTAACATTTAAGTCTTTAATCCATCTTGAACTAATTTTTGTATAAGGTGTAAGGAAGGGATCCAGTTTCAGCTTTCTACATATGGCTAGCCAGTTTTCCCAGCACCGTTTATTAAATAGGGAATTGTTTCCCCATTTCTTGTTTTTCTCAGGTTTGTCAAAGATCAGATGGTTGTAGAGGTGTGGTGTTATTTCTGAGGGCTCTGTTCTGTTCCATTGGTCTATATCTCTGTTTTGGTACCTGTACCATGCTGTTTTGGTTACTGTAGCCTTGTAGTATAGTTTGAAGTCAGGTAGTGTGATGTCTCCAGCTTTGTTCTTTTGACTTAGGATTGATCTGGCAATGTGGGCTCTTTTTTGGTTCCATATGAACTTTAAAGTAGTTTTTTCCAATTCTGAGAAGAAAGTCATTGGTAGGTTGATGGGGACGGCATTGAATCTATAAGTTACCTTGGGCAATATGGACATTTTCATGATATTGATTCTTCATATCCATGAACATGGAATGTTCTTCTATTTGTTTCCTTTTTTATTTCATTGAGCAGTGGTTTGTAGTTCTCCTTGAAGAGGTCCTTCACATCCCTTGTAAGTTGGATTCCTAGGTATTTTATTCTCTTTGAAGCAATTGTGAATGGGAGTTCACTCATGATTTGGCTCTCTATTATTGGTGTATAGGAATGCTTGTGATTTTTGCACATTGATTTTGTATCCTGAGACTTTGCTGAAGTTGCTTATCAGCTTAAGATTTTGGGCTGAGACAATGGGCTTTTGTAAATATACAATCATGTCATCTGCAAACAGGGACAATTTGACTTCCTCTTTCCCTAATTGAATACCCCTTATTTCTTTCTCTTGCCTGATTACCCTGGCCAGAACTTCCAACACTGTGTTGAATAGGAGTAGGGAGAGAGGGCATCCCTGTCTTGTGCCAGTTTTCAAAGGGAATGCTTCCAGTTTTTGCCCATTCAGTGCGATATTGGCTGTAGGTTTGTCATGAATAGCTCTTATTATTTTGAGATACATCCCATCAATACCTACTTTATTGAGTTTTTAGCATGAAGCGCTGTTAAATGTTGTCAGAGGTCTTTTCTGCATCTATTGAGATAATCACGTGGTTTTTATCTTTGGTTCTGTTTATATGATGGATTACATTCATTGATTTGCGTATGTTGAACAAGCCTTGCATCCCAGGGATGAAGCCAAGTTGATCATGGAGGATAAGCTTTTTGATGTGCTGCTGGATTCAGTTTGCCAGTATTTTATTGAAGATTTTTGCGTCAATGTTCATCAGGGATATTGGTCTAAAATTTTTTTTTGTTGTGTCTCTGCCAGGCTTTGATATCAGGATGATGCTGGCCTCATAAAATGAGTTAGGGAGGATTCCCTCTTTTTCTATTGATTGGAATAGTTTCAGAAGGAATGGTACCAGCTCCTCTTTGTACCTGTGGTAGAATTCGGCTGTGAATCCATCTGGTCCTGGAATTTGGTTGGTTGGTAGGCTATTATTGCCTCAATTTCAGAGCCTGTAATTGTTCTATTCAGGGATTCAACTTCTTCCTGGTTTAGTCTTGGGAAGGGTGTATGTGTCTAGGAATTTATCCATTTCTAGATTTTCTAGTTCATTTGTGTAGAGGTGCTTATAGTATTCGTTGATGGTAGTTTGTATTTCTGTGGGATTGGTAGTGAGAATCCGCTTTATCATTTTTTCTTGTGTCTATTTGATTCTTCTCTCTTTTTTTCCTTATTAGTCTTGCTAGAAGTCTATCAATTTTGTGGATCTTTTCAAAAAACCAGCTACTGGATTCATTGATTTTTTTTTTTTTTTTTTTTTTTTTTGGGAAGGGTTTTTTGTGTCTCTATCTCCTTCAGTTCTGCTCTGACCTTAGTTATTTCTTGCC
Organism: Homo sapiens; assembly: GCF_000001405.40. Taxonomy (NCBI): domain Eukaryota; kingdom Metazoa; phylum Chordata; class Mammalia; order Primates; family Hominidae; genus Homo; species Homo sapiens. The sequence goes on from NC_000004.12 coordinate 77,298,523, forward strand.
TTCTGCTAGCTTTTGAATGTGTTTGATCTTGCTTCTCTAGTTCTTTTAATTGTGATGTTAGGGTGTGAATTTTAGATCTTTACTGCTTTCCCTTGTGGGCATTTAGTGTTATAAATTTCCCTCTACACACTGCTTTAAATGTGTCACAGAGATTCTGGTATGTTGTGTCTTTGCTCTCACAGGTTTCAAAGAACATCTTTATTTCTGTCTTCCTTTTGTTATGTACCCAGTAGTCATTCAGGAGCAGGTTGTTCAGTTTCCATGTAGTTGAGTGCTTTTGAGTGAGTTTCTTAATCCTGAGTTCTAATTTGACTGCCCTGTGGTCTGAGAGACAGTTTGTTATTTCTGTTCTTTTACATTTGCTGAGGAGAGCTTTACTTCCAACTATGTGGTCAATTTTGGAATAAGTGCAATGTGATGCTGAGAAGAATGTATATTCTGTTGACTTGGGGTGGAGAGTTCTGTAGATGTCTATTAGGTCTGCTTGGTGCAGAGCTGAGTTGAATTCCTGGATATCCTTTTAACTTTCTGTGTTGTTGATCTGTCTAATGTTGACAGTGGGGTGTTAAAATCTCCCATTATTATTGTGTAGGAGTCTAAGTGTCTTTGTAGGTCTCTCAGGGCTTGCTTTATGAATCTGGGTGTTCCTGTATTTGGTGCATATATATTTAGAATAGTTAGCTCTCCTTGTAGAATTGATCCCTTTACCATTATGTAATGGCCTTCTTTGTCTCTTTTGCTCTTTGTTGGTTTAAAGTCTGTTTTATCAGAGACTAGGATTTCAACCCCTGCTTTTTTTTTGCTTTCCATTTGCTTGGTAGCTCCTCCTCCATCCCTTTATTTTCAGTCTATGTGTGTCTCTGCACATGAGATGGGTCTCCTAAATACAGCACATTGATGGGTCTTGACTCCTTATCGGACTTGCCAGTCTGTGACTTTTAATTGGGGCATTTAGCCCACTTAGATTTAAGGTTAATATTGTTATGTGTGAATTTGATCCTGTCATTATGATGTTTGCTGGTTATTTTGCTCATTAGTTGATGCAGTTTCTTCCTAGCATCGACTGTCTTTGCAATTTGGATGCTTTTGCAGTGGCTGGTACCCGTTGTTCCTTTCCATGTTTAGTGCTTCCTTCAGGAGCTCTTGTAAAGCAGGCCTAGTGGTGACAAAATGTCTCAGCATTTGCTTGTCTGTAAAGGATTTTATTTCTCCTTCACTTATGAAGCTTAGTTTGGCTGGATGTGAAATTCTGGGTTGAAAATTCTTTTAAGAATTTTGAATATTGCCCCCCACTCTCTTCTGACTTGTAGAGTTTCTGCCAAGAGATCTGCTGTTAGTCTGGGCTTCCCTTTGTGGGTAATCCGACCATTCTCTCTGGCTGCCCTTAATATTTTTCCTTCATTTCAACTTTGGTGAATCTGACAATTATGTGTCTTGGTGTTGCTCTTCTCAAGGAGTATCTTTGTGGAGTTCTCTGTATTTCCTGAACTTTGAATGTTGACCTGCCTTTCTAGGTTGGGGAAGTTCTCCTGGGTAATATCCTGAGGAGTGTTTTCCAACTTGGTTCCATTCTCCCTGTCAATTTCAGATACACCAATCAGGCATAGATTTGGTCTTTTCACATAGTCCCGTATTTCTTGGAGGCTTTGTTCATTTCTTTTTACTCTTTTTTTGTCTAAACTTCTCTTCTCACTTCATTTCCCTCATTTGATCTTCAATCACTGATACCCTTTCTTCTAGTTGATTGAATTGGCTACTGAAGCTCATGCGTTTGTCATGTAGTTCTCTTGCCATGATTTTTAGCTCCAGCAGGTCATTTAAAGTCTTCTCTATGCTGTTTGTTCTAGTTAACCATTCATCTAAAATCTTTTTTCAATGTTTTTAGCTTCTTTGTGATGGGTTCAAACATCCTCCTTCAGCTTGGAGAAGTTTTGTTATTACCGATTGTCTGAAGCCTTCTTCTCTCATCTTTTCAAAGTCATTCTCCATCCAGCTTTTTTCAGTTGCTGGCAAGGAGCTGCCTTCCTTTGGAGGAGAAAAGGTGCTCCGATTTTTAGAATTTTCAGCTTTTTTCCTCTGGTTTCTCCTCATCTTTGTAGTTTTATCTATCTTTGTTCTTTGATGATGGTGACATACAGATAGGGTTTTGGTGTGGATGTCCTTTCTGTTTGTTAGTTTTCTTTCTAACAGTCAGGATCCTCAGCTGAAGGTCTGTTGGAGTTTGCTGGAGGTCCACTCCAGACCCTGTTTGCCTGGGTATCACCTGCAGAGGCTGCAGAACAGCAACTATTGCAGAATGGCAAATGTTGCTGCCTGATCCTTCCTCTGGAAGCTTTGTCTCAGAGGGGCACCCAAATGTGTGAGGTGTCAGTCGGCCCCTACTGGGAGATGTCTGCCAGTTAGGTTACTCGGGGGTCAGGGACCCACTTGAGAAGGCAGTCTGTCCGTTCTCAGATCTCAAACTCCATGCTGGGAGAACCACTACTCTCTTCAAAGCTGTCAGACAAGGAAGTTTACATCTGCAGAAGTTTCTGCTGCCTTTTGTTCAGCTATGCCCTGCCTCCAGAGGTGGCCTCTACAGAGGCAGGCAAGCCTTCTTGAGCTGTGGTGGGCTCCACCCAGTTCAAGCTTCCTGGCCACTTTGTTTACCTACTCAAGCCTCAGCAATGGCAGACGCCCCTCCCCCAGCCTCACTGCTGCCTTGCAATTTGATCTCAGACTGCTGTGCTAGTGGTGAGCAAGGCTCCGTGGGTGTGGGGCCCTCCAAGCCAGGCATGGGATATAATCTTCTGGCATGCCATTTGCTAAGACCATTGGAAAAGCGCAGTAGTAGGGTGGGAGTGTCCTGATTTTCCAGGTACAATCTGTCACAGCTTCCCTTGTCTAGGAAAGGGAATTGCCCAACCCCTTGCACTTCCCGGGTGAGGTGATGACCCACCCTGCTTTGGCTCACACTCTGTGGACTGCACCCACTCTCTGATAAGCCCCAATGAGATGAAGCCAGTACCTCAGTTGGAAATGCAGAAATCACCCATCCTCTGTGTCACTCACACTGGGAGCCGTAGATTGGAGCTGTTGCTATTCGGTCATCTTGGAACCAACTCTGTCAGCTGATTATTTTGCTCATAAGTTGATGCAGTTTCTTCCTAGCATTGATGATCTTTACAATTTGGCATGTTTTTGCAGCGGCTGGTACTGGTTGTTCCCTTCCATGTTTAGTGCTTCCTTCAGGAGCTCCTGTAAGGCAGGCCTGGTGGTGACAAAATCTCTCGGCATTTGCTTGTCTGTAAATAATTTTATTTCTCCTTCACTTATGAAGCTTAGTTTGGCTGGATATGAAATTCTGGGTTGAAAATTCTTTAAGAATGTTGAATACTGGTCCCCACTCTTTTCTGGCTTGTAAGGTTTCTGCCAATAGATCTGCTGTTAGTCTGATGGGCTTCCCTTTGTGGGTACCCCGACCTTTCTCTCTGGCTGCCCTTAACATTTTTTTCCTTCATTTCAACCTTGGTGAATCTGACAATTATGTGTCTCCTGGAGTTGCTCTTCTCAAGGAGTATTTTTATGGTGTTCTTTGTATTTCCTGAAGTTGAATGTTGGCCTGCCTTGCTAGGTTGGGGAAGTTCTCCTGGGTAATATCCTGAAGAGTGTTTTCCAATTTGGTTCCATTCTCCCCATCACTTTCAGGTACACCAATCAAATGTAGATTTGGTCTTTTCATTTAGTCCCATATTTCTTGGAGGCTTTGTTTCTTTTTACTCTTTTTTCTCTAGCCTTGTCTTCTCACTTTATTTAATTAATCTGATCTTCAATCACTGATATCCTTTCTTCCACTTGATTGAATCAGCTATTGAAGCTTGTGCATGCATCACGAAGTTCTCGTGCCATGGTTTTCAGCTCCATCAGGTCATTTAAGCTCTTCTATACATTGTTTATTCTAGTTAGCCATTCTTCTAACCTTTTTTCAAGGTTTTTAGCTTCCTTGTGATGGGTTTGAACATGCTCCTTTAGCTCAGAGAACTTTATTTCCGACCTTCTGAAGCCTATTTCTGTCAACTTGTCAAAGTCATTCTCTGCCCAGCTTTGCTCTGTTGCTGGCGAGGAGCTGCGATCCTTTGGAGAAGAGGTGCTCTGGTTTTTAGAATTTTCAGCTTTTCTGCTCTGGTTTCTTCCCATCTTTGTAGTTTTATCTACCTTTGGTCTTTGATGTTGGTGACCTACAGATGGGGTTTTAGTGTGGATGTCCTTTTTGTTGATGTTGATGGTATTCCTTTCTGTTTGTTTTTCTTCTAACAGTCAGGTTCCTCAGCTGCATGTCTGTTGGAGTTTGCTGGAGGTCCACTCCAGACACTGTTTGCCTGAGTATTAACAGTGGAGGCTGCACAACAGCAAGTAGTGCACAACAGCAAGTACTGCAGCCTCTGATCCGTCCTCTGGAAGCTTCATCCCAGAGAGGCACCCACCTGTATGAGGTGTCTGTCTGCCCCTACTGGGCAGTGTCTCCCAGTTAGGCTACACACGGTCAGGGGCCCACTTGAGGAGGCAGTCTGTCGGTTCTCAGAGCTCAAACGCCTTGCGGGGACCACCACTGCTCTCTTTGGTGCTGTCAGACAGGGAGGTTTAAGTCTCAAAGTTTCTCCTGCCTTTTGTTCAGCTATGCACTGCCCACAGAGGTGGAATCTATAGTGGCAGTAGGCATTGCTAAGCTGCGGTGGGCTCTGCCCAGTTTGAGCTTCCTAGCAGCTTTGTTTACCTACTCAAGCCTCAGCAATAGTGGATGCCCCTCCCCACACCAGGCTGCAGCCTTGCAGGTCGATCTGACTGCTGCACTAGCAGTGAGCAAGGCTCTGTGGGTGTGGGACCTGCTGAGCCAGGCATGGGAGAGAATCTCCTGGTCTGCCAGTTGCTAAGACTGTTGGAAAAGTGCACTATCTGGGTGGAAGTGTCCCATTTTTCCAGGTACAGTCTGTCATGGCTTCCCTTGGCTAGGAAAAGGAAATCCTCTGACCCCTTGCACTTCCCAGGTGAGGCCACGCCCCACCCTGCTTTGGCTCATCCTCCATGGGCTACACCCACTGTCCAACTAGTTGCAATGAGATGAGCTAAGTACCTTAGTTGGAAATGCCAAAATCACCCGTCGTCTGCATTGACGATGCTGGGAGCTGCAGACTGGAGCTCTTCCCATTTGGCCATCTTGGAACGGAACTCAGACTGACTTTCTAGGCCACTGACCCGATGGGCAGGCCATTGGGTTCTGCCAGAGATGAGCATATATTCTCATCTTAGGCCACTCCTTATTCCAGAAAAATAGATTATTAAAACAGCTAGAGATGTCAATTACTTGCCCTACATAGTGGGCCAGAGAGGCTTATCAAGGATGCCACAAACATAATATATAGCCAAGCTGCTTTGCAATTGAAAATCATGTCTTAAGCCAACACTTGGGACATAAGTTGGTCTCTTTCCTAATCTCAAAACTGCATTAGTGATGCTGACAGAGGCTTTAAACTCCTGAAATATCTACACTTGTGGCTGAGGATATACCCGTCTTTTGTGCCTGTGCCCTTCTGGTAAAGCAGTGAGGAAGGTCTGTTATTTAGCAAAGAGCATATTTTTGAAAAAAGTTTGATTTGATAATGACTTTGTTAAAGAGATTTGATCACTTACGGCAGCAACTGATATATGCAAATCACTTACTAGGGCAAGCTGAAAACTGGCTATGGGGTATTCTGGGCCCCAGTCAGTAATACTTAAGGCTTCTGGCAAATGTCACTTTACAAAAGGCCAGGGAGTGAGAAATGGATGATGATGATAGTTTGGGGGAGAGGAGGTGGTGGCAAGGATCTTTTTGTCCAGTAGGTAGATTGTGATTTAAAAGTGTTTGACAAATTGTAATGAAATGTCCTCATTGTCTTCAGGATGAGATTGAAATCTGTGGTTTTTAGGCCTTAGATTTTTGTAGTTTTTTAAGTTGTATGAAAGTTGATCTTACCAATTATCTAACAAAAATGTATTCCAAAGCTAAGAACAACTCTACAAGAGGTATATAGAAACAGCTCTGGGCATGGAGGTCATGCAACATTCCTGCCTTTATAGCCTCTTGGAGGTTAGTTCTTAATCTGCATCCAGAGTTGGAAATCTGTTAATACAACATCCTAGAGCACAGGCAGCCAGTGATTCTGAGTGATGAAGGGCCTGATTCCACTTAACTACAGAATTGTCTTGACATTCAAGGGGGAGCTTCCATGAACCATTTCTGGTGCTACAGACTGTGGAATGGAGTATTGATGTTACTTCTCTGGCAAAACTATATTCTATACTTGACTCTCAAATGGATCAACTGTTACATGTGGGTCAGGCTCAGGAAGAAAGGGTTACAGAGCCTTGGCCTGGTGAAAAGTTGGCTAGCACTTGCCAGTCTTTATAAAGCACGGGGAGGTAAAATGCATCTACCCATTCAGCTCAGTAAAGCACTGCTCTTTACTTATAGCAGTCTCCTATTAGAAGCTCTTCCTTCCTATTACCGACATTCAGGAACTCAACTGATCCCAACTGGTAAAAAATCACTCTAGAAATGCACATGAAAGCAAGTCCTGCACCTAAAGGCTAGAAGGCACTTTTGTAGGTCTCTTCACTGGCTTATTTGACCAGATAGGTCAAAAAAAGTTGATCAGGGTATTTGGGCTTTCCTTCCTCTGAAGGAGACACATAGTGACTCTAGGGTGTAGTATCTGAGTCCATAGGACATGGCTATTAACTGATCACTGAGTTCCTCCATGTTTTATGAGATGTGGCTGGCTCTGAGCATCTATTTCTTTTGAATAAAGCAGTCTTGGGAGTGTGTACAGTGATACACAAGCTTGCTTTCACATCTGAATGTACCTGAGTGTGCCTAGTTGAAATTAAAAGCTTTTTCATTGCTGCCTTGTGGCCTCATACATGCAGATGCCAAAAAGGAATTGAATGTTTGAGTTGTGGGAGGAGAAAGTTCTGTGAGGGATACAGGAGAGGAAGCTGGAAAGATCTGGGTGTAGATCCACTTATAATGCAGGTCAGGCCCTGTGAAGGAAAATACTGGATAGGAAGTAGCTTAGACTGAGGTGATACTAAGTGCCTTGGCAAGGCCGATGGCAAATACTAGAGCCCAGATTGCCCATTAGAGGAGTGGTGAGTGTCCTAAATAGGACGGCCTTAGCATCCCAGCTGCACCTGGGCATCAGTTGGAAACGACCACACATGGGATGTATGGCATTCTAATGGCTCCACAGGTGGCCACTGTGCTGCACAGGTACACTTATCTGTACAAGTTGACAGAAGTAACTGTCCCACAGGCTCCTGTTCTTGAGGGGAAACTGAGGAAAGATGGTGGGATGCAATGTGGCTCCTGTGGCTGGAGTTGATCTTGGGTCAGAATTGAAACTCATTCTCTGCCACCTCCTGGTAATTATGCAACAATGCAATTGTTGACATACTCATCACTTTGATCTCTACAAACTGATTCGAGCCTCACTCTTATAATCTGGATGATTCTTCTTGTACCCACGTGTGGGTTTCCAGGCTAGGTCTGCTTGGATTGTATTTCAGTATAAGGCAGAGACTTGGTTAGAAATGAACTGAACATAAGACTGCCTCTATCAGAGGCAGGTACCTAAACATGGAGTTTTAAACGAAGTATAAGGGCCTTTCTGGGTTCTGGGGTCTTGAGTCAGGGTTGGGGGAAAACTAACGAGTTGTTGGTCCTGTGAGAACCCCATACTGAGGCAGGATTGTACATGTAGGAACTTACTGGAAGGCAGCTATGCTTACCAGTGTACCACCTAAGCTGCAAGAACTTATTTCATGTTCTGTCAGCCAACCCACTACCTGGAGTTGCCCCAAAAGCAACAGCTGGGGAGTTCACTCATGGGACTTGCCCACCATCCCAAGATGGGGCCAGCTGGGAATCCAAATGCACTAAATGCCAGGGGGATAAATCTAAAACACCTACCAGGAAGCTTGCTTACAAAATGCAGGGATCCTTGTGGATAGTGAAAGGGTATCTTGGGTATGTCCCCAATGAGTGGGACAGGTTAGTGTTTTGAGTCTTCAGAATTTGACTAGGCATGGGGCTAGCCTTTACGTGTTAATCAACATGCTTGATGCAACAGCCTAAACAAGTTCGTCAGTGCCTGAGAATATTCAAGGACCCTGGCTTTGGTTCAAGCTTGGGAATACATGCAGCTGGCCAAGGTATTCTGTATCTGTTAGTCTGTCTGTTCTTTCTGTTGCAATAGATGCCTGTGAGAAAACAGGAGCTGCAGGAGAGCCTTCATCCCACAAAAAGAGGTTCTCTATAGAAGCCTCATGTGGCAGTGAAGTTACAGAAGAGTTCTGGGTAGACTGGTAAATCTGAATCCAGGTTGATACAGAAGGGTGAAAAAAGCATTATAAACTCACACTGATCCTACACTAGGTTTATGTCCTACAGCAGACACTTTTCCGATGCTGTCTCAACATTTGTTTCCCTATTGTCAGCCAAATGACTGCTGACTTTGTTTTGGAGATTATTTCATATACTGTTTATATCCTTGGTCATTCTCAGCCATAGGTCTGGATGACTTGAGCATATTAGGGCATCCCATTTCCCTGCCTACATTCCCATGACTACCATAGATTGTGAAGGGATGGGCATACTATCAAGATGGGCATGCCACTAAAACCCAAGGTGATACTGCTGGAATTGATTGATAATGTTTCAAGAAGAGCTTTGAAATAAATACCTGAAGTGTAGAGCAAGTCCATCATGATGGGAGAGTCTGGAACTTGCCATCCAGAGGGTTGTAGTGGGGCTCTGTAGACTCCGAGCATGAATATGATATGAAGGATACAGAAGATGTAAGGAAATCTGGTTCTTGGTGAAAATGAGCCTATTGAAGTAGTCTCAGCTGGAGCCAGCACTATATTTATATTCTTGAGTCAATTAATTTCCTTTTTAAGCCAGTGCAGTTGGGTGTTGGTCATCTGTTATCCAAAGAATCCTAACAGTTACAGCCCAAAGAAACACCAAGAATGTGTGTATTAGAGTAAATTGGTTTATCGCTTGCAAGACTAATACTGACCTTTAGCTAATAAACAGGGGGCATTAGGTAGAACTAAGTAACACTAATGCTTTCCAGACTAAACTTGAAAATGCAGTGGGAGGAGGTAGAATATCTCCCAAAGGGAGTTGGAAACGGTATGCCTTGACCAACATAACACCTACATTATCACATCCATATGCTTATACAGTTGTGTATTAAAGATATGGATATGTTCTGAGATATCAAACAATTTTATCATTATGTGCATGCCATAGAATATAGTTACACAAATCGAGATGGTACAGCTTACTACATACCTAAGTTACATGCCAAAGTCTATTGCTCCCAGGATACAAACCTGTACAGCATGTTACTGTACTGTATACTGTAAGCTATTGTGATCTGTGTATCTAAACATAGAAAATATACAATAAAAATAAGGTATTACAGGCCAGGCGCAGTGGCTCATGCTTGTAATCCTAGCACTTTGGGAGGCTGAGGTGGGTGGATTACTTTTTGAAATGAGCCTGACCAACATGGCAAAACCCCATCTCTACTTAAAAAATCAGCTAGGCGTAGTGGTGTGCACCTGCATTCCCAGCTATTTGGGAGGCTGAGGGATGAGAATTGCTTAAACCTGGGAGGTGGAGGTTGCAGTGAGCTGAGATCGTGCCACTGCACTCCAGCCTGGGTGACAGAGCAAGACTGTCTCAAAAAAGGTATTACAATCTTAAGATAACACCATTCTGTGTTTGTGGTCCATTGTTGGCCAAGACGTCGTGTGGCACATGACTAACTGCTTATAACAAAGTTTACCAGCATAGATGCCATTTTTATAGACAAGGTATTGCTTTAAGATGTCACGTATGACACCAGTTAAGAAAAGCTGTAGGCCGGGCGTGGTGGCTCACGCCTATAATCCCAGCACTTTGGGATGCCGAGGCAGGCGGATCACGAGGTCAGGAGATGGAGACGATGGTGAAACCCCGTCTCTAAAAATACGAAAAATTAGCTGGGCGCGGTGGCGGGCGCCTGTAGTCCCAGATACTTGGGAGGCTGAGGCAGGAGAATGGGGTGAACCCCGGAGGCGGAGCTTGCAGTGAGCCGAGATTGCGCCACTGCACTCCAGCCTGGGCGCGACAGAGTGAGACGCTGTCTCAAAAAAAAAAAAAAAAAAAAAAAGCTGTAGCCATTGCCTGTGCACTTCCATCCAGGATTTAAAGAAGGAATAAGCTTTTTTAAACAAGAGAAACTCTAGGTTGCAGCAATACCTCATACATGGTGAGGTCCCACAAAATGAGGGAGCTCAAAGAAGTGGCTTAGAATGCTGGCTTATATATGGCACCCTGAACAAAGAGCAATATGATTTTAGAAAAGTGACAAGACAAAAGAAGACCTTGAGTCACTATGGGTGGCAAATGAAGGAGGGTAAATATAAAGGCTATGTTATGTAGATGGCTATGGTGCCATCTACAGGCTGATAAAGGTCTAAAGCAAACTTTGGTTAGCCTTTGTCCTTCCTGGTGCCAATGACTGAGTTTGAGGACCAGTGACCAGAAAACCCACGTGTTTTTATTTTTACCTAATGCTTTTTAACTCTAAAGTTCAGGGGGTAATGTGCAGGTTTGTTATATAGGTTAATTCATGTAACAGTGGCTTGTTGTACAGATTTAGTCACCCGGGTACTGAGCCCAGTACCCATTAGTTTTCCTGATTTTCTCCCTCTTCCCACTCTCCACATTCCAATAGGTCCCCAGTGTGTTTCCATCTGAATCCATGTATAGCTCCCACTTATAAGTGAGAATATGCAGTATTTGGTTCTCTGTCACTGTGTTAATTTGCTCAGGAAAATGGCCCCCAGCTCCATCCATGTTTCTGCAAAGGACATGATCTCATTCTTTTTATGGCTGCATAGTATTCCATGGCATATATGTACCACATTTTCTTAAGTCTGCCATTGGGCATTTAGGTTGATTCCATGTCTTCACTATCGTGAATAGTGCTGCAATAAATATGTACATGTATCTTTATGATTTATAATCACTTGGGTATATACCCAGTAATGGGATTACTGGGTTGAATGGTAGCTCTGATGAATCACCAGTTTTCTGCAGTTGAACTAATCTACACTCCAACAGTGTGTAAATGTTCCTTTTTCTCTGTAACCTTGCCAGAACCTGTTAATTTTTAACTTAATAGCCAATGGCACCTCATTGTTTTGAAGTTTTTATTTGCATTTCTTTAATGATCAGTGATACTGAACTTTTTTTTCGTATGCTTCTTGGCCACATATGTTTTCTGGAAAGTGTCCATATCCTTTGCCCACTTTCTGATGGGGTGGTTTCTTTCCTTGTCAATTTTAAATTCTGTATAAATGCTGGATATTAGACCTTTGTCAAATGCATAGTGAGCAAATATTGTCTCCCATTCTGTAGGTTGTCTACTCCAATAGTTCTTCTAGCTGTACAGAAGTTCTTTAGTTTAATTAGATCTCACTTGTCAATTTTTGCTTTAGGTGCAATTGCCTTTGGAGTCTTTGTCATAATCTTTGCTGTACCTATGTCCAGGATGGTGTTGTCTAGGTTGTCCTCCTGGTTTTATAGTTTTGGGTTTTACATTTAAGTCTTTTAATCCATCTTGTTTTTTGTATATGGTGTAAGGGGGTCCAGTTTCAAGCTTCTGCATATGGCTTGCCAGTTACCCCAGCAACATTTGAATTACAGAGTCCTTTCCCCATTGCTTGTTTTGGTCAGCTTTGTCGGATCAGACAGTTGTAGGTGTCTAGCCTTATTTTTGGGCTCTATTCTGTTCTGCTGGTCTGTTTTTGTACCAGTACCATACTGTGTTGGTTACTCTAGCCCTGTAGCATGGTTTGAAGTGAGGTAACATGATGCCTTCACCTTCCTTTTTGCTTAGGATTGTCTTTGCTATTCGGGCTCTTCTTGATTCCATATGAATTTTAAAATAGATTTTCTTCTAGTTCTGTGAAAAATGTCAATGGTTGTTTAATGGGAATAGCACTGAATCTATAAATTGCTTTGGGAAGCATGGCCATTTCAATGATATTGATTCTGCCTCTCTACGAGCATGGAATGTTTTTCCATTTATCTCCGATTTGTTTTGAATAGTGTTTTGTAGTTCTCCTTTTTGTGTTCCTAGATATTTTATTCTTGCAATTGTAAATGGGATTGCATTCCTGACTGGCTCTTGGTTTGACTGTTGGTGTACAGGAATGCTAATGACACTCTTTTTTTTTTTTTTTTTTTTTTGAGTCTTGAGACTTCACTGAAGTTTATCAGTTGAAGGAGCTTTTAGGCTGAGACTGAGGTTTTCTAGGTATAGGGTCATGTCATCTGCAAACAGGGATAGTTTGACGACTTCTTTTTATTTGGATGGTCTTTCTTTCTCTTGCCTGAATGCTCTGCCCAGGACTCTCAATGCTATGTTGAATAGGAGTGGTGAGAAAGGGCATCCTTGTCCTGTGCTGGGAAAACACGGGTTTTCCTGAGGCCCCAGAAATGTGCTTACCCAGGAAAAATGTGTGTGAAGGGCATTCCTGAAATAACACAGCGTGCTAAATTAGTCATGTTCAGAGTCTACTGCAGTCAGTTGCAGTAGAGGGAGGGGAAAGACACTTTGGCAAGTGTACTCTGCTTGTCTCCAAATGGGGGTCAGAGAGTTTTGCCTATATCTGCTTAATTGCCTTCAGTGGAAAATAATTCTTATGCTAAAGTGGCATGTTCTGGGGTGGCATATTGACCATCTGCAGTGTGTTCAAACTAGGTTGTTTTTCTTACCCATTACCATAGTCTCACTTTGTTATTCCTGTAAGTATATTTAGGGAACAATGTTACCCTCCAAGTCTGGGGATGGAAAAGTGCAGACTGGTAAAAGAAATGCTCTTGTTTAAGTGTTGTGCACCCAGGTCTGACGTGCATAGATCTACTGGTGAGCCTAACCCTTTACAGAGAAGCCTGCCATGGACCCCACATTGCCTGATGTCAGAGGCTTGCCACAGAAAGGTTTCAACAGAGGTAGACTGGAACACAAATTCACAGCTGTGGGTGAAATGGCTCTTGCAGCACTTCTTGCCCATGAAGCCAACATAGCCTTCTGAGTGGAAGTTACCATCTTAATCCTTCTCATCTTAGTCCTCTTCCGAAGCCTTGTCCTCTTGGTCATTGCCAATCAAATGACTGAAATTTCACCTGTGAGATTTCAGGAATCTTCTTCACACCTCTACTATGTTTCACACATGCCTTTGTTCAGGGTAAGCATGTTTCTAGAGCTCCAAACTTGTTTTCTGGCCATTGGTACTCAAATGTTAGCACTAGTTCTGTGAAATGTCACAATACATTTTATTAATCTACCTCATTAATCAGACACAAAATGGTTAGCAAGGGAAGAATTGCTATTTTAGAACTAGGTTTTGGGCAAGCTTTGACCTGTTCGTGAGTTTCAGGATGATAAACTACTTTTAACAGAGTTCCTGAAATTGACATCTACCATTGAAGAAACACTTGGTTTCATTTTACTAAGCTACTCCCTAATGGAAATGTGAGAATCACATTTTCCTTGCTGAATTCCCAACTAAATACCATTCTAACTTGACTCTGTTTGCAGGAACATGCAGGGGAAGGCAAAGCAAGAGTTGGTGGCAGAGTTACCTGAGTCCTAGTCAGTTCAGACCCAGTGAACCTCCAATCAAAACAAATGTGAATTCTGGTCCTGCTGGTCAGTCTGTGTTCACTCCTCTGGCCACTTAAGTTTTGGATGGTTGGTGATAAGCTACCTGTTGAGGCATTGATTAGAGCCAAAAGTAGGTAGATAGCTATGCTCAGGAAAGCCAAAAGTAGAAAGATATTGTTTAGAGCAGAAAATGAAAAGACCAGAGCAGAAGAATGCAAAGTAATTGGCCCAGAGCAAATGGCAGGAGGTAACCTGGCAAACTGTAAAATTAGGATTGGAAAGATGAGGACAAACTTTGGAAGAGAAGATCCATATATACTAGATAACAATATCAAATGGAATAAAGTTAATATCCATAGTGTTAAGATAATAGAGAAATGGACCAAATCATCTGACATAAGATAGTCAACCTCCTCCTCATGAAGTAGCCTTAGAAGTGTCTTCAGGGGATATGCATGCTTGTCTTCACATCTGAATTCTAGTACTTCAGTTTTAGTTGAAACTAAACTTTTCTGCTGCTGACTTGTGCCCTCTTACATACAGATGCCAAGATGGAATTAGGTGTACAAGAGTAATGGGAGTGGGAAGAAAGTCTTGTGAGGGAAATAGAGGAGGGAGTTAGAGGAATTTGGAAGAAGATTAGACCACAAAGCAGGATTGACCTTGTGAAGGAAAGAAGTGTTATGTAGGAAGTGGCTTAGACTGAGGTGCCATAGTGTTTTGGCAAGGTTTGATGGGTGATTTGGGCTCTGGTACTTGCCATCTAGAGTTCCAAGTGCCTTAAATGGGCCTGCCTTAGCATCCCAACACAAGCGTCAGTTGGAAAGAGCCAAGGGAAGTGTGTTCTAATGACCAGCACAGTTGACTCCTGTGCTTCAGATCTTCTCTATGGAGGTTCACAGAGCAGTGACTCCTGGTTTACAGGAGGAAACTTGGAGGATGCTAGTGGGATGAGATACAGCTCCTGCTACCCCAACAACTGATACTAATCCTCTTCCTCCTGCACTAGCCACTCTAAATTCCATTTGCCCTGAGCCGCCATCTCAGGTGGTTAGTGCTTACCTACTGGTATGAAACAAATGTTAATATTAATGGGTCTGAATCCCTAGTGATCATATGCTTTTCAGTTTTGAATGTGAGCTACAATGGGTCAAAGAAGTATGATGACACAAGTCAAACCTGAATTCAACTTATATTAACTTCTCCCTGTGTGTAGAACAGCCCAAAGCTCTTCCTGCTGACTGTTTTCTTTTCCCTGCAACATGTTTGATGCACAAGGCGATGTGATATCTCATTTGGAGTGATGGAAAATGGCACCACTTGGGCTCCTTCCTCATTTTTAGCACCTATGTAGTCTTTCTACTTGGGATAGAGTGTAGAGTATCACATAGATGTTTCTATAATGTGCATCATGGAGGGCACCAAATTTTCAGTAGTTTAACTGAGTGCTTCTATGCTGTGTGAAGCTGTCTGAACATTGAAGCTACTTGCTTCTGAAAGATGCAGTGACACCAGTTTATCCCATGATTGAGGTCCACTGTACCTTATATGTGACCTCAGTCCATTGGTGAGATGTCCTTCTGGGTATAATTCCATGCCTGTAGAGGGGACATTGCAAATAGTGGTGGTAGTGAAGGGTCTCCAACCAAGAAAGACAAACCCATGGCAAGATAGCTATCTATTCCTGTGAGTCTATATTGTAGGCTTTTCTAGAAGGGAAGGGGTTCAATGTAGTTAACCTGCTACCAAGTAGTATGTTGGTGTCAGAATGCCATATTTAGATCCAATGTTTTATCTCCAGCAGGCTGGACATTCAGAGGCAGCAGTAGCTAGATTGTCCCTAGAAACTGGCATTCCATGCTGTTGGGTACCTGTGTAGTCTTCATCTTTGTCACTAGGGCCACTTATTCTCCCATTAGCTGATCCAAGTGGGCTACTGAAAACTGGCACAGCCATTGGGTCTTGTTCACCCAGTCTTCTGTGGTTGATGCTTTGTAGTGGGGCTTAACATAGAACATAAAATCTACCTGTTTTCTACAGGCACGTGCCTTTTCATAGACTTGTTGTCTCAAAATTCCTAATCCCCTTCCGTCTAGTCTACTGACCACGTAGCCAGGACATTGGCCTCTGCAGAGATGAGGATATATTCTCATCTTGGACTGTGTGTCAATCACCTTAACATAGAGATTCATGGTATAATAGGTTACATTTTCAAGTCTCCAAAGATGTAGCCTAGAGGCATATTTTCCTTGGTGCTATAACCATAGAGCATAGTCAGGATGCTTTAGAATTGGAAATAGTGTCCTCAGCATTTGGAACAGAAGTTTGTTTCCTTACCCCAAAATGGTATTAGGTTTACTGACAGAGGCTTATAAACTCCTGAACAAAAATTTGTGATTTAGGAATTTACTTGTCTTTGGCTCTTTTGATAGAGATGAGGATCTTTCACTTGATTAAAAATAAAGTCTTTAAAGTACAATAGGATTCTCATTTAGTAGCCAAACTTGAAAGCAGACTGGCCCTGGGGTATTCATAGTACTAGTCAGTAATGCCTAGGCCTGATGACAAAACCATGAGCCAAAACTTAAAATGAAGGAATACATGTCAGTTTTTGGCTGAGGTTAGTGGCAGAAATGGATCTCTTGCTCACGAGGTGTTTTCTGACTTCAAGCCCTTTCTTTTGGACAAAGTGAAACTTGCTCTCCTTACTTTTAGGATGGAGTTGAAATCCGTAGTGTCTTTAGACCTGTGATGCTATTGGTTTTTGTAAGACTCCCTGTACTGAGCGAGTGTGAAGGCCTAGTTTGCGTTTCCTAAGAAGGCAGAGTTCCCAGGTTAAAAGGAGCTCTATAAGAAGTGTGTGTACGCATATTCTCACTCATAGGTGGGAATTGAACAATGAGATCACATGGACACAGGAAGGGGAATATCACACTCTGGGGACTGTGGTGGGGTCGGGGGTGGGGGGAGGGATGGCATTGGGAGATATACCTAATGCTGGATGACACGTTGGTGGGTGCAGCGCACCAGCATGGCACATGTATACATATGTAACTAACCTGCACAATGTGCACATGTACCCTAAAACTTAAAGTATAATAAAAAAAAAAAAAAAAAAAGAAGTGTGTGTAAACACAGTTGGGCTTGGGTGTACACAAGTCCTGCCTTCTAGCCCCCTGTCTGAGTGTGCCAATATGTATCCAAAGTCAATTCTATTCCACAAGATTCCTAGAGGACGGGAAAGTCTGAGTGGTGGGGCCTGGCCCATCCACTATGGCAGTCACCTGGATGTTGCAGGGGAGCGGCCACTGAGCCACACGTGACGTTCCTGGTTTGGGAATAGTATATCATTGGTGTTACTTCTGTGGCACAGCTCTACATTCTACAAGCTTAAGACCCATCTACATCTTTTCAGGTCTCACAGAAGATGCAGTAGGACTGATCATTTTGTAAATCACTTTCCTCTGAGGACTGTACTGGCCTGGAGATGAATATTCAACTCTTCATTTCCCACTACCAGTAGAGTGGTTGAGTGTGGATCCTCCCTGGCATCACACTGCATGTATAAAGCCAGTTCTTGCACTCTAGGCTTTTGAACCCATAGTGGATGGTGCTTTCTAATTTTAGAAGGTAGAACCAACTCTGGATTAGGTGTGTTGGGTTGGATAAATAAGCCATGTGGAAAGTGCTCTTGGTGAGGAGCCACACACTAGGCAAGAAGCCATGCTAGAGGTAAGATCACTGGAATCTAGTGCCATAACAAGTGGGAGAGTTAGGGTGTAGTTACAGAAATGAGAGGAATCCATAACCATGACAGGTCAGGGTTGCCAGCATAGGGCAGAACATGTCACTTGGGAGTTGAGGAAGACTGCTATATTCTGGCATTCCAGGCACAGAGAGGATTTGCATTCAAGGACCTATTTAGAAACAGGTTGAAGTGGAATTTGACATGGAGTAGGTATGTAGAAATCAAATCCTATCTAAGGATGAGAAAGGAAGCAGGATTGGGTGGCAGGAACACTTAACTACAGTGTGGACCCAGAAATTCCTTGGCCAGTATGGTCAAGTGTGTGGCCCATCACAGTTGTTTAATGGTGGCCTGGGATCACTGGCCTTCACTGACCTGCTGTACTCAATGATTGGATGAGGGATGCTAGGGGAAGGGCAGGCCCTTGGAGCTGAGGCAAACCCTGTAGGAGGTGGTGGCTGGAGGCTGCTGGCTGTGCTCCCAGCACCTGAGGCAATAAGTCCTTATTGAAGAGAGATCTGGAAATATATTCCCATGGCCTCCAAATCCAGTGGAATTGTCTACCCTTTCTTGGCTCTGGCTTTTGTTCACACATATGGATAGGCCCAGCACAGCTTTCTTGCCTAGGCCCTACCTTTCCTACTGAGTTCCAAGTGAAATCTGAGCTTCAGATACTATGACTGAAGTCAGAAGCCATGACTATGACTAGTTTGTTAGGAGACAACTGTAGTCAACTTAGATTCTTTTTAACTAGGGTTAGTATAGGAGGCTTATGTTTTGCAGGGTCTAAACTTTCAGAACCATCGCGTAGCATATATGGCAAGAGGGGTGGTGCAGGTGGTTGTCACGATGCTTAATGTCACTTGCATTGTTAGCATGCCATACTACTTTGGTCAACTTTGCAATTTCCTTGTCCCAGATGGTTTGGACTGCAGGGAGGATTTTCTTTGTCTTGGTCATGTGTAGGTTCAGGATTTAGGACCTTTTAAAGCTACCCTTTATCTTGACCCTCTGTATTTTGCCACTTGCATGGAAATGTATCCAAGGAGGCACAATCCAGCCAGAACTTTGTCACTGGCTGGAGCTGACCAATTATAGGCTTCTTGTCCCAGGCTTTTCAGGTTGAAGATGATGTCTAGGCAAGAGAATCATGTATAAGTTCTCTTACAGAAATAAATAGAATAGAAAATATTCAGGACAGGGAAGTGTACTCCAACCCTTTGCTTGCCTCATGACAAAGTGAATGTCTCCCACTTAGACCCTGAGCCATCAGCAGATGAGAATAGGAGGAAAAGCCTAAAAGGTCTCTTACTGCCTGGAATTGGTGCTTGTATAAGCATGGAGGCCAGATAGGCAATATGGGCTGTACAGGTACTAGAGTTGATCCTGAGGCAAGGCAACTCCTATGTGAAGCCTATCATTCCTTGAGTAGCAGCCTTCCAAACAGAACAACCCTTCAGCTTGTCACTGTAAGGGACTGGAGTTTTAGGAAGTGGCATATTAACACAGTGTTAAAAATAACTGCTGGTCTGTATCCTGACACATGTAAGTCCCCTGTCTCAAGCCAGACCTCTATTATACCCTGACCTTCTCAGCAATGAATACAATGTCCTCAATAGCAGAGGTCCCTAACTGAGGTCTCCAAAGCTGTGGCACAGGGAGTAACTGAGCCACAAGGCAAAGTGTAAGATATTAGTGATAGAACCCAGGGCACAGAAGGCAGTCCGTGCAGGGTGGGAAGCCTGTGACATGGCCCCCATTAATATTTGCTTCTGGTATCCTTCCTATGGTAAGAGCCTTCACTCGAATGTGGATGTAGTGACTTGTTGCTTGACAAACAGATAATGGAAGAAGTGATGGCGTGTCATCTGTTATGAGTCTATAAAGACTGTGGCTTCTCTCAGGAGTCCTTACTCTTTATTGGTCTTTGAATATGTTTCCTAGGAGAAATGAGCTGTGTTAACCAACCCTTGGGGCGGCCCACTTACTGTGGCCAAAACGAGAAACCTGTTTGACAGACTGTGAGGAACTGAAGCTCACCACCAACTTTGAGCTGAGAAGTAGACATTGTGAGGTGTGGGAACTGCCATGAGTCCACCTTGCAGCAGATCCCCTTACTAGTTGAGCCTTGAAACGAGAGTACATCCCCAGCTGAGATCAACTGTCTCATGTGACATTCACGTAGGTGCCTCTAGCTTCTTTCCCTCAGTCCCTAAACTGGGGCAGTGGTCAAAGACAAATGTTTGCTATGCCATGTTGCTAATTTTTCAGGTAAGTTCAGTCCATAAAAACATTCAAAAACTTATGTTAAATGGTGAATTGTAAAACAGAAATGAAATGCTGCTAGTAGATTCAGTCTGATCTTCAGACATGTTTTGTTCAATGGGTCAAAAATGGGTCAAAAATGGATCAAAGTAAATCCATGTTCTTATTCTTTCACCACAGTCAGCCTAGTGACAACATGAATGCTCTAGTTCCTCAGTAAGTGAGACTACTAAAATGGGAGCCTGCATCTTTCTCCACTGTCCTTTTACATGCAATTACCTGACTCTACCTTTAGCCTGTCAACAGGTTAAAGGTATTTGGATGAAAATACAGTGGGGCCCTGAATCACCTAAGAACTATAGGTGCTATCTTCTGAAAATGGAAAAAGGGGGGGATAGGAGTGGGTGTAGTACTAGAGATCCTACCAGGCTAAGGACAGGGATGCTACACCCTTGAGGATCCATTGTCTGAGATGGTCCCTCTTAGGACTACCCTGGAGACCATCTTCCTGAGATCTGGATTCACCCCTCAGTACAGGGAGCTTAGCTACTCACAGTCACATAGAAGTCATGTGATGCACATATTAACCAGGCTAGTAGACACACTTTACTAAGAACTAGGTGAGACTACTCTTAAAGCTCTTGGGCTGGGTTAGATGTATATTTAAGTCTCAACTATTCCCACCTGTGAGTTGTAGCGCTAATCCTAACTTAAAATCTTGTGGTCCAGAAGTAATTCCTCTCCTACTGGTAAGGGACATGTCCTGTAGGCTTGCTGGGCATCAGAGGGCAAACTATCCATGCTGTCCTCAATCCTTCCAGCTCCTAGGGAAACTGGTAAATGTTTGACAAGGCAAAATAATCTAAATGCAGGAGTTGAAGTGATTTAGGTTGTTGGCTCCTATAAGGTACAGTAACTTCAGACTGGCAGGGAGTGGACAGTTGTGGATTCTTGCACCACCTGTGGGGAACAAGTCTCCAGGGTGTTACAGGGGTGGGGCATGGGGAGAATGAGCTGTATCAGCAGCTGGTGTCAGAATAGGGACCCCAGCTGGAACTGGAGCAGCTGTTGCAGCTGTGGGACCACTCAATCCCCAGAATAGGAGGGACCTGGGGAGGGCAGGTTGGACTTTCCATCTCTGAGGGGAAGGTGGAAGCTGGACAGCCTGCAGAGGATTAGGGTTGTGATGCTTGGCCTGATGAAGTGCCCATCTACTGCAGGCAGGGTCTGTGCAGAACATATCCAAGGAGGTCTTGCTCATTCTTCCTGGTTGTAGAATTCTTCAGAACAATTGGCCTTGGCATTGAAGGTAGCTCAAAACCCATTATAGTGTCCTGGAGTAAAACTGATCCTATAACCCATGTACCTCCTTCCCTCTTTCCATGGCAGGTGTGAAGTATGCATATGAGGGGACTGCATTGGGAACATCTGGAAGCTGAGGTTCTTGTTACTCTGAATCCATTTTGATTGTGACATTCTACTTGGGCTTTGGCTGCTTCAGAGCTCATGCCAGCAAGAAGGTCTTTTTCCCCTTCTATTATAAGGCAGCTGGACCTGTAGCATCAGCTCAGGATGGCATAGTCCCGGGGAGGAGGAGGAGGCTGTGCTTAAGTCCTAGCCCCTAACTGTTCCCTGGTGCTCTCTGCCCATGCTCTTGGGCAGCTCAACCCCTGTGGCTTTGTAGGGTACCATATCAGGGAAGCAGCTTCCAATATTTCAACATAGGTTCTTTCTATTTTCCCCAAGTGTCATCTGGTCTGAGAAAGAGTACAAAGAGAGGAATTTTACAGCTGGGCCACCAGGGGTGACATCACATATCGGTAGGTCTGTGATGCCCACCTGAGCTGCAAAACCAGCAAGTTTTTATTAGGGTTTTCAAAAAGGGAGGGGGTTGCACAGACAGGGAGTAGGTCACAAAGATCACATGTTTCAAAGGGCAAAAGGCAGAGCAAGGATCACATGTTTCTGAGGAAACAGGACCAGGGCAAAATCAGAAACTCCTGATAAGGGTCTATGTTCAGCAGTGCACGTATTGTCTTGATAAACATCTTAACAGAAAACGGAGTTTGAGAGCAGAGAACTGGTCTGACCTCAAATTTACCAGGGCTGGGGTTTCCCAATCCCAGTAAGCCTGAGGGTACTGCAGGAGACCAGGGCGTGTCTCAGTCCTTATCTCAACTGCATAGGACAGACACTCCCAGAGTGGTCAATTATAGACCTCCCCCCAGGAATGCAATTCTTTTCCTAGGGTCTTAATATTATATTCCTTGCTAGGAAAAGAATTTAGCAATATCTCTCCTACTTTTGCACATCCATTTATAGGCTCTCTGCAAGAAGAAAAATATGGTTCTTTTTGCCAAACCCCACAGGCAGACAGACCTTATGGTTGTCTTCCCTTGTTCCCTAAAATTGCCATTATTCTGTTCATTTTCAAGGTGCAGTGATTTCATATTGCTCAAACACACATGTTTTACAATCAATTTGTACAGTTAATGTAATCATCACAGGGTCCTGAGGTGATGTACATCCTCAGCTTATGAAGATAACAGGATTAAGAGATTAAAGTAAGACAGGTGTAAGAAATTATAAGAGTATTATTAGGGAAGTGATAAATGTTCATGAAATCTTCACAATTTATGACCTCTGCTGTGGCTCCAGCCAGTCCCTCAGTTTGGGGTCCCTGACTTCCAACAACAGTGCAGCCTCCCTCCCAGCTGCTTTCACAGGCTGGCATTGAGTGTCTGGTTTTCCAGGCACATGATGCAAGCTGTCAGTGGATCTACCATTCTGGGGTCTGGAGTATGGTGGCCCTCTTCTCACAGCTCCACTAGGGTGCTGCCCCAGTAGGGACTCTGTCAGGTTGCTCCAGCCCCACATTTCCCTTTTGTATTACCTTAGCAGAGTTTCTCCATGAGACAACTGCCCCTGCAGCAAACTTCTGCCTGGACATCCAGGCATTTCCGTATATCCTCAGAAACATAGGCAGAGGTTCCCAAACCTCAATTCTTGACTTCTGTGCACCTGCAAGCTTAACACCATATGGAAGCTGCCAAGGTTTTGTTTGCTCCCTCTGAAGCCATGGCCCAAGCTGTACCTTGGCCTCTTTTAGTCATGGCTGGAGTGGCTGGAACACAGGGCACTAAGTCCCTATACTGCACACAGCACAGGGACCCTGGGCCTGGCCCAGGCCCATGAAACCATTTTCTCTTCCTAGGCCTCCAGGCCTGTGATGGGAGGGCCTGCTGTGAAGACCTCTGACATTTCCTGGAGACATATTCCCCATTGTCTTGGGTATTAAATTTTTTCTCCTTGTTACTTATGAAAATTTCTGTAGCCAGCTTGAATTATTCAGAAAATGGGATTTTCTTTTCTTTTTTTTTAATTACACTTTAAGTTCTAGGGTACATGTGCACAACGTACAGGTTTGTTACATATATATACATGTGCCATGTTGGTGTTCTGCACCCATTAACTCATCATTTACATTAGGTATATCTCCGAACGCTATCTTTCCCACCTCCCCCCACCCCACAACAGGCCCCAATGTGTGATGTTCCCCTTCCTGTGTCCAAGAGTTCTCATTGTTCAATTCCCACCTATGAGTGAGAACATGTGGTGGTTTGTTTTCCGTCCTTGTGATAGTTTGCTCAGAATGATGGTTTCCAGCTTCATCCATGTCCCTACAAAGGATATGAACTCATGCTTTTTTATGTCTGCGTAGTCTTCCATGGTATATATATGCCACAATGTCTTAATCCAGTCTATCAATGATGGACATTTGGGTTGGTTCCAAGTCTTTGCTATTGTGAATAGTGCCTCAATAAACATACGTGTGCATGTGTCTTTATAACAGCATGATTTATAAGCCTTTGGGTATATACCCAGTAATGGGATGGCTGGGTCAAATGGTATTTCTAGTTCTAGATCCTTGAGGAATCTCCACACTGTCTTCCACAATGGTTGAACTAGTTTACAGTCCCACCAAGAGTGTAAAAGTGTTCCTATTTCTCCATATCCTCTCCAGCACCTGTTGTTTCCTGACTTTTTAATGATTCTCATTCTAACTGGTGTGAGATGGTATCTCATTGTGGTTTTGATTTGCATTTCTCTGATGGCCAGTGATGATGAGCATTTTTTCATGTGTCTTTTGGCTGCATAAATGTCGTCTTTTGAGAAGTGTCTGTCCATATCCTTTGCCCACTTTTTGATGGGGTTGTTTGATTTTTTTTCTGGTAAGTTTAAGTTCCTTGTAGATTCTGGATATTAGCCCTTTGTCAGATGGGTAGATTGTAAAAATATTCTCCCATTCTGTAGGTTGCCTGTTCACTCTGATGGTGGTTTCTTTTGCTGTGCGGAAGCTCTTTAGTTTAACTAGATCCCATTTGTCAATTTTGGCTTCTGTTGCCATTGTTTTTGGTGTTTTAGACACGAAGTCCTTGCCTATGCCTATGTCCTGAATGGTATTGCCTAGGTTTTCTTCAAGGGTTTTTATGGTTTTAGGTCTAACGTTTAAGTCTTTAATCCATCTTGAATTAATTTTTGTATAAGGTGTAAGGAAGGGATACAGTTTCAGCTTTTACATATGGCTAGCCAGTTTTCCCAGCACCGTTTATTAAATAGGGAATCATTTCCCCATTTCTTGTTTTTGTTAGGTTTGTCAAATGTCAGATGGTTGTAGATGTGTGGTGTTATTTCTGAGGGCTCTGTTCTGTTCCATTGGTCTATAACACTGTTTTGGTACCAGTACCATGCTGTTTTCATTACTGTAGCCTTGTAGAGTAGTTTGAAGTCAGGTAGGGTGATGCCTCTAGCTTTGTTCTTTTGGCTTAGGATTGTCTTGGCAATGCAGGCTCTTTTTTGGTTCCATATGAACTTTAAAGTAGTTTTTTCCAATACTGTGAAGTCATTTGTAGCTTGATGGGGATGGCATTGAATCTATAAATTATCTTGGACAGTATGGTCATTTTAATGATATTAATTTTTCATATCCATGAGCATGGAATGTTCTTCTATTTGTTTCCTCTTTTATTTTGTTGATCAGTGGTTTGTAGTTCTTGAAGAGGTCCTTCACATCCCTCGTAAGTTGGATTCCTAGGTATTTTATTCTCTTTGAAGGAATTGTGAATGGGAGTTCACTCATGATTTGGCTGTCTGTTATTGGTGTATAGGAATGCTTGTGATTTTTGCATATTGGTTTTATATCCTGAGACTTTGCTGAAGTTGCTTATCAGCTTAAGATTTTGGGCTGAGACAATGGGGTTTTCTAAATAGACAATCACGTCATCTGCAAACAGGGACAATTTGACTTCCTTTTTTCCTAATTGAATACGTTTTATTTCTTTCTCCTGCCTGATTGCCCTGGCCAGAACTTCCAACACTATGTTGAGTAGGAGTGTTGAGAGAGAGCATCCCTGTCTTGTGCCAGTTTTCAAAGGGAATGCTTCCAGTTTTTGCCCATTCAGTGTGATATTGGCTGTGGGTTTGCCATAAATAGCTCTTACTATTTTGAGATACATCCCTTCAATACCTACTTTATTGAGTTTTTAGCATGAAGCACTGATAAATGTTGTCAAAGGCCTTTTCTGCATCTATTGAGATAATGACGTGGTTTTTGTCTTTGGTTCTGTTTATATGATGGATTCCGTTCATTGATTTGCATATGTTGCACCAGCCTTGCATCCCAGGGATGAAGCCAACTTGATCATGGTGGATAAGACTTTTGATGTGCTGCTGGATTCAGTTTGCCGGTATTTTATTGAAGATTTTTACATCAATGTTCATCAGGAATATTGGTCTAAAATTCTTTTTTTGTTGTGTCTCTGCCAGGCTTTGGTATCAGGATGATGCTGGCCTCATAAAATGAGTTAGGGAGGATTCCCTCTTTTCATATTGATTGGAATAGTTTCAGAAGGAATGGTACCAGCTCCTCCTTGTACCTCTGGTAGAATTTGGCTGTGAATCCCTCTGGTCCTGGACTTTGGGACCTGGTAGGCTATTAATTATTGCCTCAATTTCAGAGCCTGTTATTGTTCTATTCAGGGATTCAACTTCTTCCTGGTTTAGTCTTCGGAGGGTGTATGTGTCCACGAATTTATCCATTTCTTCTAGATTTTCTAGTTCATTTGTGTAGAGGTGTTTACAGTATTGTTGGAAGTTTGTATCTCTATGGGATTGGTGGTAATAATCTCCTTTAACATTTTTTATTGTGTCTATTTGATTCTTCCCTTTTCTTAGTCTTGTCAGCAGTCTATCAATTTTGTTGATCTTTTCAAAAAACCACCTCCTGGATTCATTGCTTTTTTTTGAAGGGTTTTTTGTGTCTCTATCTCCTTCAGTTCTGCTCTGATCTTAGTTGTTTCTTGCCTTCTGCTAGCTTTTGAATGTGTTTGCTCTTGCTTCTCTAGTTCTTTTAATTGTGATGTTAGGGTGTCAATTTTAGATCTTTCCTGCTTTCTCTTGTGGGCATTTAGTGCTATAAATTTCCCTCTACTCACTGCTTTAAATGTGTCCCAGAGATTCTGGTGTGTTGTATCTTTGTTCTCATAGGCTTCAAAGAACATCTTTACTTCTGCCTTCCTTTTGTTATGTACCCAGTTGTCATTCAGGAGCAGGTTTTTCAGTTTCCATGCAGTTGAGTGCTTTTGAGTGAGTTTCTTAATCCTGAGTTCTAATTTGATTGCCCTGTGGTCTGAGAGACAGTTTGTTATAATATCTGTTCTTTTACATTTGCTGAGGAATGCTTTACTTCCAACTATGTGATCAATTTTGGAAGAAGTACGATGTGGTGCTGAGAAGAATGTATGTATATTCTGTTGATTTGGGGTGGAGAGTTCTGTAGATGTCTATTAGTTCTGCTTGGTGCAGAGCTGAGTTCAAATTCTGGATGTCCTTTTTAACTTTGTCTTGTTGATCTGTCTAATGTTGACAGTGCGGTGTTAAAGTCTCCCATTATTATTGTGTGGGAGTCTAAGTGTCTTTGTGGTCTCTCAGGACTTGCTTTATGAATCTGGGTGCTCCTGTATTTGGTACATATGTATTTAGAATAGTTAGCTCTTCTTGTTGAATTGATCCCTTTACCATTATGTAATGTTCTTCTTTGTCTCTTTTGCTCTTTGTTGGTTTAAAGTCCTTTATCACAGACTGGGATTACAACCCCTGCTATTTTTGTTTTCCATTTGCTTGGTAGCTCCTCCTCCATCCCTTTATTTTGAGACTATGTGTGTCTCTGCACATGAGATGGGTTTCCTGAATATGGCACACTGATGGGTCTTGACTCTTTATCCAATCTGCCAGACTGTGACTTTTAGTTGGAGCATTTAGCCCATTTACATTTAAGGTTAATATTGTTATGTGTGAATTTGATCCTGTCATTATGATATTAGCTAGTTATTTTGCCCATTACTTGATGCAGTTTCTTCCTAGCATTGATGGTCTTTTCAATTTGGCATGTTTTTGCAGTGGCTGGTACTGGTTGTTCCTTTCCATGTTTAGTCCTTCCTTCAGGAGCTCTTGTAAGGTAGTTCTGCTGGTGAGAGAATCTCTCAGCATTTGCTTGTCTGTAAAGGATTTTATTTCTCCTTCACTTATGAAGTTTAGTTTGGCTGGATATGAAATTCTGGATTGTAAATTCTTTTCTTTAAGAATGTTGAATATTGTCCCCCACTCTCTTCTGGCTTGTAGAATTTCTGCCGAGAGATTGGCTGTTAGTCTGATGGGCTTCCCTTTGTGGGTAATCTGACCTTCCTCTCTGGCTGCCCTTAATATTTTTCCTTCATTTTAACTTTGGTGAATCTGACAATTATGTGTCTTGGTGTTGCTCTTTTCAAGGAGTATCTTCGTGGGTGTTCTCTGCATTTCCTTAATTTGAATGTTGGCATGCCTTGCTAGGTTGGGGAAGTTCTCCTGGATAATATCCTGAAGAGTGTTTTCCAACTTGGTTCATTCTCCCTGTCACTTTCACATACACCAATCAGACATAGACTTGGTCTTTTCACATAGTCCCATATTTCTTGGAGGCTTTGTTCATTTCTTTTTACTCTTTTTTCTCTAAACTTCTCTTCTCACTTAATTTCATTCATTTGATCTTCAATCACTGATACCCTTTCTTCCACTTGATCAAATTGGTTACTGAAGCTTGTGCATGCGTCCAAGTAGTTCTCTTGCCATGGTTTTCAGCTCCATCAGGTCATTTAAGGTCTTCTCTATGCTGTTTGTTCTAGTTAGCCATTCACCTAATCTTTTTTTAAGTGTTTTAGCTTCTTTGTGATGGGTTCGAACATCCCCCTTCAGCTTGGAGAAGTTTGTTATTACTGATTTTCTGAAGCCTTCTTCTCTCAATTCATCAAAGTCATTCTCCTTCCAGCTTTGTTCCATTGCTGGCAAGGAGCTGCCTTCCTTTGGAGGAGAAATGGTGCTCTGATTTTTAGAATTTTCAGCTTTTCTGGTCTGGTTTCTTCTCATCTTTGTAGTTTTTATCTACCTTTGGTCTTTGATGGTGACATACAGATAGGGTTTTGGTGTTGATATCCTTTCTGTTTGTTAGTTTTCCTTCTAACAGTCAGGACCCTCAGCTGCAGGTCTGTTGGAGTTTGCCGGAGGTCCCCTCCAGACCCTGTTTGCCTGGGAGGCTGCGGAGGCTGCAGAACAGCAACTATTGCGGAATGGCAAATGTTGCTGCCTGATCCTTCCTCTGAAAGCTTTGTCTCAGAGGGGCATCCGATGGTGTGAGGTGTCAGTGGGCCCCTACTGGGAGGTGTCTCCCAGTTAGGCTACTTGGGGATCAGGGACCCACTTGAGGAGGCAGGCTGTCCATTGTCAGATCTCAAACTCCATGCTGGGAGAACCACTACTCTCTTCAAAGCTGTCAGACAGGGACATTTAAGTCTGCAGAAGCTTCTGCTGCCTTTTGTTCATCTATGTCCTGCCCCCAAAGTTGGAGACTTCAGAGGCAGGCAGGCCTCCTTGAGCTGTGGTTGGCTCCACCCAGTTTGAGCTTCCTGGCCACTTTGTTTACCTACTCAACCCTCAGCAATGGCGGACTCCCCTCCCCCAGCCTCATTGCTGCCTTGTAGTTCAATCTCAGACAGCTGTGCTAGCGGTGAGCGAGGCTCCATGAACGTGGGGCCCTCCAAGCCAGGCGTCTGATATAGTCTCCTGGTGTGCCTTTTGCTAAGACCATTGGAAAAGCTCAGTAGTAGGGTGGGAGTGTCCCAATTTTCCAAGTACCATCTGTCACAGCTTCCGTCTTCTAGGAAAGGGAATTCCCCAACCCCTTGCACTTCCCAGGTGAGGTGATGCCCCACCCTGCTTTGGCTCACACTCCGTGGACTGCACCCACTGTCTGACAAGCCCCAGTGAGATGAACCCGGTACCTCAGTTGGAAATAGAGAAATCACCAGTCTTCTGTGTTCACGCTGGGAGCTATAGACTGGAGCTGTTCCTATTCGGCCATCTTAGAACCAGACCAAATGGGACTTTCTCTTCTTTCATATTGCCTGACTGCAAATTTTCTGAACTTTCATGCTCTCCTTCCCTTGTAAAACTGAATTCCTTTAACAGCACCCAAGTCACCTCTTGAATGCTTTGCTGCTTAGAAACTTCTGCCAGATACCCTAAATCATCTCTCAAGTTCAAAGTTCCACAAATCTCTAGGGCAGGGACAAAATGCCACCAGTCTCTTTGCTGAAACATAACAAGAGTCACTTTTGCTCCAGCTCCCAACAAGTTCCTCATCTCCATCTGAGACCACCTCAGCCTGGACCTTATTGTTTATATAACTGTCAGCTTTTTTGTCAATGCCATTCAATAGGTCTCCAGGAAGTTCCAAACTTTCCCATTTTCTTGTCTTCTGAGCCCCCCAGACTGTACCAACGTCTGTCTGTTCTCAGGTCCAAAATTGCTTCCATATTTTCAGGTATGTTTTCAGCAACACCCCACTCTACTGGTACCAATTTAGTGTATTGGTCCGTTTTCATGCTGTTGATAGAGATATACCTGAGACTGAGCAATTTACAAGAGAAAGAGGTATATTTGACTCACTGTCCCACGTGGCTGGGGAGGTTTCACAATCATGGCAGAAGGTAAAAGGCACATCTCACATGGCAACAGACAAGAGAAGAGAGGCTGTGCAGATAAACTCCCCTTCTTGAAACCAAGTCTCATGAGATTCATTCACTATCACAAGAACAGTGCAGGAAAGACCTGCCTCCATAATTCAATCACCTCCTGCTGGGTTCCTCCCATGATGCATGGGAGTTGTGGGAGTTACAATTCAGGATGAGATATATGTGAGAACACAGCCAAACCATATCAATACACATGCCTGCATTTTACTCCTTATATTCTGTGAACATAAGAACTCCAGTCGGCAACAAAATTTTGTTCACCAGCTTGCCTGGAACTGCTAACTTTTATTGCATTCCTTTTAGTAACTTCCCTACACTTCCTGCTAGCACTCCAATCTTCCTTTCTAAAGAAAATCCTTGCTCTTGATTCTTTCCGGAGACTATGCTTATACTTAATTTCCCTCAAAGTGTAATCAGTATGAACCCTACTATGTACCTTACCACTTCAAAAACAAAAATCTTTTCAGTGTATCTTAGATACTTCTATTCAGTACATACGGAGCTACCTAAATTGGAGTTCTCCCAAGGCAGAATCTGAGCACAGGTGTTGACCTCCTTTCCCAAGGTAGAATCTTTCTAGTTGATGTGTGATAGAGAACGGTAAGGTCCTCTGTTTGCCTTATTTGCCAAAACAAATATCTAGTCTATTGGCAGTAGCCCACATGTCAGTACAAAAATATTTGGTATAATTGGAGGTTTCCCTGTCTGAGCACTGTCACAACATGAGGAATACAGCACACTGGCCCAGCAACTTCTACAGTAGTCAATCTTGCTTGCACCTGCCCAGATTGAACCCTTCAGTTAATCAGCTGCTTTGTTTAACCAAGCTCAGTCACAGTTCCTTGAAGTTAGACTTTTTAGGCATCTGCCTCAAGTCCAAAAGACTTAGACGGCCAGCTTTTGTAATTCTATAGTATATGCAAGTTAAGCCTTGGGTAAGCAATTATCCAAATAAGGTAATGTAGCTGGGCATGGTGGCTCATGCCTGTAATCCCAGCACTTTGGGAGGCAGAGATGAGCAGATCACTTGAAGTCAGGAGTTTGAGATCACCTTAGCCAACATAGTGAAATCCCGTCTCTACTAAAAATCAACCAGACATGGTGGTGCATGCCTGTAATCCCAGCTACACAGGACGCTGAGGCAAGAGTCACCTGAACCCGGGAGACGGAGGTTGGAGTGAGCTGAGATCATGTTACTGTGCTCCAGCTTGGGCGACAAAGCAAGACTCCATCTAAAAGTAGCATAACACAAATGACTGGTTTGGGAGTTTATAGAAGTCTTAGAATTCTATTACTGTATGTAAGACATACATTGCTATTGTAGATAAAGCTAGCAAAAGTAAGAAGTCTTTTTGTTTTGTTTTAAGGAGCAGGGAGTTTAATAGGCAAGAAAGAAGGGGGAAGAAAGACACTCCCCTGTACAGAGACAGGGAGGGGGGCTCCAAAGCCAAGAGATGAAACCCCAAGTGCAGTGGACACCAGCCAGGTGTATATGCAGAGGCTGGAGAAGGTGGCATCTGATTTGCATAGGGCTCAGGGCCCTCCTACCCTAACTTTTTAATACGCAAATCCAGGGTGCCATGATGTTCTACATACATAGGGATATGTGGGGGCAGCCAGGTTGCCAGGAACATATGGGGAAAGGTCAAGAAGGCCACGGGAATTGCCATGTTTGGGTGGACCCAGTTTTTAACAGCTGACATTTGCATATCAAAGGTTGCCTGCCTGGCTGTACGAGCTGGGGCTTTAAAAGAAACTTTAGCGGAGATGCTTTAAAAATTGAAAACTTCTCAAGGACCCCTTTCCTTTCTACCTGCCTAAAATAATTTCTTAACTCCTACCACATTCCTCCCTGTGGCAATATCACACTAACTGCTGTTAGGGGGTTTTGGGCGATGACTCTTTCTGGCTACTTCCTGTTAAAAAGGGGCATCAAATGGGGAACAGCAGCTACGGCTCAACCTGGGGTTGACCTAAGGGTCCTCAGAAGAATGATGTGTCAATGTGTGGTTCACACATTGTTTGCAGCACCATTTGGAGTTTGATTGCTTTTAGGCAAGAAGAAACAATTCAAGTTATAGTATTGAGTACACAGGGTCCAAATGTCAACATAAGCCATATAAGCAAGAGAGGGCTTAATAAGGGGGTTAACCAATTCCATAAAGAAGACTTTAATTTATTAAAGAGGGATTGTAGCTACTCAGGGCTGAAGCTGGCATTTTCCCTGAGCCTGTTAATTCTGATTTGATTTTTAAGTACTTGCAGGTTTTCCTCTATTTAAGTAGAGGTGTTAATCCAGAAGGGGTATGTTTCATTTAAAAGTGCATTACTGAACTCAATAAAAAGTCTTAGCATACTCAGCGACAGTAAAACTCTTATGCTTTTTTTGTTAGTAACCATTATTCCTGCTAATAAGGATAATTAAGCAAAATATGACAGCAATGGAAACTGTCCAATATTTCAATTAGAAGCTGCTACTCTGTATAACCCTATTGCAAATAGTAGAGTGAGCATAGCAATTTCTACAAATGTGGTGTAGTAATTTCCATCTAAAATTTTATTTGCCAAGATATACAATTTCCCTTTGGGGGTTTATGAAGTTCCTTAGTTTTATTTTCCCAAACAAAGGAACTTCAATTTATGGGCATCCTACTCACTTTTATTACCTGCAGAATTTGCAGGATAATTGCCCAGAACCAGTATATTGATTCAGATTTTTACATTACCCATCCCTTTTTCTTTTTTCCAAGCTGCAGAAGATCAACACTTGATTTACAGGAATAAGCAGAGTTAGTCTAAAATTTTGGCAAAAAGCTTAAAAACAGACTAGGATTTAATGACAAATGTATGATAAGCTTTGCAGCACAGTTTCTGTCCAGTCCTCATTTTTGGGAAAAACAAAGTATAGGGCTGTGTGTGTTGTTTATAGAATAAACTTTAGTCTTATACTTGGCCTGATTGTTTGCATAAAGTACAGCAAGAATGGTTATTTCTAATTTCAGATAAGACTTTAAGGCTGAGCCCAGCCATGGGTTTGTATCCTCCAATACCTGTGAGTTGGGTGAGTCTCTCATCTTGAGGTCCTAAGATAAACTCAGAGTTTCCAGACCTGTTAGAAAGTGACATTCTTTACTGACCACAGGTTACGAATCCTGTGCGGGGACTGCGTAGTACATAAGATATTAAGTCAGTTCTCCCCCAAGGGGCTTTTATTGGTTTTGCGTGTCAAGCTTGATTCCTTAAAGGAAACACACCCTTTCAGTCAAAGCCTTGGTAAAATAACCAGTTTTTCCAATTGTGTCCTGTTGACACAATTGCTTTTAATTCTTGGGGTTTCATGAATAAAATAGTTTTTTTTTTTTTTTTTCAAAATGTGGTATGTGGCACCTCCTGTTTTCCCAAGGAGCTCTATGCTACCAGAAGTTATTTTAGGACCTCTCATGCATGATTAAGAGTGGTGTAAGACAAAAAATGGAGAAAAATAATTCCGTTGACTGAGAAGAAAAGAGCCTTTCTCCAGAAAAACAAGATCCAAGAAGAGAAAAACATAAAAGCCTTTTAAATATACCTATAACTTGAATATACACCCTTAATTAAGCTGAACACTCTTTAAGAAAATCCTTTTAAATCCCTTGTTACTTGACTTTAGCCATACCAAGCAGTTAAGATTTTTGGCTTTTGAACTTTACAAAAAGTAATCTTACAGGTGAAACCGATGAGATTTAATTAGATTATTACTTAATGGCAAGTGTACAAGGTATTTTTAAAGGGGTGATAGGCAGCTTTTGAAACTATTATTTCAAAATTGTGACTGAGACAGTGAAAGAGACCTGACCCAAACAACTTCATTTTGTTTCCAGCCCCCAAGCTGTCCTTGCCCATCCCTGGGAGTAGGCTGAACCAACTTTGGGAGGAGCCTGGTTTACAGTCTATAGTTTAAAACAAAGATAACAACTGCTTCCCAAGATATACTTCCTCTTGCCTGGGGACCAGACCCAGTAAATAGCCACAAGATTAGAAACTATGGCCCAGGAGCCATGCAGCTGGAGGCTACAAGACTTTGGCCCTTGCTAAATAGCTCTTAAGATCAGTGCTTAAGATTTTGTAAACTCTGCCTTTGATGGACCAGCTGGCACCACCCAGATTGACAAACTGGCTTATATGATTTAGCACAAGAAGATAGCCACCATTGTAAAATGGCAGAGACTAAAAGTATTGCCACACAGTTACAGGTCATGTTCCCAAGGCCATGAAACAAGATGGAGGCCTTAGCCAAGTTTATTACTGATAATTTTGTTGGGCTGGCTTCAACAGCAGGCTTTATGGGATTCTGGATGTCAGAAACCCTTTCCCTTGAGGAGAATAGGAATCTGACAAGCCCCCAGATTTTTTAGAAACAAATGCTCGGGGTTGCAAAGTGAAACCAGCACTCAGGCAAAAAGTTTTCTCAGCAAGGCAATTTACTTCTGCAGAAGGGTGCTGCCTGCATCAGCCAGATCACAAGAGCACACTGAACAAAGAAGAGTTTTTATCCCTAACACAGTCTCTATCCCTGTGTCCTTCCCCTATTGGCTAGGGTTGGACTGCACAATGTAACCTGATGCTGATTGGCTAAGACTTAAACTTGTCCAAATAGGGTAAATGCATGATTTGTAAGGGAGGGAAGGTGTGGGAGTCGTCCCTTTGCTGCAGTGCAAGGCATGTTCAGACATGTCTAGGCAAGTCAGGACACAAGAGTGGGAGGGCTGCTCACAGGCTAGAAACAAAGTACAAGGAGGTAGGGCCTCTGAGTCAAGGACAAGGACATTACACAATTAAACCCTTAGAAGAGGAATTCACCATCTCTGGCAATTTCCCCCTTTGTCTTTTGATACTTTTTCCTCTGCAAATTTTTCTAACATAATTCAGCTCTGTTGTTCAACTTGTTCACCTAGGAACAAAATCCTATCTGAGTATGGAGGAGGAGAGGTAGGGGTGGTTTTTGTGAGAACTGTTTCTATAATAAGTCTTTGCATTAACCCATGGATACGGGGTATGATGCAGCATCATACAATGAGTGCACCTGTAACAGTTGCAAGAGAGGTTAATATTGAAGTCAAAAGCCCTTTCCATTTACCAAACCACTTTTCCATGAGACTTGTGAAGGGGTTATTCCGGAATTTTTGGCTAACTAGGGATGAAAGTACAGAATTGGACTCCAATAATAACACAGACTCTGCCATTTTCTGCTAACATGTCAAGGGCTATCATATTCTCCCAGGCCATCCAGCTGGTGGGGCCTAATTGTTCAGTGACCCCTTTAATGGCATCTCTTGTGTAATTGACAAGCTGCTGTTGATTATAGTAAATGTAATTTATCCAATCTACATTTTTGTTTATAGTTGACCACCAGGACAGTGCTGATTTGAATCCTGTAGCTATTTGGTTTCAGGCTTTAAATTAATCTGGTACCCCTCGTGGGATTCCAATAGCATCTATATAAATGTGAGGGTCAAAAGACCTGTGAGGAGCAACCCTTTTTTCCCCAACATCCTTTCCTGTTACGTTGATGGAATGCCAGAGTGAAAGGGATGGCCAATCAGACTAGAGTGCAAGTGCCACTCCAGTTACTAGGCAGAGTACCCAATTGTAGTCCACCACAGTACCACCATACATCTGCTTGAGAATAGACAAAGGCAGCTTGACTGGTAAGCTCTTGGAAAGGCTTGATTTCACTACACCCTTTTAGGTTTCTGAGGGACATTAATCCTTCCCTTTGCCATGAGAGACATGAGGTAAAATCAACATTAGGAGCTGGAGGCTGGATGGCCCATGGGGGCTGAGCTGTGGGGCCTTTAACTTCAGAGAACAGCAGTGAGAGAGTCTTCCATGCCTCATTGTCCCAGGCTGTGGGGTTTTGAAAGAGACTCACCATGCAGCTTATACCTGATTGGTCAGAAGACCCTCCAAGTGGGAAGGGTACTATTTGGGCCTCTGGCCTACCTGCTGCACAAGTGTAACAGTTGCTTTTGTTTAGTGTGCGAACAGAATATTTAATCCATTCCCAGCAGATATTTGCATCTCGGTATCCTGTTTCAATTGCAGGGTTTGTCTTAGATCTTTTACTTCTACAATGTCTACTATGGTTTCATCATGGGGTATGGGAAGAACAGCCATTTGATTAGGATTTAGAAGGAGAGAGAGGTGAAGGAGTAATGAAGCACATCTCAAAGGATCCTGTAGGGTCTATTCCAGGAGCATCAGCTCCTAGGCCATAGAGATCTAGAATGGGGTTAGTGTCGGTAGACTTGGGGACAGTGACAGAGATTTGCACAGGGTTACATTGTTGGAGTTGAAAATTGGAGGGAGTTCTCTCTCTCTGGTAAAGTGGATGTAAGGCTTTAGGTCAGTGCAATCTCCTCCCGGGGAGGTCCAGCCTTGATACTTGGTGGTCCAGACCAAATCTTCCCAACTAGGACAGAACTTCCAATAACTGCTTTGTGCTTGCTTGGTGCAAGAGTCAGTTTTGTAGGCAGTCTTATTTATCCTGGAATGGCAAGGGTACCTTTCTGAAGAGGCAAGCTTTCTTTGGCTTTGGAGATGTCCACAGGGCATGACAAGACAAGCATCAAAGGTAATGGTTTGAGGAGAGCTAGATCTGGTTACATTGATACTAAAGTGTGACTAGCAATAGAAGGGAAAAAGAAATAAAACATAAGAGGATCAAACCTGTTTTAGCTTTAACTTGGTTGGAGCTGGCCCTGGAATAGCTGTCCATGATTGTGGAGGAGGTGGTCTTCCTTTGACCTGAGTGTGATGAGCCATCCCTTTTTGGTGGTGCAGACAGCTGTTCTTGGTCCTTAGAAGCACTAGATAGGATCCCTCCCAGGTGGGCTCGAGCTTCCCTTCTTTCCAACCCTTGATGAGGACGTTGTCTCCAGGCTGGTGGTGGTGAACTGGAAATTCGAGGGGTGGCCTCTGTGCTAGGAGGCCTTTGGTTCTAAGGGAAGAGAAAGTGGAGGATGGACCAAGTATATAGTTTTTGGGGAATAGATCTTTTGTTTCAAATGTAGGAATGTCAGCAGTGGAGTGTAAACAAAGCAACCCAAACAGCATTTCATAAGGGGTAAGCCAACATCTTTTGGAGGGGCAGTTCAGATTCTCAACAAGACAATGGAAAGGCATTTAATCCACGGTAATTGAATCTCTAGGACTAATTTGGTTAGGTGTTTCTTCAGAGTCTAGTTCATTCTTCTCTTCCTGATGAAGGTGGGTGCCAGGGGATATGGTAGTCCCATGTTATATCCAGTACTTGGGCTAGTTTCTTAATGACATTTGTAGTGAAATGAGTCCTATTATCTGAATCAACATTTTCTATTAATCTGAACCTGGGTATAGTATTTTCAACAAATGTCTTGACTGCATTGTTAGCAGTTGGACTTGAAAAGGGTGAATAGCTTCTACCCAATGAGTAAGGTGATCTACTATCACTAATATTTTAAGTGACCGATTGGGGGCATTTTGGTGTAATCAACTTGGACACTTTGGAATGGTCTTAATCCTGGATTTCTCCCAAGAGGTGGTTTTCTGAGGGTCTGCTTATTAATTTTCTTACATACTAGGCAACTATCTGTAACCTGTCTTGCTAAAGTATAAATTCTTATACATTCCTATAAACCCGGAGGCCTGCAACATATGTAGCTTGAGGTCCCCAAATGAGTCCCTTAATGCAGACGAGAGAGAACTTCTCTCATGAGGAGTTTGGATAACATTTCTCTTTGATCTGGTAACACCCATTTCCCTTATGAATTTTCTTTGTTCCCTATTTTTATCTTTTTCAGCGGGAGAAGAAATGGGGATTGCAGTTGGGGGAGGAAGACAAGGGGCTAAGTGAAAAACAGGCATTTCAGAGGAAGTGGCAGTTTGTTTGGCTATTTGATATGCAAGGTTATTCCCTTGGCCTTCAAAAGCGATACCTTTCTGATGTCTTGGAACATGGACAATAGCTATTTCTTCTGGTAACTGGAAGTTATCTAATACCTGAGTGATTAATTCTTTGTGGACCAGGTCTTGGCCTTTGTTAATAAGACCTCATTCAGTCCAAATTTTTCCAAAGGTGTGAGCTACCCCGAAGGCGTACTTGGAATCAGTGTAAATAGTCTCTTCTTGTTCTGCAAGTGCCTTAAGGCTTGATTTAATGCAAACAATTCACATGTTTGGGCAGACCAATTAATGGGCAGTCTTTCTGACTATTTCAAGGGCTTCCCCATGACTACTGGGTACCCATTATGTCTCTTTTCTTCAATTACTCAGGAAGAGCCATCTATAAGTGCTGCCCCATTTTGAAAGGGGTCTCTCTTAAATCAGGCCTAACTTTTGTATGATAATTAAATCTAAACATTCATGCTCAGGTCTCTTTAGATTTGATTCCCAGTCAGGAAACTTGCTGGGTTAAATGAATTATCAGTTGTTAGGGTTAAATCGTGTCTTTCTAACAGGATAGCTTCATACTTTAAAATTCTTGGTCAGTGAGCCATCTTCCTGCCTTCTGATTCAAGATAGTTCTAACCTGATGGGGCATGCTTACAACTAAGTTTCCCCCAAAGGCAAGCTTTCTGCTTACTTTAGTTAACAAGGTGGTAGCTGTGATGGATTGAATACATTCAGGCCATCCACAGGCTACTGGATCTAAAACTCTCAATAGGAAAACTATGAGTTTCTGGTGACCCTATCTTCTTGGTTAAGTACCCCTAAAGCTACCTCCCTATCTATGCTAACAAAAAAGTGAAATGGCTTCTCTAGGGAAGGCAGAGCTAAAACAGGGGCAGTTATGAGCAGATGTTTTAGTTCCTCAACCTGGTGGATTTCTTCAGAAATCCACAGGAGACGGTCAGACTTTTCCTGGATAAGTTTTAGGTATAAAGTTTTTGTTTTTAGGGCATATGAGTCAATCCATAAGTGGCAATATCCAACTAATCCTAGGATTTTTCCTGAGTTCTTGTTTAGTTTTAGACAAAAGTAAGGACACAATCCCTTCAACTCGTTCAGGCCCTACCCTTCATTTGCCCTTGATTATTAAGTGTCCCAGGTATTTAACTTCAGGCTTTATGAATTGAAGCTTTCCCTTTGAAACCCATACCCCCTCCTTGCAAATGGTTAAAGAGATGGATGGAGAAGGCAGTTACCACCTCTACAGCCTTACCAGATACTAGAAGTCATCCATGTACTGGAGCAGGCATATACATTTTGGGGTAGAAACTTGTTGTAACACTTATTCTAGAATTTGACCAAAGAGGTTAGGGGAATCTGAACCCTTCAGGTCGAACTGTCAACCAATACTGTTGCTTTCATCCAGAATGGGGATCTTCCCATTTGAAAGCAAAAATGTCTCAGCTGTCCTTGGGCAAGGGGCGTAACCAAAAGGCATCCTTCAAATCTGTGAACCACTGATGTTCATATGGAATTTTACTGAGAATGGTGTAAGCATTAGGAACAACAGGGTGGGTAGCCTGGACTATCTGGTTGATGTCCTGGAGGTCTTGCACCACTTGATATGAGCCATCTGATTTCTTCACAGGCAGTATTGCGGTATTATAAGGGGACATACAGGGTTCAAGGAACCCATCCTTGATGAGGCTTTCAATTATAGGTTTTAGGCCTATTCTGCTTTCTTTCTTTTTTTCTTTATTATTATTATTTTACTTTAAGTTTTAGGGTACATGTGCACAACATGCAGGTTTGTTACTTATGTATACATGTGCCATGTTGGTGTGCTGCACCCATTAACTCATCATTTAGCATTAGGTATATCTCCTAAGGCTATCCCTCCCCCTTCCCCTCCCCCCACCCCACAACAGTCCCCGGTGTGTGATGTTCCCCTTCCTGTGTCCATGTGTTCTCATTGTTCAATTCCCACCTATAAGTGAGAACATGTGGTGTTTGGTTTTTTGTCCTTGAGATAGTTTGCTGAGAATGATGGTTTCCAGCTTCTTCCATGTCCCTATAAAGGACATGAACTCATCCTTTCTTTATGGCTGCATAGTATTCCATGGTGTATATGTGCCACATTTTCTTAATCCAGTCTATCATTGTTGGACATTTGGGTTGGTTCCAAGTCTTTGCTATTGTGAATAGTGATGTAATAAACATACATGTGCATGTGTCTTTATAGCAGCATGATTTATAATCCTTTGGGTATATATCCAGTAATGGATGGCTGGGTCAAACAGTATCTCTAGTTCTAGATCCCTGAGGAATCGCCACAATGACTTCCACAATGGTTGAACTAGTTTACAGTCCCACCAACAGTGTAAAAGTGTTCCTATTTCTCCATATCCTCTCCAGCACCTGTTGTTTCCTGACTTTTTAATGATCGCCATTGCAACTGGTGTGAGATGGTATCTTATTGTGGCTTTGATTTGCATTTCTCTGATGGCCAGGGATGATGAACATTTTTTCGTGTGTTTTTTGCCTGCATAAATGTTTTCTTTTGAGAAGTATCTGTTCATATCCTTTGCCCACTTTTTGATGGGGTTGTTTGTTTTTTTCTTGTAAATTTGAGTTCATTGTAGATTCAGGATATTAGCCATTTGTCAGATGAGTAGGTTGCAAAAATGTTCTCCCATTCTGTAGGTTGTCTGTTTACTCT
This sequence comes from Homo sapiens, assembly GCF_000001405.40. NCBI lineage: Eukaryota > Metazoa > Chordata > Mammalia > Primates > Hominidae > Homo > Homo sapiens. The sequence goes on from NC_000004.12 coordinate 77,339,035, forward strand.
GATGGTGGTTTCTTTTGCTGTGCAGAAGCTCTTTAGTTTAATTAGATCCCATTTGTCAATTTTGGCTTTTGTTGCCATTGTTCTTAGTGTTTTAGACTTGAAGTCCTTGCCCATGCCTATGTCCTGAATGGTATTGCCTAGGTTTTCTTCTAGGGTTTTTATGGTTTTACGTGTAGCATGTAAATCTTTAATCCATCTTGAATTAATTTTTGTATAAGATGTAAGGAAGTGATCCAGTTTCAGCTTTCTACATATGGCTAGCCAGTTTTCCCAGCACTGTTTATTAAATAGTGAATCCTTTTCCCATTGCTTGTTTTTGTCAGATTTGTCAAAGATCAGATAGTTGTAGATATGTGGCATTATTTCTGAGGGCTCTGTTCTGTTCCATTGGTCTATATCTCTGTTTTGGTACCAGTACCCTGCTGTTTTGGTTACTGTAGCCTTGTAGTGTAGTTAGAAGTCAGGTAGTGTGATGCCTCCAGCTTTGTTCTTTTGGTTTAGGATTGACTTGGCAATGCGGGCTCTTTTTTGGTTCCATATGAACTTATAGTAGTTTTTTCCAATTCTGAGAAGAAAGTCATTGGTAGGTTGATGGGGATGGCATTGAATATATAAATTACCTTGGGCAATGTGGACATTTTCATGATATTGATTCTTCATATCAATGAGCATGGAATGTTCTATTTGTTTCCTTTTTTATTTCATTGAGCCGTGGTTGTAGTTCTCCTTGAAGAGGTCCTTCACATCCCTTGTAAGTTGGATTCCTAGGTATTTTATTCTCTTTGAAGCAATTATGAATGGGGGTTCACTCACGATTTGGCTCTCTGTTTGTCTGTTATTGGTGTATAAGAATGCTTGTGATTTTTGCACATTGATTTTGTATCCTGAGACTTTGCTGAAGTTGCTTATCAGCTTGAGATTTTGGGCTGAGACAATGGGGTTTTCTAGATATACAATCGTGTCATCTGCAAACAGGGACAATTTGACTTCCTCTTTTCCTAACTGAATGCCCTTTACTTCCTTCTCCTGCCTGATTGCCCTGGCCAGAACTTCCAACACTATGTTGAATAGGAGTGGTGAGAGAGGGCATCCCTGTCTTTTGCCCGTTTTCAAAGGGAATGCTTCCAGTTTTTGCCCATTCAGTATGATACTGGCTGTGGGTTTGTCATAGATAGCTCTTATTATTTTGAGATACGTCCCATCAACACCTAATTTATTGAGAGTTTTTAGCATGAAGGTTGTTGAATTTTGTCAAAGGCCTTTTCTGCATCTGTTGAGATAATCATGTGGTTTTTGTCTTTGGTTCTGTTTATATGCTGGATTATGTTTATTCATTTGCATATGTTGAATCAGCCTTGCATCCCAGGGATGAATCCCACTTGATCATGGTGGATACGCTTTTTATGTGTTGCTGGATTCGGTTTGCCAGTATTTTGTTGAGGATTTTTGCATCAATGTTCCTCAAGGATATTGGTCTAAAATTCTCTCTTTTTGTCGTGTTTCTGCCAGGCTTTGGTATCAGGATGATGCTGGCCTCATAAAATGAGTTAGGGAGGATTCCCTCTTTCTCTATTGATTGGAATAGTTTCAGAAGGAATGGAATCAGCTCCTCCTTGTAATTCTGGTAGAATTTGGCTGTGAATCCATCTGGTCCTGGACTTTTTTTGGTTGGTAAGCTATTAATTATTGCTTCAATTTCAGAGCCTGTTATTGATCTATTCAGAGATTCAACTTCTTCGTGGTTTAGTCTTGGGAGAGTGTAGGTGTCGAGGAATTTATCCATTTCTTCTAGATTTTCTAGTTTATTTGCGTAGAGGTGTTTATAGTATTCTCTGATGGTAGTTTGTATTTCTGTGGGATCAGTGGTGATATCCCCTTTATCATTTTTTATTGTGTCTATTTGATTCTTCTCTGTTTTCTTCTTTATTAGTCTTGCTAGCGGTCTATCAATTTTGTTGATCTTTTCGAAAAACCAGCTCCTGGATTCATTGATTTTTTGAAGGGTTTTTTGTGTCTCTATTTCCTTCAGTTCTGTTCTGATTTTAGTTATTTCTTGCCTTCTGCTAGCTTTTGAATGTGTTTGCTCTTGCTTCTCTAGTTCTTTTAATTGTGATGTTAGGGTGTCAATTTTAGATCTTTCCTGCTTTCTCTTGTGGGCATTTAGCGCTATAAATTTGCCTCTACACATTGCTTTAAATGTGTCCCAGAGATTCTGGTATGTTGTGTCTTTGTTCTCGTTGGTTTCAAAGAACATCTTTATTACTGCCTTCATTTTGTTATGTACCCAGTAGTCACTCAGGAGCAGGTTGTTCAGTTTCCAGGTAGTTGAGCAGTTTTGAGTGAGTTTCTAAATCCTGAGTTCTAGTTTGATTGCACTGTGGTCTGAGAGACAGTTTGTTATAATTTCTGTTCTTTTACACTTGCTGAGGAATGCTTTACTTCCAACTATGTGGTCAATTTTGGAATAGGTGTGGTGTGGTGCTGAAAAGAATGTATATTCTGTTGATTTGGGGTGGGAGTTCTGTAGATGTCTATTAGGTCTGCTGGGTGCAGAGCTGAGTTCAATTCCTGTATATCCTTTTTAACTTTCTGTCTCGTTGATCTGTCTAATGTTGACAGTGGGGTGTTAAAATCTCCCATTATTATTGTGTGGGAGTCTAAGTCTCTTGTAGGTCACTAAGGACTTGCTTTATGAATCTGGGTGCTCCTGTATTGGGTGCATATATATTTAGGATAGTTAGTTCTTCTTGTTGAATTGATCTCTTTACCATTATGTAATGACCTTCTTCATCTCTTTTGATCTTTGTTTAAAGTCTGTTTTATCAGAGACTAGGATTGCAACCCCTGCCATTTTTTGTTTTCCATTTCCTTGGTAGATCTTCCTCCATCCCTTTAGTTTGAGCCTATGTGCGTCTCTGCACAAGATGGGTTTCCTGAATACAGCACACTGATGGGTCTTGACTCTTTATCCAATTTGCCAGTCTGTGTCTTTTAATTGGAGCATTTAGCCCATTTACATTTAAGGTTAATATTGTTATGTGTGAATTTGACCCTTTCATGATGTTAGCTGATTATTTTGCTCGTTAGTTGATGCAGTTTCTTCCTAGCTGAGAGTCCAGGTTTATTCGTCACACCAGGTAGGTCCCGATTCCTCACCCTGAGGCCACCACAATGAGGCAGTGGCATGCATCTCCTCATGAGAGGTGACCAGAGACCCTTTCCCTGGAGGAGAATGGGAATCCCACAAAAGCCCCTAGATTTGTTAGAAACAAATGCTCAGTGTCGCAAAGTGAAACTAGCACTCAGGCAAAAGGTTTTCTCAGCAAGGCAATTTACTTCTGCAGAAGGGTGCTGCTTGTCTCAGCCATGATTGCAAGAGCACACTGAACAAAGGAGAGGAGTTTTTATCCCTAATGCAGTCCCTATCCCTGTGTCCTTCCCCTATTAGCTAGGGTTGGACTGCACAATCTAAAGTCATCCCAGTTGGCTAAGACTTAAACTTTTCCAAAAAAGGTAAATGTGCAATTCATAAGGGAGGGAGGGGGTGGGAGTGGTCCCTCTGCTACAGCACAAGGCATGTTTGGACATGTCTGGGCAAGTTCAGAGCATAACAAGAGTGGGAGGGCTGCTTGCAGGCTAGAAACATAGTACAAGGAGGTGGGGCCTCTGAACCAAGGACAAGGACATCACACAATTAAACCCATTGAAGAAGAATTCACCATCTCTGGCATGGGCCTGCACCCTGACTAAGATACCCTTTCTTTGACAGGACCATGCAGAAAGACATGCAAAGCACACCAGATTGTCTACAGCTTAAGACCAACCTTATAAATCCTTTATCATTAATTATACATTTACAGAAAACATAAACAGTGATCCTTATTATCACTTTTACTGGTATGTGCAGGGAGAGAATCCAAAATCCAGCTGAGTAGTAAGAAATTTTTACCCTTTTGCTGCCAGCATATTAGGCTTCTGGGTTCCCTTCCCCTTAGTTCAACTTTAAGCCAAACATTTTAAGGTTTGGAGAATTAACTTTTCCCAAGTTGAAAGTACACAAAGAAAAGATGCAATTTTAAACCACAAGAGAAGGAAAAACACCATAGAAAGGAGTTCTACTAAGGGTTAAGAGGTAATACCTCTCTTCCTGTTGGGAATGGTGTTTCCCCTATTTCTTTGCCTTCCCTATTTTCTCTTTTCCCTTCTGGCCTACTATAGGAGACATATTGCTTATCTCCAAAATTTTCTTCTGCTTGCGGAACTGCCTATTTTAGCTAAAATGAGGGTTTGACTTTGCAGCAACATAACCTTCCCTCCATGTGAGATCAAATACCTGAGTTAAATTTTGGAAAGCTTCCATGTATCTAACAGGTTCATCAAAAGATCAGCCTTAGTTTCTCTTTACTTGCCTAAGGTCCTGCAATGAGAAGGGAACTTTAAGGAGCGCCAAATAAGGGAGACCCTTAGATGACTTCCCTGAAAGTTACTTTAATTTTGGGAACTATTTTCCCCGAGCCTGCCCGATATGGCCACAAAAGAAAATAAGCCACTTTTTCTTCAGAGTTTCAAGGTTGAAGGAGTCCCAGTGCTTCAACATATACTCCAGGGCATTTGTCAGAGTGGTGAGTATGGGAGCAAGCTCAAAATCTGTTCTATCATTCCAAGATGCTCTTCACCTCTATATTAAATCAAATAAATCAATGGGCGTCTGTTAGCCTAGTACATATGCTTAGCCTTGGCTGCTGTACTCAAGTCATGGATGTGAGGCTTGCTGGGGAGAACACGGAGAACCCCCTTTACCCATGGGGTATTGGGAATGTTGGCCATGTTTGAACTAGCTTATTTTCATGGGGGATCTTGCCATCACGCAAGGCTGGGAAAAGTCCTGAGGCAACTGAGAATTTCTGGCCAGGGCATGCCCAGGTGTGATTCAAAGGTCTCCGGACCGGATGTAGCCTCTGACAACCAATTCTGGGTGTTGGCAGAGAACCTCAACTATCCTGGTGCACAACTCTTCTCTCTCTATCTGCAGCCTCTTACTCTTTCTCTGCATGAAATGTGCAAGATTTTTACAGTCTAGAAGCAGAGTTTTCCCCTTTCCCTCCCGCAGTGAGGTTAGTTGCTACCACTTCTCTGGTAAGCACATTGTGTTTCTCAGCACAAGGCATGTTTGGATATGTCTGGGCAAGTCTCAGCCAATGCACCAAAATGGTACAGTTCCTATGAGTGGAGAACACCAGGTTCTTCATCTTGAGTTGAATTAGAAAAAATGACATGGACACACATGGAGTAGTTTTAAGGTGCAGGGAGTTTAATAGGCAAGAAAGAAGGGGTAAGGAAGAAGCTCCCCTGTACAGAGACAGAGGGAGGAGGCTCCAAAGCTGAGAGACAGAACCCTCAAGAAGTCTTCTATATATGTCACTTCAACTTAAAACTGCAAGTGTGAATATTTGGACTTAAAGAACATTTGGTTTGGGTCAGGTCCCCCTTTTACTTAACTGCCTAGTTACTTGCAGAGAGTCCATTTTTGAGACTTTTTTTAATCCCTCAGTAACCTAATCTATAAAATAGCAGCAAGAGAACATATGAGAAAGTACTTTGAATACAATAAGCTGCTTCTCAAAGGTACACATGCTTTTTATAGAATAACAGAAAATTACCTGGAGCAGTTTTCTGGCTTTCCTCAATGGGTTGGACATTCTGTTGACCCTGTGGTTAAACAATTAGGTACCAACATGAGACAAGACCCTATTACATGCTGGAAGGAAACCACTATAAAAGCCTAAGAACCTGAGCTTTCGTTTCAAAAAGCAAATTCTCCTAAGTCCTCTGTGTAACAGCTCTAGCTTACACTTTGGTCTCAAACCACCTTTCTCATACTACAGTATGTGGTAGTCTACATAATTGACACTCTAATGAAATTAGTGGTAAAAGGCACTAAGTTTCTTATGGTCAAATTTAAACCACACATGCAGACTCCACAAATACCAGAGGCATGCATGAAAGCTCTGAGTGGGTCAGGTAAAACAAAGGGAAGTAAATGTGTGACACATGGTCATGCAGCAATCTTGGTTAATGGCAGTTGAGAGAAAATCAAAGATGCTTCTTCCTTGGCAACCTTATTGAAAATGGGACTGCTTCCTTCCTTCATCACAAGCCTACTCCATATCCTGCTTTGTTTTCTTCATAATACTCACCTGTCTCTATTTGAATGCAAATTGTGGGAGGCCAGGGACTTACTGTTCAGTGCTGTATCCTAGGTGCCCAGGATCATGCTTGCCCAGCACTCTGTAGAGGTTGTGTATTGTTGGGATGTAGCAGTCAGGCAGTCGGGTGTGTTACCACTAAAAGTACCACATTTGTCATTGCTTAAAAAAGGGATTTCAGTGCTTTTGATTACTGACCCGGATTCCCTAGAAAGTTGATCCTGAAACTACTTCTGTGCTTCTGTGTATTGGGGAAAGGGGTAAACGGGACAGCAAGGGTGAGGGGATAAAGTGAGACAGGAAAAGAAGTTAGGTGACTTCAGCTGCTCACAGCTTTACCAGAAAAAAACACAACTGTTTATCGTGGCAGGCAAAATGAAACACTATTAAAACACTTTGTGAAGGGGGGTAGATCAAATCTTCCATTCTAGTAGTATACAGCTAAACTTCTTAGACTTGATGCCTTGATGTATATTAAGGCTACTAGATTAATAGAAGCTTATTTCTGAATTGAAACGATAAAATTGGTAATGACATTCTCAGGTAATCTTGTCTTGACTTTCAACTACACTAACTCTCATTGATTTCCAGTATCCCATGAATTTATGCTAAAAATGATATACTTAAAATGGAAGGGATAAGTTTGAATAGTACTATAAAAATCCAGGTTGACAATGTTATTTCTCTAGAAATACTACAAGTCACAAGTGTAAACCCTACCATCTTACTTATGCTCTCTGTTCTGCTTTTGTGCTTCAACTCTGCTTTCCCTGAGTTTATAAAAAGAGGGAAAGCAGAAGAGCTGCTACCAAATGGGATCATATTCTTTTTGATGTAGGACTTCTCACAGCTTTGGCTCTCGAAGTTATTGAGATGACGTTTGGGGTGTCAGGTGTCTATAAGAATTGACTGCCTGTGAAATGGAGGGGAAGGCAAGATTAGGGAGAAAAGTCAACTGATATGGGCTGGACCAAGTATTCACTAAGCTGGTGGGGAGTTCAAGAGCTAGTATTCCCCGTTTTCCTGAATCAGGCCATGATGGTTGGGCCCAAGAAGGAAGAACATTCTGCAGAGGCTTCAGGAAGAAGTTTTAAAGGTGGGAGTAGGTTACCCAAGTCAGAAGGATGTGAAAAGACTGAGAGGCTAGTATAGATAGAAGCCCTTATTAGATGTGAGTACAGTGGGAAGGCATAGGGTAAATAGTGCCAGGTAAAGTGTGTGTTGTGGGAAGGACTTCACCACCTAGGATACAGCTGCTGGAAGAAGTGAGGTGCTATGGCTATGAGGGAATGGGGGACTATTTACCCACCAACCTCTTAAATGCCTCCTGTTGTCCAACCCCACTGGAAACAAGAGGACAAAGGACCACATGTGATGCAGTTCATAAACAATTGGCACATCTGGGCATAGAGCAGGGCAAAGGAGGATGAAATGTTTATGAAGGAAGCAAGTAGAGAAAAACATCTGGGTTTCATGTTGGAGAGAGAACCAGTGGTGATAGACTAGAAGAGTCCTAAAGGAATATATAGGGTACAAGTCCGGGACGGAAGCAGTTTTTGGGAAGAATGGGTTAAGCTAAAGGGAAAATAGGCCTAGAAGCAGATGAACAGCAGAAAGTGTTCAGGAGCGGGAAGACCTGAGTGTTGGGGAACAGATGCTGAAGGCTGACACAGAGCAAAGATGCAGAGAGTCAGCTTCTATGTCAATGTTAAATACCTTAGAGGGTGGCTTGAGGGCCACAGTAGAGGATGTTTTCTAAGTATGGTTTTCACAACCAACACTATATTCATTTTTTCTTATGCATGAAAAAATACATCAGTTTAAAAAAAGTAGGAGGCTTAGCATGTCTTTGACTTCCCTGTCAGTACGTCTTAACACATACAACTTCTACTGTAACATAGAAGCATTTTTAGGCCTCTTACACTCCTCCAATTCTTATCTTAATGTTGAGGATAAGTGATTAAAGCACAGCAAATTACACAATATGAAGGTATTGCCAGAGTGTAGCAGGATAAGTGCAGACAAAATCCCTCAGATACCGGGTTAAAGAAGGAAGAGGCTTTATTTGGCTGGAAGTATCAGCAGACTTGTGTCTCCAGAACTGAGCTCCTCACCAAGCAGTTCCTGGCCCTTTTTAAGGGCTTACAACTCTAAGGGGTCCACGTGAAAGGGATTGAGCAAGCAAGGGGTACGTGACTTGTTGGGGTGGGGGGGCGGTGAGCAGGATCAATGCTTCTAGGAGAATGTTTCTCTATACTATGTCTGAAATCTATAGATAACGCATGTGGTTAGAGCAGAGGTTAATTTTTAACCCCAGGTCTGGCCAGTGGTGCCAGTCAGTCTTGCCACTGACTTCATCCCTGTTGCTTTTCAGCTTTTACTTCCTCCTCCTCTTGGGAGACAGGAGACAGTAAGAAATGGCTCTTCTCCTCACAGGGACACAGCAGAGAAGATAGCAGCTCATTGGCAGTCTCTGCTGCACAAGAGTGCAGTGGAATTTGCTGGTGTACACCCACAGGTTCAGTCTAGGGCACTTTTAATTTATGTAGTGGCTTTTCTTTAAAAAAAAAAAACCTCGCTAAATGCACAACAAATATGCAGATGGTGACTTCAGCAAGAAATAAAATCACTACTGAACAGAATGACTAATGACAAATTTGAATCTTTAGCTCTTTCAAAGATGCTGGAAAACATTAAGGAACACTAGCTTGCACCTTCTACTAGTCCAGGCAGTTCTTATAGGACCCTGTATGCTTTCTCCTTCCTGGGGTTTTAAGGTTTCCAGATACAGTAACATGTAGTTGATAGGCAGACAACTTCCCCTAGATAACTTATTAGGCCATTAAAAGTAATGACAAAAAACAACAATTACTTTTGCACCAATCTGGTGTTACACTAAGAACAGTTACCCTGATTATTCTCCATGGTTGTTGATAAACACCATTAAACCATTAAATTTATACAGAAAATGCATCTACATATTCCCCAGGTATAAAGAAAGATGGACCAGTAGAAAGAAAAGTACCATTCCAAGCATCTCAGTGGTAGGAAGATGGATATCTGGTATCTCCTCTCCCTTGACCAGTTGAGGGGGCTGTGTTGGGATCCTCCCTGGTCTCTCTGAATAGATAAAACTATATATACTCCATAGTATATATATTCCATAGTAGATGCATAGACTCTAGACAATTGATAACCCCCAGTGGGAACTGTTTCTCCTGAACTCAGGAGGAAGGGCCAACTTTGTTTTTTTTGTTTTTTTTTTTTTAGACACGTGTTTAGGCTAGATAGGTAAGACAAAGAACTCCCTAGATGAGCCAACACTAGGCAGGAAACCAGACCAGATGGTAAAATAACTAGTACCCAGGGTGAGAATACCAGAAGAAATTGTGAAAAATTAGAATAAATCATCTCCCATATTAGAGGAGCTGAAATGGGCAGCACAATTCAGGGGGCTCCAGGGTGCTTTTGTGCTACCTAGTGTACTGTTCTCAGGACACTTTGAAACTTGCAGTATGTTTGGCTCCTTCAGCTTTGCCTAGGCATTTAGTGCAGCTTGCATCCAGATGACTATTTTTTGGGTAAAGGCCTGTGTTTAAAAATCACTGGTGTCCAGGGGTTTCCATTTCTTGGTAATGAAGACCACTGCAGTGTGTTGGGGGTGGGGGTGGCTTTCAGTGTAGATCTGCCAGTCCCTCTTCAGGACACACTGAATCACCTATAACTTAGTGTAAGCCTGAGAGGAGTCTACACTGTGGAAGCCATAAGGAAGTATAAAGGCCTTGCTAGACAGTATGTAGCATCTAGAACAAAGAGTGGTAAAATTCAAGAGGCAGACAAGTGAACCAGACCATAAGTCTCTGGGGATGGCAAGTGGTGGGAAGGTAAACATGTGATAGACAAAGTCTAGTTAGTAAAGTCTATTTTACAAGCTCCTTTATTCTTATGGCTGATTAGAAACTCTCCTGTCATAGAGGTGGGGATTTGTTCCTTCTCCTTTGGATCCCAGTGCTGAACCATCTCGTGAGTTATTCTGCCTGAATTGAGAATCTCATTGTTGAGTGAATGTTGATTGACCTGATCTTTCCTGATGCTTTTTGTATGCATCCTTCAGTCATGTTTCTAGAATATCACCTGGTATTGGATTCCCCTATCTGTGATTCAGCATGGTTGAGCTGGTCTCTACATGATAAAATGCTGCAGAAGCAAGATGTAGGAATGCTATTTAATTTTGAAGCATCCAGATGTCGAGTTACTTTGGCATAAGGAAACCATTCAGATCCTACAGTCTTCAAGAGACTCTCATGCATTTCTAAACTTAAGTATTTCATCAGTTACTTCAGGGATAAGAATTTGCATGGCGTCAGTCTCTAAGGAAGTTCTTAATTGTGACCAGTGTTGTCACTTGTGTTTCACTTGCAACAAGATAATTTTGGACTATGAATGGTTGCCCAACATCTGTCCTTAGTCGAGAGTATTCTGATCAGGGTTCTATGGCACCAGTTATACACTGCTATCTTAGACATATGTGTAGCCACATCAAGATGTGGGTAATTAATATACATATCACTGATTTCTGCAGCAGACTTGAGTGGATTGAACCAGTCCTCAGAAGCTGAGTTGTCTCTTGAATCACAAAAGAGCAATGAAAATACTAATTGCAGGATGGTAAAGACCAAGTCGGTGAGTTGAATCATCAGTGACTGCAATTCTGCAGGACTCAGTTCCATAGCCTGTAGGGAGCCAAGTAACAGTGCCATCAGGTTTACTCATGAATTGGCACAGGAAAATGCTTCCAAAATGAGGGTATGACACTGCATACCATATTTATGTACATAGTCAGTGGTGAAAGCTGTCTCCTCAGATTGTTATATGGGATCAACAATTGCAGGCACATGCCCCTCTGTAGCAGGGGGAGTGGCATGGACAATTTGTAATGATTGGTAAACAGTTCAAGTACAATTGACCCTGCCACTTTCTCTGTAGCACAAATGATCAGCTTCTGAGCTCTTGACTATGTGAGCTTTCCTTGTATCTGCTTTATTGCCTTCCACTCACAATCATGTACTTTAGCTGAAGGACTTTCTGGGGTGGCATACTGTGGTCTTCTACATTGTGTTCAAACCAGGTTGCTTTTCCTTCCCTTTCATCTTCATTTCTCTTAGCAAATTCAGGGCATAACATAATCTTCTAGGTTTGGGAGTGGGAAAGGGCAGGCTGGTAACAAGAAGGGAAAAGCCCTTCTCCAGGGAGTGTTGGGCACCCAAGTCAACCTGCATGGAACTATAGGTGAACCCAACCCTTTGTGTCTGTAGTGAAGTTTCCCACAAACTATACACCAACACTTGAGCCAGAAACTTGCAGCAAAAAGCCTTGAATATGTGAAGGAATAAAATGAGCCTTTATAGTTTTGGCGTCAATGAGTCTTGCAGCAATTATTGCCTGTGGTGCCAACATGGCCTCCCAGCTCTTCAAGTATCAGTCTCTTCCTCTCTTGCTCACCAGACTTTTTTGAAGCCTTGCTGTCCTGGTCGTGGGCAGTCATATATGACTAGAGCTGGCCCCTCATGGTGTTGCAGGAATATCCTTGATGCTTTTACCTTGTTCTTCACTCATGTTTGTTCTGGGTAAGCATACTTCTGGAGTCTCATAAACAAGTTGTCTATTGGTCAGACAAAATTGTTGGTGCCAATTCTGCAAAGTATCCTGGTGCATCTTGGCAACCCACCTTATTAATTGGAGGCAAAATATTTGGCAAAGGAAGGACTAGTATGTTACAACCCGGTTTTGGGCAAGGTTGGAGTTGGTCATTTATGTGAGGAATACAAATTTTATAATTTCTAAGCTGCATCACTTTGAAATCTGCAGTTGAAACACTTGGTTTTGTTTTCTCTAGTTTCTCTTTATATGGATGCAATGTGAAAATCACTTTTCTCGGTTCTCGATGCTATTGTAATTTGAGTCTGACACGTTTGGGGAAAAAACAGAAGTCAGCAATGTTTGGTAGAAGCTTAAATGAAATGGCAATAGCATGCAAACTGGAGAATTTACCAAAAGGTCAAGGTTAATAACATGAACACTTGTAGGAGACTTAGAGTTACTGAGATCCCAGTAAGTCTGGACTCAATGAGCCTCCAATCAAATGTGAATTCTGGCCTCATTGGTCAGTATGGCTTTCTCTGGACACTTCAGTTTTGGGTGCTCATTGAGCTGCTTCTTGAGGCATCAATGAGAGCCATGGGTAGAGGGCTACACCCACGACATGAGTTCACTTGGATCAAGAGAAAGATACTCCTTGTAGTGGAACATAAGACCAGAAATAGGAACACAAAGTAACAGGCCCAGAGCAAATGGGAAGTGGTAACTTGATAAATGTTGAAATAGTTGGTTCGGAAGGGTAGTGGGGACTATCTTCTGGAATATGATTAATAAACCTCAGAACACATCAATATGGAATAAAGTTAATACCCATAGTGCTAGAGTAATGCAGGAATGGGCCTAGTTATCTTCCTGACTTGGATGGTTCTCTCCCTGTAGACTTGAATGTCTACATGGGTATACATGCTTGCATTTATGGCTGAATCTATTACAGTGCTTCAGTTTTAATGGAAACTAAACTCCTCTACTGCCAGCATATGTCATCTTACATGCAGCTGGCAAGTTGGGATTAGGTGTTGATAAGTTCCAGGGATGGGGAGGAAATCCTGTGAAGTAAATGCCTCCAGATAGTGGAACTATTTGAGGCTCTTCAGGTACATTGCAAGGTAGCTATTCCTGTGAGTTTGGCTGGCTTTTCTAGAATTGAAGGGACTTGTTGTAGTCAACTTGATACCAAGTGTTGTGTTGGTCTCCTTATCAGAGTTCTATATTTGGATTCAATGTTTGTCTCTGAAAGGCTGTGGAAGCAGCAGTAGCTAGATTGCCCTAGAAACTAGTATTTTGATGCTGTTGGGCAACTGTGTAGCTTCCATCTCTGCCACCATGGCCTGTGTTCACTTGGTGGCTTACTGATTAAAAACTAGCAGAGCTATTCCATCTGGGTCATCCAGTGAGTCTTCTTTAGTTGCTTTGCAGTGGGTCATAATACGTGACATGAAACCTCCATGTCTCTGCATGTACTTCTCATAGACTTCCTTTTCTTTGGCTATGTAGTCAGTTTCTATTCAGTGTACTGACCAGAAACAAGACCACTGGCCTCAGATCAGGGTATGTTCTCATCTTAGGCCTCATGTCATCCCTGTTAAAGTAGATTCATAATGAGCTAGCTTGAGCTGTCATTTATTTTCCCTAAAGGTGGGGCCTTGGGAGATGTATTTTTCTTGGTGCTCTAAGCATAGCCAAGAAGCTCTGGAGTGTTGGAAATAGTGTTCTCAGTTAGCATTTAGAGCATAAGTTGGTCTCTTACTAATCCACAAACATCTTGGTTTTGCTGACAGAGGCTTATAAATTCTCAAATGATATCATATTCAGGAACATATCTGCTTTTGGTGTCTTGGCCCTTCTGATAAAGGGGTGATAATGAGGACGCTTATGAAGTACACTGATTCTCATCTACTACAAATGTTGAAAGTAGGCTGGCTCTGGTATTCCTGGTTGCGGTCAGTAATGCCTAGGCTTGTTTGCAAAGCCATAAGCTAAGAGTTAATGAGGAAATAATGAGGTCACTATTGTTGGGCTGTGGGTGGTGGAAAAATGGATGTCTTGCTTAGGTGGTATTCCCTGACTTCAAGCCCTCTTCCTTTTGTACTAAGTGAAACTTGCTGTCATTATTCCTGTCTGTAGAATGGGATTGAAATCTGTAGTGACTTAGACCTCTGATTCTTTTACAAGACTTTCTGTACTGAGAGAACATGAAGAACCATCTTCCCAGTTTCCCAGGAAGGCAGAGTTCCCAGGCTAAAAAGAGCTCTACAGAAGGTGTGCCTGAACACAGTTGGGCTTGGAGGATGTACAAAAGTCCTGCACTCTAAGCCCCTGTCTGAGTGTGCCAACCTGTATCCAAACTGCTACATCACATGATTCCCAGAATATAGGCTGGTGTGATTGCTAGTGATGGAGGGTGCTGGTCTACCAAATACAGCGGTCACCTGGATGTTCCCAGGGGAGTGGCCAGAGGGCCATGTCTGGTGTTGCAGGTTCTGGACAATAGCATACAGCACAACTGTACATTTTATATTTTCGTTCAACTGGTCAACTGTTACATTGTAGGTCAAGCTAGAACATAAGTATTACAGAGACTTGGCCTCAGTAAAGCTTGCTTGCGACTGATCACTGTCTTTTTGGGGATCAATCAGGGACTGCTTTATTATTTACAAGGTGTCACCCAACTGGTCTGACTCCCAAGCATTGGAACCAAGAATAATTCCAACTGGTAGGAAGAGTCAAAGCCTGGGATTCCAGGTGAAGGAAAACTTGTACTGAAATGTTAAATTGTACTTCTGTAGACCCATCAGTGGATCATTTGATCGGTCAAAGCAGATCGGATCATTTGAGCTTATCTTCCTGTAAGAGAAATCTTTGGAGTTCAGGATGAGGTGTCTGAGTCTGAGGACATGGCTAGTAACTGACACTGACTTCCATGCCTTATAAGACGTGGGTCCTCTTGTGCTTCCCTCCCCTGGTATCTGGCAGTGCAGTGGGTGTGTAGGGAGTAAGACAAATCCCCAAAATGAACTGCAGAGGCAGATGCTCTGGGACCTAATGCAGTGTTGGCCAGGAGAGGGCAGCACCGAATCACAGGTGGAGCTCTGTGTCCTGAGAAACCTTGGTGAGGTTGGAGCCTCAGCCAGGCAGCCTCCAGAGGGTGTCCTGTGGAGAAGGAACTGGCAGGGAGTGGGGCTTTGGTGGGCCCAGTACTCCCAAATAGGAGACTGGAGGGCCTCAGAAACAAGCTCTGTCTTCTGCTGCTGTTCTCCGCCCTTCTTGCTCTTTAAGGCAGCTCTTAGAAACTGGAAGCCCTCCTCCCCAAGCCAGCCCTAAAGCTAGGAACATTACTCTCCCCGTCCCTTTCTGTGTAACAGCTGACCGTAAAGAAATTCTGACTTGCCTTGATAAACAGGTCATCAAATGCTCACTCCAGAGGGGTCCTGCTCCCTACCCAGAAAGAAGGAATGCTGTAGAGACCAAGGGAAATAAAACAGACCGGCCTTGCTGGGTTTCCCCACTCAGTCTGTGGGCATTAGGTCATGCCCTTGTCCAATCACAGTTGGACACAGCTGTCCATGCTTCATTAAACCTAAGCAGAAAAATGGTAATAGCAAGTTCTCCCTTTGGGCCTTCACTCTGGCTCCCGTGTCACATACAATTGATAGGAATCTTTTTTGCTTAAAACAGCTGTGTGGAACATACAGCTGTAGATGGAGGCAGGTTTGGGGAGATAATGGGTTAAGCTCAAAGAATGGTCTCAAAGCAAATGACTCCAAGTAGAAGGTGCTTAGAGGACCTCAGTGGGGAACAGATGCTGAAGTGCTGGAGCAGAACAAAGTGCCAGAGTCAGCTGCTTCCTGTGTCAACGGCAAACACCCAAGTGGCTGAGGGCCACAGTAGTGGAGGGTGGCATGTCTTTCAGAAGGACCCATGCTGGAGCAGCATGGTACATTCCCAGAACCAATGTGTCCACACTTATCTCCTGGGTGTAGAAAATACTTTGTGTGAAAGAATAAGTTCATGTCCTAGAGTCTGTTTTCACCATGCATGTGTTTTACTGCACACAAGTTCTATGCAAGTGAGCCTTCCTAGGCCTCTCAGGCTCACTTAGTGTTTCTCTTAATGTGAAGAATATTGGTTATACAGCATAGTAAACAATGAATATGAGATGTGGGGACACAGCAGAGCACACGGCAGCTCACTGATTTTCTTCCCTGCACTTGTGTGCAGCTGAATCTGCTGGTAAACACCCAAAGGGTCATCTCGGTGTATTTTCTATTTGTGTAGTGTCAGATCTAAAAAATCTTGCCGAAGATAATGAATGAGCAGATGGTAACTTCAGATAGCAAAGGAAGTCTATGGCACTTGGGTTCATTACACGGGACATTACATCAACTGGAAAATGCTGTCTGGAGCATTTAAACAGTGTATTATACTAGTCAAGGCAGTTCTCAGAGTTTTGTCTAAGACTTCCTTGGGGTTATGGTCCCTGTTACCATATGTTGAACTTACAGGCAAACAACTACATAAGGTAATTAAGCTCAAGTTTTGGTCTAGGTTTAAAAGTGAGTTCTGACTTGGCAAAGTGTGTTTTTTTTTTTTATCTTACAGGTACATATTCTGCTTACGTAAATTTAACATTGTTTTTTAAGGTCTCATGGATTATGCAGCATCACTTTCTAGCACTCTTCTTTGAGGACTCCACTGGTGTAGAGATGAATATCTCATCCTCCACTTCCCACTACTAGTTGAGTGGCTCAGTGTGGATCCTCCTTGGCATCACTGCATGTACAAAGCCAGTTCTTGGACTCTATATAGGCCATTGAGCCCATAGTGAATGGTACTTTATAATTCAAGGAGGTAAAACAAACTCTGGTTTCTCAGATGTGTATGTATTAGGTTGGATAAATGAACCAGGCAGGAAATGTTCTTGGAAAAGAGCCATACACTAGGCAAGAAACCATCTAGAGGTAAGATCACTGGAATCTAGTGCTATAATAGGCGGGAGAGTTAGGGTGTAACTACAGAAACAAGAGGAATTCATAACCATGACGTGTCAGGGGTGCCAGCATAGGGCAGAACATGCCACTTGAATGTTCCAGAGTTGAAGAAGACTACATGTTTAGGCATCCCAGGCATAGGAGAGAAGACTCATACTCTTCAAAGCCATTTTGCCTGTGTTGCAGGTTGGGCTGTTTAGAAACAGGTTGAAGTGGAATTTGGCATGAAGTATGGTATTTAGAGATCAAATTGTGTCTAAGAGATGGGAAAGCAGGATAGGGCTAACTGTAGTGTGGGGCCCAGAAGTGCCTTGGCCAGTGTCGGCATGCATGTGACCCATCATGGTTGTTCCATGGTGGCCTATCATGGTTGTATCATGGTGGCCTGAGATTGCTGGCCTGCATATGTCTGTAGTCAGCAAGTGGATGAGGGCTGCTAGGGGAAGGGGCATGCCCTTGGAACTGAGGCAAACTCTGTAGAGGTGATGGCTGGAGGCTGCTGGCTGTGCTCCAAGCAGTTGCGGTAACAAGCCCTTGTTGAAGGGGATCTGGTGGTACATTCCCATGCCCTCAATCCAGTGATCTGGTGGAGCTGTCTACCCTCTTTAGTCTCTTGCCTGAGTTCATGTGTGGATATGCTCAGTGTGGCTTTCTTGCTCAGGCCCTACCTTTCCTACTGAGCCCCAGATGAATCTGAGCTCTTTCAGCACTAGATGCTTGACAAGACAGAAGCCATGAAGTGACAAGACTGTGTTCTATTCTGAGACCACTACACGATCACTTCCATTCTTTTAACCTACCTAGGATTAATGTAAGAAGTTACTGTTTATAGGGTCTAAGTGTTCTGAACCGCTTTATGGTACGTCTAGCGGGGGTGGTCTGTATGCCTCTCACATGTCATGTCTATAGCTTGCAAAATTGACCAAATTAGCTTGGCATGCTATATCCATGCCCCAGATGGTTTGGACCACTAGGCAGACTTTCTTTGCTTTGATAATAGATAGGTCCAGGGTTTAAAACTTAAAAAGCTACCCTCTATCTTTATCCTCTGTATTTTGCCTCTCAGAAAACCCTTGCAGGGAAGCACAACCCAGGCAGAATGGGTCCAGTGGCTGCAGCACAGATATTCTAGGCCCCTTGTCTGAGGTTCCTCAGGTGTGGGGGGTACATGTCCAGGAAGGAACTGTCCTGTCCCAGCCTTCTCACAGGCACAGAGGGGAGAGAATCCAGAGTGCTCTACCCAAGACAGGGCAGCACTTTAACCCTTTGCTTGCCTCATATGAAGGTCTTTAACTCAGACCCTGAGCCTTGGGCAGATAGGAGGAAAAGCCTAGAAGGGTACCTACTGTTGAAACAGGCACTTATATAAGCATGGAGGCCAGATGGGCAATGTGGGCTGTGTAGATACCAGCGTGATCTAAGGGTAGGGATTTTTTATGTGAAGCCCATGATGCCTAGTAGTGGCTGCCTTGCAGACAGTGAAATCCATCCAGTTTATAATGTCATTGTAATGGACTGTATTTCTGGGAAGCTGCATGTGAGCATGGTGATCACTCCTGGCCCATATCCTGATTCATGTGAGATTCCTGTCTCAAGCAGGACCTCCATTGCACCCTGACCTTCCTGGGAATGAATACTTTCATGACCTTCTATAATAGCATAGTCCCTATTCTCTGAGGTCTCACAGGTGTGGCCTTAGAGTAATTGAGCCATAAGGCAAAGTGACCCTTAGAGTAGCCCATTTGTCATGGCTAGGAACAGAAGTCACCTGTCCAACAGGCTGTTAGCAGCTAATGTTCAACACCAACTATGAGTGAGCTTAGAAGTAGGCATTCTGGGGTGTGATCCACTTTGGAGTAGATCCGTTCTCACTAGTTGAGGCTTAAAATGAGAGCATGTTTCCAGCTCACAGGTTGACAATGCCAGGAGGGACTTTCAAGCAAGAGCATTTAGCTAAGCTTTACCTGAAGCCCTTATTTTTACAAACAGTGAGATTTAAATGTTCTCTCATGTTGCTAATCTTTGGGGTCAATTGTTCGGCCTATAAATAGCTTTGTTAAAAAGCCAGAAATATGATTTTTCTCATTCCAGAATAAAGAATTAGGGACAGGCATGCCATGACCTTGAGTATCTACTACCTGAGATGGCCTCTCTTAGAACCACCTTGGAGACCATCTTCCTGAGACTTGGTGATTCCCCACCATCAGCACAGAGCTGCGTAATAGCCTGTAGGCAGTTCCGTCAGGTAGAAGTATTATGGAAGTCGCGTGTTAATCCCCCTCATCACAGGTTTTTTAAAAACTAAAATAATCAGGTGAAACTAACATTAAGATTCTTGGGTTGAATTAGACTTGTGTTGCCCCTTGTCAGTTGCACTCTGCTCCTAACTTAGTCTTCTGGTCTTGACAATAATTTCCTGCCTAATGTAGGGGAACTCTGCCTTGTAGGCTCGCTGGGCATCAGATGGTAAAATCTCAATGCTTTCACTAAACCTTCCAGTTTTCAGGGAAATGGGTAAATGTTCTAAATCAAAACAAACTATAAGTGCACAAGTTTGAATAGCTTAGAGGTTTTCTGGCTCCTAAATGTGACTATTGTCTTTAAATTGGCAGGGTGGACAACTGGATTCTTCTGCCACCTAGTGGAAGAAACTAATCTCTCCACAGTGTTCTAGAGGTGGTGGCAGGGGCTAGATCAGCTGTGGCAGCAGCCAGAATCAGAATAGGGACCCCAGCCAGAACTAGGGCAGCTGTCACAGATGGTGGGGGGGGGGGTGGGGAGGGGGTACTCAGTCCTCAGTAGGAAGGACCCTGAAAAGAGGAGATTGTCCACTGTCTACCTCTTTCAGGGAAGAGCCAAGATTGCCCGCTGACAGAAGATGAGGTTTGAGATGCCTGCCATGAAGAAAGTGCCAGTCAACCATGGTTGGGGTCTGTGCAGGGTACATCCAGGAAAGTCTTATTTATTTTGGGTATGGAATTACTCAGAAGTATTTGGCTTTGGTGTAGAATGTAGGTCTGTGTTTGATGTGTAAAAATGCTGATGACCCAGAGGAAAACTTTTCTACCTCCTGTTGGAGTCTGGATTGGGAGGTACAATCCCAAGCTTAAAGCTCATAACAGTGTCCTAGAGCAGACCTGACCCACAACCCAAGTACCTTCTTCCCTCCCTCCATGGCAGATGTGAGCTAGGGAAATGAAAGGTCTGCCTTTGGACACCGATGCAACAGTTCTAGAAGCTGAGGTTCTTGTGTTACTCTGGATCCCATTTGACTGTAATATTCTACTTGGTCTTTAGCTGCTGTAGAGCTCATGCCAGCAGGAGGGCTTTTTGCTCCTTGTGTTAGAGGCAGCTAGACCCTATAGCATCAGGCCAGGTTGGTGTGGTCCCAGGGGAGCAGTAGGAAGAAACACTTCAAGTCCTATCCCCTAACCATTCCCTGGTGCTCTCTGCCTGTGAACCTTGGGACTATTGGATAATGTCTTCTCTGAGTCCTAGAGCCAACTGTGAGAGACAAGAGTCTACCTGAATGAAGGACAGAGCTGGATGTGGACTCGTGCTGGTTGTGGCTTTTTTTTTTTCAAGGTATCCTTTCAATTTCCTCTAAAATAGTCTGGCTCTCAGACTTTTGGATCCTTGGATAGTAGTCCAATTCTGATGTCTCCTTTATAGTCTCTGGGGGGAATTCTGTACTGGAAAATCCACAGGCCAGGAAAGATAACTGTGGCCTTATTCCACTTGACCACCCACAGCCATCCTGTCCTTCCTGAGGCATCCTTTGCCTAACGCCTGCCAGGCCCCTGGGCTTTGCTAGAATCCTCCTCTCTATCGCTGTCACCATGCTGCTTGCACTGCTGTTCACCAGCTCAGGCACTTACATCTTCAAGTGTCTCTTTACCCCACCTTGCCCAAAGAAGGCTGTGAGTCTCCCTTGGATGGCAGCTGCATGTGCTGCCCGGCCTAAATGCCCCTACTTTCATGCCTTGCTTCACACCCTACATGCCATCCACTTTCTACCGCAATTGGTGACTATTTATCCTAGCAGGTACTAGGTAGCATCATTCAATCTTTGCCATCCTTAAAGTTGAAACATGAGGGAGTGTACTTACTTGATCACTCAATTGAGCTTAAGTTTATATGCTTAATGGCTTCTATCTTGTTCATAAAATATGCATGGCGGCTTTTACTCCTTACCTTCTAGGTATTTCATTTGTGAGGTTTATTGAGTATTGGGAATATAAGACCTCAAACTTTTTCTTCACCAGCTTGCCTGGAACTGTTAATTGTTACTGCATCCCTTACAGTGTCCCTTTGAATGTTACACTACATGCATCATGGTGAATTATTCACTGAAAGAAAGTAGTCTCCTTCCTCATTCTTTCCCCTAGCAACCCAAACCCCTTCTCTAAAGGAAACTCTCTTGTTACTGTCCAGAGACTCTGCTTATACTTAATTTTTCTCCAAGCAGAATCCGTATTAATACTTACATACCTTACCCCTTTAAAACAGTGAATGTTTTCAATTTATCTTAGATATTTCCTATCAGTGCATACAGAGCAAGGCAGAGTCTGAGACTATAGGTTTGTTACCTTTCCCATGGTGGAGGCTTTCCAGTTGGTGTTAATGTATGATACAGAATGGTAGGGTCCTCTGTTCATTTGTCAAAACAAGTACCTAGCCTGTTGGCTGTAGCCCAAATGTCTCTGCGGAAATACTGGTGTAATTGGAGGTTTGCCCTTGGGGTAAGCACTGTGACAGTGCAGCCTACCGGCTTAGCTGCTTCTATAGGAGTCAAGCTTCGTTGCACCTGCTCTGCTCTAATCCTTCAGTTAATCTTGTGCTCTAATGTTTAATCAAGCTCACTCACATTTCTTTGAAGTCAAAAACTTGGACTGTTGGCTCTTATAATCCTGTCGTATACAGTTATATACCTTGCATGAGGACTTACCCAAATAACAGTACAAGTGACTGGTTTTGGAGCCAGGAAGATTCTTAGAATTCTGTTTTATGAAAACATATACTGCTATTGTAAACCAACTAAAGCGAGTGAAAGTAACAAATCTAATATACTAGTCACTTCAGTCTAAAACCATGAATATGGGACGGGTGCAGTGGCTCACGCCTATCATCCCAGCACTTGGGGAGGCCGAGGTGCGTGGATCACGAGGTCAGGAGATCAAGACCATCCTGGCTAACACAGTGAAATCCCATCTCTACTAAAAATACAAAAAATTAGCCAGGCGTGGTGGCGAGCGCCTGTAGTCCCAGCTACTCAGGAGGCTGAGGCAGGAGAATGGCGTGAACCCAGGAGGCGGAGCTTGCAGTGAGTCGAGATCGTGCCACTGCACTCCAGCCTGGGTGACAGAGCGAGACTCCATCTTAAAAACAAAAAACAAAAAACATGAATATGGTGCATATTTGGACTTACAATAGATATTCAGGTCCTACTTCCACTTAACTGTCATGTTACTTCTAAGGGAGATTGTTTCTTTGACTTGGGCATATCTAAGGTACTAGCTGAGAGCAAGAGAATGTAGGAGAAAGTACTCTGAATGCAATGAACTACTACTTCCCAAAGGTATGCTGCTCTTGACAGAATGACAGAAAAACTAGACCCCCATATACCAAAACTTTCTGGCTTTCAATTGGCAGTCCCTTGACCACAGCGTGTTTGAACAAGAAATATCAACATAAGACCCTGTTACATGTTGGAAGGAAGCAACTGTAATTAATAGCCTAAGATGCTAAGCTTTTGTTCCAAGATATGAGAGAGTTTGCTTTTTGATTGTCGAATAGCTCTAATACATTCGTCTCAAAGCACCTGCATTCTCATGCTACAGTATGATGTATTCTATATCACTGATACTCTATACTGAAATAGTGAAAGACTCTTTGCATTTAAAGCTTAACCCACACGTGGACACTACAATATCAGATGTGTGTGCACAAGCTCTGAGATGCCAAGCAAGGAAGTGGAAGTAAAATTGCAGTGTGATCATGCAGCGTCTGTTAATGGCAGCCGAGGGTGAATCAAAGATGTGTCCTCTTCCTTGGCAACATTATTGAAAATAAAACTGTTTCCTGCCCCATCACAAGCTCACTCTGTATCTTGCTTTGTTTCCTTCATAGTGCTTATCCCTACCTGTTAATTGCTGCATTTGAATGCAAACTCTGGGAGGGTAGGGAACTATTTACCCCTGTCCCTAGGTTCCTTAAAATGGTACTTGCCTATCACTCTGGATGTAGTTGTTAGGCAGTCTAATTAATACGATATTACTGCTAAGAGCAAAATCCTTTGTCATTGCTTAGGAAAAGGACTTTTGTGCCTCAGATTACTTGGGATTCCCAGAAAATAGAGCCTACAACAAGACTTGGGTATATTGAACAGCAAGATTGAAGGGATAAAAAGTGAGGCAGAAAGAGATGATTTCAGTGTCTCGCAGCTTTACCAGAAAACCCACAGCTGCTTGCTTTATCACACAGGCAAAAGGAAAACACTGAAAACATTTTATACAGGAGAGTGTATTCACAACTTACCATTGTAGTGGTGGACTGCTGAATCTCAAACTTGCAAGTATGTAAGGCTATTAGACTCACAGAAGGTTACTTCTGGTGAACTGAAACTTGTTAAAATTGAGTAGCTACTTTATTTCCAGTAGTCACCTGGGCTTGATTTTTAACTAAATTAGCTGGTTTATTGCTAGTATCTATTCCCTCATAACTCTAAAAGTGACACTTAACTGAAGGGATTAGAAACTTAAATAGCATCTTAAATCCAGCCGAGCAGTGTTCTCCAACTAGAAATTAGAAATCACAAGTGGCCATCTACCATCTTCTGCTGTGCTTTGTTTTGTGTGTGTGCTTCAACTCTGCTTTCTCTGAGCTGCAGAAAGAGGGAAAGCAGAAAGGGGTGCTACTAAAGGCATGTTGCCTTTCCTCATGTAGAGGAAAGCTTGGGCTCCTCGTGTGGGCTCCTCATGTGATCACAGCTTGGGCTCCATGAAGTCTTTGCTGAGATGGAGTTTGGTGTCTAAGGAATGGCCACGGTCATTCTCCAAGATCCATCTGTCTTCTGCACAGGGCAAATAAAGTTGAATGAGAATGTGGTGGGAATCACCACCCCTGCATCTTTCAAGTCCTTGATGGTGGCACTAATCTCTGCGGTCCCTCCAGGGATGCAATATTGTTTTTGACTTACTATTTTTCTAGGTTGAGGTAGCTGTAATGGCTTTTATTTGGCCTTTCCCACCGTAATAGCCCTCATCCTATCAGTCAGGGAGCCAATGTGGGGGTTCTGCCAGTGCTAAGTATGTCTATGCCAATTATGCCTTCTGGCACTGGGAAAATGACCACAGGATGAGTGTTGGGACCCACTGGACCCGCTATAAGTCACACCTGAGCTAAAACTTCATGAATTACATGACTTCCATAAGCCCCTACTTTAACTGGAGGGCCACAATGATGTTTTGGGTCCCCTGGAATCAATGTTAGCTCAGAGCCAGTGTCCAGTAGTCCCTAAAATGTCTGATCATTTCCCTTTCCCCAGTGCAGTTACCCTAGTGAAAGGCCAGAGGTCTCCTTGGAGAAGGACGGGAGAAAGATTAATGGCATAAATCATTGGTAGTATAGTGGGGTCCTTTCTCAAGGGGACCTGTCCTCCCCTTCATTCAAGGGGCTTTGAGTCTGTAAACTGGCTCAAGTCTGGAAATTGAGGGGCTGTGACTGTTTTTATAATTCAAATTAGTCTTTTGTATACTGACCTGGAAGTTTTATGCTTATATAAATTAAGAATGCAGTAGGCTTCCTATCAATTTCACTTTTGGGAACACCATGATTAATTAGCTAATGCCAGAGCTCTACATGAGTCAGACTATTCTGATTGCCACTTTGCCTCTGCTGTTCATTACGGTAGCTATGTCCACCTTGCCTTTGATGGTTGAGTGCTGCCACTTGGCCCCTGCCACCTCAGGATCCAATTATTCCTATTGTATTTAAATTTTGTAGTTGAGTGACCGTGGTTCCCACTGTTAGATCTGGCATACAGAAAACAGCAATCACAGCTCTTCAGAAATGCAGGTGCTGCCCTCACACATCTATTTTGCAAGGCTTTGGTCAAGGGTATATCTTCTGCACCCTCCCAGCTGGGATGAGTAGGTCTAAAGTGAGACTAATCCACTCCACCATTCCAATCTCCCTTAGCCTTTGGATCCCTTCCCCTATATTAAACTAAGGAGATCAGGCATTACCAGCTCACTCACAGTGGGTCATCTTTTTTATTTCAGCTAACCAAGCAAATTATTAGAACCTTTTTTAACTGCCTGAGCTGCAACATTAAGTGCAGACTCCCTGTTTAGTAGGCCCAAATCAATAAATTCAGCCTGATCCAGCTTTATGTTCCTTCTACCATTATCCTACACCCTTAATATCCATCCCCATGCCTGTTCTCCAGATTTCTGCTTATATACATTAGAAAACTCAATTTTTGAGTGTAGTGTCTCCTTTTGGGTCACACTCAACCTCACCTCTAGAGGCCTGCTGAGACTTGAGTGTAGTCATAGGTCTAGAAGCAAACAGGGGTGTTGGGGGTAGGTCCTGGGGAGAATCAACATTGTCTTGCCTAGCAACTGCCTCAGGGGAGGCCATCACTGTTGCCTCAGGAAGTGCATAGTTAATTTCCTCAGACAAAAATGGAAAGGCTGATGGCAATGTGGGTGCAGGAGGGGATGTTGCCACCACTTGGGGGGGTGGGGAGGCTACTTCCTCTGGCAAAAAAGGTCCTTGCACACATCTCCATTCCATGTTGCAGGGTTCTATTCTTTTCCAATGCCCCAACTTTAAAGATAGACATCTGGCAGGACTGAGCCTGCACCTTTTGTTGCAGGTCAGTAACTCTCATAAGAGCTTGTCTGAATTATCACAACTTTCAGCCTTTTGTCTAGAGGAGATAAGACTCTCATTCAGGGTGATCTTAGAAGATTTGAGACTCTGTATGTGCTTCTGGAGCAGAGAGTTAGCATCCCTGAGCTCATCCTTTTTTTCCTTCACTTTGTCCAGCAAACTTGGGAGCAACCAACTTCATTATATTCCTTGGTTCTCCACATATGGTCAAAGGTGTCATGTACAGAGTCGCTAAACTCCTAGTCCCTCAGGAGCTGTGAATCAGGAGTATCAAATGCATTTATTTTGCATAACTCTCTAAACAGTTCTCTCCAAGGACTATCAGTGTTCTCCATACTATTAAAAATAGAGTCCTTAGCATTTTGGGGTCTAATAAGATTAAACAGCCAACTCCAGAAACCCAAAAACCAACTAGAGAAATCCATCCTTAAAATTCTGTTCCTCTAGAACCACTCCTGGTACCAAAATCTGTATTAGTCAGGGTTCTCTAGAGGGACAGAACTAATAAGATAGATGTATATATGAAGGGGAGTTTATTAAGGAGAATTGACTCACACAATCACAAGGTGAAGTCCCACGATAGGCTGTCTGCAAGCTGAGAAGCAGAGAAGCCAGTCTGAGTCCCAAAATCTCAAAAGAAGGAAAGCTGACAGTTCAGCCTTCAGTCTGTGGCTGAAGGCCCAAGAGCCCCTGGCAAACCACTGGTGTAAGTCCAAGACTCCAAAAGCTGAAGAACTTGGAGTCTGATGTTTAAGGATGGGGAAGCATCTAGCATGGGAGAAAGATGAAGATCGGAAGACTCAGCAAATTAAGTCCTTTCATGTCTTCTGCCTAATTTATTCTAGCTGGGCTGGCAGCTGATTGGATGGTGCCCACCCAGATTGAGGGTGGGTCGGCTTCTTCCAGTCCACTGCCTCAAACATTAATCTCCTTTGGCAACACCCTCACAGACCCACCCAGGAAAAATACTTTGCATCCTTCAATCCAATCAAGTTGACAATCAATTTTTTTTTTTGAGACAGAGTTTTGCTCTTGTTGTCCAGGCTAGAGTGCAATGATGTGATCTCCGCTAACCACAACCTCTGCCTCCAGGGTTCAAGCGATTCTTCTGACTCAGCCTCCTGAGTAGCTGGGATTACAGGCATGCACCAAAATGCCTGGCTAATTTTGTACTTTTTTTTTTTTTTTTTTAGTACAGATGGGGTTTCTCCACGTTGGTCAGGCTGGTCTGGAATTCCTGACCTCAGGTGATCCACCTGCCTTGGCCTCCCAAAGTGCTGGGATTACAGGTGTGAGCCACCATGCCCGGCCAACACTCAATATTAACATCACACTGTTCTAGTTTTTAGGATGGGATTGAAATCTCTAGTGACTTTAGACCTTAGTTTTCTAAGCCTCCTTACATTGACTGAGCATGATGGCTTATCCTTCAGTTGCCCAAGAAGGAAGAGGTCTCAGGCTAAGAATAGCAGAGAACAGCAGGCAGTGTGTCCAAACACAACTGGGCTCTGAGGACATACAGGAGTCCTGCCTTTTAGCCCCTTGTCTCAGTGTGTCAATTTGCATCCAAAGTTGGGAACTGTCACAAGATTCCTAGCATACAGGCTATAATTGAGTGGAGGGGGCCTGGCCCACGAACTATGGTAGTCACCTAGATGTTCCCAGGTAAGTGGCTGGTGAGTTTTTTGTAATGGTACAGGTTATGAAATGGTGTATTTTTCTGTGGCATAGCTATATATTCTATATTTTCCTTTTAAACTGGTCACCTTTTATATTGTGGGTCAGGCTAGATGTAAGGGTTAAAGAGCTGTGGCCTTGGTAAAGGTTGCCTGTCACTTGATACTTTGTCTTTTGGGGAACCATGGGGAACTAAGAGGTCATCTCTGCATTCGAATCAGGGACTTGCCCAACAGAGGTGTGCCTCCCAAGCATTAGAACCTGAAATTCTCCCAATTGGTAAAAAGAGGAGAATTCCATGTGAAGTCTGTAGACCCCCAGTGACTCATTTGATCTGATGGGTCAAAGTAGGTTAGATCATTTGAGCTTATCTTCCTGTGAGGGGGAAGCCTTTGGAGTCCAGGATGAGGTGTCTGAGCCCGAGGACATGGCTAGTAACTGACCCTGAATTCCATGCCTTGTGAGATGTGGGTCCTCCTTTGCTTCCCTCCCCTGGTATCTGGCAGTGCAGTGGGTGTGTAGGGAGTAAGACAAATCCCCAAAATGAACTGCAGAGGCAGATGCTCTGGGACCTAATGCAGTGTTGGCCAGGAGAGGGCAGCACCGAATCACAGGTGGAGCTCTGTGTCCTGAGAAACCTTGGTGAGGTTGGAGCCTCAGCCAGGCAGCCTCCAGAGGGTGTCCTGTGGAGAAGGAACTGGCAGGGAGTGGGGCTTTGGTGGGCCCAGTACTCCCAAATAGGAGACTGGAGGGCCTCGGAAACAAGCTCTGTCTTCTGCTGCTGTTCTCCGCCCTTCTTGCTCTTTAAGGCAGCTCTTAGAAACTGGAAGCCCTCCTCCCCAAGCCAGCCCTAAAGCTAGGAACATTACTCTCCCCTTCCCTTTCTGTGTAACAGCTGACCGTAAAGAAATTCTGACTTGCCTTGATAAACAGGTCATCAAATGCTCACTCCAGAGGGGTCCTGCTCCCTACCCAGAAAGAAGGAATGCTGTAGAGACCAAGGGAAATAAAACAGACAGGCCTTGCTGGGTTTCCCCACTCAGTCGGGGCATTAGGTCATGCCCTTGTCCAATCACAGTTAGACACGGCTGTCCATGCTTCATTAAATCTAAGCAGAAAAATGGTAATAGCAAGTTCTCCCTTTGGGCCTTCACTCTGGCTCCCGTGTCACATACAATTGATAAGAACCTTTTTTGTTTAAAACAGCTGTGTGGGGCATATAGCCCTGGATGGAGGTGTGGGTGGGATATGTGGGTATGGGAAGATAATGGGTTAAGCTCAAAGAATGGTCTCAAAGCAGATGACTCCAAGTAGAAGGTGCTTAGAGGACCTCAGTGGGGAACAGATGCTGAAGTGCTGGAGCAGAACAAAGTGCCAGAGTCAGCTGCTTCCTGTGTCAACGGCAAACACCTGAGTGGCTGAGGGCCACAGTAGTCCGGGTGTCATGTCTTTCAGAATGTACCCGTGCAGGAGCAGCATGGTACATTCCCAGAAGCAACGTGTCCATTGTTTTTTCTCTTGGGTGTAGAAAACATTACATTTGAAGGAGTAAGTTCATGTCCTAGTGTCTGTTACATTTCCACCATGCGTGTATTTTACTGCACACAAGTTTTACTTGTGTGTATTTTACTGCACACAAGTTTTCCTAGACCTCTGAGGCTCATTTAGTGTTTCCCTTAATGTGAGGAGTATTGGTGATACAGCACAGTAAACAATGTGAGTGTGGGACATGGGCCTTGTGGGACACAGCAGAGCACATGGCAGTTCATCAATCTCCCCTGCACTTGTGTGCAGCTGAATTTGCTGGTGAGCCCAGAATCATCTCAGTTTATTTTCCATCTGTGTAGTGTCTCTTGGGCAGAATTTTTTCTCCTTCAACTCCTATTCTAGAATCGGGTGCATGTGCAGCTTTGTTACAAAGGTATATTGCATGATTGGAGTAGGACTAAACCCATCACCCAGGTAGTGGGCATAGTGCCTAACAGGTACTTTTTCATCCCTTACACCCTCCCTCTCTTCCCTCTAGTAGTCCCCAGTGTGTATTGTTGCTGTCTTCAGATACTGTGTATTTCATGTTTAGCTCCCACTTAAAAGTGAGAACACATGACATTTGGTTTGCTGCTTATTTGGTTAGGATAATGGTCTCCAGCTGTATCCATGTTGCTGCAAAGGACATGATTTTCTTTAATGGCTGTGTAGTAGTCCATGGTGTATATGTACCACATCTTGATTCAGTCCACTTTTGGGTACCTAGGTTGATTCCATATTTTTGCTATTATGAATTGTACTGTGATGAACATAGGGTGCAAGTGTCCTTTTGTTAGAATAACTTATTTTCCTTTAGTATATATCCAGTAACGGGCTTGCTATTTCCAATGATAGTTCAACTCCTAGTTATGTTAGAAGTCTCCAAACTGTTGTCCAGTGGCTGAACTAGTTAACATTCCCACCAACAATGTATCAGTGTCCCCTTTCCTCTGCAGCTTTGCTAATGTGTTTTTACTTAACAAAAGCTATTCCAACTAGTGCAAGACAGTATCTCATTTTGGTTTTGACCTGCATTTCTGATCAGTGACTTCCCGTTGAGCCACTTACGTCTTCTTGTGAAGTGTCCATTGATGCCCTTTGTCCAATATTTAATGGAGTTCTTGTTGATTTAAGTTCCTCAGACTATTGCATGCATCATTTCCCAAAACTTGATACCTTTCTGTAGGCTGTCTATTCTCTTGCTTGATAATTCTCTTGCTTTGCAGAAGCTACTTGGTTTAATTAGGTCCCGCTTACCATTTTTTGTTGCAATTGCTTTTAAGGACTTAGCCATAAATTCTTGCCAAGACCAGTATAAAAAGATTTTCCCTAGGTTTTTCCCAGACTGGGCAGAATTTTTGCCAATTATATCTAATGTGCAGATGGTGACTTCACATAGCAAAGAATTTCTCTAAGGAACTTGGGTTCATGATAAACCTGGTTGACTTTTGGCTCTTAAGAAAGAGTGCTTTAAGAAACAACACAACTGTAGTATTGTATACAGGTCAAAGTAGTTCTTAGAGATCAGTATGATATGACTTCCTTGAGTTTATGGGCAATGTTACCAAATGAGGAACTTATATACAAACAACTTCAAGTTAACAAAGCCCAGGCTTCCACCTAGGTTTAACACTGAGATCTGACTTGGACCAGTGTGTGTTTAAATACACTAAGTATGAAACCCATCTACATCTTTTCAGGTCTCATGGAAGATGCAGTAGGACTGGCTTTTTTTTTTTCCAATCACTTCTCTCTAAACACTATTGATGGGGGAAGACAAATATCTGGTATATTATTGCCCACAACCGATGGAGCTCTGAGTGTGGGTCCTCCCTGGCATACTTAAATGTGGAAAGCCCGTTCTTGGACCCTAGGCCATTGAGCCCATAGTGGGCAGTGCTTTCCATGAATTCCAGGAGGTACAACCAATTTTGTTGGATGTACATGTGTTGGGTAATTCAGACACATGGGAAATGCTCTTGGTGAGGAACCATCCACTAGGCAAGAAACCATAGTTGAGGTAAAATCACCGGAATCTAGTGTCATAATGCATGGAATTGTTGGATGTAACTATAGAAACTGCCAAAGTCCAGACACCATGACAGATCATAGAATTGCCAGCACAGGGCAGAATGTGTTACTTGCAAATGTTCAGAGAGTTGAGGAGGACTTGGCTAATATGATGAGCAGGCATTCCAGGCACAGAGAAGAATTGCATGCCTTGCGACCCTTTTGACTAGTGTTGCAGGTTGGATTGTCAGAAAAGAGGTTGATATGGAGTTTGACATGAAATATGGCATTTAGAGATCAAATCTTTTCTAAGGAATGGGAAAGGAAGCATGATTGGGTGGCAGGAGCACTTAACTGCACTGCAGGCCCAGCAATGCCCTGGCAAGTGTCAACATGCATGTGGCCCATCAGTTGTTCCACGGTGGCCTGAGATCACTGGCCTTCAGACATCTACTATGGTCAGTAATTGGATGAGGGCTGTTAAGGGAAGAGCATGCCCTTGGAGCTGAAACAAACCCTGTAGAAGGTGATAGCTGGAAGCCGCTGGCAGTGCTTCTGGCAGCTGGGGCAATGAGTCCTTGTTGAAGGGGGATCTAGTTGCTGTATTCTCATGCCCTCTAAATCCAGTGATCTGGTGATGTCAACCCTTTCAAGTCGTTGGCCTGAATTCACATATGTGTATATTCATCATGGCTTTCTTGCTCGGGCCCTACCTTTCCTAATAAGTCTCAGATGGAATCAGCTCTTTAGGTACGAGATGACCGATTTGACACAGAAGCCATGAGGTTACTGTTTTCTGTTATGAGACCACTACATGATCAGTTTCCATTCTCTAGACCAAAGGAAGTTCCTGTTTGTAGGATCTAAATTTTCAGAACCATTTTATGGCCCATGTAACAGGGGTGGTCTCGTATGCCTCCTACATGTCACTTCAAGAGTTTGCAAAATTGACCCAGTAGTTGGTCATTTCCATGCTCCACATGGTTTGGACCACTAGGAAGACTTTCTTTGCCTTGGTCATAGGTAGGTTCAGGTTCTAGGACCTGTTGTAATAAAGCCACACTCCATCTTTTCCCTCAGTATTTTGCCTCTTTGAAAACCTATCCAGGGAAGCACAGCCCAGCCAGAATGTGTCCAGTGCCAATGTCCTCAGCTCTGACCCTGAGCCTTCAGCAGAAAATAGGAGGAAAAACCTAAAAGGGCACCTACTGCCTGGAACAGGCACTCGAATAAGCATCGAGGCCAGATGGGCAATGTGAGCTACGTAGGTACCAGAATGATCCAGGGGGATCTTGTCTATGACAAATACTATTCCTAGTAGTACTAACTAGCCTGTCAAACAATGAAAATCATTCTTCAGTTTGTCACTGCAATGCACTGGAGTTTTGGGAAACTGCATGTTAAGGCAATGTTGAAACAACTCTTGGTCCATACCCCGACTCATGTCCAACCCCTCTGTCCCAAACAGGACCTCTCTTGCACTCTGATCTTCTCAGAGATGAATACTTCCATGCCCTCAATAGCAGAGGTCCCTAATTCTGAGCTCTTCCTCACTTCCTGGTCTTGCTGCCTGTAGTAAGCCCCTTCCCTTTGAGGTTGGATGTAATGACCAGCTTCTCATATTCTTTACCTTTGTCTTAGAAGTTGTTTTAAGAGAAACCGGCTGCAATGTTACAAACTGCCCCTTGGAGCAGCCTTGTATGGCAAAAGGGAGAAGCCTTCAGTTTCACAGGCTGAGGAGCTGAAGCTCACCAACAAGAAGTGAGCTTGGAAGTGGACATTGAAGGTGTGACATGAGTCTCCTTGGGAACAGATCTCTTCTTGCTTAGTTGAGCCTTAAAGAATACATCCCAGCCCTCAGGTTGACTTGGAGTCATGAGACTTCCAAACAGCGTCATCTAGCTAAGCTTTGCCAGCAATCCTTATCTGTAAACTGGGATGTGAATGTCTATCTTATGTTGGCATTTTTATGGTAAGTTGTTCGGCCGATAAATAGCTTAATTAAAAAGCCAGACATCTGATAATCCATGTAAATGTGAGTTGTAAAACAGAAGTCATACAGTGCTGGTAGGCTTAGTCTAGTCTTCAGGCAAGTTTAGTTTGACCCATGCAGCATTTTTATTGCATTAATTCCTTTTCTTCCTACCGTGGTTAGCTTGATAACATGAAGGCTTTATGGTTCCTCTGTAAATGAAACTAAAGTGGTATCCTGGATCTCTTTCCACTATCTTCTACTTTTACCTTACTCTCCTTTCAGCCTATTAACAGGATGAGAGAGAAGGTACCTGGGTCAAAATACAATGGGGACCTGAATTGGTTAAGAACCATTGACATGGTCTTCTGAAAATCGGAGGTAGGGGAAGGGAGTGGGAATAGTACTGGAGATCCTACCAGGCTCAGACCACAATGAAGAGTTAACAGGGATAGGCATGCCACGGCCTTGTGAGGATCCACCTTCTGAGATGGCCCCTCTTAGAATCACCCTAGAGACCATCCGGAGACCTGGATTCCCTCTCAGTATAGGGAATGACCTACTTGTAGCCTGGGGTCAGTGCTGTCACATAGAAGTCACGTGATCCACATATTTTAACCAGGCTAGTAGCCATGTTTTGCTAACTAAGAACCAGGTGAGATCACCCTTAAAGCTCTTGGGCTGGGTTAAATGTATGTTCAAGTCTCAACTATTCCCACTTGTGAGTTGTAGCTCTGATCCTTATAATCTTCTAGTCCAGATAGTAATTCCCCTCCTACTGGTAAGGGATCTGCTCTGTAGGTTTGCTGGACATTGGAGGATTAACTATCCATGCTGTCCTCAAGCCTTCCAGTTCTTAGGGAAACTGGTAAATGGTAAAGGCAAAATGAACTAAGTGCAGGAGTTGATGTGGCTTAACTTTTTTGGCTCTTATAAGGTACAGTTGTTTCTAGGATGGAGAATGGACAGTTGCGGATTCTTACACCACCTGGTGGGGGGAACAAGTCTCTCCAGGGTGTTCCAGAGGTGGGGCAGCAGCTGGTGTCAGAATAGGGACCCCAGCCAGAACTGGGGCAGCCGTCATGGACATGGGGGCACTCAATCCCCAGAGTAAGGAGGGCAAGTTTGACTGTCCACCTCTCTGAGGGGAAGACTTAAGCTGGGCAGCCTGTGGAGGATGAGGGTTGATGCTTGCCATGATGAAGTGCCCGTCTACCTCAGGCAGGGTGTGTGCAGATCATATCCAGGGAGGTCTTTTTCTTGAAGGATGTAGACTTCCTCAGAACTGGTTTTGGCATTGAATGTAGGTCAGGAGTCCCAGTCTAGAGCTCAAAGCCCATGACTGTGTCCTAGAGTGTAACTGATCCATGTGCCTCCTTCCCTCCCTCTGTGGCAGGTGTGAGCTACAGATATGAGGTGACTGCATTGGGAACCTCCTGGAAGCCGAAGTTTTTACCCTGAATCCCATTTGACTGTGACATTCTACTTTGGCTTTGGCTGCTCTAGAGCTCATGACAACAGCAGGGTTTTTTGCTCCTTCTGTTAAAGGCAGCTGGACCTTGTAGCATCATGTCAGGATGGCGTAGTCCCAGGGCAGCAGGAGGAGGAAGTGCTTCAAGTCCTAGCCCCTGAGTGTTCCCTAGTGCTCTCTGCCAGTGAGGCTTAGGACTGTCTGAATGTCTTCTCTGGGGCCTAGACCCAACTGTGAGGGAGACAAGAGTCTACCTGGATGAAGGACAGAACTGGATGTGGACTGTGTGTCTGTGTGTGTGTTTGGAGGTGGGGGGTTCCTCGATACCCTTTGTTTATTCAGTCCGGATCTCAGATTTTGGATCCCTGTGGTATACACCAGTCTTCACTACCATCTTATTTGGGGAGATGGGGAGAACTCTGTGTATTGGAAAACTCACAGGCGAGGAAAGACGACCGGCCTTGTTCCATTTGACCTCTCACAGACATTCTGTACTTCCTGAGGCATCCTTTGCCTAATGCCTACCAGGCTCCTGGGCTTTGCCTAACTTCCTCTGTCTACCCCTGTTTCTATACTCCTTGCATTGCTGTTGGCCAGCTTGGGCACTTAGACCATTCAGGTATTTCCTTACCCCACCTTGCCCAAAGAAGGCTGTCCTTACCCCTTAGATGGCAGCTTCACATGCTGCCTCAACCTAAGTGCCCCTACTTCATGCCTTGCTTCTCACCCTGTGTGCCAATCACTTTCTATCACAACTTGCAACCATATTGATCCTAGCACATACTAGGTAGCATTGTTCAATCCTTGCCA
Source organism: Homo sapiens (assembly GCF_000001405.40). NCBI lineage: Eukaryota > Metazoa > Chordata > Mammalia > Primates > Hominidae > Homo > Homo sapiens. The sequence continues at coordinate 77,374,252 of NC_000004.12, forward strand.
TCCTTGAAGTTGAAACATGAGGGAGCATACTTATTTTCTCACAATTCTTATGTGTTGAGCTCAAGTTTATATGGTTCATGGCTACTGTGTTTTTCATAAAGTTCCCATGCTGGCCTTCTAAGTATTTTATTGACAGGAAGTTTATGAACACAGAATGAGAACTCACTCTGACTACGTTTTTCTTCACCAGCTTTCCTGGAACTCTTAATTTGTACATATCCCTTATATCTTTGAATGTACATCCTGTTGATGAATTACTGAAAAAAGGCTCAGGCATGCATTTTCCTAGCAAACCCCCTTTTTTTTTAGGAAACTCTCTGGTTCAAGACTCTATGGTTATGCTTAACTTACCACGTTAAGACCAAATGAAAACATTTTTTAGTATATCATAGATATTTTCTCTCACTACACACAGAACTACCTGTGATAGTTTGGATTCTCTCAAGGCAGAGCCTGAGCCTAGAGGTTGATTAAGTTTCTCATGGTGGAATCTTTGTGGTTGGTGTTAGTGTGCGATACAAAATGATAAGCCCTGTCACTCATTTGTCTACATGAATATCTAGCCTGTTGGCTATAGCTCACATGTTTGTACAAAAATACTTGGTATAACTGGAGGTTTTCCCTTCTTGCATTAGCACTGTCACATGAGTACAGCCCACTGGGTCAGTGACTTCTATAGGAGTCAATCTTGGTTGCACCTGCCCAGATTAAAACCTTTAGTTAATCAGGTGCTCTATTTAAACAAACTCGCTCACATGTCTTTGAAGTTAAGGACTTGTTTGGGCATCTTCCTGAAGTCCAAAAGACTTACACTGCCAGCTTTGCAATCCTATCATATACACACAAATAGGTTACAGCTTGGGTAAGCAATTATCCAAATAAGGTAACATAATACAAATGATGTGTTTGGAGTTTATAGAAATCTTGGAGTTTCTTTATGTAAGAACAGTATTGCTATTATAAACTAATGCTATAGGAAGTAACAAATCTTCTATACTGGTCACACCAGTTTAAAACCACAGATGTGAATATTTGGACTTAGACTGTAAATGAGTTCCAGTTCCACTTCTAGTTAACTGCCCTGTTGCTTTCAGGGGGTTGGTTTCTTTGAACCTGTGTTTTGATCTGTCAGGCATCCAATCTCATCTTCAAGATAGGAGCAAGAGGATGGTAGGACAAAGCACTTGGAATATGATCAAGTGTATCTTCTTTGCAAAAGTCCATATGCTTTTGAAGGAAGAATGCCAGAGAAGCTTTACTTTCGTGGATCAAAACATGCTGGCTTCCCTCAACTCATGGGTTAGTCTCTTGGCCCTGTATATGTAGAAAACAATCTCAAAGTGAGACAGGGCCTCATTACATACTGGAAAGATGCTACTATGATAGCCTAGGAACCTAACTTTTTGTCTCAGGATCTGGGAGAATTTGCTCTTTGACTGTTTAATGGCTCTAAAACATTAGCGTCCAGTCACACACACTGATGTGTATTCTACGTAACTGCCATTCTGTACTGAAACTAGTGGTATGAGACTTTTTTAATATGAAGTATAACCCACACATGCAGACTACAATGTCAGATGTGTGCACAAAAGCTTGAGTGTTCTAACTAAAACAAGGTGAAATGGAAGTAAATGTGAGAGTTGATTGTGTAATGACCTTAGTTATTGGCAGATGAGAGTGCATCAAAGATGTGCCAGTGTATTCACTGGCAATGTTATTGAAAACAGTACTGCTTCCTTCATCACAAACCCACTCCATATCCTGCTTTGTTTCCTTCACAGTACTACTCCCTACCTGACTGTCTCAGCATATGAATGCAAACTGCAGAAGGGTAGAAACTTGCTATTTACTGCAGTAGCCTCTGGCCCTAGGATACTTGCCTAACACTGCATGGATGTAATTGTCAGCCAGTCAATTGCATGGAATTTTGCTGAAAGTACAACTTTTGTCATTGCTTAGGAGAAGAACTTTGGTGCTTTTGATATTACTTACTTGGGATTCTTAGAAAGTAGATCCTGAGAAAACTTGGGCGTATTAGTTTATTGTGGGGAGAAGTATCCAACCCCAGAACAGCAAGACTGAGGGGATAAAAAGCAGAAGCAGCAAGAAAGTTAGGTGACTTCAGCCACTCATTGCTGTACTAGAAAACACGCAGCTGCTAGCCTTATACAAAACAAAAACATAATATTTTGTGAAAGGGGGTGTGTTTAGAACTTCCTGTTGTATTTATGGACTGCTGAACTTTATACTTGTATACTTTCACATATATTAAAGCTGCTTGTTTCATCAGGTCAAAGAAACACTACTTAAAAACAATTGGAGGAGAACATGGCAGTGTGGACTGCTGAATGTCTTTGCAGTTGAACTTTCAGGTACATGTTAAGGTCACTAGATTCGTAGGAACTTATTTCTGATACTAAACGTCAATAATGACTTTCAGGTAATCTTGATTTTGTAATTATGTTATATTGCTAGTGTCTATGCTATCTTTTTACTCTAAAAGTGACACACTTAAGGGATTAGAAGTTTCAATAGCATCTAAATTCCAGCCCAGCAATGTTTTTCTAACTAGAAATCACAAGTGTCAACCTACTGTCTCTCTGCTTTATTCTGCTTTTATGCCTCAACTCTGCTCATCCTGAGTCACAAAGAGGGAACTCAGAAGCGCTGCTACCAAACTGGGTGTGTTCTTTGATCAGATGGGGGCGCTCTCACAGCTTAGGCTCCATGAAGTCCTTGCTGAGATGGAGTTTGTCTAAGGAATGGCTGCCTGTGAAGGGAGGGGAAGAAGGCAGGATTAGGCAGAGATGAGGTCAACTGTGACATAGTCCCAAGAGAGCCTTCACTACCCTGATAGAGTTCCAGAGCTAGTATTGCGCCTCACTATCCTACATGGAGCCATGATGGTCGGGCCTCTGCAGGCCACCTTGCTTACACATCAGATGCAGGCTGCCCTGGGAGGGGGGATCTCGGGCAAAGCAGCTCTCTGCAGCTGAGACTGAGTCTCAAACAGCTGTGGCCTGGGGGTTGCTTGAGTACTCCTACAGTGAGAAGCAAGCCCTTCCTTGGAGGACGGTGTGGGTGGAACGCCTGCATGGCTACCACAGTGGCTCTGCTTCCAGAGTATGATGGCTCCCTGTGGCCAATCTAAGGGATGGGGAAGCCACATAAACTACCTGCCAGCGTCCTTGTCCTTCTTTTCCTGTGTGCATCAAACCCCCTGCACTTCGAGGTGTTTGCTTGTCCCCTCCAAGCAGCTGCTGGAAAAGCCGGCTCTCATTCCTAACGGTGTTGGTGATCTGCCCGAGTCCCAGTGGTAAAGGAGGCATAGCCTCTGAGATGAGATGATGGTGGGGGCCGGAGCTCTTCATTAGGCAAGCAGTCAAGAATGATAGGGACTTACTATTTCCTGCAACACCCTCTGGGCCTAGGCAGGGCTAGTAGAGCTGAGCTAATTTGAGAAGCATGGCGATTTTGTCTGTATTTCCAAAGCCTAACTTTTACTTGTAAAGCTTATAGGCCCAAGTCAAGGTAATATAACTAAAATTATGGGTATTATTCTAGGCTACTTCTCTCCCCATAAAAACATTTAGCGTAGTCTAACAAACCTACTCATAATTTTACTTCTGGTTAACTATTAGAGGCATAGTTAATGATATTGGCTTAACATTAAAAAACAAGGTAACTTAATGCTTATATTCCATCTCTAAAAATGTCACTGATATTTTGATTGCAATAAAGTCTAATGACTTAATTAGAATAAGCAGTAAGAAAAGTAAGGCAGTCTCAGAGCAGGGATCTCTGAGGACCAGTGCTACCCCTTGAAGTTACAAATTACATAATGGGATTATCTGGAAGATTATTTTATTTCCAAATGATTATCTTGATATACTGTGAAACTCAAAGTTGGCTGCAGGAATTGATCCACATCTCCAGTTGGGTCACATTTCAATGAATGTTGTGATTGTTCACTAGTGAACAAATCTCAGGACAGAAAACGGAAAAATTATTTCTCCCCTAAAGAGGCCTTTTAACATACTACTGTTTTTCAGAGACATTAATGGCATCTCCTCATTCTCTTCCAGCTGTTTAGGCATATTGTGTATTACTTTTTGATAACTCAATACAGCAATTAAATAGAGTCACTTATTCTGTTAACAGACTTCATGAGGATGATCAGAGCCCCAGAAGGAGGGAGGTATATTCTGCAGAGACTTAAGGAGAACTCTGCAGAAGTGGGAGTAGGTTACTCTAACTCAATGATTTTAAACACTGAGGGACTGGTGCAGGTGGAAGCTTTTACTCTCATAGACCTGAAAGTACAGTAAAAAGGCATAGGGTAAACAGCCAGGTGTAAAAGGGTTGTTGTGGGAGGGGATTCACCACAGGAGCCGTGGTCCTAAAAGGATGCAGATTTTAGAGCTGTGGGAATGGGAGACTGATCTCTCACTAACCCCCTTGTTCCCTCTTGTTGTCTAATCCCACTGGAAGCAGGACGGCAAAGGAATACATGTGATACAGTTTGTAGAAGACTGGCATGACCAGGCACAGAGCAGCAGGGCAAAGGAGCATGGACAAAGTTCATGCAGGAAGCAAGTATAGAAAAACAGTCGGAGTGTTTCATGTTGGAGAGACGGAATCAGTAGTGATTGACCAAGAGGGTTCTAAAGGAATGCTTAGGGTATACAGGCATGGATGGAGGCAGTTTTGATTAGGAGCAAGAGGAACTAACTGGGGGGAAGAGATGCTGAAGGGCTAAAGCAGAGCAAAGATCCTGAGAAGCCAGAGTCAGCTCTTGGGTCAAAGGCAAACTTGCAGAGTGGATTGAGGGCTGGGCCACAGTCGGGGAGGAAGATGGCATGTTTGCTAAGGATGTGCTTTAAACACCACTATGTTCACATTATTCTCTTAAGCGAAGACATAGGTCATTGGAAGGAATAAGTGGGAAGCTTGGTGTGTCTTCTATGCTTTCCCTGTCATTGGGACTTGATGCATACAACTCTTCGTGAACATAGAAGCGTTTGTAGACCTCTTGGGCTCATGTAAATCATATCCTCATGTAGGGATGAGTGATAAAACACAACAAATTACACAATGTGAGCATGAGATATGGGGCCTTGCAGGGACACAGCCAAGAAGACTTGCAGCTCAGGGGCATCTTCTACTGCACATAAGTGCAGCTCATTGTGCTGGTGTGCACCCACAGGCTCACTTTACTGCATTTTTAATTTGTATGGTGGCTTTTGGTTAGAGGAATTCTGCAAGTCATACAACAAACATGCAGAGGGTGACCTCAGATAGTAAGAAGTATCACTATTAAATGGTTTGTAACAAATTTGAGTTTGTAACAAATTTGCTCTTCCAGCTGGGAAACTTTAAGGAACCCTAGTTTACAATGCTTGATATACTAGTTCAGGCTGTTCTCATAGAACCCTGTTTGCGTTATCCTTCTTGTGACTTAGTCTGCATGCTACGCCTGTGGAATTCATAGGCTGATGATTTGAGATAATTTAGCTCTGGTGTTAAACCAGGTTTAGAACCTAGTTACCTGATCTTTTGTGTTTTTCATACACACTAAATTTACATAAGCAGAATATGTATGGATATCTTTTCAGGTCTCACAGAAGATATACCAGTGCAGAGAAAAATGACTGAATTCCAAGCCCCTCACTGATGGGAAGATAGATATTTGGCATCTTCTCTACCCTGACCAGTTTGGTGGCTGTGTGTTGGGATCCTTTCTGGCCTCCCTGAATGTATAAAGCCAGCTCTTGGACTCTATCTAGACCACTGGTAAACCCACAGAGGGCAAGGCTTTTCCTGAATTCAGGAGGTAGAACCAACTTTGGCTTTCAAGACATTTGTCTGCTTGGACTGGACAGGTGAAAGACACACAAATTCCCTCAGTGAGGAGCCAGCACTAGGCAGGAAACAAGGAAAAGAGGATAAAATACGTATCTAGGATGACAAAACACTGGAAGAAATGACTAGAAGTTAGAATGAAGCATGTCACATGTGAGACAAGCCAGCAATGGGCAGAAAACTACTTCAGGGGAATCTAGGTTAGTTTCTCGATACCTAGCATATTGTTCTCAGGAATATCTTTAACCTTCTAGTTGGTTCAATTGCCTCAGTTTCCTTTTATCCTTGAAAGCTTGTATCCAGATGACTATATGCTTTGGTTTAAGGTCTCTGTTTATGATAACTGGTGACCAGAGGGCTCCCCAGGCTTTTTTTTTTTTTTTTTTTTTTTTTTTAATAACAAAGACCATTGTAATGCATGTCAGAGGGGCAGTCAGTGTAGATCTGCCAGTCCTTCTTCAGATTCATTGCTGAATTCCCTGGACACATTGCTTCATGACACATTGCTGGGTTACTTGTAACTCAAAAACATAAGCATGAGGGAGTCGAAGCTGTGGGAGGCATAAAGTACAGAGAGGCCTTGCTGGATGATGAGTGGTCTCTGACACAAAGAGTAGTACAGTTAGAGAAGTGGAAAGACAATGGAACAGGACCCTGAGTCTCCAGGGATGGCAAGTTGTGGGAGAGTAAACACATGGTAGATAAAGCCTAGTAAGTAAAGCTGGATACATTGTTTTAAGGAATGAACTCTCTCTTATCTGCTGCTTCATTGCCTTCTGTTCACAGTCATGTACTTCAGCTTATAGATTTTCTGGGGTGGCATATTATAGTCTCCCATGGTGTGTTAAAACTATGTTTCTTTTCCTTCCCCCATTGTCTTTGATCTCTTCATCTTTATCCTCTTAGCACATTCAAGGCATAGCATATTCTAGGTCTGGGGATGGGAAAGTGCAGGTTGGTAACAGAAGTTCTCCTGAGACTGACATGCATGAAACTAGGTAAACCCAATCCTTTATGTCTGTGGAAAGGGGTTTGCTGTGGACCATACACCATCACCTGATCTAGAAAGTTGCATCAAGAAGTCTTCTAAGAAGGAATGAAATGTGAATCTATAGCCTTAGTGTGACTAGGTCTTGCAGTCATTCTTGCATGTGGTGCCAACATGACGTCCCGAGCTGATATTGTAACCTCAAATCTATTAGTCCCTTCCCCTACTCATCTTTTTTGAAGCCTTGCTGTTTTGTTCACTGCCAATCAAATAAGACTACAATTTGGCCCCCTGTGTTTCAGGAGTACCCTTCATACCTCCACCATGAGCCTCACACATAGTTTTGCTTTCTGTAAGCAGAGGCACAAGTCTCTGACAAACCTGTTTTCTGTCCATTGGTCATCAGAGTAAATTGTTGGCACCAGTTCTGCAAAATGTTGTACCTCATCTTTTCACTTTATTGGTGGGGGGCAAAACATTTGGCAAGTGGGGATTGGTATTTTATGACTTGGTTTTGGACAAACTTTGATTTACTCATTTGAGGAAGATAAACTTTGTCTAGGCTTCTTTAGCTTAACATCTGCAGTTGAAGAAACACTAGGTTCTGTTTTCTCAGGTTCCTCTTTGACTAGAACCAATGTGAAAATCCAATTTTCCTTGAAATTCTTGCTGCTGTGGTTGAGTCTGACATTCAGAAAAAAACAAGTCAGTTAACAATGTTTGGTAGAAGCTTTAAATGAAATGGCAGCAGCATGCACACTGGAGGATTAGCTGAGTGGCATCATGATAAAGAACATATTTTGACAGTTATGTGGGTCCCAGTCAGTCTGAATTCAACAATCCTTTAATCAAAACACATGAATCCTGCACTCTGGTCAGTCTGGGTTCCTCTGGCTGCTTTTGTTCTGGATGTTCATTGATGAGGTGCTCTGTGAGGCATAAATGGAAGCCATAAGTAGAGAGCCTCACCAAGGAAAGTCATGAGTTCACTTGAGTCAAGGGTAGAAAGATACTGCTCATAGTAGAACATAAGAACAGAACTGGGATCCAAAATAATTGGCCCAGAGCAAATGGGAGGTAGTAACTTGACAAATCTTGAAATACTAGGATTGGAAGAGGGTAAGGATTATTGTTTGGAAGAAAGAATTCGTATACCTCAGATATCACATCGATGTGGAGTACAGTTACTATCCATCATGTTAGGGTAATAGAGGAATGGGCCTAGTCATCTCCCTGACTTAGATGGTCTCCCTTTGAATGGAGTAGCCTTCGGAGTGTCTAAGGGATATTCAAGCTTGCTTTCACGCCTGAATTTAGTGTATCCGTTTTAATTAAAATGAAACATCTTGACTGCTAGCTTTTGTCCTCTTATATGCAGATACCAAAGTGGGATTGGATGTTCAAAAGCTTTGAGGGTGGGAAGAAAGCCCGGGGACAGAAATTGAGGAGGGAGCTGGAGGAGTCTGGGAGGATCAAACCACAATGCATGCACGTCTTACCTTCTCAAGGAAAGAAGAAAGGTCAGGTAGGAAGTGGCTTAGACTGAGGAGTACAATACTAAGTGTTTTGGCAAAGCAGATGGCAAGTCCCAGGGCCCAACTTGCCCACTGGGAGTTCCAAGTGTCCTAAATGAGCCTGCCATAGTCTCCCAGCTGCACTGAAGCATCAGCTGGAAGCAGCATTTAGGAAGTGTGGTGTTCTAATGGACCCACAGTTGGCCCCTGTGCTGCACAGATCTACTTCCCTACACCAGTTCACAGAGCAGTGACTCCATGTCCACAGGCCTCTATTTTTGAGAGGAAACTTATACAGGAAGATGTTAGGGGAAGAAATGCAACTGCTGTGGCTGAAGTGGGTCTTGGCTCACAACTACTTCTCCTCTTCCACCACCAAAATCCACCCTGAATTCCCTTTGCACTCAGCTATCGCCTCAGCTGAGGATTGGTGCTGATCTGGTGGTGTGATCCACACCTTCATCCTGAGGTATTTCAACCTCTAGTGAATAGATGCTTAAGATAGGGCTACTTAATGCCCCAGTTACAATGGGACGAGAAATAAGATACTCAAGTGGAATACTTGGGTTCCATTCATGTTCTTTACTGCTCCAGGGTGCCTAGTCTCCTGCTGGTCATTCTGTTGCCCTGCCACAAGGATGACTCAAAGTGACCAGTAACTCACTTGAAGCAGTAGAAAATGAGACCATTTTTCCTTCTCAACTGTAGGTTGCAGCATCCCTGTAATCATTCTACTGGGGATACAGCACCTCTGTAATGTACTATGGCATCATGAAGAAGGGCACTCCAAACTCTGAGCACATTCACTCAGTGCTGCTGCATGGCTTTCTGAGTCTCTCAGTGCTGAAGTCACCTGATTCAGAATGATGTTGTATGATACCAGGTTACCTCATGATTAGGAGCCCATTCTGTACCACTTCTTTCTGATTCCAATTTATTGGTGACATGTCTGTGTGGAATTGCATGCCTGTGGAAGGAGCATTGCAAATGATCCCAGATAGTAGTGGTGGTAGAGATTCCTCAAGGAAGAAAGGGACATTCATAGTAAGATAGTTGTCTATTCCTGTGAGTCTATATGGCTGACTCTTTTAGAATAGAAATGGCTCAATGTAATCAACTTGCTAACAAGTGGTTTTTTGGTCTCCTTATCAGGGTGCTATATGGGGATGCAACATTTGTCTAAAGAGCTGCACATTCAGAGTTACTAGACTGTCTCTAGAAATTGGCATTACATGCTGTTGGGCACCTGTGTAGCCTCCATGTCTGTTGCCACTATAGCCTGTATTCATTTGCTAGTTGGCTGATAACTGGCAGTCATTTTGTTTGGGTGGCTCGGTGAGTTTCTGTGGCTGGTGCTCTGTAGTGAGTCTTCACATGTGAAATGAAATTTACATGTCTACATGAACACACCTTTTCAGGGTTCTTTGTCTGACTTTGCAGTCCATTTGCATCTGGTCTACTGGTCAAGTGGTCGGGCCATGGGCCTCTGTTGTAGATTCATAGCAGATTAATTTGAGCTGTCAATTACTTTCCTCAAAGATGAGGGCCTGGGAGGCATTTTTATTGGTGTCATAGCCATAGAGCATAGCCAAGAGGCTTTAGAATTGGAAATAGTGTTCTCACTTAGCAATTTAACAAGTATGTCTTTCTTAATCCCAAAGTGGTACTAGTTTTGCTGATATAAGCTAAAACTCATAAAGAATATTGCTGTATGACTTAGGCATATACCTGCCTTGGTGTCTTGGCCCTTCTAATAAGGAGATGAAAAATATGTTGGAAATACATTTGGATTCTCAAAGTTGAAAGCAGGCTGGCCCTGGTATTCCCAGTACTGGTCAGTAATGCTTTGGCTTGCTCACAAAGCCTTGAGCCAAGGGTCAAGACAATGAGGAAGAAATACCCATCTGTGTTGCGCTGAGGATGGTGGCAGAAATAGGTTTCTTGCTCAGATGGTATCTTCTCACTTCAAGCCCTCTTCCTTTGGAAAAAGTGAAACTTCCTTTCATTGTTCTTGTCTTTAGGATGGGATTGAAATCTGCTGTGAGTTTAGACCTTTATCTGTTTCACAAGACTCCCTGTATTGAGTTGAACATGAAGACTCATCTTTCCCAGTTCCCTAATAAGAGTTCCCAGGCTTAAAGCTCTATGAGAGGTATGTCCAAACACACTCAGGCTTGTAGGATGTATAAGAGCTTTGCCTTCTAGCCCCTTGTCTCAATGTCCCCAATTTGTATGCAGAGTTAAACTATGTCACAAGATTCCTAGTTTATAGACAGGCCTATAATTGAGTGATGGGGGATGGGGGGGCTTGACCTGCCAACTACGGCAGTCACCTGCATGTTCTGGGGGAGTGGCTATGCCTGCATGTTCTGGGGGAGTGCTAGTGAGCCATATTTGGTGTTATGGGTTATGGAATAGGATATCACTGTTCTGTGGCACAGCTATACATTCTATATTTTGCTTCTAAATTGATCATCTTTTATATTGTGGGGCAGGCAAGTGTGTAAGTTAGAGCCTTGACCTTGGTAAAGGTTGCTTGGCACTTGGCACTTTGTTTTTTGGGGAACCAAGAGTTTATTTCTGCTTTTTAATCAGGGACTCACTCAACAGAGGTCTCCATGTGAAAGCAAGTCTGTACTAAAAAGCTAAACAGCACTTCTGTGGACCTCTCAGTGGTTATTTGATTGGATGGCTCAAAGTGTATCAGATCATGAGTTTAACTTCCTGTATGAGGGAGATGGCTTTAGAGTCCAGGATGAGGTATCTGAGACCACAGGACACTGCTAGAAACTGACTCGCTGACTTCTATGCTTCACGAGATATGAGTGGTCTTGTGCATCCCTCCCAGGGTTTCTGGAAGTGCATGTGGGGTGTGAAAGAATCAGACAAGTCCCAAAGGTAAACTGCCAGGGCAGAAACTCTGAAACCTGATTCACTGTGTTGGCCAGAAGAGGGCAGCACTCACACAGCAGAACAACTTTACGCATTCAGTGACTTCAAGGAGGATCCATACTCAGAGCCAACGATCCCTGAGAAAGCCTGGAGAGGGGTTGGGGCCTCAAATGAGCAGCTTCTTAGTGATGTTTCTGGGAAGAAAGAATGGACAAGTGAGTGGCCTCTTGGCCTGATAAGTACTTTGCACTAAAAGAGATAGGAAGGCCTCAGAAGCAGTATCAGAAACAGTCAGTCTCTGACCTTCTGTTCTTCTGTCTCCTGTTTGTTCTTTCCAAGACAGGTCACAGAAACTAGACTTCCTCTTCCTCAAGGCAAGTCATAGAAACTAGAAGCCCTCTTCCCCAAGGCCAGCTGTAAAACCTGGAAAGATTGCTCACTTTCTCCTTGCCTTTCTGTGTAAGGACTGGCCATGAAGAAATTCTGACCTACCTTGACTAATAGTAGGTTATGAGACCCTCATTCCACAAGGGGTCCTGCCACCAACCCAGGTGGAAGAAATGCCAGAGACAAAGAATCTAGACAGGCCTAGGTGGCTTTCCCAACTCAGTCTATTAGCATTAGGTCATATATCTCTGACCATTTACAGTCCTACATGGCTGTTCATACATCATTAAACCTAAGCAGGAAAATAGAAAGTTTTCTGTTTCTCCGTGGGTCTTCATTCTGAAGGTTCCCATGTCAAATTTTGATAGCATTTTGAAAAATAAATTTGGGCATACAGCCCTGGGTAGAGGCACTTCTTGGTAGGGAAATGGGTGAAGGTAAAAGGAACCTGTCTCAAAGCAGATGATCCAGAGTAGGTGTTGGAGAAAGATCTCAGTGGGGGACCAGATGCGGAAAGATTAAAACAGAGCAAAGATCCAGAGAGGCAGAGTCAGCTCTTTGGTCAATAATAAGCACCTTGGTTGAGTAGATGGTCACAGAATGGCATGTTTCTCAGAGGGACTTGTGCTTGAGCAGCATATACCTGCCTTAGTATCTTGGCCCTTCTAATAAAGGGATGAAAAATACATTGGAAATAGTTTGATTCTCAAAGTTGAAAGCAGGCTGGCCTTGGTATTCTAGATCCATCATGTGAGCACGTTTCTCTTGTGTGCATAAAACAGCATCTCAGAAGGTGTAAGTGTATGGATTAGTGAGACTTCTATGCTTTTACCCTGTATTTTTTATTGCTCACAAATCTTATGCAAACATGAGCTTTCCTAGGCTTACTTAATATTTCCCTTTATGTGACTATCAGTGACAAAGTGCAGTGAATTAAGCAATGTGAGCATAAGGTGTAGGCCTTGTGAGAACACAGAGCACATGGAAGACCATCAGCATCCTCCTTGCGCTCATGTGCAGCTGGATTTGCTGGTGAGCACCCACAGGGTCATTTTTGTGTGTTTTCTGTTTGCATAGTGTCTCTTGCCTAGAACACTTTCCCAGTACATAACAATGACTACAGATGGTGACCTGAGATAGCAAAGAAAGTCTATAGTACATTGGTTCATAACAAACTCAGTCAGCTTTTGGTTCTTGTAGAGAAGCTAGAGTGTTTTAAGAGAGTATTTTATGCTAGTTAAGGAAGTTATTAGAGTTCTGTATGATGTAACTTTCTTGGGATTCTAGTCGGTATGATACGTGGAATTTATAGGCAAACAACATCTTAAGGTAATTAAGCTCAGATTTTAGTCTAGTTTTGAAACTCAGTTCTGACTTGACTGAGTGGCTTTTGTTACACATACATTTTCTGCTTATGTAAATTTAATGGTATCTACAACTAGGTCTCGAAGCATGCGACATTACTGATTTTTCTATAATTTTTTCTGAGGACTCTACTGGTGGGAAGATGAATATCTGGTCCTTCATTTCCTACTACTAGCTTGTTGGCTCTAAGTATGAATCCTCCCTAATGTTGCTGAATGTGTAAAGCCACTTGGGTGCTATCTAGGATAAAGTGGGCAATACTTTATACCAATTCCAGGAGGTAGAACCAACTTGGAGGTTTTAGATGTATATGTGTTAGGTTGGATAAATAAGCCACACAGGACGTGTTCTTGAAGAGCCATACACTAGGCAAGAAACCATGGTTAGTGGTAAAATCACTGCAATCCAGTGCCATAATGAGGTAGAAAAGTTGGCATGCAAATACTGAAACTAGAGACATCTAGGAACCATGACAGATCATGGAGTTGCCAGAATTGGGCAGAACATGTAATTGGAGAATGTTGAGAGTTGAGGGAGGACTTCATTGTAATGAACAGGCATTCTGGGCACAGAACAGAGGAACTGCATTTCTCTAGGCCCTTTTGTCTGTGTTGTAGATTAGACTGTTTAGAATAAAAATTGAAGTGGAATTTGGCAGGAAGTATGGTATGTAGAGACCAAATCCTATCCTGGATGGGAAAGGAAACAGGATTGGGTGACAGGAGCACTTAACTGCAGTGCAGGCCCAGCAATGCCTTAGCCAGTGTTGGTATTCATGTGGCCCTTCAGCTTGTTCCATGGTGGCCTGAAATAGCTGATCTTTATGTGTCTGCTGCAGTCAGTGATTGGATGGGGGCTGCATGGGAAGGGCATGCCCTTGGAGCTGAGGCAAACCCTGAAGTTGACTGGAGGCTGCTGACAGTGCTTCAAGCAGCTAGGGCAACATGTTTTTGAAGGGGATCTGGTTGGAGCATTCCTATGCCCTCCAAATCCAGTGATTTGGTGGAATTGTCTACCCTTTTTAATCTCTGGCCTGTGTTAACACATGCATATGCTCAGCATAGCTTTTTTTTGGCCCTACCTTTCCTACTGAGCTCCAGATGGAATCTGAGCTTTAGGTATTAGATGATTGACATGAGAGACAGAAGCTATGAAGTGACTAGACAGGTTGGAGACCACTACATACCCATTTTCACTCTCATAACCTAATGAGGTTCTTGTTTGCAGAAAACTAAACTTTCAGAACAATTTCATGACACATAGCAAGTGCAGTCTATAGGCCTCCCACATGTCACTTCTACAGCTTACAAAATTGACCAAAGTAGTTCATGCTGTCTCCATGTCCCAGATGGTTTGGACCACAGGGAAAATTCATTTTCTTAACCTTGGTCATAGGTAGGTCCAGGCTGTAGGACTTTGTGTCTTAAATCCATCCTCAATCTTTACCCTCAGTAGTTTGCTACATTGAAAACCTATCCAAGGATTCTGATGGCTCGAGCAGAGCTATTATAGGATCCTTATCCCAGGCTCCTCGGGTTGGGGTAGGTCTCCAGGCAGAAGTCTTGTTCCAGTCTTCTCACAGGCATGGGGTTGGGGAGAGAAAATCCAAAGTTTTCTTCACAGGACACAGCAGTAGTTTAACCCTTTGCTTGCCTTATGATATGAATGTCTTCTACTTGGACCTGAACCCTCAGCAGAATAAAAAATTAGAAACAATCTGAGATGGTTCTTACTGCCTGGAACTGGTACTCATGTAAGCATGGAGGCCAGATGGGCAATGTGGGCTGTGTAGGCATCAGACTGGCAGGGAGTGGACAAGTGGATTCTTGCATCACCTGGTGGAGGGAACTAGTCTCTCCAGGGTATGCAGAGGTAGGGCAGGGGCAGGTTCAGCTGTGGCAGCAGCTAGTGTCACAATAGTGACCCTAGCCAGAACTGGGGCAGTTGTCATGGATGTGGGGCCACTCAATCCCCAAAGTAGGAGGGACCCGGGGAGGGCAGGTTGGACTGTCCACCACTCTGAGGGGAAGATTCAAGCTGGGCAGCCTGCAGAGGATGAGGGTTGACACTTGGCACAATGAAGTGCCCATCTACCGTGGGCAGGGGCTGTGCAGCACACATCCAGGGAGGTCTTATTCATCCTGGATGTAGAGTTCTTCAGAACAACTGACTTTCATGTTGAATGTAAGTCGGGAGCCCCAATATAGAGCTCAAAGCCCGTGATGGTGTCCTAGAGTGGAACTTATCCTATAACCTAGGCACCTCCTTCCCTCCCTCCATGGCAGGTGTTAGCTACAGATATGAGGGGACCGCGTTTGTATGCCTACCACATGACCATTCTGGAAGCTACAGTTCTTGTTACTCTCAGCTCCAACTTTACTGGTAAATTCTACTTTGTCTTTGGCTACTTTATAGCTAGCCCCTGTAGCATCAGGTCAGGATGGCATGGTTCCAGGGCAGCAGGAGGAGGAAGTGCTTCAAGTCCTAGCCCCTGACCATTCCCTGGTGCTCTCTTCCAAGTGAGCATGAGGATAGATGATCTGTGATGGTTGGCTTCCCTGAGACCTAGAGACAACTGTGAGGGAGACAGTCTCTACCTGGATGAAGGGCACAGCTTGATGTAGACTTCTGCTTTTTCTTTTTTCAGATATGTCCTTTAACTTTCCTCTAAATTGTAGTCTGGAGCTTAGACTTTTGGATCCTTGGGTTACAGTCCAGTCTTTACTACAATCTCACTTGTCTCTTGGGGAATTCTGTGTATTGGATAATTCACAGGCTAGAAAAGAAAACCCTGGCCTAGTTTTATTTGACCTCCCACAGCCATTCTGTCCCCCACTGAAGCATCCTTGGCCTAGTGCCTTCCAGGTCCCTTGGCTTTGCCAAATTTCCACACTCCTGCCTTGTGACTTGGGTGTTCGTAAATACTGCTCTGGTGTCTGTTCACCTCCACCTTGCCCAAGGAGAATGGCTGTTCAAGCTCCCTTAGATGACAGCCTCACCTGCTGCCTCAGGCTAAGTGCTCCTGCTTCATATGCTGCTTCACAGCCTATGTGCCATTCATTCTGTCATGGTTTGTGACCCTATTTATGCTAGCAGGTACTAGGCAGCAGCATCTAATATTTGCCATCCTTGAAGTGGAAATGAAGCACACTTATTTGTCCAGTCATGTTTAGGTAGTTATTGGCTACTATGCTTTATGTAAAATATCTATGTCTGATCTTTACTCTGTACTTCCTAAGTATTTGACTTGATCTTTGAATATTGGGAATATGAGACCTCAGTCTGTGACCACATAATTTTTTTTCACCAGCTTTTCCAGAACGCTTACTTTTACGATAGCCTTTTTTTTTTTTGTATCTTTGGATGTCTTGCTGTGTAAATCGTGTTGATGAATTACTCACTGAAAACATGTAGTTTCCCTCCTTATTCTTTCTCTGAGCAAACCAATTTCCCTTTCTAAAGAAAACGTTCCTTTGTTTTCTTCCAGAGATTCTTTACTTATACTTTGGCTGAGTGGATAGTACTAATACTTATGTACATCACCACTTTAAAACCAAATATAAACTTTTCCAACATATTTTATAGATATTTCCTATCAGTGCATACAGAGCTAAGCTTAGATTCTCCCAAGGCAGAGTCTGAGCCCAGGGTTTTATTACCTTTTCCATGGTGGAGTCTTTCTGGTTGGTGTTAATGTGTGACACAGAATGGTAGGGTCCTCTCTCACTCATCTGCCAAAACAAATATCTAGCCTATTGGCTTTAGACATGTCTATACAGAAATTAGTATAACTGAATGTTTTCCCTTCTCATATAAGCACTGTTAAAACATGAATACAGCCCCTTGGATCAGTTATTTCTACAGGAGTCAATCTTGGTTGCACCTGCCCAGATCAAACCCTTCAGTTAATTAGGTGCTTTATTTAACAAAGCTCACTCATATTTCTTTGAAGTTAGGGACTTGTTTGGGCATTTGCCTCAAGTCCAAAGGACTTGGACTGCTGGCTCTTGTAGTCCTATAGTAGACACACAGATAAGTTATTACCTTGGGTAAGCAAGTATCCAAATAAGGTAACATCATAAAAGTGACAGAATTGGGAGTTAATATAAACCATGGGGTTCTGTTATTTCATGTAATAAATGTATTACCGTTATAGATAAACTAATGCTAAAGAAAGTTCCAAGTGTTCTGTGCTGGTCACTTTAGTTTAAAACTACAAATGTGGTGAATATTTGGACTTTGGATCTGAGTTCAGGTCCCTCTTTGACCTAATTGCCTAGTTACTTTGGGGAAGTCTGTTTCCATCTGTTTTGATCCCTCTGTTGAGCTTCATTTCTCCTCTACAAAGTTACGAAGGGGAAGATAAGTATTCAAACTACTTTGTCATACTAATGAACTGAATCTTCTCAAAGGTACACATGCTTTATAAGGAAAAACGGGAGGAAAAAAATATACTCTCTGGGCCAAAACTTGTTGGCTTTGCTTAATTTACTGGGCATTTTCTTTACTCTGTGGTTGAGCAAAATAGATGGTAATGTGAGACAGGACTCACTTGCTAGAAGCAAGCTGCTTTGATAGCCTCACAACCTGAGCTTTTCTTTCAGGATGTGGAAGAACTTCGTTTTTGAGCATCTAATGGCTCTAATAAAGACCTGATACCCATTAGTCTCAAGCAACATAACCCACATTCTCATACTACAGCACGTGTGGTTTTCTATATTGGATAGCCTATACTGAAATGGTAGTGGTTTCTGATCTAAAGCTTATAACCCACACATGTAGACTCTACAACTCCAAATGTGTGCACAAAAGCTCTTTGAGTGTGCCAAGTAAAATAAGTGGAAGTGTTACATGTGGTCATGCCACAATCTCAGTTAATGGCAGACTAAAGTGGGTCAACGATGTGCCACCTCCTGCAACCCTACCAAAAACAGAACTGACTGCTTCACACTCCGTCACACACCCACACCATATCCTGCTTTATTTCTTTCATAGTACTTACCCTACTGACCCAGACCCAATCCCTGTTGGACTGAACAAAGGACAAATGCAGGAATAAAGATAAAGACAAAAGGGTATATTTGGAAGAAAGAGTTGAGGGGCTCATTGCTTCTAGTGTACAAGGGCACTGAGCTTTAGATCCCTTTGTATTTGAGTAAAGGAGATAGGGAGAAAGAGGGATCGTTGTCAGTCAGCTGCTTGACTTAGAGCAAGCTTGCACGATGGCATTCTTTGAACAGTAGTCTCCAGATGTTCCAGTAGATAACCTCAAGGAGCATGGCACCAGGGAGTGATTGCCCTCAGCACACCTTCCGTCAGCAGGAGCAGAAGCGAGATTGCCCATGTTCTGCATTCAAGATAAACAGTTTGTTGTTTGATCATACAGCCTCAGTGGAATGCTGAGTTGGTCATGACACACAGGCCTTCGGCTCTCTACATTTCCCCCTTTCTGTTTATGTATTAATTGAAAGAATGTAAGGCCAGGTTTGGCAGCTCTCATTTTGTGATTGGCGGTCCACCTGATTTTAGACTATGAACAGAAGACAGGGACAAAACAACAACATTCCAAGGATTACATATAAGATGTTAATGTGGTGCTTTAGATAGGTCCAAGGATTGATGCTCTGCAGGTGTTGCTGGAATTTCAGTCCAGTCTTCTAAAGAAGGCTGAAACTCTTGAGTTTATTTAAACCAAGAATTTTGTTTTGTAATTCACCAATATCAAAGGTGATGTTGGATGTGAAAGCTCCCTGCAAATGGGCTTCCACAAGGTCCCACGGATACTCACTTTGGTTATATTCTAAGTTGGTTACACAAATATGAGTGTGATTAAAATGACAGCGCAATTGCTGTTGCAATTGTAAGCTTTGTACTTGTTCTCCTAACCATAGAACCATGGATTTCAACATTGCCACTTCAGTTTGTAACTCAGTGTTAATTTTATTCTGAAGTAGCCATGCTTGGTTGGTTGCATGTGTCAAGTTTTCCACATGCTGAGCTGTTTGAATATAACTATGCAGAGCTATAGAGGGCATCACAACAGAAGTTATTAATGTGACCAAGGAAACAATAGCAAAAGTTATCATGCCTAAGGCTCTATGGATGCAATGAGTAAGTTGAGTTAGAAGTTTCACGAAGTGCAAGGAGGGGGTGGCAGCCCAAGGCTCAGACAGATTAACAGGAATCCATAGCCCAGGGATGTGACCCCAAATTATCAAAGTAGAGATATTATGTGTTTGCAATGTGCTATGATTAATGCAGTGATATAACTGGCAAGATTTACAGGTCAATTGGGGTATTGTTTACCTGGAGCTGCTCCTTCTTAGCTGCCAAAAAGACATAAGGATTAAAAACACAAACTGTAAATTGAGTAGTGATATTCTTTACAAATGTAACATTAAAACTGTTGTTTACTATTGCTATTATTGGATAGTATCCCAATCCAGATGCTGCCATTCATAAATGGGAGTGCTGCCTTCCATAACGTCTCTTGGATTGGTCCTTTCCTCCCTAGATAGTGCCATTGAGGAAGAGGTGGGATAAAGCCTGCTCCATGCCAACAATCTGGGTGGCAGACTGGGATTGGATCCCAGTGTGGTATAAAGAAGCAGCATTAAAACTTGCCACTAATGCCAGCGAAGTTTGTGCCATGATTTCTGATTTTCATCTTTTCCATATATTCGACCTTTAGGCCCCCAATCCACAATGTCTCCAGTTAACATACATTGTTTTCTAGCCAGTTGGCCAAGACACTGGGTCCACAGAGGTGGATAGGAACTAGTGAAGGGAATCCATTCCGTATAGTCAGCACAACTGGGGTGACTGGGCCGGGAATGGTTGGTTAGCACACCAGTTACATTAATGGAACCAAGATTTAATAGGTACATGACATTTCCATAGTGACTCAACCATTCTTGAGCTTGAATTGCAAGACAGATACGGTTGAGTGACTTTTTTGTAGTGATACACAAGAGGAGTCCTTCCAGTGGGGCAGTATAATTAATGACATTGTTCTGAGAGTCTAACTTTTCTACGTCGGGGGAGTTAGGGGTCCTGGAGCCCACACTCCCTGATCATGATAGATCACTTTAGAGGAGTGTCACTCCAAAGTATAGGTTGTACTAGTGGGGGATTGGGAACATATGCCTAATATGTTTTTGCTTCTGCACAGGGAAAACATACCACACAGGACATTATGGCTAACATAGCCAAGAACATGGAATCAGGGGTTTTTGTCTGGCCTTGATGCTCCCATAGTTTTCTAGCTTCCTGTGTGGTTTTCTTGAGTTGCCCCCAGTTATGGGGGTTGATGTCATTGTGACTCTGGTCAGCCATCTCTCCATCTTTGCACTCAGGCTCAGCTGGCTCATGGCTCATACCAGAGGGACCGGGCCCATGTTTTGCAACCAAGTGTTCCTCCAGTTTCCCATTCCGTGGTTGCACGCACCTTCGGGGCACCCATACAGTTTGTTTGTCTCCTGTAAAAACACAAGCATACCCTTGTCTTCATGTTAGTAAATCCACCAGACATTTCCATTGTCCTCCTTCCAGGGATTTCCATAACACTTTTGGATAAACTTTCCTCTTTTCCTCTAACACTTGCCAATGTCTTTCTGCTGGAGTCTTACCATCTGTACCAGGAGTCAAAAAATTTAATGTAAATAAAGCTAAATATTTTGTTTGTGGTGGTAACTGGTCTCCTATACCTTTTTGTTTTTTCAACATGTGTTGTAATGTTTGGGCCCACTCTATAATGCCTTGCCCTCTAGGATTATAAGGAATTCCTGTTTTGTGAGTTATAGCCCAAAGCTGTAGGAAATTTTGAAAAGCATGACTAGTATAAGTGGGTCCATTGTCAGTTTTTAATTGTTTAGGGATTCCCATATGAGCAAATAACAATGTCACTGTGCATGCATCTGTTTGGCATGTAGCATGCAGCATATGAGAATAAGTGTCTATAGTCACATGAACATAGCTAAGTTTGCCAAAGGCTGCTATATGTGGAACATCCATTTGCCAGATTTCATTTGGAGCCAAACCTTGTGGGTTACAACTTTCTACAGGTGTGGCTCCAGGGACATGCTGGCAAGTAGGACAGGCTTGTATTATAGTCCTAGCTTGGATGCGAGACAAGTGAACCATGCGAGTAAGAGCAGAAGTATTTTGGTGCAGTAGCACATGGGAGGCTTGAGCTTGCTAAAACACAGAACCAATTTATCTGCTCTATCATTACCTAGAGATAGTCATCCGGGAAGTTGTGTGTGAGAGTGAATATGAGAAATATGAAAAGGAACTGCATGAGAGCACATAGCTTACTGAAGTCTTAGAAACAAATTAAGCAGTTCTGATTGTAGGGTATATTTAATTGTAGCAGTTTCTATGTGACTGCCTACATTTATAACATAAGCTGAATCACAGACACTGTTGATAGGATCTGAAGCTGTGAGCTATAAAACCTGAATGACTGCAATTAAATCTGAGTGTTGAGCTGAAACCCCAGAGGTCATTATTGTTTATGTTTAGGTCCATAAATAGCTGTACAATCTTTGGAAGAGCCATCAGCAAAATAAGTCTAGCCACCTGAAATAGGCTTGTGATGAGTAGTCACAGGAAGAATGAAAGAATGGACTTTATAAAACTGTAAAATTTTGTCTGAGGGGTAGTGGTTGTCTATTATTCCCACAAAGTCTGCAAAAGTGATTTGTCATGCAATCAACACATCCCAAGCTGTGGCCTGTTGCTGGGAGTCTAAGGGAACAATGATTTTACCTGGATCATATCCCATAAGCATCTTTGACCTATGACTGCTCATAGTCACAATTTGTGTAATTAAAGACAAACTTGTAAAGTTTTCACTGTTTGATTAGGCAAAAAGAGCCATTCTATTACTGTTACAGATTTGTCTAAGCATTGGCCTAAAAGTCCTGTTGGAGAATGGGGCATAGGAAGAATTGAAGCAAAGGTTTTTGTGGCTGTAGGTGGGAGGCATGTCATTGCTGTAGCATCTGCTCTACATGCTGCAACTCTGCTTCTGCCTCTTTTGTCAATTGCTGCGGGGAATTTAAAGAAGAGTCTCCTTGCAGGGTTTGATAAAAATGTGTAAGTTGATAAATTGCAATACCTAGCATTGGTTACAACCAATTAATATTTCCTAATAATTGTTGAAAATCATTTAAAGTCTGTAATCTATCTTTATGGAGAACTACTTTCTGAGGCTGTACACTCCTCTCTAACAATAGCTCCTAAGTAATGGTATGGGGAAGTTGTTTGTACTTTCTCTGGAGCAATTTTGAGATTCCATTTAACAAGAGCTCTCTTTACTTCTCTGAATAATTGATGCAATATTTGATCTGTAGGAGTGGCCAAAAGTGTATCATCCATATAATGATATATGCAGTAGGAAACATATTTCAAGGCTCCTTTAATGTTCTTCCCATGAAATGCTGACATAACATAGGTCTGTTTAGCATGCCTTGAGGCAAAACTTTCCATTGATAGTGAGAAGCAGGTTCTCTTTGATTAATAGAAGGCACAGAGAAGGCAAATCAAGGCTTATCCTCCTCATGTAATGGTATAGTAAATAAACAATCCTTAAGAACTATTACAACGAGAGGTCAGTCTCTTAGAATGGCCGCTTGGGTTGGCAGACCTTGCTGTAAAGTGCCCATCGGTTTAACTTGCGCATTAATAGCTCTCAAATAATGTAGCAGTTGCCATCTTCCAGACTCTTTTGGAATAACAAACACTGGTGAATTCCAGGGACTGACTCCTATATGTCTCGCAACCAATTGTTCTTTTACCAACAAATGAAGTTACGCTAGCTTCTCCTGTGTTAGGGGCCACTGATCCACCCACACAGGTTTGTCACTGAGCCAATCTTTTTCTGTCTTTCCAGTTATTGATATCAGCTTAGGGTTTCCTTGTAGGAATTTCCCTAAACATTTCCCACTCTGATATCCTATGTCCTTCAACATTTTAAATCCTGGATTATCAAAGTTTTCATTTGTAAGTCTCATCCCATGCTATAGGTAAGTCTCAAGCCCATAAATTGTTAGCTGTATTTGTAACATAAGGCTGGAAAGTACATGATTGTCCATCCAGACCAAGACAAGGTAAAATCTCAGCACTCTGTTGAACACTTAGCTGCTCCCACTCCCACTAGGGATCTGGAGGTTAGTCTGAGAGGCCATGCTGGGGGTGAGTCCTTACTTAATATTACTGACACATCAGCTCCTGTGTCCATAAGCCCATAAAATTTTTCCTTTAATCTGTACTACACAGGTGGATCTATTAGAGGCTATAGGTTGTGATAGATTTCTCCTGTAGTTGTGCTCTCAAACCCTTTATTTCCTCATCTCTCCTCTCATGAAGGGTGTAATTTGCAGAGAATAAGCAATAGTTGTGCTATATATTCTCCCAGTTCAAAAACCCAAAGATCTAATTTCTTCTTCATAATCAGAATCAATCACTCCAGGGACTGCAGTGATGCCTTTCAAGTTAAGATGGCTTTTGCCTAAAATTAGTCCCATATATCGTGCCGGTAAAGGTCCCCAAATGCCAGTGGGAACTTTGATAGTTTTGTCTCCACCAACTAATGTAATTCTTTCTCTGACTGGAAGATCTAATCCTGCACTTCCTGGGTTGAGGGAATTAATGTTTCTCCTGGGACCCACCCCTCAAATGCAGTTGTGGCCTGGACTGGGAATGCCCTCATTGTTTGAGGAGCCTGGGTCCAGACCCCCATCTCATTTCCCAATGGAGGGGGTGCCATTTTGGTGAAATTTTGAGTGGCGTTGATTAGCCCACTGATTTCCTTTGTTACAGTGAGGACAGAGTCCTGGTGGTTTTTTTCCACTGGGGGTTGGGTGAACTGCATTATAAGATCCTTTCTGTCCTGAGATCAGGTGGCATTCCTTTTTAAAATGTCTAGTTTTTCCACAATTATAACATTTTCCCATTTTAGGGTTCAACCCTTGGCTCTTTTTTAGATTTGTTATCTTTTCTAGATTTGTTAACTACTAAATTAGCCATTGCTTGCACTAACATTGCAGAGTGATGAAGCTCAGTTCCTACATCCTGACAAGCTCTGAGAAAATTTCCCAAGTTTTTTGTACAACTCACAGGTGCCAGTGCATGTTTACAATCCACATTTGCATTCTCAAAAGCTGAAGTCAAGGTTAGCATTTCTGCAGCAGTGGTGTGAGGAATCTGATGCTTCACTGCTTCCTGTAATCTTGCTTCCTGTAATCTTGTAATTTTCTTGTAAGCAAGAAAATGTGCTTAGGGCTCCTGTGACCCTTGCATGATATGTAAAAAGGATTGTACTGGGAGTCCCTCTTCAGGAATTGTGGCTCAGGTGCATTTAGCGGCCTGTGCACACTGCTGATGAGCAGTGTCTGGGAGTGCCATTTGATGTTCCAGGTATGAATAAGGGCCATTACCTAACAGCATATCCTTTGTAATGTCTCCATGTCCAGCAGCGTGGTTCTGTCTAGCCTGGTCTGCACACATTTCTTGCCAATTTAAATTCCATGTCAGGTGTGCACTAGCAGACAAACAAGTGTGAGCCAAATGTTTTACATCAAAGGGTAGAAGGCACATAGCACCAAATACGGATTCTAGCAATCCTAAAATGAATGGGCTCTGTACCCCATTATTAACTACACTAGTTTTTAATTCCTTCAACAACTTAAACTCTAGTGGGGTGTGCTCATGAATAAACTGCTGTGGATTGTTTGGATCAGGCCTTATGGAAATAGGAAAAGTGCAAGGTCCTAAGGGCTCTCCAGTTATGGCAGCAGAGCATAAAATTCTTTGTATTGGGGTCTCTATTTCTGCTACCAAAGGAGGTGGTACAGATGTTTCTGCTATTGTAGGGGGCAGTATAGGCCAATTTTTATCCTTGCTCTCCTGTTTTTCATTTTCAATTTGTGCTGTGAGTGGGACAACCAATTCTTTCAGATTTTAAAACTCAGAACATGACTCCGACTGTCCAGCAGAATAAGGAGATAATGGCAGAAGGACAGTATGAACTAAACACAAAGTGGAGAAAACAGAAGGATCAAATTTAAGACCTTTTTGATGAGCCATTTTAATCCTTCTCCTGCTCTGTCCCAATTTTCCACATCAAGAGTGCCTGTCTGTGGAAACCATGGGTTATACGTAATAACCTCCTGCAACATCTAAATGTCTGAGAATTAACTTGATCACCAGATTGTTTCAACAAAACTTTAAGCAACTGCACATAATGTTTTCTTCAACAGACAAATTATGCCCCCATGTTACCCTGATTCAGAAAACTTCCCATTCCCAGTACTTCTTTAGAGCACTGACCTTATATCGCTCCCATTACCTCTTTAGGGCACTGATCAGTACCTCTTTAGGGCACTGACATATCTGCTGCTGGCAGACTCATCCCAGCATCCGTGTTCATCTTGTCAATTTCAATTCCTCTCTTCCAACAGACCTTCTTTGTTCACACCCTCTAAGTCCTTGTGTTTGGATGCTACTTGATGCAGATCCAATCCCTGTTGGACTGGACAAAGGAGGATGAACATGGGAATAAAGATAAAGACAAAAGAATATATTTGGAATAAAGTGTTGGGGGCTCCTTGCTTCTAGTGAACAAGGGCCCTGAGCTTTAGAGCCCTTCATATTTATTGAGTAAAGGAGATAGGGAGAAGGGGGGTGGTTGTCAGTCAGCTGCTTGACTTAGAGCAGGCTTGCACAACAGCAATCTTTGAACAGTAATCTCCACATGTTCCAGTAGATAACCTCAAGGAGCACAGTGCCAGGGAGTGATTGCCCTCAGCAAACCTTCTGTCTGCAGGAGCAGAAGTGAGATTGCCCACATTCTGCATTCATGATAAACAGTTTGTTGTTTGATCATATAACCTCAGTGAAATGCTGAGTTGGTCACTACCCACAGGCCTTCAGCTCTCTACACCCTACCTGACTCTCTCTGCATGTGAATGCAAACTGCAGGAGGGCAGGGACTTACTGTTCACTGCTGCACCTCCAGTGCCCAGGATTGTACTTGTCTGACAGTTTGGATATGGTGGTCATGCAGTTTGGTGCATGGAATATCACTGCTAAGAGTACAACATTTCTGTCAGTGCTTGGAAGGACTTTTGTACTTCTGAGATTACCTGGGATTCCTAGAAAATAGATCCTGAGGTAGAACTCGGGTACAATAGTTTATTGGGTAAAGGAGTGCCTAGCCTCAGAATAGCAAGAGTGAGGGGATAAAGAGTGAGGCAGGAAGAGGGGAAGTTGGGTGATTTTAGCTTCCCACAGCTTTTTCAGAAGGACACAGCTGCTTGCCACATCATGCAGGCAAATTTTTCCATTGTTAGCAGAGAACTGAATTTATTTGTAAACATATATAATTTAAGACTACTAGATTCAGGCCAGGTGCAGTGGCTCATGCCTGTAATCCCAGCACTTTGGGAGGCCAAGGCAGGCAGATCACCTGAGGTCAGGTGTTCAAGACCAGCCTGACCAACATGGAGAAACCCTATCTCTACTAAAACAAAAATTAGCCAGGTGAGGTGGCGCATGCCTGTAATCCCAGCTACTCAGGAGGCTGAGGTACGAGAATCGCTTGAACCTGGGAGGCGGAGGTTGCGGTGAGCTGAGATTGCACCATTGCGCTCCAGCCTGGGCAACAAGAGTGAAACTCTGTCCAAACAAAAAACAAAAAACAAAAAAAAAAAACTGTTAGATTCATAGAGGCTTACTTCCAGCAAACTGAAACTTGCTGCTCACATTGGTTAATGACTTTATCTCAGGTCATCATCTTGTTTGGATTTTTAAATTAGCTCTTCTTATATTGCTATTATCTATTCCATCTTTGTTTTGGGAAAGTAACACACTTAAGGGATTGGGAGTTCAAATAGAATTTTAAAATCCAGTCTGGTAATATTCTGTAACCAGATATTAGAAATCACAAGTGTCCATCTACCCTTATGTTATGCTTTGTTTTGTTCTTGTGTTTCAACTCTTTTTGAGTTACAGAAAGAAGGAAAGCAATAAGGGGTTGTTACCAAAGGCCATGTTCTCCTTGAGTATGTAGGGTGTCTCTCACCATCTAGGTTCTCCTGGAGTGACTGCTGACATGGGGTTGGGGTGCAAGGTTTTGGTTTGTATGACTACTGCAGTGGCTTTGTTTCCAAAAGTATGATGGCACCTATGTCTGGTCTGAAGGATGAAGGGCACATAACCTACCTGCCAGAATCCCTCTTCCTTCTTTCCCTGTCTGCATCAAGTACTCCATATGTCCAGGTCATCATTTGTCCCCTCCAAGCAGCTGCTGGGAAAGCTGGCTCTCATTCCCCATGGTGTGTGGTGGTCTGCCTGAGTCCCAGTGGTGAGGGAGGCATAACCTCTGCAATGGCGGTTGAGGCTAGGGCTCTCCACTGGGAAAGCAGCTGAGAGTAGGGCTGAGCTAATGTAAGGAGCATAGCAATCTGGTCTGTATCTCTGAATCATAAAGAGGTTGATAATTTAGGTGACATACATAATTCAGCCATCATATTATAAGCTATTTTTCTCAATTAAAATTAAAACAAATGTAAATAGCATTATCAATGTTAGTACATTCTTCCTTTGAGCTGGAGCTGCAAGGCAAATTAAAAACTAGTACATTCTAACAAAGCATACTCATAGTTTTACTTCTAGTTAAATGTGTAGGGATAATTATGGTATTAGCCTAATATTTGAAAACAAGGCAACTCACTTTCGTTTCTAAAAGTGTCACTAAGATGGCATTGATTGCAGCAAAGTCTATTGGGTTAGCTAGAATAAGCAGTGAGAAATAGAGATAATGCTTGTTCTCATATCCTTGTTTGGATACTGCTTTAAAGTATAAATCATATAAAGGTTATTTAGAAAATCACTATTTCCGAAGAACTGCCTTGATATACTGTGACACTCATAATGAGCTGCAAAAATTAACCTACATCTTCAGGTGGGTCATATTTCATTGATCACTATTGAATAAAAATTCTGGGGTAGAAAATTTAAGTCTTAACTTTCTTCAAAGAGACCTTTTAACACGTTACACGTATCTAAGACATAAATGGCATCTGTTTTCCCTTCTGGCTGTTCACATACACATTTAATGTATTGATCATTTTTTTAACTAAAATTTGACACTACAGTTGAATGTATTTGCTGCATTTGCAGACTTCATGATGATCAGAGTCCCAGAAGGAAGGGGAACATTCTGCACTGACTTCAGACTTTAGGGGGAACTTTGCAGAGATGGGGATAGGTTACCCTAACCCAAGGATGTGAAAAGCCTAAGGGCTAGTGCAGGTAAATGACTTTACCACCACAGGCATGAAAGTGCCATGAGAAGGCATGGAATAAACAGAGCCAGTAAAGGGGGTGTTGTGTGAGGGGCTTCAACACCAGGAGCTGTGGTTCTAGAAGGTACAGCTGCTGGCAGAAGTGAGGTGCTGAGGCTCTAAGAAGATGGGCGAATAATCACCCACTACCCTCCTGGGTGTCTCCTATTGTATAATCCCACTTGGAAGTAACAGGGCAGAGGACCACATGTGATGTAATTTGTAAAGAATTGGCACAAATGGGCACAGATCAGGGCAAAGATGGAAAACCTTCATAGAGGAAGCAAGTATAGGAAAACAGTGTGATTGTTTCATGTGGGAGATGTGCAACCTCCATTTCTAAAAGTGTCACTGAGATATATGGGCACTGACTGCAGTTCTTTGGAAACAGTGATTTTCTAAATAACCTTTACATGATTTATACCTTAAAGCAGTGTCCAAACAAGGATCCAAGAACAAGTGTTAGCTCTATTTCTCACTGCTTATTCTAGTTAACTCAATAGGAGTACTAGGAGGGCCCTAAAAAGATATCTGGGGCATGAAACCTGGATGGAGGCAGTTTTTGGAAAGGAGAATAGGTTAACCTAAGAAAATTGGTCTCGGAGCAGATGACCCACAGAAGAAGGTATTTCAAAGCAAGAGGATCTCAGTGGATGAATAGATGCTGAAGCTCTAAAGCAAAGATCCAGAGAAGCCAGAGTCAGCTCTTCTATGTCAATGACAAACACCTTGTAGGGTAGATTAAGGCCACAGTAGTGGAGGATGGCATATTTTCTAAGTATGTTCTTCACAAACAACATGATGTTCATTTTTTTCTCTAATCATAGAGAAGCCATTCAAAGGAATGTGGGAGGCTTAGTGTATCTTTTATGCTTTTCAATATATATTATGCAGGCAATTCTTCCTGTAACATAGAAGTATTTTTAGGCCTTAGGCTCATCTAATTTTCATTTGTAGGTAGAAATAAGAAATCCCTACAAGAAATAAATAAATCCCTACAACCTCACAATGTGAGCATGATATTGGTCTTGTGGGGACACAGCAGAGAAGACGGCAGCTCACTGGCATCTTCTGCACATAAATGCAGCTGAATTTGCCCAGTGTGCACCCAAAGGTTGATTTTACTGAATTTGTTGTTTCGTAGCTTTGGTTAGAAAAGCTTTGCCAGTTGTACAAATAGGCAGAGGGTGTCCTCAGATAGCAAAGAATATCACTGAACTCGTTGATTCACAACAAATATGTCTTTTGCTCTTCCAGAGATCCTGGAAGGCTTAAAGAATGCTAGTTTATAATGCGTTTTACTCATCTAGGCAGTTCTTACAGAGCCCTGTATGCTTGTTCCTTCTTGGTGCTTAATGTCTGTGTTAACATATCTGAAATTCATAGGTAACACCTTTCCCAAGATAATTTAGCTCTGGTATTAGATTTAGAATCTTCATCCTGGTTTTTTTGGTCTAGTGTTTCTCAAACGTTATTAAATTTACGTAAGCATATTCATCTACATCTTTTTAGATCTCATGGAAGATATACCAGTAAAGAGAAATGATGAAATTCCCAGCTCCCCACTTGTGGGAAGACAGATATGTGGCATCTCCTCTCCCCCAGATGATTTTGTGGCTTTGTTGGGATCCTGCCTGGCATCCCTGAATCTGTAAAGCCAGTTCATGAACAGTCTGGACATTGATAAGCCCCACGGTCGGCAATGCTGCTCCTAGATTCAGGAGGTAGGGCCAACTTCGGCTTTCTTGGACATTTGTTTCGGTTGGATAGGTGAAAGACACCTAGAGAATTTTGTAAGTGAGGAGCCAACACTGGGTAGGAAACAAGGCCAGAGGATTAAATAAGTATCTATGGTGACAAAGCACTGGAAGAAATTCCAGAAGTTGGAATAAACCATGTCCTGTGCTGTAACCACCAGAAATGGGCAGAACACCTCTTCAGGGGACTCGAGGTTAATGTTTTGCTACCTAGCAAACTGATGTCAGGAAGATCTTAAACCTTCTAGTCTGTTCAACTCCTTCAATTTTCCCTAAGCATTTAGGGCAGCTGGCATCCAGATGATTATTCCTTTAGGTTAAGGTCTGAGTTTTAATTAAAATTACTGATGCCCAGAGGACTTACTCTCATTTTGGATAGTGAAGGCTGTGTGCTTGTCAGAACAGGATTGTAAGTGTAGTAGAATTGCCAGTCCTCCTTCCAGGTCATGTTGCTAAAAACCCTGAAACTTAGAGTAAGGATATTTCTAAGCTACAGTAACCATAGGCGCTATAAGCTTTGCTGGGTTCTTAGGTCTTCTGATAGGAATGGAAAGCGACCTGGGTTGCAGCAGGTCCTTCGAGGAACAAATGCCAAGACAGTATTAGATGGACAGGAATTCACTGGGGTAGATGTCTATGAGAGAAAAGAGTAGGGGCCACAGGAGGGGCTTGCCCCACAAAGTAGGGAAGGAAGGAGGTCAGTTATAAATCCTCAGATTGCAATGAGTTGCACAAGGACTTTGGGTAGGGCAATAGCAAGTCTTTGACTCAATATTTGACAGGGATCCCACAGTGAGTTAATGGGCTTGCCTTCATGTCTTTGCCATGGCACCTTGGCTGGACCTTTTAGTCAATTGCACTCCCTACTGAAGGTATCTGAATGGAGCTTTCCCATGACCAGTAGAGCTCTAACCTGAGAAGAATCCTAGAACTTGGATATAGATCTCAGGGCTGTTTTTTTGTTTGTTGTTAAGGTATAAAATCCAGTTACATCTGAAGCAAGGTGTAGATCTTCATATTGCTAGCTCTAGACTCTACAGGGTGAACATAATCAGCTACTTAAATAGTTCGTGTTGTAAGCTTCACTGAGCATTAAGAAATTAACAACTTATGGCCAGGTGCGGTGGCTCACACCTGTAATCCCAGCACTCTGGGAGGCTGAGGCAGGCAGATCATGAGGTCAGGAGATAGAGACCATCCTGGCTAACACGATGAAACCCCGTCTTTACGAAAAATCCAAAAAATTAGCCAGGTGTTGTGGTGTGTGCCTGTAGTCCCAGCTACTGGGGAGGCTGAGGCAGAAGAATGGTGTGAACCCAGGAGGCAGAGCTTGCAGTGAGCCGAGATCATGCCTCTGCACTCCGGCCTGGGTGACAGAGCGAGACTCAGTCTCAAAAAAAATTTTTTTAAACAACTTATGCCTGAGTTTTATGTGCTATAGGTTACTACTCAGGAAGTCTTTTGTAAAACAGGTGGAGTGTCCTGATGTCTGGTTGGGAAACTGGAAATGCAATACAATCACTTTCTTCCTGGGTGTATTGCATGTATTAGAATATTAGAGGTATTAGTGTAAATGGGTTTCCTCTATTTGCAAGGTTAAAATCAGTCACTAGTTAGTAAACTTGGGAAGTTAGGAAGGTGAATTAAATAATTAAGAATCTGTTAACAGGGTAGCTCCTTTGGTATGGACAGTGAGAAGAGGGTACCCCCAATCTTAGATTCCTAAGGAACTGTTGTCTAAGCATAATACATCGTAAGTGAGCTCACAAATAGACCATAAACCTGAATTTTTGAGTAGGTGAACAAGAAATTGTTAGTATCTTTGGTTATCCCTTGATGTTAATCACATAGAGCAACATGACAAGTTTCAAGGTATAGTAGAGTCTATGCTAGTCTTGACTTGAGTAAGAACTCCTCAGTGAGCAAGATAGCATAAGCTCAGAGACCTAATGATTCTGTGTACTTGGCTTGGGTTTTATAGAAAAGAGTGTGAGTGTTCAACATTTATTGCCACATTCTCAGCCAAACACATCCCTGACTTTCTTCTGGAGAGAATCTATTCCCCATCTGCCTCTCCCCTTGGTCATTCTTAGCTGTAGGTCTAGATGACTTTTTATTAGGGTAATATCCCATTTCCTTTCCCACATCCCCATAACTACCATGACTAGTTCAAGGAACGGCATGCTATCTTAGATGGTCATGCTACTAAAACTCAATATGTGCTAAAACTGGCATCTGTTCCAGAGCAGCTTTTGGAAGAAATATTTGCAAAATAATGCATTATGGAGCACAGGCCCTCATAAGACTATGAAATTCCTAATCAGAGTGAGGGTGGTATTAGGGCACTATGTGGACCGTGAGAATGAATCTGATACCAGAGAAGGTAGAGGACACAAGAAAATCTGGTTCTTGGAGAAACTGAGCCTGTCGAACCAGCCTTACTTGGACCAGTCAAACTCAACCAGCTTTGACTTTATTTATTCCCTAACCTGTCATGCTGCCTTATGTGATTACAATCAAGGGATACTGTTAAAAAAAACAAAGCCTGGTCATTTAGTGTTGGTTCACCTACTCAAAAATAAGTTCTGCTTTCTGGTATATTTGTGGGCCCACTTATGTGGATATTACTGTTTGTGAGCCGATTACTTATTTTTACTTAAGCTAGTGTAGTTAGGTGTTTGTCACTTGCAGACCAAAGAATCCTAAAAGTTATAGCCCAATGCATCACTAATGTATGTATTAGAGTAAATGGGTTTCCTCTATTTGCAAGGTTAATGAAGTTGGAGTGAACTGAATAATTCAGGTTTCTCAGACTACACACTTTAGGAAACTACCTTCTCCCATTTTAAAGGGAGCCAGAAAGCTTATGCCAAGGCAAATATAATGAAATTATTCCATACCCATGTGGCCATCTTGTTTATAATAAATCTAGTATATATGCCACTTTACAAAGGCAAGATAGTGCTCTTAAAGTCATGACTAATGCAAGTTTTAAAAAGTTAAGTATCCCCTGCCATATGTGGGACTACTGTCCAGAACTAATGCTGGTTAAAACAAAGAAGAAGCTTTAAATGAAATAAAATACAAACTGAAGGACTAGCTCGGTGGTGTCATGGTTAATAACAAACCCTTGTGCAAGCGAGTTGCCTGGATCCTAGTGAGTCAGTAAATCCAGTGAGCCTCCAATCAAAATAAATGAATTCTGGCCTCACTGGTCAGCCTGGGTTCCTTGGGCCACTTAATTTTGGATTCTCCTTGATGAGCTGCTTTGTGAGACATCAATGGGAGCCATAAGAGAGCTTTGCCCAGGAAAGTCACGAGTTTACTTGGGTCAAGAGTAGAAAGATACCGCTTGTAGTGGAACATAAAACCATAACTAGGAATCCAAAATTGGCCCAGAGCAAATGGGAGGTGACAACTTGACATACTTTGAAATACTGGTAGTAGTAGGGAGTTTTAGAAGGGAAGATCCATATACCTCAGACATCACATCGATATGGAATAAAGTTAATAACCATAGTTAGGGTAATGCAGGAATGGGCCCAGTCACCTCTTCTGACTTAGATGGTATTTTTTGCTACTCCATTTCCTCTGAATGGAGTAGTCTGTGTCTACAGGGATATGCAAGATTGCTTCCACATCTGAATTATAGGATGAAGTTTCATTTGAAACTACTCTATGCTGGCTTTTGTCCTCTTACATGTAGATGTCAGGGTAGGATTAGATGTTCAAGAGATTCAGAGGTAGGAAGAAAGTGCTGTGAGGGAAATTAAGGAAGGAGCCAAAAGAGTCTGGGAGAAGATCAGATCACAGTGTAGGTCTGGCCTTGTTAGGGAAAGAGAAGAAAGATGTTTGTTAGGAAGTACCTTAGACCGAGGTGCAATACTAAGTGTTCTGGGAAGGCTGGCGACAAATACCAGAGCCCAAATTGCCCATCAGAGGAGTCATAAATGTCTTAAATGGGGCTGCCTTAGCACCCTGGTTGCGTTCAGGCAGAATGAGGCAGTGGAAGTATAGCATTCTA
The DNA here is from genome assembly GCF_000001405.40 of Homo sapiens. Classification (NCBI taxonomy): domain Eukaryota; kingdom Metazoa; phylum Chordata; class Mammalia; order Primates; family Hominidae; genus Homo; species Homo sapiens. Next base: position 77,408,391 of record NC_000004.12, read on the forward strand.
ATAGCCCCTACAGTTAGCCCTTGTTGTGCAGACTTACTACTTTGCAGAGTTCAGAACAGTGACTCCTTGTCCTATAGGATACCCTTCCTGAGAAGAATTTCAAGAGGATACTACTGAGATGAAATAAAGCTCCTGCCACTGAAGCTGATCTGGGGTCACAACAGATACTCATCTTCTGCCTCCTTTACCATCAACCCTGCATTCTTTGCCTTTAGCTGAGGTTTAGTGCTTACCTGGTGATGTGACCCAAACCTTCATCTTAAAGTGTCTGAACCCTAGTGATCATGTGCTTCTCAAGACAGGGCTGCTGAATGTTGGGGTTACAGTAGGGCGAGAAAAGTATGAGGAGATACTGGAGTGCATCACCTGGGTTTCATCCATATTCTTACTGCTCTCAGAGTGTAAGATAGCACAATCTCTTACTAATCGGTCACTTACCCCTGCCATGAGGAAGACTGTAAGTGACCAGTGGCTCATTCAGAGCTATGGAAAATGGGGTCATTCTTCTAAATGTTGGGCCCTGCATCAGAACAACTTATTAAATGTTCTTGCTTTTAGTGAATGGAAGAGTTTAACAGGATTCAGGTGCCTGTAGGGGAACACACTGCACCTGTGCTGTCTTCCCACTGGGAATACAGGGCTCTATAGGTGCTTCTGTAATATACTGCTGCATCATGAACTAGGGCACTCCACACATTTAGCACATTTACCTGGATTTAATGCTTCTGCTGTGCTTTCTGAAGCCTCTTCCAACATTGAGGCTACATGCTTCTGAATGGTGGTAATATGACCAGTTGACCTCAAGAACAGGGGCCCACTCTGTAACTTCTATGACCTCAGTCCATTCATAAGATCCTTTGCTGGGTATAATTCCACATCTGTGAATGATGTAGTGCAAATATCTCCAGACAGTGGTTGTGGTTAAGAATCTGCAAGCAGGAAAGACAAACCTATACCAAAACATATTCCTGTGAATGGAAGCAGCTCAATGTAGTCAATTTGCCAAGTGGCAAGTCTTCTTAAATAGTGCTATATTGGGATTCAACACTTGTCTCACTACAGGCTGGGCATTCAGCTGTAGCAGTAGCTAAGTTGTCTCTAGGAAATACGGTCCAATGTTGAGTACCTATGTAGCCTCAATCTCAGCCACCATGGTCATTGTCATTTTCCCATTGTCTGACAAACATTGGCTGACAACTGGAAAGGCTATTTTGTCTGGTTGTTCGTTGAGTCTTCTGTGACTGGTGCTCTGTAGTGGGTGTTAATTAACATCTGACATGAAATCTACATGTCTTTCACATGCATGTCCTATAGACTTTCTTGTCTCTTTCTAGTCCTTTCCATCCAGGCTACTGACCAGATGACTAGGCCATCGGTCCCTGCTGAGAGATCAGTATACATTCTCTTCTTGGGCCATGTGTCGCTCCACTTAAGGTAGATTCATAGTGAACTGGCTCGAGTTGTTAATTATTTTTCCCAAAGTTGGGGGCCTGAGAGGCATTTTTATGGCTGCTGAAACCAGAGTCTAGGTAAGATGCTTTCGAATTGGAAATAGTCCTCAGCATTTGGAATACAAGTTTGTCTCTCTCCTAATCCCAAAATATTTTTTTCTCACAAAAGCTTATAAATTCCTGAACAACCTAAACTTGGATTCACTGACATATGTGTACCCTTTTGATAAGAGGTCCTTTTGATTAAGGGGTTGAGGAAAATTTTTGATTACTTGATAATGAAATTCTTGAAGCATAGTTTCTCACTTAATAGAAGTTGAAAGCAGGCTGACCCTAGGATACTCCAGGTTCTCGTCAGCAATGCCCATGAACGCTCAAATTCCATGTTCCAAAAGTTCAGGCAAGGAGGCAGGATTGATGCCTGTCAGGTTTGGGCTGAGGAGTGATGGCACAAACCAATGTCTTGCCCAGGTGGTATAACTTGATTTCAAGCCTTAGTCCTTGTGGATTAGGTGTGATGAAATACACAGCTACTTACCTTTGCATCTGTAATGAGTAGAATCTATAACCTAGGGGTTTAAGTACCTTTTCCTTGGTGGAGTCTTTCCAGTTGGTGTGAGTATGTGACATAAAATGGTATGTTTCTCAATAGTTCATTTGTCGAAACAAATACTTAGCCTATTGGCTGTTGCCTGCATTTCTGCATGAAAATACTATAATTGGAAGTTTTTCCTCTTCTTGTATTTCTTAAAAATTTTTTATTTCCATAGGTTTTTGGGGAACGGGTGGTATTTGGTTACAAGTAAGTTCTTTAGTGGTGACTTGTGAGATTTTGGTGCATCCATCAGCTGAGCAATACACACTGAACCTGATTAGTAATCTTTTATCCCTCACCCCTTTGCATCCTTTCCCCCTGAGTCCCTAAAGTCCATTGTGTCATTGTTATGCTTATAGCTTAGCTCCCACTTATGAGAACATATGATGTTTGCTTTCCATTCCTGAATTCGCTTAGAATAGTTTCCAATACCATCCAGGTTGCTGTGTATGCCATTAATTCATTCCTTTTTATGGCTGAGTAGTATTCCATGGTGTGTATATATATGTATATACACATGGTGTGTATATACACATATATATGTGTATACCTGTTACAGTTTCTTTATCCACTCATTGATTGATGGGCATTTTGGTTGGTTCCACATTTTTTGCAATTGCAAATTATGCTGCTATAAACATGCGTGTGCAAGTATCTTTTTCTTCCTTGTGTAAGCAATGTCCCTATAAGAAGAGTCTGCCTACTAGCTTGAGAGGGAGTCTGTTTCTTTCTCTAAACCTGTTTCCTGATCTTTGTCAGACATCATATCTCATCTACAAAAGTTGAGCAACAGAATGTGTGGGAAATCACTTCAAATGGAATAAACTATATTTTTTTCCAGAAGGGATATGTGCTTAAGGAAGAATGGCAGAAAAACTATTTCTGTGGGCCAAAACTTGCAAGCTTGCCCTAATTGGGCATTCTCTTGATCCTGTGGCTGAACAAAATATCTCAATGTGAGACTGGACCCTATTACATGCTGGAAGGAAACTACTAAGATAGCCAAAGGACCTGAGCTTTTGTTTAGGGATCTGTCAGAATTTATTTTGTGACTGGATAGTGAATGACTCTAATGAGTAATTCATATATATTAGTCTCAACCCACATTCTAATACAACTGTATGTGTGTTCTATACCATGGACATTTTACACTGAAAAGTGGTGGCAAAAGCTGCTTACTTGTTCTTGTGGTCTAAATCTTAACCTGCATGTGTAGACTCTACACATACCACCTGTGTGCACAAAAGCTGAGTGCCCCAAGTAAAATAAGGATAAAGGAAAGTCAGTGTTGCAAAATGTGGTCTTGCTACCGTTGCTGAATGCCAGGGGTTCCGCCTAGGTCTGGTGGCTTGCCACAGAGAAAGCCAATTACTGAGACAATGAGTATTGCCAGGGAAGACAGACTTTACCCCAGGTGATGTCAGTGGGGAGACTTCCTTTCTTAGGAACTCACTTTTCTTGTCTGACAGTTGGTTTCCTAAGGAGGGAACTCAGACAAGACAAAGGTAAGTTTCTCAAGCTTTAACACTGAAGGGTCAATTTTTATTTCTATACAAAAAAAACATGTAGATATCAGTTCTCTGGGAAAATTGGGCCAGTTTCACAACAATCTCAGTTAATGGCAGATTAGAGCAAATCAAAGATGTGCTGTATGCACTGGCAACCTTAATGAAAACAGGACTGCTTCTTTCCCTATCACAAACCCACTCCACATCCTACTTTGTTTCCTTCATAGTACTTACACCTGTTTGTCTCCACATTTGAGTTCAAACTGCAGGCAGGGATTTATAGTTCACTGTACCTTGGTGCCTGGGCTCATGCTGGCCTGACTCTGTCAATGTTCGATATGTTGCTTATTGGGTATAGCAGTCACATAGTAGTGCATGGAATATTATCGCTAAGAGTGCAACCTCGTTATTGCTTAGAAACAGGACTTGAGTGTTTAAGATTACTTACCTGGGATCTCTGGAAGATCTTGAGAAAGCTTACATGCATTTGTATAATCTTTTGAGGAAGGCAGTATACAGGACAGCCAGAGTAAGAGAATGAAGTGAGACAGGAAAACTGCAGTGACTTCACCTGCGTACCACTTTCCTGGAAAACACACAGCTGCTTGCTTCCTCTGTAGGCCAAGTAAAAATAATGTAACAACATCTGCTGGAGAACACTGCAGTGTAGTAGACTGCTGAAATTCTTGTAGTTGTGAACGTCCATGTACTTCTTAAGGTTCCTATTAGGTTGCAAAAGTAACTGTGGTTTTGGCCAATATGCAGGAGGTGGAGGCTGTGGTGAACCAAGATCGGGCCACTCCACTCCAGCCTGGGTGACAGAGCGAGACCCTGTCTTCAAAAGATTAGAAATCACAAGTGTCAATCCACTGTTTTGTGACTTCTGTTCTATTTTTGTGCTTCAACTGTATTCCTCAAGTTATGGAAAGAGGGAAAGCAGTAAGGGCCTGCTACCAAAAGGACCATGTTTTCCTTGATCATGTGGGAGCTCTCTCACAGCTTGGGCTCTCAGTCATCGCTTCCACAGAGTTTGGGGTACAAGGTATCCTTTTGCGTATCTACTCCAGTGGCTGTAAAGTATTATGGCTCTCATGGCCGGTCTGAGGGGATGGAGGGCACAGAATCTAACTGCCAGCATCCTTGTCCTCCTTCCTCTGTGCATGAAATCCCCTGCACTTCCAGAAAGTTGTCACTTGTGCCTTCCAAGCAGCTGTTGAAAAAGTCAGCTCTCACACCCGACGGTGTATGGTCTGCAAGAGTCCCAGTGGTAAGGGAGGCACATGACCTTAGTGAGATGACGGTTGAGGCCAGGGCTCTCCACTGAGCAAGCAGCTGAGAGGCAGGGAGGGCTAAACTGACTTTAGAGATGCATAAAAATTGACATGCTTCTGAAAGCATAACTTTTACAAAGCTCACAGGCATCATATATATATATATACCTATGATAATGGCTATAACTATGAATATTCTACACTAATTGTCTCTTGATAGTCATATCAAGCCTTAACATTAGCACATTCTAACAAAGCATACTCACACTTTCACTGATGAGTTAGAATAAACAGAAGACTAAAGCAGTATCAGAACAAGGATCTCTGAGGACCAGTGTAAGCTCTTTAAGGTCACAAATGATAGAAAAGTGGTTATTTGGAAAATCACTTTATTTCCAAGGAATTACTTTCCTACACTACGACACTCAAAATTAGCTATAAGAATTGATCTACATCTTCAGTTGGGTCACATTTCAGTGAATGCTATGTGACTGGTAGTGACTGTTTACTGCCGAACAAAAATCTCAGGACAGAAAACATGAAGAAAGTTTTGCCTCTTTTCAAAGGGACCTTATAACATAGTACATGTGCCTGCTGTGATTGTGTACTTGGGATTCCTAGAAGACAGATCCTGAAACAAAATATAGAAGCATTTGTGTACTGGGGAAAGGAGGCTGCAAACCCAGGGCTGCAAGAGTGAGGGAATTAAAGTCAGGCAGGAAAGAGTTACATGACGGCAGCTGCTCAATTACGAGAAGACACTCAGCTGCTTGCTTCCTATGCAGGTCAAATAAAAACACTTTAAATATTTGGAGGGGAACACTGCAGTCTTGGCCTGCTAAGTTTCTCCTTGCAGTTGTGAACTTTCACATACACATTAAGATTATTAGATTCGTAGAAGCTTGTTTCTGATGAATTTATATTTGCCAAAATTAGTTGGTGACTTTATTTCAGATAATCATTTTGGTAACTATACCAGCTCTTTTGATACACTATTAGTATCTGTTCTCCTATCTTCTTACTCAAAGTGATATACTTAAGAAATTGGAAACATAAATAGAACTTAAAAATCCAGTCTGACAATGTTCTTTAACTAGAAATACTAGAAATCATGAGTGTCAACCTACTGTCTTTGTGCTTTCTGTCCTGCTTTTTGCTTTCTTTGAGTTATGGAAAGAAGGAAAGCAGAAAGGGGTTGATACCAAATGGGGCATGTTCTCTTTGATCGTACAGGATGCATCTCTCAGCCTTAGCTCCATAAAATGTCCTTGCTGAAATGGAGTTTGAAGTATGAGATTGTCTATAAGGAATGGCTGCCTATGGAAGGGGGGAGGGGAAGAAGGCAGAATTAGAGAAGAGGTCTGCTGTGATCTGGGCACCACAAAGTTTTCACTAATGTGGTAGAGAGTTCCAGAGCTAGTATTGCTCCTCAATGTCTGTGATGGTTTGGCCTCTTTAGGCTACCTTGCTCAGATATCAGATGTAGGCTGTATCCCCACCAGCTCTCCGTAGCCGAGACTGAATTTGAGATGACTGTCGCCTATCACAGCTGGACCATGGAGACAGGGCCAGAGTGCAGTTGTCTTCCTGGGGGAAGCATAGGTTGCTGGCAAAGCCAGAGATGATGGAGTGGGGAGGTGGCAGGGTGGGGGTGGTGATGGTTGAGGCTGGGGTTCCCCACTGAGCAAGAAGCCAAGGGCCAAGAGGCAGGTAGGGCTGGGCAAATCTGGAAAGGTCAGACCAAATTGACACATCTGTAAGACATAGCTTTTATGTTTTACTGGCTCTTAAACTCACAGGACTAAATTTAGGAATATATACAATAATGGCAACAACTTTTGGTATTTCTCTAGGCTACTTTTCTTATAATAAAAAAATATTGAACAGTCTTGTCAACATCAGCACATTATAACAAAGCATACTCTTATTTTTACTATGTTAAATAGTATTTGTAGAACTATAATCATACTATGAGCTTACCGTTTAAAAATAACTTTAGATTCAGGGGGTACCTGTGTAGTTTTGCTACCTGGATAGACTGTGTGATACTGAGGTTTGGGGTATGATTGATCCCATCGCTCAGGCAATGAGCATAGTGCCCACTTGCTTTTCCACTATTGACCCCCTCTTTTCTTCCCTCCCCCTTTTCATCCCCAGTGTCTATTGTTGCTATCTCTATGTCCATGAATACCCAATGTTTAGCACCCACCTACAAGGGAGAATATGTGATACTTGTTCTGTTCCTGCATTAATTTGCTTAGGATAATGGCCTCCAACTGCAAGCATTCTGCTGTAAAGGACCTGATTTTGTTTTTAATGGCTGCATAGTATTCTGTGGTATACATGTAGCATATTTTCTTTATACAAGCCACTACTGAGGAGCACCTAGATTGACTCCATTTCTTTGCTACTGTGAATAGTGCAGTGATGAACATGGGTGCATGTGTCCTTTTGGTAGAATTTCTTTTGGATATATATCCAGTAATAGGATTGCTGTGTCAAATGATAGTTCTAAGTTCTTTGAGAAATCTGCAAACTGCTTCCCTTAGTGTCTGAACTAATTTACATTCCCACCAACAGTGTATAAACATTTCCTTGTCTTTATAACCTTGCCAACATCTGTTAGTTAATAGCCATTCTGACTCTGAGATGGTATCTCATTGTGGTTTTGATGTGCATTTATATTTGATAAGGGATTTTGAACACTTTTTATGTGGGTACTTGGCCACTTGTGTGGTTTTCAAGAAGTCTGTCTTTTGCCTACTTTTTATGGGGTTATTTTTTGCTTATTGATTTAAGTTTCTTAGGCTTTGCTTTGGCAAAGGTCTAATCTCCATAGTTTTCAAACACTTTCTCCCTTTCTGTAGGTTGTCTCTCTGCTCAGTTTCTTTTGCTGTGCAGAAGCTCTTGTTTAATTAGGTCCTGCTTGTCAATTTTTGTTTTTGTTGCAATTACTTTTGGAGTCATCATGAAATCTTTGTCAGAGCCTATGTCCAGAATGGTATTTCCTATATTTTGTCTAGGATTCTTATAGTTTGAGGTCTTATGTTTAAATGTTTAATCCATGTTGAGCTAATTTTTATATGTGGTAAACTGTGGGGGTCCAGTTTCATTCTTCTGCATATGGCTAACCAACCATCCCAGCACAATTTATTGAGTAGGGAGTCCTTTCCCCATTGCTTATTTTTGTTGGCTTTGTCAAAGATCAAATAGCTGTAGATGTATAGCTTTATTTCTGGGTTCTCAAGTCTGTTCCATTGGTCTATGTGTCTGTTTCTGTATCCGTACCATGCTGTTTCGGTGACTGTAGCCTTGTAGTATAGCTTGAAGTTGGATAGTGTGATGCTTCTGGCTTAGTTCTTTTTGTTTAGGATTGCTTTGGCGATTCAAACTCTGTTTTAGTTGTATGCAAATTTGAATAGGTTTTTCCAAATCTATGAAAAATGTTGGTAATTTGATAGGAATACCATTGAATCTGCAGACTGCTTGGGCAGTATGGCCATCTTAACACATTCTTCAAATCCATGAGCATGGAACGTTTTTCCATCTGTGTCATCAATGATTTCTTTCAGCAGTGTTTTTTAGTTTTCCTTAGATCTTTCACCTCCATGGTTAGGTGTATTCTAGCATCTTTTTTGTATGTATATATTGTAAATGGGATTGTATTTTTTATTTAACTCTCAGCTTAAATGTTACTGCTCTATAGAAATGCTACTGATTTTTACACATTTTTTTTTATTTTCTGGAACCTGAGAATTTACCGAAGTCACTTAGGTCTAGAAGTCTTTTGTCAGAATCCTTAGGGTTTTCCAGGTAGAGAACCATATTGTCAGTGAAGAGAATCTGACTTCCTCTTTTCCTATTTGGATACCCTTTATTTCCTTCTCTTGCCCGATTTCTCTGCCTAGGACTTCTAGTACTATGTCGAATACAAGTGGTAAGTGTGTGGGCATCTTTGTCGCCTTCTGATTTTCAAGAAGAATGCTTTCAGCTTTTTCCCATTCAGTTTGGCTGTGGGTGTGTCCTAATGGCTTATTTTTTGAGGTCTGTTCCTTCAGTGCCTTGAGGGCCCTCATTGTGAAGGGATGTTGGATTTATCGAAAGTGATATTGTCTTAACATTTAAAGACAACTACAAAAAGTAACTCCCTGCTTATTTTCCATCTCTAAAAGTATCACTATGATACATTTTTATTGCAGTAAAGTCTTAATTAGAATTAGCCGTGAGAAATTGGTCTCAGAACAAGAATCACTGAGGGACTAGTATTAGTTCTTTAAGGTCACAAATTATATAAACAAAGGTTAGTTAGGAAATCATTGTCTTATTTCTAAAAAATTGGCCCCAGGAATTTACATCTTCAATTGGGTCACATTTCAGTGAATGCTGTGATTGAAAGTGACCACTATTGAACAAAAATCTCAAGCAGAAAGCAGGAAGTGGGAAAAGTCTTATTTCTCCCAAAAGAGTTATTTTAATATCTGCTGAGACACTAATGGCATTTCATTTATTTTATCTGTTCAATACTCAGCTGAGGCTGTGAGGAAATGGGGGACTAGTCACCCACTAATCTCCTGGGTCCCTCTTTAACCCCACTGGAAACAAGAGGGCAAATGCCCACATGTGGTGTAGTTGTAGGGAATTTGCACAATTGGTCACAGAGCAGCAAGATAAAGAAGGATTTAAAATGTTTATAGAGAAAGCAGTATAGAAAAACAGTTGGATTGTTTCATTTTTAATGGATATATCATCTTCCATTACTTCTGAAGAGTCAGTTTGCCAATTCCATAAACAAGGTCTGCCGGTATTTCTGAAATAGCTTGAATCAGATCAATTTAGGGAGATTTTTGAGTATGTTTTCTGGCCACTTTATCAGGAAAGTCATGTTGGCATTTTGAGTGTCCTGTGCCATTATCACTCAGATCCTCTAACAGCCTTCAAATGAGCTGGATATTTTCCTTTTCCCATGGTACAATTAATCTGGTTAATGACTTTACCCTTTAGAGGGATCCTACACCATGGCAAGTGTACAGCTACTCCTTCAATCCTTGTCCAGAGTATCGGTAGCCCATTCAATTAATAAGCTCTATGTCTAGTAAGTAGCCGAAGTGTAGAAAATGAACAGCTGACATTTGCATTTTGCTATTCTTGTATTGATCATTGATTATGCAGGTCATTGGCTGTTCATCTGTTTTATCCTTGGTAACATTGGTTTATTGGGCATTGTCAGAAATCCTGTGGGTTGGAGCTCCGACAGCCATTGCAGCTCTGCTGCCTATCATAGTAACCACATCCACTTAGATTCTGCCAGCTAAATGCTGCCCTCTTGCTGCTATTCCACCTTACTCACATATATGAGAAAGCCCCATTTTCATAACACTGTCATGCCATCAACCTAGGACTTTGTAAGACAGCCAATGGTGAAAATCTTAAAGATGCCAGTGCTACTCCTGCTAACACTTACTACCTTGGTGAAGGTTGTATCTTCCAGGCACTCCTAGGGAACATAAATGCATGATCAATTATCTAGTCTTAAATTCATTCTAGCTTGCCCAACTCTGAGCCTTTTGACTGCAATGCTCAACCTCCAGTAGATAAGGTGGAAATTCCAGAAATGCCTTGGCAACTTCTCCCATGCTTAAAGGAGCCATCCTGTGAGGGCACTAAGGCTCATACCAGGTGTCTTTGAGGATATTTCAGATTCCCCTTGGAGGAGTGACTTGGCCCAGCTACCAGAAGTGTTGTCCAAATACAGCCTTCAGCTATCTGCTTTCAATTCACCCAGGAACATGCCTTTCTTCATCTAATGACTGATTGTATTGGAAGTGTAAAGGCCCACCCATGTTTACCCAGTGTGGAACAACTCTAATGGGTTAATTCTCCAGAACTCTCTAGTGTTGGGTGAGGTTCTTAGCTCTCTATTGCAGTTGACTTCTCCTATGACCAATCCTGCTACCTCGCTCTCCCATAAATATTCATCCCAAATAAATACTTTGCATGCCAAATTCTTAACATCTGCTTTTGAAGAAGCCAGCCTGAGGCAGCTGGTGTCAGAAGTGGTCCAAGAAAGCAGGTAATACTATGGTACTTGATTTAGGCTGGATTCTTGGCTGTCCACCTGACTCTGAAGACCTTATTGGTGGCAGGTGGAACACAAACCCTCCACAGATAGCAGTCCAGTTGTTAAATGGTCTCCCCAGTGATAAATTAGGATGGTATACTGCTAGAGTGAAGTGCATTAATTAGTATAACATAGCATGTTTGAGAAGTGCAAGGGAAATAGTCTTAATTCTTTTATTGGCTATGTACCATTGACATTAGAGAGCCATAGTGTCATCCTGGCCCCCATGATAAAGTAGGGATGTACTATGGCCAGATTATGAACAGAGTCATGACCAAAGTTCAGCAGCTTATAGGCCCATTGCATCCAGCCTGTTGGTGACTTCCCAAGTCCCAGAATATATTGGAATGGACATCCTTGGTGCTTGGAACACCTCTCACTTTGAGTGTTCTTGGCCTTTTCTGCTATAATAGCACTTACCTACAGGCCAAGTAGAAGATGTTTAAACTGTTAACACTGAAAAGGGCTGGTTAAAATCAGTGTCACTCATAGGGATCCAAATAACATGAGATTGGTGGTTCCTATCACAGCTCCTTTTCATTTACCAGCCTGGCCCCTGCAGAACTGAGATAAACCCTGAAGGATGAGAATAGGCCTCTGTAAATGCAGTCAAGTAGCCTGAATTGTAGCTACTGTTCCAAGTATGCTGTTATTGCTAGAACAGAGTAAGGCTGCCTTAGGTACATGATAGGCAGCCACAGATAAACTGCATTTTTTTTTCTGACCAGAAAAGAAATGGCCCACACTAATGTGCAATAGAAAACTCTACAGGGCAGTTGTGCCTTTTGTTACTGCTTCTGCTTCTGTCATAATGCAGTCTGAAGAGATCTGGACCACTTGGACATCCCACAGAATATAACACTGGACAGGATAAGCAAAAGGTGGCTAGCATGCTGGAGGTCTTGGTAACATACAAGTGCCTCAGATGTAAAGAGATATCCTATGGAAGTTCATGGACTTGTCCCTCTAGGGAGGTTTTCAGGGCCCAGTAGCTAGGGGTGTTCCAGGATATACCTTTATACCTTCCAATATGAAAGACAAAGTGCTGTGTATTATGTTGCCTGTTGTAAAGAGAAGCACAGGGCCTAGTAAGCTGCTTCAGATTGGAAGACACCATGTTTCAAGACTAGGGATCCTGCTCTAACCTTATACTAGGTGCCATTCTATTTTCATCCCAATTCTCTTAGTACTTGTGACGCTAGAGCATGCTAGGGTTCTGCCCTGCTTTCTACCAGTAATAGGGCCCCTTTGCTACCTGGCTAGCAAGTGATTCTATCCCAGAATTCCTTCCTAAAATCTCATTCCTGAGATCACTTCTGGAATGAATTGCCTTAGTTTGGGTAGCCCCAGGATGAGACCTTGAGGCAGGTTTTCAAACATCAGTGGTTTATCAGCTGCCTTTCCTCTGTCTCAACTCCCCAATCTTTTACTGATGCATTCTCCTAAAAGGGGGCATTAACAAGTTTGTCATCCTGAGAACAACTAAGGGGAATTCTGCCAGGGAGAGTCTGGTGGCCAGAGTAGATACACATGTCAGAATTGTCCCAGCCTGAGAGTCAGGGGATCTGGGATATTTATCTACTGATATACATCACTTATTATTAAAGGGTTGTTACAATGTGCTGTTGATTTCCTGATATATATTAACTTGCCACAACTGCATTGTTGCCTGAGAGAACCTCAGGTGAAGACATGCAGGGTGAGGCACACTGAATTTGGCAAGCCTGAGATGATACAGATGGGGTGTCAACTATGCTACAGTCAGTCTAACCAAACTACATGTATAGTATCACTTTAGCCATTTCACATTATTCCACTTACTATGCTTCTACCACTCTTCTTGCTCTCCATTGCGTAGGTCAAATATTTTGCTAGCTTAGAAGTCATGCATTAAGCCTTACTTTTTGGCTTATTTCACTCCTGTTTCTGCACATGAGACACATAGGAAGGTTTAGAAATACTACTTCCTATCCTAGTTCATTTCAGTTATATTACAGCATAAGCATTAATAAGGTCACTTTAGGCCGGGCGCGGTGGCTCACGCCTGTAATCCCAGCACTTTGGGAGGCCGAGGCGGGCGGATCACGAGGTCAGGAGATCGAGACCATCCCGGCTAAAACGGTGAAACCCCGTCTCTACTAAAAATACAAAAAATTAGCCGGGCGTAGTGGCGGGCGCCTGTAGTCCCAGCTACTTGGGAGGCTGAGGCAGGAGAATGGCGTGAACCCGGGAGGCGGAGCTTGCAGTGAGCCGAGATCCCGCCACTGCACTCCAGCCTGGGCGACAGAGCGAGACTCCGTCTCAAAAAAAAAAAAAAAAAAAAATAAGGTCACTTTAAACTACATTGTTTTTAATGTCTGCAATGTTATGTTTTCAGATGCATTCTTTTGCCCACCTCTGCCTGCCAAAGTTTTACTTAGACAATATCTTTTTTGGGTGCTGCACTTTTTTTTCACTTATTTTTTTAGTTAATATCATTTTTGACAGTTGTATGTATATGAGACACAATGTGATGGTTTGGTATGTGTTTACAGTGTGGCATGATTAAACCAAGCTAATGAACATATCCATTACCTCACCCATCATTTTTTATGGTAAGATATTTGAAGTTGACTAGTTATTTTGAAATACGTTATACATTACTGGCCATAGTCACCCTACTGCCCTACTGTGCAACAGATGTCAAAACCAATTCCTCCTATCTGAAATATTGTACCCTGTGATCGACAACTCTTTGCCCTCCCTCCCTAACCCTATCATCTAGTGCCTGTAGTTTGTGTGTTGTTGTTTTGAGATAGGATCTCCGTCACCCAGGCTGGAGTGTAGTAGTGCAATCTTGGCTCACCGCAACCTCCACCTCCCAGGTTCAAGTGATTCTGCCACCTCAGCCACCTGAGTAGCTGGGATTATAGGCACATGCCACCACGCCTGGCTAATTTTTGTTATTTTTGGTAGAAATGGGGTTTTACCATGTTGCCCAGGCTGGTCTTGAAACCCTGGGCTCTAGTGATCTGCCCACCTTGGCCTCCCAAAGTGTTGGGGTTACAGGTGTAAGCCCGCGTGCCTGGCCTGTGATTCTACTTTCTACTTCTGAGTTCAATTTTACTGAATCCTACATATCAGTGAGATGGTATGGTATTTGTCTGTCTTTGCCTGGCTTATTTCACTTAGGTGAATGTGGAGGAAATTTTGCTATGTTGTCACAAGTGATGGGACTTCTCCCTTTTTAAAGGTTGGATAGTACACCATTGTGCACGTATAACCCTTGTGTATGTACACTACTTGTTCTTCACCCATTCATCCATTATGGACCCTTACCTTGTTTCCTTATCGTCATGTATTCAATTCTTGTGATCATTACACCTACATTTTCTGTAACCAGTGTTTTTCTGGTTTTTATAACCACTGGTTATAACCAGCGTCTTCCTCCAAACTAATGAATTTACTTCCATCTTCACTACATAATCCTCTGTCACCCTGACCCAACACATAACGCCATTTTATTTTCATGAATTTTGGTTCTAGGTTGATAATGGACACACTACTGAATGTTTATTCTTGTTTATCTTGTAAAAATGTTACAAGCATGAAGATGCAAGACAAATGGGACAGAATGGAGCTGCCCAGCTCTTGTCCTGGTAGAAGGTGACCAGCTTCTACGTTCTTAAGGAATATACTTACCCCAGAAAGAGGGTGAACGATAGCACAACTGGCAGCAAGAACATGGTTGGGAGTTCGGAGGTAGCTCTGGGTCAAGTGAAGCATGGCAGGCAACTGTACTATAGGTCTCTCCAGTGAGCTCACTAATGGGGCTCCTAGGATAGGCAGTAGCAATGGCTAACTAGAGAAGCAGAAATATTTTATTGCAACTGCGATCTGGCTGAGCAACCTAAAGTCGTCTCTTTGCCTCTAGGGCCTTCTGTTGACTATGCTAGCACTAGACCCAGAGTGGGGAGGAGAGAACATGCTTAACTTCACCCCCCACCCCAGGCAAGTTCTTATGGCTAAACTCCTTCCCACATGTTTACTTCAAACATGACCTGAGGGCTCCAGTTTCAAATCGAATTGCATAGTCAGGTCACTTTCAGTTATTAATATTACAAAGTTATAGAATCATCTAGGGAAAGATTTGACCAAATGATTGAGGTTAGGGAATAGAGAAGAGTAGCAACCTTGTATTTTTTACTCTAAAGTTCAGAACAGTTCAGTAAAGTGGTTATGAATCACTTATTTTTTTCTTTACTAACCTCAGCAATCGCTGTCAACTTTCTCCAATTGCCATGTCCCTTGCTCGACTTCCATGCCCATTCTCCCCCACTTGACTCCTGACATCTACTTTTCGTTATCTCAGGATATCTTGTGTTGAAGGCCAAGTTTTCCCGTGTACTCAACACCAACACCTACCACTTGACTCTACCAGTTATGCCTCCTTAGGTTTTCAAGCTGTTCCCCTTGCTTCTCCTGCCTCTTTGTCAGCCCATAATTAAGTCGGTGTTTTAGTCCATTTGTGCTTTTATAATAATACTACATATAGACTGGGTAACTTAAAAACAAATTTATTTTCTCACAGTTGTTGAGGGTGTGAAGTTCAAGATCAAGGTGCTGACTAGTGAGGGATCTGCTCTCTGTTTCCAAAATGGCTCCTTGTTGCTGATCTTCTGGAGGGAGGAATGCTCTGTCCTCCCATGGTGGAAGGGCAAAAAGCCTAATGCTCCAAGGAAGCCCCTTTATAACAGCCTTAACTCCATTCATGAGGCAGGAGCTCTCATGGCTTATTCATCTCTCAAATGCCCTACCATTTGAGAGATGAATCATTTACCATTGGTAAACGATTACACTGGCCATTAAGTTTCAGCATGTGAATTTCGGAGGGAACATACTCAAACTGTAGTATTCTACCCCTGGTCCCCAAAAGTTATGTCCCCTCCCTACATACAAAATACATTCATTTATCTCAATGGCCCCCAAAGTCTTAACTCTTGCTAGTATCATCTGTAAAGTCTAGAATTTCATCTAGATATCACGTAAATCAGATATGATAAGACTCAAAGGTGTGTTTCATCCTGAGAAAAATTCCAGCTATAAATCTGTGAAACAAAGTTATTACATGCTTCTAAAACACAATGGGAAATATCCAGGACAGATATTTCTATTCTAAAAGGGAGAAATAGGTAAGAAAGGGTTTTTAACAGGTCCCAAGTAAGTCTAAAACTCAACAAGTAAGAACGGAACATCAACAGGACATAAAATCTTTTTTTTTTTGAGGTCACAGTCATTCATTTATTTCACATTTATTCTCATCACACTGGGTGAGGAGAGGAAGGAGTCATGTACCAACACACACAGATTGTGCTATTTTTCATCTTTCTGATAGAGTCAGGATCCAGATTCTAATTGTATTCAAGATCTGGATTAGTCAGCAGAGATGGACCACTGTGGTGGGGGGCCCAGGGCTGCTGAAAGGCAGGATACACATATGGAACTGACCATGGCGGGTTCATGTTCCAGGGCTCCCATCTGGATACCTGAGGATTTTCCACATAGATCACAGGTATTGGGGTCCACTTTGGCTCCTGAAAGGCTATAGGAATGCCACAGGCCTTAGGCTGGTGCTGGGGAGGTGTGAGGTCAGCCACATCTGCACAGGGAGGACCAGAGAAGATGCTGATCTTCCATCTGTATCCCAGAATCCTGTGCAGAGCCTCTGAAGGAGATCAGTCAGGGTGGTGGGAAAAGTTGTAAGTTATAGGGAAAGACACAAACCTTCTTGACAGGTCAGGAGGTTTTGCAAAGCTTTGGGAGAGAATAAAAGCTGAAGGCAGCTAATTCTCTTACTCTGAGGCAGAGGGCAAGAAGTAGGTGCAAGGGAATGTAGGGAAGTTTATCTAGATAAGTTTATTCATGTTGTCGGGAAACCAACCTTTGGTCATCCATGCGCAAGACTGCTCCCTGCAAGGGGGGAACGACAATGTTAATTATCCACAGGTTGTGTTGGCTCCAGGCCTTTGTCATTAAATCTGTACTGAATAAATACAAGCTTCTCCAGCTTATCCACACTGCTAACTCTTTGGCCCCTAGTGCCGGCAGTCCCCTAGCCCACTCTTTCACTGGATACTTGTGTCTGAGTACTCCTTTCAGCTGTTGCTCGGCCAGAGTCCGCAGGATGGGCCCGGCAGCCCTCTCCATGAGGACATGGCAAGGGTTGGCACCTTGGCCTCTGGTTGGCCTCATGAATAGTGAAGTATAAGTCCTGCAAGCTTATCAGCATCTGGAGACATTCCTGCTAGCTCTTCTTCATACCCCTCTGCTTGAGACGCCGGGTAATTGTTTTTGATACTATGTGATACCCTGTATACTTCATGCTCAAGAAATTCCCATTCTTGCAGGAAACTCTGGATTTCCTGGTCATTCCATGGTTTAATTAACTGAACTGAGGGCTTTTCTGGTCCCTGGGCTGCTTTCTTCTCCTTCATTCTGGATGTTTCTGGTAGTTTCAGTCTGAAGTGTCACTTTCTCCATTTTTATTCCTGAGTTTTCTCCTGGGATTCTTCTCACTGCACCTGCAGGGCCTGTTCCTGGGTTGGCAGAACACTGGCACTTATTCTGCTCTGATGGAACCTAGGAGAGTCGGGAAGAACCCAAGTGTGGAAATGTGTGTGCTTCTCTCTGCTTCTGGAGGTCTTTCAGGACATAAAATCCTAAACGTTTTTTATGGAATACCTTAATAACCCTTGTTGACTTTGCCATAGTCTTTTTCTTTCTCTGACTCTTATGTCATGACTTCCAGACACACTGGATATGGAGTGGGGACGATGGCCCCATGGCTTTTCTGGGTTCAGCCCATGCAGCAGCTCCCTGGTTAAAGTCAAGTGCCTGCAGGTCTCCCAGGCTGTAGTTGCATACAGAGTGTGCAGTTCTGGGGTCTCTGGGACTGCCTCACCCCCGTGACTCCAGTAGGCACTCTCCTAGTTAGGGTGTTCTGTAATAACCTTGGAGATCCTTAAAGGTGGGACCACTGCCAAGAGTCCCCATGGCTCCACTAAGCATTGTTCTCATGAGGACACTTGGTGGTGGTCCCACCTTCGAGGTTTTTTTGAGGCATCCTTGGAAATCCAGGTGGAGGTAGCTATGCCTCCACAGCTCCTACACTCCATATAGAGTTAGCACCACATGGATACTGCCAAATTTCACTGCTTGTGCTACAGCTGAAATGGTCAAGGAGCACTGCCCTGGAATACAGGGGGCAGACTTGACACAGCCCTGGACAACGAGCTCTGAGGTCTCACAGGTCCTCTGGGTACCTCTCTTAACCATTCTGCCCTCAAGGCCCTGGTACCCTGGGAGCCTGTGATGGGCATGGCAGCACAAATCTCCAAAATGCCTTCGGGGTCATTCTCCCATTATCTTGATGAACAGCACGTAGTTTTTATCCATACTAATCTCCTTATCAAACAATTGCTTGGCCCCACCCTTTTTTTCTCTCCTAACCAGTCTCTAAATATTTCACATGGCCAGGATGAAACTTTCCTAATCTTTATTTTCTGCTTTCTTTTAAATCATGAATTCCATCTTTCTAGATTTCTCCATAAGCAGGTAAGAGAAGCCATGCAGCACCTTCAAGACTTTACTGCTTAGAGTTCTTCCAT
This sequence comes from Homo sapiens, assembly GCF_000001405.40. Classification (NCBI taxonomy): domain Eukaryota; kingdom Metazoa; phylum Chordata; class Mammalia; order Primates; family Hominidae; genus Homo; species Homo sapiens. The sequence continues at coordinate 77,426,980 of NC_000004.12, forward strand.
CAAATACTTTAGTTTATTGCTCTAATTTCTGCCTTCCACAAAGTCTTGGGGCATGGACAAAATTCAGCCAACTTCCTGGCTACATGATATAACAAGGATGAGCTTTCCTCCAGTTTCCAGTACTTTCTCATTTGAGACATCAAAATAGTAATCACTATCCATATTTCTACCAACATTCCATTCATAACCACTTAGATCACCTCTGAGATGAAAGCTGTCTTCTTTCCTGTGAGCTGCCACCAGAATCTCCCCTTACTTCTCTGTTCATGGCAATGCAGGCCTTTTCCAGCACTCAAGCTGTTTCAGCTGCTACCCATTACCCAGTTCCAAAGCTGTGTCTGTATTTTTAAGTGTTTGTTATAACATGCTACTTGTCTGGTATCAATTTTGGACTATTCAGAATGCTATAACAATATCACAGACTGAGTAATTTATGAAGAACATAGGTAACCTATAAAGAACAAACAGTGGTTTATGCCTGTAATCTTAGTAGTTTGGGAGGCTGAGGTGGGAGAATTGCTTAAAATTGGGAGTTCAAGACCAGCCTGGGCAACAAAGACCCCAGCGCTACAAAAAAAAGAAATATCCAGGTGCAGTGGTATGTGCTACTTGGGAGGCTGAAGCTGGAGGATCGCTAGAGCCCAGGAGGTAAAGGCCATGTACCATGATCACCCCACTACATTTTAGCCTGGGCAAAAACAAGATGCCATCTCAATTTTTTTCCTTAGTTCTGGAGGCTGGGAAGTCAAAGATAGAGGCACCAGCAGATTTGGTGTCTAGGGAGGAGGAAGGCAGTGTCTCTCCTTCCAACGTGGCACCTTTTTGCTACATCTTCTGAAGGGGAGGAATGTTGTAGCCTCACATGGCAGAAGGTAGAGGGGAAAGGAGGTACTAGATGCTAAGTAAAGCCTCCTTTAGAGGTGCCTTTATTCCATTCGTGAAGGAGAAGCCTTTGTGATCTAGTCACTTCTTAAAGTCCCCACCCCTTAGTATCACATTGGTCATGAAGTTTCAACATGTGAACTTTGGAGGAGACATACTCAAGCCATAGTAGCCTGTCTCCCATCTTAGAAGCACCACCCTTGATCTCATGCTGCCCTCTAGCCACTGCCCTTTTCCTCTTCTCTGACTCAAACCCTAAAGTGGTTTCTCTACTTCTCTACTTTTCTACTTCTCATCCTCTACTACCCGGCTCCACACCAAACTATGGACCTTCAATATGTGCAATGATAAATGGATGCATTTCATTCAGTAGTATTCTATAGTATTGGAAAAAGTGATTACCCTGACTTGTATGATGGTATTTGATGTATTAGTGTGTCTAGGCTGTAGTTTCCAGTCAATTTGTGTTGCTGTAAAAGTAATTTGTAGATGTGATTAAAGCCTATAATCAGTTGACTTTAAGTTAGGGAGATTATCCTGTACAATATGCTGGGCCTGGGTCAACTAGATGGAAGGCCTTAAGAGCTGAGCAGAGGCTTCCCTACTGAAGAGATTCTGGCTGATGACAGCAGGTTAATCTGCAAATGAGTTCAAGCCTGCGCTTCCTGAAAGCCTGCCCTACAGACTTCAAACTTGTCTAACCAGCCCCCAGAATTGCAATGTAGCACCATTTGATAACCTATAGATAAAGTTATTTATCTGCTACCTTAGAACCTTTTAAACAAAATAAGTGCAGTGGGATTGGCTGAATGCTTATAACAGCCTTGGAGAAAGTTGGGAAAGAAAAGGCTGAGCTTAAGCCTTCAAATTCTAAGCTTAATCTCTGTATAAATAACCTGAACTTTCATATCTGTCCTGAAATGACCCTTTATCTGCTATAGCTGCAGGGTCAAGATTTCCAAAAGTCAAACCCAGAGTATCACATCCAGTGAGTGATTGAATTCCGATGTGAATTGGATTCCCAGCCTCATCAGATGACTTCTGTTTAAGTGAGAGCATTGATTGAAAAGAAATAGGATTCTGAATAGAGAAATTTGGGCAGATTCCAATGAAGCTGGGGACATCAGATTCCTAAATTCTGTGGATTTTCCTTGGCTGGTAAAAACAGCACTTCTACCCCTGCCCAGGGTGGTTAGCTCTCCATTGTCTGAGGTTGTTGCTTTGCAAGGCACCACTGATTCTCCTTAGGGTATATTCCTGGCATCTGTTTCCAGACTTAGACTCATGTTCCAAAAGCTCCTAAAGGGTGAAGTACAAAGTATGACCCATGAGGAGATGCACAATCTCAAAATAGCTGCATGACTTTTCCTTATTTTTATACAGAAATACAGGGAATATGTAGGAATGAATCTTCAGAGAGGGGTCATGATGAAAAGAATATAAAGTTGGATCAAGCTAAATTTATTCATGTGTCCATTAAGCACAGATTCTAGGTTTATTTTAGCTTTAGGGGTTATAAAGTGTTCTGTCTGTTTAAAATGTGGACCCAAAGGTGGCCTACACTAAATGAAGTTGAAATGCTAGACATGTGTGGGCCTCCTCTAGAGGAAGGGTATCAGAAGGCTTAGGGAGGTAGGAATCCTGTAATGGATTTGTCACATAAGACCCTTTTACCTACCCCAGGAGGGTCTAGAGGACCTGCTTTTTATTACTTTGAGAAATTTGAGTGTCCCAGCACCCTTCTAAGAGCTTGGTTGTCATTCTCTGTAGGTCAGAAATTACACTGGGAACTGCTACCATGAAACTGCCACCCTTAAATACAATAGGGATAATGGAATCTTAGGGTAGGAGAAGCTAGGTGGTAGTACTTAAACACCAGAGACAGGCAGGAATAATTAGTGTAAAACCAAAGCAGTAATCAGAATAGACTGACTCGGAGACCCATGCTATTCACTGATTGAACACGATATCCCTAGAAAAGTAATAGAAAAGTAAATTCTTGAACAGCATAAGTAAGAGTTCTAGTAAATGGTCTAACTTGAATCAGCAAAAGTCACAGCCCCTCAATCAATTCCCAAACATCAACTAGTTCAGACCAAGAATCGTTTGAAGGGGAGACTTGGTCTCTTTGAGGAATGATATTGCTGTATGACTAAAAGTTCATACTGTTAATATTTTTTCCAGCCTTCCCCAAAAGGGCTTATCAGTGTGACGATGCACTAGGGAAAGGAAGATAATCAGGCTTCTCAGGGATAACTAGACACTATGAACTGACAGTAACTCCTGTAAACCCAAAATATCACTGCAGTACAGAAGGGAGAGGCTTATGAAGGTCAGGTCATAGAATTTTAGCTAAGGGTCAATTCACAGTGTGGGTCAAGTGGGTCCCCAAACTCATCCTGTGGTTATTCCCCCAGTCTGGAATGTATATTTATAACAGACATACCCAGCAACTAATAGAATCCCCTTGTGTGTTCCCTGACCTGTAGAATGAAGACTTTTTGGTAGCAAAGGCTAAGTGGAAGTCATTAGTACTACCTCTACCTACAAAAACAGTGAACCAAAAGCAGTACCATATTCTAGAGAACAGTGCCAATATCAAGGACTTGAAAGTTGCAGGGATACTGCTTCTTGCCACATTCTTAACTTGCCTATTTGGCTTATGCAGAAGACAGATTCTGGAGAATGACAGTTCAGGATTGTCAAACTTAGTCAAGTGGTGACTCTAGTTACTGTTGAAGATGTGATTTGTTATTCGAGAAAATTAATACAACCTTTTGGTACCTGGTATGCAGCTATTGATTTGGCAAATACATTTTCTATACCTGTTAGTAAAAACCATCAAAAGCAATTTGCTTTCAGCTAGCATGACAATATGTTTTCACGATTCTACCTTAGGGTATCAACTCTATCCCTATGTCATAGTCCACAGATCTTGATTACATTTCCTTTCCATAATATATGCTGGTTAATCATATTAATGATATGCTGATTGGGCCTTGTGATCAGGAAGTAGTAACTAATCTAGACATAGGATTAAGACATTTGCATGACACTAGAAAATAAATGCCACCGAAAATCAAAGGGCATTCACTTAAGTGAAATTTCCAAAGGCCCAGTGGTATGGGGCACCTTAGGTACATCTAAGGCAAAAGTTTATTGCAAATGGCTCCTCCTACTGCCCAAAGAGGCACAATGCCTAATTGGCCTTCTCGGATCTTCGCAGAAACATATCTTACTGAGGTATGCTACTCCAGCTCACTTACCAAGTTACTCAAAGCTATAAGCTTTGAATAGGTCCCAGAACAAGAGAAGGCTCTGCTACCATTCAAGGTGCTTTGCCACTGGCCATATGGCTTAGCAGATCCTGTGGCGATGAAAGTATCAGTGGCAGATAGGGATGCTGTTTGAAGCCTTGAGGAGACCTCCCATAGATAAATCACTGAGTCAGGATTTTAAGCAAGCCCTGCTATTGCCTGTGGATAACTTATTTTTAGAAACAACTTTTCGCTTGCTACAGGACCTTGTAGAGACTGAATGCTTAATCGTGTGTCACCAAGTTGTTGTGTGACCTGAGATGCCCATGAGGAACTGGGTAGTGTATGCCCCACAGTTACAAAGTTGGATATACACAGCAGCACTTCATTAATAAATGGGAGCAGTATATTTGAGATTGTGTCTTCAAGGTCTGCACAAGCCCAATTTGCATGAGGAATTGATCCAAATGTTCAGAGCTTCTGTTCCCATCCTACATTACCTTCTCCCAGCTCATAACTATGGGCTCATGAAGATTTTTATATGAGCAGTTGACTGTAGAAGAGAGAACTCCGGCTCAGTTTACAAATGACTCTCCATGATATACAGGCATCACAAGTAGACAGCTGCAGCACTACAGCCTATTTCTGGGACATCCTTAAAGAATGCTGATGAAGGAAAATCCTTTCTGCAGCCAGAACTTTGAACAGTAAACCTGATTGTTCATTTTGCCTGGAAGGGGAAAGGGCCTGAGGTAAGAATCTGTAATAGTTCCTAAGCTGTGGCCAATGTTTTGGCTGAATGGTCAGGGGTGTAGAAGGAATACAAGTGTAGAAGGAATAAAATTAGAAAACTGGATACAATAAGGTATCAGGGAGAGGTATGTGGACTGGCCTGAAAGGTGGAAATGGCCTTTTGAAAACTAAATTACGGCGTCAGCTATTGGCAATACCTTGCAGGGCTCAAGCTAAGGCTTCTAGGATTCTATGTAGTCTTTAAATCACTGTCCAATATAACTGTTTCTCCCATAACCAGGTTTCAAGGGTGTAAGAATTAAGGGGTGAAAATACAAATAACTTTACTATTATCCCCTAGTGATCTACTAAATTGTTTTATTCCCAAGGAGTTTGGAACTAAGACCCCTAGACAGCAGAGCCTAAGGGAGGAATGACTCTACCAGGAGACAAAATAATGACTCTGTTAAAGTTGAGATGGCCGGCTGCCTCATACCTCTGATTCAAAAGTAAAGGAGTTGCTGTACTGGTTAGGGCGATTGTTCCTGACAACCAAGGGGAAACTGGACTGCTACACAAGGAGGTAAGGTCTAATATGCCTGGAATACCCAAGATCCCTTAGGGTGTCTCTTGGCACCACCATGTCTTGTGATCAGTCAAGTGAATACCATACCCACTCCATTCAGAAGGGATTGCTAATGGTCCACACCTTTCAGGAATGAAAGGTTGGGTTACCCAATACGGCAAAGAACCACAGCCTGCTGAAGTACTTACTGGAGGTAAAGGAAATATGGAAGGGGGGGTTGGCAGAAGGTGGTTATAAATACTAGCTCTGACCATCTGACTAGTTGTAGAAACAAAGACACTGACAGTTACAAATATTTGTTAGGAATGTTTGCATATAGAGTAACTATTTGTGTCTCATCTTCTTACAGTCTAATATAAATGTTAATACTAGTTGACCTAGTATTTGTTATGGTAGTATTCAAGCTATCACATATTAAAGAAGAGTAAACTGTACCCAAGTAAACTTGCGCCCTCTTTTGGGGAAAGGGTTACTGTGTTTTCAGTTGTACACGGGACAGCTGTATTATATTAGGCAGAATTGACTATCTATTTGGAGATTAACTGTGTCTTAATGTGAGGCCTAAGGGTGCCAAGTTGATAAGGGTAGACTGTAATGATTTTTTGATATGCCTACGTTGCCAGACCACTGTCCCCAGTTCTAAAAACACTAATGTAGGTGTTGCTTTAGAAGTGTCATGTAGGTATGATTAAACTTCACAATTAGTTGACTTGAAGTGTAAGGGATATTCTCCCAGAAAAGTTTATGGGCCTAATCCAATCATTTGAAAGGACTGAACAGAGCTGAGGCTTCCCTAATGAAGACATTCTGCTGTGGTCAGAAGTTTCAGCAGCCCCTGAGTTCCTGCCTGTTCCTCCTGAAAGCCTTCCCTATCTGTGGATAATGGGCTTGCCTTGCCAACTTCCACAATTGCATAAAACAAGTCCTTGCAATGAATCTCAACATGTATTAATATGTATCTCCTGGTTCTGTTTCTCTGGTTAAACCTTGCATGATACACCCTCTTAATATCTGATACCACTTCTAAGGTTCAAGAATGCCAAGAGCAGCAGTTCCAGCCTTGCAGAGGAAAATGAAAGTGACTTCTGTAAGTCTGAGCCTTTAGTGTCAGCTGTCCCATAATTTATCCACCTTTGCCCTCTTCTGGTGATACAAGGAAATTCACAGTGATGTCGGCTAAAGAAACGCCCCTCATGATTCTCAGGCAATTCTGCTGAGGTCTCATGGAAAAATAGGCATTATGCCAAGGGTACAACCAGATAAATCATAGTTTTCTATTTTTCCATTATTTGGAGTTGACTTCCTAGCTGAAAATAACTTTAGAATGTGAACATTCATGGCAGCCATCAGAATGTTTGTTGCTTTTTAAAAGTTTAGAAATAGAAAAGCAGTTTTTTGGTAGAAAGTCTTACATATTCCTCTTGAGATTCAAAGTCCTTTTCTCACTACCCACCTCTCCATCCCACTTGCTTGTTAAAAGATTACTTAAAAATACTTTAAGTAGAAGAACAAGCTTTCACAAAAGTGCTGATAACTTATGTTTTTATGCAATTTCCTATCTATACTTGATGTATCTTGGCAATTTATCAATAAAGATCCACTCATTCCTAATATGTGCACAGTATTCTATAGTATGAATGAACTGGAACTTAGTGTTTGCCTTACGGACAGACATTTAGGTTGTCCATCTCCTTGGCAATTAAAAATGATGCAGTGAAGAAACATAACATACCCTTGCTTCTCTGTGCTCCTATTTCTGTAGGGTAGATTCTTAGGCAAAACCCCTTTGATACTCATGCTGGGTAACACATCCAAGAACAGAGGTAACAAATCTAGCATAGGATTGTCCTTCCATATTGTTTGTTATTATCCCTATGTACCTTTCAATTCGTGCAGTCACTAAAGATGTGGCCATAGAAAATGCTACATGGATCTCCCTTCATAGAAAAACTTCTTATTCAGCTATTATGAGCGCAGATGGTGGAAAGCCTCCAGCTGTCCTTCCGGATCCACTTGGGCTTTCAAGCCAAGGTCATGGTCTTCGTGGGCAGCTTCCAGCCAACGACTGAGTCTGGTAGTTATAATTAGAGACTATTTCTGCCAAAATACATGACTCTGCTGATTTTTAACTGGTGGAGACTTTGTCAGATCGGCCTCAGAACTGAAGTCTCTATGCCTAGTCCTCCTCCCCACTTTAGATCTGCACAGCCACCTGAAGGCTTTCCTCACTATGATGGGTGGAATAATGCCCCCAAAATGTTCATTCCAATCCCATGAACTTGCGAGTATTCTATACATGGTAAAAGGAACTGTCATCTGTGATTAAGTTGAAGACTTTCAGATGAGATTATTCTGGATTATCTGGGTGGGTCTAATGGCATCACAGGGGTACTTGAAAAGGAGAGGAGATAGGATAATCAGTCAGAATGAGAGGAAGCAGAGGTTAGAATGATTCAAGGTCACAAACCAAGGGGTACAGGCAGCCCCTAGAAGCTGGAAAGTGAGTAGGTGGATTTTCCCCTAGAACTTTCAGGAGGAACGCAGGCTGCCGCCAAGACCTTGACTTTTTAAGCTCAGAGAAACCTGTTTATTTCGGACATCCAGAACCATAAGATGATAAACTAGTGTCTTAAGCCAGTAAGTGTGGTAACTTGCTATGGCAGCAAGAGGAAACTAATGCACTGGCTTGACCTTGTGTTCACCCTTCACTGTTCACAGGCAGTACCCCCAGGAAACCTCTCACTCCAAAACCTTTCTCCCAGCCTCTGCTTTTCAGAGAACCTGACAAATTGGAAAGGATTGAATGTTACCAACTTCTGACCAACACCTTGCTGCAGCAAAATTCATGAGAGCCTGCTGATCATTGTCATGACTCAAGTTTAAGAGCTGCATTAAAATGATGAAAGGAAAATCTTGGGAGAAGGATGTAGAACAATCACAAATGACAACCAGCTTCTCAGAAACATCTTGGTTCTCAGAATCAACTTATCTAGCGGCTTCTAAAGCAGGGAATTGAACCAGGATGACAGGATTCACTTGTCAGCAGCCTCTGTGGCTGGTGTTCAGAACCATGTGACCCCTCTATCATTGCTCACGATTGCAGTACCTTCATTTTGGGGTACTATTTCACTAAATTAGGAGGCACAGCTTGGGAATTCCATGTAACAGGAGACATAGATGACAAAACATTCTATAAAGAGGCCAAACATATGTATACTATGTACCATGTATATAAGCTCATTTACTCTTCACGAAAATCCAATGAAGTAGACGTCATCTCACCATATAGAAACAGGCTACCATCTCAATGCCATCACAGGTTGGAATAAACTGAGACTCAGATGGATGTCAAGTGCATGTAGGGGAGAGCAGTTAGTAGGATTAGCTCTACCTCTTACTGCTGCACTTGGTCCTGAGGCCATACATGGCTTTCTTCTTTCTCTACTGCCTACTCAGGATTATCCTCACCCTTGCCTTAGTACTTCTCCTGGGCTAGAGAGCTTGCCTGGTGTCCCAGACCTTTATCTATGGGAAGTCTGAGTCCTTGACTCCTAGGGAAGGCCATAGCCCATGTGGATATACATGAGCCTAGCCCTGGTCTGCAGAGGAGAGCCAACGCTGGCCCTGAAACAAGATCATATTGCAACAGATAGAACTTCTGAGTGGTACTGGTGCCCCATGCTCAGTGCATTCCTGCAGGCCTTGGTGACATAGGCCTTTACTGGGAAGTGCTAGCACTTACTAGGGAAGAGTAAGCCGCCTCTGTAAACTGAGGGTTCAGGGGGTCTGTAGAGCCAAGACTCTCAGGCATCCATCCAGATGTCCCCATCCCCCAGTTTTCCCCATCAAGGTCCTGACCTGAACATAACAGACACGAGCTGGCTGGGCACATTCATTTCCCACCGAAGCTCTGTTTTTCTCACTTCTTTGTTGAGCTGTGTTTACTCTTTTATTGTAGGAGATGAGGGCCTCTTGATAAGCTGCCAAAGAGGCCCTCTGGTTCTTACACTTAAGGATTTTTAATTTTTGCTTTACAAGTTTTTAGATTTATTTTTAATCGAAAATATGTTTATGGGTTGCAATGTGATGTTTTATACCTGTATACTTTGTACAATGGCTAAATCAATCTAAAATATCTATTATCTCTCTTTTTTGTGGTAAGGATATTTAAAATTAGCAATTTTGAAATATACAATATATTAACTATAGTTGCCATGCTATGCAATAGATCTCTTGAACTTACCCTTCCTGTCTAGCTGAAACTTCTTACCTTTGACTAGCATATATTTGGTAATCCCCACCTCAGCCCCTAGTAACCACTATTCTACTCTCTGCTTCTGAGTTCAACTCTTTAAGTTTCCACATATGAGATCACATGGTATTTATCTTTCTGTGTCTGGCTTATTTCACTTAGTGTTTTCCAGGTTCATCCACATTGTTGTATATAATACAATTTCCTTCTTTTTGTAAGGCTGAATAATATTGCATTGTGTATACTTACTACATTTTCTTTATTCATTCATTAATGGACACTTAGGTTGATTCCATATCTTAGTTACTATGAATAATGCTGCAAGGAACCTGGGAGTGTAGATATCGCTTCAACATACTGATTTTCTGTGGATAAATACTCAATAGTGGGATGGCTGGATCATATGGTAGTTCTACTTTTAACTTTTTTAGGATCCTCCATACCTTTTTCCATTGTGACGGTTAATATGAGATGTCAACTTGACTGGATTGAGGGATGCCTAGATGGCAGGTAGAGTATTTTGGGGTGTGTCTGTAAGGGTGTTGCCATCAGAGATTGACATCTGAGTCAGTGAACTGAGAGGAAGACCCACCCTTAGTGTGGGGGGTGGGGCACCATCCAATCCGCTGCCAGGGCAGCCAGAACAAAGCAGGCGGAAAAGGGACAAGCAGCTTGTTGGATCTTCTGGCTTTTTTTGTGCTGGACACTTGCCTTCTCTCATCTTGCCCTTGGACATCAGACTGCAGGTTTTTCGGCCTCTGGACTTGCACCAGCTGCCTCCTGGGGGCTCTTGGGCCTTTGGCCTCAGACTGAGGGTTGCATTGTTGGTTTCCCTGGTTCTGAGGCTTTCGGATTTGGACTGAGCCATACTACTGGCTTCTGTTTCCCCAGCTTTCATGCCTTCTCTCTTCCCCAGCCTGTCATGGGATTTGCCATGTAATCGAGCCAATTCTCCCCAGTAAACCCCCTCATATGTATACACATGCGTGTATCCTACCAGTTCTGTCTCTTTGGAGAACATGAGTATTAATTTATCCATAATGGCTGTACTACAGCCATTTTGCAGTTTACAATCCCCACTAGCAGTACACAAAGATTCCCTTTTCTCCACATCTTTCCCCATACTTATGTTCTGTCTTTTTGATAATAGTCATTCTAATACAAGCATGAAGTGACATCTCATTGTGGTTTTAATTTGTATTTCCCTGATAATTAGTGATGTTGATTTTTTAAATATATATGTATCTGCTGGCTATTTGTATGTCATCTTTTAAAATGTCTGTTCAGGTCCTTTGCCCATGTTGTAACCTGGTGGTTTTCTTACTACTGAGTTTAAGTTCTTTATATACTTTGTATGTTAACCCCTTATCAGATATACAATTTACAAATATTTTCTCCCATTCCATTCGGAGAAAAAAGGCAGAGGAAAGGTGAATTATTTCTCTTTCACACACACACACACACACACACACACACACGCTCTCGTTCACACTCACATGCTCTCATTCACACTCTCTTTCACACTCTTGTTCACACACTCTCTCTTGTTCACACACTCTTTCTCTCACTCTTTCACACATTCTTTCACACTCTTTTTTTTTTTTTTTTGAGGTGGGGTCTTACTCTGTCACCCAGGCTGGAATGCAGTGGCATGATCTAGGCTCACTGCAACCTCTGCCTCCCGTGTTCAAGTGCTTCTCCTGCCTCAGCCTCGCAGGTAGCTGGGATTACAGGCGCCCACCACTACACCTGGCTAATTTTTGCATTTTTAGTACAGACAGGGTTTCGCCACATTGACCAGACTGGTCTCAAACTCCTGACCTCAAGTGATCCGCCCACCTCGGCCTCCCAACGTGCTGGGGTTACAGGTGTAAGCCACCATGCCTGGCCTCTTTGACAGTCTTTGACACTCCCTCTCACACTCCCTCACACTCGCTCTCACACTCGCTCTCACACTCGCTCTCACACTCCCTCACACTCTCACTCTGTCTCACACTCTTTCACACACACACTCTGTCTTTCACACACTATCTCTTTCACATTCACACACGCACTGTTTCACGCGTGCACTCTTTCACTCTGTCTTTCACACACTGTCTTTCACACACATTGTCTTTCACTCGCTCTCACACACTCGCTCTCTCACATACTCGCTTTCTCATACACTCTGCCTTTCACACTGTCTTTCACACACTGTCTTTCACACACTCTGTCTTTCACACACTCTCTGTCTTTCACACACACTTTCTCAGCTGGGACACCCTATTTCTGTTCCTAGATGTCAGAACTCCAGGCACTCTGCCATTTGGACTCTGGGACTTAGACCAATGGCCCTACAAGTTCTTGGGTCTCCAATTTCAAACTGAGAATGACACCATTTTCCCTGGTTCTGAGGCTTTTTGACTTGGATCAAGCAGCACTACCAGCATCCCAGGGTCTCCACCTTGCAGATGGCCTGTTATGGGACTTCTCCGCTTCCATAATCGTGTGAACTGATAAATCTTATGTACGGTTATGTGCCACCTGACAATTTTTTGGTCGATGATGGACCACGTATATGGTGGTGGTCCCATAAAACTATACTATATTTTTACTGTAACTTTTCTATGTTTAAACGTTTAAATATATAATTACTATCATGTTATAATTGCTTACAGTATTCAGTACAGTAACAAGTGATACAGGTTTGTAACCTAGGAGCAATAGATGATACCATATACCCTACTTAGATTTTTGGAGGCAGCACATTCCTCATTCATTGTATTAAAATTGCCCATCTACCAAGTGACCTGAAAAGCTGCTCATTTTGTGTGGAGCCCAGAACAGCAAAAGACTCTACAGCAGGTTCAAGCTGCTCTGCCATTTGGCATATGATCCAAAAAATTGAATGGTACTCAAGGTGTCAGTGGCAGATAGTGATGCTGTTTGGAGCTGTTGTAAGGCCCCTGTAAGTGAATCATAGCAGAGGCCCTTAGGCTTTTAGAGCATGGCCCTACTGTCATCCACAGATAACCACTTTCCTTTGGAGAAAACTCTTGGCCTGCCATTGGGCCTTAGTAGGAATTGAACAATTGACCAAAGGCCACTAATGTCCTTTGTCTATTTCTTAACCATGCAAACTGAATTGGGTGTTACTTGACCCACTAAACCATAAAGTTGGGTATGTGCAGCAGCACTCAATAAAATAGTGGTGTAAATGTGGTCAGGCCTGAGTAGGTCCTGAAGGCACAAGTAAGTTACTTGAATTGGCCCAAACGTCCATTGCTTCTACTCTTGCTACACTGCCTTCTCTCCCCCAACCTATACCTGTGCCTCATGAGGAGTACCCTATGATCAGTTGACAGAGGAAGGGACGACTGGAGCCTGATTTACAGATGGTTCTGCACAATATGCAGGCACTATCCACAAGTGGACAGCTTCAGCATGATAGCCCTTTCTGGGACATTCCTGTAGATAACGGGGAAAGAAAATCTGAATAGGCAGAATTTCAGAGAGTATACTGGTCATGCATTTTGCTTGCAAGGAAAAATGGCAATATTTGATGAAACATTATTATGTGGTACACGATTGTATAAACAGTGGACCACATATATAACCATGAACCCATAAGACTGTAATGAAGCTGAAAAATTCCTGTCGCCTGGTGATATCATAGCCATCATAGAACACTGCATTACTCGCATGCTTGTGATGCTGGTGTAAACACACCTACTGTACTGCCAGTCAAGTGAAAGTATTGCACATAAAGTTACGTACAGTACATAATACCTGATAATAACTGTTACTGGTTTATATATTTACTGTATCATTTTAGTGTATTCCTTCTTAAAATTGTAAAACAGCTTCAGGTAGGTCTTTCAGGAGGTATTACAGGAGAAGGCATTGTTATCATAGATGACAGCTCCATGCACATTACTGTCTGTGATGACCTTCCAGTGGGGCAAGATGTGGAGGTGGAAGACAGTGATATTGATGATCCTGACCCTGTGTAGGCTTAGGTTAATGTGTGTGCTTGTGTCCAAAAAGTTTAAAAGTAAAACACTTAATAGAAAAAAGCTTAAGAATATAAAGAAAATGTTTGTGCAGATAAAATGTTTTAAACAAAGTGTTATAAGAGTCAGACTTAAAAAACTTACATTTATAAAGTAAAAATTATGAGCAAAGGTTAATTAAAGGAAAAATATTTTTTATAAACTTAGCCTAAGTGTACAGTGTTTATAAAGCCTACAGTAGTATGTAGTATGTAGTAATGTCCTAGGCCTTCACATTTACTTACCACTCACTAATTCACCCAGAGCAACTTCTAGTCCTATAAGCTCCATTCATGGTAAGTACCCATTACAAGCATACCATTTTTTCTGTTTTACCATATTTTTACTATACCTTTTCTATGTTTGGTATGTTGAAATACCACAAATACATACCATTGTGTTACAATTGCCTATAGTATTCAGTATAGTAACATGCTGTACAGGTTTGTAGCTTAGGAGCAATGGGCTATACCCTCTAGGTTTGTGAAAGTATACTCTGCGGTCGTACAAAACAAAATTGCCTAAAGCACTTATCAGAAGGTATACCTGTTAAGTGATGCATGACTATACTGACATGGGCTGTGGCCAGTGATTTAGCTGGATGGTCAGGGACTTAGAAGGAACATGACTGGAAAACTGAAAAATTTGGGAATAGGTACATGGATAGATCTGAGTGGGCAAAGGATGAGAAGATAGTTACATCCCATGTGCATGTTCAAAGAGTAAGCAGAGGAGGATCTTAAGTAGATAGGATGACATGTTTTTTGGATTCTAATCAGCCTCTTTCCAGCCACCCTTGTCATCACCCAATGGGCTCATGAACAAAGTGACCATGGTGGCAGGGATGGAGGTTATGCATGGATTCAGCAACATGGACTCTGAGTCACTAAGGCTGACCTAGCTATGGCCACCACTGAGTGCCCAATCTGTCAGCAGTACAGACCAACACATATCCCGCACCTGGCAAAATTCCTGGGGTGATCAGCTACCTGATGACAGGTTGATTGCATTGAAACACTTGCATCATGGAAGGGGTGGAGTTTTGTCCTTACTGGAATAGATATTTACTCTTGATCTGTCTTCCTGTATACAATATTTCTGCCAAAACTACCATCCATAGACATACTGAATGCCTTATCCTTCCACAGAGCATCGCTTCTGACTAAGGCACTCATTTCACAGCCAAAGAAATAGAGCAATGGACTCATGCTCATGGAATTCACTGGTCTTACCATGTTTGCCATCATTCAGTGACATCTGGCTTGATAAAATGGTGGAATAGCCTTTTGAAGTCAGTTGTGGTACCAACTAGGTAACAGTACTTTGCAGGGCTGGGGAAGGGTCTTCCAGAAGGCTGTATATGCTCTGAATCAGCATCCAGTGTGTGGTACTGTTTCTCCTATAGCCAGAACTCACAGGCCCAGGGATCAAGGGGTAGAAACGGGAGTGACATTTGCACCATCACCCCTAATGACCCATTAGCAAAATGTTTGCTTTTTGTTCTTATGACTTAAGCTCTGCTGGCTTAGAGGTCATGGTTCCAGAGGCAGGAATGGTCCACCAGGAGACACAATGACTCAATTGAGCTGGAAGTTAAGACTGCCACCTGGTCACACTGGACTCCTCATGCCTCTGACTTAGCAGGCTGAGAGGGGAGTAATGGTGTTGGCTGGGGTGATATATGTAGACGGCTACTCTGCAGTTGAGGTAAGGAAGAATAGTTCTGGAATACAGGATATCTCTTAGAAAGTCATAGTATTACCATGCCCTATGATTAAGTTCAATGGGAAATTACAACAACCCTAGCCAGGCAGGACTAGGAATGGCTCAGAACTTTCAGGAATGAAGATTTGGGTCACCTTACCAGGTAAAGAACCATAATCAGATGAAATACTTGCTGAAGGCAAGGGGAATATAGAATGTGTCCTGGAAAGATCATTAAAAATACCACCTATGACCACATGACCAGTTATATAGCGGTAGACTGTCATGAGTATTTCTAAAGAATGTATATACCCATTAATATATTAAGCAAATTTTTATTTTCATTCTTATTCCTTTATTATGTAATACAGGACTTACTGATTTATTTTGAGATGGAATCTCTCTCTGTTGCCCAGGCTGGAGTGCAGTGGCATGATCTCAGCTCACTGCAACCTCTGCCTCCCAGGTTCAAGCAATTCTTCTGCCTCAGCCTCTTGAGTAGTGGGGACTACAGGTGCGTGCCACTGCACCCAGCTAATTTTTGTATTTTTAGTAAAGACGGGATTTCACCATGTTGGCCAGGCTGGTCTTGAACTGCTGACCTCAGGTGATCCAACCGCCTTGGCCTCCCAAAGTGCTGGGATTACAGGCACGAGCCACCACGCCAAGCCAGACTTACTCATTTTATATGAGTATTTTACTGCGTAGTATTTAAGTTGTGGACTATCAGTGGAAGAGTAAAGCTCACCCAAGGACTTTACATTTTCTGCCGAAGAAATTAAGGTGTTTTATTTGTAGGATAGTTGCATTATGCTAGGTAAGGAGATGCAAATGGGTGCCAAGTTGACAAGAAGTGGACTTGTGATGGCTAATTTTAGATGTCAGCTTGACTTGATTAAGGAACACCTGGAGAGCTGGTAAAGCATTATTTCTGTGTGTGGGTGAGGTGTTTCCAGAGGAGACTGTCATGTAGGTTGGTGGACTGAGTGAGTGAGTGGGGAAGATCCACCCTCAAGGTGGGTAGGTACCAATCAATTGGCTAGGGACCCAGATAGAACAAAAAGGCAGAGGAAAAAAGTCTCTCTCCCAGAGTTGGGACATCCTCCTCCTCCACCTCCTGCTCTTAGATGTCAGAACTTCAAGTGCTCTGGTGTTTGGACCAGGGACATACACCAGTGACCACCCCCACCCCACCCCCAGTTCTCAGGCCTTTAGCCTCAGACTGAGAGTCACACCCTTAGCTTCCCTGGTTCTGAGGCTTTTGGACTTGAACAGAGCAGTGTTCCCAGCATCCCAAGTTCTCCAGTTTGCAGATAGCCTGATATGGGACTTTTCAGCCTCCATTAACACATGAGTCAGTACCCCTAGTTAATCCCCTTCCATATATTTGTTTCCTATTGTTTCTGTCTCTGGAGGACCCTGACAAATCCAACATCCCTCAGTTCACTATGCTCCTGCAGAGCATCGGTAAAACTTAGTACAAATAAGGAGGTGGCTCTAAAGGGTGCCTAGTAATCATTGTGTTCTTCACCTCCATGACCTTGCAGTAAAATTAAAATTTGAAAAGCCAGAGAATGTCCATGATGGAGCAGTTAAAATTAATTTTATTGCATCTTTTAAGTACATGTCTGATGTTCTGCATGATGAAATGGGAAGTACACATAAAGCTCTTTGCTTATGAAAGTATGATGGCTGTCTTAAAGCCAAGAACTTGTGCAATTGTCATTCTTCCAAGTAGAAATGGTATTCCATGAAGAATGTAGTTCAGCTCACTACTCAAATTACTGTGGCTCAGACTTGGATTTTGGACCGACATTTTCTTAAATGAATAAAGTGAGCTAGTCACTTCAAGAAAACCAGCTGATGGTATTGGTTAGCACTGGTAAAAATTTGTGTTCAGGTAAAATTTAGATTTTTGGAATCTGCCTCCTTGAGCTTGACAACTTCTGATTAAAGACTTTTGTAATGAGAATAGTCATATTAAGAATGTGAATTTTTGCTATTTTATAATGAAAATACCAACATGTAGAAGGTCTGCATAACTCCACCAACAAACTTTCCAGATGACCAGTGTATGATAGTACAAAATCACATGAGATAAATCCATTTAAAAAATAAATCAATGGACTTGAAGAGAGCATGATGTTCATTGATACAGCTACTAATTCCAAATTGCAACTCATCTTTACCAGTTGAGTTTTGGTATAGCATTAAACAAATATCCACAGTTACCTAAAAAGGCATTAAAAATATTTCCTTGTGAGGTTAGATTTTATTTATAAGCTTCAAAGTAACATTGCAACAGATGGAATACAGAAATAGGTATGGGAATTCAACTGTCTTCTAATCCACCAGGTACTTGCAAATACATAAAACAATGTTGCTATTCTATTTTTTGTTTAAGAAATTTTTTCATAAAATGACATTTTGATGAGATTAACATTTTTAAGTTAAATGTTCTCAAACTTTAAAAAAATCTTAGTATTGTGTATGTCAATAGATAAAATCCACCCAAAAGCTAATTGGGCTTTTCATTTTAATAGCATAAAAGGGTCCCAAGACCAAAAAGTTTGAGAACTGCTCTACAAGTTCTGATCACTTATTTCTGTCATGCTGAGAATAGATCTTGAAGTTGCCAGAGGCCAGTACTTCAGTAGTTTGATCCTTCTGTTTGCCACAGCTTTCAGTTGCCTATTTATCCTTTTCTACCATCGTCTGGTAGTACTTGGAAATATCAAAGAAATATCAGAGAATAAACCACTATCCAAGAAGAGGATAGTTGCAATCTGAAGAGTCATTGGCCTTCAAGGAAAAAATCGACTAGAGAGTACATGTAGTTGGACTGCATATATACCTTGGCAATATTTGTCTTCAGTTCTGTTGGAAGTTAACCTCCTGTGTTATCCTCCTACCTTCCTGGGGGCAATAGCCTACTTCAGGATGTGAGATCCGTAGGTGTAAGAACCTGTCCACGTCACTCATAAGAAATAATTCTTTCAATATAGGTTTAAAGTTTATGTTTTTAAATGTGTTCTTAAGAGGATTTCAATCATAACAGCTACTTGTTAATTCTTTTTATGTCTCTCCCTCACACCAACTTACATCATATATTACAAACTTTGGCTTTGGTGAGTGTTTCCCTAATCATTATTTTGCACAAGTATGTACATACTTGTGTAGATACATGTTTTCATAATGTTCATTTCGATTATATTACATGTTCAGCATGTTTCCATGACCACAGAATAGATCATGAACAGATTTCTAAGGACAAATGGTTCAATATTTTCAAATGTTGCATAGAATTGGATGGTTATGGACTTTGTATAATTTTTAACCCTTCCCATATAGTTTGTTGTACCCAAATTTTAGTTCTTGTAGCTGTTCAAATGAACAGGCATATACATCTATCCTTACACAGTTTTAGAAGTACTTCCATAAGATTCATAGGAGTGCAGTACAATCCTTTTAATTCAAGGAAGTGGGATCCAGAGGGCAAGAAATCTATCTAAGGCCAGATTCAAACCATAACTGTCATCAGGGATCATAAAATTTCCATGATGCCCTGTCAGCTGCTGTTCAGCTTACATGGTTAACAAGGAAGAAAGGGCTCTTCCTTTATTAGTGTGATGGATAGACTACTTGAGTAATGGTTGAAAGCCTAGGCAGTAATTGTCATGTTTTTGTCATTCTTTTTCTAAGTATGGCTCTTAAATGTCAGGGACATTTTTCTTGGCAGAATGAACACAATTTTTGTGTGCAGGGGACAGAGTTGACCTCCTGGGACTGCAGGATTTTTGTTTTGCTCCTCCAAGGTAGTCCATAGATATAATTTGAGTACTCTAGTATAGTAGCCTATGCCATAGGGATAGAAAATAACTCTGAACAAAAGAAGGAAATCAATGCCCTGTGATGGAGAATGGGGTTAAATAGATACAGCTGCAAGAGGCGAATTATCAACTCTACTTGGAGATTCACAGTGAGTGATGCTTAAGTTGAGATTTGAAGGGTGAGTAGACGTTTATCTTGGAGGGCATTCAAATCATAGAGAACAGCACATGCGGGGGCTCGGTGTTCTGAAAGTCACTGATATATTCAGGCAAATATCTTTTTTCCTACCCTGGGATTGGTAGAAGTTGCAATGGGAGGTAAGCAGGATCACATCACAGAAGGCTGATCCCCTGTTATAAATTTGGTCTCTCTGACTTCAATATTCGCTTGAGTTACTGTAATGACCTGGATGAGAAATGAGGGCATGAATGATGGAATAAGACATGATGGATTTGAGAAATTTAAAGACTGAACAGATGCCAGCTGAAACTTATCCAGGGTCCTAGTTCTGTTGAGCCTCAAACTAATTGGGAGACAACTGGCTGCCCAGGGATAGGAAAGTTGGTAGTTATCCAATTTGATTCGAGATTTCCTGAGTTGAGATCCAAGTTCACGTCACTCAGGGGCAATAGAAGGCATTTAGCCACACTGCTAATATTTGATTCTGAACTTCTTTACAAGACAGTGTGAGAGCGGTCAAACTTAACAAACCACAAATCTAAGAATGTAATAGGTTATGAGCACAATTCAAAGCTTTAATGCTGGTCACTCCTAATGTAAAAGGTTGGTGAAACTCCAGTTTTCATACAATTGATGTCCAGTGCCAAGGTCCATACTAGATGATACTTTCTAATTTGATTATACTAATATGGTAATTGAGATGTGCTGAGCTAATAATCTAATGATTGAAAGGCAAATAGTTGCACATTTATACTATTCTCACTCCTAAAATTCTCCCCCATTTGCTTTCCCTGTAACTTCTCTACACTAATGTGGCAGTTTGGACTGCCCATACCGGCAGATCCCTGGCTAATCAGTTTGAAAGAGTTTCAAATGAATGACATTCGATTTTAAAACAAAAAGCCCCCTGGCTCTTGTAAACAGAAATAAATGTAATGAGAGGTGAGAGGATATTGGGTAGCTCATGCAATTATCAGGAACAGGGAATCAAGCTCAGAAAATGTTAGGGGGATAGTTGACAACACAGCCCAAGAATCAACTGAAGGCATCAGTGCTAGGATCTCATGCAGCTGGCAATGCTGTCATCAGTCAGTCTGGCGCAAACAACACCAAGAAACAAAGACACTGGAGACTTGACACTTTCATTAATAGATGCAGCAGCACTCAAAGTCTCATAGGTAAGCATTTGATTAACTCATTCTAGGTCATGCCCAGCTCCCAAGAGGATAAGGGAACGTTGAGACTACATTTGGACTGCTAGGTTTGTAGCAGGAAACAGGCTTTGTCATGTGCAAGATCCATGTAGGAACCCATATAGTAAGGGGTTCTATTGCCACACTAATGTAAAAACACTCCAAAACTTAGTGGCTTAAAACAAACATCTACTATGCTCACAAGATCATAGGTCTGCTTAGTGATTCTTCTGGTCATAGCTGGGCTCACTCTGGTGGTTGGCTGGCTGGTAGCTAATTTAAGATGGCCTTAACTGGGACCACTGGCCCTATTCTATGTGTCTCATCTTCTAACTAGATTCTGGACACAATTCTCATGTCAATCACAGATCTCTAATATCTAGGCCCAGACCTGTCATATTGTCAGTTCTACATTCAATTTGCCAAAGTCAAGATTCAAAGGAAAGGGAAATTGTGGTTCCTTCTAGTCATCAAGAAGTAGAACCTAAGATTGGATGCAATAATAGCTTCAGTTCTCCACCTCTCTTTCATCTGCACTTTTTTTACTCTTACAATGAGGGACAAAGTCTCTTGTCCACCTTTTCACTGGGAAGCTCAGTTGATCTTTCTATTCTTTCAGCTATTAACGGCATCTATAACTAAATATGTCTGATTCGTTCTTGTACAAATTGCATATTTCACACAATTCTGGGTCTTTTTTTTTTTTTTTTTTGGAGAGTCTCACTCTGTCACCCAGGCTGGAGTGCAGTTGCACTATCTCAGCTCACTGTAACCTCTGCCTCCCGGGTTCAGGCAATTCTCCTGCCTCAGCTTCCCAAGTAGCTGGGATTACAGGCATGTGCCACAGTGCCTGGCTAATCTTTGTATTTTTTAGTAGAGAAGGGGTTTCACCATGTTGGCCAGGCTGGTCTTGTAATCCTGACCTCAGGTGATCCACCTACCCTGGCCTCCCAAAGTGCTGAGATTACAGGAATGAGCCTTATTTTCATTTCATCTAACTTAGAGATTATCTCACTTATAGACATGTCAGTAGCATAAATTTCTGGAAGTATAATTACTGGGTTGAAGGATATGTGCATTTTAAAACTCGATAGATATTGACAGCCTATCATGAGAAACAGTACACATATACCACCCCACCCAGAAATCTGTGATTACTTGCTTTTTCACCCCCTTGCCAAAATGACAATGATAAAACCATTTTATAAACACACTTTTTCAAAGGTATCTCAGTGAATTGTTAAAACTCATTTTGAAATTTTAAAATTACAGGAAAGTTACAAGAACAGTAAGGAGCTACTATCTCTCTTTTGCACAGACTCTCCAATTATTGACTTCAGGTATTTGCTCCATCACTCTTTATAAATATCCATTGTCATTTTCTGAACCACTTGAAATCAAGTTGCTAACATGATACTCCTTCACCCCTAAATACTTCAGTGTGTGTTTCTGGAAAACAGGGACTTCTCTTATAAAACTGCAGTGTAATCGTCAAAATCAGGATAAGCATCCCTGAAGGAACCCTGCCATTCAGAAGTGATGCTGTTCTCTTATTAGTGGATCACATCAGGACCTGCCCCACCACTGATGTTAACCTTGATCACCTGCCAAACTTACAGATAGAGAAACCTGCCATTTTCCCCTTTGTAATTGAGAAATATTTTGTGGGAAGTACTCTGATAAATGGGATATTGGCCTAGTCTCAAACTTCCACTCACCAGCCTTAGCATCCATTGACTCCCACTTGAATCATCACTACAGTCGTTGCCAAATGGTGTGTTTATTTCCGTTATTCTACATTTGTTGGCATTCAATTGTGAGGAAAGTAATTTCCTTCTCATGTTTATTACTATATAATCATACAATTTAATTCAGTGGGTTATAATCCATTACTCTCCTCTATTTTGATGCTAAAATTGTCTCAGATTTGGCCAGTAGAAGCCCCTTAAAGCTAGATCCTATGTCCTCTGAGCATTTTGTTTCTGGCATGAGATGTCCCAGACTCATCTTGTGCTTTCCCTGACCTAGCCCAGGAGTCAGCCATTTCTCCAAGGAGCCCTGGTTTCTCCTAGTCAAAGGTCAGCAAACCTTTTCTGGAAAGGGCCTGATAGTAAATATATTAGGCACTGTGGCCCTTGGGCTCAGCATTGACTGCTTAATTCTGCTATTACAGTGCAAAAGCCACAGGTAATATATAAATGGGCATGGCTGTGTTTCAGCAAAAGTGTTCATAAAATCAGGAAGTGGGCTGGATTTGGCCCACAAGCTGTAGATTCCCAAGCCCTCTTTTTAGTGACAAAGCTGTTAAGAAACCAAGATCTGGGCATTTAGTATACTCATTGCTATTGGGATGTCTTATTTCCGGATTCTTGCAAGAAACAGAACTAGAGATATAAGTACACACCTGTATTTATGGTATATAACTTCCACACTGTTGCCTGCAATTTCAGTCCCACATCTCAGGGTTCCTGCTAGCCTTCTTTCTTTCCGTATTTGTAAATTCCTTCTCTGGCTCTCATTATTCCTCAGACTCTGGCTGCAGCAAATCTGACCGTGCTGGACAGCTTCTTGGCTCCATGCTGTGTCTCAAGCCCCGCTGCTGCCACCACCTCATCCCCACCACCTCCAGGGAAAGGAAGGAAAAGAGCTCAGCATAGTTTTAACTTGAATATATCTTATAAGTGAGGGCGACCATCTTTTTTTTCTTTTTTCATTAAAAACAACAACTTAGGGATGGAATCTTGCTCTATCACCAAGGCTGGAATGCAGTGGCACAGCCATAGCACATTGCAGCCTTGAACTTCTGAGCTCTTCTCATATATTTAAGAGTTTTTCCTTTTTTTTTTTTTCTTAGAGACAGATTCTTGCTCTGTCACCCAGGCTGGAGTACAGTGGTGCAATCTTGGTTCGCCACAACCTCCATCTCCCAGAGATGCCACTTTTCATTTTCACCTCATTCCAAAATATTGCTATAGTACAAATGTTAAAATTCATGAATACTAATAACCATATCAGAGCTTAAAGGATGGCCCTAAGAATAAACATTCTTTACTTGATTTCATGAGTGATTCTCCTGCCTCAGCCTCCCGAGTAGCTGGGACTACCAGTGTGCACCACCACACACAGCTAATTTTTGTATTTTTAGTAGAGACGGGGGGTTTCACTATGTTGGCCAGGCTGGTCTCGAACTCCTGACCTCGTGATCTGCTCACCTTGGCCTCCCAAAGTGCTGGGATTACAGGAATGAGCCACTGCACCTGGCCTCCTTTTCTGAATTATATGTTCATTTACTCTTTGCCTAGAATCTTTTTCGTCTTCCACTTCTGTTACCCCGAGATAGCAAGACAAACTTCCCCCTCTTCCTCTTCTTCCTTGTCATCCTACTCAAGGTGAAGACAAGGATGAAGACCTTTATGATGATCTACTTCCACTTAATGAGTAGTAAGTATATTCTCCCTTCGTAAGACTACAGTTATAATACACAGAAAATACACAATATGTTAACTGGCTGTTTATGTTATCGGGTAAGACTTCTGGTTAATAGTAAGCTATTAAGTTATGGGGGGAGTCAAAAGTTAAACATAGATTTTTGAATACATGGGGGTGGGGGGTCAGCAACCCTAACATTGCTCAAGGGTTAACTGTTACATGTATATATATATAAAATAAAAAAACTCATAGGAAACAAAAGGCTGTGGAAAACGCAAAGAAAAATATAAATTATAGGATAACATATTGAGTCATTAACTGCACTGAAAATGGCACTCAAATTTGTAATGATCAAATTCCAAACTCCTAGCTTTCTTGAAATTTTTCACTTTGCAATGAGCTTTCCTCTGTCAACAAAATTCAAATGTGGTAGAGGGTAACAGGTCCTGAGAGGTTAAGTAATTATACCACTCCTTATATGGGGAAATTAGCCCTTCAGAAGTCTATTTTGATGTAATCAAATTTGTAAGCTGAATCTCCTCCTTTTGCCAGCAAGCTAGATGTGTTAGGTGTGCTGTATATTCTCAATACCCATGAAAACCAATTTTACTGGTGTTGATTATGACAAATGGCCTGGCCCTGTAGCCAGGAGTTGCATGACCACTTCACAAGTCAGCAGGCAACATCTGAGTTGCAGCTTTCTGATAATAAAGCAGCTTCCTTGGCTACTCAGTTCTGTGGTGTGGCTCTGGGAGCCATGCCTGGACACATGCTGGAGGCTTTTTCTTCCCTCAGTTCTGTAAACCATTTGACAGGCTTTTAAGTTTCTTCCTACTTTTATGAGCGGGAGTAGACTCTGTGCTGGAACTCTGAATGGATACAGTATTGTTATTGTTATTGTTATTGTTGGACTAAGATGCCACTTTTCATTTTCACCTTACATACTCCAAAATATTGCTATAGTACAAATGTTAAAATTTATGAGTACTAATAACCATATTGGAGCTTAAAGGATGGCCCTAGGAATAAACATTCTTTACTTGATTTCAAGACAAATTGGGACATAGAGGTAGTAGTTGGTGAGCGGGAGATCAAAAGACCCCCCTTTGGTAGTTGATAAATAGGTTGGAAGAAATGTAATTTAGATTGTTCGTCAAAAAGACTTGTGACTAATGCACCCCAAATTAAACTCGGCACACACAGACCTGGACATTGTCAGGCCTCCCTAACAAGGTCCAGCTCCTGAAAAGTTATGCATGGAGTAGAACAACAGATGAGCACACGTGCTCCTCTGCAGAGAGGGGGAGGAGCTGAAGCATCTTCCACCTCCTTCCCTAAAGCTTGCCAATGAGGCCAGACTGTAAGCTGCCTGCCTCCAGTTCTCAGGTTGAAGCTTCCACTTGCAGTAAGTGTTCCCTCCACTTTCCAAAGCGTGTGTCTCAAAACTTCAGTCACCTCATCCTACTAAGATTATTTTCAAGGGCTCTCATCCTTTTTTTTCTCTGATTTATCTTTCTGAAAATGAAAATGATGGCTTATATGAAATATCTTTTATGAAAATTAACTTGGTCTTGATCAATGGATATGTGCAGTGGAGTATACATCCAGAATTAGGCATGAGTGGGACTCATGCAGGCCACACTCAGCAACACAGGTAGTGCTGACTCCAGGTTACTTGTCACTATGTCCTTCCCCCATGTTACACCTAAGGCAGAATCAGGGTCCCTTATGACCAGATGATGGAAAGGATGTCAACCTTAGAGTTCCAGCTAGCCTAAACTGCTCTGGAGGATGGCATGGAAGAGACACCATTCTACCAAAGCAATGAGTAATGTGCAGCCAAGAGGGGCATCAGCATCACTGAGCAGTTCAGTGAGGGCTGCCCTCTGTAGCCAGAGCTGCCGTTACAGGACTGGGACCCCAGTAGCAAATGGGATGGATGACTGGATTCTGAACAGTGGAGGCCTGGTGATCATGCATGACCACCAGAAGCCAAGTGCATAGAATCACTAGAGTCAGCATCAAGGTCTGAGTGGCAGCCATGGCATTGCAACCTGGCTTGAAGAGACCTGAACCATGAGAACATCCTGTGGAATAGACCGTGGGTCCATTAAATAGGTGACATCATAGTAATTTGACCAGATGAACAAGAAGTGGCTAAAATGTTGAAGTCCTTGACAAGGCACATGCATACAGGTGAGGGTAAGAGAAAATGAGGATTCACAGGCCCAAAGCATCAGTACAATTTTTCGACTAATTCACTGGTATCAGGTATTCCAGCAAGCCCACTTTCCTTAGCTTCTCTATTTTCTCTCTGCTCTGGCTGGGCAACTCAAGCTTTTCCACTTCCCTGGATTTTGGACGTCACCTTTTTCAGGCTCCCAATTTCCATCTCAGCAGTGGGTTTATTCCATCCCTGGGGTCCATGCCAGTGTATTAAACCCAGTGTCTTGAGAGCATCGCCAAGCCAGCGAATTCTTAGTTTTGCAGGCTTATCTTTTGGCCTCTCTTGACTGGGCACCCTCAGTCCAAACCCAGGTACTCCCCTGACTCCTGATGGCACATGCTAGCTCATTCTTGTAACAGATGTGTGGTTCCCCTCCCTTATCAGGCCCAGCACATCCCCAGCTGGGTTATGCTAAGATTTAACTCTAGTTATTGTCTAGAAGCCAAGGAAGGCGGGGTTGTACCTATCAGGGAGTGGGGAAGTTATTGTCTAGTGAAGGAGAAATCTCTGCAGCATCTTCAAGCACAAAGTGCTAGCTCTTCCTAGGGAAGGTGGGCCACCTCTGCAAATCCAAAGGATCTTGCAGACTCAACATCTTTAGAGGCATCTATCCAGATGTCTGGATCTAAGTTACAAGGTCTCAGGTCTCCCTAGTAGGGCCTTGAACTTCACATAACAAAATAACTTGGCTGAGCATTTCAATGTTTCTGGAGCTCTGTGGCCAACAGCTTAGGTTTATAAACTGTTTGCCCTTCCACTGCAGGAGGGATGAGCCTCCTTGCAAGCTACCACACAAGCCCTGTGACTCACATTTACCCATTAACTGCTTGATATCTCTCAGCCTGTCATTATTCTGCTGCAGGGCATCAGTATAACTTCCCGTTAAGTAATCAACTCTACTGTCTTCACAGGCTTTGTCCCCCTTGTATTTTTCAAAAGGCTGCATCATTGCACTTGCAGGATTCTGCTTCACAAGGACATTTTTCAGGCTTCCTTTAGTGAAATCTTCATTCATTAAGCCAACATTTTGTCACAGATTCTATTTGTGCCCCTCTACCAAGGATGGGGTCACCTTTGCCCACTGGGCAGGGTGTGAGCCAGTCCCAAATCCCTATATTATAACACTTTTGTCAGACCACTTCTGGTATCACATGATAAACAGGCCAAGACAGACAGCATTAAACATGCAGGAAACTTATTAACTCCCCTGCTTTTCCTGCTAGAGAGTCCAATGTGAAGAACAGCAAGGGTTATTTCTCCTAGATAGTGGAAACAAGATGGCCAGCTCCACTATTGAGTTGGCTTCTGGGAAATTCCAATTCTATGCCCATTTATTTTGAGGGCAAATTAACCTGGTTGTGGAATTCATTAGACAGTATAGGTTGCTTTTAATTACCACTTGACACCTTTAACTCTAGTGACCTATTTGGGACTTAATCAAGTGATAACAAAATGTTGATCAAAATCACATTCCAAGTTATTGTTTTATATCACACAATTTGAGACATCAGAGTGATCCCAGATGAATTTCAGTTGGGCAGCATTCTTATGTTGGATGAACTGGGAATCAAATATACTTTGTAATTGTTTATTTGATCATCAAGTCCTGAGGGTAAGTTAAAGAACATTGTAATTTTCTGGGAAATGTATGGCAAAGCATGAAATAAGGAAGATTGCTGTAAAGGGCAAAGGATATCTAAAATAATGGTGCTACCACAGCTGGCTAGTTTGTAAATAATACTTGTATGATTTTATAGGCCAGTCATCTCCTGGCTGGTTGCCAAAAGCTATATCAGTTACGGCTGCTAAGGAAATATCTCATTGCAAGATATTAAAGTTAGATCTTACTGCAGAACATCTGTAAATTTTATCATAAAGTCACAGGATCTTAATAAAATGCAATCAAATTATATAGATATGAGACATGAGATATATTTGAAAGAATACATTTTGTGGGGGGAAAGTGCCATTAAGACTATGAAGGAAATTGGTACTACTTATGTTAGAATTTATTTACTATGTCAGTATATTACAAGTTATGATCAAAATCAAAGCTATGGGTCACAGTTGGTACAATTATCACTTCTAAATCACATAGCACTTTCATACTGTGATATACTTACCACAGGTAGTATTAGCTTGGATTTACATACAAGTATATTTACAGACTAAAGATTCTTTTGTTGAAACCCTGACCTGTTTCTTGGAGACATTTTTTTTTTACATTTCAGCCACTTCATTTATTTAAATTTTTTAAAAAATTTTAATTATAGTTCTGGGATACATGTGCAGAATATACAGGTTTGTTACATAGGTATACACATGCCATGGTGGTTTGCTGCACCCATCAACCCGTCATCTACATCAGGTATTTCTCCTAATGCTATCCCTCCCCTAGCCCCCGACTCCTGGACAGGCCCCAGTGTGTGGTATTTCCCTCCCTGTGTCCATGTGTTCTCATTGTTCAACTCCCACTTATGAGAACATGTGGTGTTTGGTTTTCTGTACTTGTGTTAGTTTGCTGAGAATGATGGTTTCCAGCTTTATCCATGTCCCTGCAAAGGACATGAATTCATCCTTTTTTATGGCTGAATAGTATTCCACGGTATATATGTGCCACAGTTTCTTTATCCAGCCTATCATTGACGGGCATTTGGGTTGGTTCCAAGTCTTTGTTATTGTGAACAGTGCCACAGTAAATATACATGTGCATGTGTCTTTATAGTAGAATGACTTATAATCCTTTGGATATATACCCAGTAATGGAATTGCTGGGTCAAATGGTATTTCTGGTTCTAGATCCTCGAGGATTCACCACACTGAGGAGACCCCTTCTAGGATAATGACCTGAACATATGAAATGTGAAATGACCCAGGTTTTGGGAAACATACCAACATATCCCATAGGTCCCCCAGTAAGTCTAAGGATTGGGGTAAGACATGAGATACATTTTTGGGCAAGGAGAGTGAGCAGTAGTTTTGATGGTTAGGGTGAACTCCATGTGGTAACAAGAGTGAGAACACACAATCTCCCTTTATTGACAACAACGACATTGTGGAGCCACCTTGTCTTAGTCTGTTCATGTTGCTATAACAAAATACCACAGAATGGATAATTTACAAACAATAGAAATGTATTTCACACAGTTCTGGAGGCTGGGATGTTCAAGATCAGTGTGCTGGGAGATTCAGTGTCTGAGGGCTACTCTTTGCTTCCAAGATAGTGCCATGTTGCTGCAACCTCCAGAGAAGATGAACAACTGTCCCCACATGGCAAAAAGGATGGAAGAGCAAAAGGGACCATGGCACTGCTTTCAACCTCTATTATAAGAGCACTATTTCTTTCATGAGGATGAAGCACTCGTGATTTAACCACTTCCCCAGAGGTCCCACCCCTTAATACTATCACATTGGATATTAGGTTCCAACATAAAAATTTTGGAAAGACTCAATACACTTAAATAATAGCATACCCCTTCCTGAGCAGCTGGGATCTGGGGTGGCAGCCTGTAGCATGGGCTTCAAATTCAAGGGAGCAGGTCTGAGTTCTGGCCCTGCTACACAGGGGCAAGACCAACATGTTGGATGCAGTTATCAGTCTTGCCTTCCTGAATCTGATGGAGATGTCAGTGTGGGTCACCATGAAAGAGCTATGTCCAACAGAGTGACAAGTGATAAGCTCATCAGGATCAGTACCAGAAAGAAACAGCTTACAATAGTCAGGTGAGAAGGTTGAAGCAGAAAAATCTGATAGTCATTCCAGAGTGCATGCGACATGGTACCTTTGTAGATAGCTAGACATCTCTGTTCCATCCCCTACTCTATTTGACAAAAAAAAATCTGCAGGGAATAGGCCAATAATTTGGCCTCTAAAGGAAGTGTAACTTAGTACTCAAGTTAGGACTCCCAATGGATTACCCTGTGTAAGGCCCTAAGTTCAGTAACTTCACAGGCT
The DNA here is from genome assembly GCF_000001405.40 of Homo sapiens. Taxonomy (NCBI): domain Eukaryota; kingdom Metazoa; phylum Chordata; class Mammalia; order Primates; family Hominidae; genus Homo; species Homo sapiens. The sequence goes on from NC_000004.12 coordinate 77,457,239, forward strand.
GGCAGGGAAAGCATCATCCAAAAAAAAAAAAAAAAATCTATTGGTCATTTAGCTCAGAAGCTCCATAAACTGAGATTTCTTTCTGGCCAGCCCTGAGCAGGATATTTGGCCTCATGGATCTGGGGTCTCCTCTCCACTCTAGAAACCAACTCTGTTAGTGCTAGATGAGCCATGTCCCCCAACTGGAGACTGAATCTTTGACCTTTAAATAAGGCTCTAAGTTCCTGTTAGGCAAAGTACCAAGAGAGAGAGTTACTCTAGTCTTATCAACCGAGAAAAAAATTTTGCCTGTTACTCAAGGGATGCAAAGCCTTCCTAGCAGGCCACTTTGTTGGAAATTTTCACGAGAGGCTTTCTAGAGCGAGAGCTGTGGGATGTAGTGGGCAATATCTTCCGCGTTCCTAGAACAAAGAATAATGGATTTCATTAGCCTGTTTTTTCATAGCATCCCTTGATGAAAGCTGAAGGCATAACCCCAAGATATAGCCCAGCAAACGTGATCATGTGTGAGGCCAAGAAAACTTTGTCCTAGTACATGAGGGTCCCATTCAACCTGAGGGTGCAATGTGGAATAACAAGAGTTGGATGTGCTGCCTGACCTCCAATCAATTTTTCATAAACATCACTCCTCTCAATTAGTCTTTTGGAAAGAGGCAGCAGATGATTTGAAATGAATTTCTAGGAAGGGTGTATAAAAGAATTGTTTGTTCAGAGTTGATCCAATCCCTGAAAAAATAAGGATGAAGTCAAGTTATATCCAATATCCAGCAGCTTAACCAAGACCTCTGATTTATGTGAGTCTCCATCCCTCTTTTGTTTGGAGTAGCCTTGGTCCACATAGGCAAAGCTAGAAGTTTTAATATTGCAAGTTTTAATATTGCAAGTCAACTAAATATTTAAGCTATGGAAATTTATTTTCTCACAGTTCTGGAGGCTGAACATCTGAGGTCAAGGTGCCAGCATAGTTAGTTTCTGGTGAGGCCTCTCACTGCTGTGTAGATTGCCACTGCCTTAAGGCCGATCCTCTGTGCATGAGCAGAGAGAGCTCTCTAGTGTCTCTTCCCTCTCTTATTGAGGACATCAGCCCTATTGGATTAGGGCCTCACTCTTAAGACCTCACTTAATGTTAATTGCTTTCCTAAAGGCCCCATCTTTAAATATCACCATATCGGAGGTTAGGGATTCAATATATGTAAGGGGAGTGGTGCACAATGAGTCTATAATCTTTTTGTCCACATCTAGAAATCTACCTCTGGCAATTTCATTGAAATTGTAAAGGCCTAGCCTTGGTTTTAGGGACTATACCTGTCCTCTGGTACCTTAGTATTTTGGGCCAGGGGAAATCCCCTTAGCAATCCTGAGGGAATTCTTTTATATATTTATTTATTATACTTTTAAGTTCTAGGTTACATGTGCACAACATGCAGACTTGTTACATAGGTATACATGTGCCATGCTGGCCTGCTGCACCCATCAACCCGTCATTTACATTAGATATTTCCTCACCCTGCCCCCATGCCATGACAGGCCCCAGTGTATGATGTTCCCCACCCTGTGTCCAAGGGTTCTTATTGTTCAGTTCCCACCTATGAGTGAGAATATGTGTTGTTTGGTTTTCTGTCCTTGTAATAGTTTGCTGAGAATGATGGTTTCCAGCTTCATCCATGTCCCTGCAAAAGACATGAACTCATCCTTTTTTATGGCTGCATAGTATTCCATGGTGTATATCTGCCACAATTTATTAATCCAGTCTATCATTGATGGACATTGGGTTGGTTCCAAATCTTTGTTATTGTGAATAGTGCTGCAATAAACATACGTGTACATGTCTCTTTATAGTAGCATGATTTATAATCCCTTGGGTATATACTCAGTAACGGGATTGCTGGGTCAAATGGTATTTATAGCTCTAGATCCATGAGGAATTGCCACACTGTCCTCCACAATGATTGAACTAGTTTACACTTCCACCAACAGTGTAATAGCATTCCTATTTCTCCACATCCTCTCCAGCACCTGTTGTTTCCTGACTTTTTTAATGATCGCCATTCTAACTGGTGTGAGATGGTATCTCATTGTGGTTTGATTTGCATTTCTCTGATGACCAGTGATGATGAGCATTTTTTCACGTGTCTATTGGCTGCATAAATGTCTTCTTTTGAGAAGTGTCTGTTCATATCCTTTGCCCACTTTTTGATGGGGTTGTTTGATTTTTTTTCTTGTAAATTTGTTTGAGTTCTTTGTAGATTCTGGATATTAGCCCTTTGTCAGATGGGTAGATTGCAAAAATTTTCTCCCACTTTGTAGGTTGCCTGTTCACTCTGATGGTAGTTTCTTTTGCTGTGCAGAAGCTCTTTAGTTTAATTAGATCCCATTTGTCTATTTTGGCTTTTGTTGCCATTGCCTTTGGTGTTTTAGTCATGAAGTTCTTGCCCATGCCTATGTCCTGAATGGTATTGCCTAGGTTTTCTTCTAGGATTTTTATGGTTTTAGGTCTAACATGTAAGTCTTTAATTCATCTTGAATTAATTTTGGTATAAGATGTAAGGAAAGGATCCAGTTTCAACTTTCTATATATGACTAGCCAGTTTTCTCAGCACCATTTATTAAACAGGATATCCTTTCCTTATTTCTTGTTTTTGTCAGGTTTGTCAAAGATCAGATAGTTGTAGATGTGTGGTATCATTTCTGAGGGCTCTGTTCTGTTCCATTGGCCTATATATCTGTTTTGATACCAGTACCATGCTGTTTTGGTTACTGTAGCCTTGTAGTATAGTTTGAAGTCAGGTAACGTGATGCCTCCAGCTTCGTTCTTTTGGCTTAGGAATGTCTTGGCAATTTGGGCTCTTTTTTGGTTCTATATGAACTTTAAAGTAGTTTTTTCCAATTCTGTGAAGAAAGTCATTGGTAGCTTGATGGGGATGGCATTGAATCTATAAATTGCCTTGGGTAGTATGGCCATTTTCACAATATTGATTCTTCCTATCCATGAGCATGGAATGTTCTTCCATTTGTTTGTGTACTATTTTATTTTGTTGAGCAGTGGTTTGTAGTTCTCCTTGAAGAGGTCCTTCACATCCCTTGTAAGTTGGATTCCTAGGTATTTTATTCTCTTTGTAGCAATTGTGAATGGGAGTTCACCCATGATTTGGCTCTCTGTTTGTCTGTTATTGGTGTATAGGAATGCTTGTGATTTTTGCACATTGATTTTGTATCCTGAGACTTTGCTGAAGTTGCTTATCAGCTTAGGGAGATTTTGGGCTGAGACAGTGGGGTTTTCTAAATATACAATCATGTCATTTCCAAACAGGGACAATTTGACTTCCTCTTTTCCCAACTGAATACCCTTTATTTCTTTCTCTTGCCTGATTTCCCTGGCCAGAACTTCCAACACTGTGTTGAATAGGAGAGGTGAGAGAGGGCATCCCTGTCTTGCACCAGTTTTCCAAGGGAATCTTCCAGGTTTTGCCCATTCAGTATGATATTGGCTGTGGGTTTGTCATAAATAGCTCTTATTATTTTGAGATACATTCCATCAATACCTAGTTTATTGAGAGTTTTTAGCATGAAGAGCTCTTGAATTTTGTCGAAGGCCTTTTCTGCATCTATTGAGATAATCATGTGGTTTTTGTCATTGGTTCTGTGTATGTGATGGATTATGTTTATTGATTTTTGTATGTTGAATCAGCCTTGCATCCCAGGGATGAAGCCCAATTGATCATGGTGGATAAGCTTTTTGATGTGCTGCTGGATTTGGGTTGCCAGTATTTTATTGAGGATATTCACATTGATATTCATCAGGGATATTGGTCTAAAATTCTCTTTTTTTGTTGTGTCTCTGCCAGGCTTTGGTATCAGGATGATGCTGGCCTCATAAAATGAGTTAGGGAGGACTCCCTCTTTTTCTATTGTTGGAATAGTTTCAGAAGGAATGGTACCAGCTCCTCTTTGTACCTCTGGTAGAATTCAGCTGTGAATCCATCTGGTCCTGGACTTTTTTTGGTTGGTAGACTATTAATTATTGCCTCAATTTCAGAGCCTATTATTCAGAGATTCAACTTCTTCCTGGTTTAGTCTTGGGAGGGTGTATGTGTCGAGGAATTTATCCATTTCTTCTAGATTTTCTAGTTTATTTGTGTACAGGTGATTATAGTATTCTCTGATGGCAGTTTGTATTTCTGTGGGATCGGTGGTGATATCCCCTTTATCGTTTTTTATTATGTCTATTTGATTCTTGTCTATTTTATCCTTTACTAGTCTTGCTAGTGGTCTATCAATTTTGTTGATCTTTTCAAAAAACCAGCTATTTTTTGAAGGGTTTTTTTTGAGTCTCTGTCTCCTTCAGTTCTGCTCTGATCTTAGTTATTTCTTGCCTTCTGCTAGCTTTTGAATTTGTTTGTTCTTGCTTCTCTAGTTCTTTTAATTGTGATGTTAGGATGTCAATTTTAGATCTTTCAAGCTTTCTCTTGTGGGCATTTAGTGCTATAAATTTCCCTCTACACACTGCTTTAAATGTGTCCCAGATATTCTGGTACATTGTGTGTTTGTTCTCATTAGTTTCAAAGAACATCTTTATTTCTGCCTTCATTTCGTTATTTAACCAGTAGTCATTTAGGAGCAGGTTGTTCAGTTTCCATGTGGTTGTGCAGTTTTGAGTGAGTTTCTTAATCCTGAGTTCTAATTTGATTGCACTTGGTCTGAGAGACAGTTCGTTGTGATTTCGTTCTTTCACATTTGCTGAGGAGTGCTTTACTTCCAAATATGTGGTCAATTTTGGAATAAGCATGATGTGGTACTGAGAAGAATGTATATTCTCGTGATTTGGGGTGGAGAGTTCTGTAGATGTCTATTAAGTCTGCTTGGTGCAGAGCTGAGTTCAAGTCCTGGATAACCTTGTTAACCTTCTGTCTCATTGATCTGTCTAATATTGACCATGGGGTGTTAAAGTCTCCCATTATTATTGTGTGGGAGTCTAAGTCTCTTTGTAGGTCTCATAGGACTTGCTTTATGAATCTGGGTGCTCCTGTATTGGGTGCATATATATTTAGGATAGTTAGATCTTCTTGTTGAATTGATCCCTTTACCATTATGTAATGGCCTTCTTTGTCTCTTTTGCTCTTTTTTTGTTTAAAGTCCGTTTTATCAGAGACTAGGATTGCAACCCCTGCTTTTGTTTCGTTTTGTTTTGTTTTTTTGCTTTCCATTTACTTGGTAGATCTTCCTCCAATCCTTTATTTTGAGCCTCTGTGTGTCTGTGCACATGAGATGGGTCTCCTGAATACAGCACACAGATGGGTCTTGACTCTATCCAATTTACCAGTCTATGTCTTTTAATTGGGGCATTTAGCCCATTTACATTTAAGGTTAATATTGTTATGTGTGAATTTGATCCTCTCATTATGATGTTTGCTGGTTATTTTGCCCATTAGTTGATGCAGTTTCTTCCTAGCATCAATGGTCTTTACAATTTGGCATGTTTTTGCAGTGGCTGGTACCAGTTTTTCCTTTCCATGTTTAGTGCTTCCTTCAGGAGCTCTTGTAAGGCAAGACTGGTGGTGACAAAATCTCTCAGCATTTGCTTGTCTGTAAAGGATTTTATTTCTCCTGTACTTATGAAGCTTACTTTGCTGGATATGAAATTTTGGGTTGAAAATTCTTTTCTTTAAGAATGTTGAATATTGGCCCCCACTCTCTTCTGGCTTGTAGAGTTTCTGCCGAGAGAGCCGCTGTTAGTCATATGGGCTTCCCTTTGTGGATAACCCTTTCTCTCTGGCTGCCCTTAACATTTTTTCCTTCATTTCAAACTTCGTGAATCTGACAATTATGTTTCTTGGGGTTGCTCTTCTGGAGGAGTATCTCTGTGGTGTTCTCTATATTTCCTGAATTTGAATGTTGGCCTGCCTTGCTTGGTTGGGGAAGTTCTCCTGGATAATATCCTGAAGAGTGTTTTCCATCTTGGTTCCATTCTCCCTGTCACTTTCAGGTACACCAATCAGACGTAGATTTGGTCTTTTCACATAGTCCCATATTTCTTGTAGGCTTTGTTCATTTATTTTTACTCTTTTTTCTCTAAACTTCTCTTCTAACTTTATTTCATTAATTTGATCTTCAATCACTAATACCCTTACTTCCACTTCATCGAATTGGCTATTGAAGCTTGTGCATGTGTCATGTAGTTTGCGTGCCATGGTTTTAAGCTCCATCAGGTCATTTAAGGTCTTTTCTACACTGTTTACTGTAGTTAGCAATTCATGTAATCTTTTTTCAAGGTTTTTAGCTTCCTTGCCATGGGTTCGAACATCCTCGTTTAGCTCGGAGAAGTTTGTTATTACCAACCTTCTGAGGCCTACTTCTGTCAGCTCATCAAAGTCATTCTCTGTCCAGCTTTGTTCCATTGCTGGTGAGGAGGAGTGATCCTTTGGAGGAGAAGAGGCACTCTGGTTTTTAGAATTTTCAGCTTTTCTGCTCTGGTTTCTCCCCATCTTTGTGGTTTTATCTTCCTTTGGTCTTTGATGTTGGTGACCTACAGAAGGGGTTTTGATGTGGATGTCTTTTTTGTTGATGTTGATGCTATTTCTTTCTGTTTGTTAGTTTTCCTTCTAACAGTCAGGTCCCTCAGCTGCAGGTCTGTTGGAGTTTGCTGGAGGTCCACTCCAGACCCTGTTTGCCTGGGTATCACCAGCAGAGGCTGCAGAACAGCAAATATTGCTGCCTGGTCCTTTCTCTGGAAGCTTTGTCCCAGAGGGGCACCCATCTGTATGAGGTGTCAGAAGGCCCCTACTAGGAAGTGTCTCCCAGTTAGGCTACATGGGGGTCAGGGACCCACTTAAGGAGGCAGTCTGTCCGTTTTCAGAGCTCAAACACCTTGTTGGGAGAACCACTGTTCTCTTCAGAGCTGTCAGACAGGGACATTTAATTCTGCAGAAGTTTCTACTGCCTTTTGTTCAGCTATGCCCTGCCCCTAGAGGTGGAATCTACAGAGGCAACTGGCCTTTCTGAGCTGTAGTGGGCTCCGCCCAGTTCAAGCTTCCCTGGCCTGCTTTGTTTACCTACTCAAGGCTCAGCAATGGCAGATGCCCCTCCCCCCACCAGGCTGCTGCAATGCAGGTTGATCTCAGACTGCTGCACTAGCAGTGAGCAAGGGTCCGTTAGTGTGGGACCTGCCAAGCCAGGCATGGGATATAATCTCCTGGTGTGCCATTTGCTAAGACCATTGGAAAAGTGCAGTATTTGGGTGGGAGTGTCCCAATTTTCCAGGTACTGTCTGTCACAGCTTCCCTTGGCTAGGAAAGGGAAATCCCCCAACCCCTTGTGCTTCCTGAGTGAGACGATGCCCCGCCCTGTTTTGGCTCACCCTCTGTGGGCTGCATCCACTTTCCAACCAGTCCCAATGAGGTGAACCAGGTACCTCAGTTGGAAATGCAGAAATCCCATCTTCTGCATCAATCACACTGGGAGCTGCGGACCGGAGCTCTTCCTATTCAGCCATCTTGGAATGGAATCCCTCGCCTAAGGAAATTCTTAAAGTAGAGTTGGTATTCTACAGATCCTGGCAAATGTTGCTGGCAAGAGCCAGCTCCATTCATGAGCCATTAAGGTCTGGGAATGAAGAATAGGAGAGGATAACATCTAAAGGGTCAGCTGGCTTAGAACTTAGACTAGAATGGATAGTTAGCATGTTTGGTCTCTGCTGCTTAGCCTTGGTAGAAACATTGAATATGTCATTTGGGAAGGGAGGCTTTATGTATGCTGGAGTTCATCGACCAAATGGATTAGCAACTCAACAGAAGACTGTTTTTTACTCATGCAGTCATCCACTAGAAATTGAATTCCAAAGCTACTGTGTAGAAACCCAAGTTAATCCTGGTTACCAGGAGAGACTGTTGCTTAGAAGCCCAGTGAAGACAAGCACCCAAAATTAAGGCAGTACTTTTTAAATATCCCTTTCAGGTGATTTATTTGACCAGCTATGCTGAAGACAAAATGAGATCTAGGATTCCAGAGCTGATTTTCCTTTATGAGGGAGGTGTTTGGATTCTGAGGGAGGTGTGTTCTTTAGATGGGCCAACAGGACAATACTATCAGCTAATTCTCTAAATTCTTCTGTGCCTTATGAGCTGTGGGTAGTCATGAACATCTCTCTAATCCTAGCTGGCAGAGTGGATGGGGACAGCACATAATTAAAACCAAGGTCAAGCTGTGGGGCCAGACCCACTGGGCCCAAGTTCAGTGCTTTGGCCAGGAGATGGCAGCGTGTAATCATACAGTAGAACCCTGAGCTTTGCGGCAGCTTGGCTTGGATGGAGCCATACTGGGAAGCTTCTGGGAGGGCTTTCTGGGGAGACACAACAGCAGTGACTAAAGAAGTAGTAGAAGGACATCTGGGTTCTACAGATGTTGGTAAACATAGTTATTGAGAGGATAATGGCCAGGCTCAGCTAACTGGCATGATCAGAGACTGATGAGCAGAAATGAATTAGATGGGGAGGAGATGCTGAAAGGTAAAAGAGCAATGACAATCCAGAGGAGAAGCAAGACTTTGACCAACAGGTGCAGGTCTTAGAAGAGAACTAACCTCAAGGAGACCAGAGGAAAGACAAGTTCTGTCAGTGAGGAAATTGTAGAGATTGCCTTTCAGAACACCAGCAGTTATGGCTCTGTTGACCTTCACTACACAATTTATGCTCCAAAAACATGCTGAGATAACAAAGCTGGAAGCAGGTGAGCAATACACAGATGACCCCGACTTGCTTGAGTCTCTGCTTTCTGGTTAAGGCATCTGACCTCTTTAGCTGCCTTGGGAGAGGTGTTCCTGACAGTGGTAAATAGCTCCATGATCCACTGGATGGGTCCCACTTTGGACCCTGCTATCTTGCCAAAAGTATGATGATCCATGGCTTATATGAACTGCTTTGGGGTCCACTAGAATGGAAATGGGAGGAAGGGCTTTTATGAGATAAGATACTGAGAGGTGACAGCATGCTGGCAGCCCTCACAGCCCTTGCTTGGTCTCAGCACCTCCTCGGCCTTGGCGCCCACTCTGGCCATGCTTGAGGAGCCCTTCAGCCCACCACTGCACTGTGGGAGCCCCTTTCTGGGCTGGCCAAGGCCAGAGCCAGCTCCCTCAGCTTGCTGAGAGGTCTGGAGGGAGAGGTGCCGATGGGAACCAGGGCTGCACACGGTGCTTGCGGGCCAGCGCAAGTTCCAGGAGGGTGTGGGCTCGGCAGGCCCCACACTTGGAGTGGCTGGCCAGCCCACAAGCCCCTGGCAGTGAGGGGCTTAGCACCTGGGCCAGCAGCTGCTGTGCTCGATTTCTCACTGGGCCTTAGCTGTCTCCTCGCAGGGCAGGGCTTGGGACCTGCAGCCCACCATGCCTGAGCCTCCCCCTGCCCTGCTGTGGGCTCCTGTGCAGCCGGAGCCTCCCCGAGGAGTGCGGCTCCCTGCTCCATGGTGCCCAGTCCCATGGACCACCCAAGAGCTGAGGAGTGCAGGCAGATGGCATGGGACTGGCAGGCAGCTCCACCTGTGGCCCCGGGCAGGATCCACTGGGTGAAGCCAGCTGGGCTCCTGAGTCTGGTGGGGACTTGGAGAACCTTTATGTCTAGCTAAGGATTGTAAATACACCAATCAGCACTCTGTATCTAGCTCAAGGTTTGTAAACACACCAATCAGCACCCTGTGTCTAGCTCAGGGTTTGTGAATGCACCAATTGGCATTCTGTATCTAGTTAATCCTTTGGGGACTTGGAGAACCTTTATGTCTAGCTAAGGGATTGTGAATGCACCAATCAGCACTCTGTATCTAGCTCAAGGTTTGTAAATGCACCAATCAGCACTCTGTGTCTAGCTCAGGGTTTGTAAATACGCCAATCGACACTCTGTATCTAGCTAATCTAGTGGGGACGTGGAGAACTTTTGTGTCTAGCTCAGGGATTGTAAACGCACCAATCAGCACCCTGTCAAAATGGACCAATCAGCTCTCTGTAAAACAGACCAATTGGCTCTCTGTAAAATGGACCAATCAGCAGGATGTGGGTGGGGCCAGATAAGACAATAAAAGTAGGCTGCCTGAGCCAGCAGTGGCAACCCCCTCGGGTCCCCTTCCACACTGTGGGAGCTTTGTTCTTTCACTTTTTGCAATAAATCTTGCTGCTACTCACTCTTTGGATTCAACACTCACTGCGAAGGTCTGCAGCTTCACTCCTGGAGCCAGTGAGACCACGAACCCACTAGAAGGAAGAAACTCCAAACACATCTGAACATCAGAGGGAACAAACTCCGGACACGCCGCCTTTAAGAACTGTAACACTCACCACGAGGGTCTGCAGCTTCATTCTTGAAGTCAGTGAAACCAAGAACCCACCAATTCTGGACACAATACTATGTGACACAGAAGGAAAACCCGAGTCTGCATTTCCATAGCAACTTTGGTACTATTAATGGCACACACACACAGTGAACTTTGGTGATTTGCATAGAAGTGAAAACATCTAAGAAAATGACTTACTAGATAAGTGGTTTATACTTATTAATAGGTTTTTCTATAATTGCATTTGATAATCAATACCTAATAGGACATGTATCATTGCTGAGCTTCCCTAGAGCATACAAGTAAATTACTTGCCCAAGGTAACTCAGATCTGAGAGTTGGACCAGCTCTGGATTCTAGGAGTACTGATTTAGTCTAGTGAACTTTGTTCAGACACCACCACACAATCAAGTTTATGTAAGCAGAAATTACAACTGCATACTCTTTCAGGTCCTGTAGGCTCACACATTAAGCTATAGGAGTTTTAAAAATAAGTAAATCCTTTCTGGAAGACTCCTTTGTAAGAAGGTACCTGATGGTGATAAGGGCACCAAGGTGAACCAACCTGCCCTGTCACATCCATTCAGAACCTTGTACAGGGTGATGGGACTGAAGAAGGTGGCACTCCATCTCCCCTACTAGCTTGGTTGTTCTGTGTCAAGACCCTTCCAGACACCCAACTGCAGAACATGAATCATTTTTTGTCTATGCAAAATATTGCACTGTCTATTGTGGGCACTGATTTCTCCTAATGTCAAGGTTCAAGGCTAATGTTGGCCTTCTTAGATATCTTTGCTTCCGAGTCAGATGGATAGCAGGAAAACGGAAAAACGTCTAGGAGAGAAGCCAGCACTAAGGAGGGAACCAGATCGTGAGACAAAAGAATTGGAATCCAAGGCCATGAATAACTTTTCAGTTGTCATGGGATTAGTGGCTAACGAGGTCTTTGGGGGCATCCCAGTGGTAACCATGAAAAGTCCTATATATAGACGGGGTGTAGTGGCTCACATCTGTAATTCCAGCTCTGTGGGAGGATTGCTTGAGCCCAGGAGTTCGAGACCAGCCTGGGCAACCTAGTGAGACCTTGTCTCTTAAAAAAAATAAATAAGAAAGCCCTATGTATTCAATGGTGTCTAATGTTTTGCTTTCATAATACCATGTTCTCAGTTATCCCTTGACTCGCTAAACTATTGAACTTCCTCTGAATTTCTTAAGCTGTTGGAGCAGCTCATATCCAGATCAATGTGTTATCCCTTATGTGCACCATTGACCATAGTGTTTTATTTAAAGGCAATGGCTTTAACCCAAAGGAATGACATATTTTGAATACTTAGAGTTTAGGTCAAATTGACCCATTGTATGACCACATTGTATCCCCTCAGCCACCTGTGGCTTCAGCCAGGCCCGTAGTAGACATGTAGACATTTACCTCCCACTTCATCCTTGCAGTGTGCTCCCCAGGCTCACACTGGCTTTTCTGATGGGCTTGACTTTTACCAATCCATGCTCTTTTCTATGTGCAGCCTGGAAGAGCTGAGGAGTTACTATTTGTGAAAAGTCTGAGAAGCATACAGACCCCTCCTCAAGAGTGAAAAGCTGGAGTGCAGATTTCAATAATGTGCCTTACATTGACTCTTTCTCCTTCCCTGTTTCACTTCTTTTTCACTCCTGGTTCCTGGGCACAGGCAGTTTATGTAGGAGGCAATCCCAAATTCTTATCTTAGTCTCTGCTTTTAGGAGGCTGCTATGATCTGAATGTTTGTGTTTCTCCAGAATTTATGTTGAAATCCTAATCCTGAAGGTGATGATATAAGGAGGTGGGGCCTTTAGGAGATGATTAGGTCATGAAAGCAGAGCCCTCACGAATCGGATTAGTGCCCTTATGAAAGAAGCCCGAGGAAGCTCAGGCACCGCTTCCAACATGTGAGAACATGGTGAAAAGACAGCTATGCACCAGGACACAAGCCTTCACCAGACTCTGAGCCTATCAGCACTTTGATCTTAGACTTCCAGCCTCCAAAACTTAGACATAAATTTCTGTTGTCTGTAAACCACCCAGTTTATGGTATTTTGTTGCAGCCTAAACAGACTAAGATAGGGACCCAAACTAAGACACAGGCCCTAGGTTCAGGAGGTTTGAGTTACACAGAAAAAACTCCTATAATTCCAAAAAGTGAGTGAGAGAAAAGTACATAATCTACAAAGCCATAGCAAAGCAGTGTTCAGTTGATGTGGAAAGAGAAGACCAGAGATGAAGATAATTGTTGACTTCAGGAACTTACATCCAGTGTTTTAAGTTTCCTCCACTAGTGAAGGAATAAGAAAATCAATCTCTAACATACCTTGCATTCTTTCTATTTGGGCCTTGTCATGATTCCTCCATTGATGGGGCTTTTTTCTAATCTTTGCGATCTTGTAGGAGACAATCCTGGTGCCTATGCTGTCGTTGCTGCTGTGTGCAACTGCACTTTTCTCATTCTTTTAAAGAGTGGCTTTTGCCTTGGTTGTAAGGAACATATAAGCTGATCTAGAGTTTGTCGGAACTCAGCTCTGATTCAGAGCCTGAGGGAGATTGCCTTAAGAAACTGGCACCCTGAGGCAACCATGGAGATACCTTGCTCAGATTCCCTTTCAAGAAAGGGCTTGCAGTGGAGCTATGAGGAGAGCTGTTGACGGACCTTCTCTCTGTGGTGCCCTGGGCAGCTCCCAGCCAGTGAGGTAGTATGGTTGGGATGCTAGGGCCTGCCTGGCCATTTTGACCAAGTAGGAACTCCTCTGGTGGGTAATCTTTGCTCCAGAGCTTTCTGAGGTTCACCAAGATACTATCAGGTATGTAGCATGGTCCAAAAGCTTTCCAAGCCACCCCATCCTGCTTTCTCCCCCTTTATTTTTTATAGATGTTATCCCCTAACAAGTCTCTTACACTACTAATTTCATCTCAGCATCTGTTTCCTGGAGTACCTGAACAGACATAACTGGTCCTAAGAGTGGTATGAGAAAGCAAGATAGGGTTTAGGGACTGAATTGCTTACTTCCAACCTGGCAATGAAGACCCTATCCTGGTTGTTACGTGATACACAGTAATCTGGGGGTAGGGGCTGTGCAGATGGGGATGGGTTAATAAACTGCAGCCTGAGGAACAGATCTCACCTGCCACCTGTTTTGTTTTAAAGTTTGTGTTAGAAAGGCTTTATTTTCCCTTTAGCTTTTAATTTATTTGAGGCATAATCTTGCTCTGTCACCCAGGCTGGAGTGCAGTGGCGTGATCTCAAATCACTGCAACCTCTGCCTCCCAGGTTCAAGCAATTCTTGTGCCTCAGCCCCCTGAGTAGCTGGGACTATAGGCGCCCGCTGCCATGCCTGGCTAATTTTTGTATTTTTAGTAGGGAAAGATTTCACCATGTTGGCCAGGCTGGTCTTGAACTCCTGACCTCAGGTGATCCATCTGCCTCGGCCTCCCAAAGTGCTGGGATTACAGGCATGAGCCACCATGCCTGGTCCCATTAGCTTTTTAGATGTCTTTATTTTTTAGTAACTTTAAGTTTTCATTTAAATTTAGGAGAAATTCCCTCATTCACCTCTCCTTCCTCAAGATTCCCCTATTGTTAACATCTTGGCTTACTATGGTACACTTGTTGCAATTGATGAGCTAATATTGGTAAAATGTTAATAAAAGTTCAGTTTTTTTCCCTAAGATGGCAGATGAGAGGCTCTTTGTGTGCCTAAATGACTTGGAAGGAGCAAAATAGTGCATAACGATCAACTTGATGAGCTTTAGTTCAAGAAGGAAAATGGGAATTCACCAAAATAGCAAAGGACATCCCAGATCCTGGAGAGAAGAAGGTGGGCAAACAGTGTCCAGCTGATAAAAGTGGGTGCAGCCCCAGTACACAAGAGGGGTAGAGAGCCTCCCTCTGTAACTCACCGATCCACTAGGGATCCATGCAACTCTGGCCAAGGGAGAGCATCTTGTTTCTCCCAAGCTCCAGAGCTAATTTGAGGACAGGCTTGGAGACACTGAGCAGGAAAGACACTAGGAAAAGCTGCAGGCATTTTCCCACACCCAAGACTGAGAAGAGGATGCCATTTTGAACCCAGGCTCATAGAAAGTCAGCCATTCTTCAGCAACCCAGCAGCATGGCCACACAGGCATTTTAGTCTCAGACCAAAGATTGGAGTGCTTTCTATGGAGCTGGGGAAGAGCCCCCACAGCCAGAATTGAGCAGCAGGTGTGGAAAGCACCCCAGCAGTAGGTGCTGGAATTGGGCTCTCCTTCATTGCAGGTCTGGAGTAGGAGAGTTGCTGAAGCTAGTTTCTCCTGGGCAGCAAGACTTGCTGCCAGGGCCAGTTTGCCAACCTGGAACCAGTCTGCGTGTATCATTGCTGGGTGCTCCAGCCTGCTTTTCTGAGATCGTGGTGCAGTGGGGCCCTCTCTACCCTATGCTGAGGCATGTCGCCAAGCACTTGCAATACCTGTTCCCCTGGATTAGCAGCCTGAGCTACCCCATCCTTCCTCTACAGAGATCTTGGTGCAGTGGTGCTCCCTTCACACCATGCATGGGCCTACCTCTAGGTGTTTGGCACACACTCTCACCTGGATTAGCTGCCTGAGCTGACCCCTTTCCTGAAAAGACTTTGTTGCACTCTGTTACTCTGCTCCCTACTGGGGGACATATTTTCAGGCATTCAGCACACGTGCTCACCTGCCTGAGCTTCCCTCCTGTGCAGAGATCTTGGTGCAGTGGCACAGTCCCTGCTCCATGCCTGGACATGTCTCCAGGCCTTTGGCATACCTGCCCCTTTGGAATAGGAGCTTGAGCTTCCATCCCTTTCCCATGCAGTGAACTCGGTGCAGTGACACTTCCTCCACTCCACACCTGGACAGAACTCCAGGCATTTAGCACACTAGGTCTCACAGATTAGGAGCTTGAGCCACCTATCCCTTCCCATGCAAAGATCTTAATGTGGCAGTGATTTCTCTGCTTCTACCCCAGGCATATCATCTGGCATGAGGTACACCTGCTCTCTCGGAGTAGGAGACAGAGCCACCCTTCCCATCCCCTGCAAAGACCTTGTTGCAGCAGTAGTTTCTCCACTCCTTGCTGAGGCATATTTCCAGGCATTTGGCATACCTGCTTGCCTGGATTAGAAGCCTGAGCCACCCCCACCTTCAGGTGTGGAGATTGTGGTGCACTAGCTCACCCTCCTCTCAATGCCCAGACATATCTCTAGACATTCCAAGTACCAATTCATCTAGATTAGGAGTTTACACCTCTCCTCTTCCTTAGGCAGAGAACTTGGGGCAGAGGAAGTTTTCAAACTCCATAACTAGGCACACCTCTGGCCACTTGGTGGCCACCCACTGGGCCCCCCCACCTTGGAGCTAGTGCTCGTGCCTGTTATTGGGGGACCTGTAAGTGGACCTGCCTGGTCAGGCCCCATCCCTCTTAGTCTCCCACTCTGGAGCTGAACAGGAAGCTCAGACCACTGTGCACCCCACAGATTGCCAGAGGCAACAGAGCTTCTCCCAGTAAACAAAGATCAGGTATATGCACATCTGCATTGGCTGCAGCTGGCTTTTACCTGTATAAGATACCTACTGGCCTGGAGGTTGAATGGCACAACACAATAGAAAATCTGCAGACACAAGTGCTCAACAGTGGGGAATGAGAAAAGCTTCCTGAGACCTCTGCCACCCCAGCCACACAGGAGGCAGTGAGTCTGCCCACATGCTACAACCAGCATTTGGAAGAGCCGCTATACAAAGTTACCTATAACCAAGGAATGTATACAGACTCTGCCACCAAAGACACCCAGAACCAGAGAGAGCTAACCCCTGGCATGGTCTTCCCCTAAAGAAGTGGGGAGCACAGCCCACCAAAGCACCCCTCGGGCCAAAGGAAACATGAGTGCAGCACCAGCCCTTGAGACAGTACCACCAAAGCCCAGGGATGGACACGGAGAATGGGTAATCTCTCCCCTCCACACTACTGTGGACTTGGCAGCACCTCTTTCCATAAGAACCCAGGGAACGTGGGCTGAAACAGACCACTTATTAGGCAACTACAGTGGCTCCACCCCCCACTGAAGGTTGAACACTTGCTAGGGAAGGATACTTTTCACTTCTCCCTTGCCCCTGCTCCTACCTGTTGGCTCTTACTTTTCAGCACCACCTTCTGGACAGAAGATTGAATTACACCACCAAACAAAATGACATTGCTACAACAAGCAACACCTGAGAAGACCACCACAGGAACATATTTGCAATCAAGGAACCCAAACAGAGCCTTGGCTCCCTAAAAGCACCCAGAAACAAAGCCAATCTATTATACACAGTATACACTGCAGTCATACCCCCAAGGGAAAAAAGAATAGGAAATCAAGAAGCTCCAAACAATAGCAAATTCAAAAAAAGAAGCATTAATTATCTCACGTTAGAAGGAACCAGCACAAGAACTGTGACAATACAAAAAGCCAGAGTGTCTTGTCACCTCCACAGGATCTCGCTAGCTCCCAAGCAACGGATCCTAATCAGAATGAAATGTCTAGGATGACAGACATTCAATTCACAATATGGATGTCAAAGAAAATGAGATTTAAGAGAAAAAATCCAACATGAACAGAAAAACAATCCAAGATTTAAAAGATAACACAGCTGTATTAAGAAAGAAGCAAACAGAACTTCTGGAACTGAAAAATTCACTACAGGAATTTCAAAATACAATTGGAAGCCTTAACAGACTAGAACAAGCTAAGGAAAAAATTTCAGAGCTTGAAGAATGGTCCTTTGAATCAACCCAGTAGAAAAAGAAAAATTTAAAAATGAATAAAGCCTTTGAGAAATATGGGGCTATCTAAAGTGATCAGATATATGACTTATTGGCATTCTTGAGAGAAGAGAAAGTAAACAACTTGATAAATGTATTTTTGAGGATACAATTCTGGAAAATTTCCCCAATTTTGCTAGAGAGGACAACATGCAGATACAATAAATCTAGAGAAGTCCTACAAGTTACTATACAAGATTACCATCCCCAAAGCACATAGTCATTAGGCTATCCAAGGTCAATGTGAAAGAAAACATCTTAGAGGCAGCTAGAGAAAAGGGTCATGTTACCTATAAAGGGAAACACATCAGACTAATGGACTTCTCAGCAGAAACCTTAACAGTCAGAGATTGGGGCCCATTTTTAGCATTCTTAAAGAGAAATGTCAGCCAAAATTTCATATCTTACCAAACTAAGCTTCATAAACAAAGAAGAAAGTCTTTCCCAGACAAGCAATTGCTAAAGGACTTCATCACCCCAAGACCAGCCCTAAAAGAGATGCTTAAGGGAGGTCTAAACAGGGAAACAAAAGACTGATACTATCATGAAAGCACATAGCCCATGGACCCCATAAAGCAACCACATAATCAAGACAAACTAGCTAATAACACTATGACAGGAATAAAACCTCACATATCAACATTAGCGTTTAATGTAAATGCCCTAAATACCATACTTAAAAGATATAGGGTAGCAAATTTGATAAAAACACAGGACACAAGATCTGTCTGGTCTCTTCAAGAGACCCATCTCACAGGTAATGATAGCCATAGGCTCACAGTAAAGACATGGAAAGAAAGACTGATCATGCAAATGCTAAACAAACAAAAAAAAACAGGGGTTGCTATTCTTGTATAGGATAAAATAGACTTTAAACCAGAAACAATAAAAAAGGGCATTATATAATGATAAAGAGTTCAATTCAAGAAAATTTAACTACTCTAAATATATATGCACCCAACATTGGAGCACCCAGACTTATAAAGCACAGAATTCTATACCTAACAAAAGAAGTTAGCAGCCATACGATAATAGTGTGGGACATCAACACCGCATTGACATCTTCAGACAGATCATTCACACCCAGAAAAACTAAAAAAATTCCAGACTTTAATTCAACATTTAACCAATTGTACCTAATAGACATCTACAGAATACTCCATCCAACAACCACAGAATATACGTTCTTATCTGCAATCTTCTCATCTAAAATTGACCACACGCTCAGTCATAAAGCAAGTCTTAAAATCAAAAATATCAATATTAAGCATCTTCTCACACCACAGTGAAATAAAAATAGAAATTAATATCAAAAGGAACTCTCAAAATGACACAAATATATGGAAACAAAACAACTTCTGAATTACTTTTGGGTACATGATGAAATTAAGGCACAAATAAAATTCTTTAAAACAAATGAAAACAGAGGCATAACATACCATAACCTCTAGGATACAGCAAAAGCAGTGTTAAGAGGAAAGTTTATAGCATTAAACACCTGCATCAAGAAGATAGATACCACATTAAAAACCTAACCTTGCACCTAAAACTAGAAAAACAAGGACAAACCAAACCCAAAGCTAACAGAAGAAAAGAAATAACTAAAATCAGAGCAAAACTAAATGAAATTGAGGCCCCAGAAAATGATACAAAGGGTCAATGAAATTAAAAGGTGGTTCTTTGAAAGGATAAACAAGATTGATAGACCACTAGCTAGAATAATAAAGAGAAAATCTAAGCAAAATCAAAAATAACAAAGGTAATTTCACAACTGAACCCAGAGAAATACAGAAGGATCTCAGAAACGATTATGAACATTTCTATGCACACAGATTAGAAAATCTAGAAGAAAACACACAACTTCCCAAGATTGAGCCAAGGAGGAACAAATCTTGAACAAACCAATACTGAGTTCTGAAATTAGTAATAAAAAAAATCCTGCTGACCAAAAAAAAATCCCCAGACAAGATGGATTTGCAGCTGAATTCTACAAGACATGCAAAGAAGAGCTGATACCAATACTTCTGAAGCTATTTCAAAAAATCAAGGAGGAGGGACTCCTCTCTAACTCAGTCTATGAAAGCAGTAGCATCCTGATACCCAAATTTGGCAAAGATACAACATAAAAAGAAAACTATTGACCAACATCCCTGATAAACATAGATGCAAAAAATCTCAACAAAATACTAACATCAAAAAGGAGCACATCAAAAAGTTAATTCACGATCAAGTGGGCTTTATTCCTGTGATGGAAGGATGGTTCAATATATGCAAATCAACAAATGTGATTCATCATATAAATAGAATTAAAAACAAAAGCCATATGATCATCTCAATAGATGCAGAAAAAGTATTCAATAAAATCCAACACCCCTTCATGATAAAAACCCTCAACAGACTACATCTTAAGGAACATACCTCAAAATAATAAGAGCCATCTATAAGAAATCCACAGCCAACATCATGCTGAACAGGCAAAAGCTGGAAGTATTTTCCTTAAGAACTGGAATAAGACAAGGATGCCCACTCTCACCACTCCTATTCAACATAATACTGCAAATCCTATCCAGAGCAATCAGGCAAAAAGAAAAAAAAAGCATCCACATAGGAAAAGAGGAAGTCAAGTTATTTCTCTTCACTGACAATATAGCTCTACACCTAGAAAACCCTAAAGATTCTGCCAAAAGACTCAGACTTGATAAACAATTTCAGTAAATTCTCAAGATACAAAATCAATGTGCAAAAATCTGTATTTCTATACACCAATAACATTTAAGCTGATAGCCAAATCAAGAACACAATCCCATTTACAACAGCCACACACACACATACAAAATACCTAGAGATACACCTAACCATGCAGGTAAAAGATCTCTAAGGAGGACTACAAAACATTGCTGAAATAATCATAGATGACACAAAGAAATGGAAAACCATTCCACACTCCTGGGTTGGAAGAACCAATATAGTTAAAATGTCCATACTGCCCTAAGCAATCTACAGATCCAATGCGACTCCTATTAAATTACCAACATCATTTTTCATAGAGTTAGGAAAAACTAAAGTTCATATGGAACCATAAAAGAGCCTGAATAGCCAAGGCAACCCTAAGCAAAAGGAAGAAAGCTGCAGGCATCACATTCCCGACTTCAAATTATACTATAAGGCTACAGTCACCAAAACAGCATGGTACTGATGCAAAAATAAACACATAGGCTAATGAAATAGAATAGAGATCCCTGAAGTAAAGCTGCACACCTACAACCAACTGATGTTTGAAAAAATTGAAAAAAAAAAAACAATGGAGAAAGGACTGTATTCAATAAATGGTGCTGGGACAGCTGACTAGGCATATACAGAAGAATAAAGCTGGACCCCTACGTTTCACCATACAAATTTAACTCAACATGGATTAATGACTTAAATGTAAGACTTCAAACTAAAAAAATTCTAGAAGAAAACCTAGGAAATATTCTTCTAGACATTGGCCTAGGCAAATAATTTATGATGAAGACCCCAAAAGCAAATGCAACAAAATAAAAAAGAGATAAGTGAGACTTAATGAAACTAAAGAGCTTCTGCACAGCAAAGGAAACTATCAACAGAGTAAAGAGACAACCTACAGAATGGGAAAAAATATTTGCAAACTATGCATCTGACAAAGGACTAATATCTAGAATCTGTAAGGAACTTAAATGAACCAACAAGGAAAAAACAAACCCATTCAAAAGTGGGCAAAGGACATGAACAGATATTTTTCAAAAAAAGACATATATGTGGGCAAGAAACATATGAAAATATGTTCAGCATCACTAATCATCAGAGAAATGCTAATCAAAACCACAATGAGATACCATCTCACACCAGTCAGGATGGCTATTATTAAAAAGTAAAATAATGGGTAGCTGGCAAGGTTGCAGTGAAGAAGGAATGCTTATACACTGTTTGTGGGAGTGTAAATTAGTTCAACCATTGTGGAAAGCAGTGTGGTGATTCCTTGAAAAACCAAAAGCAGAACTACCATTCCACCCAGCAATCCCATTACTGAGTGTATATCCAAAAGAAAAATCATTTTACCAAGAAGACACATGCAATCGTATGTTCATCATAGCACCATTCGCAATAGCAAAGAGATGGAACCAAGCCAGGTGCTCGTCAATGGTGGATTGGATAAAGCAAGTGTGGTATATATACACCATGGAATACTATGCAGCCATAAAAAAAGAACAAAATCGTGTCCTTTTCAGGACATAGATGCAGCTGGAGGTTGTTATCCTAAGTAAATTAACACAGAAACAGAAAACCAAGTTTCACATGTTCTCACTTATAAGTGGAAGTTAAATTTGGGGTTCACATGGACATACAGATGGGAACCATAGACACTAGGGATTCCAAAAGGAGGGAGTAGGGCAAGGATTGAAAAACTTTCTATTAAATAATATGTTCACTACCATGGTGATAGGTTTAATAGAAGCCTAAACCTCAGCATCACACAATATACCCTTGTAACAAACCCTGCACAGGTACCCCCTGAAACTAAAAGAAAAATGGAAATTAAAAGCCTCATAAGTCCATAGTTTATGGTACATTTTTTTGTGTTGCATTCTATGAGCTTTGACAAATGTATAATATATCCTCTATTATAGTATCATACAGAATAGTTTCACTGCCTTAAAATGAACCTGAGTTCCATCTATTCATCCCTGAATCTATCAGTCACTAGTCTTTTTATTGTCTCCATAGTTTTGTCTTTCCCAGAAGGTCATACGTTTTGAATTATACAACCACTTGTTTTTTAAAAATTGTTGCAACACAGTCATATCCATTCATTTATGTATTGCCTATGGCTGCTTTTGCAGTACAAGGAAGTTGGGTAGTTGCTACAAAGACTGGTCCACAGAGCCAAAAAATACTATCTGGCCTCTGTCAGGAACTTTGCTCACCAGCAAACTTGTGAAAGTGGCAGCCCAATTGCTAAAATGTTCTCTAGGCTGATTTGAGAGAATGTTCTAGTAGAGGGGAACACCCTGGCAAGAACAATCATTTGGCCACTTGAAAAGCAGGTATGGGTTGGTTTGCAGGAAAATGCAGAGGAGGGCAATAGAGTTGGTTGGCTGGCACTAAATTGCATTGACCCACTAGAGAGAGATAATAAAAAAAAGATGAGGTTGTTAACAATTAAAAACTAAGTGTGAAGGCCAGAGGGCTTCTTTAGAAGCTTCCAAAAAGTCCGTATCTCCCAAAGTGAAAGAACAAAAGTGGAAGACCCAAACCTTGATTTAATAGAGTTGTCAAGATGCAAAGCTGATGGAATTCTTAACTGAGGAAGGTCTGTTGTACCAAGGTGAGAACCTCATTGGACAAACCTGGGATGCTTAATATGAGATGGAACTATGTGATTCTCCGTATTCCTCTAAACCCTTAAATACTACAGATGTGGCCCATCCTTCCCTCCCCTATTAGGAAATAGTCACCTCTTATTCCTTGTGATGGTTAATTTTAGGTGTGAACTGAATTAAAGGATACCAAGATAGCTGGTAAAGCATTATTTTTGGGTACATCTGTGAGGGTGTCTCTGAAAGAGATTGGCATTTGAATCAGTGGACTCAGGAAGACCCAGTCTCATCCATTGTGCATAGGCACCATTCAATCAGCTAACAGCCTGGATAGAACAAAAAGGCAGAGGAAAGATGAATTTACCCTCTTTTTTCTGAAGTTGGAACACCCTTCTTCTCCTGCCCTTGTACATCAGAACACTAGATTCTCTAGACTTTGGACTCCAGGTTCCCCAGTTCTCAGGCATTCAGATGTGGACTGAAAGTTACACCATCAGGGCTGGGAGCGGTGGCTCACGCCTGTAATCCCAGCACTTTGGGAGGCCGAGATGGGCAGATCATGAGGTCAGGAGATCGAGACCATCTTGGCTAGCACGGTGAAACCCCATCTCTACTAAAAATACAAAAACATTAGCCAGGCATGGTGGCAGGCACCTGTAGTCCCAGCTACTCAGGAGGCTGAGGCAGGAGAATGGCGTGAACCCAGGAGGCAGAGCTTGCAGTAAGCCAAGATTGTGCCACTGCACTCCAGCCTCCGTGACAGAGCAAGACTCCTTCTCAAAAAAAAAAAAAAAAAAAGAAAAGAAAGTTACACCATCACCATCAGCTTCCCTGGTTCTGAGCTCTTTACACTGGGACTGAGCAACACTACCAGCATCCTAGTATCTCCAGCTTGCAGATGGCCTGAATAGGACTTCCCAGCCACCATAACCATGTGAGCCTATTTTCCCAATAAATCTCCTATTTATCCATTTGTCCATCTATCCATCTACCCATTTATCCTATTGGCCTGTCTCTCTGGAGGACCCTAATACACTTCTGCTTCCCCCCTTCAGTGGCCTCTTCTCCATAAGGTAATAGGGGCTCTACCTCATGATCAGCCCCCTACCTGTTCTACTGATAGCCAGGCTGATAGCTGGTGTGAAGTCATAGCATAATCAGCCATGGACATATTGGGCCTGATCAGGTAAGACAGCTTACTCCCAAATAAACTGCAAGAATTGGTTAGCATGAAATGGCAGAGGCCAGGAGAATAACCATGGATTTGGATTTTGAATGTCTAGATTAAGGGGAGACAGCACATAAGACAAGTGGAGGGAGAGTTTGTTGATTTGAGGGTACCCCTTTAGCATACTGGATTTAACATGCTGGCAAAGACCTCAGGGTTTCAGGCAAACTTACCATTATAAGGGCCCCTAGAAGCCTAGAAAATGCAAGTGCCCATGCTGAACCAAGCTGAAACACCTTTGCAATGACAGGAGGGGAGAAACTAAATAGCCCAAGGATTCGGGCATACCAGATTAAATATATTTTGTGATGACTAAAGACGCACCATAGGATTATGTTCTGTGGGAAACACACAAGACAGCCATCTGCCAAGGCCATTAAGAATGCACTGGCATGCCAGGAATCAGCATCAAGAAGTTCAGCCATCACTCCCCCCAGCAGGCCAGTTACAGATAGTAGTAAGTGCAGTTACAGATCTTGCCGAATTGCTAACAATGTGGTGGTGGGGTCCCTGAAGCCAAAAAGGCAGGGTGGCAGCCCTCAATCACTGGAAGCCAGAGTGTCATGATTATCATAATGCCAGCTAAGGTTGGAATGGCAGCCAACCATCTGGCATACCTGCAGATAGTTATGGAGGGGTATAACAGAACACAGCATTTGTAGAAATGTATGAGAAATTGAGGTTATTGATTAATACTTTAATGAGAAAAAAGAATGTGCAAAAGGGCTGAGAGTAGTTACTCTAATAAAGTAATAATCCCTCACCCTATCTCCAGATTGAGCCAAATGTCTCTGCCAGTTATTGTTTGCTAACCTTTGTCATCTGCCACCCCAGAAATGGCATGTGTTGCATATAAAAAGAAGGACCACAGTGGCAGAGTTGGAGGCGATGCATGGGCCCAACAATGTGGACTCACACTTACCAAGAACAATCTAGTTACTGCTCCTTCTAGATATCCAACCTGTTAGCAACAGAGACCAATACTGAGTCCCTGATATTGTGCTACTTTTCTGAGCCACTTAGAACCAAATTAACTAAAACCCTTCCATTCCAGAAAGACTAGTGACTCATTCTCATAGGAGCAGACATTCCTGTCATGGGTTTGCCTTTTTTTGCCCTTAGCACGTCATTCAGCACCACTATTCAGGGG
Organism: Homo sapiens; assembly: GCF_000001405.40. NCBI lineage: Eukaryota > Metazoa > Chordata > Mammalia > Primates > Hominidae > Homo > Homo sapiens. Next base: position 77,482,088 of record NC_000004.12, read on the forward strand.
ATTACAAAATGCCTAATTCATACAATACAGCATCTGACCAAGGCCTCTTATTACAGTGAAGGAGGCATGGTCATGGACCCCTGACCATGGGATCCCTTGATCATATCACAAACCACACCATTAAAAGCACTGGTCCCATAGAGCTTTGGAAAGGCCTGCTGAAGGCAGAGCTGAAGCTGAAGCTGCAGCTCATGTGGAGTGTCTTTCCCCCGAATGTACTGCATGAACTGTGGAGAGACCTATCAATGGTACTGTGACTCCAACAGGGAGCACATTTGGACCAAGAAGCAAGGATTGGAAGCAGGAGTGGCTTTACTCATCATCATCTCCAACATCCCACTAAGGGAACACTGTGCTTCTCATCCCCACAAATCTGGGCTCTGCAAGGTTAGAGGTCCTGGTCTCCAAACTAGAAACACTCTTGCTTGGTACTGGTACCACAGGGTCCTAGTGAACTGTAAACTATGATCACCACCAGAGCACAGACTGTCCTTGGAATGATGCTCCAGTTGCTGACAATGGTAGCTGGCTTGATAAAATGCACTTTATTGGCTACTTTGCTTCCCTGTCTCCCTTTCCCAGTCTCCTAACAGAGTTCCCTCTATCTCTCAGGTAAATTACTCGAGTTCTTGCCTTGGGTTCTCAGGGAATCCAAACTAAGGCACAGGTCTGGGAGGCATAAGAGATACAGCAATAATTCTTGTTCCCCTTTGGGAGTAGTTTTTGTCTGACTACAATCATTTCAAATACTAGCAAATCTAACAAATCTATACTCCATGAACCCTGAAACAAGAATTTCCCAGTTCTTTTTTTCTTTTCTTAAAAAATAGATTTAGGAAGTACAACTGCAGTTTTGTTACTTGGATATATTGTGCAGTGGTAAAGTCTGGGCTTTAAGTGCAGTCATCACCCACAGTATACATTGTATTTATTAAGTAGTTTCTCATCCCTTCCCCTGATCTTCCCACCCTTTCAAATATCCAATGTCTATTGTTCCATTCAAAAGTGGACAAATGGGACTTAATTAAAAAGCTGCTGCCTGGCAAAAGAAATAATAGAGTGAACAGAAACCTGAAGAATGGGAGAAAATATTTGCAAACTACACGTCTGACAAAGGACTAATATCGAGAATCTACAAGGAACCCTTGTAACTCCTGGAGCACAATGGCATGACGGTGGAACATTCTTGCAGCTCTGGGAAGTTGTACATTGAAATGCTTTCAAGTATGGTGGGCCTACATCTCCTTACAAGGGTCATAAGCACTCTGCCAAGAACAAGGATGAAAACAAAAATATATAATTATAAAACACAACATCACAATCCTATACCGTGCATATTCTTGGACTGATGAAAGGACTCATGGTCAGGCAGGATCCATCAGGCACCACTTCAGTGTTACCTTAATATGACATCCACATCCTGAGTGGTGACAGACTGTCCTCTCTGGATCTTCTCCAGTAGAATCTGATTGTCCCCTCACAGGTGATGAAACTTTCATCATCTTCTACCCCAGGGGTCCCAAACTCATACCTACCGGATCCCATCAAGTAATGTGAGTAAGTGACATCTCAGTGAGTGAGGCTGTGAGTTATGGGGACCATTGGGAACTGGAAGAAATATACTCCTTGGGGCAGCTGCTGTTTCTCACCATTGAATTTCTGCAATGAGGATTTTTTGAAATAAGTCAGAAAGCCACACTGTCTCTGAAATTTTCAGATTAAAAAAAGAAATTCTCTGTGGGCCAAACCCAACACATCTGTAGACCAGATCTGTCCCACTCATCACTGTTGTACAACCTTTCTGCTCCACAATTTATGAAATACATTTGTATTCTTCACCATTTGCAAAAAGCCCTGGGAGGCCTTTTCATTTTCCAGAATAGGAAATTAAGCCTCTGAATAAGTGGTCTCCTGATCATCACTTAGCTGTGAATGGGACAGCTAGAGCTCAAGCCTATCTTTCTGTCCTAACTGTTGTATAATTGAAGGTCCTTGTACTTTCAATTACACAAGTTTCCTTCCCTTCTACAGGGGTATGGACTATATGAGCCAAGAATAATGTGCTAAAGGTTTGGCACTGCTTTCAGAAAAGGTCTGTTTATCATGAGCAGTTGGTACTACTCCAGTTAGAAATGGCTGAAAGAAGCTGTAGGGCTTCTGTGTGGAGGAGAAAAGAAAGTTCAGATTCTAGTTAATCAGGTCTATAAAAATGGCTCAACATGGTAATTGCCCTGTTCAAGGCCTGATCAAAGTGGCTCTGGAGGTCCTTGGAAAGTGAGGGATGTAGGTCTTTAATTAAAACTCCTTAGTTTTTTCACAAAATGTACAATTATTACATGGAAAAGTCCTGCAACTAAGACATGAGTGCCAGGATTCTGTATCACTTTACAAATGAGCCATCCCAAGTGGGGTTCCAACACCCAGGAGAAAACCACACCCTGACACTCCTCCATTCTTCCTCTTTGGGCAGTTACTCTGTTGGTTCAGGTTCTCTAATGATCAGACACCAGGATGGAATAGACTGCATGGTTTGGGGAGATGCCTTTGAAATATAGAGGAGGAAGGAGCAGTTGCAGGCAGGGAGAGCCTTCAAACCATCATGCTGATCTGACACATGTGAAAGGACAGAGCAAAGGAAGAAGTTTTGGGCATGAAGAGCCTCATATTGCAGTGCAGTTCGACAAAGTCCTGACCAGGCTGATGAGGAGTCCCCGAGGCAAAGCTGCCTGTTGGATGAGACCTGCATCAGGCAGGCAGGATGGGTCTAGCTTTAGCAGTCCTGCTGTGCTCTGTCATTGCCTGGGCTCCCACTGATCAGTGAATGCCATGCTAGATCCAAAGGAGCAGCACTGAGGTTGCTGGTCAGCTATGCTCCCTGCAGCTGGTTTCTGGATGGGACATCTGAGTGGGACATTTCCATGACCACCACATTCTCCTTGCCTGATTACAACCCAGGTGACCTCACAACACAGCTAGAGCTTGCTTTCAAAGTGAGCAAGGAGGTTTGGTGGAACCTCGTAAATAATCATTTTCTTTCTTGCCTGAGTCCTTAAACAATAGAGCCACAGAACAAAAATCAGCAGATGGTGGCTAATATCGCCTCTTTCCTACTGATAAACCAGACATTGGAGAATGTGACTTATATCTGCAGACAAGTGGGCTTCTCAAAACTAAGCCACAGCACTAGACAGGTAGACAGCCAGTCCAGTAACACTAACCACTATAGGACTCTCTAACTCATGCATTGTCTATGGAAAACTGACAGCATGCAGAAATGGGGAAGAATATGTGATTCCTGTGTGCAGCCCCTCTCCTGAAAGCAGAGAGGAACAAGCTGGGCTACACATACCCAGTTTACTCTTTCAGGGAGGAGGGAATGAGTGGGGAGAGAAAAGCCAAGACTATTTTAGTTACTGGAGCTACCTCTACAAGGAAGGGAAAATTAGGAGTGAAAGAAGAACTGCTCTCTTTCTCATTTTCTAGTTTGAGTCCCTTCCAAAAAGTTGGAGTTGTGTGTAGGAGGTTGATATATGGTCCCAGTTGGCACAAGTGAGGGAGTTGGGAGAGTGAGATAGGAAAGTTGTTATAGATTGATTCTAGAAGCAGGTGCTATGCAGACTTTAGGGTGCAAGATGTTTTTTAGGGATTAACATCTGTGAAAGGAAGGAGGAAGAAGGAGGATTGGGCAGTCAAACCATGACATGGCCCTGACAAAACCTTGGCCAATCTGGCAGTGCACCCTGGAGCAAGTATTCCCCATCAGCACCATCCTGCATGGGACCAAAATGACTACACCTTTGTACCCTCATCTCATGTTGTCACCAGATGACGGCTGCCCAGGAAGGGCATTACCTTAGGTAAGGCAACTGTCAGACTCAGGCAGACCCTGAGGGAGCTGACAGCTGGGGCAGCTGGTCACATTCCTCAGATCTGTATGGTGCATCTCCTTGTCTACCATGGAATGAAAGACAATACAGTGCATGTTGAGAAGGATACTGCTGATGGCAACTAAAGTTTAATTCCCACTGGGACTCTCTAAGCATCTGCTGAGGATATCTCTCAGAATTGCCTTACCAAGAGATGGGGAAGCTGGACTCTTTCTCTACTTATTCCCATTCATTACTGGTTGAGGGTTACCTCTGGGTGCATTAAATCCCTGGCTCTTCCAATCTTCTCTGTATACAAATGAAGCAAGCATGTGTAGCACCAGAGGAAATCCTCAAGTGGAGAAGTTCAGATAGATGCTTAAAGTAGGAGGCTACCACTGTAGCTGAAGACCAGCTCAGAGGTGTCTCAGGAGCACATAGGGTAGAAATGACATCATCTCCATGCCCCTAACTATGCCTAGCAGTGTCATATGTCCCAAGATAAAATTAAGTAGAAATTCAGAGATTTTGCTACCTTTTGGGGTTGTTACCAGTGGGCATATGGTTCTGTGACTGGTCCAGTTCTAGAAAATGTGGGCTCTAATACTCATTTAAGAAGTAGAAGAATAGGTTGGGCATGGTGGCTCACTCCTGTAATCCCAACACTTTGGGAGGCCGAGGAGGGTGGATCACCTGAGTCAGGAGTTTGAGACAAGCATGGCCAATGTGGTGAAACCCCATCTCTACTAAAAATATAAAAATTAGCCGGGCATGTTGGCAGGTGTGTATAATCCCAGCTACTCAGGAGGCTGAGGCAGGAGAGTCACTTGAATCTGGGAGGCAGAGGTTGCAGTGAGCCGAGATCGTGCCATTGCACTCCAGCCTGGCCAACAAAAGTAAAACTCTATCTAAAAAAAAAAAAAGGAGGGGAAGAACAGAGTTATAATAATGACTGATAGTACTGTGAGCTATATCGCACATTAATCCCATTGGGGGCAGAAGTCAAGTTACATTTAAAGCAATCTGACTTTTATTATTATTATTATTATTATTATACTTTAAGTTTTAGGGTACATGTGCACAATGTGCAGGTTTGTTACATATGTACACATGTGCCATATTGGTGTGCTGCACCCATTAACTCCTCATTTAGCATTAGGTATATCTCCTAATGCTATCCCTCCCCCCTCCCCCCACCCCACAACAGTCCCCAGAGTGTGATGTTCCCCTTCCTGTGTCCATGTGTTCTCATTGTTCAATTCCCACCTATGAGTGAGAACATGTGGTGTTTGGTTTTTTGTCCTTGTGATAGTTTGCTGAGAATGATGGTTTCCAGTTTCATCCATGTCCCTACAGAGGATGTGAACTCATCATTTTTTATGGCTGCATAGTATTTCATGGTGTATGTGTGCCACATTTTCTTAATCCAGTCTATCGTTTTTGGACATTTGGGTTGGTTCCATGTCTTTGCTATTGTGAATAGTGCCACAATAAACATACGTGTGCATGTGTCTTTATAGCAGCATGATTTATAATCCTTTGGGAATGTACCTAGTAATGGGACGGGCGGGTCAAATGGTATTTCTAGTTCAAGATCCCTAAGGAATCACCATACTGACTTCCACAATGGTTGAACTAGTTTACAGTCCCACCAACAGTGTAAAAGTGTTCCTATTTCTCCACATCCTCTCCAGCACCTGTTGTTTTCTGACTTTTTAGTGATTGCCATTCTAACAGGTGTGAGATGGTATCTCATTGTGGTTTTGATTTGCATTTCTCTGATGGCCAGTGATGATGAGCATTTTTTCATGTGTTTTTTGGCTGCATAAATGTCTTCTTTTGAGAAGTGTCTGTTCATATCCTTTGCCCACTTTTTGATGGTGTTGTTTGTTTTTTTCTTGTAAATTTGTTTGAGTTCATTGTAGATTCTGGATATTAGCCCTTTGTCAGATGAGTAGGTTGCGAAAATTTTTTCCCATTTTGTAGGTTGCCTGTTCACTCCAATGGTAGTTTCTTTTGCTGTGCAGAAGCTCTTTAGTTTAATTAGATCCCATTTGTCAATTTTGGCTTTTGTTGCCATTGCTTTCGGTGTTTTAGACATGAAGTCCTTGCCCATGCCTATGTCCTGAATGGTATTGCCTAGGTTTTCTTCTAGGGTTTTTATGGTTTTAGGTCTAACATGTAAGTCTTTAATCCATCTTGAATTAATTTTTGTATAAGGTGTAAGGAAGGGATCCAGTTTCAGCTTTCTACATATGGCTAGCCAGTTTTCCCAGTACCATTTATTAAATAGGGAATCCTTTCCCCATTTCTTGTTTTTGTCAGGTTTGTCAAAGATCAGATGGTTGTAGATATGCGGCATTATTTCTGAGGGCTCTGTTCTGTTCCATTGATCTATATCTCTCTTTTGGTACCAGTACCATGCTGTTTTGGTTACTGTAGCCTCGTAGTATAGTTTGAAGTCAGGTAGCGTGATGCTTCCAGCTGTGTTCTTTTGGCTTAGGATTGACTTGGTGATGCGGGCTCTTTTTTGGTTCCATATGAACTTTAAAGTAGTTTTTTGAATCTGACTTTCAATAGGCATATAGAGTCTACTCTGTAAGAATAAATGTTTGGCTTTGGGAGATGATTGAGCTTCTTCCAAGTCATGCAGTAGTTCAATGTTAACCATTCTGCACCACACACAGTGAAGACACCTTGGAAAGGGACTATAATTGTACTGCCCTAGCTCACTAGGGGTTGTCCTGCTGAAGCTGACTCCTCTTTCAACCTTGTCATTTTTGATGTGATCTACAGAAATGAAAGTTACACTGTGAATGTCTATAGACAGTTTTCTATGAGCTAAACTACCTGTACGGCTCACAATTCCTAAGTCTAAGCCTTTAGAATTTCTACCCTTGTTTAATATAAGTATTTAGTGATTTCTGGCCTAGAGCTAATGCCAGCAGGACTGCTGTTTTCCCTAGTGTTTCAAAGGGAGCTATTCTTTCCTTGCGTGAAGTCAGGGCAGCATGGGTCCATGGAGTGGGAAGTTCCAAGAGCTGGCTTGGGAGGCAGACTCTGAAATGTTTCTGTGTTTTGTCTAGAAAGCAGTGTCTTCTGGACTGTTCTCAGTGTTCCCCTGCCCTGCAGTGTTAGTAATGCATAAACCATCTGTTCTCTCCCTCAGATAGCCTGTGCTTCCCAGGAAGCTGACCATTTCCTCTCCTGCATGAGGAGAACATGGCTCAATTTGGAATTACTTCTTCCTTTTTAGAATATGCACTTCCAGCAGCCTGTGTGATGTAATTTGGCTAGGAGTAAAGATACTTACAAATTGCAACTGAATGTTTTTGTCTTTAGAAAACCATATATTATATAATAAAATGAACCTGGGAAGGGCAATAGTGTTCTAGCTGTCATACCTAAAATATGAATATGACAGGAACAGAATTAAAATATATTCTGTTTTAAACAAATATAGCTAATTTGTTTTAGCAAATATAGCTTAAACAAAAAGACTGTTTCCAAACTGCTCAATCAAAAGAACATTTCAACTCTGTGAGATGAATGCAAAAATAACAAAAAAGTTCATCAAAAACCTTCTGTCTAGTTTTTATGTGACAGCCTATTTACCCCCACAACTTGTGAAAAGGATTTTATCAGTGTCCACAGAGGTCTTATATCCCACCTACCCAACCTGTCGAAAAGCACCTGGATCCTAGACCTTACAAGGCAGGAAGGATAAAAAATAAAGAAGAAATATTTTATTTGAAATTTGAAGCATGTCTGCATCCCATCCTTTCCATTTCAGAAAATGGCATCATAATTTTCCCTTGGTCCTCATAACCAATTTATTAGCAAGTCCTGTAGCCTCTAACTCAAATGTATCTGGAATTAGCCCATTCCTTTCTCTCACTGTAACCTTTATCACCTAAGCACCCTTATTACTCCCTAACTGTTCTCTTTGAATCCATTACTATTTCTCTCAAATAATTCTTTCAAAGTGGCCATGATAATATTTTCTTAGAAACTTAAATTTATTCATTCAATTTCTCTAATTAGGACACGTCATTGACTTCCCATTGCCTTTAGAATTAAATGCAAACTTATTGTATACTATAAAACCCCACATGATCTGATCCTTACCTGCTTCTCAACTTCCTGTCATTTCATTTCTCCCTCCCTCCCACAATTCCAGCCACGGTGAACCTTGTCTTAGATTGGGTTTCCCTGAAAGCAGACCATGAGACAAGAATTTGGATGCTCTAGTTTATTTTGGAGGTGATGTGGGCAGCAGAGGTTGCAGTGAACCTCTCTGTCTCACAGAGAGAGAGAAGAGAGCAAGACCAAAAAAAGTACTTTAATTAGTGGGTTACTACAATGGGTAAATGGGGCTCCGTCCCCCTGGAGACACTTAAAGGACCATATGGAACACACTGTATTATCGAGGTGCAAGGAAATGAGTATTTATTCATCAACTATGAGTCTTTGTTGGTTGAGTGTTACTCCTGAGAATATTGACTCCCTGATACTTCTAGTCTTCCCCATATTGGAAACAACCTTGCTCCCATGACAATAGAATGAAGGGCCATACCCTGAATTTGCTGTGGAGCCCTCTCTTTCTCTTGTTCCTTCCATGGAATGTAGATTTTTGGATCTCCCAACAAATGAATCAGAGTAATATTCCCAAACGTGGCTTCTTGGAAATCCACAGAGGCCTACCAAGTGCTCTGCATCTTTCTTGGTGGTATGAGGAGAGGATGTGCCAGCATGCTTCAGACCACTGGATCCCTAAAGACTTAATTGATGTGGTAGGGACTTGATCTCTTGTAGAGTTTCTCTCTCACCATCCTAGTTTGCCTGTTTCAGGCTGTCCTGGGTACTTGCCATTCCCTGCTCTTCAAGTCTAATTAACCTGATGTCATCAGTTTAGTGGATCAGTGTGATGTTATGGACTGACCAGATAATCAAGATTTCTTCAGATATATTGTGACAGAGAGTATGGGGCAAGATCATGAATGCACAATTCTTTTCATTCCAAGTGAATTCAAACTACCCTGATCCTCCTTTCTGTTAAGAATTGAAAAGCATGCAGTGAATCAATAAACACACACCTAGTGCCACATACTAGCTGGAACAATTGATCTGTTCTAGTAAGAATATCATATCTGGCACAATAGCTTGGTTAGGTTTACATTAGTCTACCATCATCCACCAGGATATAAATGGTTTTTTCAGGGTGTAAATGGTGATTTGATATAGGAATATGATAGAGACCTAACATACAGGTGGAAGTGGAAGCTCTAGTTGGTGCAGTGACCTGGGCACTTCAGGGGTGTTGGGGAAAGAATGACAAACATTCATTCCACAATAATTATAGCTGCTAAGTGCCACTGACTTATTAAAAAGAAAAGAAAATGACAGACTAGGATGTAATAACCAATGATTTAAAGAAAGATGCAAGAGCCACATGCCCTCTTTGACAACATTTGAACAGACCCATATGTCTGCAGCTGGAGGACAGACATAGCTGAATAGGATTAGAACTAGGCTGAGGCACCTAGGGCACAAAATTTTAGAAGGCACTTAGGCCCAGAGTTATGACAGTGCATGGTCAGTAACGTGTGTGACCGTGAGGATGGGCCCTTCCTTAAACTTTGTACCCTAGGTGGTTCATGTGCTGCATCCTTGTTCTGGACCTACAGCCAAAGATCAGGCACAGGAGTTAACTTGAATAGAAACAGAATTTCAGAGAAGGCTGGATTGCCAGCCTAGCTGAGAATTCTGCACTAAAGTTCTGATAATGGGAATATCTGGGGAGAGGGACTTGAGAACCTTGAATCTCCTGATCCCTCTAGTCCCTTTAAGCTTGCAAAAGTAGCTCACACCCCTTGTTCAAAGACAGAGCTCCCTTTATTCCTTGAAGACTATGCAGAAGCCTCACATGAGACACACATCTTATAAGACACTTCTCTTCCTCAGTGCAAGTGAGGCTAGGTGCACCCACCTCATCTCCTGTCCACCAGACCCATAGTTAGGGTCAAATCTCAGCAGAACCTTCTTAGGGAAGTGCCAGGCCTGTCGAGGCAGGTGAGGATGCCACAGGAGCTACAGAACCTGGCTAACATTCAGGCAGGAGCCAGGAGAGAGGACCTGGAAATGGATCTCAAGGATGCTGGGCCAGCTGGGGGAGGAATATAAATCTGGATGTGGGGGTGTTTGTTAAAATGAGAGCACTCCCCCGGACATAGGATTTAATGCCCTGGAAAAGACCCTAAGTGATAGTGCTGGGATGGCTTTTGGAAGCTTGGAAAAAGTGATATCCCATATTAAATGAAGTAGAGACTCCAGAGCTGCCTAGACAGGCTATTGAGCAGGGGATTGTGCTAATATGGATCTACCGCATACGACCTGAAACCACAACCAACTTTATACGAGCTGATCATGTTCCCCTGCAGGGCCTGGAGGACATTCTTTTTACCAAGGCAATAATGAATGTGCTGGTGACGGGACACCAGCATTGACAACAAGCTGTCCTCTGTGAGCTGGAACTGACAGTAGGAGATGTCATTATGGAATTGTGCTTTCTGAAAGAAATGTGGGTAATGATATCCCAGAAAAGCAGGGACCAAGAACCTTCAGAACAAGGTGGGCATAATGACCACGATGGGGAGTGAGGTCAGGTGACTCAGGGAGGCCTGACCCCTAGCGACTATGGAGATTGCTTAAAAAAAAAAATACGTGGTGTTTCTATGGGCAAGGGAGGACAAACACTGGATGCTCCTTAATATAGATAATAAAGAACAATCAGGAACACATGGGTAAAAATTTGATATCGGCTACCCCAGTAGGAAATCAGGATCTCTTTGCCACTCTTTTCATCATTTAATATTTTGGGGTCACTTGTACCCTGGTTAACTTAGGAGTTGGGTTTGTCTCCCCAAATAATAAGGGTTTTTTCCCTTGTATCAGGAATATGCAGTTGCTCCCAGATGAGCCCTCTTATGTTTCAATGGGTCCACATGCCAACAAGTGGGTCCTTTCCAGGTTGCCTTGGTGCTGCCAATCAACTTTCCTTTGTAGACTTTCCTACTCTATGAAACTAATTCTAATTATCCAATAGGTTAGAGGCACATTTGCTTATCTGCTGTTCTCCATAAGTCTTTGTGCATATAGACAATGCTTAGGGTGAAAATATATGGGGTAGAGACCATGGCTATGGAATATAAATGAAATCTTTAGTATTTAGTGATTTAAGCAAGGTTCCTTGTAGAAACTTTCAGTCTGACTGCATTACATCTGTTTTTTGGTGTTTAACATGTGTTCTTTTTGATGAGGATGTGGCCCCTGTGATTGGGGAAGGGGTGGCAATTATTGACGCACAAGGATGACTGTACAACCAGCAGTTGACAGACCATCATCTGAGCAGACTTGTATAATCCAAAATTTAGGGTCATTCCCTTTGTTTTTCTTACCAGAAAGTGAATTAGGCTTCCTGCTAACTGGTACCTTCAAGAGTCCCATTCCTGCTGGCAGACAGAAGGCATCCAAGGTCTGATTCAGCACATTTGTGGTCAGGACTTTGAATTAAATTAAGAACCTCCTTTTGAAATGGGGGTTAGAGGGGACTTCCAAATGCCTTGAAGTTGCTCAGTCTCCTAAGCTGATTATACTGTCCTCCCAAATATGTAAAAGAGGAACTAGGTTCATGCAAAAAGAGTGGGATTCCCCTTTTGGCTCATTGTGGATTTTTAAGTCTTTATTCTAAACATAATATCCTTTCTTCCCCAATTCTCCTCCTGTCTTAATCCTTCCTGCCTTTTTCCTCTTTTAAAATAAACAATGCAAGATTGCACTTATGGGCCTATCTCTGTCAAATAGTTAGATGACCCAAAACCATCCTGGTGTGGACAGTATCTTTCACTCATGTCCTTACCACTTGGTGTATTAGAAACAAGCTAAGGTGAAGGGTGAGAACATCCTAGAGTCCTGCTAGAAGTGCTCCATAGTCCTACAGAACTTGTTTTTGATAGATACTCTCAAAGAAGACTCTATTTCTGGCCAGTGGACTAGTCAGAAAACCACACTGAGAACCACAGAGAACAGTGCCCTTAGGCACTGTTGGCCTGAGGGCAGTTCAAGCTCTGACTCAACCATCTCCTCTTTTAAACAAGGATTCTGAGATCCTTGACCATAAATATAAAATGAAAGCTTAAGAAACATAGGTACCTTCATCCTGAGAGGGCTCAAAGAGTTTTCCTGAAGAAAGCCGCCTAGCTCCTGGAAAAGCTGAAAACTTGGCAGTAGATTTCCCTCTGCAAAGCTGTCTTGCAGGCTGCAAGCTTGTGTGTACTTGGATCTTCCTGTTGTGGCCCTGCTGACCTCTAGATCAAACAGATGTATGCCCAAACAAAAAGTCCCCAGCCACTCATTTCTAGGACATCATCCTCACCCAGAGGCTTCCGAGCACAACTGATCCAGGACATTGAGTAAGGACTTTTGTACCCTTCCCCAACACCCCTCCCCATGCCAACAAGTCCAATCTTTGGAAGAGAATTCTGTATACCCACACCAACAGGCTGCTCTGTAAGGTCCTTAGACTTTTAACCAAGTTGAGCCCCTATCTATATCACAAATATTTGCAAGTGTTTCTGTCTGGTTTTATGCCTCCAAAATTCCTGCAAAGAGGCCTACTTAATGATTTAGGAAGAGTTTTCTTTTCTTTTCTTTTTTTTGAGACAGAATCTCACTCTGTCGCCCAGCCTGGAGTGCAGTGGCACGATCTCGGTTCACTGCAAGGTCCACCTTCCAGATTCATGCCATTCTCCTGCCTCAGCCTCCCGAGTAGCTGGGACCACAGGCACCCGCCACCACACCTGGCTAGTTTTTTTGTATTTTTAGTAGAGACAGGGTTTCGTCATGTTGGCCAGGATGGTCTCGATCTCCCGACCTCGTGATCTGTCCTCCTTGGCTGCCCGAATTGCTGGGATTACAGGCGTGGGCCACCGCGCCCAGCCCAGGAAGAGCTTTCTCACAAGACAAAGTTTCCAAGCTGACACTTGGCCTGAAGAAGACTGCACGTTCAGTACTCACCGTCCAGTTCTATTCCCCCAGTCCCAAGGCATTCACTTGCTAAAAGAGTGACTATTTGCTAAAGTGAGAGTCTTCCCCTTTGATCTATTATATGAACATTTGTCCTCCAATTTCTGGATAATTACTAACATACATATTGAGCTCAGCTGTTTCCCATCTGCTATTTTTGCCAATTCAATGGATCCTCACAGTCTTGTAAAGTCCAGTCAAAAAAAAATTCTCAATCTCTCTGCAATTAGTTTCCTTATTCATTAAAAAAAGGAGTAAGTGCTTGCTCAAGGTAACAGCTGGAGTGTGCAGCCAGAATTCCAATTCTGGCTTTTCATTTCAATCCAGAATTCTTTCCACTGTTTCATGCTATTCTAACAGATCTGGATAACCAGCTCTTCTAAGGTATTTAATGTTTTAAAATGTAAAGTATTGAGGAAACATCTAAAAGATGGTATTTACAAGAAGATACCTTGAAATTATGAAGTCAGCTAATGGCCACTTCCCAATCACCATTTTCTTCCTGTAGCATATTTTGTGACCCTTGAAGTGAAATCTATACATTCTTTTTCTGCATAGCAGGACCACCTAACTGGAGATCCTTGTTGGAGAAGGAGCCAGTATCCTCTCTGTTCTTGATGTTTGTGTGTGTCTTCCCTTCCTTCCAACCTCTCCCCATCTCTCTCAGACAAACACCTTCTTCTACATGACATATGTGACAAACTCCTGGGAGCTGGCCTTGGCTTTCTATGATCTGCTTCTCCTTCCAGGGAATCCACTAGCAGGATAGGAGGAAATGTGAGATACAGTGTGAGGGTAGGATAAACTCAAGTCTTACTGTTGACCTTGGTTATCACCAGAGATTCCTGAAGACCAGAGTGGTACCAAGTCATCCTACACCAAATCCTTCTGTGTTCAGTGCTGTAATACAAGGGGCCCCAACTCCCAGGCAGCAGACCAGTACCAGTCCATGGCCTGTTAAGAACCAGGCTGCACAGGAGTAGATGAGCAGCAAGACAGTATTACTCCCTGAGCTCCGCCTCCTATCAGATCAGTGGAGGCATTAGATTCTCATAGGAGCTCAAACCCTATTGTGAACTGCACATGTGAGGCTCTAGGTTTTGTGCTCCTTATGAGAATCTAATGCCTGATGATCTGAGGTGAAACAATTTCATCCTGAAACCATTCCCCCATCCCTATCCATGGAAAAATGGTCTTCCATAAAACTGGCCCCTGGTGCCAAAAACGTTGGGGACTGCTGCCATAATATGTATACCTGAGATGTCTGCACAGCTTATAATAATACCATTTTTTCTTGGAACTGTCTTTTCTTCCCATTTTAGGGATGAACCCCTGGAAGCCATACTTATATTACACAATTGTGTGTCTTCCTGGCATTAGTTGAGGCTGGGTAGACCCCACCTAAACCGAAGAGGATCAATTAGATCCTCTACAAGGACTTGGAATTAAGTCAGTATGTTAGTGGATGGCTCAAAATATCTCATGGAAACTTAAGTGTGGGGTGGCTGTATTCCCTCAATAGCCTAGGAGAGCAGAGAAAAATAATCTGAATATGTAAAAACAGGAATGGGACAGCTCTGGCAGTTTACCAGGCTGCAATTCTTGTCACTTTCTGAGGCCCAGCTGCCTTAATCTTAGAGTCTGTTCAACATCTGTCCTCTTTTTAAAAAAATTTAAATTGGTTTACTTGACACTAGAGAGCCATAATTTATAGAGCCAGTTAAATCTAACCATAATCTTCCTCTTTATCTCTGATTTCCCATTCTCTTGAATTCCTGTCATCCTGCCAGCATCTGGAGTAGAAACCTTGCAGGAAATTGATTTTTGCCCATTTGTTCATCCCAGCTTCCTGCCTACCTGTTTCTTGCCCCACCCTCCAAGCCACATCTTTTTTTATATATTGCTCTCTCAACTGCTCCCACTGCCAACTGCAACTCTCATTTTTTCTATAAACATTCCTATATACTTCACAGCAAAATAGACCACTCCTAAACTTTCTTCTTCTGATTGAAAGCTGGAGATGCTAACTTCTTGATCACTCACTTGAAGGATCTGCCCATTCTCCCAGAAGACCTCAAAACTTGAGTGTAACTCAGTATCAATGTCTAGTTCTTCCCTGTCCACTGAGGAGTCATGGATCTTCAGCCATTCTTATAACCTTCCTTAGGTACTTGTTATACCTGTTATCATTGCTATCATCTTATGAAATCTCACCCAAATTCCCAAATGCGCATAGATTTATTGAGGATTTGGGAACCTGGATATGGTCATAGTCTGACTTAACTCCTGTCATTCTAAGCATGTTCACCATCTATGTTGCTCTTCAATCCTCTATTCTAGTTTTGTTTTTGACTTTCTATTCCCATTGCCTTTCCAAATAGCAATACTCCTCTGTGGCCTACACTGTAGGTTGCCTGCCCAGTGGGCATTCACCTCTCACACTGTTTCTTGCCTCAGTAGAAGCCGGCCATACCAGACACTCAGTTACCAGTTTCCCTGGCAGCTAGCTAGTGTTGGCTAAATGACCCAGTTATGGCCATGATTACGTAGAGAAAAATTTGAGAAATGTTTCCTTAACTAGTAAGAGAGATCCAATTATTTTCTGATTTTGGACTTTGTCATGTGAGGATATGATACTAGAGCTACTGCCATCATCTTGTAGCCCTGCGTGATAGCCTAATGCCTGACACCTAAGGATGGATGGCAAAGGGGTAGACATTGTTGAGCTTCTAGACCAACGCTGAAGCCAGTTACCTCTGGATTTCTTGTTTCTTTTTTTGGTTTTATTGCTATTTTAATTGACACATAATAAATGTACATGTTTATGGAGTACCGTGTGATATTTTGATGCATACAACGTGTAATGATCAAATCAGGGTAATTAGCATATCCATCACCTCAAACAGTTATTTCTTTGTGTTGAGGACATTCAAATTCTGCTTTTCTAGTATTTGAAAATACCCAATAAATTGTTGCTAATTATAATCACCCTATAATGTTATGGACACTAGAACTTATTTCTCCTACCTAGCTATACTTTTTCTTTTTTAAGAGACAAAGTCTCACTCCATCACACAGGCTGGAGTACAGTGGCACAATCCTAGCTCACTGCAGCCTCAAACTCATGGGCTCAAGTGATGTTTCTGCTTCAGCCTCCTGAGTAGCTAAGACAATTAGCATGTGCCACCATGCTTGGTAAATGTTTTAAATTTATTTTTTGTGGAGACGGGGTCTCATTATGTTTCCCAGGCTGATCTCAAACTCACGGCCTCAAGTGACCCTCCTACCTTGGCCTCCCAAAGTGCTAGGATTATAGGCATAAATCACTGTGCCCAGCCTATTCTGTTCTTTTGTATCCATTAACCAACCTTTAGCTTGAGAAAAGTACATCCCAACTGAGTGTCACTTTTAGATCAATACTCTGATACTTTTAGCTGAAAGCAATTTGACACAAACACTCTTAATATACCAAGAAGCTTACTGAGAAATAATGGAAAAGTGTGAGTCCCTTTCTGGAGACATTTACTTTAGTGAGGAGGTAGAGAGAGAGATCCCCAGTGACCAATTTCCATTGAATGAAAGTCTGTCTTTTTAGTTGTGATACAATTTTCCAATTGGTAATCAGGCCAGGTTGTAAGCTCATCTTATGAACTTACATGTTAGAAACATGACTATTTCCAGCATAAAACTTTGAATTAAATGAAAAACATTTTTGTGACAATTTCTATAAAATATAAAGCTAAATCATATTAATACCGTATATTCTTGGAGTCCTATATCTTAGCCAGATTTACATGCCAATGATTTCAGCATTTGGTACACCTCATTGCTATATAGTTTTAGTGCTATTTGACTTCACTTATACTAACGTATTAGATAAGTAAAGAAGAACATAAGAATTAGGTATTATTCATGTCAAACACTGAAGCACTATTCTTTTTACCTAAATCTTAGGGAGAAAAAAAATTATGGGGAAGATATCTAAGCTTTTAAAATTATACCCATAAATAGAATTGGAACCTCAAATTCCAATCCAAGTAATAGTTCTCTTCATTCTTCCCTAAACACTACATTTTCCACTGTAGATATAGGATATATGATCTTTAAGCTCAATGTGTCATGGAACACAAGTATGGTACATTTATGTCAGCAGCAATCTGGGAAGAAAAAGAAATAGCACCAAGGACAATGAAGTCTTATAGTAGAATAGACTAGAAATGCAAATATTGAAAAGCTAAGCTTTCAAAGTAATAATTTATGTGATTTATTAGCAAGAAGATATACCAACAGAGGAATATATGGTAACTCAGTAGATCTTTTTACCAGCTATTTGCAAATTGCGAACCGCCATAAAATGGTAGTTAGCTAAGCAAGGTCGGCTAATGAGCTATGACATGGGTACCAGAAGTGTCAGCTACAGGACTTTTTTTCTTTGTTCCAGATATTATACTAGGCCTAAAGAGATCTAGTAACTTATTGGTCTCAGGATTCCTTTACACGTATAAAATTACTGAAAGTTCCAAATAACTTGCTTATGTGGGTTGCATCTATTGATATTTACTGTACTGAAATTAAAACTGTACTTATTCACAAAGCACATACATTTAAGGAAGAAGGGCAAACAAGGTTTTACTTTATTCCATCAAAATTTATCAGCCTCCTACAGGGCATCCCTAGTTGGGGGCTTCTGCTCTTGGTATATAAGAGGAGAAAATCAATACCTACTGTATCTCAAAGAGAAGGCCCCACTTGCCAGCCAGAAAAGAACACCAAGCTTGTTTTCCCTCAAGTTACCACATCAGTTTCAGAATTTGACGTGCACTGCATACAGTGGTGCAATGGATTTAATGAAGATCTAAATACCCCTGGACTGACTTTCCTTTCACTAATACTATGGACTAGCTCTTTATTCCCATCTTGAGGAAATCTAGTGATTAAAAAGTAGATAACTAAAGGGAAAAACACATTGTATTTAGTTCAAAGTTAAAGTGAACACAGAAAGTATAAATGTCTTATCCCTAAAAACAGAATCTGAGGCAAAGCTTACATGTAAACACATTGTTAGAGTTGCAATTTCAGGGCAGCAAGAAAAGAGAAACAAAGGAAGCAGAGAAATAAAGCAAATACAGCCAGCCCCCCATATCCGTAGCTTCTGCATCTATGGATTCAACCAATTGCAATTGAAAATATTTGAGAAAAAAAAACAATAAAAAACAGAATAATTAAAATAATACAAATAAATATATATACCATAACACCTATTTACATAGCATTTACATTGTATTAAATATTACAAGTAATCTAGAGATGATTTTAAGTATATAGGAGACTGTACATACGTTATATGCAAATATTACACCATTTTTATAGAAAGGATTTGAGCATCCCTTGGATATTGGTAATCAAAGGAATTCCAAGAACCAATCCCCTGTGCATACCAAGGGATGATTATATGAGGCGATATATAACTAAGGTCACAGCTTTATTTAAAAAAAAAACAGAAAACAAAAAAACACCAAACGGGTTGCTCTGACACAGGCAACATCTCTTAAAAGGCCATATGTAAGGTGTCATTGGGTCTTGGAAACATCTAGTGGGTGATTAGGAAGAAGGGCATGGAATTAGCTTCCTTTTGTCTTCTGTTCCTCATTGGTCAAGCCTTTCTTATGGAAGAATAACTCACCCACAGGTATTATGTTGCCTGGCCAATCCAGACACCTGCCAGGTAAGCCAGAGCCTCATGGGTTTGGTTGGGTCAAACCTTGGCAATGGGGCTGCTGCAGCTGCTGCTACAAAGGCACCCTAGAATCTGTGCCACAAAAGAGGTTGGGACAAGTGGTGGTATTTGGAACTGAGACCACAATGGCAATGGCTACTGAGCAAAACCGGAAAGATGCACAAAAACGTCACTTGATTCAAAAAAGGTTTTACGCATACATTTGGTATTTAAAGAATGCAGTGGCCACATTTTGTACATTTTATATCTAGGCATTTTCCAGCTATTAGAAAACCACAGGGACCATCAGCCTAGGATGAACCAGTAGCATCATCTTTGCATCCCCCTTTAAAAGCCACCCTGCTTTACTTAATTCCTTAAGAGGAGACTTTGGTTATAAATTCTTGGAAACTTTCTCTTGTTGCCAAATAAGAGAAAAACTCATTATCATTTCCCTTTAGTTTCTTTTCTTGTTTTGGGGGGTCCTGTGATAACTGGTACTATTTGGACCATTGTTCAGTTTTTGAAAAGTTAAACAGAATAAATTCTAGCAACTACAATTAGTGCTCAAGAGACACTTCTCTGATTAGTTGGTGGTCCCTGGGGCATCTTTAGTTTGATGGATGATTCTTAGCAGTGCTGTGTTGTGTAACTTAGAAACAGAATTCAAAAATCCCCAAATGTCACAATACATCAGAATTTCAAGGCTTTTCCCATCTCTACTCCAGAACATGGCCCTTACATGAAACAGTAAGCTTTTAATGGATCTGAGATTCTAGGTGGCTGTGCATTTCCCTCACCTCAGACAGATATCAAACTTAAAAAAAAATAGCTAATCCTTCAAGATACAGTGATGTGCAAAGTTAGAACTCCTTCAAGAATGCCAGTTATCCACTATTCCATTTTTCTTTAGTACAGACCATCTTCAAAGATCTGAATTCTAAATATAGTCTAACCCCACCACTTACCATTCCACATTCCTGAATAGCAAATAAGAGAAGTAAATGCCCATTCCCATGAGGATATTTTTGTCAAAACCTTTGGTGGTGTATGTCATTTATCTTATTCTATATAGCCATTGTCTCCACATTTCCTGTCTGCCTACTGCTTGATCCAATTCTGGCGTCTTTTGGGTGCTTCAGGAAGACTCTTCATCAGGTCAATTGTTCATCATGTGTAGAAGCACATCATCTGGCATGTATGAATGCCTAAACAGCACTCTTTAGCACTTTGCTGGCTCAGAGCCTACTACTCATGCAAAGAGGATGGTCAGCAGGTCCAGAGGCTGCAGAAGGAAGAGCAATCATATGAATACATGAGCACTTGACAGCTCCAAGGCTGGAGGCTCAGGCTGGTGATGATTAACTCGGGTGATTTGTGGTTTCTCAAGGAAAGACCTCCCAGCTACCCTAATTCCACTCCTACAAAATAATATTTCCTGAGTAGGCAGCATTGGTGACTGGTAACCTAACTTCAGGGATGCCTTCTTTTTGAGTTAAGGGATTGCCTTTTTTAAAGTGGAGGTGTTCTGCAGGACAGGGACGGCTATTATTGCCTAGTGGGTTTGTTGGGATTGGAATCTTTCATTTTCTTTTTGAGGTGCAAGGAAATGAAAAACCTAAGTGAGAGAAGAAAGGAGAAAATTGAGAGCAGAGGTCAGTCCTGGTGGAATGAGGAGTAGGGTGAGATTTGTCAGTCACCCATGTTGAGTGATGGGAGAGGAAGACCCATGACCAGTTCCACCTTCACTGCCTTGCCCAGGATTGACCCAAAAAACACGAATTATAAGAGAGGTGAATACAGAACCACTCAAATCTTATCACTTCATTGCCCCATGAAATCCTTTAATGCCTTTCCACCAACCACATCTTAAATACACACTCATGGCCAATGCCATAAGTAATTATGCGATGTTACAAGTAATTTATTAATAGAAATAATTCAAGTCTTCCACATTTACTCTTGCTTGGTAAATAACTTTAATAAGAACTTTAAATGGGATCATGGCCTCCCTTGTTTTAGACACATTAGTGGATAAGAGAGAGAAGGTGAATAATAGCTAGCCTGCCTTATGCATAAACCTCAGCCTTTCTCACCTATTTATGGGATCACACCCAAACTCTATAACAGGACTTACAAGGCTTTTCTGGGTCTAAGCTTTGTGGCCTCTTCAGCATCACTGCTTGCCACATCTCAGCCATACCAAACTGCTGGATATTTTCCCAAATGTGCACTTGCTCTGCCTTTACACTACTTTTCCTCCAGTTCCTATTTTGGGATTTTCACTTAATGGTACTCTGATCAAGCATTATCTTTTTCAGTAAATAAGACTTTCCAAATAAGCTCTCCCCTGTTACATGGTCTTCACTTGTATAGGCCCTTCTTCTGGGATCTACTCACAAGTCAACTTCACTATTAGGTGAAGGCTAGAAACTGTCTTATTTTCTCTGTCCCCAGTGTCTGTGCCTTGGCCCGGCCTACATTAGATGCTTTCTATTTGCTGAATAAGAAGATAATGTATTCTGCCTCAAAATTTGTCGAAGTTGTTCAGCTTTTATCATCAAAATACATATTAAACAACAAATTGTAAATGGCAAAGTGCAAATAATTGCATGCCTAAACTATTCCTACTTTTATTTCTTCCAGTGTCTTTTCTTGGAATGGCAAACTTGGGAATTGATTCCAACCTAGTGAGTTGTTGGGATGTCTATACTCTTCACATCATAGGTACCATTCGGCTTCTCTGTACTTCGTAACTTAACACCAATCTCATTTGTAACAAGTGATGTGATTTGATATAATTATGGTGAGCTTTGTCTATTTTGTGTGTATAAATGAGGCTGTTCAACTTAGTTGGATGCTGTTGCATATCTAACAAGTTTTACATTATTTTTTCTTAGTGCCAAGTGAAGAAGTATTTCTGAGCAGAAAGGGAAATATTTTAGTTAAAAAGAAGTTTGCAAAATACATAATTATTTTATATCAATCAGTAAATGTAACTTTTTTTTTGAGAGAGTGTCTCTCTTGTCACCCAGGCTGGAATGCAGTGACACAGTCTCGGCTCACTGCAACTTCTGCGTCCTGGATTCAAGTGATCCTCCCACCTCAGCCTCCCTAGTAGCTGGGACTACAGGTGCATACCATCACACTGGCTAATTTTTGTATTTTTTATAGAGTTGAGGTCTTGCTATGTTGCCCAGACTAGTCCTGAACTCCTGGGCTCACGGGATCTGCCCACCTCGGCCTCCCAAGGTGCTGGGATTACAGGTGCAAGCCACCATGCCTAGTCAGTAAAAATAACTTTTTAAGAAAATTCAGTGTTTATTAGCCTGTAAAACATCAATAAATACAAGTACTGGCATTAGTCAAGGTTATCTGCTTTCCTTGTTAGGAAATAACTTTCCAATATTCTCTGAAGTGTTCTCATAATGAGTACAAGAAAATGCAAATTAAAATATTTTCAAATCTGTGTTTTTTCCTATGTAAAACTGTAATAGCAGAGCTTAGGTTGTTGTGTTTTTTTTTTAAAGCAATGATTGCTCCCAAAATGCATTGAATTACAGCTCATTTCCCATCTTTATAGGAAGGCTCCTTTTTCACTGTAGTGATTATAATGAATTATTTACATAATTAAGATAAGCAGTGGGATAACTTTTGTTAGAAAAGATTTCTAACCTAGAATTAGATTGATATTTAAGCCACAGGTTTGAAAAAGAAAGGCTATGGCCAAACAACAACCACAAAATAACCTATAAAAGCTATAGATTCACCCTTACAGATATATGAATGGGTGTTGAGTTGCACTCACAGTATGCAAATAGGAAATTATTTGGGTGTCTGTCGTCATAAGATTGAGAAGTCAAACGAGGCAAGTGTGTTAATTATTTGCACACAGTTTCCAGAACTGATGACATAAAGGTCCTTTACATTTTCATTTCCCCAAAGCCCACTTATGGAAATATGTTGAAAATGTCTTCCTCTCACAGCTGTGAAAGTGTTTCATTGATTGATAGCCTATCAAGCTTGACTGGAAGGTACCATCAAGAAATATTTTGAGCCACTAAGGTTTGCTAGTTTACCTGGAGGTGAATTGTTTTTAATATATAAATTCTGCCATGAATACCACTTGGCTGTTTGCTAGTAAATGAGACTGTGCTTTGTTGAGTTTTGCAGGTGAGGCTCGTGTAGTTAATCCACCAGGAAGATATATTGACTAAAAGAGAGCCTTCTTGAGCTGAGGAATAAGGAGAAGGCCAGAGGGGAAGGGGTCAGGTCAGGGTGCTTGGGTGGAAAGGGGAGTCAAGCTTTGTTCTGCATTCCCACCTCCATGGCCAAAGCTGTCATCTTGCAGCTGTTATTTAACCAATCAAATGGTTCCTTTACTTTTTGTTTCATGTTCCTTTGTCTATCTGTATATCTGGTCACTATCATAACTTCAACATCATAGTGTAAACTTAGATTTGGTAAGGAACATCACTGGTTACTGAAATATCAGCAATCCTGTGACATGTGGTAGATTTTAATTAAAAAGGTTTGTCCCCTCCTGATATTGAGATAGGCTGTTTCCTCTATATTTGGATTTAGACTAATTGTTTCCAAGAGTATTTGCTATTTCTCGGGCTACCTGGCCTTAGAAGAATGTGCTGTGGCCAACAGAGAGCCAGAAATATACTGCCGAGGAAACCTCAGCCTGGGTAAGGTATGTGCAGAGTAACTTGATCTAGTGCCAGACTTGGGCATCGTTAGCTCATTGGTTCAGTGAGTGTTTCCTGAAATGAATGATCTGAATATGTGTGACCACCATTCTTTTGTAGACAGGAGAGATTGTATTGAGGTCATTCCTTGGTTCTAAGCAAGTCCAGCTGGTATGATCATCCAAACACAGAAATTAACTTGAACACCTGGAGTGTATTCCAAAGTTTGGATGAAAATATGACACAAGGGTCTTTGAATTACAGGGCATTGTTGGGTAGCAATTGGTCAGACAATGTGATGTGGCTGACTCAAACTAATATTGCCTTGTGATTTTTGTGGGGAATGGGGATGGCTGGAGTAGTTCACAAAATGACAAATGTCAAGTCTTTTGCTTTCAAAAAGGTGTTTTGCTTTGAATCTCCTGACTGACGTAAGTGCCTGAGGTGATAGGTTTGTGATATGGGTAACAGAAAACTCCACCTCATGGTCTCTCAGCTGCTGCTGCCTCTATTTTCCCCTTCCTCTTGGTAATTCCTTGTTCAAATTCCTGAGAAGAGGAACTGGCTTATGACAGAGCTGGGTATGAAAAGATGTCCTGGCATTGGATTGATAGCCCTTTTATCAGGTGCCCAGTCACCTGGCCACGTGATGCCAAACATGATCACCTAGTGCTACCCCTTCAGCATGGGCTGTGGGTAGGCCGGGGACTGACTGACATGTCCAGGAGCAGTGAGCAAACCTGGAAAGTGGCTTGAATTTTTATTCTAATCCTAAGTTTAAAAGTCAAACTTGGAACATGGACTGAATGTTAAAAGCATACTTCTATTTGACTACAAACTATAGCCAAATTAAGCTAGTGGAAGATACCTTCAAATGAGAAAGATAGCATGTTTTAAAATATACCAACCATTATTCAATGAAAGGTGATGCTGGTAATGACCCCTCCCCCAGAATAGTATCAAAATAACTTAGAAGGTTGTAAGGGGGACATCCTTTATTGTTTGAATTCTGAGAAATGTAGAAAATTTTATTGAACTCATGGCACCCACAATACAAAGGGAAATAGGCAAACAGACTTTAGTTTCCCCTATCACAAAACATGCTATTAATGAAGGAAGGAAGGAATATTTTCTAATGCCCTATAATTAGGGCCAAAATTGATGATAAATGTTATCTAAAGTTCATATATCAGCTCCCAGAATCCTATTTACAAATCATAAGATGGGCCGGGTGTGGTTGCTCACACCTGTAATTCCAGCACTTTGGGAGGCTGAGGCAGGCAGATCGCTTGAGCCCAGGAGTTCAAGACCAGCCTGGGCAACATGGCAAAACTTGTCTCTACAAAAAATACAAAAATTAGCTGGGTGTGGTGGCACACACCTGTGATCCCAGCCACTTGGGAGGCAGATGTGGGAGGATAGCTTGAGCATGGGAGGTAGATGTTGCAGTAAGCTAAGATTATGCCACTCCACTCCAGCCTGGGTGACAGAGTGAGACACTGTCTCAAAAAATATATATACATATATATAGTCAAAGCAGAAAGCAGTAGGAAAGAGCAAAATAATATTCTAAAGCAACTGCCTGAACATAAATATGCAAATATATAGCAATGCAAAGCTCTTTTACCTTGAGGGAATAATGTCAGTTCCTAGGCAGAGAATGGGGAAAAGGGAAGACATAAAATTTCTGTTTTGAATTCATTCCAATTCTGCATAAATATTAGGGATCTTTAAGAATACTTTATAAGAGGTCTCTATAGCACTGGGCCTCTGCAACATTAAATCATTAATACTGCTTAGCAAATAATATTTATCTTTACAGTTTTTAGTCTTTCCCATTTTGGATATTTTTCACTTCACATAGCAAATATAGTTTAGCAAAGCTGGCTCTACAACAAATTCCATTTTCTTTTCTATAATAAATGATCCTAGAATGGTCAATCTTCATGTGTGGGTGGGGGAAACCTCCAAAGTTTGAACACAGCCTTTCTTGTGGTAAATGCAGAAATGAAGTGTGGCAGAAGGGACATGATAATCCTGGTAGTTCTTTTCTTCTAAATCAGGATCTTCCTTTAGCTACCTCATTGGTTTTTCTCTTCAGAGGCATTATTTTCCTATGCTATGGCTTCATTAGTCCACAAGTGCAGTGCTGGTAACACTGAGTGGATTCCAACAATAGGATCTTAATTTTCTCCTTCTCTGTTCTCACTATTTACTATCTCCAGGTTGAAACTCACCTGTTACTGCAGAGCCTCTGATTAATCTTTCTGCTGCTGACAGATGATCTAGCATGGCAGATAGGCCTTTTCATGGTGCAGGTCCTGGCACTTCACTATTCTTAGCTTCCCTCCAATTTGCTCCAGCTGCATTAAATGCCTGTAGTTCAAATGTGTCATTCATAGTCCCTCAGTGGCTGTGTCATATTCTTCCTAGATAGTGCTTCTCAATGTTGTCCAAGGACCCCTGTGTATCAGCCAGGGTTCCGGCACAAACAGATGGGAATTTGAGGAGAACGCAATAAAAGTACTCGTTGTGAGGGTGTGGGCAGGTGTAGAGAAGACACAATGGATAAAGCAGTATTGTAGGCCAGGTTTAGTGGCTCATGCCTGTAATCCCAGCACTCTGGGAGGCCAAGAAGGTGGATCACTTGAGTCCAGGAGTTTGAGACCAGCCTGGCCAACATGGTGAGACCCCCCATCTCTAGAAATAATAATGATAAATACATTTGAAATAAATTTTATAAAAACCAGTATTCTGAAGAGGCATTGGTATTGAGGGGGTGAGAGGAGGGAGCAGTTATCAGAACCTCAAGACACAAAGGGCTGTGGAGAGAGCCAGCAGAATGAGCTGTGAACCTCAGAGGAGCAAAGCCGCCACAAGGCGATCTAATGGGCTCTGGTGCTGGGGGTTGAGAGGCTTCTTTCCCTCTCAACCCTCCTCCTTTCCAGTCTCTGCTGATGCTTTCCATTGGTTGAACCCCACCAGAAGCCACTGGTCAAGGGAGTTCATAATGCAGACCAAGCAGGTCAGTCCCAGGGCATGGGCAGGGTAGGGAAAGGCTAGTGTGGCTCAGGCGGGTAAACATAAGGTACCATCATACCTGGCATCAGAGTCCCCTGCAGGAGTTGTGGAAGAAGCAGATTGTTGAGGCCCATCCCACCTGCTAAAAGAATCTCTGTCTCTGCTTGTGATAGAGGCAGTAAGCCACCACTGAAGAGCTTTGCTTCACTTTCATAGAGTAATTGCTGGAAGCTGCTCTACAGCCAGCGCCTACCCTGAATCTAGATGAAGCCATGGGATGAGCTTTGCTCACAGATGTCAGTGGAAGTAAGTATGTCGCTTCTGCACTACAGTCTTAAGAATGGGTGTACCTGATAGGGTTCTCTCCTTCCTACTGCCCATCTGGATGCAGAGAACTCAGAGGCCCTAGGGCACAGCAGAACCACAAGATAAGAGGATCAGGGTCCCTGGAGCATCACAAGGAGGAAAGCATCCCACCAACAAGGGCATCGCACACAAGCAAGAAAGAAACTTTGAAAAAAGTTATTAAAATGTTTAAGTATTAGCAAAATTAAAATAATGAGTCTCATTTACCCATTACCCAGATTCAACAATTACCAAAGATTTTCTCTATTGGCTTAACTGTCCCTTTTGTCTTTTCTTTGTTAAAGTATTTCAAAGTAAACACCAGGCATTGTGTCATTTCATCATTTCGTAATTCAGTATGTGGCCCTTAAAGAATATGTTCTTGACCAGAATGCCAGGTTATACTTAATAAAATCATTAATAATTCTTTGGCATCATCTACAAAGTCCATACATTTACATTGGATTGCTGTGTCTCTTACATGAAGTTGTCCCCTTTCCCAACTTTTTCTCCGGCCATTGTCATCTTACAGTAAATAAGTCAGTTCTGCAGAATGGTCCCCCATTCTGGATTTGTCTGCTTCCTTGTACTGATGTCATTTACTTGTTCTTCTATCCCTGTATCTTCTGTTAATAAAAGCTTGCTCTACAGACTCTAGGTTCAACTGTTCTTGGCAAGAATACTTCACAATATTCACAATATTAAACGCTGGTGTTTTGTTTGGTAAAAATGCAGAATATGAGAATAACACTATCTACTATAGCAAACAACCACAAGTGATCCAAATGGACCCTGCAATTGCAAACAAACTCACATGAAATGTCTTTTTTCCTCTTGTCCAACTTTTATGGCTTGGAACTCATCTCAGGTGCCAGCTTTATGGGAAACTTTTACTAACACCTCCCTTTCCTAGTATAGACTAGTAGTATTTGCTACAAAAGCTTTTGCATGTCTCTATCCTAGCATTCACTTGTCACATTCATGACATATTTGCTTGTATTACAAGATGGGACTCAGCCTTAGTTTTTGCCAAGGACCAAAAAGCAGCCAATCCCACAATCCAAAGTGAGGTGCTATATGCCTAGACAAAACTTGTAGAGAAGAAACAAGCTGGCTCCTGGCCATATCCAGGCCATTTTAGTGATGGTTAAGAATTCAGTCAATAAATTGGAATCTAGGAAAAATAATTTCTTTGGAGAGTGTTATTAGTATGCTGTGGGCCTTTCCTACCACACAGAAGAGAGGTAGAGGGTTCTTTCCCATTCCTCAAGCCTAGCAATCAGGGCTTTGATGAGCTAAGAGAGTCTGATCTATGCCTCTTGCAGTTCAGGGGACAGAGCAGCAAAAACTCCAGAAGGATTTAAGGGCCAGAAACTGTGACAATTAGCCAAAGACAGTAGAGCAAAGAGAGCTCAACCAGCTGCATTGGGAGCCAGCTGCGTTGCCTTGACAGTTCAGTGTTCTAGGTTTCTTTTCGTCTGAGACAGAGAGAGTTGCAGAGAGAGAGACAGAGAGACCATACCAGTTTAGAGCCATTTTAAATTCCACCCAAAAGGACTTTATGGAGGGGCAGTTATTCCAACTGAGAGATGGCCCATTCGACTGCCAGGCTTGGAGGTAGGAGATATAAGCAGCCACTGGAAAGAAAACGCATCACTCATGTCAGAGCAGTTTGCTTTGCATTCCTACGGGGAGCCTTCAAATAACCCACGTGACAGACTGTCAGTCAAACACTTGCCCTGGCCCAAGGGAGCCAACATGAGATTACCTGAAAGCCAGCCAAGCCCTTTCCTGCCTCTTAGAACTCCAGCCCTCACCTTCACCTTGGGCTCCAGCCTTAGAGGAACCAGATGCAGCCGGGTGAGTGGGAGAAGAGGGGCAGAGCTTCAGGACAGGGGCATGGAGAAGCTGTCTGTGCCTCGGGAGCAGGCTTAAGCTAGTAGAAGGGAAATCTTGATCTTTCAATGAAATCTGAAACAAGCCCTGTTGTCTCTGGAAGTGACCAGAAGGCATTATTTGGAATATACCAGAAAGATCACGAGACGTGTCCTAGATTTCTTCCAAAGGTCAGGAAGAACTTTTTTTCCCTTGAATATAAACTTGAAGAGTGAATTAGAACAGGTAATTGGGAATAAGAGGATAACATTTTCTAATCACAGCCTTGAGACCCCTTGTTTAACAATGCCTCATGTGTCCAATTTCTCTACCAGAATGAGCTCTCCTTAAGGTGAAGGACCGTCCTACCCAATTTTATATCCTAAAATATTCTTAGTGTATAGGCATACAATTAAGGTCTGAGAGTTGGAGTACATATAATGGAAATACACTATAGTTTATTTAACCCTTTAGGTCTCAAATGAATTAGCTCCCTACGTTATCAATTCCAAAGGACTGTAAAACAAGTACCTACATGTTGAAGAGAGAAGGTATATGCACGTTGAAGAAAGAAAATAATTTATCAAGAGTAAGTATTGAACATTGCTGGTGAGATTGAGTTACTTTTCATTTATAGTACAGCTTTCTCCAACTATTAATCTATTTATATCTTCCATATGTTCTACTGATAGGATTTTAACTTTTAGCCCAACTTTATAAGATAAGCAATTAATTTTGGAACATCCCTTAAATTTATTTTCCTCTGAGATATTAAACAAGGCCTATCAAGAGAATCCAAAGTTCTGTTCCTAGCATGAGAAATTTTAGACTTGGTATGTCTCTGAGGATTCTTTATCTCTAACTTCAGACTGAGGTAGACTGCTATAAATATTCTGCAGGCACACATGCACATATACATTACCCTGAGCATTTCAGGGTCCCAGTTGTCACCCTTGTAAAATGAGAGGATTGGACAAGTTGACGAAGGTCCCCAGGTCCCACAGATTTAATCTAATCATCTCTGACTACTCTTGGACCATTACATTTATTCAAGGGAGCGAAAGGAGAAGATGTTTGAAAAAACTGACTCTGCTAATGAGGTGAGAGGTTGAATATGTCAACCCTACCAATTCTCCAGTGGCTGGGTAACTTCCAGAGTTAATGTCTATCATTCTTTTTGAACTGGGGCAGCCCTCATCTGGAATTTGTTTCCAAGTTATACTAAGGAATGTGTATGTTCTATTTGTTCTGAGTCTCAAATCAAGGGTTTGGAAGCCCCCAGAATCATTGTTGGAGCACTGTGCCATGGAGCACCTTGAAGATCCACTTCCAGGTAATGGAGAGAGGCCTTGGTTGTATAGTCTGTTCAGAGGACTAACCGTTCAGAACATTTTTCTTTGATCGAAACTTTAAAGCTCATTCGACTTAAACTGTGAATCTGATTTTTACTTCCATATTATTCAATGAGAAACAGGGAAACTAATTAGCCTGCTTGCTGCCTCTTTAATTCTTGTTTTCTCATTAGATTCATCCTGACCATCTCTCAGTTTAGTGTAGTTACAGCATTAAATAAATTTAGTGGCAAAATTTGTAGTTAATTTTATAGAAGTCAGGAAATGCAGAGTATCAAAGAGTAAATTTATGTAATTCTATCATCACATGTTGCTGCTATTACTACTTCTATTAGTTTGCTAGAGCTTCCATAGCACAGTAACACATACTGAGTGGGTTGAATAATAAAGTAATTGTCTATCCATCCTGGAGGCTAGAAATCCAAGATCAGGATGTCAGCATGGTTGGTTTCTTCTGATGCTTCCCTCTTTGGCTTGTAAATGGCTGTCTTCTCCCTTGCTCTTCATAGGGCCTTTTCTCTGTGTGTCTGTGTCCAAATTTTCTCTTCTTATAAGGACACCAGTCATATTGGATTAGGGCCCATCCTGATGATCTCATTTTAACTTAATTGCCTCTTTAAAAACCCTGTCTCCAAATACAGTATTATTCTAAGATACTAGAGGTTAGGACTTGAACAGATGATTTGGGTGGTGGAAGGACACAATTTAACCCAGAACATTACTTTAGTGTATATTTTTTGTTATTGTTATTATTATACTTTAAGTTCTGGGGTACATGTGCACAATGTGCAGGTTTCATACATAGGTATACATGTGCCGTGTTGGTGTGCTGCACCCATTAACTCATCATTTACGTTAGGTATTTCTCCTAATGCTATACCTCACCACTCCCCCAACCCCACGACAGGCCCCAGTTTGTGATGTTCCCCATCCTGTGTCCAAGTGTTCTCATAGTTTAATTCCCACCTATGAGTGAGAACATGTGGTGTTTGGTTTTCTGTCCTCGTGATAGTTTGCTGAGAATGATGGTTTCCACCTTCACCCATGTCCCTGAAAAGGACATGAACTCATCCTTTTTTATGGCTATTCCATATACACCATGGTATTCCATGGTGTATATGTGCCACATTTTCTTAATTCAGTCTATCACTGATGGACATTTGGGTCGGTTCCAAGTCTTTGCTATTGTGAACAGTGCCACAATAAAGCATGTGTCTTTATAGTAGCCTGATTTATAATCCTTTGGGCATATACCCAGTGATGGGATCGCTGGGTCTAATGGTATTTCTAGTTCTAGATTCTTGAGGAATTGCCACACTGTCTTCCACAATGGTTGAACTAATTTACACTCCCACCAACAGTGTAAAAGCATTCCTATTTCTCCACATCCTCTCCAGCATCTGTTGTTTCCTGACTTTTTTTTTTTTTTGAGACGGAGTCTCACTCTATTGCCCAGGCTGGAGTGCAGTGGCACAATCTCAGCCCACTCCAAGCTCCGCCTCCTGGGTTCACAGGATTCTCCTGCCTCAGCCTCCTGAGTAGCTGGGACTACAGGTGCCCACCACCAGGCCAAGCTAATTTTATTGTCTTTTTAGTAGAGTCGGGGTTTTACCATGTTAGCCAGGATGGCCTCCATCTCCTGACCTTGTGATCCACCCAACTCAGCCTCCCAAAATGCTGGGATTACAGGCATGAGCCACCACACCTGGCCTGTTTCCTGACTTTTTAACTATTTCCATTCTAACTGGTGTGAGATGGTATCTCTTTTTTTTTTTTTTTTATACTTTAAGTTTTAGGGTACATGTGCACAATGTGCAGGTTAGTTACATATGTATACATGTGACATACTGGTGTGCTGCAACCACTAACTCGTCATCTAGCATTAGGTATATCTCCCAGTGCTATCGCTCCCCACTACCCCCACCCCACAACAGTCCCCAGAGTGTGATGTTCCCCTTCCTGTGTCCATGTGTTCTCATTGTTCAATTCCCACCTATGAGCGAGAATATGTGGTGTTTGGTTTTTTGTTCTTGCAATAGTTTACTGAGAATGATGATTTCCAATTTCATCCATGTCCCTACAAAGGACATGAACTCATCATTTTTTATGGCTGCATAGTATTCCATGGTGTATATGTGCCACATTTTCTTAATCCAGTCTGTCATTGTTGGACATTTGGGTTGGTTCCAAGTCTTTGCTATTGTGAATAGTGCTGCAATAAACATATGTGTGCATGTGTCTTTATAGCAGCATGATTTATAGTCCTTTGGGTATATACCCAGTAATGGGATGGCTGGGTCAAATGGTATTTCTAGTTCTAGATCCCTGAGGAATCACCACACTGACTTCCACAATGGTTGAACTAGTTTACAGTCCCACCAACAGTGTAAAAGTGTTCCTATTTCTCCACATCCTCTCCAGCACCTGTTGTTTCCTGACTTTTTAATGATTGCCATTCTAACTGGTGTGAGATGATATCTCATTGTGGTTTTGATTTGCATTTCTCTGATGGCCAGTGATGGTGAGCATTTTTTCATGTGTTTTTTGGCTGCATAAATGTCTTCTTTTGAGAAGTGTCTGTTCATGTCCTTCGCCCACTTTTTGATGGGGTTGTTTGTTTTTTTCTTGTAAATTTGTTTGAGTTCATTGTAGATTCTGGATATTAGCCCTTTGTCAGATGAGTAAGTTGCGAAAATTTTCTCCCATTTTGTGGGATGCCTGTTCACTCTGATGGTAGTTTCTTTTGCTGTGCAGAAGCTCTTTAGTTTAATTAGATCCCATTTGTCAATTTTGGCTTTTGTTGCCATTGCTTTTGGTGTTTTAGACATGAAGTCCTTACCCGTGCCTATGTCCTGAATGGTAATGTCTAGGTTTTCTTCTAGGATTTTTATGGTTTTAGGTCTAACGTTTAAGTCTTTAATCCATCTTGAATTGATTTTTGTATAAGGTGTAAGGAAGGGATCCAGTTTCAGCTTTCTACATATGGCTAGCCAGTTTTCCCAGCACCATTTATTAAATAGGGAATCCTTTCCCCATTGCTTGTTTTTGTCAGGTTTGTCAAAGATCAGATGGTTGTAGATATGCGGAGTTATTTCTGAGGGCTCTGTTCTGTTCCATTGATCTATATCTCTGTTTTAGTACCAGTGCCATGCTGTTTTGGTTACTGTAGCCTTGTAGTATAGTTTGAAGTCAGGTAGCGTGATGCCTCCAGCTTTGTTCTTTTGGCTTAGGATTGACATGGCGATGTGGGCTCTTTTTTGGTTCCATATGAACTTTAAAGTAGTTTTTTCCAATTCTGTGAAGAAAGTCATTGGTAGCTTGATGGGGATGGCATTGAATCTATAAATTACCTTGGGCAGTATGGCCATTTTCACGATATTGATTCTTCCTACCCATGAGCATGGAAGGTTCTTTCATTTGTTTGTATCCTCTTTTATTTCATTGAGCAGTGGTTTGTAGTTCTCCTTGAGGAGGTCCTTCACATCCCTTATAAGGTGGATTCCTAGGTATTTTATTCTCTTTGAAGCAATTGTGAATGGGAGTTCACTCATGATTTGGCTCTCTGTTTGTCTGTTATTGGTGTATAAGAATGCTTGTGATTTTTGCACATTGATTTTGTATCCTGAGACTTTGCTGAAGTTGCTTATCAGCTTAAGAAGATTTTGGGCTGAGACATTGGGATTTTCTAGATATACCATCATGTCATCTGCCAACAGGGACAATTTGACTTCCTCTTTTCCTAACTGAATACCCTTTATTTCCTTCTCCTGACTAATTGCCCTGGCCAGAACTTCCAACACTATGTTGAATGGGAGTGGTGAGAGAGGGCATCTCTGTCTTGCACCAGTTTTCAAAGGGAATGCTTCCAGTTTTTGCACATTCAGTATGATATTGACTGTGGGTTTGTCATAGATAGCTCTTATTGTTTTGAGATATGTCCCTTGAGTACCTAATTTATTGAGAGTTTTTAGCGTGAAGTGCTGTTGAATTTTGTCAAAGGCCTTTTCTGCATCTATTGAGATAATCATGTGGTTTTCGTCTTTGGTTCTGTTTATATGCTGGATTACATTTATTGATTTGCATATATCGAACCAGACTTGCATCCCAGAGATGAAGCCCACTTGATCATGGTGGATAAGCTTTTTGATGTGCTGCTGGATTCAGTTTGCCAGTTTTTTATTGAGGATTTTTGCATCAATGTTCATCAAGGATATTGGTCTAAAATTCTCTTTTTTGGTTGTGTCTCTGCCCGGCTTTGGTGTCAGGATGATGCTGGCCTCATAAATGAGTTAGGGAGGATTCCCTCTTTTTCTATTGATTGGAATAGTTTCAGAAGGAATGGTACCAGTTCCTCCTTGTACCTCTGGTAGAATTCGGCTGTGAATCCATCTGGTCCTGGACTCCTTTTAGTGGGTAAGCTATTGATTATTGCCACAATTTCAGCTCCTGTTATTGGTCTATTCAGAGATTCAACTTCTTCCTGGTTTAGTCTTGGGAGAGTGTATGTGTGGAGGAATTTATCCATTTCTTCTAGATTTTCTAGTTTATTTGCATAGAGGTGTTTGTAGTATTCTCTGATGGTAGTTTGTATTTCTGTGGGATCAGTGGTGATATCCCCTTTATCATTTTTTATTGTGTCTATTTGATTCTTCTCTCTTTTTTTTCTTTATTAGTCTAGCTAGTGGTCTATCAATTTTGTTGATCCATTCAAAAAACCAGCTCCTGGATTCATTAATTTTTTGAAGGGTTTTTGTGTCTCTATTTCCTTCAGTTCTGCTCTGATCTTAGTTATTTCTTACCTTCTGCTAGCTTTTGAATGTGTTTGCACTTGCTTTTCTACTTCTTTTAATTTGATGTTAGGGTGTCAATTTTGGATCTTTCCTGCTTTCTCTTGTGGGCATTTAGTGCTATAAATTTCCCTCTACACACTGCTTTGAATGTGTCCCAGAGATTCTGGTATCTTGTGTCTTTGTTCTCGTTGGTTTCAAAGAACATCTTTATTTCTGCCTTCATTTTGTTATGTACCCAGTAGTCATTCAGGAGCAGGTTGTTCATTTTCCATATAGTTGAGTGGTTTTGAGTGAGTTTCTTAATCCTGAGTTCTAGTTTGATTGCACTGTGGTCTGAGAGATAGTTTGTTATAATGTCTGTTCTTTTACATTTGCTGAGGAGAGCTTTACTTCCAACTATGTGGTCAATTTTGGAATAGGTGTGGTGTGGTGCTGAAAAAAATGTATATTCTGTTGATTTGAGGTGGAGAGTTCTGTAGATGTCTGTTAGGTCCACTTGGTGCAGAGCTGAGTTCAATTCCTGGGTATCCTTGTTGACTTTCTGTCTCATTGATCTGTCTAATGTTGACAGTGGGGTGTTAAAGTCTCCCATTATTAATGTGTGGGAGTCTAAGTCTCTTTGTAGGTCACTCAGGGCTTGCTTTATGAATCTGGGTGCTCCTGTATTGGGTGCATATATATTTAGGATAGTTAGTTCTTCTTGTTGAATTGATCCCTTTACCACTATGTAATGGCCTTCTTTGTCTCTTTTGATCTTTGTTGGTTTAAAGTCTGTTTTACCAGAGACTAGGATTGCAGCCCCTGCCTTTTTTTGTTTTCCATTTGCTTGGTAGATCTTCCTCCATCCCTTTATTTTGAGCCTATGTGTGTCTCTGCATGTGAGATGGGTTTCCCGAATACAACACACTGATGGGTCTTGACTCTTTATCCAATTTGCCAGTCTGTGTCTTTTAATTGGAGCATTGAGTCCATTTACATTTAAAGTTAATATTGTTATGTGTGAATTTGAACCAGTCATTATGATGTCAGCTGGTTATTTTGCTCGTCAGTTGATGCAGTTTCTTTTTAGTCTCAATGGTCTTTACATTTTGGCATGATTTTGCAGCGGCTGGTACCGGTTGTTCCTTTCCACGTTTAGTGCTTCCTTCAGGAGCTCTTTAAGGGCAGGCCTGGTGGTGACATTTGCTTGTCTGTAAAGGATTTTATTTCTCCTTCATTTATGAAGCTTAGTTTGGCTGGAGATGAAATTCTGGGTTGAAAATTCTTTTCTTTAAGAATGGTGAATATTGGCCCCCACTCTCTTCTGGCTTGTAGAGTTTCTGCTGAGAGATCCGCTGTTAGTCTGATGGGCTTCCCTTTGTGGGTAACCCGACCTTTCTCTCTGGCTGCCCTTAACATTTTTTCCTTCATTTCAACTT
Source organism: Homo sapiens (assembly GCF_000001405.40). NCBI lineage: Eukaryota > Metazoa > Chordata > Mammalia > Primates > Hominidae > Homo > Homo sapiens. Next base: position 77,518,249 of record NC_000004.12, read on the forward strand.
TGGTAAATCTGACAATTCTGTGTCTTGGAGTTGCTGTTCTGGAGGAGTATCTTTGTGGCGTTCTCTGTATTTCCCTAATCTGAATGTTGGCCTGCCTTGCTAGATTGGGGAAGTTCTCCTGGATAATATCCTGCAGAGTGTTTTCCAACTTGGTTCCATTCTCCCTGTCACTTTCAGGTACACCAATGAGATGTAGATTTGGTCTTTTCACATAGTCCCATATTTCTTGGAGGCTTTGTTCATTTCTTTTTATTCTTTTTTCTCTAAACTTCCCTTCTTGCTTCATTTCATTCATTTCATCTTCCATTGCTGATACCCTTTCTTCCAGTTGATCGCATCAGCTCCTGAGGCTTCTGCATTCTTCACGTCGTTCTCGAGCCTTGGCTTTCAGCTTCATCAGCTCCTTTAAGCACTTCTCTATATTGGTTATTCTAGTTATACATTCGTCTAAATTTTTTTCTAAGTTTTTAACTTCTTTGCCTTTGGTTTGAATTTCCTCCTGTAGCTCATAGTTTGATTGTCTGAAGCCTTCTTCTCTCAACTCTTCAAAGTCATTCTCCATCCAGCTTTGTTCCATTGCTGGTGAGGAACTGCGATCCTTTGGAGAAGGAGAGGTGCTCTGCTTTTTAGAGTTTCCAGTGTTTCTGCTCTGTTTTTTCCCCATCTTTGTGGTTTTATCTAGTTTTGGACTTTGATGATGGTGATGTACAGATAGGTTTTTGGTGTGGATGTCCTTTCTGTTTGTTAGTTTTCCTTCTAACAGAGAGGACCCTCAGCTGCAAGTCTGTTGGAGTTTGCTAGAGGTCCACTCCAGATCCTGTTTGCCTGGGTATCAGCAGCGGTGTCTGCAGAGCAGTGGTTTTTTGTGAACCGTGAATGCTGCTGTCTGATCGTTCCTCTGGAAGTTTTGTCTCAGAGGAGTACCTGGCCATGTGAGGTGTCAGTCTGCCCCTACTGGGGGATGCCTCCCAGTTAGGCTGCTCAGGGGTCAGGGGTCAGGGACCCACTTGAGGCAGTCTGCCCGTTCTCAGATCTCCAGCTGCGTGCTGGGAGAACCACTGTTCTCTTCAAAGCTCAGATGGAAATGCAGAAATCACCCGTCTTCTGCGTCACTCACGCTGGGAGCTGTAGACCGGAGCTGTTCCTATTCGGCCATCTTGGCTCCTCCCCCATGAGATGGTATCTCATTGTGGTTTGATGTGCATTTCTCTGATGACCAGTGATGATGAGCATTTTTTCATGTGTCTGTTGGCTGCATAAATGTCCTCTTTTGAGAAGTGTCTGTTCATATCCTTTGCCTACTTTTTGATGGGGTTGTTTTTTTCTCATGAATTTGTTTGAGTTCTTTGTAGATTCTGGATATTAGCCCTTTGTCAGATGGGTCAATTGCAAAAGTTTTCTCCCATTCTGTAGGTTGCCTGTTCACTGTGATGGTAGTTTCTTTTGCTGTGCAGAAGATCTTTAGTTTAATTAGATCTCATTTGTCAATTTTGGCTTTTGTTGTCATTGCTTTTGGTGTTTTAGACATCAAGTCCTTGCCCATGCCTATGTCCTGAATGGTATTGCCTAGGTTTTCTTCTAGGATTTTTATGATTTTAGGTCTAACATTTAAGTCTTTAATCCATCTTGAATTAATTTTCGTATAAGGTGTAAGGAAGGGATCCAGTTTCAGCTTTCTACATATGGCTAGCCAGTTTTCCCAGCACCATTTATTAAATAGGGAATGCTTTCTCCATTTCTTGTTTTTGTCAGGTTTGTCAAAGATCAGATGGTTGTAGATGTGTGGTGTTATTTCTGAGGGCTCTGTTCTGTTCCATTGGTCTATATCTCTGTTTTGGTACCAGTACCATGCTGTTTTGGATACTGTAGCCTTGTAGTATAGTTTGAGGTCAGGTAGCGTGATGCCTCCAGCTTCATTCTTTTGGCTTAGGATTGTCTTGGCAATGCGGGCTCTTTTTTGGTTCCATATGAACTTTAAAGTAGTTTTTTCCAATTCTGTGAAGAAAGTCATTGGTAGCTTGATGGGGATGGCATTGAACCTATAAATTACCTTGGGCAATATGACCATTTTCAAGATATTGATTCTTCCTACCCATGAGCATGGAATGTTCTTCCATTTGTTTGTGTCCTCTTTTATTTCCTTGAGCAGTGGTTTGTAGTTCTCCTTGAAGAGGTCCTTCACATCCCTTGTAAGTTGGATTCCTAGGTACTGTATTCTTTTTGCAGCAATTGTGAATGGGAGTTCACTCATCATTTGGCTCTCTGTTTGTCTGCTATTGGTGTATAGAAATGCTTGTGATTTTTGCACATTGATTTTGTATCCTGAGACTTTGCTGAAGTTGCTTATCAGCTTAAGGAGATTTTGGGCTGAGACAATGGGGTTTTCTAAATATACAATCATATCATCCTCAAACAGGGACAATGTGACTTCCTCTTTTCCTAATTGAATACACTTTATTTCTTTCTCTTGCCTGATTGTCCTGGCCAGAACTTCCAACATTATGTTGAATAGGAGTGGTGAGAGAGGGCATCTCTGTCTTGTGCCAGTTTTCAAAGAGAATGCTTCCAGTTTTTGCCCATTCAGTATGATATTGGTTGTGAGTTTGTCATAAATAGCTCTTATTATTTTGAGATGTGTTCCATCAATATCTAGTTTATTGAGAGTTTTTAAGAAAAAGTGCTGTCGAATTTTCTTGAAGGCCTTTTCTGCATCCATTGAGATAATCATGTGGTTTTTTGTCACTGGTTCTGTGTATGTGATGGATTATGTTTATTGATTTGCGTATGTTGAACCAGCCTTGCATCCCAGGGATGAAGCCAACTTGATCGTGTTGGGTAAGATTTTTGATGTGCTGCTGGATTTGGTTTGCCAGTATTTTATTGAGGATTTTCACACGGGTGTTCATCAGGGATATTGGACTAAAATTCTCTTTTTTTGTTGTGTCTCTGCCAGGCTTTGGTATCAGGATGATGCTGGCCTCATAAATGAGTTAGGGAGGACTCCCTCTTTTTCTATTGATTGTAATGATTCCAGAAGGAATGGTACCAGCTCCTCTTTGTACCTCTGGTAGAATTCAGCTGTGAATCCATCTGGTCCTGGACTTTTTTTGGTTGGTAGGCTATTAATTATTGCCTCAATTTCAGAGACTGTTATTGGTCTATTCAGAGATTCAACTTCTTCCTGGTTTAGTCTTGGGAGGGTGTATGTGTCCAGGAATTTATCCATTTCTTCTAAGTTTTCTGGTTTATTTGTGTAGAGGTGTTTATAGTATTCTCTGATGGTAGTTTGTATTTCTGTGGGATCGGTGGTGATATCCCCTTTATCATTTTTTATTGTGTCTATTTGTTTCTTCTTTCTTTTCTCTTTATTAGTCTTGCTAGTGGTTTCTCAATTTTGTTGATCTTTTAAAAAAAACAGCTCCTGGATTCATTGATTTTTTGAAGGGTATTTTTGTCTCTCTTTCAATTCTTCTCTGATCTTAGTTATTTCTTGCCTTCTGCTAGCTTTTGAATTTGTTTGCTCTTGCTTCTCTAGTTTTTTTAATTGTGATGTTAGGATGTCAATTTTAGATCTTTCCAGCTTTCTCTTGTGGGCATTTAGTGCTATAAATTTTCCTCTACACACTGCTTTAAATGTGTCCCAGAGATTCTGGTACATTTTGTCTTTGTTCTTATGGTTTCAAAGAACATCTTTATTTCTGCCTTCATTTTGTTATTTACCCAGTAGTCATTCAGGAACAGGTTGTTCAGTTTCCATGTAGTTGTGCAGTTTTGAGTGAATTTCTTAATCCTGAGTTCTAATTTGATTGCACTGTGGTCTGAGAGATGGTTTGTTGTGATTTCTGTTCTTTCACATTTGCTGAGGAGTGCTTTACTTCCAACTATGTGGTCAATTTTGGTATAAGGGCAATGTGGTGCTGAGAAGAAAGTGTTTTCTGTTGATTTGGGGTGGAGAGTTCTGTAGATGTCTATTAGGTCTGCTTGGTGCAGAGCCGAGTTCAATTCCTGGATATCTGTCTAATATTGACAGTGGGGTGTTAAAGTCTTCCATCATTATTTTGTGGGAGTCTAAGTCTCTTTGTAGGTCTCTAAGGACTTGCTTTATGAATCTGGGTGCTCCTGTATTGGGTGCATATATATATTTGGGATATTTAGCTCTTCTTGTTGAATTGATCCCTTATCCATTATGTAATGGCCTTCTTTGTCTCTTTTGCTCTTTATTTGTTTAAAGTCTGTTTTATCAGAGACTAGGACTGCAACCCCTGCTTTTTTTTTTTTTTTTTTTTTTTTTTTTTTGCTTTCCATTTGCTTGCTAGATCTTCCTCCAATCCTTTATTTTTGAGCTTATGTGTGTCTCTGCATGTGAGATGGGTCTGCTGAATACAGCACACTAATGGGTCTTGTTTCTTTATCCAATTTATCAGTTTGTGTGTTTTAATTGGGGCATTTAGCCCATTTAGATTTAAGGTTAATATTGTTATGTGTGAATTTGATCCTGTCATTATGATGTTAGCTGGCTATTTTGCCCGTTTATTGATACAATTTCTTCATAGCATCGATGGTCTTTACTATTTGGCATGATTTGCAGTGGCTTCTACCAGTTGTTTCTTTACATGTTTAGTGCTTCCTTCAGGAACTCTTGTAAGGCAGGCCTGGTGGTGACAAAATCTCTCAGCATTTGCTTATCTGTAAAGGATTTTATTTCTCCTTTGCTTATGAATCTTAGTTTGGCTGGATATTAAATTCTAGGTTGAAAATTCTTTTCTTTAAGAATGTTGAATATTGGCCCCCACTCTCTTCTGGCTTGTAGAGTTTCTGCTGAGAGATCAACTGTTAGTCTGATGGGCTTCCCTTTGTGGGTAACCCGACCTTTCTCTCTGGCTGCCCTTAACATTTTTTCCATCATTTCAACCTTGGTGAATCTGACAATTATTTGTCTTGGGGTTGCTTTTCTCAAGGAATATCTTTGTGGTGTTGTCTGTATTTCAGGAATTTGAATGTTGGCCTGCCTTGCTATGTTGGGGAAGTTCTCCTGGATAATATCCTGAAGAGTGTTTTCCAACTTGGTTCCATTCTCCCGATCACTTTCAGGTACACCAATCAAATGTAGATTTGGTCTTTTCATAGAGTCGCATATTTCTTGGAGGCTTCGTTCATTTCTTTTTACTCTTTTTTTCTCTAACCTTGTCTTCTCACTTTATTTCATTAATTTGATCTTCAGTGACTGATACTCTTTCTTCCACTTGATCAAATCAGCTACTGAAGCTTGTGCATGCATCACGAAGTTCTCGTGCCATGGTTTTCAGCTCCATCAGGTCATTTAATGTCTTCTCTACACTGTTTATTCTACTTAGCCATTTGTCTAACTTTTTTCACGGTTTTCAGCTTCCTTGTGATGGGTTAGAACATGCTCCTTTAGCTTGGAGAAGTTTGTTATTACCGATTTCTGAAGCCTACTTCTGTCAACTCATCAAAGTCATTCTCTGTCCAGCTTTGTTCCATTGCTGGCAAGGACCTGCAAACCTTTGGAGGAGAAGAGGTCCTCTGGTTTTTAGAATTTTCAGCTTTTCTGCTCTGGTTTCTCCCCATCTTTGTGGCTTTACCTACCTTGGTCTTTGATGTTGGTGACCTACAGATGGGGTTTTGGTGTAGATGTCCTTTTGTTGATGTTGATGCTATTCCTTTCTGTTTGTTAGTTTTCCTTCTAACAGTCAGGTCCCTCAGCTGCAGATCTGTTGGAGTTTGCTGGAGGTCCACTCCAGACCCTGTTTTCCTGGGTATCTCCAGTGGAGGCTGCAGAACAGCAAATATTGCAGAACAGCAAATATTGCTGCCTGATCCTTCCTCTGGAAGCTTTATCCCAGAGGGGCACCTGCCTATATGAGGTGTCAGTTGGCTCCTACTGGGAGATGTCTCCCAGTTAGGCTACATGGGGTTCAGGGACCCACTTGAGGAGGTAGTCTGTCCATTCTCAGAGCTCAAATGCCATGCTGGGAGAACCCCTTCTCTCTTCAGAGAAGGCAGACCAGGATGTTTAAGTCTGCAGAAGTTTCTGCTGCCTTTTGTTCAGCTATCCCCTGCCTACAGAGGTGGAGTCTATAGAGGCAGTAGGCCTTGCTGAGCTGTGGTGGGCTCCACCCAGGTCGAGCTTCCCAGCCACTTTGTTTACCTACTCAAGCCTCAGCAATGGCAGATGCCCCTCTCCCAGCCAGGCTGCCACCTCACAGTTCGATCTCAGGCTGTTGCACTTTCTCCATGGGCATGGGACCTGCCAAGCCAGGCATGGGAGAGAATCTTCTTGTCTGCCGGTGGCTAAGACCTCGGGAAAAGTTCAGTATTTGGGCTGGAGTGTCCTGTTATTCCAGGTACAGTCTGTTGCAGCTTCCCTTGGCTAGGAAAGGGAAATCCCCTGTCCCCTTGCACTTCCCGGGTGAGGCTATGTCCCACCCTGCTTCAGCTCACCCTCTGTGGGCTGCATCCACTGTCCAACCAGTCCCAGTGAGATGAACCAGGTACCTCAGTTGGAAATGCAGAAGTCCCCTGTCTTCTGCATTGATAGTGCTGGGAGCTGCAGACTGGAGCTGTTCCTATTCAGCCATCTTGGAACAGAGCACCACTTTAGTGTATATTCTTATATACCTCAATCATACACAAATATTTTTACTTTACAAAATTAGACCATGCATCAGATTATGCTATGGTTTGAATGTATATGACAAAATTCACATGTTGGAAGCTTAATCCCCAATGCAACAGTGTTGGGTGGTGAGGCCTAATAAGTGGTGAATGGATTAGTGTAGTTATCACAGGAGTGGGTCAGTTATCTCTAGAGCAGCACTCTCTCCCCCATGTGCTCTCTTCTGCCTTCCATTATAGGATGATGCAGCACAAAGGCTTTTCTCTGATGCTGGCCACATGTTCTTGGACTTCCCAGCCTCCAGAACAGTGAGCTAAATTTCCGTTCATTAAAAATTACTCAGTCTCTCTGTCTCAGAGCACACCGACTGACTGTTGATGTGTGTAACAAAGTGTTTATTTTCTTCAAATAACCAGCTCTATAATAATTCTTTATGTTTCCAGAAGTCTGTTTAGCTTTCTTCAAAGGAAGATTTTTCTCATTTGGGGGGTTTTCTTGATTTTAGGGTGGTAAGATTTCTTTCTTTTTTCCTTTTCTCCTAAAATCAATGCAGGTGAGAGTGGATGGGTAAAGGATTTTGTTTTTAAACAGCATGTTAGGTATACTTGTGTGGGTGGAAGTGTTGTTAGTATTTTTCTATGAATCTTGATTAATACTGTCTATTAGCTCTCATGGCTGGTCAGCAAAATGCGTGAATGTTTAGCTGTAGAACATATGACACAGTTGAGTCTTTTTTTTTTAAGAAAAGTGAACACAGAATTGAAGGAATTAACATGTACATGTTGCCTTTTGTTAGAATGACTAAGTTAAACCTCTTGATTTTTATTTGTCCAAGGCAAACATGACATAAGGATTATGCACTACCAAAATAACACTCATGGTCACAGAAACTATGCTGCAAGCACACCTGGGGTTCTTTTAAATGGTCATGGCCATGATGGTGTGAATTCCATCAATTCAGCAGATGGGTGGGGAAATGAAAATTTTCCTCTAAACTTTTAGGCAAAGGTAGGCTTTTTTTAAATTGTGGGTTTGTTTTTTTTTTATTATTTTTGCCTTCATTTTTAAATCTTAAATGCTACTACTGCAGGCCACAACATGACAAACAATGAGCAGCTAAAGAAACAATGAAAAAGCATTTAAAAAAACTCCTGTGTTAGCTAACAGGTTTCTAGAGGTATCACTGTGGTCCACAGAGAAGACTGCAGAAGGTAGCAGAAAGATGTTGTATTAACTACCACAGCCTTAAAACAAAGTTGGTATATCTTTGGATCATAAAATTGTTCCTAGGCAGCTTATTTTATTTTTTGGTTAATCAAATAAACAAGAGGTTTGTTTCATGGCAAATATTAAATAAACAATATCCTAGTCTCAGGTATTCTGTTATAGTAACAGAAAATAAAAGAGATAACATAAATTAATATATTAAATTTAAAATTTTAAATGTGAAACATTCATCTAATATGCTTAAAGGTTGAATGCCAACTCATTATATAAATAAAACCTTCATACTACAGAGTGCTTCACATTGTAAAATATGATGTATGTCTTAGTTTAATCCCAGGGAGGGTGATAATAACAATACTAGATAATATTAAAAGGCAAATGATGGAAAACACACTCAAAGGGGGAAAAGTCCATGGTAATTTCAAATCTACATGAAGCAACCCTGAAATATACTTCTTAACTCACCAAATCTGAGCATTTATTACATAATTGGCTCTTAGCCCAGGGGCCAGGGCTTCAAGTGAGGAAAGAAACAAGGTCCCTGGCCTCATGGAGCTTCCACACTATGGTGTAAGCAAAGACAGTGACAAGCAAGCAGATAAGTAAAATTGTAGACTAGGCTAAACATGAGGGAAGGGAAAACAGAGCCATCAAAGAGGAACACACAGGACTGGCTTAGGGAGGCCAGGGAGCCTTTCGTGAAGAAGAGGCCTTTGAGCTGAGACCCAAAGCCAAGAAGGGCCAGCCACTTGAACAGCCAAGCAGATTGGTCACAGGGCCACTCTTCTTCCTGGTTAAACAAGAAGAGTTGGACAGGCTCAAGCACTGATAGAAGGCAAGCGGGGCTGGAACATGGTAGGCAATTTGGTTTCCCTTTGTGAAAATCAGGGACTAGAACTTTGGTAAACAAGACCTCAAGTGTGGGTGAGAGAGTGGGAAAATAGACAATGCTCATATTAAACATTTCAAAATATATCACTGACATTTCACCGAAGAAGACCTACAGATGGCAAATAATCACATGAAAAGATGCCCAACACCATTAATCATTCGGAAAGTTCAAAATAAAACCACAAAATGTAGCACTGTACACCGATTGGAACAGCTTAAATTAAAAAATGCTGATGACACTAAGTGCTGTGGGAATGCTGAGAAACTAAACAACTCATACATTACTGATGGGGATGTAAAATGATACAGCCACTCTGGAAAACAGTTTTGCAGTTTCTTAAACATGCAACTGGGCACAGTGACTCATGCCTGTTTCCCAGCATTTTGGGAGGCTGAGGCGGGTGGATTAATTGAGCTCAAGAATTCAAGACCAGCCTGGGCAACATGGTGAAACCCCATCTCTACAGAAAATACAAAAATTAACCATGTGTGTTGGTTTGTGCCTGTGATCCCAGCTACTTGGGAGGCTGAGGTGGGAGGATCACTTAAGCCTGAGAGGTGGAGGTTGCAGTGAACCAAGATCATGCCACTGCTCTCTAGCCTGGGTGACAGAGTGAGACACAGTCTCAGATAAAAAAAAAAGAAAGAAAGAAAAGAAATGATAGACACTTGAATGAATGACATTCAAGTGAACGTGCTTTAGATAACTCCAGCTCCCAGATTTTGTAAAGCCACCTTCAAACTTGCAACAGTTTGGCAGTTTCTTTTTTTATTATTTTTTATTTTATTTTTATACTTTAAGTTTTATGGTAATGTGCATAACGTGCAGGTTAGTTACATATGTATACATGTGCCATGTTGGTGTGTTGTACCCATCAACTCGTCATTTAACATTAGGTATATCTCCTAATGCTATCCCTCCCCTATCCCCCCACCCCACAACAGGCCCTGGTGTGTGATGTTCCCCTTCCTGTGTCCATGTGTTCTCATTGTTCAATTCCCACCTATGAATGAGAACATGCGGTGTTTGGTTTTTTGTCCTTGCGATAGTTTGCTGAGAATGAAGGTTTCCAGCTTCATCCATGTCCCTATAAAGAACATGAACTCATCCTTTTTCATGGCTGCATAGTATTCCATGGTGTATATGTGCCACATTTTCTTAATCCAGTCTATCATTGTTGGACATTTGGTTTGTTCCAAGTCTTTGCTATTGTGAATAGTGCCGCAATAAACATATGTGTGCATGTGTCTTTATAGCAGCATGATTTATAACCCTTGGGTATATATCCAGTAATGGGATTGCTGGGTCAAATGGTATTTCTAGTTCTAGATCCCTGAGGAATCACCACACTGACTTCCACAATGGTTGAACTAGTTTACAATCCCACCAACAGTGTAAAAGTGTTCCTATTTCTCCACATCTTCTCCAGCACCTGTTGTTTCCTGACTTTTTAATGATTGCCATTCTAAGTGGTGTGAGATGGTATCTCATTGTGGTTTTGATTTGCATTTCTCTGATGGCCACTGATGATGAGCATTTTTTCATGTGGCTTTTGGCTGCATAAATGTCTTCTTTTGAGAAGTGTCTGTTCACATCCTTCGCCCACTTTTTGATGGGCCTGTTTGTTTTTTTCTTGTAAATTTGTTGGAGTTCATTGTAGATTCTGGATGTTAGCCCTTTGTCAGATGAGTAGATTGCAAAAATGTTCTCCCATTCTGTAGGTTGCCTGTTCACTCTAATGGTAGTTTCCTTTGCTGTGCAGAAGCTCTTCAGTTTAATTAGATCCCATTTGTCAATTTTGGCTTTTGTTGCCATTGCTTTTGGTGTTTTAGACATGAAGTCCTTGCCCATGCCTATGTCCTAAATGGTATTGCCTAGGTTTTCTTCTAGGGTTTAAATGGTTTCAGGTCTAACATTTAAGTCTTTAATCCATCTTGAATTAATTTTTGTATAAGGTGTAAGGAAGGGATCCAGTTTCAGCTTTCTACATATGGCTAGCCAGTTTTCCCAGCACCATTTATTAAATAGGGAATCCTTTCCTCATTTCTTGTTTTTGTCAGGTTTGTCAAAGATCAGATGGTTGTAGATATGTGGTATTATTTCTGAGGGCTCTGTTCTATTCCATTGGTCTATATCTCTGTTTTGGTAATAGTACCATGCTGTTTTGGTTACTGTAGCCTTGTAGCATAGTTTGAGGTCAGGTAGCGTGATGCCTCCAGCTTTGTTCTTTTGGCTTAGGATTGACTTGGCAATGCAGGCTCTTTTTTGGTTCCATATGAACTTTAAAGTAGATTTTTCTAATTCTGTGAAGAAAGTCATTGGTAGCTTGATGGGGATGGCATTGAATCTATAAATTACCTTGGGCAGAATGGCCATTTTCACAATATTGGTTCTTCCTACCCATGAGCATGGAATATTCTTCCATTTGTTTGTATCCTCTTTTATTTCCTTGAGCAGTGGTTTGTAGTTCTCCTTGAAGAGGTCCTTCACATCCCTTGTAAGTTGGATTGCTAGGTATTTTATTCTCTTTGAAGCAATTGTGAATGGGAGTTCCCTCATGATTTGGCTCTCTGTCTGTTATTGGTGTATAAGAATGCTTGTGATTTTTGCACATTGATTTTGTATCCTGAGACTTTGCTGAAGTTGCCTATCGGCTTAAGGAGATTTTGGGCAGCGACGATGGGGTTTTCTAGATATAGAATCATGTCATCTGCAAACAGGGACAATGTGACTTCCTCTTTTCCTAATTGAATACCCTTTATTTCCTTCTCCTGCCTGATTGCCCTGGCCAGAACTTCCAACACTATGTTGAATAGGAGTGGTGAGAGAGGGCATCCCTGTCTTGTGCCAGTTTTCAAAGGGAATGGTTCTAGTTTTCACCCATTCAGTATGATATTGGTTGTGAGTTTGTCATAAATAGCTCTCATTATTTTGAGATACGCTCCATCAATACCTAATTTATTGAGAGTTTTTAGCATGAAGCGTTGTTGAATTTTGTCAAAGGCCTTTCTTGCATCTATTGAGATAATCATATGGTTTTTGTCATTGGTTCTTTTTATATGCTGGATTACGTTTATTGATTTGCATATGTTGAACCAGCCTTGCATCCCAGGAATGAAGCCCACTTGATCATGGTGGATAAGCTTCTTGATGTGCTTCTGGATTCAGTTTGCCAGTATTTTATTGAGGATTTTTGCATCGATGTTCATCAGGGATATTGGTCTAAAATTCTCTTTTTTTGTTGTGTCTCTGCCAGGCTTTGGTGTCAGGATGATGCTGGCTTCATAAAATGAGTTAAGGAGGATTCCCTCTTTTTCTATTGATTGGAATAGTTTCGGAAGGAATGGTACCAGCTCCTCCTTGTACCTCTGGTAGAACTCGGCTGTGAATCCATCTGGTCCTGGACTTTTTTTGGTTGGTAAGCTATTAATTATTGCATCAATTTCAGAGCCTGTTATTGTCTATTCAGAGATTCAATTTCTTCCTGGTTTAGTCTTGTGAGGGTGTATGTGTTCAGGAATTTATCCATTTCGTCTAGATTTTCTAGTTTATTTCATAGAGGTGTTTATAGTATTCTCTGATGGTAGTTTGTATTTCTGTGGGATTGGTGGTGATATCCCCTTTAACATTTTTTATTGCATCTATTTGATTCTTCTCTCTTTTCTTCTTTATTAGTATTGCTAATGGTCTGTCAGTTTTGTTGATCTTTTCAAAAAACCAGCTCCTGGATTCATTGATTTTTTGAAGGGTTTTTTGTGTCTCTATTTCCTTCAGTTCTGCTCTGATCTTAGTTATTTCTTGCCTTCTGCTAGCTTTTGTATGTGTTTGTTCTTGCTTCTCTAGTTCTTTTAATTGTGATGTTAGGGTGTCAATTTTGGATCTTTCCTGCTTTCTCTTGTGGGCATTTAGTGCTATAAATTTCCCTCTACACACTGCTTTGAATGTGTCCCAGAGATTCTGGTATCTTGTGTCTTTGTTCTCGTTGGTTTCAAAGAACATCCTTATTTCTGCCTTCATTTCGTTATGTACCCAGTAGTCATTCAGGAGCAATTTGTTCAGTTTCCATGTATTTGAGTGTTTTTGAGTGAGTTTCTTTATTATTATTATTATTATTATTATTATTATTATCATTATTATACTTTAAGTTTTAGGGTACATGTGCACAACGTGCTGGTTTGTTACATATGTATACATGTGCCAAGTTGGTGTGCTGCACCCATTAACTCATCTTTTAGCATTAGGTATATCTCCTAATGCTATCCCTCCCCCCTCCCCCCACCCCACTACAGTCCCTGGTGTGTAGTGTTCCCCTTCCTGTGTCCATGTGTTCTCATTGTTCAATTCCTGTGAGTGAGAACATGCGGTGTTTGGTGGGTTCTAGTTTGATTGCACTGTGGTCTGAGAGACAGTTTGTTATAATTTCTGTTCTTCTACATTTGCTGAGGAGTGCTTTACTTCCAACTATATGCTCAATTTTGGAATAGGTGTGGTGTGATGCTGAAAAGAATGTATATTCTGTTGATTTGGGATGGAGAGTTCTGTAGGTGTCTATTAGGTCCACTTGGTGCAGAGCTGAGATCAATTCCTGGATATCCTTGTTAACTTTCTGTCTCATTGATCTGTCTAATGGTGACAGTGGGGTATTAAAGTCTCCCATTATTATTGTGTGGGAGTCTAAGTCTCTTTCTAGGTCTCTAAGGACTTGCTTTGTGAATCTGGGTGCTCCTGTATTGGGTGAATATATATTTAGGATAGTTAGCTCTTCTTGTTGAATTGATCCCTTTACCATTATGTAATGGCCTTCTTTGTCTCTTTTGATCTTTGTTGGTTTAAAGTCTGTTTTACCAGAGACTAGGATTGCAACCCCTGCCTTTTTTGTTTTCCATTTGCTTGGTAGATCTTCCTCCATCCCTTTATTTTGAGCCTATGTGTGTCTCTGGTACGTGAGATGGGTTTCCTGAATACAGCACACTGACGCGTCTTGACTCTTTATCCAATTTGCCAGTCTGTGTCTTTTAATTGGAGCATTTAGCCCATTTACATTTAAGGTTAATATTGTTATGTGTGAATTTGATGCTATCATTATGATGTTAGCTGGTTATTTTGCTTGTTAGTTGATGCAGTTTCTTCCTAGCCTCAATGGTCTTTACAATTTGGCATGTTTTTGCAGTGGCTGGTACCAGTTGTTCCTTTCCATGTTTAGTGCTTCCTTCAGTAGCTCTTTTAGGGCAGGCCTGGTGGTGACAAAATCTCTCAGCATTTGCTTGTCTGTAAAGTATTTTATTTCTCCTTCACTTATGAAGCTTAGTTTGGCTGGAGATGAAATTCTGAGTTGAAAATTCTTTTCTTTAAGAATGTTGAATATTGGCCCCACTCTCTTCTGGCTTATAGAATTTCTGCCGAGAAATCAGCTGTTAGTCTGATGGGCTTCCCTTTGTGGGTAACCTGACCTTTCTCTCTGGCTGCCCTTAACATTTTTTCCTTCATTTCAACTTTGGTGAATCTGACAATTCTGTATCTTGGAGTTGCTGTTCTCGAGGAGTATCTTTGTGGCGTTCTCCGTATTTCCTGAATTTGAATGTTGGCCTGCCTTGCTAGATTGGGGAAATTCTCCTGGATAATATCCTGTAGAGTGTTTTCCAACTTGGTTCCATTCTCCCCGTCACTTTCAGGTACACCAATCAGACGTAGATTTGATCTTTTCACGTAGTCCCATATTTCTTGGATGCTTTGTTCATTTCTTTTTATTCTTTTTTCTCTGAACTTCTCTTTTGGCTTCATTTCACTCATTTCATCTTCCATCACTGATACCCTTTCTTCCAGTCAATCAAGTCGGCTACTGAGGCTTGTGTATTCATCATGTAGTTCTCATGCCTTGGTTTTCAGCTCCTTTAAGGAGTTCTCTGCATTGATTATTCTAGTTTGCCATTCATCTAATTTTTTTTTAGGTTTTTAACTTCTTTGCCATGGGTTTGAACTTCCTCCTTTAGCTCAGAGTAGTTTGATCGTCTGAAGTCTTCTTCTCTCAAATCATCATGGTCATTCTCCATCCAGCTTTGCTCCATTTCTGGTGAGGAGCTGTGTTCCTTTGGAGGAGGAGAGGTGCTCTGATTTTTAGTTTCCAGTTTTTCTGCTCTGTTTTTTCCCCATCTTTGTGGTTTTATCTACCTTTGGTCTTTGATGATGGTGAAGTACAGATGGGGTTTTGGTGTGGATGTCCTTTGTGTTTGTTAGTTTTCCTTCTAACAGTCAGGACCCTCAGCTGCAGGTCTGTTGGAGTTTGCTGGAGGTCTACGCCAGACCCTGTTTGCCTGGGTATCAGCAGCAGAGGCTGCACAACAGCAGATATTGGTGAACAGCAGATGTTGCTGCCTGATCGTTCCTCTGGAAGTTTTGTCTCAGAGGAGTACCCGGCCATGTGAGGTGTCAGTCTGCCCCTACTGGGAGGTGCCTCCCAGTTAGGCTACTCAGGGGTCAGGGACCCACTTGAGGAGGCAGTCTGTCCATTCTCAGATGTCCAGCTCCATGCTGGGAGAACCACTACTGTCTTCAAGGCTATCAGACAGGGACATTTAAGTCTGTAGAGGATTCTGCTGCCTTTTGTTTGGCTGTGCCCTGCCCCCAGAGGTGGAGTCTATAGCGGTAGGCAGGCCTCCTTGAGCTGTGGTGGGCTCCACTCAGTTCGAGCTACCAGGCCGCTTTGTTTACCTACTCAAGCCTCAGCAATGGCGGGCACCCCTCCCCCAGCCTCGCTGCCACCTTGCAGTTTGATCTCAGACTGCTGTGCTAGCCATGAGCAAGGGCCCATGGGCATAGGACCCTCTGAGCCATGCACGGGATATAATCTCCTGGTGTGCCATTTGCTAAGACCTTTGGAAAAGTGCAGTATTAGGGTGAGAGTGACCCAATTTTCCAAGTGCCATCTGTCACCCCTTTCTTTGATTAGGAAAGGGAATTCCCTGACCCCTTGCACTTCCCAGGTGAGGCAATGTGCTGCCCTGCTTTGGCTCATGCTTGGTGCACTGCACCCTCTGTCCTGCACCCACTTTCCGACACTCCCCAGTGAGATGAACCTGGTACCTCAGTTGGAAATGCAGAAATCACCCGTCTTCTGCGTTGCTCATGCTGGGAGCTGTAGACTGGAGTTGTTCCTATTCGACCATCTTGGTTCCACCTGGCAGTTTCTTAAAAACAAAAACAAAAGACATGCAACTACCATATGACCTAGCAATTGCACTCCTGGGCATTCATCCCACATGAACACTATGTTCACACAAAAACCTGCACATGGATGTTTCTAATAGCTTCATTTGTAACAGTACAAACCTGGAAACAATCCAGTTGTTCTTTAACTGATGAATGGCTAAACAATGGCACATCATACATGAAATACTACCCAGAAATAAAACGACCAAATTATTGATATACTCAACAACCTGGATAAATCTCCAGAGAATTATGCTGAGTGAAATAAACAATTTAAACATCTTACATATTGTGTGATTCCACTTATGTGTCATTGGGAGAAACAGTGAAATGCACATGAGATCTCTTAATACTTTCTTAATAATTGTCAGATCTCTTTCTGGGTATTATTTCAGTTGAATATGAATCTACAATGATCTAAAAATAAAGTTTAATTTTAAAATACACCTCTGAGAACAGTGTTTGTGTTGGGATCAATTTCAAACAGGTGATACACAGCAGAAGTCCATTTAGTGCAGGCCTCAGGTGTGCCACTTAATCTCTCATCTCCTGCCTTCACACCTGCAAAATGTTGGGGTTGGACCATAAAGAAGCTTCAGGACCTCCTCTTTGCTTCTACAATTCCATGACCTTACTGAGCTATACACATTTGTGGAACCTTTGTTTTGGCCTTATATTTATCAGAGACCCTCTGAAAATCTTTATGGAAACAGCAGTAACTACCTTTCTGGCATTACAACAAAAGAAGTAAATTCTGCCTTCCACCCTCCTGAAAACTGCTTTGCATGCTACAGCAAGATTACTGGAATTACAAAAGGAGAAACACCAAGCATGGCTTTTTCATGGCTAAAATGATCCCCAAATTCACAGTGTCCTCACAATGTCCTCTTCCACAAAGAAGGAACTTCTTCCAGACACACACAATTTGATCAAGTTAATAGTTTCTTAAAAATATTCAGATCTCTTTTTTAGAAACTGGGGGAAGAACTGGGGGCCTTTAGGAACTCTGTTTTGCATTCAATATTCAATCATTCATTCATTCATTTATACTGTAAGCCCTGGAGGTGCCCTCAGTTGTGACATACTTCTTTCTTGACATTTTTATAAATTCTTCAATGTATTCCTTCCCTTATAGGCGTACCCTTTCCAGTTGAGCCATGCTTGTATATACAAACTTAGTCCTCAAATCTCAATCTTGCGACCCATTGTATTTTCCAAAGATGACTGCAAAATCATTCTCATCCCACATGCTGTTCTTACAATGCAACTTTGACATTCTTACCATGAAGTGATGGAGACTATGTTTCCTCCCCTTGAATCTGAGCAGAGCTAATAGCACATGTTGGAAGTGACATATGCAACTTCCAAAGATAGGGCATAAAAATTCCATGTGCATCCACCTGCTTCTTGGTGATACTCACTATTGGAACCCAGCTGCCATGCTACGAGGAAGCCCAAACTCACCCAATTTACCAAGGTAAGGAGGCTACATGGAGAGGCTAGCCATAGATGTTTTGACCAACCACTCAGCTGAAGTCTCAGCCAACAAATAACTAGATCAGCTGATAGACATTCAAGTGAATGTGCCTTTAGATAACTTCAGCTCCCAGATGTAAAGCCACCTTCAGCATTTGAGTGCCAGATAAGATTCTAAACATTGTAGAGACAAGCCATCCTCACTATGCTGTCTGAATTCCTGTCCCACAAAAGTTGGGTGTGGAATTGATCATAATAAAATTATTATTTTATACCACTAAATTTAGAATACTTTGTTGAGCAGTAATAGATAACTATGATTATACTTGATAGAATAAACACCCTAACCTCACTCCCCTCCCTCTCTCAATCTTCTGCTGGTGCTCCCCATTGGCCAAACCCAACTGGAATCCAGAAAGAAAGGAAGCCCAGTGATGTAACCCATATAAGTCAGCTTTTGGGGGCAGGAAATAGAGTGGAGTGTGGAGCTGGCAAAACTGGCAGATATCCAGTGTAGTTTACACTCTGCCTTATTTCATTGACGATGTAAAGTAGATGGCATGAAAGTTGAAATGCCTAAATTTTGATCATTATGGAATAAATAATAAATACCAATCATTTAATCATCCTTTTCAGATAAATCTGTGAAATGAGGTGTTCCGAAGCATAGTTAACTTTTAACTTCCCTTTTGGGTGTGGCTCCATCATGAAGAAGAAGCAGAGTTTAATCACTAAGAGTATAGGTTCTGGAGCCAGTCTGCCTGGGTTCAAATCCTGGCTCTGCTACCAACCAGCTGTATAAATTTGGGTAGCTCCCTTATCCTCTCTGTGTTTCACTTCCCTCATCTGTAAGGAGGGATAAAAATATTGCCTCCCTTATAAATTTGTTGTGGAGATCAAATTAGTTAATAAAGATAAAACATTTAGCATGGTGCTGGGTAAGAGTAAATACTCCATAAGCATTAGCCATTATTATAACACCTAGAAGAAGATTACAAGGTGCAAAGTGTGGCAAAGAAACAAGAGGAAAAGTGGCAAAATATCTTTCTTTTTGGCTTTATTTTCTTCTGAAAAATAGCAATAGCTGATTCAACTATCTCTGATGCTTAGAAATTCTTTAAAAAGAATGACTTTATCAGGATAGAAAAAGGTTCAAGAGTGAGTACAGTAGGTAAGAAGGAAAAAAAGCTATCTCATTTTTTTATGAACTAGAGGTGTGATCTGTTGAGTTCTCATGAACCAGTGAGACATTATTAGAGCATATTATCTTTGAAGTAGGTCTATTACTTTGGTCTTCTCTTCCCAGCTTCCATTCAAAAAATTAAAATCCAAGACAATGGTTCTATAAACAACCTCTAGATAAATACTATTAGTAGCAATGACATTCAAGGAGAAAATAAAAGACATATTCAAATTGTGTTATGAAGAGTTTATTAAACGGAATATTTATAAAAACATGAGCAAGGCATAAAGAAAGAAACTGCAAGGGATAGTTTATTACTCTGGGACTGGCAGCTATAAGAGTACTACTGCAACCCCTAGACCTGAAGGTACAAGAGTACAGAGTCATTGGCTAAACCTGGAGGGAAAGCTGTATGAACACGACTGCAGAGAGGAGCTGTGTGTGGCATTAGTTGTAGAGATGCAGCTGATTCACATAAGGAGCAAGCCAGGGGAAATCAATATCCCAACCTACCTCTCCATCACACCTCCAGCTTGTTGTCAGAGCTCCCTATTGGGGAAACCTAAAGAAGCCAGAGAGAACAAAAGTGGTTATTGAACTCCATACAGGGTACAGAGCAAAGCAGAGAATAGGTCTGGAGGGGCAATGGAAGATATAGTGAGGAGCATGCTTCAGTAATGTGTTGGATAACAGTCATCCATCCCCATGGGCTTGGTTAGAAGATTCCAAGTATTTAGCTAAGTTCTAAAATGTTTTCTATTACAGAGTGTGTAATGGATAGCAATTTTGTTTGGTTTTGTTTTACTGTGTTCCATGTCCCAGCATCCATTTGAGGTTTTTGTGCATGTGTGATAATAGCACTCCAGTTTTCCTTTGCATAATGACTCTTCCTCCATTCTTAACCCATGCAGTTGTTGTGGGTCTGACTCCACTCTATGGATCCTAGGGTAGACATGTGATTCAATTTGGCCAACCCAAGCATTTTCTCCTCTGTCTAGAGGGATGAACTCTTGATCCAAATCAACCCAGTGAGCTTCAGTCCTGAAGCTATTGCTTCAGAAAAGGGTATCTTTCTTTCTGTTGCAGTTTCTAAGCTTATAGAATCTAAGCCCAAAGTTAGAGCCATCTCTGCCCCCAGAGAGTAAGAATCTGAGAACACAGACAACAGAGAGGGAAGCAGAGATCAGTGATGGAGAAACTGAGTCCCAGAGTCCCAGTGGAATTGATGGAACACCTTGAACCCACTGTGCCTAAAACCAAGATACCTCTGGATATTTTAGTTGTCTTTTTCCTACCTCAGCAATGAGAAGTCTTTGGGTTGCAATGAGAGAGGAGGCAGGAAGGTGCCTCAGTTCATGACTACATAGGCTACTCTGGAAGCTTTCACAAAAAGAGACTGCCTCAGAGCTCTGTTTCTGCTCAGTCTCATGAAAGAGTTGTGGTTTTTTTTTGTTTGTTTTGGTTTGGTTTTTTTTTTAATCAGTGAAGAATGACTCATTATTTATCTTGAGGGTGTAACAATGAATTGTTGTAAGATTTATTCAATGTCTTGTCTTTTTTTTTTTTTTTTTCCTACAGCTGTGGACTCTTCCAGGAAAGAAGAAATCAGAAAACATCACCTTTTCTCCACACCCACCCTCAACTTCCACTTCTGTACTATAGAAGCAAAATTGATTAGGCTGGCTAATTTGAAGAGAAAAAGATGATAGGGGCTTTGTGCTTTAGAGGTAGAAGAGGGTAATAGTCAGGTTCACTCTGACAAAGCCCACTAGAGATGGTAGACCCACTGGTAGAAATGGCTACCTGGATACCCAAGGAGAGCATTAATCATCCCATCTCATATCTGAGCTCAGTACTGGGGGAGGGGATAATCAGGTCTCACCAAACCTGGCAGCCTTCCACTGTACGTGTGGGCAAAGACCAACAGCAGTGGTGTTGGTGGTGGAAGTTATCCAAGTCACATGGCAACAAGATATGTTATCGGCAGCCAATCCATTTGGGTCTGTAGCAACCTCAATTCTTGTCTCCTCAGAGGAATGAATTTGAGGGGCATAAGGCAGAAAGAGCTCTAGGCAAGTTTTAGAACAAGAGTGAAAGTTTATTAAGCTTTAGAGCAGGAATGAAAGTGTACTTGGAAGAGGGCCAAGTGGACAGCTTGAAAGACTAGTGCACAGTTTGACCTAATTTGACCTTTTTTTTTTTTTTTTCCTTTTGAAATGGAGTCTAGCTCTGTCGCCCAGGCTGGAGGGCAGTGGCGTGATCTCAGCTCACTGCAACCTCTGCCTCCTGGCTCAAGCATTTCTCCTGCCTTAGTCTACTGAGTAACTGGGATTACAGGCATGCACCCAGAGTTAGGGTATCCTGGCTCCCAGTGAAGGGACTGGCCAATTAATTTTAGTCATAAAAACTACACACCCAGCTAATTTTTTGTATTTTTAATAGAGACAGGGGTTTGCCACTTTGGCCAGGCTGGTCTCAAACTCCTGACCTCAAGTGATCCGCCCATCTTGGCCTCCCAAAGTGCTGGGATCACAAGCATGAGCCACTGCACCTGGCCCCAGTTTGACCTTTTGACTTGAGGTTTTATACATTAGTGTACTTCCAAGGTCCTGCATCCCTTCTCCTCTAATTCTTCCCTTGGGGTGGGCTGTCCGCATGGCAGTGGCCTGCTAGCACTTGGGAGAATGCACAGTGTGTTTACTGGAGTTGTACACATGCTCACTTGAGGCATTCTTCTTTTACCAGTTGAATGTCCCTGGAAGGTCATATGCCAGTTAAACTCCACCATTTTAATGTGCTTGCTTGAACCCGCTCACCCAATTCCTGAGATCTTTTTGGGAAGCTGCTGATCACCAGTTTCAGGTGTTTATATTTATTAGGGGATTGCCGTTCCCTGGTGCCAGCTGCAACCAATTATTATTTCAGCGAGACAGTTAACAACCGCCTTACCATCACCTGATGGCTGCCTGACATTCCTGGTGTGTGTGGTGGGGGTAGGGGGGGAATCCCTATCCTGCTCAGCTCCTATCTGACTAGCTACCTACTGTAATAGTGGCATCCAAAAGTGACTCAAAACCAAGAGTCTCTATTATTGTCCTTGACCATTGGGTCAGAAGGGCCATAAAAACAGGGAGATGCTGACAGTTGTATCAATCTTGATGAAGGAAGAAATTAACTTCATATAATTATTTTTAGAAAAATAGACACGATATTTTTTATGTTCAGTATTATAGATTGATTATCTCTGTTAACTTTATGTAATTTATATGCCAGATACCTAAGGTATCTAATAATAGTACAAGATAGAAAAAATTTTTATACACTTCATGAGGGTTCTGCAAGACCTAACTGTGGTATTTACAAGAAATATGCCATAAATACATTTTTTAATAATTTCAACTTTTATTTTGGATTCAGAGAGTACATGTGCAGGTTTGTTACCCTGGTATATGGCATGATGTTGAGTTTTGGGGTATGATTGATCCCATCATGCAGGTACTGAGCATAGTACCCAATAGTTAATTTTTCAACTGCTGCCTCCCTGCCTCCTTCCTCCTTCCTCTAGTACTCCCCAATGTCTGTTGTTTCCATCTTTACGTCCATGAGTACCCAGTGTTTAGCTCCCACTTGTAAGAAGTGACAGCATGTGGTATCTGGTTTGCTGTTCCTGTGTTAATCTACTTAGGATAATGGCCTCCAGCTCTATGCATGTTGCTGCAAAGGCCACAATGTCTTTCTTTTTATGGCTGTGTAGTACTCTATGGTGTATATATACCATATTTTCTTCATACATTCTGCCACTGATGGACACCTAGGCTGATTCTATGCCTGCTATTGTGAATAGTTCTGTGATGAACATGCAAGTGCGTGTGGTTTTTTGGTATAAAAATTTATTTTCTTTTGGAAGTAATAGGGTTGCTGGGTCAAACAGTAGTTCCTTTTTAAGTTCTTTGAGAAGTCTCTAAACTGCTTTCCACAGAGGCTGCACTAATTTACATTCCCACCAACAGTGTAGAAGCCTTCCCTTTTCTCCACAGCATCACCATCTGTTAGTTTTTGACTTTTAATAGCAGCCATTCTGACTGGTGTGAGATGGTATCTCAATGTGGTTTTGATTTGCATTTCTCTGATGATGTGATGTTGAACATTTTTTTCATACGTTTGTTGGCTGCTTGTATGTTGTCTTTTGAGAAGTGTCTGTTCGTGTCTTTTGCCCATTCTTAATGGGGTTATTTTCTTTTTGCTTGTTCAATTGTTTAAGTTCCTTATAGATTCTGTATATTAGACCTTTGTTGGATGCACAGTTTGTGAATATTTCTCTCATTCTGTAGGTTGTCTGTTTACTCTGTTGTTAGTTTCTTTTGCTGTGCAGAAGCTCTTTAGTTCATTTAGGTCCCAGTTGTCAATTTTTATTTTTGTTTCAATTGCCTTGGAGGACTTAGTCATAAGTTATTTCCCAAGGCTGATGTCCAGAATGGTGGTTCCTAGGTTTTCTTCCAGGATTCTTAATTTGGGGTCTTACATTTAAATCTTTAATCCATGTTTCTTTCTTATGCATATGGCTAGCCAGCTATCCCAGCACCATTTATTGAATAGGAAGTCCTTTCCACATTGCTTATTTTTGTCGACTTTGTTGAAGATCAGATGGCTGTAGGCGTATGGCTTTATTTCTGGGTTCTATATTCTGTTCCATTGGTCTATGTGTCTGTTTTTGTACCAGTACCATGTTGTTTTGGTTACTGTAGCCTTATTGTGTAGTTTGAAGTCAGGTAGTGTGATGGCTCTGGCTTTTTTCTTTTTGCTTAGGATTGCTTTGGCAATTCAGGCTTTTGTTATTGTTGTTCCAAATGAAGTTTAGAGTAGTTTTTTCTAGTTCTGTGAAAAATTAAATTGGTAGCTTAATATGAATACCATTGAATCTGTACATTGCTTTGTGTGGTATGGCCATTTTAATGATATTGATTCCAATCATGAGCATGGAATGTTTTTCCATTTGTTTATGACATCTATGATTACTTTCAGGCGGTGTTTTCTAGTTCTCCTTGTAGAGATCTTTCACCTACTTGGTTAGATTATTCCTAGGTGGGTTTTTTTGTGGCTATTGTGAATGGGATTGTGTTCTTGATTTGGTTCTCAGCTTGAATACTATTTGTGTATAGAAATGCCACAGATTTCTGTATATTGGCTTTTGTATCCTGAGATTTTACTGAGGTCATTTATCAGCTCCAGGAGCCTTTTGAAGGAGTCTTTAGGATTTTCTAGGTATAGAATCATATCATCAGAGAAGACAGATAGTTTGACTTCTTCTTTTCCTGTTTAGATGGCTTACATTTTTTCTCTTGTCTGATTGCTCTGGCTTAGACTTTTGGAACTATGTTGAATAGGTGTGATGAGAGTAGGTATACTTGTCTTATGCCAGTTCTCAAGGGGAATGCTTCCAGTTTTTGCTTTTTCAGTATAATGTTGGCTACGGGTTTGTCATAGATGACTCTTATTATTTTGAGGTATATTCCTTTGATACCAAGTTTGTTTAAGGTTTCTACTCTGAAGGGATTTTTGGTCTAATTGAGAGTTTTTTCTGTGTCTATTGAAATGAGTGCAAGGTGTCTTAGTCTGTTCTCATATTGCTATAGCAGTACCAAGGGGAAAATCCACTCTCATGATCCAATCACCTTCCACCAGGCCCCATCTCCAATACTGGGGATTACAATTCTACAAGAGATTTGGGTGGGGACACAGATGCAAACAATATCATGTGGTTTTTGCTTTTAATTCTGTTTACGTGGTGAATCACATTTATTGATTTGCATGTGTGGCACAAATCTTGCATCCCAGGAATGAAGCCTACTTGATCATGGTGAACTAACTTTTTTAAGTGCTACTGGATTCAGTTTGCTGGTATTTACTTGAGGATTTTTGCATCCATGTTAATCAGGGATATTGGCCTATAGTTTTCTTTCTTTGTTGTGCCTTTGCCAGGTTTTGGTATCAGGGTGATGCTAGCTTTGTAGAATTAGTTAGGAAGGAATCTCTCCTTAATTTTTTGGGAATAGTTTCAGTGGGATTGGTAGCAGCTTTTCTTTTTAGGTATGGTAGAATTTGGCCATGGACCCATTTGGTCTAGGGCTTTTCTCAGTTGGTAGGTTTTTTATTACTGATTGTATTTTGGAACTCAATATTAGTCTGTTCAGGGTTTCAATTTCTGCCTGATTCAATCTTGGGAGATTGTGTGTTTCTGGGAATTTACACATTTCTTCCATATTTTCTAGTCTGTATGCATAGAGGTGTTCATAATAGTCTCTAAGGGCTTTTTGTATTTCTGTGAGATTGGTTGTAAGGTCACTTTTGTCATTTCTGGTTGTGCTTATTTTTCCTGTTTTTTTCATTTTTTATTAATGTAGTCTAGTGTCTATCAATCTTGTTGATCCTTTCAAAAAAACTGCTTTTGGTTTCATTGATTCTTTGTATGGATTTTTGGATCTCAATCATTCAGTACTGCTCTGAGTTTAGTTCTTTTCTTCTGCTAGCTTTGGGGTTAGCTCATTCTTGTTTTTATTATTCTTATAGTGTGCTGTTAGATAGGTAATTTGAGATCTTTCCAACTTTTTGACATAGGCATTTAGCACTATTAACTTTCCTCTTAACATTGCTTTTGCTGTATCCCAGAGATTTTCATTGTGTCTCTGTCCATCTTTATTTATTTCAGAGAATTTTTGAATTTCTGTCTTACTTTTGTTGTTTACCCAAAAGTCATATAGGAGCAACTTGTTTAATTTTCATGTAATTGTGTGATTTGAAAAGATCATCTTGGTATTTATTTCTATTTTTATTCCAATATGGTCTGAGAAAATGGTTGTTATGATTTCCATTTTTTATTTTATTTTTTAAATTATTATACTTTAATTTCTAGGGCACATGTGCACAATGTGCAGGTTTGTTACATATGTATACATGTGCCATGTTGGTGTGCTGCACCCACTAACTCGTCATTTACATTAGGTATTTCTCCTAATGCTATACCTCACCACTCCCCCAACCCCATGACAGGTCCCGGTGTGTGATGTTCCCCACCCTGTGTCCAAATGTTCTCATTGTTTAATTCCCACCTATGAGTGAGAACATATGGTGTTTGGTTTTCTGTCCTTGCGATATTTTGCGAGAATGATGGTTTCCAGCTTCATCCATGTCCCTACAAAGGACATGAACTCATCCTTTTTTATGGCTGCATAGTATTCCATGGAGTACATGTGCAACATTTTCTTAATCCAGTCTATCATTGATAGACATTTGGGTTGGTTCCAAGTCTTTGCTATTGGGAATAGTGCCGCAATAAACGTATGTGTGCATGTGTCTTTATAGTAGCATGGTTTATAATCCTTTGGGCATATACCAAGTAATGGGATGGCTGGGTCAAATGGTATTTCTAGTTCTAGATTCTTGAGGAATCACCACACTGTCTTCCACAATGGTTGAACTAGTTTAGACTCCCACCAACAGTGTAAAAGTGTTCCTATTTCTCCACATCCTCTCCAGCACCTGCTGTTTCCTGACTTTTTAATGATCACTATTCTAACTGGTGTGAGATGGTATCTCATTGTGGTTTTGATTTGCATTTCTCTGATGACCAGTGATGATGAGCATTTTTTCTGTGTCTGTAGGCTGCATAAATGTGTTCTTCTGAGAAGTGTCTGTTCATATTCTTTGCCCACTTTTTGATGGGGTTGTTTGATTTTTTCTTGTAAATTTGTTTGAGTTCTTTGTAGATTCTGGATATTAGCCCTTTGTCAGATGGGTAGATTGCAAAAATTTTCTCCCATTCTGTAGGTTGCCTGTTCACTCTGATGGTAGTTTCTTTTGCTGTTCAGAAGCTCTTTAGTTTAATTAGATCTCATTTGTCAATTTTGGCTTTTGTTGCCATTGCTTTTGGTATTTTAGTCATGAAGTCCTTGTCCATGCCTATGTCCTGAATGGTATTGCCTAGGTTTTCTTCTAGGGTTTTTATGGTTTTAGGTCTAACATGCAAGTCTTTAATCCATCTTGAATTAATTTTTGTATAAGGGGTAAGGAAGGGATCCAGCTTCAGCTTTCTACATATGGCTAGGCAGTTTTTCCAGCACCATTTATTAAATAGGGAATCCTTTCCCCATTTCTTGTTTTTGTCAGATTTGTCAAAGATCTGATGGTTGTAGATGTGTGGTATTACTTCTGAGGGCTCTCTTCTGTTTCACTGGTCTATATCTCTGTTTTGGTAATAGTACTATGCTGTTTTGGTTACTGTAGCCTTGTAATATAGTTTGAAGTCAGGTAGGGTGATGCCTCCAGCTTTGTTCTTTTGGCTTAGGACTGTCTTGGCAATGCGGGCTCTTTTTTGGTTCCATATGAACTTTAAAGTAGTTTTTTCTAATTCTGTGAAGGAAGTCATTGGTAGCTTGATGGGGATGGCATTGAATCTGTAAATTACCTTGGACAGTATGGCCATTTTCATGATATTGATTCTTCCTACCCATGAGCATGGAATGTTCTTCCATTTGATTGTGTCCTCTTTTATTTCCTTGAGCAGTGGTTTGTAGTTCTCCTTGAAGAGGTCCTTCACATCCCTTATAAGGTGGATTCCTAGGTATTTTATTCTCTTTGAAGCAATTGTGAATGGGAGTTCACTCACGATTTGGCTCTCTGTTTGTCTGCTATTAGTGTATAGGAATGCTTGTGAGTTTTGCACATTGATTTTGTATCCTGAGACTTTGCTGAAGTTGCTTATCAGCTTAAGGAGATTTTGGGCTGAGATGACGGGGTTTTCTAAATATACAATCACATCATCTGCAAACAGAGACAATTTGACTTCCTCTTTTCCTAATTGAATACCCTTTATTTCTTTCTCCTGCCTGATTGCCCTGGCCAGAACTTCCAACACTATGTTGAATAGGAGTGGTGAGAGAGGGCATCCCTGTCTTGTGACAGTTTTCAAAGGGAATGCTTCCAGTTTTTGTCCATTCAGTATGATATTGGCTGTGCATTTGTCATAAATACCTCTTATTATTTTGAGATACATCCCATCAGTACCTAGTTTATTGAGAGTTTTTAGAGCGAAGGGCTGTTGAATTTTGTTGTAGGTCTTTTCTGCCTCTATTGAGATCATGATGTGGTTTTTGTCATTGGTTCTGTTTATATGATGGATTACATTTATTGATTTGCATATGTTAAACCAGCCTTGCATCCCAGGGATGAAGCCAACTTGATCGTGTTGGATAGGCTTTTTGATGTGCTGCTGGATTTGGCTTGCCACTATCTTACTGAGGATTTTTGCATCAATGTTCATCACTGATATTGGTCTAAAATTCTCTTTTTTTGTTGTGTCTCTGCCAGGCTTTGTTATCAGGATGATGCTGGCCTCATAAAATGAGTTAAGGAGGATGCCCTCTTTTTCTATTGATTGGAATAGTTTCAGAAGTAATGGTACCAGCTCTTCTTTGTACCTCTGGTAGAATTCGGCTGTGAATCTGCCTGGTCCTGGACTTTTTTGGTTGGTAGGCTATTAATTATCACCTCAATTTCACAGCCTGTTATTGGTCTATTCAGGGATTCAACTTCTTCCTGGTTTAGTCTTGGGAGGGTGTATGTGTCCAGGAATTTGTCCATTTCTTCCAGATTTTCTAGTTTATTTGTGTAGAGTTGTGTATAGTATTCTCTGATGGTAGTTTGTATTTCTGTGGGATCAGTGGTGATAT
Source organism: Homo sapiens (assembly GCF_000001405.40). NCBI lineage: Eukaryota > Metazoa > Chordata > Mammalia > Primates > Hominidae > Homo > Homo sapiens. Next base: position 77,546,595 of record NC_000004.12, read on the forward strand.
CCCCTTTATCATTTTTATTGCATCTATTTGATTCTTCTCTATTTTCTTTATTAGTCTTGCTAGCGGTCTATTTTGTTGATCTTTTCAAAAAACCAGCTCCTGGATTCATTGATGTTTTGGAGAGATTTTGTGTCTCTTATCTCCTTCAGTTCTGCTCTGATCTTTGTTATTCCTTGCCTTCTGCTAGCTTTTGAATGTGTTTGCTCTTGCTTCTCTAGTTCTTTTAATTGTGATGTTAGGGTGTTGATTTTAGATCTTTCCTGCTTTCTCTTATGGGCATTTAGTGCTATAAATTTCCCTCTACATACTGCTTTACATGTGTCCCAGAGATTCTGGTGCATTGTGTGTTTGTTCTCATTAGTTTCAAAGAAGATCTTTATTTCTGCCTTCATTTCATTATGTACCCAGTAGTCATTCAGGAGCAGATTGTTCAGTTTCCATGTAGTTGTGCAGTTTTGAGTGAGTTTCTTAATCCCAAGTACTAATTTGATTGCACTGTGGTCTGAGAGACAGTTTGTTGTGATTGCTGTTCTTTTACATTTGCTGAGGAGTGCTTTACTTCCACCTATGTGGTCAATTTTGGTATAAGTGCACTGTGGTGCTGAGAAGAATGTATAATCTGTTGGAGCATTCTGTAGATGTCTGTTAGGTCTGCTTGGTGCAGAGCTGAGTTCAATTCCTGGATATCCTTGTTAATTTTCTGTCTCATTGATCTGTCTAATGTTGACAGTGGGGTGTTTACATATCACATTATTATTGTGTGGGAGTCTAAGTCTCTTTCTAGGTCTCTAAGGACTTGCTTTATGAATCTGGATGCTCCTGTATTGGGTGCATATATATAGTTAGGATAGTTAGCTCTTCTTGTTGAATTGGTCCCTTTACCATTATGTAATGACCTTCTTTGTCTCTTTTGATCTTTGTTGGTTTAAAGTCTGTTTTATCAGAGACTAGGATTGCAACCCCTGCTTTTTTTTTGTTTTCCATTTTCTTGGTAGATCTTCCTCCATCCCTTTATTTTGAGCTTATGTGTGTCTGTGCACTTGAGATGGGTTTCCTGAATACAGCACACTGATGGGTCTTGACTCTTTATCCAATTTGCCAGTCTGTGTGTTTAAATTGGGCATTTAGTCCATTTACATTTAAGATTAATATTATTATGTGTGAATTTGACCCTGTCATTATGATGTTAGCTGGTTATTTTGCTCATCAGTTGATGCAGTTTCTTCCTAGCATTGATGGTCTTTACAATTTGGTATGTTTTTGCAGTGGCTGGTACAGGTTTTTCCTTTCCATGGTTAGTGCTTCCTTCAGGAGCTCTTGTAAGGCAGGCCTGGTGGTGACAAAATTTCTCAGCATTTGCTTGTCTGTACAGGATTTTATATCTCATTTGTTTATGAAGCTTAGTTTGGCTGGATATGAAATTCTGGGTTGAAAAAAAATTTTTTTTAAGGACTAGAATAGTGTTTAATATCAATTTCTGAGAAATCACATTTATATAAAAGAAATAAAACAGGCCAGCAGAAGTCCAAAAAAGATTCAGCTTACATTATTGCACTTGGATGAAATATGCTATTTAGAGTAGCATAATATTCAGGCCAGGCCAGGAGGAGAAAGAGACAAATGGAGAGGACAAACCTCCAGGTAGTATTTATTCTGGATTCCAAACTCTCCTGCGGCCTAAACAGTATTTAGTCTATTGGAAACATTCAGCAAGGTCTTTACAAAAATGACTGCAGTATCTTCAACACATTTGAGTTGCACTCATACTTTGTTCCAGTCATGTGCAAGTTTAATGCACAGCTCTACCTCACAAAATGGGACATCTATGACACCAGAACTTCCCTGTGCCCAAGGTCATGGACAGGAGGGGAAGGCAGTGAATTTCTACTTTATGCATATTTTAGGGAGCAATACTGTGGCTATCATTTACCCTTTTGAGCAATCTTGATTTTGGTCATTTATAATTAGTACATGAGAAAAAGTGACAGTGAATACAAGTGAGTACTAACCGAATTCCTCGGCTGGTACTAGAAAATAATCTTTTCGTTAAGAATGTGGAATATTGGCCCCCATTCTCTTCTGGCTTGTAGAGCTTCTGCTGAGAGATCCACTGTTAATCTGATGGGCTTCCCTTTGTGGGTAACCCGACCTTTCTCTCTGGCTGCCCTTAACATTTTTTCCTTCATTTCAACCTTGGTGAATCTGACAATTATGTGTCTTGGAGTTGCCCTTCTCAAGGAGTATCTTTGTGGTGTTCTCTGTATTTCCTGAATTTGAATGTTAGCCTGCATTGCTAGGTTGGGGAAGGTCTCCTGGGTGATATCCTGAAGAGTGTTTTCCAACTTGGTTCCATTCTCCTCATCACTTTCAGGTATACCAATCAAATGTAGATTTGGTCTTTTCACATAGTCCCATATTTCTTGGATGCTTTGTTCATTTCTTTTTACTCTTTTTTTCTCTAAACTTCTCTTCTCACTTCATTTCATACATTTGATCTTCAATCACTGATATCCTTTCTTCCACTGGATCGAATCAGCTACTGAAGCTTGTGCATGTGTCACGTAGTTCTCGTGCCACGGTTTTCAGCTCCGTCAGGTCATTTAAGGTCTTCTCTATGCTGCTTATCCTAGTTAGCCATTCTTCTAATCTTTTTTCAAGGCCTTTAGCTTCCTTTCAATGAGTTAGAATATGTTCCTTTAGCTCGGAGAAGTTTATTACCAATCTTCTGAAGCCTAGTTCTGTCAACTCATCAAAGTCATCCTCCATCCAGCTTTGTTCCATTGCTGGCAAAGAGCTGCCATCCTTTGGAGGAGAAGAGGTGCTCTGGTTTTTAGAATTTTCAGCTTTTCTGTTCTGGTTTCTCCCCATCTTTGTGGTTTTATCTACCTTTGGTCTTTGATGATGGTGACCTACAGATGGGGTTTTGGTGTGGATGTTCTTTTGTTGATGTTGGTGCTATTCCTTTCTGTTTGTTAGTTTTACTTCTAACAGTCAGGACCCTCAGCTGCAGTTCTTTTGGAGTTTGCTGGAGGTCCACTTGAGCCCCTGTTTGCCTGGGTATCACCAGCAGAGGCTGCAGAACAGCAAATGTTACTGCCTGATCCTTCCTCTGGAAGCTTCATCTCAGAGGGGCACCCAGCTGTATGAGGTGTCAGTCAGTCCCTACTGGGAGATGTCTCCCAGTTAGGCTACTTGGGGGTCAGAAACCCACTTGAGGAGGCAGTCTGTCTGTTCTCAGATCTCAAACTCCATGCTGGGAGAACCACTGCTCTCTTCAAAGCTGTCAGACTGGGACGTTTAAGTCTGCAGAAGTTTCTGTTGCCTTTTATTCAGCTATGCCCTGCCCCCAGAGGTGGAGTCTACAGAGGCAGGCAGACCTCCTTGAGCTGTGGTGGGCTCCACCCAGTTCAAGCTTCCTAGCTGCTTTGTTTACTTAGTCAAGCCTCAGCAATGGCGGACACCCCTCTCCCAGCCTTGCTGCTGCCTCACAGTTCAATCTCAAACTGCTGTGCTAGCAGTGAGCAAGGCTCTGTTGGCATGGGATCTGCTGAGCCAGGCACAGGGTATAATCTCCTAGTGTGCCACTTGCTAAGACCATTGGAAAGGCATGTTATTAGGGCAGGAGTGTCCTGGTTTTCCAGGTATGGTCTGTCATGGCTTTCCTTGGCTAGGAAAGGGAATTCCCCAACCCCTTTTGCTTCTTGGGTGAGATGATGCCCCACCCTGCTTCATCTTACACTCAGTGGGCTGCTCCCACTGTCCAGCCAGTCCCAATGAGACGAACCCAGTATCCCAGTTGGAAATGCAGAAATCATCTGTCTTCTGCATCACTCCTGCTGGGAGCTGTAGACGGGAGCTGTAGACTGGAGCTGTTCCTATTCAGCCATCTGGGAACAATCCCAATTTCCCTTTTTTTAAACTTACTGAGCCTTGTTTTGTGGCCAAGCATGTGGTTGATTTAAGAATATGTTCTATTTGCAGATGAGAAAAATATATAATCTGTAGTTGATGGGAGGAGTATTCTGTAGATGTCCTAGGTCCAATTGATCAAATGTTGAAGTTCACAATTTCTCCGTTAGTTTTCTGCCTTGATGATTTGTCTGATGCTGTCAGTAGGGTGTTAAAATTCCCCAATATTATTGTGTCTATGTCTAAGTCTTTTCATAGGTCTAGAACTACTTGTTTTATGAATCTGGGTGCTCCAATGTTGGGTGTGTATATATTTAGGATAGTTAAGTCTTGTTGAATTGAATCTTTTATCATTATGTCATACCCTTCTTTGTCCTTTTTTACTGTTGTTGTTTTAAAGTGTTTATCTAATATCTAAAGTATTATCTAATATAAGAATAGTAACACTTGCCCTTTTTTGTTCTGTTTACATAACAAATCTTTCTCTGACATTTACTTTGAGCTTTGGGGTTTCCTTATGTGTGAGATAGATCTCTTGAAGACAGCAGACACTTGGGTCCTGTATTTTTATTCAACTTGCCACCCTGTGCCTTTTAAGTGGGGCATTTAGACCATTTACATTCAAAGTTAACATTGATATGTGAAGTTTTCATCCTATCATGAAGTTAGCTCGTTGCTTTGTAGTTTCCATTGTGTGGTTGGTTTATAGGTTCTGTGGGCTATGTACTTTAGTGTGTTTTGTGGCAGCAGGTATCATTATTTTGTTTCCATGTTTAAAATTCCTTTGAGGCTCTCTTGAAGGTTGGTCTAGTGGTAACAAATTCCCTTAATGCTTGCTTGTCTGGAAAAGGATTTTATTTCTCCTTCACTTATGAAGCTTAGTTTGGTGGGATAAGAAATTGTTGGCTGCAATTTCTTTTCTTTAAGAATCCTGAAAATAGGCCACCAATCTCTCCTGGCTTGTAAGGTTTCTGCTGGGAAGTCTGCTGTTAGCCTTTGTACATGATCTGAGCTTTTCCTCTAGCTGCCTTTAAGTCTTTTCTTTAGTATTGACCTTGGACAGTCTGGTGACTACATGCCTTGATGACACTCGTTTTGTATAGTATGTTGCAAGTGTTTTCTAGAATGTCTACCTCTCTAGCAAGATAAGGGAAATGTTCTTGAATTGTTCCCTGAAATACGTTTATTTTCTTTTTTTCCATTTCTCTCAGGAATGTCAATAATTCATAAGCTTGGTTGCTATACATAATCCCATGTTTCTCAAAGACTTTGTTTATTTTTTAAATTCTTTTTTCTGTATTTTTGTCTTACTGAGTTAGTTCAAAAGACTAGTCTTCAAGCTCTGAAATTTTTTCTTCTACTTGGTCCAGTCTATTGCTAAAGCTTTCCATTGTATTTTGAAATTCCTTAAGTGAGTTTTTCAATTCCAGAAGCTCTGGTTGATTTCTTTTTAAAATATTTATCTCTTCCTTCATTTCCTGGATTCCCTTTGAAGTTTCTTTGTGTTGATTTTCAACCTTATCTTGTATCTCATTGAACTTCCTAACAATCTATCCTTTGAATTATTTATCTGTCATTTCTGAGTTTCCATTTTGGTTAGGGTCCTTCGCTGGAGAGGTAGTGTGATACTTTGGTGTCACTACATTCAGATTTTTCATTGTGCCAGAATTCTTGTGTCAGTTCCTTCTTACCTAGAGATGCTAGCACTTCTAATATTTGTAATTATTTTCATGTGGGTAGGATTTTTTGTTTTTCTTTCTTTCCCTATAATAATAACATTTTTTTCCCTTTCCTTTCCCCGACTTCCTAGGGAATGTGACTGTAGAGAATCCTAGGTAGGGTCCTTTGGCTTTGCTTCTATAGTCCTGTGCATTTCTGTCAGCAGGTTTTATTTTACTCTGTGCAGTTCAAACTACAAGCCATAGATGGCACTTATGGGTAAGAGCCAGCTGTGGCCAGTACAGCTGGGTATATGTGTGATCCTTGTTTACTGAGAGAAGCTCTCTGTTGCCTCAGGAAATGGGCTTATTTATGGGGTTCACAGTGGTCTGAGCTCCCTCCTTACCCCTGGAGAGGCAGGGGGCAAGATGTGTGGGGCTGGACCAGGCAGGTCTGGACCTACAGGTCCCCTGATGGCAGACACAAGCACCAGCACTGAGGGGAGAATCCAGTGGCCAGCCACCAAGCCCTCAGAGATATGCCTAGGCATGAAGCTGGGAAGCCTCCTCAACCCCAAGTTCTCTGCATGGGGATGGCGATGGCCTAAACTTCTGATCCAACAGAGTGCATGCTGCAGGTGCCTGGAGATCTGCCTGGGGGTAAAACAGAGAGGGTCCCACTGCACCATAATCTACGTACAGGAAGCATGAGGTGGCTGAGGCTGTTGATCCAGGCCAGGGGGTACTCTGAATACCTAGGGATCTGCATGGGCGTGGAGCAGAGAAGGCCCCGCTGCACCACCATCTATGCCCATGAAGAGTGCGGCTGCTCAGGCTGCTGGTCCAGGCAAGGGGATGGTACTCTGATTGCCTGAATTTTGGCTTGGGGGTGGAGTGGAAAGGGGCCCTACTGCATCACGGTCTTAGGGTAGCAGATTGGTGTACCCAGCAATGACACATACACACCTATTCCAGGTCACCAGCTGGCCCTAGCTGTAAGATTCGTTGTCTGAGAGAAACTATAGCTGTAGCAGCTCTCTTCCTGCTCCAGGTCTGTGATGGGGGAGAGCAAAATTCCAGCACCTACTGCTGAGGTACTTTTCACAGTTCTGGCTGTGGAAGCTTCTACCCAACTCCAGAGCATGTGCTCCAATCTGTGGCCCAGGACTGAAGTTCCTGAGCAGCCATGCTGCTGGGTTGCCAAAGAATGGCAGACTTTGTATGTGCCTGGGTTAAAAATGGTGTCCTGCCCTCAGTTCCAGGTCTGGAAAAATGCTTACAGCTTTTCTCAGTGTCTTTCCCTCATAGCACCTTCAAGCCTTTCCCCAGTATAGCTCCAGGGCCTGGGAAAACAAAGTGCTCTCCCTTGGCCTGAATTGCTTGGATCCCCAGTGGAAAGGTGAGTCACAGAGATAGGCTCTCTGCCTCTCTTGTGTACTGGTGCTTCACTCACTTTAATCAGCCCCATGTCATCACAGGGGCTGTTTGCCCACCCCTTCTCCTCCCTGGGATCTGGGGTTTCCTTTGTGATTCTAGTGGATTCCCATTTTCCTTCTTGAAATGAAGCTCAAAGAGTTGATCTTTGTGTACTACCTCGCTGTTTCCGAGTGGATGAGGCATGCTGAAAGCCTCTAATCCACCATCTTGGAAAAAATAAATTTTTTTTTAAAAAGCAAAATCCAAATATGTAGGATAAACAAATTGAAATATCTAGTGTACAATGTAAGGACTATAGTTAATAGCGTATTGTATTTGGGATTTTGCTAAATGAGTAGACTATGGCTGATGCCACATGGAAGAGGAATAGGTAACTATGTGAGATGATAGAAATGTTCATTTGCTCCACTGTAGTAACCATTTTACAATATATATGTATTTTATAATATCGTGTTGTATACCTTAAATATACACAATAAAATTTATTTTTTTAAAGAAACCAACCAGAACAGTTCCCCAGATTTACTCATGAAGTTATTCTCTTTCTCCACCACCAACCAACAGCATTCCCTCATCAATTGTGTGCTCTATTTTTTTGGCAGCCAATGCATGAGTAGTGAGATTATTATTATATAATAAAATAATATGTTCAAATTTTTAAAAAACAGATAGTTTAAAGAAAAAGGGAAAATTATTATAGCTTGTAAACATTTACCTTAAGAAAACTAGAGTGATGTTTCAGGACAAGAAATAATACTAGAGATAAAGAGAAATGTCTTATGATGATAACAGAGTATTTAATCAAGAATGCCTCATAAATGTGCATGTATCTAATTACAGAGCTTCAAATATACATGAAGCAAAAGCTGACAAAAGAGAAATAAGCCCACAGTAATACTTGGGAATTTCAAATCTCTTCTCTCAGTAGTTGGTAAAACAGAAAACTCAGTAAGAATATAGAAGAATGGAATAGCAGTATCAACCAACTTGATCTAGATATTTACAGAACAACATTTCTAGGATGCTCCATGGAACAACAATAACATATACATTATTTTCAGATGCACATGGAACACTCATCAAGGCAACATATATGCAGGATTATAGTCTAAACAAATTTAAAGCACTAAAACAATATAGACTGTGTCCTCTGACTACAAAAGAATCAATTAGAAATTAATAACAGATATTGAAAAATCCACAAATGTTTGGAGATTAAACATCTCTAATCATGTATTATAGATCATATCACAAAGAATATGAGGATATATTTTTACCTAAATAATAATTAAAATACAATACATCATAATTTGTAGGATACAGCTGAAGCAGTGATTGGGGGAAATTTAGAGCTTTAAATGCTTACATTAGAAAGGAATAAAAGTCTAAAATTAATGATACAAAATTTTACATTAAGAAGCTAAAAAAACAGAAGAACAAATTGAACCCAAAGTAAGTAAGTAGAAGGTAAGAAATAAAAATATGAATAAAATAAATGAAATTTGAAAATATTTAATTAACAGGAAAAAAACCAATGAAACCAAAAGCAGATTCTTTGAAAAATTGTTGTTTCTAATTAGACCAAGAAAAAAAGGATATGAGTTACTAAATTCAGGAATGAAAGAGGAGACATCACTGCAGGCATTAAAAAGATAAAAGTGGACTATTATGAACAAATGCATGCAACAAATTGAATAACTTAGAGGAAATGGGCAAATTTATTGAAAGACATAAGCTACCAAAATTAACATAAAAAGAAACAGGGAAACCTAATAGCACTGTATTTATTAAAGAAATTTAATGTGCCAAAGTAATTAAAAGTAGAAAAGATTTTTCATTAAATAGTGCTTGAACCACTGGATGCCTATGTGAAAAAAGCATGAACTTCAACTCTTACCTCACAGTAAATGCAAGACTAATTATAAATAGAATAGAGACCTAAATGTAAAAATAAAAATTATAAAATGTTTACAACAAAACATAGGAAAATGTCTTCTTAAACCTGGAGCAGACAAAGATTTCTTAGATATCACATAAAATATGAAAGAATAATATTAAACATTCCATATTTCAAAAGTCACCTTTAAAAAATAAAACAAGCCCCAACAGATTTGTTGTTTGTGTTACTTTTATCTGATGAAAGACCTGTATCCAGAATATATAAAGAACATTTACAACTTGATAATGAAGACAACACAGTTTTAAAATTGGGTAAGTCATTTGACATTTTAAAAAGATGAGAATGATCAATATATGCATAGAAAGATGTTCAACATTTTCAGCCATAAAGTTAAAGCCACATTGATATATTTTTACATACCCATAGAATGGCTAAAAATAAAACCAAATAACTGAGAATGTCATGGGTGAGGTTATGGAGCCACTGAAACTCTCTCATATATTGCTGAGACAAATGTAGAATGGTACAACCACTTTAGAAAACAGTTGAACAGTTCCTTACTTATTTACACTGCCATGTATCTGTCAATTCTATTCCTACATATATACCAATGAGAAATAAAAACATACATCCATTCAGAGACTTATACACAAATGCTCATAGTAGCTTTATTCATAATATCCTAAAACTAGAAACAACCCAAATGTCCATAAACAAATGAATGGTTAAACAAATTGTGGTATATCATTACAATAGAAGACTATTTCATAATAAAAGACAACAGACTATTGATATACAGAGTGTGGATCTCAAAAACAATGCTGAGTGAAGGAAGCCAGACACAAAAGAATACATGCTGCATAATTCCTTTTATGTGATATTTTAGAAAAAGGAAAACTAACCCATAGTGACAGAAAATAGGTCAGTAGTTACTTGTGTCTGGTGGTTGGGGGTGGTATTGACAATAAAGAGGCCTAAAAGAACTTTTCAGGATAATGGAAATGTCCTATAGCTTGATCGGGGTGGTAGGTGCACAAATGTATACATGTGTCAAAACTCAAACTGTATATTTAAAATGTACACATTGTATGTATATTAAACCTCATTAAGATTGATTTATATATCATTGTGATAATCTTACAAAATACTAAAATATAAAGTTTAAGAAATGGTTTATATTTTCAAAATATAAAATATGAGAAAAATTCAAAGATGAATCCAGAATATTAGGTCCACAATCCAAGAAAATGGGAAACAAGATTGGGCACAGTGGCTCACACCTGTAATCCCAGCACAAGCCCCTGAAGTCCGGGGTTTATGCCCAGCCTGGGAAACATAGAGGAGCTTGTCCGTACAAAAAAAATTAAAATATCAGCCAGGCGTGGGGGCACACACCTGTATTCCCAGCCACTCAGGAGGCCGAGAGGAAGATCACTTAAGCCCAGGAGTTCGAGGCTGCAGTGATTTATGATCGTGCCACTGCCCTCCAGCCTGGGCTGCAGAGTGAGACCCAAAAGACTGTCTCTAAAAAATAAAAGAGAGAGAGAGAGAGAAAAGAAAAATGGGAAACAAGGAGAGAAAGGAAGAAACAAAACAAACAAAATCCCATTATTTTCCTGAGTATAAAGAAAACAGAAATCTTCAGTTTCAAATGTTGTTGATTTATTCATTGAATTCATTGATTACTTGGTTCTCTTATACTTCCATTGTATTAATAACAGGGCCACAACGATGTTTCAGGTCTCTAAGTACCAATTTTAACTCAGTCTCCTTTCCTTAGTTCACATTTGTTTGTGTAAATGGCCTGTGGAAAGGCTAGGGGAATCATCCCAGTGTACACTTGCAAGGCTGCTGCAGGGGGCCTGGAACCTGGCCTTTTCATCCATCTTTGGCCTCTGGAAACTGGACAATGGATCATGACTATATATTGAAGAAACTGCCGTCAACCTCCCAATCAGGCATCCTTGATTTATTTTACTCATGTAGATGGAATCATACCCTTCTTGGCTGCCCTTCTAGTTTTTCCTCAGGGACACTGTTTTCTATTAATCAGCTCCACAATTCTCTGCAAGTCAGATCCATTCATTACATTTTGTCCTTGCATTAAGATAATTGCCATTACCTGGCTTCTGATGAGTAAGAACCACCACCTGTTTTCTATTGTGTGCATTGAGCGGGGCAGGTCCTGTTATCAGTAAGCCCAGGTCTTTAGTGGCATTTTCTACTGACAGCCTGGCCTGCTGAGGAGTGCTGGCACTGAACTTCTTACTGATGCTGGAGCTTCTCACACCAGGAAAATTCTTATTGCTTCAGTAACACAGATGGCTAGTGGGCTTTCCAGCCTTACACAGCATACTCACCCTGGTATGTGTACTTCTCTGAGCCTTTTATTCTTTTCTACCATCTACCTTGGCAACTCTGGTATTTACCTTACTGAGTGTGAGCTATTGACCTTTCCATGCCTCTAAGAGCCATCTTAGGGGTGTGTTTGCACCATCTCTTTGTGTCCTTGCTAGAATTTCAAGTCGCATACCCTAGAAGAGTCTCCCAAACTGCTAAATTCTCTTTTCAAACAACATGCTCTGACACCTTGATCCAGAACCCTTAGAAACCAATACTATCTATACTCTTCTAGTTCTTGTTTATAAAAAATGGCTAGGTCCTGAAGTTCCTTTATCACTTCTAAGATGCCTCTGGCTGTTTTTGCAGCAACTTAACCCTAGGTATAGGCCCATGGCCAAGTATGTAGGTGGCCCTTGATCCTGAGATGGGCACCTGTTATCTTGAAAAGGAAAAGCTTCTGCATTGCCTTTGAGCAAGGGGAGAGGGCTAACCCTTACTAGGGAGGAGTGAACTACTTCTAATTTTTTTTTTTAAGGAGTCTCCCTGTGTCACCCAGATTGGACTACAGTGGAGCAATCTCAGCTCACTGCAACCTCTGCCTCCCAAATTCAAGCAATTCTCCCACTTCAGCCTCCCAAGTAACTGGGACTACAGGTGTAAGTCACCATACTTGGCTAGTTTTTGTATTTTTAGTAGAGATGAGGTTTCACCATGTTGGCCAGGCTGATTTCAAACTCCTGACCTCAGGTGATCTGCCCGCCTTGGCCTTCCAAAGTGCTGGAATTACAGGAATGCGCCACCGCACTCAGCTGGAGTAAACCACTTCTGTAGGAATCAGAGGAAAATGAAGATTCAAGATATGGGGGGCATCAACTGCAATGTTCCCATACCACGTGTCAGGGTCTTATTTTTACTCAACAAAGGCCCTGACCCTGGCATAGCAGGTCTGCCTATGTTATGAGTTGAACCTCCTTTGGGATTCATTACTCTTATTTTCTGGGCTTGATCCTCAACTTTTTTGGACCTTCTGTGAAGGAAACAAGAGCTTCTTCTTATGCTACTAAGGAGAACTCTGCCTTTCACCCCTAGCTTATCTTTTTATTCAAGGCCTTAATTGAGCTTGGTGAAGCCACCCGATTCTATTGCCTCTCTAGTTAGTATTTTCCTCATTATTTCTCCAATGTCAGATATCAGCATTTTCTTCCACCAGTATACCATCCAACTTCATCAACTGTGATTGTTTTAACAACTAAACAACCATCTCACGCTGGGATTGTATGTCCTCTGCCTACCACCAGCAGTACCTTCTGCCACAGATTGGACTCTCTAGGAAGCAGACTCTAGATAAAGACTATCATATAGAAGGTTTATCAGGAGGTTCCCTTGGCTCCAACACCTGGGGAAGAAAGGGGACTGAGGGGAGAGAGGGGAAAGAAGGAGACTGGGCAGAGGAAGAAATTGAGATATGATGCAGACTAAATAAAGCTTCAGTTGACCCTTTGGCCATTTCTGAAAATGGAATGACCCTTCAGAGATATTCCTAATTGGGGTGAGAAGGCTGAGCCTTTATACTCCCATGTTAAACAGTCATTGGATGTGGACGACCTTGAGAAGGGTGGCTGTCTTCACCTGGAGGCACTCCCAGTAGCTGGGGCAATAGCTTCTTCATTCTGGGGAGAGTTTGAACACATTACAGCTATCGCACAGCAACCATCCACCTCTTTCTTCCATTCAAGGACTAAATATGCCGTGTGTGTGTGTGTGTGTGTGATTGAAAGTAAAGTAAAACCTGACACTCTGGCCAGGCGCAGTGGCTCACACCTGTAATCCCAGTATTTTGGGAGGCCGAGGCAGGCAGATCACGAGGTCAGGAGATCGAGACCACCCTGGCTAACATTGTGAAACCCCGTCTCTACTAAAAATACAAAAAATTAGTCGGGCATGGTGGCGGGTGCCTGTAGTCCCAGCTACTCAGGAGGCTGAGGCAGGAGACTGGCGTGAACCTGGGACACGGAGCTTGCAGTGAGCAGAGATGGCACCAATGCACTCCAGCCTGGGTGAGAGAGCGAGACTCCATCACAAAAAAAAAAAAAAAAAAACCTGACGCTCAATGTGCTTTCCAAATATCTTGGAGCTCCAGTGACCCCTTCACTTCCTAGAACTTCCTAGTCATAAACACTTCTGTGACCACAGCAATGAGGTTGTTTTCTTTCTTTTTCTTTTTTTTGTTGGTCTTTCTTTTTTGTTTTGGATATGTTAATACTTACTATTTATCAAACATTTACTATGAGCCAGGCCCTGTGCAAGGGTATATATATGGATAATCTTTCATGAATGATCTCATTTAATCATCACTTCAATTCTATTTTGTAAACTTGAGTAAGCCTTTAGTAAGAAAATAGAGATTGAGGTTGAATTGTGTTTCCAAGTCACGCTACTAGTTCTTATTGGAATCTGTGTGGAACCCAGATCTGACTCCAAAGTCAATCTTAGTAATGACACTGCAATTGGCCACCTGCTTCTTTATCTCCAACTGCCTCAGCCAAAGGTCAACAGGTACACTGTAGGCCACTGTTCTTGATCAAGCCCTGTTCCCTGCAGCATACATTCCTAAACAATGCCTTTTGAGGTACAACTTATAGAATCATTTTATTAAAGTTCTGATCTTTTTTCTATACATTCCCACTGTGTTCAAACCTAAGACTCAGCTGTCCTCCCAGGCTCAATTGAAGTCTCCTTTCTAGCTGTACTTTTCTTAGGTATTCCAGACCAGAATAGCCTCCCAGTGCCTAACAAAGCTTTCCCACCAGTGAGAAGGATTTAGCCACATTTTTACTGCTTAGTATCTTCATATATGTTTCTGTTCCCTTCAACAGATTGTAAACATCACGCACGGTCTTTCACACCACTACCCTATATAATGTATTGTACATAGGAGACATTTAGAAGCAGATTACATTAATTTTGTATTAATGTCATGAATTACTTAGTGATATGCCCTTGGGCTCTCTTCTGTTTCCTCATTCTCTAATAATGATATAATTTTTATATTTTCTTAGGTTTCCCATGATGCTGAAATCCTTATCTATCCTATATATTTGTCACTCTGCACTTCCTCTCTTGCATAGCTCTGTCCTGGGAACCCCAGGCAGTTAAGTTTATTAGTGATGATTAACACAAGCTGGTTATGTTCCATTTAAGGCTAACAGTTCTCATGGTTATAATTAAACTTTTTCTGTTTTAGGTACAATTAAACCCACAGATTAAACCTTATATTTTCCAGGGAAAATATTGTATGATCTATTGTACCTAGTGACTAAAGTGAAATTTTAGAATGGTTTGAAACCTTGCTGCAAAAAGTGTGGTCCATGGACCAGGAACAGCAGTGTTACCTGGAGGCCTGTTAGAAATGTAGAAAATTGTCCCCCACCCAGATATGCAGGATCAGAATCTGCATTCTAACAAGATCTGCAGGTAATTCCTATCAATATTTAAGTTTGAGAAGTTCTACTTTAAAAAATAATTTAATGGCAGCTCTATATAAAAGTGGTTCTCCATTAGTGCCTACCATGGGCCAGCCACATGTTTGATGCTTCATACAGTTCTAATTATCCCAACAGTCCTGAAGGTGCTATTTCTGTTTACAGATGAAAAACCTGATACTTAGAGGCTAACTTAGCCAAGATCGTTCTGCTTATAATCAGTAGTGCTGATCTTGGAGTGTAGCACCATCTGCTTCGAAGACTATCTTTCAGGCTTTCTGTTGCAGATGCAGCAGATGCTCTCAGAGCCTGCCTATATGTCCCTGCCCCTTAGCATTCCAGAGTGCAGGGGCTGGACTGGTCCTTGCCTCCCCTGCAGCAGTGAGAGGTGATGGTGTGCTGGCAGCCCTTGCAGCCCTTGCCCACTCTCAGCACCTCCTTGGCCTCGGTGCACACTCTGGCAGCACTTGAAGAGCCCTTCAGCCCACCACTGCACTGTGGGAGCCCCTCTCTGGGCTGGCCGAGGCTGGAGCTGGCTCCCTCTGCTTGTGGGGTGATGTGGAGGGAAAGGCGCAGGTGGGAACCTGGGCTGCGCCCAGTGCTTGTGGGCCAGCACAAGTTCTGGGTGGGTGTGGGCTTGGTGGGCCCTGCACTTGGAGCGGCAAGCAGTGAGGAGCTTAGCACCTGGGCCAGCAGCTGCGGAGGGTGCGCCGGGTCCCCCAGCAGTGCTGGCCCACCAGGGCTGCGCTCGAATTCTCGCGGGGCCTCAGCTGCCTCCCTGTGGGGAAGGCCTCAGGACCTGCAGCCCTCCCGGCACAAGCCTTCCCACCCCCTGCCCACCGCTGCCCCCACCCCCCCATCACTGCAGCCCCCCGCCCCGCCTACAGCCACCCCAACCCCCACCCCACCATGGGCTCCTGCGAGGCCTGAGCCTCCCTGACGGGCAACGCCCCCTGCTCTGCTGCGCTGGGTCCCATCGACTGCCCAAGGGCTGAGGAGTGCGGGCACAAGGCACGGGATTGGCAGGAAGCTCCACCTGCACCGGGGTGCAGGATCCACCAGGTGAAGCCAGCTGGGCTCCTGAGTCTAGTGGGGACGTGGAGAACCTTTATGTCTAGCTAAGGGATTGTAGACACACCAATCAGTACTCTGTGTCTAGCTCAAGGTTTGTGAATGCACCAATCAGCATTCTGTATCTGGCTAATCTGGTGGGGACTTGAAGAACTTTTATTTCTAGCTAAGGGATTGTAAATACACCAATCAGCACTCTGTGTCTAGCTCAAGGTTTGTAAACACACCAATCAGCACTCTGTATCTAGCTAATCTGGTGGGGACTTGGAGAACCTTTATGTCTAGCTAAAGGATTGTAAACATACCAATCAGCACCCTGTGTCTAGCTCAAGGTTTGTAAATGCACCAATCAGTGATCCGTGTCTAGCTAATCTAGTGGGGATTTGGAGAACTTTTGTGTCTAGCTCAGGGATTGTAAACGCATCAATCAGCACTCTGTCAAAACGGACCAATCAGCTCTCTGTAAAACACACCAATCAGCTCTCTGTAAAATGGATCAATCAGCAGGATGTGGGTGGGGCCAGATAAGGGAATAAAAGCAGGCTGCCAGAGCCAGCAGTGGCAACCCCCATGGGTCCCCTTCCACACTGTGGAAGCTTTGTTCTTTCACTCTTTTCAATAAATCTTGCTGCTTCTCACTCTTTGGGTCCGCACTGCCTTTATGAGCTGTAACACTCACCACGAAGGTCTGTAGCTTCACTCCTGAGGCCAGTGAGACTAGAAACCCACCAGAAGGAAGAAGCTCCAAACACGTCAGAACATCAGAAGGAACAAACTCCGGACGCCCCTTTAAGAACTGTAACGCTCACCGGGAGGGTCCGCAGCCTCATTCTTGAAGTCAGTGAGACCAAGAACCCACCAATTCCAGACACAGCAGTTCTCAAGCAAAGACCGATGAGAGTTAGTGTCTAAATTCCCTGGCTCCCTTGGCGCTCAGGTGAGATAATTTTGTGCTGTGTTTACACTACAGCTTACAGTTTCCCTGCGAGATTAATGTCCAATGTACTAATCTGGAAGCTGGCTTAATAATGCACCTTTTATTAATCCCACCTCATCTCTACTTCCCTGCATTTCTTAGACACCATAATTAAATCCTTATCTCAGGCTCCACTTCTGGGGAGACCAGCATTAAGATAGCAGAAGAGTAACCTTGGCTGCTATGAGAAATTCCTCATACCACAAGAAAAGAAGCACTGAAAAGTGAACAATTAACTTCTCTTGAATACAATGAGTATAACACTCTCAAGAATAGTGGGATCTTCTTATGAGACTGCTGACAGATGAAAGATGAGATTCTATGACGTTTATTAAAATGAAGAATTACAGGGGAATATACAGAAAAACAGAGTTAACTTCTTCCTCATAGGAATTCTCCTCCTCATTGTTAGAATATATTGTCTTTTTTATATAACTGTCTTCTATGGGAGGAATGAACAGGTGTCTTTGGGACATACATACTTTCTATGCCTCAAATCTTCATGTATAAAAGTGAGGGAAAACTCGTTGTGTAAATGAAGTATCTCATCCTGTCTGTGGCATAAAGTTTTTCCATATGCTGATGTTTGTACTCAGGGCCAGTTTCGAGGGCATGTGACAGACGGCCCTGCACTTGGTTTGATACTCTGCTGTCACTACCTTGAAATTCTTAATAATTGTGAACAAGACACCCCACATTTTTATTTTGCACCAGATCCTGGAAATTATGAACCCGGTCCCATTTGTATTAATTAAAAACTCTTTGAAGTACGAATTTTCATGATACAAGCAAGAGAAGTCAGGTTAAAAGAATGGTAAGAGGAAGAGCAAAGTAGCTTTCAGGAAAACTAGATCCAACAAAAGCTGGAGTTTCTAGAAACTTCTGGCAGTTATGAAAGATTTGCTGCAGAGAGAGTGGGAGGAAAGCCGTGGTATCAGGACGTTCTGTACTACTTCTGAAATGTACATATGCAGAGGAGCAGGCACAGATGGGATGGCTAAGACAGCAAGTTTGACTTGGAGCCAGCAGGGAAAGTTCAAGTGACCCAGGAAATTAGAAGCAAAAAGAATGAGCCACTTGAACTAGCTGTTCTGCATTAGGCAAACAAACAGATTCTGTTCCTGATTGTTCCTGATGATATCCAGCATTTACCAAACATTTACTCTGTACCTGGAACTGTTAAAAAGGGACTTATAGTCATCTCATTTAATCTGACAACAACCCTTTAAGGCATGTGCTATTATTGTTCCTATACCACCAGTGAAGAAAGCTAGGACAAAATAAGATTAAATCATTGCCCAGGGCACCTAGCAAGTGCTGGAGCCTGGACTTTAACCCTGACAGACTGTGGAGCCCAAACTCTTAATTATGACATATAGCTCCCCTACCAAGTAAAATGGCTCTCCACTCTAAAAGGCATGATGGAGCAGATATTGTGCGGAAAGGACCCCAGTGGAGAAGTGAAAAGAGAAAGGCTGTGTCCCTGTGGTGCAATCCTTTGTGGAGCAAAGTTCCCCATTTCTTCAGGGGTAGGGGTTAGGGTGGGGGCAACCAAACATAAACATCCACAGACCTTGGGGAGCCCACACGGGGTTTTCCTGGACCCATTTTGCTTCACAAGCACATTTTCCATGGATTTTCATTAGGCTGTGTCAGAGTGTCAGTGGTCTTCAAACTGTTCTACTGATCCCTTGGTTCAACTTTTGTAGCTCAACTGTCTTCCACAATGAGAGGGAACTGAATGGAGGGGCTCAGGCTCCTGCTTCACTTGCACAGCTTCCCTTTCACTTATTTTCATCTGAATATAGGGATTATGGATAAAAATTTGTTTGCAAAAAGAAGATGAGGTTCTACAGCTAAAAATACACTATAAAAACCATTGCTCTGGGCAGTCACTTCAACTGGGAGAAGACGAATAAGCTGTAGGCAGATCACAGGGCTCTTGCACACACATTCCTCCCTCTCCTCCCCCAAACACAACTCAGATTCAACCTGGGTCAGTGAAGAAAGGCTAATACTGGTATTTGGTGTTTGTAGAATCTTGGGCAGAAAGTATTTGAATCTTCTCTATGCCACAGACTTGTTCACTAACTGTGAGTTTGTTTCTCACTTAAGAACAGTTTTTAAACATACAGTGTTTTCATCAGGAAAATATATATATATATTTGCAGGGTCAATTCAGACGCCTTTACAATAATAGTGGTTCTGACCTTCCTTTCAGGTAGGAGCCAGAATTAATTGTTCTTTCCTCTGCTTTCCTGCAGCAACCAACAATTATTTGAATATCTATCAAGTGTAAAACAGGGTGATCCTGCCCTCAAAGGACTCACCGTCTAGTAGTAAAAGGACCTAAATAATTCCTGTGCCTGTCATGACGATGGTCACTTTCTACCTCATGTTACAGAGGCAATAGGAAGTGCAGACAGCTGAAGGACATGGAAAAAAAAATTGATGGAAGAATGGCAGCCAGGTTTGGCCTTAAAGAAACTGCATTTCCCTAGGTGGATGTGTAATTAGTTTTCCAAGAGAAGATGATATAATAGCTACACAAAGGTAGCAATAGCATAAACAAATCCTACAAACCTTGAAAAGTCACCTTTGAGGATAGGAACCTGGTTTTCTAATATTTCCCTTGAGGCCTCTCTCATCTCACATGCTCTTCAAAATCTGGACCTATGCGTCAAGTTTCATAGACTAATGATTCAGATGATCCTCTGTATAATTCAGTTCAAGTTTGGTGATGAAGGCACACCTTCCTATACATATAATTCTAATAAAAGTATGTGTCAGCAGGAAGTGTTGGTGAACAGACAAATTTCTTCCGTCCCGCTTCAGCAAATGGCCTTATGGGATAAACTAAAGCCTAACTAGAAAATACACATTTAAAATTTTCTAAAACATCCAGGATTAGAAACGTGTGTTCCTACCTCTTGTTTACCAGTTCATTCAGGGGTTAAGAACATAACTGTTACTAAAGCAAACCATTGCACAAAACTTTGACTTGCTAATTGGCAACATTCCTTCAGATTATAGGAACTAGAAAAGAAACAAAGTGTAATTTAAGACATTTCAGCTCTAAAACTGTTGCTATGTTTTTATCTCTTGGACCATACATTTTTTTCTCCTTTTAAAAATTGGATTATAGCAATAAAATTTACATAACATAAACTTTACCATCAAACCTGTTTTAAATTTAAAAAAAAAAATCCTTGAGGTGCAAAATGTGAGTATTGAGGCTCTTGAAATTTCCTTTTCAATTTGTAGCTTTTGTTTCTCTTAGTAAGACATAAAATACTAGGCTATTTCAGAGCCTCCTGTCCCCTCACCCCCTAATATTAGAGTGCATTTCCTTGGCCCTTTTAATCCTAAATTACCCTCTTTATAGCAAGGAGTAAAACTTATTAACCAATCACTACAAAACGTAACAACACAACCTTAAGAATGGTTTTAGATATCCAACCAGTTGTACTTCTTGAGTTAGGTTACAAATTATGTTATTTAAGGTAATTTTGGGTGTCGGGCCTCTGAGCCCAAGCTAAGCCATCATATCCCCTGTGACCTGCACCTATACATCCAGATGGCCTGAAGCAACTGAAGATTCACAAATGAAGTGAAAATAGCCAGTTCCTGCCTTAACTGATGACATCCCACCATTGCGATTTGTTCCTGCCTCACCCTAACTGATCAATTGACTTTGTGACAATACACCCTCTCCACCCTTGAGAAGTTACTTTGTAAAATCCTCCCCACCCAATCAAGAAGGTACTTTGTAATATCCTCCCCACCCTTGAGAATGTACTTTGTAAGATCCACCCCCTGCCCACAAAAAAATTGCTCCTAACTCCACCGCCTATCCCAAACCTATAAGAACTAATGATAATCCCACCACCCTTTGCTGACTCTCTTTTCAGACTCAGCCCACTTGCACCCAGGTGATTAAAAAGTTTTACTGCTCACACAATGCCTATTTGGTGGTCTCTTCACATGGACGCGCACAACATTGGGATTCCAAGACATGTCCCAAATCTTCATTTAAAGTTAAGAGTGGCAACTCTCCACACAAATACTTACTGGCATTGTTCAAAGTCCAGTCAGAGACTTTTCACAAAGGGAAGGAAGATGTTGCCCCTACGTGAGGAACTCTGTTAACAACTAAAGCAGCATGAGGTCAAGACAGGAGTTTGGCAGGCTTGGTTTTACAAGGTACAGGTCAGAAAGAACCCTCTGATAAAACAAGATGCAGTAAAAAAAGCTGGCCAAAACCCACCAAAACCAAGATGGTGGCAAAAGTGACCTCTGGTCATCCTCACTGCTTATCTGCTAATTATAGTATATTACCATGCTAAAAGACACTCCCACCAGCACCATGACAGTGTATAAATGCCATGGGAATGTTCAGAAGCTACTCTGTATGGTCTAAAGAGGGGAGGAACCCTCAGTTCCTGGAATTCCCCACCCCTTTCCCAGAAAACTCATGAAAATCCACCCCTTGTTTAGCATATGTTCAAAAATAACCATAAAAATAGCCAACCAGCAGCCCTCAGGGCTACTCTGCCTATGGAGTAGCCATTCTTTTATTCCTTTACTTTCCTTTACTTTCTTAATAAACTTGTTTTCACTTTACTCTGTCCACTTGCCCTTGGCTCTTGAATTCCTTCCTTCATGAAGCCAATAACCCCAATGGACTCCCAGGCTGAACCCCAATTCTGGAGTTAACCCTGTGACATCATTTCTGGTAACACAAAGGGACAATGGAGACCTCCCCTTGGACTCCAAATTAAGACTGATCAGCACCATTCAGACCTGACAGATGGGCATGTCTCCTTTTGTCCAGATTCAACTCACTATCCTTTTTTATCTTCTATTTTGGCTCCTCTGTCCTTTCCTGTATTCTTTATTTTGGACAGATGGAGAAGTGGCCACGAGACTTCTAGCTTGATAGCCTGTTTGCAGTCTCCCATTGTCTGGGTGCCCCATAGCAGCACACCTGGCCAACCATGTTCTTTATAACCCCCTTTGTCACCTCTTCTCTCCAACCGTTTCTCTTTAGTTTCTAACAACCAGCCATTTTACTTTTCTCCTCTCAGTGCCAAAATGCTTGCTTATGCTCATGTCATTGTGGCATTTATTGTCTTCTTTTGCTATTTGGGCAATTGTTTAAGGAAGGATGCTTTCTTGTGAGAGGTCCCCCATTCTATTGACCCTAGGATGCGAGAGTCATGTTGTTCTGTGGCCCCAGTTGTGTTAGGTCTCGTGCCTCTGGTGTTTGCTGTTGGCCACCCTGGAGATGCTCTAGGGTTTTTGGCATTTGGTGTGAGGATCTTCACTGGCTGATACTTGGGTATTTTGGGCTTTTCGGCATTTGGTTCTGTTTACTGCCCCCGAAATGCTCTGTGGTGTTTGGCATTGGCATTCTCTCTAGGATTGTGGGTTACAGTCCCACCCTAGGGGAATCTTAGTTTTGCCTTTCCTTGTTTTCTACCCTAAAGTTTTCATTTTTCTGTAACAGTATTTTCTTTTCTTATTGTCTCTTTATTTAATGCTTTGCTATAGGAGGTGAAAATTTGCAGGGGAAAATAGCTGGGTTCTTGAAAGACTTAGAAAAACTTCTATATCTAGCAGAGATCCTTGTTAGACATGGGGACAATGGTGAATCCCAAAGGACTTGTCACTAAGGTGCCTTTTAAGCAATTGGAGCAAATTCAAATGAGAAACAAGTTTAGCTAGGTACTGAAGGAACATACCTCAAAATAATGAGACATCTATGACAAACCCACAGCCAACATTATACTGAATGGGTAAAAGCTGGAAGCATTCACCTTGAAAACCTGTACAAGACAAGGATACCTTCTCTCACCACTTCTATTTGACACAGTATTGGAAGTCTTGGCCAGAGCAATCAGGCAAGAGAGAGAAATAAAGGGCATCCAAATAGGAAGAGAGGAAGTCAAACTATCCCTGTTTGCAGATGACATGATCCTATACCTAGAAAACCACATAATCTCAGCCCAAAAGCTTCTTGAGCTGATAAACAACTTCAGGAAAGACACAGGTTACCAAATCAATGTGCAAAAATCACTAGCATTCCTATACTCCAACAACTGTCAAACCAAAAGCCAAATCAGGAATGTAATCCCATTCCCAACTGCCACACACACACATACTACACACACAGTACCTAGGAATACAGCTAACCAGGAAGGTGAAAGATTTCTACAAGGAGACCTACAAGATACTGCTCAGAGAAATCAGAGGTCACACAAACAAATGGAAACACATTTCAGGCTCACGGATAGGAAGAATCAATATCGTTAAAATGGTCATACTGCCCAAAGCAATTGATAGATTCAATGCTATTCCTATTAAACTACCAAGGACATTCTTCACAGAACTAGAAAAAACTTCTAAAATTCATATGGAACCAAAAAAAGAGTCCAAATAGCCAAGGCAATCCTAAACAAAGTGAAAAAACCTGGAGGCATCATGTTACCCAACTTCAAACTATACTACAGGGCTACAGTAACCAAAACAGCATGGTACTGGTACAAAAACAGACACATAGGCCAATGGAACAGAATAGAGAAGCAAGAAATAAGGCAGCATGCCTACAACTATCTGATCTTCAACAAAACTGACAAAAACAAGCAATGGAAAAAGGACTCCCTATTCAATAAATGGTACTGGGATAACTGGTAAGCCATATGCAGAAGACTGAAACTGGACCCCTTCCTTACACCTTATAAAAAAACTAATTCAACATGGATTAAAGACTTCAATGTAAAACTCAAAGCTATAAAAACCTGGAAGAAAATACAAGCAATACCATTCTGGAATGGACAAGGATTTCATGTTGAAGATGCCAAAAGCAATTGCAACAAAAGCAAAAATTGACAAGTGGGATCTAACTAAACTAAAGAGCTTCAGCACAGCAAAAGAAACTATCAACAGAGTAAACAGACAGCCTACATAATGGGAGAAAATTTTTGCAATCTATGCCTCTGACAAAGGTCTAATATCCAGCATCTATAATAAACTTACAAGAAAAAAACCAAACAATCCCACTAAAAAGTGGGCAAAGGGCTAGGCATGGTGGCTCATGCCTGTAATCCCAGTGAGAGGTGACAGCATGCTGGCAGTCCTCAGAGCCCTCACTTGCTCTCGGCGCCTCCTCTGCCTGGGTTCCCACTTTGGCAGCACTTGAGGAGCCCTTCAGCCCACTGCTGCACCGTGGGAGCCCCTTTCTGGGCTGGCCAAGGCCAGAGCCGGCTCCCTCAGTTTGCAGGGAGGTGTGGAGGGAGAGGCGCGAGCAGGAACTGGGGCTGCGCGCAGCGCTTGTGGGCCAGCTGGAGTTCTGGGTGGGCGTGGGCTTGGTGGTCCTATAGTCAGAGCGGTCGGCCGGCCCTGCCGGCCCTGGGCAGTGAGGGGCTTAGCACCCGGGCCAGCAGCTGCAGAGGGTGTACTGGATCCCCAAGCAGTGCCAGCCCACCGGTGCTGCGCTCGATTTCTCACCGGGCCTTAGCTGCCTTCCCATGGGGCAGGCCTCGGGACTGCAGCCCGCCATGCCTGGGCCTTCCTCTGCCTCCGTGGGTTCCTGTGCAGCCCGAGACTCCCTGACGAATGCCGCTCCCTGCTCCACGGTGCCCAGTCCCATCGGCCACCCAAGGCCTGAGGAGTGTGAGCGCATGGCGCGGGACTGGCAGGCAGCTCCATCTGCAGCCCCGGTGTGGGATCCACTGGGTGAAGCCAGCTGGGCTCCTGAGTCTGGTGGGGATGCGGAGAGTCTTTATATCTAGCTCAGGGATTGTAAACACACCAATCAGCACCCTGTGTTTAGCTCAAGATTTGTGAATGCGCCAGTCAACACTCTGTATCTAGCTGCTCTGGTGGGGACATGGAGAGTCTTTATGTCTAGCTCAGGGATTGTAAATACACCAATCAGCACCCTGTGTTTAGCTCAAGGTTTGTGAGTGCACCAATCGACACTCTGTATCTAGCTGCTCTGGTGGGGATGTGGAGAACCTTTATGTCTAGCTCAGGGATTGTAAATACACCAATCGGCACTCTGTATCTAGCTCAAGGTTTGTAAACACACCAATCAGCACCCTGTGTTTAGCTCAAGGTTTGTGAATGCACCAATCGACACTCTGTATCTAGCTGCTCTGGTGGGGCCTTGGAGAACCTGTGTGTCGAAACTGTGTATCTAACTAATCTGATGGGGACGTGGAGAACCTTTGTATCTAGCTCAGGGATTGTAAATGCACCAATCAGTGCCCCGACAAAACAAGCCACTGGGCTCTACCAATCAGCAGGATGTGGGTGGGGCCAGATAAGAGAATAAAAGCAGGCTGCCGGAGCCAGCAGTGGCAACCCGCTCCAGTCCCCTTCCACACTGTGGAAGCTTTGTTCTTTTGCTCTTTGCAATAAATCTTGCTACTGCTTAGTCTTTGGGTCCACGCTGCTTTTATGAGCTGTAACACTCACCGCGAAGATCTGCAGCTTCACTCCTGAGCCCTGCGAGCCCACGAGCCCACCAGGAGGAATGAACAACTCCAGATGTGCTGCCTTAAGAGCTGTAACACTCACTGCGAAGGTCTGCAGCTTCACTCCTGAGCCAGCAAGACCACGAACCCACCAGAAGAAAGAAACTCCGAACACATCTGAACATCAGAAGGGACAGACTCCAGACGCGCCACATTAAGAGCTGTAACACTCACCGCGAGGGTCCGCGGCTTCATTCTTGAAGTCAGTGAGACCAAGAACCCACCAATTCCGGACACACCAGCACTTTGGGAGGCTGAGGTGGGTGGATCACCTGAGGTCAGGAGTTCAAGACCAGTCTGGCCAACAAGGTGAAATTCCATCTCCCCTAAAAATGTAAAAATTAGCCAGGAGTGGTGGCACATGCCTGTAATCCCAGCTACTCAGGAAGCTGAGGCATGAGAAGCATTTGAACCTGGGAGGTGGAGGTTGCAGTGAGCCAAGACTTTGCCACTGCACTCCAGCCTGGGTGACAGAGTGAGACCCTGTCTCAAAAAGAAAAAAAATAGTGGACAAAGGACATGAACAGACACTTTTCAAAAGAAGACATACATGTGGTCAACAATCGTATGAAAAAAAGCTCAACATCACTGATCATTAGAGAACTGCAAATCAAAACCACAATGAGATAGCATCTCACACCAGTCAGAATGGCTATTATTAAGAAGTCAAAAAAAAATAGATGTTCGTGAGGTTGCAAAGAAAAAGGAATGTTTATAAAGTGTTGTTAGGATAAATTAGTTCAACCATTGTGGAAGACAGTGAAGTGATACCTTAAAGACTTAAAAACAGAGATACCATTTGACCCAGCAATTTCATTACTATGTGTATACCAAAGGGAATATAAATTGTTCTATTATAAAGACACATGCACACATATATTCATTGCAGCACTATTCACAATAGCAAAGGTAGGGAATCAACCTAAATGCTCATCAGTGGTAGATTGGATAAAGAAAATGTGGTAAATATACACCATGGAATACTATGCAGCCATAAAAAAGAATGAGAACATGTCCTTTGCAGGAACATGGATGAAGCTGGAGGTCATTATCCTCAGCAAACTAACACAGGAAAAAAAAACTGAATACCACATGTTCTCACTTATAAGTGGGAGCTAAATGATGAGAACACATGGACACGTAGAGGGAAACAACCGACACTAGTGCCTATCAGAGAATGGAGGGTGGGAGAAGGAAGACAATCAGGAAAAATAACTAATGGGTACTAGACTTAATACCTGGATGTTGAAATAATCTGTACAGCAAACCCCTATGACACAAGTTTACCTATGTAACAAACCTGCACATGTACCTCTGAACTTAAAATAAAAGTTAAATTTAAAAAAAAGAAATTTTCTAAGAGAAATAATTTGAATCCACTTATATTTTATGAAATAGTTTGTGTTACTATCTCAAGACTAGAGTTCCAAGAAAAAAAGCTATTGGGTCTTTTGTGTGTGTGTGTGTGTGTGTGTGTGTGTGTGTGTGTGTGTGTGTGTGTATGTCTAAATGTGTTTTATGTGTATTTACATTATGTCATATATTGTATCTACAGAGTGCCAAATTGGCTTATAAATAAGTGTTCCCAAAAATTAAAGAAGTCCAAGCATTTTTCAAGTTCACATGACTTAAGTTCACTAAAATTTAAGGTTACTAAAAATTCATTTGTAATTCTGTATATAAAATATGCCAAAGAAGATATTCTTTTATTTTAAAAAAAATTGGCCAATTCAGATGTTATTTAAAGTATGGTTTAAAATACGGATTTAGGAAAAACAACATGGCACTCACTTCATGCTATAGCTCAGTAGCTAAGGCTTTGCTTTTTCATGATGGTGGCCTGGGTTCAATTCCTGGCTTAGGGAATGAATTCTTTCTGGTTTGATACCTGTGGGACTTTTACAATTTATTTATTCTTTTCCCCTCCATGGATAGCTTCTGATTTCCTGACTTGAATTTTCTTTTCTTTGAGGGACATTAGGGGTGATTCTAGGTCTTGTGAAAACCATGTGCCATCTGTTTAGAGACACCTTGTGCATCCATGGTTAAGTCATAACCTTAAGGCTTATTGGCTTCAATTAGAAAAATATCTTTGAGGAAAACAAAGGGCTTGCTTAAAAGCCAGAGGTGTTGGCTGTTTGTCCTAGCTAGAGTCTGGTAATTAGAGATATAAAAGGATTTTTTTAAGAGGCGTATGGTTAAAAGTCATCTTAAAAATGGATAAAAAGTTTTATGCTTTTTCTCTTCTTGGCTCTTGTTTTTTGTTGTTTGTTTGTTTTTCTTTTCAGTCAACTGGATTATTTCCCCAATCTGTCTTCTTATCACCTTCAATGTCCCATGAGAGGACCTATTATAATTTCTGACAGCCTAGAACTCCTTGGGATAAACAGAGAAGGTGCCACAGACCCCATTTTGGGGAAAACCTGTTTTCTTCATGGAACCACAGTAATTGAAAGTGGACAGGTCTGTCTCAAAATCTACGGCCGTCCTATATTTTGTATCATGTTACCTCACCTTTTTGACTTTTGGGGGTATCAGAAATTACTTTGCATTATGAGACAACTTTTAGCCTTGGTGTGTAATAGCTAGGTAGAACATATACTTTCAGGGATGGCTAATAGCAGTTGCTTACAGTGAGTCATTATTACCACAGGCCAATATTTCTTTCTTCTTTTATTTAAATTTTTAAAAAGGTGCTATTGGGCACCTAAAAGACAGAAAATGGAGATGGGCTGATTATAGAATGAGCTGATTGGCTTTGGGTTGGCCACTAGTCTTGGAGGAACATTCTTGCAATGAAAAATCTGATGGCTACTGGGTTTTCTTCTGCCTGTCTGTGTAGTTAGATATCCGTTGTGTGTGTGATGTCTATAACAAGGAGCTCTAATTAATGGACTTAAAGAAGAATAAGTGCTTGGATCAAATATTTTTTAAAGGGAAGATAAAAGCTGTGGTACCCTTTAAGTTCATGTAACTTTAATCTTTGAGAAATAAAAACAGCCTTAAAGATTATTGGCAATGTAGATGTTGTCAAAATGTAAATATTTACCTAGGGCTAAAGGGTTGTTTTGAATTAGAAAAGATAATGCTGAAAGTTCAAACAAGTTGTGAAAATATTGTAAAAATTAGCTTGCAAAAGAAATTCTGTGTGTGAACATATTAACTAAATTCAAAAGGTTATTGTATAGTTTTCCTGTAAATTAAGCATTGAAATAAAAACACAGGGTACTCTTAAGGCACTAATCAGCTCTTAAGCAAAATTTGTAAAGGGTTATAAAATGTTTTTGCTTTTTTAAAATTTCTGAGTCATCATTTTGGCAAAGTAAATAATTTAAGGAAATCCGGAATTCTATCTAATAACATCAAGTGTTTTAAACCTCCAACTTTTTTATTTTTTTATTATAATACTTTAAGTTCTAGGTTACATGTACACAACATGCAGGTTTGCTACATAGGTATCTATCCCATGTTGATTTGCTGCACCCATCAACTCATCATTTACATTAGGTAGTTCTCCTAACGCTATCCCTCCCCCAGCCCCCTACCCCTCAACAGGCCCTGATGTGTGATGTTCCCCTCCCTGTGTCCATGTGTTCTCATTGTTCAACTCCCAGTTATGAGTGAGAACATGTGGTGTTTGGTTTTCTGTCCATGTGATATTTTGCTGAGAATGATGGTTTCCTGCTTCATCCATGTCCCTGCAAAGGACATGAATGCATCTTTTTTTATGGCTGCATAGTATTCCATGTAAACCTCCAACATTTAACAGGCTTCCCAGAATCAAACTTCAGTTTCAAAATTAGCTTTACTGACACCTAGCTTTTTAATGCTACAGAGGGCCCCTAGAGCATTCAGAAGAGAGGTAAACAGGATTACCTGGCATGTTTAGGTACATGGGATTGCCAAAATGATGTTCAATTTTCTTTAGGTTATATTTTAGTGAAAAATATTAACATATATTCCAAAATTGTATGGGGTTTCTAAAATTCTAATGTCTGAGTATATGCTATTGATCACAATTAAGGTTGTTATGTTAAGTTATTGTAAACCACAGAGATAACCAAATTTCTTTGTCAATTATGTTACTGGCTGTAACTACCCTGGACATTTTGCTACTCACAGAAAATTGTACTGTTTTGATCCTCTGCAAAAGATGGTTTATAATCAGCTACAGAACTTTGACAGGTACTCTCAAATGCAGGTTTCTGATAATTTTGGAGATTATGACGTTGGAATAAAGGAAAAATGTACAGGACTCATGAAGAGCTGAAATGTTTACAAATATCAAGCAAAACTAGAGTTAACTGGATGGACTGAACCAATAGAAAACTGAAGTAATGTTTTTTGCTTTTGCTTGGAACATTGCTGATCCTTGCTTTGTTCTTCAGAGTCAAGGAAACTTATTTTGAGCTATTTATGGCCTTTAATAATTGAGTAAGTTATACTCCTGTGACCAAAATTTGGGGCATATTTGTCTCTCTCTGCCTGGCTTCTCCAGAATTTGGAAACTACTTGCAAGTATTCTTAACTTATGGCAATATAATTGTTTGCATCAGTGCAACAAGAATCCACTTTCTTGCAAAGCTGATAAAAGCCCCTTGGGAAAATTGGCCTCATACCTTGTTTACACCATCCTTGTCCAGGGTTCCTGACCTGTGGTAAGTGAAAAATGTCACTTTCTGACAGGTCCAGGAGCTCCAGGTTTATCTTGGGACCTTAAGAGGAGAGGATTACCCAGCTCATAGGTATTTGATGGCAAAAACCCATGGATGGGCTCAGCTTTAAAAAGTCCTATCTGAGATTCCTTGTGAAACAGAGTTCCATCAAAGTCAATCTAAAAGGCTTATGTAAAAATAATTATTCTTGCTGCACTGTACACAAATAATCAGGCCAAGTATAAGACTTATAAGCCTAAAGTCTATTTTGCAAACAACTCCGTCCTATCATGATTTGTTTTTAGCAGAAATGAGGACTGGAGAGAGAGAAATTATGTTTCCAAACTTATCATACATTTGTCATTAAATTCCAGACTCATTAGTTGTTTTAAAGTTTTTGCCTACATCTTAGACTAACCCTGCTTATTCCCGTGAACAATCCAGTGACCTCTGACTGCAGCTCAGAAGGAACAAAAGCATAGATAGCTTTTATGGGTAATGTAAAAATCTGGATCAATATTCTAATTCTGAGCAATTATCCTGCAAATCTTGCCAGGTGATGGGAAAAAATAGGATGACCATCACCTGGAGGTTTTCTTTTTGGGAGGTAAGAGCAAGGAAGCTAACCAAAGCCAAGCATCATGCACCCAAATCTTAGCAAGCCTCCTTAACCATAGCCACCAGTTATCTGGGTGTGTCACAGGTTGTCCTTTAACCTGCCTTGTTGGAGGAGAACTCAATTCCATAGCTTCACCTTAGCATTTGGATTATAATAAGGAGTTCATCCAACCCCCACCAAGACACATTTTTGGTCCCAAACTCAATTCTAAGCTTTGAGTTGAAGCCCTAAGAAAGAAAACTAGATCTGAGGGGTCCGGAGGCAGACAATAATGGAAGTTAAAAGGCACAGTGCAGGTGAGTGTGACTAATTCCTGCCAATTAAGCCAAGCTTCCCATTTCATGGATAAAGGTCATGCTAGTATCCATGGCATAAATGAGGTCTAGGAAATGCAAATACTATTGACAGCAGTGGAGGTAGGACGTACATGGGTCAGAGTGGATATTCCCACCACCTAGGCCTTTCCATTAATATGAGTGAAAGCCACTTTGATGCCCATGAGTAGCAAGCACCCTGTAATGGTCACTGGGACTCAGGGATATAAGAACAGAAGAAAGAAAGAGGAATATCTCACTTTCTCTCCCTCATGTACCTCGGGTATTTGCTAGGAAGAGAAGGGAACCAGGGAGACCTGCTCCCTTCTTTCTAGATGAGTAGCTATTCACCTTCAGACTTTACCCCTTTCGGATGCATCCTGAACCCCTGGGACTCCTTTGAAAAAACCTCCTTTTTTCCTTCTTCCTCCTCTGTCCTCACTTCACTGATAGGTAATCATGTCTCCATACTATGCGACACTCCCCTCAGATGCATCCTCCAAACTGGGAAAACTCAATTTCCCAAACCTTAAACTGGTTGGCTTAGGATTGGGCCTGGGGAATGGAACCCAGAAGACTGACATCCTGGCAAAAGGGTAAAAGTCCTTTTTTACCAGTCAGGATTTTGGCCTCCCTCTCCCTGTGCAAACTGGTAAAAGGCCTCAGGATTCTTGAGCTGACTTTATCCACCCCCCTTGTTTTATTTTGATATATGTTTCCTAATAACCTGGTTTGTCTATTCTCACCTTTAGACTATCAAACTCCAAACAGTCATGCAACTGGAGCCACAGATGATGGCCCTGTTTGCCAGGGACCCTTAGATAGCCCTCTGAGGGAGCTCTGACTTCTGCCTTCCCAAAACAGCGCCCCCTGTCAGCAGGAAGCAGTTAAGATCAGCCTTCATTCTTATCCTTATCTTTGTTCTAATAGCAGTTAAGTGTACTTCTTTAGGCAGGGAATGATAGATGCAGGAGGCAGATAAGGGGAAGGGTCCCTGGAGAATCTCTGAGCCACCTGTGCACTGGGAGAATGGGGTGGAGCCACGAGAATTTCATGCCTTCTGTAGGGGGAAAGAGTCTGACCTCTTCAGGTCATGTGTGGTGGCCTGGAATCAATCTGTGAGGTGGGGGCCTGTTAGCAGGACACCCTCTCACTGTACTGAGAGTTTTTCTTTTTTCTTTTTCTCTCCTAATAAGTTCAACCCTACCCACCCTTCAATGTGTCCATGTGCCTAATCTTTCCTGGTTGTGTGACAAGAACCCAGTTTTAGCTGAACTAAGGAGCAAAAATTCTGCAACAGCATTCTTATTCTCTGGTCTCTGCAGCATAATCACACCCCCAAATTTTACCTGGTATAGAATCATGTAGAATAAAGCTGATGGTTTCCAACCTCTCCTGCAACTGAATATGGCTTGATAACTACATCTGGCCAGTAAGATGTAAGCAGAAGTGTCGCATAGCAGTTTCTGAGACCGAAGGTGCATTTTGAACTTCCTTCATCATCTTTTCTTTGATCCTGCCCCAGCAAATGAGAACTTGAGGCTGGAACTCCAGCCACTGCAAGGGCTACACTCTGAGGATGGCAGAGCAGTGAGGCCATAGGGCCTTGAGTGCCTGGATTGTGGAGAAGAGCTGCCATCAGCTGTGGATGGTCTCCAAACTGACATTTGTTGGGAAATGCCCCACTGTCTCACTGAAGGCACCCACATTTTGGCCCTCAGCTACTCATCCAATTCTAACTAATGTCAATTTATACAAACAAAATGCTTGCTTTCCCCCCAACCCCCAGAGGCTCTTAAGGAGTCAATCTCTGGGTGGAATTTTGGAAAGCTGAATAAGGACCATTTTCCTGATGAGGAAGTGTTGCTGCTGTTGCTCACCCCACTAAGGATGCAGGCCGTTTGCCTCCCAAAGGTTGTCCTTTAATTCAATTACAGCCTCAACACTTTGTGAAGTGACCCTCTCCAGACTGAATTATATTCTAATTAGAAAGTTAAGGTTTTCTCAATGTATTATGCTATTGGAGTCCCCAGAAGTCTAGTAATCCCTATTAGCTATGTGTCTGACTCATACTGCATATTTTACAGACACTCCTCTACTCTGTGGTTTTACTAAAAATTCCAAAGTTGTGTCTCCCTGGCATGCTGTTAAGGACCTTTTATTTTTTTTAATTCTGATGAGTGCCAAGCCCTAGAAATTAGACCTGCTACCCCTTTAAAAATGATGTACTCAGCTACCTGAAAATGCTCTGCTTCTTTGCAGAGAAGGTTTTAGATCAATCTCTTTAGTACAAGCAAATAACCCCAAATGTGTTAGCGCTAAGCACTCAGGGAGCCTTAGATTATTCTGCTTTTTTGCCTGTTATGAGCAATGCTGGTGACTAGAACCAACGACTTACTCAAGGGTAACATCCTGAAAAATAGCTATGCCAATCCAGGGTGATATTTATCATTCCTAACCACAGGCCAGGCATAGACACAGAGAGTCAGATCAGACCTTGGCTGTGTAAACCACTGATATAGCCAAACTGTACAAACCAGCTGACTATCAGCCAGGTGCAGGTTGATTATTAAAACTAAGGGCTCTTGACTTGGAATGGCAAGAAAGTGGGAAGGGGATGAATGGTGAGAAATTATTTAATGGGTACAATTACATTATTTGAGTGATAGATACACTAAAAGCCCTGACTTGACTGCCATGCAATCTATGCATGTAACAAAATTTCACTTTTAAACCTACAATTTTATACAAATAAATTTTAAAATAAAGAATATAGAATATATATTTTTTAAAAAGACAAGTTTTCTTTCTTTTTTTTTTTTTTTTTTTTTTTTTTTTTTTTTTTTTGAGATGGAGTCTCTCTCTTTCACCAGGCTGGAGTGCAGTGGTGCAATCTTGGCTCACTGCAACCTCTGCCTCCCGGGTTCAAGCAATTCTTCTGCCTCAGCCTCCCAAGTAGCTGGGACTACAGGCACCCACCACCACGCACAGCTAATTTTTGTATTTTTAGTAGAGACGGGGTTTCACCATGTTAGCCTGGATGGTTTCCATCTCTTGACCTCATGATCCGCCTCCATCAGCCCCTCAAAGTGCTGGGATTACAGGTGTGAGCCACCATGCCCAGCCGGGCTCTTATAAAGCCTTCAGGATTTATTTCTGGCTTTTCCTTTCCTTTATTTCTGGAGGATGGTTTTTAGCCTAGACACCCTCTCCTCCCCTCCCCTCCCCTCCCCCTCTCCTCCCCTGTCTTCCCCTCCCCTCCTCTCCCTCCTTCCCCTCTCCTGCCCTCCTCTCCCCTTCTCCTTCCCTCCCCTCTCCCTCTCTTCTCCTCCCCTCCTCCTTTCCCCTCTCCCTTTTCCTCTCCTCTTCTCCTGTGATGAGACCCCCTGGCCTTCCCTTTCACTGAGATTAAAATCCCTCCAAATTTTTCACATTCTCACTTCTTTACTTGAAAACAAAAACAAAAAAAAACCTATCCCCTAAGTGAAATATGCCAGTCACAGAAGACTACATTTTACACAATTTCATTCAAATAAAATACAGAATAAGCAAATGTATAGAGAACGTAGGTTAGTGGTTGCTTGGGGTTGGGGGAGTGAGGAAATAGGGGAGTGATAGCTAAAGAACCCCCAGGTTTCTTTTTGAGGTGATGAAAATTTTTTAAATGCTCTGTGGTGATGGTTACACATATCTGGAAATTTCTAAAAGCAGTTGAATTGTACACTTTAAATGGGTGAATTGTATTTGTAAATTATATATCAATAAAACTGTTAAATGCCATTCAAGCAAGTATGATCTAGAGAAATATGTGCTAAAATACAAGTTACCAAGTGGTTGCCAATTGACTGAATATTGGCTATTTTGTTGGATTAACGTTGTTTAAAACAGTTGTCAAAGTTTAAAAATAAAGAAATCTCCCACAAAAATCCAGCTTTTTGCCATCAGAATCTCTGGTATCAATGGCTCTATATTCCTGCATGGGGAGAAGTGCCTGGCTCAAGGGATCTTGGGATCCCTTCAAATGAGACCTGAGTTCTTCCAGGAACCACCTCTTGCTAAGATTTGACTTAATTATTATACTATTACTCCCCATAAGAGTTAGCATCCTCCAAACTAGATCCTTTTTAATTCAACAAATACGTATTGAGTATGTATTAGGTGCCATGTACCTTCTCTCTTTCCTCCTATCTGAGGACAAAAACCTCCCAAACCTCTACAATCTTTTCCCACTATCCTCTCCCCCATTAGCCTATAGACCTTTTCTGGTCTTTCTTATCATAAAAATTGTCAGCCAATTAAACAATCTTCTGTTGAATCCGCTGCTTTCTGAAGTCAGCTGTCTCATCTCTTGCATTCATTTCAAGCATAATCTATGTTCACTGGCATTTCTTTGCCTCCTACTCGTTGAACTGGTTGCAATTTTGGTTTCTATTACTCTACTGAAACTCTTCTATTAAAGTTCACTAAAGGAGAGTAGTGAGTCATCAAATCCAGTGCCCTTTTCCTCAGTTCTCACTTTCCTCAATGCTTTGCCTTTTTTCGGCCTGGAAAACATAGAAAAAAATGGAAAGAAAAAAAACATCATTCTATTCTCCTAATATAAAAATTTAAAAAGTCGGTGGAAAGTGGATTTTCTCTTGTTTTTCCCAGACAGAGCTCTTCTGATCTTTTGTAGATCTCCCTCAAGGATGAATACCCCCTCCCTCTATACATTGGAGCTGACCCACTCATTCAATAAAGCTGGGCCCTGTGGACAAACAAAGCCTCTGTCCTCATGGAGTCTATAGTCTGGTGGCATATTGGATGAATATATAATTACTAACTGGGCAGCACTCCAAGAGAGACAGTATGATTCTTAAGAGACCATGCAATAACAAAGGAAGGTGACCTAGATCGGGTAGGCAGTGGGATCAGGGGAGACATTCCTGGGGAATTTATGTTTGTCCAGTTCATTTCTACTCATCCTTTGCTTTTCTTCTCATAGAAAGTGAGGAGAGAGAGAGCAAGAGCAAGGGCAAGAGAGTAAATTCCAGGCAGAAAAATAAAACCAGCGTGGGGGAAGCTTGACGTAGGAACTAAGAGAATACAGAAGGGGAGAGTGGTGAAAGATGAGTCTAGATAAATCAGACGGGATCTTGCAGGTCATGGTAAGAGGTTTGTTATCCTAAAGCCAATAGTAAGACATGGAAAGTTAAAAGCAAGGGAGATAACATGATTACTTCAACATATTTTTTAAAAATGCTTCTGCTGCAATATGAAGAATTGGTGCAGGGGGCCAGGGAAGAGACAGGGATTCTAATTAGTAAGTTATTGACAGAGGGTAGGTAAGAGTTGGTGGTTGTTACCAGATTCCAACATATGTAGACAATGAAATCAACAGAAGGAATGTGGACTTTTGGAACACCAACCAAACTCAGAAAATTTCAAGGCTTTCCTCCATTCCCTCCAAATTCAAGAAGAAGGTACTCATAACTAGGTCATGGCTGAAGATGCCATTATAATAGTCATGCTGTTACTGGGGTTGAAGCTTTTAATGTAAGCAACAAAGCCTTGAAATGCTTCCTTCTAGACAAACTGAATAATCTAACTGTGACATGTGCCCTCCTCAGCTCTTCCTTAGGTCAGAGAGCCAAGGAAGAACCACAGTTAGATTAAGGTGGCCATTGGGAAAGCTTCTACTTTAATCCCTGGGCTAGAAATTGCTCTTAGGGCTTATTTTTTGTCCATCTGGACCACTTGAATAAATTTAGGCCCAACCTCTTTCCATGGGAATGAAACAGGGATCAATATAGCCAAGGTATGCAGCTTGGTAGGGATGCAAAATCCCTGAGTGATGCCTTCCATCCTTCATCTCCCAACACAGTTCTCTTCTTGCTCCCTTACTCCTGCCACTCTCATGTTTTGAAAGCCAGACTCAAGCATGACCACTGTGTAAGCCACTGCCTCCAATAGAGAAGGAAAGAAAGGAGAGTAAGGGTTGGAGAACAATTTTCCTGAACATACTCTTCAACCATTTCAGAATGTATCACTCCTTCCTCTTCACTTCCTTCTGCACGTCAATGTGGGCCTTCTTGTGCAGTGCCTTTTGTGCACCTCAGGGTACTGAGTTCTCCTTTCCCTTGATCCCAGAGGCAGCTGCAATAAGAATACAAATGGCTATGGGGCTTTGTTGTCACTTCACCAATGAAACAGCACACAAATTCTTATTTGCATTGACCGGGTCCTCTGACTGGCAGAGAAAGCTCTAGGTGCTTATCTCCATCAAGGTCCTTTCTAGGCCGTTATAAGTGGCACCTGTTAGCAATGAAGGATAACCATCGATCTATAAGGTACTCTTCATGGGCTAGGTGAGTTTGTTATTATTTGCTTTGTTTTCTTTGTTTGTTTTGTTGTTTGTTGCTGTTTGGGATTTCAGTGAGCCCATGCAGGGAACTACATGGGACACTCTTTCCCTCTAAATCCCACTTACTTCCCTTTAAAACTAAGAAAGTGGCAGACAGGCAAGGTAAGACCCAGTGGAAATGGGCTAAGGATGCCACTGAGATTGTTCTCAAAAATGAAGGGGCAACAGGAGTCTATGGTGGAGGTCCATTCCATGCCATTGATTTAGGACATTGCATTCAAGTGTAGGGCCAAAGCACAGACCAATAACATGATTCCATGGCCTAGATAGTCTTTAAATATCATTCCTCAAAGACTATGGTGGCCACAATAGATGGCTATTCAAGATTTGTATCCCAACCACTGATGAGCACGCACCTTCCCAACTCCTCTCACATCACAGTTCTGTTCTTATTGCCTTGGTCTATTCACCATTCCCCCAACATGCCCTAAGTCCATCAGCATGCCTTGTCTTCATTAGACAGTTGATGGGACTCATGTGGGTTGAGAACAGGGAAGAAGATCATTCAGGTAAAATATTTCATTGATGTTGTTCTAATATGCAAAAAATACAAAAAGTAACACTCTTTCCTCAGCTGCTACCAGAAATGAAAATAATCTCAACATTTGACAGAAAGTAAAATTAGATTGTTTCAAAGTCTTCTAAAAATCTGAGTTCTCCTTAGAAGAGACATTTTTAACAGTTTGGAGACACTGGATAGAAGCCATGGCTGAATTTGAGTTTCTAGGGCACAGGAAATGCTGAGGAGTGAGCTGAGTTGGGAGAAGGAGCATGATGATCAGCCCAGAAGATCCAGTGCCTTGACTGTTTGGGAAAGCTGGGGTCAGGAAGAAATTGCCTGGAAAAAAGCTGGAAAGTCCAGTCAAGGGCTTCTGCCCCTCAGGCGAGTGCTGGGAGAAAAGTTGGGAATGCCAATCTGCTTTTTCTCCTCTAGGTTTTTTTCACTAATGGCAAAAGGAAGGAGAAATACTAGGCATCACAATCCAAGAATATAAGATTCAATTACCCCAACCCTAAGGCCACTTTCATGACAAATATGACTTACACTTGTCTAGAGCCCAATATATGCTCTAAAGATTTTTTCTTCTTTAAAGACTTCAAATGAAGTGTGCTCATGGCTGGCTGAGCACATCATGTTGCCATGAGCTCATGACTACTTGCAAGCTTTCCTGAAGTAGAGCTCCAAATCACACACGTCTGGCCACCATCTTACAGCATGACTGCATCCTGGAATCCCATCAGGCCACTGGAAACAGGCTTTATCAAAGCTGTTTTCTGAAACCTGGCTTTAAAAATTGGGAGAAAGGCTTCTTTATTCAATAAAAATCTTGATCTTAGCATTCTGGTTATTTAAAACCTCTCTTCAGGTATGGATGCACAGGAGCAGGGGGACTTGGTTAATGTGAATCAGGAATTTTAATTTAATGAAAAATTATTGCAAACGATGTTTATTTAAATCATGATTAAATCTCAAGGTCTGCAGAGCAGGTTGCGGCTGATGTCATTGGCTGCCATTTACTGTCCAGAAAGCTGCACTACTGATTCCTAAACGTCCTCAGCCACATCGTGTGAGTCTTTCTCATAACATGCACAAAAACGAGAACTAGCAGTCTGGGTAACAAAGCCTTTGACCTGCTGATGGGTGAAAGCTGCCGTTAGCTCTGTGCTTGCTTCAGAGCTGCCACTCCTTTCCTTTCCTACACCAGTCTCAGAGAGACGCTGTGTCACCCAGTGGACACTAAAGTGATGGCTTTTTAAACCTAATCAATGACTAATGATAGGTCACCATAGTCTCTTGAAGAATATTTTCTTAGAACTAGACTTTTGTGGTAAAACACCTGGTTATCTATGCTTTGGGTACTTCAAAATATTTGAGAAGCTATAATAGGCCCCAAAGCAGCTGAGTGATCATCTTTCTGCTTCCATAGGGCACGCGGCAGGCCTCATCATGAGGGATGAAATCTACACTTGCTGGTTCTCCTGTGGACTTGGAATTTACCATCACAAAGATAATTCAGACCTAGCACTTCCCAGAGGTTGAGCCCCAGTACATTGATTGAGGAACTGTCAAAACAGGCTTGCAAAAATATAGTATATTTTGAGTGTTTACATTTAATAAATTAACACTTGTGAAACACTATAAACAATGCAACATAATTGTGTGATGACTTGTAAAAATTAATTCAGGCTGTGCAGTTTTATAATGGGGTAATTGTATAGTTGCATGAGAAAAAAGTCCTTTTCACATTTATCCTGAATCTCAGTGACCATATGCATAACCTCGTTTGAAGTTAAGGTGAAAGTCTAAATTTGACATATTTTGTGAATAAGAGGCCTGGACCAATGCCATCCTAGATAAGCTACTTGTTCTCCCTGTTCTCAAAGGGACACAATGAAATCACATGTAAAAAATATTTTTGAGTAACAAGATAATTGAATTTGGTGAGAGAGTGCTGTTCTTAAAATCGGTATGTTGGCAGGATGGTTCTTTCCATCTTTGCTGAAGTTTGCTATATCTCCGGTCCTAACGTTTTTGAGCAAAGTTTACTGCATATCTCTTGCCAGGTCAGCTGAATATGAACTTAAAGGGACCTAACAAAACAGGCAGTATGCATCGATGATTTAGAATTCCACTGTGCCCACGAGGACAAGTAAGAGCAAGCGCCTTGGGCAAAGGACATGGGTATTACCTCCATAACATGCTGTGCTAGGCTGCATATTCAGGACAGGATCTCTGACAGTGGAGAAATAACGACTTTCTGATGGACTGCTAGGGTGCCAGCATGGATTTTCCTGGCTTCAGTGGAATAACTCATTTTTCCATCTGTAAATAGAGTACTGAGACATTATCTTCATATATGCTTGATGTTAGTCAGGGGCACTTCGGGGTACAATTTTGAAGCTCTAGGGAAATTTTATAGCAAAGGTTAAAGTCCAGAGAGGAAAAGAGTCTAGATAGCAATTGAAAATTGGGCACAAATGAAGTATAGTTTGACCCCCACATCTCCTGCCTACAAACTGCAGACCCAGCTGCAGTAGGTGGTAGTGAAATAAGGGAAGTTCTAGGGGGGACTCCGTCCTCTTCAGCAAGTGACAGATGGTGTGAAACCACACGGTAGCTTGGCAGTATGGGGCGGCTGCTGCTTAGTCACTCCTAACTCAGGAACCTAGTATTGAAACTTGAACAGCCTTCCCTGTCTGGCTATAATGCAGCCCAGACATCCCTTGTCAACAAGTTAGTCAACAGTGCTCTGAACAATATCCGGTAAGTCTGATGTCTTACTTGCCGAACCAGTCAAAACAAGAAAAGTGGGCTCTGTTGGAACATTCCCTTTGGTTAACTGAAGATCTCTAGTTTCATTTCTCCCCACCACCATCCCCTTTGTTCATTCACTTGTGCATTCAGTCAGCAGAGGAGCCAGGGGGATATGACGAACTTTCACTGGTTATATACTATGTGCTGGTTACAGTTTAAGGAATACGAAGCTGTAAGGTTTGCTCTCTTTCTGCAGGAAGCTCACAGTCCAGCTAAGGAGACACGTGCAAAAATAAACAATGGTGATCCTTAGGGGTAGATACAATACTGGAGGTGGTACTTGGTACAATGGTGGCTCATAGGAGGGAGAGACAGAATTGCTTAATTGGATCCTTCACAAAAACTGATATTCATCATGATTCAACTTCCACTGTATGCCAGGTACAGTACCAAATATTTTACCTGTTTTATCTCATTTAATTCTCCATTGACTACCATTTCAAAGATTATTAAAACAAAGCTCCAGGAAAACAAGTAACATACCCAAGGCCATGAAACTAGTAAGAGGAAGAGCCAGGATTCAAGTCGAAGTCAGTCTGTCTTTTCAGTTCTCTGATGCTCCTCACCGAGTAATCCGTTGCAAGGATAACGAGCGTGAAACTGTCTGGTACGTTACCCTGCGAAGCAGGGTCATATAAGGGAATGGCGGCCATGGGGGCTGGCTTGAGCCAGAAACAACTCCTGCTCCTGGCTGCAGAGGGAACTGGATGGGGAGGCAGCCCTCACAAGTGACCAGCACTTGTCACTACCCTGTCCTTGCCTGCTTCTTTCAAGGGATGCAGGTTCCCACCTACTCAGCCTCATCCACACTCTTGAAGGGTGCTGATGTAGGGCACCAGTATCCATGGCCAAGGGGATTTTGATCTGGCTTCCTTTGCATATCTTGAATTTTT
The DNA here is from genome assembly GCF_000001405.40 of Homo sapiens. Taxonomy (NCBI): domain Eukaryota; kingdom Metazoa; phylum Chordata; class Mammalia; order Primates; family Hominidae; genus Homo; species Homo sapiens. Next base: position 77,588,111 of record NC_000004.12, read on the forward strand.
TTCTTTTCTGACCCTACAAAGGATTAAAAAAGGAAATGCCTCTTTCATTAAATATTATGACACCTACCTGAATTTTCCTGGAGGGCCATCCCCCCGTTCTCACCATTTAGTCTTCTTAGAAAAAGTTCTAGTGAACAATCAAATGTGATTGAGAATTTGGGTACATACTTTCTACCATTTCTTAACCCCATTACTGCCCCTGAGGCATAAGATAAACTATGACTAGAAAGAGTGGCCACGGTTGGGGTAGGCGGGGAAGTTGATTGGTCCTGACCCCCAGGGATTCAGGTGTGACACCTGTCCACCTTTGAGGATCACTATTCTGGCAGTTCAGTGTCATTGCTGCCTTCATATCTGTGTCAGCTTAGTTGTTCCTCTTTGTAGCACATCACTGACAATGCTTGGAGCCTGCTAAGAGAGCACAGCAGAAGAATTATTTTTAAATATGTAATTTTTTCTTATTTGTCCTTGGCATGTGTATTTGTCAACAGTGGAGCTTCTCTCCACAACTACCTACCTAGCTAATATTCTGTCTTTTGGATACTCAGTTCTCTCTAGCCTGAGACATGAATCTGGCTCTATCTTCATTCTCTTGATCCATCTCACAGATCCTCTTTCTCTGGTTCTTTTCCTGGATTAATTTCTTGGGCTCTGACCACTTCCAACCCTCCCTTCTCAAGCATAGATAAACGAGAACAAAGCTGAACTCTCCCATAGCAATCACTGCTCACTACTATTAAAACCACTACATGTAGTAATGGAGGTGAATCAAACTCAGGAAGACTAGGATAGAAAATTTCCTTTTATGACTACCAGAAATGAAAATTACCCCCATGGTTGAAGCAGTTTCCTCTTAGCCACTTCTATTTTCACTCTGTCTAGATTTCTATTTTAGGCCGATGTGGTTGGAAAGGCTTATAGAACATATACCTTTTGCAATTTATAGAAATGCTTACAAGAGCCTTCCTTTGATATTGGGCAGAGTTGAGGAAATTGTCCAGAGTTACAGTAGTCCACCCTTATCAACAGTTTCGCATTCCGCAGTTTGTTATCCACAGCCAATCACAGTCTGAAATTATTAAAAGGAAAATTACAGAAATAATTCATAAGTTTTAAATTGTGCACTGTTCTAAGTTGTGTGGTAAAATCTCATGCCATCCTGCTTCATCCCATCTGGGACACTAATCATCCCTTTGTCCAGCACATCCACACCATCTATGTATCCAGCCCTTTGTCACTTAGTAGCCTTCTTGGTTATTAGAGCTACTGTCTCGGTATCACAGTGCTTGTGTTCAAGTCACCCTTACTTTACTTAAAAATGGCCATAAAGCTCAAGAGTAGTGATGCTGGCATATTGTTATAATTGTTCTGTTTTGTTACTATTAATCTCTTACCGTGCCTAATTTATACATTAAACTTTATTGTAGGCAGGTATGTATGTATCAGAAAAAAAAAACCTAGTACATATAGGGTTCTGTATTATCCCCAGTTTTAGACATCCATTAGGAGTCTTGGAACATACACCCCACGAATAAGGTGGGGGGACTACTATCTACCAAAGTTCTACTTTCTGACCTCAGGGCTGAACACCAAGTGCTTGACACAGAGTTGGCATTTGTTAAGTGTTTGAGAGATATTATATGCTTTTCTGGAGACATGGACATTGACAGATACTCATGTTTTCAACTGGCCCAAGCTGTCTAGTGCTTCTTTCGCATCAATTAGACAGAGGAAATTAGGAAGAGGTTCATTCCATTCAACAGACAACACACTGAAACACTGCCTGTGTTACCATCAGAATAGTAATTCCACTTTTCTCTCCTTTTTTAATTATCCCAAACACCTACATATACATTCCCCATATTCGCATCTCCCATATGCCGCAAGTACGTGGCCCAGGTAAATGCTCTATAAATATTGATGATTGAAGCCTATTGATCATTTTTATTAACATAGGATTACAGCCTCTTGGAATATGTAGAGGAGTTCCAAGGTAGTCAGAGACGTTTGTACTGCGTGGCTCCGGGAAAAGGTAAGATATATTTTTAATTCAGAAGAGGATAATATCCTAAATTTATATATAAATTGCTAACCACCTACCACACATGTCAGAAATGTCATTTTAGGGAATGTCTCTTCTGTCTTTAGAAACCAGTTTCCATAGGAGGAAAAAGCAGCCTAAGGTAAAAGTCTTTCTCTTCCCAGCAGCGTAATAAGTGAGCCAAGGTCAAAAGTCACCATCCTACTTCAAAGAAGCTGACAGCTGTGGGGGATTCACAGAGGCAGTTTACAGGAAGTTTGATATTCCAGTTCTTTCAGCTAATGCAAGTATTATTTCTTTTTTAAAATAAATGATTTTCAACAGAATTGCATGTGGCATAATTCAGTAAAGTGAAACACAGTATCAAAATATGAATCATAAACTTACCTGGAAAAACGCTCAAGAACAGGTTTTCCATGGACATAAGTCACATGGCCATTCCTTCTTTTTCTGCTCCTGTATAGAAAACCGAATAGTCAACACAATGTCCATTGGCATGACAGTAGCCCATGAATTATTCGCTCTCCTGTGGAGATGTCACACACTCATTCTGTGAGCAGGATTACAATAGTCTTATAAATTCAAATGGGTTTGGCACATGTGTAGTTCTTTGCTCCAGGCCCCAGTACAGGGCCAGTATTTTTATTTTGTGACCAGAATGGGCATGTTAAATGCTATTTTATGCCATGCAAAGTTTATTAATAAGAAATGTTACCTGTCTCATACTATTTATTTGTTTATTTATTGAGATGGAGTCTCACTCTGTCACCCAGTCTGGAATGCAGTAGTGTTACCTTGGCTCACTGCAAGGTCTGCCTCCTGGGTTCAAGTGATTCTTGTGCCTCAGCCTCCTAAGTAGCTGGGATTACAGGCATGCACTCCACACCCAGATAATTTTTGTATTTTTAGTAGAGACAGGGTTTTGCCACGTTGGCTAGGCTGGTCTCAAACTCTAACCTCAAGTGATCTACCCGCCTGGGCGTACCATTTATTACATATACTGTACTATTATATTATACTATCATTATTGTTATACTATTATTATTTAGATATATATACATTCCTACTATATACACATACTAATTATGGCTGGTGTCACCATATTAAAAATGTTTCTCAGCCGGGCGCAGTGGCTCACGCCTGTAATCCCAGCACCTTGGGAGGCCAAGTGGGTGGATCACAAGGTTAGGAGATTGAGACCATCCTGGCTAACAAGGTGAAACCCCGTTTCTACTAAAAAATACAAAAAATTAGCCAGGCGTGGTGGCAGGCACCAGTAGTCCCAGCTACTCGGGAGGCTGAGGCAGGAGAATGGCCTGAACTCGGGAGGCGGAGCTTGCAGTGAGCCAAGATCACGCCACTGCACTCCAGTCTGGATGACAGAGCAAGACTCCATCTCAAAAAAAAAAAAAAAAAAAAAAAGTTTCTCAAATTTTAGCAACTATCATAATCACCTGGGAAGTGAATTAAACAGACACAGCTTCTCTAGTCCAATCCCCAGAAATTTTGATTCTGTAATTTGGACTCTGGAATCCACATGTGTACAAGTGCCCCAAATGACCCTGATCAGCCAACAGGACCCAGGCCACACTTGGCACAGCCCTGCCCCAGCTTCATATCCACGCCATTCACCACTGTGGCCCTGCTGCCAGCAAGTGCCTGTGCACAGTCACTGTGCAACTAACATCCACTGAATGACAGACTTTGGCATCAGGACATCTAGATTTGAGAACTTATTCTTCTTTAACTTCTTTAATTGATCACTTAAACTCTGAGCTCCAAATGTTCTTATCTGTAAAAAGGGAATAATGTCTGTCTACAGAGTTCTAGGTTGTCAGTGACAAAGAAGCAACACCAAAAACATTTCTGGCCACCTTGATCAGAAAAGAAATAATTGGATCATTATCACATGATCCAGCAATCCCACTTCTGGATATTTATCCAAAGGATTTGAAGTCAGTATGTCAAAGAGATATCTGCACCCCCATGTTTATTGTAGTTTTATTCACAATGGCCAAGATATGGAAATAATCTAAGTGTACATCAGCAGATAAATGAATAAAGAATATGTGGTGCTTATACACAATAGAGTACTATTCAGCCTTAAAAAGAAGAAAATCCTATGATTTGCAACAACATGGATACACTTAGTTATGCTAAGTGAAATAAGCCAGGCATAGAAAGACAAATACATGTTCTCACTTACATGTGGAATCTAAGAAAACATTGAAATCACAGAAGTAGAGAGTGGAATGGTGGTTGTCAGGGGTTGGGGGAAGGGGAATGGGGAGATATTGGTGAAAGGGTACAAAGTTTCAGTTTAACAGGAGGACTAAATGGTAAATATTTGACATGATGGATATATTAACTAGCTTGATACAATTATTCCACTATATATATCATAATATCATTGTGTGCCCCATAATTCTATACAATTATAGTTTGTCAATATATAATGAAATTAATTAAATAAATAATTGAAAGGACATTGGACAGCTCATGAAATCCCTGGCAAGGCTGAAGGACTGAGGAAACCAGGGGGAGCTGGGCAGCAAGGAACCATGCCAAGATCATGCCACAGGGGCAATCCAGTGAAGACATAGACTTTCATCACTCAAGATTCAGTTTTGAGTGAGAACACGAAGCTGGCCATCCTGGGTCTTGTGTACTGGCTGCCAGGGGCCTTTTCAGATTTCATAGTGGAAATGGGGCCTCATTGTCCCTCAAGATTTACACAAGATTTCTCCAAAACAGGAAGTTTTGAATGCTGGGCAGCTAAATGTGCATTATGAATTAACTCCAACTTAAGTTGGAAGAAATTCAGAGAGGTTAATAACGTATAAACAAGTGGCAGAGCTGTGGTTTTAACTCATATCTCTTTCCTCTCTTTGTACTTAGAACAGAGCCCTCTTGAAGGTCTGTTCTTTTGGCTTTCCTTTGAATTTCAGTGGTCTCAGGCAATTTTTTTCCCTCATCGATTCTTCCCACACCAACAAGGTAAGAAATGCTTGACCTTACAGAGGCGAGCAGAAAGTAGAAACTGAAAAGCACACTCTGTTTCCCTGATTATGCCTATGATTAATCACTTTCTGACAAAACGAAACTGTTTCTAACCTCAAATTAAACATTTTAAAAGCCAACAAGGCTTGAAAGAACAGAATCACTTCCAATTTATGGTAAGAAGGAGCAGTAATAATCATTGCATCACATCATCTCCCATATGTGCCCTGTATTAGGAATCATACCTAAGTTCGAGAGTCGTCACTGGTGCCATCACGATGAATGAGTGGACATCCCCGTGAGACTTGGCCTTCCAAAGCAAAGCTGGTCAACTCATGTGGCTTTGAGGAAGTCGACTCCAGAATAAAAGTTAATGGAAATGCATAAGCGGAGCAATGATGAGATAGAAAACTACCTTAAATTTGAAAATCATTTCACATTTTATTAAGCACTTTCGCATACCTTAACTTCTTGTAATATCCCTGCATATCCCTTTTTATAGATGAGAACATTTGGAACTCAAAATTTAAATGGTCAGTTTAAGAAGAATGAGCTGTTAAATCTAGGTCTCTTGATTCTGGTGAAAATCTTGGCATGCTTGAAGACAAGGGTGCTCTTGCAGAGAAGAACATATGTCACAGTGGTATCACCAGTTGGGCAAAAAGCTCTGTCATCAACCAGTCGAGGAGAGGTGAGGACGAGTGCTACCCCAGAGGTGGTAGCTTGAAAGTGAAAAGACAGGGGTATTTCTAACAGCTATTAAGGACAGAACACAGAGATTGGGCTGAGTTAGAGGATAAACTGGGGCAGTGCCTCTCTCTGAGCAGCAGCAAAAGGTCAGCATTGCTGCTGGCTGATGTGGAATTTATAATGAAAGCCATGCCGTAGTAGGCAAGGATGTTTTGCTTTAAAAAGTGACATTTGCCTCTTGGTAATACATGCTGCAGGTGTAAGTGTTTGGGGGCTCCACATTCCAGTGTGATGCAAAAAGCACTGGACTTTTAATCAAGGGAGCTGGCTTGAGTCATGCATGTCTATCTCTGGAGGCTGCCAGAGTCAGTCATGCAGAGGACGAGAGGAGTGAGCTCTTAGCCAACTTGCTTCAAGTCCATAGAGGTCCAGTTTCTCCTTCTGCCCTGAAAACCTGGGTCCACAGAGCCATCTTAAGTACCTCAAGCCCAGGGCAAAGGTCCTGGTAGCACCACTTATCTGGAGTACAGATCACTGGAGCCATTTGTCTCCTCTACAAACAGGGACAACAATTAAAATAATGAGACAATAGGCTGGTCAGGAAGTCCCCCAATACTTGCATCAAAATTACCCATTTTAGCAGCTTGTTATTAGAGCTATTGGGCATCAACATAGCTCAAAAGCTTCCCTCTGGCCATAATAAAACATTTCATGTCACAAATCCCAGGCACAGTGGCCTGGGCTCTGTTGACAGGCAGCTGGGCAGGTCCAGGGGCATACTGATGCCAGTGAGGGCCATGGGGCTCATCTTTCCCAGGTCCACATTCAACAACCTCATTTTGGTGGTTTGAAATTGGCCATAATCCACATGGACACTGGGAGGGGAACAACACACACTGTTCAGGCCTGTCGGGGTAGGAGGCTGGGGAAGGGAGAGCACCAGGATAAATAGCTAATGCATGTGAGGCTTAATACCTAGGTGATGGGTTGATAGGGGCAGCAAACCACCACAGCACCTGTTTACCTATGTAACAAACTTGCACGTCCTGCACATGTATCCCAGAACTTAAAATAAAATTTTAAAAAATAATAAAAATTAGAAAATAAAATACAGAAAAATAGAGGGAAAAAAATTGGCCACGGTAAGAGTATGTACATCACAGAAATAGACAAATGCCATGAGTCAGAACTTTATATTTTCCAGAAAGCTGGTTGTAAAGCATTTACCAGCAGCACATCATTTTTGGTTTTAGGTGATTTTTTTTTTTTTTTTTTACCAGTGACACAAAGTCCCTTTGCATATCAGGGAGGCAGCATGGCCCCCTAGTTTCCATTCACTTAATGTACTACGGGCAGCCGCTGTTTTTGAGTTATCTTCTAAGACCTCTTATGCTATAATCAAGAAAACATGTTGTCTTAGAAAATTTCCACCACTCTGAGACACCTTGAGTAAAAGTATCCCTAGTTTGTACTTTTAAACTCAGGGCCAGGATGTATTGAGTTTAGAAACCCAAGTACACACACTAAGGATGCTAAAATTTCGGTACCACAGACCACATCTTTTTTGTACATTGCTTATTGCCTGCAAGATAGTTTGCTCATCTGAAGGCAAGAACAGAGCAATGGCCATGATTTAGTTCACTTTTGGACCCTGAGTAAAATTGAACCATGCGGGAAGATCAAATAAGCCTTTCTTTGTTTGTGACACATAGGAGAGTATGGCATAAAAGTGTGAAAGCCACAGACTTTGAATATAAATGCAGTCATGTAGGTGTTAATACTCCACGTATATAACTTTGTCCTACTTGCCTATAGGGCCTCTGTCCTGCACCCCCAAAGAGCACCCTAATAATGAAACAATACTGTTGGCGATTTTTTGCTCTAGCCTTCTTATCAAAAGCATCACTGCTGTCCTGTGGAGGCTTCCTGTGAGGATGCTGTTCTGTCACCCTGAGCCTTCACAGTCTTGGAGCTATACTGTTGTCTGCAGAGCAGTTAGAGGGAAGGACTCTCTCCCCAGTTTTCTGTCCCACTTCCTAAGACAATGTCCCCTGGGCTCCAAACAAGCATGCTTGCATCCAGAGATGTGATCACATAGAGGCTCCTCAATTTGGCACTCAAACACCTCTCCCATGGGTCCAAACAGTCTTTCAGCTTGGGTACAAATGGGGAATTAACCACTCCCTCTGTTGACCTAATCATACTCAACAAATTGTTACTTTTTGCAAACAAAACAAAGTCCCTTTTCATATTACTGAGGCAGATAGAAGGCAGTATAACAAGAAATACAATGGAATTTTTCCTGTTGTCCCGGAAGGGAGCTAAGATCTAAAGCTGACAAGCAAAAACACTAACAGTGTGTGTCCATTAAGATGATTTTCTAAGTAACCAAAATTGCTAGGTATAGGTTTTGTCTTGAGTAAGACCATCTCTGTATCACCTCCCACTTGTTTGTATGGCTATTATCAAAAAGACAAGAGGTAACTGTTGGCAAGAGTGTAGCGAAAAGGGAACACGTACACTGTTGGTGGGAGTGTAAATTAGTACAGTCATTTTGGAAAATAGTATGGAGGTTACTCCAAAATTAAAAATAGAACTATCATACGCTCCAGCAATCCCTCTTCTGTGTATACACCCAAACAAAATGAAATCAATACCTTGGGCTGGGCACAGTGGCTCATGCCTGTAATCCCAGCACTTTGGGAGACTGAGGTGGGCGAATCACCTGAGGTCAGGAGTTAGAGACCAGCCTGGCCAACATGGTGAAACCCCATCTCTACTAAAAATACAAAAATTAGCTGGGTATGGTGGCGGGTGCCTCTAGTCCCAGCTACTGGGGAGGTTGAGGCAGGAGAATCATTGGAACCCGGGAGGCAGAGGTTGCAGTGAGCTGAGACCGCGCCATTGCACTCTAGCCTGGGCAACAAGAGTGAGACTCTGTCTCAAAAAAAAAAAAAAAAAAGAAAAGAAAAAGAAGAAAAGAAAGAAGTCAATACCCTGAAGAGATATCTGCATCCACACGTTCATTGCAGCATTACTCACGATAGCCAAGACGTGGGAATGACCTAAGTGTCTATTGATGGAAGAACGGGTAAAGAAAAATGTGATCTATACATGCGGTGGAGTATTATTCAGCCTTTAAAAAGATGAAAATGCTGCCATTTGCAAGAACACGAATGAACCTGGAGGACATTACACTAAGTAGTATAAGCCAGACACATAAAGAAGCATATTGCATAATCTCACTTATATGTGAAATCCAAAACAGTCAAACATATAGAAGCAGAGTAGTGGTTATCAAGGGTGAGGAGGTGGGGGAAATAGAGAAACATTTAAAAAATGATAGATTACTTAAAAACATTTTTAATTGATTCAGAGGGAATATTTTACTGATTATTAGATTGAAGCTCTGTAGACTTCCCAGCTAATTGTGTAAATCATATTTTTTTTAATGTATTGATACTTAGGTTTTCCCCTGGGGGCAAAAGGAATGCATTCATTTTGAATAGTATATTTTTTAATCTTTTTGCATAAACTAAAGCAATATGTCATTTTAAAAAAGATTTCCATTCTTTTGGCAAGGAGCTTCTCCATGTGTTGGTTTTGTTGAACCTGGATGTAACATCTGGAATTGATGCAGCCACTTTGTGCCATGAGTGAATCTAGCCTGAGGACAATTTCCTAAGGCAGGAAGGGGCCGCCTTTTACATTATCCCTGTTTTAAGAGCTAAAGTAAAAAAGTTCTTTCCCAGACCCCAATTCCTTAGAAAAGTGAAATTCTCATGGTTGGCTTAAGAAAATAAAGATTTCCCCACCAAGAGTCTTGGAATATGGAAGAAGTTGAATATTCAAATGAATAGGGTCTATTAGAATGGTGGAAGTGCACAAATGGCTCTTGGGTGGGCAACAGGATCTGCTCTGTGGCCACATTCTATGTCCAAAGCACCAGCAGCACCAAGGCTGACCACCCACAGGGACTACCAAGAGGCACCTGCCCACCACCAGCACCTAAGTCAATGAAATGAAAAGACTAGGAGAGGTGAGAGAGCTTTGGGAGACTGCCAGGTGTATAAGAGAATCCCTGCCCTCTCATTTCTCTTCGGAACTTTGGCAAGCCACTAAAGCAGCAGAGTGCTTGATGTCATTGGAGCTTGGAGAAGGGGAGACAGGAAGACAAGAAGCTGAGAAAAGGGAACCATTGAGTCAGCCTGTTTTTCTACTGTCTGGCAAAGCAAGTCTTCTGTGGGTCATGTGGACACTGCGGGAGATGACCAGGCTTGCCTGTCTTGACAGTATACTGCCTCCAAAGGACTGGCATGGAGCAAGGGGATCCCAGCAACAAGGGGCTGTGGAATATGCTCCTGTGGTAGCAGCTGAAGATTTGCGGAAGCCGTTGGTTCAGAATCGAGTCTGCCATATTAGTTTGCACTGTATTAGGGAGACTCTGCAGAGAGATTCAGCCACATCCATAGAGTTAACAGAGAGCAGTGGGGAGTAACAGGGCTGGATAGTGCCTGTCGTCTTGCCATGAAAGATAACCATTCCATCCCCAATCCCTTCGTCCCTTTCAGAGCCTGGAAGAGGGAAGGGGAAGTATAGAACAACCAGACTATGCTTTTCTCACCCACTCCAAGCCTCTATAGTCAAAGTTTTCATCTATGTTAGCTGGAAGAGAGAAGAGCTTTGAATCAAACATTGAAATTTATTCAACAAAGAAATAAGACTATTTGAATAACAAAAAGTGACAAAAAGATGTTATGGAATCTGGAAGATGCCTCATGAGAGATGCTACACCACCAGAAAGGGAGAGGCAATATAGTAGAGTGGCAGGTTATTGCGGAAAACTTTTCTTCGTTATACACTAACACATTGAGACTCCATAGTGAACACATTCTACAGAAGGAAGGTGAGGTGTCGCCCAACTCTAAGCTTTGAAAATATTCATGTCCCATTTTTGGCCTAGCCCCAACACAATGATTTTTTTTTTTCTTTGAGATGGAGTCTCACCCAGGCTGGAGTACAATGGCATGATCTCGGCTCCCTGCAACCTCTGCCTCCCGAGTTCAAGTGATTTTTCCTGCCTTAGCCTCCATAGTAACTGGGATTACAGGCACCTGCCACTATGCCCGACTAATTTTTGTATTTTTAGTAGAGCCAGGGTTTCACCATATTGGCCAGGCTGGTCTTGAACTCCTGACCTCAGGTGATCCACCTGCCTCAGCCTCCCAAAATGCAGAGATTACAGGCATGAGCCACCGCACCCGGCCAGCCCCAACACTATTACTGAAGGTAAATAAAAATGGAGTCTTAGGAGTAGAGCTAGAGGAAAAAAAACATTAACAATATCTAGGTACTGCCAATGAACCTTCCTTGGTATCCGTGAGGATTGGTTGCAAGACTCCCGTGTATACCAGAATCTATAGATGCTCAAGTCTCTGATATAAAATGGGGTAGTATTTGCATATAACCTGTGCACATCCTCCTGTATACTTTAAATCATCTCTAGATTACTTATAATACCTAATACAATGTAAACACTATGTAAATAGTTATATTGTTTAGGGAATAATGACAAGAAAAAAATCTGTACATGTTCAGAACAGACATGGTCCTTTTTAAAATATTTTTGATTCACAGTTGGTTGGATCCACAGATGTGAAACCCTATGGATAAGGAAGGCCGACTGTATTCATTTGGAACGTAAATTGGAGTACTTGGAGAAGATATTCAACCTGTGAACTTCAGGCCCCTAGTGGTGGTCAAAGTGATTGCAAAGAGTCCTCAACCCCATCTGTGAGAACTGGGGTGGACAGCAAAGGGATGAGGCAGCAGAGGAAGTTGGAGAGAGCACCAGGATCCACTAAGGACTTCTCCACACAGGGGATAGTGGGAAGCCTTTGCAGCACAGCAAAGACACAAACAGCTTTGTGTTTTGAGAAGATGGTTCTGGCTGCAGTGTGGAAAGTGGATTGGGATTGGGGATGGGAAAAGAGCAGTTAGCAAGCTATTGAAGTAGTTGGACAATGGTGGCTGGGAATAGTTTCTAGCAGTGAAACGGGAGGAAAGTGGAGAAAGTCAGGCTATTTTAAGATATACAAGTGCCAGCTCTTAGAGACCAAATAGATATGGGGATTAAAGGCGATGAAGGAGTTCAAGATAACTTCCCTGGTTTTTAAGCAAATTTTTGAGCAACTGGGTGAATGATGATACCATTTACTAAGACTTGGAATATTGGAGATAGAGCAGGTTTTGAGGACACTAAGTTCAGTTTGGGGATAATATGATTAGTGAGAAGTATCTAGGAGGCCTCTATGAAGAAATGACCAGTAATTAGGCTATTGAATAGATACCAATGTGAGAGGACTTACATGTAAACTTGAAGGACTGGGAAGAGACACACACCCCTAGGGAGAGAGTACACAGTGAGAGGAGCGGAATAGCTAGTTAGATGAAGAAGAGAAAAGAGCAAAGCAATATGACACTGAGAAGATTACTTGGGGGCACCTGAGGTTTGCAGATTAGCTGATATCAAGGGAACAAAGTGATATGCCAAAAACTTTCAAAATTGCATAAGGGTTCTCTTGCTGGAAAATGAAACTATTGACTTTTATTTATAATGTCCAGGTCTTCATTGATGGTTATAACATAAATATATGCCGAATGAGAAAAGTAGATGATGACTTATTATCTACATGACATATGATTATATATGATGACATATGATTACATTATAGCGTCAGTAGAGGAGAAACAAGATGAGTATTTTGCTAATGCTCACTGCATGCACTATGCTTTAAAAGCAAAAGCACAATTGCTTGATCACTTTGACATTGGTATGTGGTGGCCTCACTGTTCTCAGAAATCTTTCTAATCACAGAAGGTACAAGCCCAGCCACTGCTGAGGCCGAATGTGATCTCATGCCAGAGGACCAATATGCAATCTGATTTTGCAACCTCAGGAATAAGGAGTTGGATTTGGGCAAGAATTTGTTGGACTATTTCAGATTTTTAGGGGTTTTTCTCCCCTCCTTCATGAATATTTCAGCCTAATCAAAAAAATCTCAAACCTCACAATATTTTTAAAGCAATAAGTCAAATCAAATAAATGATTTGAATGTTGAAATAATGCAACACACCCCTTCTGGTCAGCACACAGGCAGGGTCTTCTTTACCTGAGGACAGACCTTTTCCTTCCCGCAAACTGTTTCTGTAAGTAATGCTGCCACCTAGCAGTCTCTTGGGGAATCACCACCCTACAAGGTAATAGCTTTCGGTACACACGTTTTAGGTTTGTGGTGGCTTCCCTGCATTTAAGTTGGGTTTAAACAACACTTGAAATATGAATTTAATTACCTTTGAAAAATGTCTTTTCTGCAGGTATAGGTCTTGAAATCATGGTGTGGCAAAAAATAGGCTGTTGAAAGCAGCTCGCTCAAGATGAAAATGATGGCAAAATGCACAGGATTTGCACTGTCCAAACTCATCCAATTGCAGACACTGAATATGTGCAGTTCTTTTTATATAAATTATTCCTCAATAAAGCTGTTTAAAAAATGGTAAAATAAAAAGAAAATGATGAAAAAAAATAAAACACCCCCTGTGTAAAACTTCAGTACATTTGTATGAAATAACAAACCTCTACAAGTAACTTGTGAGGAGAGTAGGTAAAAACAAAGTGTGGATGATCAGCGTCAAAGAAGAACAGCTCTTTAACCAGAGAACTCTGGAGTCATAATCTCAAAGTATCACCTATGTGCCTACTGGAAACCTAAATGCTGTGACATTTTAATTCACAGCAGGAGCTTCACTTGCAAACTAAGCAAAGTTACTTTTTCATGTACTTCACGTTTTTGTGTTTTCACAAAGGTTAAAAAGAAACAGCTAACAGTTATTGAAGTGTTTGCTATTTGCCCAACACTGAGTAAAACACTTTCCAAGCACTGTTATGTAACCTACACAATCCCCTGAGATGATGTTACTGATACTGGTGGCCTGGGGAAGTTAACAAGGCAAATAAGTGTTGGAGTCGGGATACAAACCGAGCCAGTCTGATTTCAGAGCCTGAGCTCTCACCTCCAAGGTTATAATACTTTTCTATTGTGCTGAAAGTTATGTGGGAGCAAACAGATGTCAGATGTTCAGCAGGTTAAAACATGTGTTAACAGGATACAGTAAGTTTCTGTTTTCTAGTTGAGTGGCATGAAAGAAAATGTTCTCAATTGTATCACAGTGACATTTGTCCTATCTCTTACTACAAACTACTTTATTTAATCACTGTGAAACTCTACCGTTAACTCTCTGTTTAATACCTGTTGACTACCTAGATTGTCAGATACTTTGTCCAATTATGCCATCTCACTGTTTTAGTGACATTTCACTTTTTGATATCTTGAGAGAGAGTTTCCTTCTTGTCACTGCTCTGCATTTAGATGTCAGTGAGTACTGACATCTACAGTGGATGTGTCCTGTCCACTTTTACTAAAATAAGGTATCTATGCATCATTTTCTGAGGAAATGTCTTGTCCAAACATATCTCTGAAGATAATTTGAATGTGCATAATATCTTTATCCAGAAATAGCATGCCACAGCAAACTATGCAGCTTATGTTAGACCAGGCCCATGCATTCAAACCACCTGAGAATCTCGTTGAATGCAGGACCTGAGATTCTACATTTTAAACTAGCTCTCGGGTGAAGTTAATGATGCCAGTCCTTGGATCACAATTTAAGTACCAAGGTTCTAAATTACCCAGTTATGCTTGGGTCTGGAAAGAAAATCTGATTCGATTCCAAAGTGAAGCAAAAAAAAAACTTCCCTATAATTTTCTCATTTTATGTATCTGATGATAAAAATCAGGTTTGATATAAACCAAGTTATGTATTTTTATGTTTCTAAACAAGGGTATCTATAAAATCTATTTTAAAAATAAATTGTTTCCATTTGAGTTTTAAATCTATTTGTTTAAATATTTTTTCTTCTTGTCATCAGAGTTTTTGAAATTTATACCTCTACCATAAGATATCATGTAGTGTTGGACTTGAAACTTCTAGAATCATCTGGCTATCAGAGAGCTGCCCAACCTCCAGCCCCATCTTAGGGCAGACATGAATAAGGCTTCTTTGGTCTAAATAAGCTAAATCCAGAGCTCTGGGCATTAAAGAAACTGAAGTCAGATTTTAGAATTGTTCTGCAATTAGTTCCTTGACCTGGTGGTCCTATTTTTAATAGCAGCCAATTTAGGAGTTTCCTAGGTTTATTCAGAGCTCTCTTTCAGGTAACTTTGTCCCTATACTCTTCCCGTTCTTGTCAGTATCACTCATTTTTTTGCTCTCACAAGAAAATATATAGTACTTAGAGGTAAATGTAAAACTTCTATACTTGGGTCTCAAGATCATATCACAAAAGAGTGAAATGAATTAGACACTGTAAGAAATTGACCATTCAAAAACAGGAATGTTATTGCCTACCAACTCAATATAAGTGACTAGAATAATGTTATTCAGTCTAGGAATCTATTAATAGAAGAATAGTGCTAGGACAAAGGAGGTAATGGGCTTCCTCTAGCTTGTACTGGCAAAGCCATAATTGAGGTAATACAATGTTCAGATGTATGCATTTAAGTGTATGCGTGTCTGTGGCTGTGAGTCAGAGAGTGTGATGGAGAGGCAAAAGGGAAGGTAGTTATAATTTATGAGGAACAATGGAAAAGATCAACAGGTTTCAAAAAGGTAAACCAAGATGGTGAGAGAGTTTCAAACTGTTATCAATTCAAAGAAATAGGAGTATTTACTTTTGAAGTGGGTTTTGGAGTGGAAGTTAGTAAGATCTTTTATGGATGGATGGACAGATGGATGGATGGGGGTGGTGGATGGATTGAAGAGTTAAATCCCTAAACACCTCACTTTGAGAAATGTAGAAGCAATGGAGCAGTTTTTTCCCAAACAGATTAGATAGTCAGACAGACAGGCAGGCTATTTATTGAATACATTCTACATGCCAGTATTTGGCCGAACCCTCTACATATACCAGGTGCTTTCTTCTCCAAACAACCCTTTGGAATTCCTATTATCCTCATGTGGAAAGTGGTAAATATGAGGCATAGAGAAATTAAGTGACCTGTCCAAAGTCATTGCCAGGCTGAGCTCAGACTTTGTGCTGTTAACCTCTAGTTTATAACCCTGAGTGACACTCAAAGGTGGCCTACTCAACTCTCTCTTAAAGAAATAACTTGCTGGCCAGCGGCAAGGAGTGCAGTTAGCTGACAGCCTCTACTGATAACCTCCTCGGGCTCTGCTTCAGCTTTCAACCAGAGACCATGTTGTTTCTGAGGAGGCCCAGCTAAGGACCGAGCACGGTTGGGGTAGAAGAGTCTGAACATTTCTGCCCACCATGGGCCCCTCTAATAAACAGTCTTTCCTCTGGAGCTCCCCACTGAGCTGTTGTAGACTTCACCAGATCAGCATTGCAATCTGAGGCTCCCCCTGCCCAATTCAGCCTCCTTCCTCCTTCTGTCTATCGCAGGAGTTGTTCTGAATAACCTTCTTTTACTCCAATGTCCATCTCAGCATCTGCTTTGCAGAGGACACAACTGGCACACCCTGCCTTCATATATTTGGATTGCCATCATATAGAAGACTGTTTAGAATTGTTTTGTGTTGTGATAAGGGGTTGAATTAGGACAAAATTCAACCCCTTATCACAACACAAGCATAAACAAACTGCTAGGGAAGCAGCTTTCACATATACATAAGGAAGAACATCGTAACAACTAGAAGTGCCAAACAATAGAATAACCTGCCTCAAGATCAATGAGTGCCCTGTCACTGCGTTCAGGCTGACTGGAGAACTGCTTTTGTGTGAAGGTTGTGTGGCATTACCACTCCTCCACTTCTACCCCCATGAATACTGAGGCACCTGGGATGCTAAACATCCACAATGCTAATTGATTAGCAAAAACCAAATTGTTTAGGAAATCGCGCCAGGAAGCCCAAACCTCTGATTTCTTAGCAGATCAGTGGGTCTGGTTTGATACATCATCCTTGTCCACTTCCAGGGCAGTTTAGTGGTACTCTAGGCCAGACTAGCCAGTCTACATACTTTTTTTTTAATCAAAGAGCTTCTAGAAAATGGGATAAGCTGTGGGCTGATTGTCCCCATGGACTAGTTGGTGGGATCAAAACCTAACTTCACATATGTTTATGTCAGACTGTAATATGGGGTTCACCCTCTAATGCAGTTCTAATGACTCCCTCCCCTGCCACATGGTTCTCAAGCTCATGGACTTGCACACGACAGCCAGAGAGATTCTCTTCCTCAAGGCTGTTGTCTCCCTCCCTTCATGCAGACACAGGCACACAAAGCAGGGGACTCCTACTGCCCCCTTCTAAGAATTCCATGATGGTCAGATTATATAAGTAATCATATATTTCAGATAGCAAAATAAGAGATGGAAAAGACTGGTAGGAAAATCAATAGCATAATCAGCGTTAGGATCTGTATATAAAGAGACATTCATTTGCTGTGCAAATATTTACTGAGCACCTACCAAAGGCCGGAATCCCTTCCACATGCTAGGGACGTGATGCGCTCGACGGAGTCCCCAATGTCATGGAGTATATATCTAATGCCACTGAGAAACCTGGCTCACCCTGCACTGAGAGAAGCACTCAAAACCACCATCACCAATAGCGCTACTAAAGACAGTGCTTTGGAGCTTCCAAGCTGATAGATTATCCTTTCTCCCCACCCTCAGATTTCTCCAGTGTCTCTGGCACTTATAGTCCATGTTTGCAAGAAATATTTTATTATAGTGCTCTGAAACAAATTTATAAAGTTTGCAAGAGAAGTTTTAAAAAAGCAAGCTCAGCAATATTTGGGGGCTTTTAAAGCTGATGATGCAGCTGACCTACTGGAGACAAAGGCAGTGGGAGGGCCCTTACTGGTATAAATAAATAGGAGTCTCTGGTACTGCAAACCCACAGCCTGGACTCAGAGCTCAAGTCTGAACTCTACCTCCAGACAGAATGAAGTTCATCTCGACATCTCTGCTTCTCATGCTGCTGGTCAGCAGCCTCTCTCCAGTCCAAGGTGAGAAATTTCATTTACATTTCACTGTTTGTTGAACAGAAATAGTCTTTAACCACTTCAATTTTCTTTCGATTAAAAACCGCAGGGAAGTCTGACTAAAGGGGGAAAAAACTGCTCTGTTCCTTCTAGATTTCTCAAAGTAAGGTGTTTAGGAATTTAACTCTTCAAAACTGGAAGTATTTATATTGTTAAGATTTTTATTTATAGCAAAAAGAGATACCACAAGTCCAATATTCATGTGAATTATATATTCCCAGCCTTTTTCTGATTCAGCTCCTGCTATATATAATTCTTTACATGTAGCTCTTCTTTGTTCTGCCTCTCAATGTTACCCACTCTGACCAAACCCTATACAGGGTTTAAAGATTATTGAACTCTACTGGTCTCTTGCAGTGAACATGCTTCATGTAACTCCAAATGGTTAGATCTGACATCAAGTACACCACTGTCAGTACACCAGGGGTATTTACACACATTCTGCAAAGAAGCAGACTTCCATGTCTAAGTGGGGCAGCTATCTTTGTGTCAATAGATAAATATCCAGTTGAAGTAGTAAGTTTTTATGTGGCCGAAGAAATGGATATGTGCAGAAAGAAGCCTTCTGCTCAGATTTAGAAGGCCAAATTTTTGTTCTTAAAACACAGAGGAGCTTTGTCCCCCAGTTTTAATTTTGCTTCACATGTTATTTTCACTCTTCAAAACCCTAATTTCTTGCATTCTCCACGGGGCTTTCCCATGGCTCCCGGCAGAGGTAGCTCTTAGTACATCTTCTGTTCTCAGCATGCATGTTAGATTTTGAGCGTAATACAACCTTCTGTGGTATTTTAGTTTTTGTTTGCTTGTTTCCCCTACTAACTTGTACACACCTTGAGAGGTGAGCCTTTTTATTTATAAATGTATGTCAAGCACAGTAGTAGGCTGGATAGAAAAGATCTGATAAATGTCTTTGGCTTAGATTTCATTAGATCCCATTAAAATTCATGAGATGGATACTAATGGTACCCATCCAGTATTAATTGCTTTTGTTAAATAAAAAGACTTTTGAATTTTTATGATTGCCTTTTGTTCTGTAATGATTTGCAACCCAGACAGAGGACCAACATATCAAACAAAAACGTCTGTGACATTTTCTGAGAGGAAAGGGGAGGATGGCAGAGAGTCTGATAGAGAAAACTCTGTTCCAGCATGTTATTGCTCCCAGGACTCTTGAGCCAGGTCATGTCCTCGGTTTTTATGTGTTGGGAGTGAAGATAATCCACTGGTTTTATATTGCATTAATTATAACTGAGTTGTAAGTCCCTACAGAGGCTGTTCTCAAATTTTATTATGTGGACTATCACCTGAGTACAAATATAACACTATCACAAATTTCAAAATTGCTGTGTTTTTTTGAAAGCTAATTTTTGTTTTGTTTTCTTTTTGCTTTGTTTGTTTGCTTTCTGAGATGGGGTCTCCGTTTGTTGCCCAGGCTGGTCTCAAACTCCTGGGTTCAACCAATCCTCCCACCTTGGCCTTCCAAAGTGCTGGGATTACAGGTGTAAGCCACTGTGCCTGGCCTAAAAGCTAACTTTATTTTTAAAGTTTTGGTAGAAAACATTTGAAAATACTCAAGCCAAGACAAGCAGAAATATACAAACTAAAGACATATGGGTGGAAGCACTGACTTGAAACTTTTAAGTCTTCAAATGCACGTTATGAAAGATTAGTAATTAAATTCTAGTTATGAATTACATGCCAATGGATTAAAATAACTGATTCTGTGTTTACTTACAGGTGTTCTGGAGGTCTATTACACAAGCTTGAGGTGTAGATGTGTCCAAGAGAGCTCAGTCTTTATCCCTAGACGCTTCATTGATCGAATTCAAATCTTGCCCCGTGGGAATGGTTGTCCAAGAAAAGAAATCATGTAAGTTTCAAGAGAAAAATAAATAAGATTTCCTTCTCCCAATGAAATCAGATCAAATGTTACCATACAGTAGTCTTACTCAAGAATGTCGAAGAGATTTACTTGAGTGTTGCTAAAAATTCTCAAACTAATAATGAAAATTGTTAATAATTAAGAGCTTAGTTTGCAGCAGCCCTGAGCTAAGTGCTTTACATGCACATACTCATTTTCTTTATTCAACCACTTTATTAAGGTAAGTCTATTGTTCCTTACAGTCTGAGGCTTAGGAAGGTTAACTAACTGCCTGAGACACACCATCAGAAAGGATTAGAAAGTGCATTAGTGGCCAGGCGTGGTGGCTCACGCCTGTAATCCCAGCACTTTAGGAGGCCGAGGAGGGCGGATCACCTGAGGTCAGGAGTTCGAGACCAGCCTGACCAACATGGAGAAACCCCGTCTCTACTAAAAATACAAAATTAGCCGGGTGTGGTGGTTCATGCCTATAATCCTAGCTACTTGGGAGGCTGAGGCAGGAGAACCGCTTGAACCTGGGAGGCGGAGGTTGCGGTGAGCCGAGATCACGCCATTGCACTCCAGCCTGGGCAACAAGAGCGAAACTCCATCTCAAAAAAAAAAAAAAGAAAGAAAGAAAGTGCATTAGCCAGGACTCCATTCACATTTTCCCCGTTGCAAAGCCTCTTCTTTGCGACACCTTGAAGTATTAGGCACAGCATCTTTCTCAGGGCATCCCTGACTTGGCATTCATGAGTGGCTTTTCCCATGGACTTCTTTAGATTTTTGCAATGTTTGTAAGCAGCTACTTCCTCTTTGTCACATTTTGTTACCAGTGCTTGGGGCCTTGGACCAGTTGAAATATGGGATATCAAAAGTGCATATGGTAGTTTTTCACTAGAAAGGCATTTCACTAACGTCTTTAACAATAATGTCTAACTAAACTACAATTATTGGCATCAAACTCAGAGATGTGAAGTCTAGCCATGACCTACTTGGGAGTAGTTCCCCTGGCTGTTTAGAAAACTGGGACCCCCTTCTTTTGATTCCATTTCCTCTGTCATGACTGGTCTCTTGCCTGTCAACCAAGGAAGGTAATGCACCTTAATTTTCTCTGCTTTAACTTTGATTGTTTTGAAATGACAAAAATCTGATTTTATATCTTTTCATCAAGTTCTGCATTTGTGAATTTTAACCAGATACAGAAATGAAAGTTTCAAATTATTGTGAGAAATTCATGCCAGTCACAGGTGAAAATACCGTGAGTCCAGATGATCAGAAATCTGTCTTTCCATCATGAACTCAGAAACCCAATTGGAAGTGTCTATCTGAAAACCCAACTGCTCCATGTCCTGTGACCTCTCTAAGATTTACGTGCAAAAGTGCAGTTTCAGAGTTAGATGGATGGATCCTTGCTGTTTGTCTTTATTGTTTTGGGGTTTTTGTGGTTTGTTTCTGTTTTTTGTGTTTTGGGTTTTTTTTTTGTTTTGTTTTGTTTTGTTTTGAGACAGGATCTCACTCTGCTGCCCAGGCTGGAGTGCAGTGGCACAGTCATGGCTCACTGCAGCCTCAACCTCCTGGGTTCAAGCAAGCCTCCCTCCTCAGCCTCCCGAGTAGCTGGGACAACAGGTGCACACCACCATGCCCAGCTAGTTTTTTTTATTATTATTTCTGTAGAGATGGGGTCTCATTAAGTTGCCCAGGCTCCTGGCCTCAAGCAATCCGCCCACCTCAGCCTCCCAAAGTGCTGGGATTACAGGCATGAGCTACCATGCTGCTGGCTGTTTGTCATTTTATAACTAAGATAAATGACATATAAGGAAATTGTGTTTTGTTTGAGTTCACACCAATAGAGGGTAGAGTCTCCCAGTTTTCTGCTGTCTGGCAGACCTCACTTTTCCACTTCAGATAAAGCATTTAACACTATATCTGGCACTTGGTAATCACTCAGGTCATGCTCATGAAAAACAGTGAAGAAAAGTGTGGGCTCTGGAGTCAGATAATCTTCATTTGAATCCTTCTGTATCATGTATTTGTTGTGCAATCTTGAACAAGTTATTTAAATTCACTGAGCCTAAGTTATCATCAGAAGGTAAGGAAGTAATAATTTCTCCAGCAAAGGATTTTTGTGAGATGAATTGAAATAATCCATGTTACCTGCTAAGCATAGTGCCTGGTGTGTTATAAGTACCTGATAAATATTAGCTATTAATTATTGCTGCCACTTTTGCTATTGCTTAATATCTTAGAGCAGGAAAAATCTTGCTAAGTGGTAATTCGACAAAATGCAGATGTCACTCCAAGCAATCTGCTCTGCAGCATGCGTCTCATGTGAAATTGCACTGAATTTTTTTTTTTCAGTGAAATTCAGGTTCTCAAGAGAGTGTTTTCTACAGCTTATTTTGTTCTCCCAAATGCAGTGCAACAGATAAGCACATTTTAAAGATATTGTGATATAACTTTAGAAGTGAGCCAATCTTGGAGTAAGTTATTTGGTTGTTCTCCAATGCACGTAAATGTTATCAACAAAACACTAACCTCTGACATGTGAGGCCCTCGCAGCTTTGGATTCAACCCCACCAGCTCACACATACTGTTCCACAAATGGTTGTTCTCTTATTCCTCTGACCCCATACTACAAATCACCTATTCCAGATCCCAAACTGCCCAGCTCCAATTTCACTTCATCTAGGAATAATTATTTTCATACCAAACTCTTTTCTTTATTAAAAGTATAGGATTGACTAAAATGTAAGACTGAATTATTTAATTTTTATTTTCCCCCAGAGTCTGGAAGAAGAACAAGTCAATTGTGTGTGTGGACCCTCAAGCTGAATGGATACAAAGAATGATGGAAGTATTGAGAAAGTAAGTTAGGCATAACAAGGGGTTTCAGATTCCAACTTGTACTGAAGAGTTTCCCTTTCCTGGGCAGTCAAAATAGGGACTAGCTTGAATTTATGAGAAGTTCCTAAGACAAATGTGTGTTTTTCACTGTTATTGCTTATCAGATGGAGTAGGGGTAGCTCATTCCAGCAGCTCAGTAAACCAAACTAGATGCCAGTATACATAAGAGTCCTTGCCCGGTATCTCCAGAGGAAAGCCACAGTTTCTTGTGTTTCTCTAAACATGACAATTTTGTTTTTGTTTCTGCTTCACAGAAGAAGTTCTTCAACTCTACCAGTTCCAGTGTTTAAGAGAAAGATTCCCTGATGCTGATATTTCCACTAAGAACACCTGCATTCTTCCCTTATCCCTGCTCTGGATTTTAGTTTTGTGCTTAGTTAAATCTTTTCCAGGAAAAAGAACTTCCCCATACAAATAAGCATGAGACTATGTAAAAATAACCTTGCAGAAGCTGATGGGGCAAACTCAAGCTTCTTCACTCACAGCACCCTATATACACTTGGAGTTTGCATTCTTATTCATCAGGGAGGAAAGTTTCTTTGAAAATAGTTATTCAGTTATAAGTAATACAGGATTATTTTGATTATATACTTGTTGTTTAATGTTTAAAATTTCTTAGAAAACAATGGAATGAGAATTTAAGCCTCAAATTTGAACATGTGGCTTGAATTAAGAAGAAAATTATGGCATATATTAAAAGCAGGCTTCTATGAAAGACTCAAAAAGCTGCCTGGGAGGCAGATGGAACTTGAGCCTGTCAAGAGGCAAAGGAATCCATGTAGTAGATATCCTCTGCTTAAAAACTCACTACGGAGGAGAATTAAGTCCTACTTTTAAAGAATTTCTTTATAAAATTTACTGTCTAAGATTAATAGCATTCGAAGATCCCCAGACTTCATAGAATACTCAGGGAAAGCATTTAAAGGGTGATGTACACATGTATCCTTTCACACATTTGCCTTGACAAACTTCTTTCACTCACATCTTTTTCACTGACTTTTTTTGTGGGGGGCGGGGCCGGGGGGACTCTGGTATCTAATTCTTTAATGATTCCTATAAATCTAATGACATTCAATAAAGTTGAGCAAACATTTTACTTAATTATGAGCAATTTCTTCTTCTTCTTCTTTTTTTTTTTTTTTTTTTTTGAGACAGAGTCTCACTATGTCGCTCAGGCTAGAGTGCACTGGCACAATCACAGCTCACTGCAGCCTCAACCTCCTGGGCTCAAGCAATTCTCCCACTTCAGGCTCCCCAGTAGTTGGGACTATAGGCACACACCACCACACCCAGCTAATTGTTGTATTCTTTTGTAGAGACGGAGTTTCACCATGTTGTCCAGGCTGTGAGCAATTCATTCTTAATATAGCATCTACTCAAATGTAGACATTCTCTGATTCTTAAAATAGGATTTTATGAGGTTAATTTTTCTTTGTATCTCATTTGCCTTTTACAGATGATCTAAAATCATTTGGCAAAGGATGAGTGAAGTTATTCCTGATATTAACACAGTGGGAAATATTTGGCTATGAGGGCCTCTTCCCCCTAGTGTTACCTACCGCATACTAACCGTGATTTCCTCCAGACTTCAAACACTTATCAAACCCATTTTCACTGTGTCATATTGACTCTTAAAGTCACTAATGTTTCATCTGACAGTTTTGCATTGAGTTTGACCAACAGACAAAGAAGACACTTGAACTCTGGTCCCTATCTGCCCCTGGCATCAGCCTGGATATCCTACCCACCACACCACTAAGCTCCACTGTGTGTTCCTCTCCCCACCCCACCCCGCTACTGCTTAACAACTGCTTTGGGGGGTCTGCTCCCAGTTCACCCAGGTTTTAAGCTATCTCTGACTCCCTCTTTCACTTTTCTTTTTATTTTTAAATTTATTTTTATGTTATTAAATTCTTTCTTGGGAGAAAATTAAAAGCACCCGTAATTACTATATTTTCTCTTGTCTACAATTCAATGTCTTTTAAATTACAAATACACACACGCACACATAGAGGGCTGATAAAATGTCATCAAGATCCTGCCTTGTAGCGTTTTTCAGATTCCAGTGTTTAGAGATCAGGAATCACTTCATTCTTTAATTCGATTTTGGTCTCCTTTGGTAGTTAGACAAATATTCAGAAGTCTCAAATAAGAAACACCACTATTTCTCGTGAAGTATCTACTATTATCACCCCTGCTTGGGACACAGTGGTTAAGTCATTTGCTCATGAGACTCCATCTCTACAGAAATAAAAACTAGCTGGGCATGGAGGTGTGCACCTGTAGTCCCAGCTACTCAGGAGGCTGAGGAGGGAGGCTTGCTTGAGCCCAGGAGGTCAAGGCTGCAGCTACTAAATGACAAGCCAGCATTCAAATTCAGCCAGTGCGGAACCAGAATCCATGTGCCTAACTATTGTACTGTGCTGACTCTATAGAAGGTTGGTATCATCAGTAGAAACTGAGGCATGTACTTGCCCCAAATCGTATAACTAGAAAAGACAAATCAGAACTCAAACCCAGGGCCATCTGACTCCTAAGCAAATGCTGTTAATCACTTCACTAGACTGCCTCAAGTTTTCCCTTCCCTAAACATATTTCTTACTTCAACTTCTTTGGCCACTATCCTTTTCAGGGCCAATCAAAGCCAGGGGAAGGGTGGGAGCTCCAGGACGTTCAGGCTTCCGCTGGATTGAGACGTTCATCCTGTGTTGTCCAATCCCAGGGGGATCTGGGCAGCTGGTGGGTGGCGTGAAGGCAGTGGGCCAATGTGGAAAGCGAAACAAAAGCAGGGCCAGTGAGGGTTTCTAAACTCGCTTTTCTTACCACACAGGCATGCATTCCTCAAAAGTCGGAGTGGATTTGGGGATGTTCAGCCTGGTCTGAGACAGAGAGCTGAACTCATAGATGCAGGAAACTTGTGAACCAGTTCCTGGAGTGTCTGAGGAAAGGCGGGCTATTGCAGATCTGAGTGGGTTTGGGTCTGGAAAGAAAGACTTGTGGAAGAGTAGGGCAGTGCAGTATTCATGCGATAAATGACTCTACACACACACACACACACACACACACACACACACACACACAAGTTAATCAAAAATCAAAGTAAAATAGAGTTGAATGGAAAATATAAGGTAATGCTGGCCAAAACAGGATGTTCAACACTGAGAAACTGAATGAAGGAGGTGCATGGGCCAAGCAGCACAGGGATCTCCTAGTAGCAGAATGCAGGGGACCTGTAACAAACCCATCAATAGTGCTGCTCAAACCCATCCACCCAACCAGCAGAGGCCCAGGAAGAAAAGATTCTGCTTCTCCAACAGAAGGGCTCAGCCTTGGCCTTACTTTGAGGGGGAAAAAAAAATCCACCAAAATAACAATACAATAATTTAAAAATATACATTCTAAAAATACAGCATAACAACTATTTACATAGAATTTATATTGTAATTTAAAGATGATTTAAAGTACAGTACACAGCAGAGTGTGCATAGGCCATATGCAAATACTGTTCTTTTATATAAGGGACTTGAGCATTCTCAGATGTTGGTGTCCTCTGGGGTTTTGGGGAAGGGGCTGGAACCAATCCCCTGAAGATACCAAGAGATAACTATATTTGGTCTTTGTCCCAGGTTCCTAGTACAGAGCTCCTAAAACCCTTGGAATTCCCTGAGTGATGCGAGTGTCTCGTTATTCACAATGAGCCCCTTTTAACCATATCTGAGTTTGTGGCAATGAGGTGACTATTGGCAGGCCCTGGGATAGCCTTAGGATGGGGGTTGGCAGGCAGAAGAACCAACCATGTGATTAGAGGGTTGGACCTTTTGTCCCACCCTCCCCACCACCTCTAGAGAGAGGAAAGGGGCTAGAAATTGAGTTTATTACCAATGGACAATAATTTAATCAATCATGCCTGTGTAATGAAAACTGATATAAAAACCCCCAAACAATAAGGTTCAGAGAAATTCCAGAACATCGAGGTAGGGGGGCGGTGGTGAGCTGGAGCAGGCATGGAAGGAAGCTCTGTGCCCCTCTCTCCTCACCCTGCCCTGTGCATCTCTTCCATTTGTTCCTGAGTTGTATCTTTTATAATACCCTGGAAATAGTACTACTTTCCTGGGTTCTGGGAGTCATTATAGCAAATTATCAAACCTGAGGAGGGTGACCTAGGAACCCTTAAGTTTGTGGTTGGCTGGGCAGAAAGGAAGATAGCCTGGGCACCCTATGTGCAGCTGGCATCTGTGGGACTGAGCCTTTAACCTGTGGGGTCTACACTAAGTACAGATAGTATTATAACTGAATTGAATTGCTGGATACCCAGTTGGTGTAAGAGAATCACAGAATTGGAGATTTGGTTGGTGTCAGTAAACACTTGAGGCAAAAAAAAAAAAAAGGGAAAAAACCTCTCCCAAAACCTCCAGGTGATTTCGGTGTTCTAAAATTGGAACGCATAGTTCAGCCAGCACAGAATATTAAAGTCATCAAGGGAGCTCGCTTTTCTTATGTCAGGTTAATTAAGTTATAGTTTACAGACAGTAAAATTGACCCTGTCTAAGTGTTCAATTCAGTGAGTTAGCAGGAACAGCCCCAGCCCCTGTTCTGTTATTATACTTCTGCCTTTTCCAGCCTGTCCTATAAATGGTACGGCCTTTTGTCTGGCTGCTTTCACTTTGCATAATGGTTTTGAGATTCATCATCTTGTTGAATGTATTACTAGCTTCTTCCTTGTTGTTACTATTATTTCATTGTATGGACATACAACAACTTGTTTATTCACTTACCAGTTGATGGACCGTTGAGTTGTTTCCAGTTTGGGGATATTATGATTAAAACTGCTGTTAACATTTACTACAAGTCTTTGTGGGAACATACGTTTTGGTTTCTCTTGGATTAATACCTGCAAGTGGACATGCTGGGTCATGTGGCAGGTGGATGTTTAACTTTATAAGAAGCTGCTAAACTGTTTTCCAAAGTAAATGTACCATTTTGCATTCCCATCAGCAATATGTGAGAGTTCCAGTTGCTTCACATCTTCACCAGCCCTTGGTATTATCGGTCTTTTAAATTTTAGACATTTTAGTGGGTGTTTAATCTCTTGTGGTCCTAATCTGTATTTCTCTAATGGTTAATGATGCTGAATAGTTTTCATGTGTTTGTTTAAGATCTTTGTATCTACATTACAAATCTGTCTTACTTGCCCCCACCTTCTGGGTGGGTGGGAAGGAGCTCTATCCCATTCCATCCAAATGACTCTGCTATATTTCCACTTTGGATTTTGCAAAGGTACCTCAAACTCAATGTCAAGGACCAAAATTCATGATCCAATTCCAATCTGGTCCAATTCCAGTATTTCCTACATCTGTGAAAGCTCCACAATTTGTTTCATTATGCAAGATGGAAAACTAGGACTCGTTTCAAAATTTATTTTCTATCACCACCAGTTCTGTATCCAATCCATAGCAAAACATCATTGATCCGTTTCCCTAAATATCTTCCTAATTCGTACACAACTCTCCATCTTTACTACCTCCCTATGCCAACCAAGATGCCATCAAGTCTCACCTGGACTGATTAAATAGCTTAAAAAGTAGCTACCCTCCCCCACCCCCCTGACTTCCCTCCATAAAGCAGCTAAGGTGATCCATTCAAAATGCAAGTCTGACAATGTCACACTTCTTCCAGTTCCAAGCTCAATGGTCCCTTCCTCAGGACAGCCTTCCGTGCCTAGGTTAATCTCCTTGTGATAAGCTGTCATGTAACTCTTTCTTTTCCTCGAAAGCACTTACCTCAGTCACTAATAATACCATTGTTAGCGTGACTATTGGTCGTCCGTCTCCAATTAGGATATTAACTTCATAAGGGCCAGAACTGTGCCTGGTTTTGCTCACCCTCAGATCCTTAGCATTGATTATGGCCTGGCACATGGTGGGAGTTCAAGTATTTTTTGGATAAATATATGAGTGAATAAATGAATATCTTATAACGGTCTCATTTGTTACTATTTAAGATACTTCAAGAAAATAACTTTTCATATTTGTCTTATTTTCATAACTGGATTGAAAATTTCTTGGAGACAGTAAGTCAGACTTTTATTTCTTTGCAACCCACATGGTGTCCCACATACTCAATAAGCAACTCTTGTGCAGAATGAAAAGCATCTTGTACAGCACGTAATTTGTTTGGAATATTTAGGAAATAATTTTTTTTACTATATTATCTAGAATACATGGCTAGGAAAGAGTAGGAGCTAACCACATTTTTATAACTATCATGTGCATCTGAACATGCTGGTGGGTTTGAATTAACTGATAATTGTCATTGAAATTTAATATAACATTGAGCTCCCCAAGCTAAACTCCACTAAAAGTATGTCATGACATTATGACACTAGCATATATTGCTGGAAAATGCTAAATCTATATGAATGCATTCTCAAGATAAATTTAAAGTGACTGATATTTATTAAATTCTTATATGCCATATCATTTAGGGTACCAATAGGAAATAGAAGGCATGCATAACTGGAACTTTGAAGAGAATGCAATGAAGGAAACTATTTCAAAGCTGTGGGCAGGGTTAATGGAATATTGAGGCACTTAGGGACCAGTAGCCACTCCGAGGCCTGAAGAAGAAAGGTGAGGAAATGGCGTTATGGAAGGCTGTTGTAGACCTGCAGTTTGGAAGACAGATTGCCCAACAGGAGCCATAGTCATTGAATGAGTCATCGGCCAAGATGCCATCAAGTCTCATCTGGACTGATTAAATAGCTTAAACACTGTAACAGCATGTAAGTTGTTTGGAATATTTAGGATTTTTTTTTTTTTTTTTTTTTTTTTTTTTTTTTGATACGGAGTCTCTCTCTGTCGCCCAGGCTGGAGTGCAGTGGCGCGATCTCGGCTCACTGCAAGCTCCGCCTCCCAGGTTCACGCCATTCTCCTGCCTCAGCCTCCTGAGTAGCTGGGACTACAGGCGCCCGCCACCACGGCCGGCTAATTTTTTTGTATTTTTTTGTAGAGACGGGATTTCACCGTGTTAGCCAGGATGGTCTTGATCTCCTGACCTCGTGATCCACTCGCCCAGGCCTCCCAAAGTGTTGGGATTACAGGCGTGAGCCACCGCGCCCGGCCGGAAATAATTTTTTTACCATATTATCTAGGAGAGAGTAGGACCTAACCACATTTTTATAACTACTATTGTGCATCCGAGAGTGCTGACATTATTAAATTCATTATCAAATCGAGCAAGTCATCAGCCATGAACAGAACTGAGTGTGAACAGGGCTTGGAGGAAATAAGTGTCTCTACCTCTACATCCTCCCACCTTACAATTTCCTATTCATGCTTTCCATCCCCCTGACTCCCATCATTGGCCAAATCCATTCAGAAGAGGTTAGATGAGGAAACTAAGGTTCAGAGAGGTAAATGAATTTGCCCAGTATCACCCAGCTAATGAATGTCAGTTCTGATATTTGAATCCCACAGACCGACTCCAAATACCATGATCTCATTTATTACTTTACATGTACAACTGATGGCTATGCCAAATATGAATTGTTATAATTTTTAATAAAAGTTAATGAAGGCTAAAGATGTGTATTTTTATCACATATTCTACTATTGAAAAAATTGCTTATCTTATGGCAGGCAATCAATTTTATTTTCAAGCATTTTTTTTTTAAATCTGGATAACAGCCTCTCCCTTTGAAATCTAAAGATCAAATAAATATCTCAATATATCCCTTAACTTGAGTGGGGCTGGAAGCCCCAGGGGAAAATCCCTGATCTAGCCCTTTCTCTCTATTAAGTGGACAACATCCTTAAGTATACTAACACCCTTTGCCCTCAAAGGGGGGCAAGAGGAATGAGGATCCCAAATGATGCCTCCTTGGCCTGATTCTTGTGCTTATCTCTGAGTGGTAGTCCCAGCGAGGGCCTCAGCTCTGTCTCTGACACAACCTGTGGTCTCGGGGCCCTTCTGTTCCTCATCCACTCCTGAACAAACTGTCCTCCCCACAAACCCCAAGACCAGCCCAGGACAGGTCTTGTGGAAACAGTCTGGTAACCTCACAGGGCTCTGCAGCCGTTTCAAGGAGGTTCTTTAGCACCCTCTGGTGGCTACTGCCAGAAATACCATGTTCAAATTGAAGAGGGCAGTGAGGGCGGTGACATTAACGTTGGACCGGATTCCCTGCTTCCTTTTCCATTCAGTCAGACCCTGAAGAGTGTCTCCCAGGGATTGCGGACAAGGAAATCAGGTGATTCTTTTCTATCGGTGCCCAGACTCGGGACTCCACGGTCTTCACTCTTAAAGTACGGCCTCCCAACCAGCAACATTGGAGAATCGGAATCAGAACCTACATTTCAACAAGAAACAGTGATTTATATGCAACTAACACTGAGAAGCTTTTTTCCCTTATATTTTGTCTTTTACATTTCTCCCTACCTCCTCACTGCCAAAAGACAATATACAATCAATTTTCACAGGTAAGCCCTCATTCTTCAAGTTAGGTCTTCCCCCAAGCTAAGGAGAAGGAAAAGAAGTAGAAGTTAGAAGATTTTGAATCAAAATTTGGTTCTGCTATGATTCACTAACATATTCAATTCTCTGAATCTCATTATTCTAAATGTTCAGATGAAAATAACATCTAGCCCTTATGGAACTAAGAATAAACTCATTTTCAAATCAGCTAACTTGGGGTCATTACTGGGATTCATAAATGCCAGGAAATTAGGATTGTTCAATTTCTGATGCCATTCCACTGGCCTTCTAGAAATGGTCATGTCCAACCCTTTGACTTCAAGCCGCAGTGCTCTGCTGGCATCCAGTGGTGAATGGTGTAATGTGGAAACATCAAACATGGTAATGCAGTGTACCCTAGAACTGACCCAGGAAGATGAAACCTAAAACCAGCAAACACAGCTTATCATATGACCTCCAGAACAGACCAAAGAGAGGAATAGAAGAAATGTGGCTACCAGCCCAATGTCAGCTGAAACTAGCAGCAGATAGAGACTTTATTGTTCTGAGCAAGACAATCTATACCAGTTCATTATCAGCTGCCAGGTGCCAAGCTAAAGTAATCTGTGCTCGATTTTCTTTTATGCATCATCCCAAATTAGATGTAAAATAATTGCCAAGAGTTCAGTCATGCTGAGACCCATTATTCAGTAATAAAATTGACATTTCTAAAGTACTTTATCACAAATGGCAGGTTAGTTCACACAGCGTTCTTGCCTGAATCACGAGCCCCAGCTTTGTGTCTTTCCATTTGCTTTATTTGCATGTTCTGCTCTTTCTACCTCCCACCTCCTAGAAATTAAAAATACCAGTAAGCAAAGAAAGGCACAGTGACTCTCGCTTTCAATTAAGGAGCTATTTCATATGCAGTGGTCACTTTTTATCAGTGCAGAATGGTGGACATCCCTGATAAGCAATCATGGTGTCCACAAGGACAGAGGACATTTTTAATTTTGCTGGGCATTTTGCTTAGCTTTGGAAATTCTTGTATGTTTTATCACTAATTTCAACTTATAAATTTCCTGCCTAGGAGCAACTTCAATGAATTCCGGTTTGGAAATATCCAGCAGATCTTTTTTTTTTTTTTTTTAATGAAAGCATCTCCCCACATTCGCCCACCTAAGATAACTCAGAGGCAGATGCACTTTTCACTGAAGTTAATGAGAATCTGAAAACTGCAATTGCAATGAGGTTGTAAACTGGGGTTAGCAGGATTCATGTTGCCGCAATTCATCTAACCTAGATTTAAGTCTCTGGAGTTATTATTTTTTCCCTCTTTGTTAAAAGCAAACATTTTTACAACCTCCTTATTTGTATACTGTTTTTATTATCCCACTACCCTTATGAAATTAATGAAAGAGAGACTTTTTTCTAAGTACTTCTTACGGAGACTCTTGAATGTGGACCTGCTGATTCCTCAGGGAGCCCACCCAGCCACTTGGGCCATGTCCCCCCGACTCGTGGTGCACATGTGAAAGGCAGGTAGGGCAGTTCCACTTTCTACAAAGGCCTGTGATTCCTGGAAACTCTGGCCAATTCTAAATCCCACTGACTGGAAGGGAACTTGAAGTCTCCTCCAAGTCTCTTTTTTCACAAAGTAAAGAACGAAGGTATTTTCCTAGCAAAAGCTAAAATTCCAAGGAAGATAAAAATTGAGGAAGTATCCCAACTCTTTGTTGGCACCCTCCATTGTCCACGTGCTCTGGCTTTGCACCCCGGAGTTTCCTCAAAACAGAACTGCAACCTCAGTGTGGACCTGGGACTAGTAAGATCATCCAGCCCATTTAATGTAAGTCATTTGTGTAACTGGGAAAGCCTTGGCCAAAATCTGAGGGGGTTTTTGGCAATGCTAAAGGCAACATCAATTAACAACAAAAATGCTTCCTTGTGTCCTGCCACCTTAGGACAAGCTTTACAATTTTGACATCTGGCCCCGTGCTCTTATCCAACCTGGGAAGTTGGTGGTGTGTTGGTGTGGCATCTTACTAAAGGCAAAATGATGACTTGTTTGTTGTTTATATTCTGTACCTGCTTGATTGATAAGCTTAGGTTTTGTTTTGTTTTGTTTTTTTTTTTTTAAGTCCTTTTCTTGTATCATCTCAGGTTGTGAGCAAAATCTTGGAAGCAATTTTTTTAGTTTGCTTTTTCTGTTTACTTCTCAGTGTTCCAGTACTGGCAGGTTTCTATTTGCTTTTCCTATTTGCTTTTTTGTGTTCTAGGACTGGCAAGACAAGGAGAATGATGTCTAGCAGGATCCCACTTCATCCTGTCCATTTCTGAGACAGAAATACTAAAAGGAAGTGAGTCTAGGAGAAACCTGGTGTCACTCTCTAGCTCTGTAACATCAAAGAAGCTTATTTTATTAAAAGGTTTCTTACTTAAAAAGAAATCACTCCATTTATGAGTCTCAACTCCCTTACCTTTGGGTGAGAAGTGATATAGACAATTGCTAAGGCACTATCTGGTCCTAAAACTCACATCCCTACCCTTCCCACAGCCTCCCCTCCCCTAAATACTCCCTGTCCAGGCAAATGTTGGTATTGCCATCCATTAAAATTAAGCTGTTGTGTCATCCTTGACCCCCCCACCAACAACAACCTCCCTTTTTAAATCATTCACCAAGAGTGATTTCATTTCCCCACCTCCTTAATATCTCTGGGATCCATCCACTTCATTTCCACCACTGCATCTGGCCACGTAAATGACTGCTCCTTACTTGGGGAAGTGACTTTACAAGCCAAGGTCATTCAGAATTAAATTTACAGATGATGGAATAAATCAAATTCATGTATTTATAAAGTGTAAAAGAATCTGGTCTCTCAGGAAAACATGACTTCAGTTTGAAGTGTATCACTAATTTAACTGTGAGTTTAAGCAAAAAAGTTTAATATAAATTTTAAGGATATTGGAATGTTTAAGAAAACTCAACATGAAAAATGTATGATATTATGTATTTGATTAACAAGATTTTCATACGTGGTCAGGAAGACTTGTTAGGGTTGTAATTTTGTCTTGCATAAGCATTTGAAATAACTAGCAAAAGTGAAATAAGATATTTATTCTAAAATCTTGAAAAGAATGTATTAAAGCAAATTTGTAAATTAGTCTGATTGTTTAAAGACAGTTATATTCGTTGGGTGGAGTTCATTAACATTGATTAAACAGCATGTAAAAGTGATTATTAATATTATATAAACATTAGAGTAAGATTAGTAGGCTGAGCTTGATGAAAATGTAAAATTGATAAACCTAAACTTTAAAACTAAACATTAATTCTGAACTCAAGCAAATATTAACAATCCTTTCTATACTCACGTTCCCTTCAGACCTTAAATTCACTGACAATTGTAAAAAGAGTTCTCTTTCAGTCATGGAAATGCTCACATTTAGGGACTTGGTCTGGAACATCTTAATATGCGTCTATTGTCTCTTAATTAAATACACAAGTGCAAAGTCAAACCAAGTTCTAGAGCATATCAAATCTCTGATTCCAATCTAACTTTTCATGATTTATTTTTTATGATTTATGATTTTGCAGGCCAAATGTATTCCAAAAACAGAGAAAATGTTTTAGCAACCTGATGTTCTCCAAACTATGATCTAGGCTTTACTAAAAATTTGTCTCTTGTTCTGCATAACTAGATCTACAATTACATAACTACATAACTACATCTTAGCACCCTTTTTATCCTGCTGGGATTTGTTACTGGTTGGGTGATCTTCCCTAAAACATAGACTTTACAGATTGATACGATCTGTAAAAACAAACTAAATTACCCTATGAGAAGGATGCTTGCCAGGTCTCAGAGCAGGATAGCGGCTTCTCTACACTCACTTCGCTGTCTTCACCCTCACCATCAATGTTTATTGTCCTTTCCAATTAATGTGCTTTATTATTTTAAACTCAAAATAAACAAGCAGTGAGAACTGAATAAAGGATTCTTCTACTTTACAGATTATCTCTTCGTTTGCCTTAAGAAATTTTGGAAGAAATACAATTTGCTACATTCTGACTCATAGCCATGCATAAGCTTATGGAGGGGGAAAGTTCACGGGGAGAGCCAAGTCTTCATAATGTCCTCTAATTATGTGTGGAACTAAATATGGAAAAACTAAGCATGTGTCTTGTCCACATATATAGACATCTACAATTTGGATTATCTCTAGTTTCTTTTTCTCCTCACACAACCTCCCTCAATAGATGATTTTATGTACCTATAATGCTTTTCCTTTATAGGAGGTGGAAAGTGGAAAGACTCAAGGAATAGCCTCTTGTGGCTTCTCAACAGGACACTGTGGGCATTTTTATTCCTGGCGCCTGACTCTCCTGCACATTAGGGGATGCTTCTCACATCTCTAGGCCAGAGCCACCAAATGCTGTCACTCATTGGAAATTTGTGGGGGCATTTTGTTTGTTACCAACACCCCGCCTGTAAGAGCAACTCCCTCACCTTCTGCAAAATTTGCAGGACCTCAGAAGAACAGGGAAGGCAGCGACCACTATTAACCCCTTAACCTTAGCACAGGGGCCCAGCTCTTCACCAGGTCTCTGCTTAAAAGAATGAGTGGCCTTTTAAATAAATAAAACAGCAAAGCTAATCTTTGTAAATATTTCCTACCCCATTCTTTGCCAATAGGCGCAGAGCCCCAGGAGAAATGAGAGGTGGGACCTTATGTTGTGAGTTAAGTTTGAACAGAAAAGGAGATTGTAGAACAACATTTGAGTTGGAAGGTATCTTAGTAGTCATCTAATCTAACACCCTCACTTAAGAGGTAAAGAAAATGAGGGTGTGAATCACTACCTGTAAAACATGCAGCAAGTGTCACCTATCACTGTGATAATTAGTAATTATTACACTTATTGCTATTACACCTGTCTACTTTAAAACTGCTTAGCCTCCTGGGAGGCTGTTTTAGTTCAGGCTTCTGTTGAAGCCAACTTTGATCCAAGGATGTGGGTGAAAGTACTTTATGCTAGAGGTGATCCAGGCAACACAGTGAAGGTGGGGGGAAGTGATACAGTGTGATGGAGGCTGTGCTGGGCCATCAGATCCACTTTAAGGAATGAAGCACTTTTCTTTCAGCTGCTATCCATGCAGCTGGCAGCAGCTGTGGAGCTCTGAAAATTGCCCTCGCTCAAGGTTATACACCCTTCCTGGGAGCAGCCCGCATCCAAAGCTGGTTGATGCAATGGTATAAATATTCTATCCCACCTTCTCACCTCGGGCCAAATCTGACAGCCATCCCAGCTTCAGAACTTCCTGCAGCCTCACTGAGGCCTTTGCTGTGGCTGTCTCATGTTCAACTTCTCCCTCTGCTTAATCCTGCTTCCTCCCCTTTACCGACAGGTATTAATCCTACAAACACTCCCAGATTAACTTTCTGTTTGCTAATCTCCCTATCGGTATGCTTACCAGGGAACCTGGCCTGCAATAGAAGTTGTTCAAGAAAGCAGATGTTAAAAAGGGATTCTGAATCTGAATCACCTGCCAGACAGCTGGCAATGAGAACCACATTACTAGTCCTACAAGGAGCATGCAGGGCCCCTGACACAGGTGGTAGTGCAATTGTTAATACTTTCACCTGTTGTGAACTGGGATGGATGGTAAATTGGTAAAAGAAAATGTGCCAGCAGGTGCAATTTATCAGGCATTTGAGAAATATGGGGGAATTGTAATTCTGAAAAAAATAGAATTGGAAAGCTGCTGCTGGAGGAGTTAGATAATATGGAAAAAGATAATAAAAGGCACAAAACGACTAATTAGTCATTAAAGACTAGGTGTGCTATGGTCTGAATGTTTGTGTCCCCTCAAAATTCCTATGTTGAAATCCCAATCCCCAAGGTGATGGTATTAGCAGGTGAGGCCTTTGGGAGGTGATTAGGTCATGAGGGCAGAACCCTTGTGAAGTGAATTAGTGCTCTTATAAAAGATCTCAGAGAGGACGTCAGCCCCTTCCACCCTGTGAGGCTGCGGTGACCGTCTATGAGGAAGTGGGCCCTCTCCAGACACCAAAACTGCCGGTACCTTGTTCATGGATTTCCCAGCCGCCAGAACCGTGAGAGATACATTTCTTTTGTTTATAAGCCACTCAGTCTGTGGTAGTTTGCTATTGCAGCCTGAAAAGACTAAGACAAGGTGTGAAGCCAGGGCCCTACTTGAGCACAGTCAGAGAATCTTCTCTCCTGCTGGTAAAGAGCAGGGACATCTGAGGACAGATTCAGGACTTAATCACAATCATAACATGGCTCCAGAGAAGGTTGAATTTTCAACCTACCCACGGCCACAGAGCAAGATCAGGGTCCTGATTGGAAAAGATTGGGACCCTGAAAATTGGGATGGGGACATCTATGCTAATGCACTTAAATAATGGATCCTCAGACCCTGGAGCCCCTGACCCTGCAGAAGTGAATAGCACTGTTGGAGCCAGCACTCTCCCTGGCCTTGCAAGAGAACACATTCCTTTGGGCTCTACCCCAGCACTCCTCTTAGACACAAGATCAGTAAGAAGAGTGAGCTCACGATACAAGTGCTGGGCCTGCCAAGGGAGGAAAGGGACCGTACCCCAAAGGACGTGCAGAACCTAGTTAACATGTGCCAGCAAGCCTACGAGAGAACATGTGAAAGCAAATGCTAAGAGTGCCAAATCAAGGGGGTGACAGGACATAATGTGAAATAAGGCAGAGTTTATTAATATGGGAAAAATTCCTGGGTGTACAGCATTTAACAACATGGCTAAGATCACAAGACTAACACATTTCTGGCATGGCTTTCAGTCTGGGCCATCACTTTCTCCAAGCTTCTTTTGATTTTATTTTTATTGACAAATAATAATTATATGTATTTCTGGGATACAATGATGCTTCAATACATGTATACATTGTGGGATGAGCAAATCAGGCAATTAAACTATTCACCTTAAATACTTATTTCTTTTTGGTGAAAACATTTAAAATTCACTCTTTTAGCAATTTTGAAGTTTACAATGCATTGTTATTAACTAAAGTTAATAGTCACCTTGCTGGGTAAGAGATCACCAGAACATTTTCCTTCTGTCTAATTGAAACTTTGTACCCTTTGACTAACCTCTCCCCTTTCCCCACCCAGTCTACCCCCCACCTCACCTCTGGTAACCACCATTCTATTCTCTACTTCTATGAGTTTGAATGTTTAGATTTCACAGATAAGTGAGATAATAAAATATTTGTATTTCTATGGGTGGCTTATTTCACTTAGCTTAATGTCCTCTA
Organism: Homo sapiens; assembly: GCF_000001405.40. NCBI lineage: Eukaryota > Metazoa > Chordata > Mammalia > Primates > Hominidae > Homo > Homo sapiens. Next base: position 77,626,494 of record NC_000004.12, read on the forward strand.
AATTCATCCATGTTGTCACAAATGACAGAATTTTGTTGTCTTCTAAGGCTAAACAGTATTCCATTGTGTATATGTATCACATTTTTAATCCACTCGTCTATTGGTGGGCGCTTAGTTTATTTCCAAATTTTGGCTATTATGAATAATGCTGAAATAAACATGGGAGTGCAGACATCTCGTCAATATACAGATTTCAATTGCTTTGGATATATACCCAGAAGTGGAATTGTTGGTGCATATGGTAATTCTATTTTTAGTTTTTTGAGGAACCTCCATACTGTTTTCCAAAATGGCTGTACTAATTTACATTCCCACCAACAATATACAAGGGTTTCTTTTTTTCCCGCATTCTCACCAACACTTGTTATCTTTCATCTATTTGATAAGAGCCATTCTAAGATAAGAGGTGTTATATATCTCATTGTGGTTTTAATGTGTATTCCCCTGATTATTAGTAATTTTTTTTTCATATGTCTACTGGCCTTTTGTATATCTTCTTTTGAAAAAGGATCTATTCATGTCCTTTGCCCCCTCCCCACCTTTTTTTGAGACAGGGTCTTGCTCTGTCACCCAGGCTGGAGTTACAGAGCAGTGACGTTATAGCTCAGTGTAGCCTCAACCTCCTGGGCTCAAGACATCCTCCCGCCTCAGCATCCCAACTAGCTGGTACTACAGGTGTGTGCCACCACATCTGGCAATTTTTTTTTTTCTTTTGGTAGAGACAGGGTCTCACTTCGTTGCCTGGGCTGTTCTTGAACTCCTAGCCTAAAGCCATCCTCCCACCTTGGCCTCCCAAACTGTTGGGATTACAGGCACAAGCCGCTATGCCCAGTCTTTGCCCATTTTTTAATAGTTTTTTTTTTTGTTTTTGGGTAGCTGGAGTTCCTTATATATTTTTGATATGAACCCTTTATCTGATGTATGATTTGCAAATATTTTCTCCCAGTTCATGGGTTGTCTTTTCACTGTTTTTTTAGAAGCTTTATAGTTTGATGCAATCCCATTTTTCTATTTTTGCTTTTGTTGCCTGTGCTTTTGGGGTCATATGCAAGAAATCATTGCACAGACCAATGTTATACAGTTTTTACACATGTTTTCTACTAGTAATTTTACAGAAGTCTTACATTTAATCTTTAAGCTATTTTTAGTTGATTATCGTATAAGGAGTGAGATAAGAGTCCAATTTCAATCTTCTACATGTGATGTCCTGATTTCTAAACATCATTTATTGAAAATACTGTCCTATCCTCATTGTGGTGAGTTATTGGCCTCTTTGTGGAAAATTAATTGACTATAGATGTGTGGGTTTATTTTGGGGCTTTCTATCATGTTCTATTGGTTAGTGTGTCTGTCTTTATGCCAATATCATTCTGTTTTAATTACTGTAGCTTTGTAATATACAGGCATACCTCAGAGATACTGCAAGTTTGGTTCCAGACCACTGCAAAAAGGCAAATATTACAATAAAAGCCAGTGACCCAATTTTTTTGGTTTCCCAGTGCATATAAAAATGTGTCTGTAAATATGTCTAAAAAAACTATGTACATACTTTAGCTTTAAAATGCTGATGATTGGCCGGGCATGGTGGCTCACGCCTGTAATCCCAGCACTTTGGGAGGCCGAGGCGGGCGGATCACGAGGTCAGGAGACGGAGACCATCCTGGCTAACACGGTGAAACCCCGTCTCTACTAAAAATAGAAAAAATTAGCCGGGCATGGTAGCGGGCGCCTGTAGTCCCAGCTACTCGGGAGGCTGAGGCAGGAGAATGGCGTGAACCTGGGAGGCGGAGCTTGCAGTGAGAAGAGATCGTGCCACTGCACTCCAGCCTGGGCGACAGAGCAAGTCTCCGACTCAAAAAAACAAAAAACAAAACAGAATGCTTATGATCATCTGAGCCTTCCTTGAGTCAACCTTTTTGCTGTTAGGGTCTTGCTTGCCTCAATGTTTATGGCTGCTAACTGATTAGGGTGGTGGTTGCTGAAAGCTGGGATGGCTGTGGCGATTTCTTAAAATGAGACAACCATGAAGGTGTCATTGTTGTCATGTGGCAACAATAATGTTGCTGCATCCATTGACCCTTCCTTTCATGAAAGATTTCTCTGTAGCCTGTGATGCAACATGATAACATTTTACCCACAGTAGAATTTTCAAAATTGGAGTCGGTCCTCACACACACTGCTGCTACTTTATCAAATAAATCTATGGAATATTCTAAATTCTTTGTTGTCATTTCAACTGTGTTCACCAAGAGTACATTCTATCTCAAGAATCCACTTTCTTTGCTCGTTTCTAAGAAGCAACTCTTCATCCATTCAAGTTTTATCAGGTGGTTGCAGCAATTCAGTTACATCTTCAAGCTGCATTTCTAGTTCTCTTATTTCTATCACCTCTGCAGTTACTTCCTCCACTGAAGTTTTGAACCCCTCAAAGACATCCTTGAGGGTTGGAGTCAACTTCTTCCAAACTCCTGTAAATGTTGATATTTTGGCCGTCTCCCATGAATCACAAATGGTCTTACTGGCATCTAGGATGCTGTAGCCTCGCCAGATTTTCAATTTACTTTGCCCAGATCCATCAGAAGAATCATTATCTATGGCTTCTGTAGCCTTACAAAATATATTTCTTAAATGATAAGACTTAAAAGTCAATTTCTCCTTAATCCATGGACTGCAGGATAGATGTTGTATTAGCAGGAGATAAAAACAGGAGATTAGCAGGAGATAAAAACAACTTTAATCTCCTTGTATACCTCCAGAGCTTTTGGGTGACTAGGTGCATTGTCAATCAGCAGTAATATGTTGAAAGGATTCTTTTTCTGTTTTTCTGAGCTTTCCTTTTACATCAACAGTGGGCTTAAAATATTCAGTAAATTATGCTGTAAACAGATGTGCTGTCATCCAGGCATTTATAGAGAACAGCCAGAGTAGATTCAGCGTAGTTCTAAGGGCCCTAGAATTTCCAGAATGGCAAATAAGCATTGGCTCCAACTTAAAGTCACCAGCTGCATTAGCCCCTAACAAGGAGGTGAGCTTGTCATTTGAAGCTTTGAAGTCAGGTATTGATTTATCCTCTCTAGCTATGAAAGTCCTAGATGGCATCTCCTTCCAATAGGAGACTGTTTTGTCTACCTTGAAAATCTGTTCTTTAGTTGTAGCCACCTTCATTGATTATCTTAGCTAGATCTTCTGGAAAACTTGCTGCAGCTTCTACATCAGCACTTGCTGCTTCACCTTGCACTTTTATGTTCCAGGGAAGGCTTCTTAAACCTCATGAACCAACATCTGCTAGCTTCCAACTTCTGCTGCTTCCTCACCTCTCTCTGCCATCATAGAATTGAAGAGAGTTGGGACCTTTCTCTGGATCAGGCTTTGGTTTAAGGGAATGTTGTAGGTGGTTTGATCTTCTATCCAGACCACTAATACTTTCTCCATTTCAATAAGGGAGTTTCACTTTCTTTTCATTCATCTGTTCATTGGAGTGGCACTTTAAATTTCCTTTGAGATCTTTTTCTTTGCATTCACAGCTTGGCTGTTTGGTGCAAGAGGCCTAGCTTTCGGCCTATCTTGGCTTTTGACATGTGTTCTTCACTAAGCTTAGTCATTTCTAGCTTTTGATTTAAAGTGAGAAACATGTGATTCTTCCTTTCAGTTAAACACTTAAAGACCATTGTTCGGTTATTACTTGGCCTAATTTCAATATTGTTCTGTCTCAGGGAGTAGAGATGCCCAAAGAGAGGGGAGAGATGAGGGAACAGCTGGTCATTGGGACAATCAGAACACACACAGCATTTATCAATTAAGTTTTCCATCTTATATGGGTACAGTTTGTGGCACCACAAAGTATTACAATAGTACCATCAAAAATCATTGATCACAGACCACTATAACAGATGTCATAATAATGACAAAAATTGAAATATTGCAAGAATTACCAAAATGTGACATACATGAAGTGAGGACAAAATGGCACCAATAGGCTTGCTCAACACAGGGTTGCCACAAAACTTTAATTTGGTTTTTTTTTTAAGTATCTGCAAAGTACAATAAAGCAAATGTCAGTTTCAAGCCCCAGCTGAGGTCAGAGGGGTGTGGGTAGATGGGGCGGGGGGCAGGGAGCTGGAAGAACACTCGAGAGAGAGCAGGTAGATGAGACATGGCTTTATTCAGCAGCTCTTTCACAGTGTCAGTGTTACATTTGTACACCTCACAAATGATAGTGGCTGAGAGCCAAATGATGAGCTTCTCTGTGTTATGTCTACCTAGCTGTGATTATATCAGGCACAGGATTGCGCGCGTGTGCTCTAATCCCACTGTGTCATGCAGGATTTTTACCTCGGCCTATGCCTGCCTGGCAGCAACACAGCCATGTTCCTTACACTCCGCCCCCTAGGCCAAGGGGGTCCTCTTAATGGGAACTCGTGCACATAGGGGAGCACCCTGGACCCAGAGGCCACAGCAACAATAAAGAGAGCAACAACCTACTACTAATATTCCTGCTATGCTACCTATGATTATAAGAGCCCAGTGTAGGCCAGAGCCCAGAGACACCCACCATCTCTGCAGGCGGTCATCAGTAAGGTATTCAATTGCCTTAATCTCCTATGACATGACACCCCCTGCAAAGCTGCCACTATGTTCTGGTGGTTGTCAGGGATGAATGTACAACACTCTGTCCCTACAAGGGCACAGGTGCCACCTTGAGCAGCTGTGACTATGTCTAAGGCCATCCGGTTTTGCATCACCACCTTCCTGATCTGATCAAACTCATCAATTAACAAAAGGAGGGCAGCTCAGGTGTAATTCATGGGCCCAATCTCTGTGTTCTGCAAGGGCTGTAACCTGCATTTCTACAGTGATGACACCTGTTCCAGGGACAGTTATTGCTAAGGGGTAGAACCACTAGGGGCTCAATGCACTCACAAAAACTGGGAACACAGCACCTCCCAGTTATGTGTGTGACTAAGCAATGTGGGAAGCACAGTGGCAGGCACAGAAGGCCACTCCCAGGTACAATGTCCAGTCTAGTTGGCTGGCAGATATGGCCATCCTATGTCCCCACAGACCTATAAACTCCCAGCAGGCACAAAGTCCATGGGGGCCCAGCCTTGGTAGGGCTGCTTGTTCCACCACATCCTTGGCATGGTGGCATGTGTTACGTTTGCACAGGTCTCAGCAGGCAACCATCCCACAGTGACCTTACCCCAGTGTTGCTCTATACATCGTGGTACTTGCAATGGGGCCACCATGTTTTCTCCCATTAGCCAGCCCCATTCATCATGGATGCTATGAGTCAGCCAGGGGGCAGGCTTGCCATGGGTTTTGTGACACCCCCATCCAAAGCTCACCATGTTGCATCCCGCCCATTGTCTGTGGGACCCCAAGTTTCTAGCCATGTCCAGTTCTTCACAAAAGCTGGATGCACATGCCAAGGCAAGCCATCCACAGCTGCTGCTGGAAGGGTGGTGCAGATCTAACAGTTGGAGACATTGGCCACCTCAGCATAGGTGTGAGCCCAGTCCACAATGTTGTTGGAGCATGCCAACCTGTGGCTGAAACAACAAAGCAGGCACAGGTACTAACAGGGGTAAATCACATCCTTCAGGCAGAATACAGGCTAACTTTTCATCCCTGGATAACAATGCAGCTACCAAGGGCTTCTGCCCTGGGCAATGATACAACACGTTCTCAGCTCCCCATGGTTCTTTTGGGTCTTGTATCCATGGCAAAGTCATAGGGGAGCTTATAATAGGCCACATAGACAGTACATATGTCCCCCAGAGGAGGGTCCCTTCTCTGGTCATTCCCCTACGAATGGTTAGTTTGGAGACCACACATTAAATACCCAAGGAGCAACATGTAAGTCATACTGCAGACCCTCCCCTGAGGGGGCTACGATAGCCAACCATCTGCAATGGGGGGCTTGGAGGGTTCATGGCCAATGTCAGGTTTTCTGTTCCCCTGCCTTCAGAGGCATTGGGGCAGGCAACAATAGATTACCATTCGTCCCCATACCTGGTCAGAGGAGGTCATCCTTGGTGTGTATCTGTAGTTGGATGGGGGCAGTGGCCTGGTGTAACAGTGCCTCCACCGGGGCCGGGCCACCTTTCCATGGCCACATTTTCAAGATTTGAAGCACCAGGTCCAACCTGGAACTCCAGCCCCACAAAGATGGGTGGGGAGGAGGGGTGGGGAACATGCAAATGTAACCCGTTCTTCAGGAGTCCATTATATTGCTCAATCATGCTAGCAGCTTGTGGGTTATAAGGAACATGGAACCCCCATTGTATGTCCATCTGCTGTGCCCACTGTTGTACCTGCTGTCCAGTAAAATGTGTTCCACTATCACTTTCAATGGCCAAGGGATGGCCATATAAGTCCTGCTGTCCAGTAAAATGTGTTCCACTATCACTTTCAATGGCCAGGGGATGGCCATATAAGTCACATAAGTGTTGCAGGGCTCAAATGGTGTGTTGCTGGCCAGCCACCCTGCAAGGGTAGGTGAACAATAAGCCAATGGCCGTGTCTACAGCCATCAGTGTATACGTGTAGCCCTGCGATTTTGGCAATGGCCCAATGTAATCTCATTGCCATCTGGTCAAGGGCACCTGCCCTACTGTCACTTGTTGTGTTACATTGGGCAGTTGTCTCCATCTGGAGACATACCTCTGGAGACACATCTCGTGTAGGTGCTGACTCTAATCATCGGACCTTTGTCAAGGAGTCTGTTTCATCATTACCAGGGGTAGCCAAAGGCATATGGCTTGACACATTCTGATTACCTGTTTCCCAGAGGTCTTGCCTCATGGTTGACCCCAAATGGGCTGATTTGGGGTCAAATAAGCCAATTCTGTAATTTCCAGGTAGTCAACCACAAGGTTAAACCTCAATAGACTGCCCAGCTATTGGTGCAAAGTACCATAGGTGACTCCTCCCTGGTTATCACCATCCCCACCACTCTGAGTTCAGCCCTTTGGCTGCTTTGTCCACACCTAGTATCAACCCACATGGTGTTGGTGCTGGGCTGGACTGCTATAGCAGTCCAGGCAGCAGCAGCACCTTGGCTGGACCCATCTGTATACCATGCCCCATCAGGAATGGCAGGATGCCCTTCCTTAAACTGGGATGGCTCAGGGTCTGGGGTGCCTCAGGCCCCATGGCCTTATCTTGCATTAGGACTACCTGCTGCTAAGGACAATCTGCTGCTAAGGGATTGTACTCTGCCGCTCCAAGTAGGCACCCCACTTCTGTAAAGCGAATGTCTGTAACATTCCAGTCCAGGGGGTCATTACCCATGAACATACCCACTCCTCTATTGGGTAAGTCATCCACACGATGGCTGTAGCCCGTCCCATCATGCTCTCACAGGCCTGAAGAGTAGCATATGCAGCAGCTAATTAGTTCTCTCTTAATGAATACTGGAGCTCAGCTCCCTTCCACAGCTGGGACCAAAAGCCTACTGGTGTTCTAAAGTGCTCCATGCACTGCCATGGGCCCCAACCAAAACCATCTGTGGTTCCATGTACATCAGGTTCAAGTGGGCGCCCCTGATCAATTACTTGTGAGGTCTGTGCTTGCCAAATGGCCCACTTGTGGCCAGAAAGTCTGTTTCAGCCTCATCATCCCAATCCCTAATAGCCCCCTTTTTTTGTTAACTGGTACAACGGTTTTATCGTTTGAGCCAAATGGGGCACAAATGCCTGTCAATACTCCAAGAGGCCCCCAAAAGTCTGCAGCTGCCTCACTGTGGTAGGTCGGAGGTATGCCTAGATCTTATCAATGATGGCCTCAGGTATGATCTTTGTCTTACCTGAGCAAATAACTCCCAAGAATTTGGCAGACAATTCCGGCCCTTGGACCTTGGATTTATTGATGGCCCAACTGCACACTGCCAAATGCTGTCACAAGAGGGGCACCACCACTTCTAAATCTGTGAGAGAATCAGAGGTTAACATATCATCAATGTAATGAAACAGGCAGACCCCTTTTGGGCATTTCCAGGCAGCTAAATCCATGGCAACAAGACCAGGACAAATGGTGGGGCTATGCACACAGCCCTGTGGCAGCATGGTGAAAGTCCATTGTCATCCTTCCCACGTGAAGACAAACTTCTCCTGGCTCTCTGGAGCAATGTCAATGGAGAAGACTGCATTAGCTAAGTCCACCACAAAGTGGTACTCTTCCAGTTCCATTGTCAAGCAGTCCATCAAATTCGTGATGAAGGGTACAGCTGCATGCAGAAGGGGTGTTACTTTATTCCATTCCCAATAATCCACTGTCATATCCACCAAGTCCCACTAGGCTTTCTGACTGGCCATACTGGGGAAGTGTAGGGGCTATGGGTGCCGTGCACTATTTGTACCCCCTCTAACTTCTTAATAGTTTCAGTTATCTCTGCATGTCCCCCTGGCAAACAATATTGATGAGTGGAGGTAATCCGTCGGGGTTGTGGCAGAACTTGGGCTGATGATGTGTATGTCCATGCAGCACCAGCTTTACTACCCAAACTTGGAGTCTGAATTATCTGGCCGTGGTGTGTAAGTCCAGACTATCCAAAATGTCCACCCCAAGAAAATTCAGATATAGGAGAGACATACACAGAGTATAGGTAGGGAGCCAAGGGGCCAGTGCCAAGATGCAGAGACACTGGTTTCACCTTCACTGACTGGCCCCCATAACTGTCAATGAACACAGCTTTGCCCGGAAACTTACCCAGGTTTCTATAAACTAGACTGCAATCTGCACCAGTATCTACCAGCGCTAGGACCTGCTGTACATTAGTGGGGAACCAGTGGATTGCCAACTCCGCATGTGGCCTCCCTCCACTCCCACCTCCTTCACCCCCTGCTGCCCCAAGTTGGGCACCTCGGCCATTTCCCTAATCAAACAAGAAAGGCTCCATATCTCCACCCAACTGCAAATAGTCCTTGAGCTCCAGCGCCTGGGCAGGATTAGATTGAACAACACTGTTTTGCCCCCTCTTGGTCATTTTCCAGAATTTTTGCTCTGGGGACAATTGACTCCACAGAGCCAAGGGCATTCCATTGGGTTGCCTGTCAATTTTCTCTCGAGCAACCCCAGCTGAAAGTAAATCAGACTGCATCTGCTTGCGAGTCACCCACTGGGGCCCCTTGTTATCTCGTGGAGTGGTTACCTGTGGAGGGGACACCTTCCCCTTCTTTATGGCATGGACTCCCCAGTCCTGCCAAAGGCCTTCTGCCTCCCCAAGGGCTGCCATAGCAGTAGTCACTTCATGTGTGTGGTACCCCACATATGGGGTGAGGACAGCAGCCAGGGGGCCAAAAGCATTTGGGGATGCTGAGCCCAGCAAAACATCCATTATGTGGGAGATAAAGTGTTCATTATCTGGACCCTGGGTATTAGGATCAAACATAGTCTGCCACATACCCATCTCCCAGAGTATCTGTACCAAATCAGTATATGATTGCCATTTACTCTGTTTCTGATATTTCTCCAGCATCATTCCAGACAGTCTGTATGGCCACCATCAGCCACTCAATTAAAGTGTGGTCACCTTGCCCCTGTGCTAACCACTGGCACGGCTGCAGCCACTGATGAAGGGAGGGGTGAGTTGTGATAGAAGCCAGCTTCTCCGTCTCGGAGGCAGAGCAGGAAATGTCAGCTCCTTCATCCCAGATATGGAGTAACTGGGCAGGGAGGGGCTCCCCCAGACACTGCCGGCACTGTTTACCTAACTCTTGCAACTCATTGGGAGTTGCACTATAAGAGGTGTGTTCCACCACTGTGAGGGGTCCCTGGGCTCTTCCCCTGAGTCCCATTGGCTGCCCATATTCGACCTTCTGACGGGATCACGGGACGAGCCCACGGTGGAGGAGCCGCTTCCTCCTCAGCATCAGACTGAACGGAAGTGTCCAGCCAGGAGGTTGTGCTGACAGGTGTTGCTAACTCCTGTTCCAGGCTGTTTATCTAGGCCTCTAAGTGCCCAGCTTGTACCTGGAGGTCCTTCACCTCCAGGTTTTGCCCCAAGCTGTGAATTTGAGCCCCTAGCTGCTCAGCTTGTGCCTGAAGGTCCCTTACCTGCACCGTGTCCTATAAGGACTGAGCATGTACTTCACGCAGTACAGTTGGAAAAGCCCCATTGGACTCTGCCAGCAAAGGTGCGTTCCTTCTTGGTGCTGTGTGCCTCCAGCTGCTTCAGTGCCTTCTCCACACTCACAGGAGACCCATCCACTGCCTCCCAAGTTTCCACTGGGGCCCATTCAAGCAGCACCTCTGCCACCAGGTACCACAGCCCATGCTGCAGTCACATAACCCACCTGGGAGCCTCAGGGGCTGAAGACCCACTCACCTCATCCTGATGACTACACCAATTATCAGGTTCAAGCCCCAGCTGAGGTCTGAGGAGAGTGGGTTGATGAGGGGCAGGGAGCTGGAAGAACACTTGGGAGACAGCAGGTAGATGAGACACGGCTTTATTCAGCAGCTCTTTCACAGTATCAGTGTTATATTTATACACCTCACAAACAATAGTGGCTGAGAGCCAGGTGATGAGCTGCTTTATGTTATGTCTACATAGCTATGATTATATAAGGCACTGGATTGTGTGCCTGTGCTCCAATCCTGCTGAGTCATGCAGGATGTTTACCTTGGCCTGTGCCTGCCTGGCTGCAGTGTGGCCATGTTCCTCACAGTGAAGCACAATAAAATGAGGTACGCCTGTAGTTTGAAGTCAGTGTGATGCCCTCATCTTTGTTCTTTTTGCTCAAGCTTGCTTTAGTTATTAGGAGTCTTTTGTGGTTACATATGAATTTTCGGAGTGTTTTTTCTTTTTTGTGAAGAATGACATAATTTTGATAGGGATTGCATTGACTCTGTAGATGTCTTTGTGTAGTATGAACATTTTAACAATATTAAGTCTTCCAATTTATGAACAGGGAATATTTTTCCATTTAGTTGAGTCTTTAATTTCCTTCATCAGTGTTTTATAGTTTTCAGCATACAGATCTTTTACCTCCTTGGTTAAATTTACTCCTGAGTATTTTTAAATTCTGTAAATGTAGATGTAAATGTCCTTTTCTTGATTTATTTTTCAGATAGTTTGTTATTAGTGTATAAATATTCTACAGATTTTTGTATGTTGATTTTGTTACCTGCAATTTTACTGAATTTATCAATTCTGGAAGCTTTTCTGGTAGGGTCTTTAGGGTTTTCTATATATAAGATCATATCATCAGCAGAGACAATTTTACTTCTTCCTTTCCTATTTGGATGCCTTTTATTTTTTTTTTCTAGCCCAATTGCTCTGGCTATGACTTCCAGTACTATGTTAAATACAGAGTGGTGAAAATGGGCACCCTTGTCTTGTTCTTGATTTTAGAAGAAAACCCTTCAACTTTTCACAATTGAGTATGATGTTAGCTCTGGAACTGTCATATATACCCTTTATTGTGTGGAGAAACATTCATTCTGCACCTATTTTGTTAAGAGTCTTCATCATGAAAGAATGTTAAATTTTTTCAAGTGCTTTTTCTGCGTCTACTGTGATGATCATATGATTTTTGTCATTCATTCTGTTAATATGGTGAACCACATTTATTGAGTTGCCTATGTTGAACCCTCCTTGCATTCCAGGAATAAATCCCACTTGATCATGATGAATGATCCTTTTAACGTGCAATCGAATGTGGCTGGCCAATATTTTTTTGAGGCTTTTACCTCTATATTAATCAGGGATATTGGCCTGTAGTTTTTTCTTGTAGTGTCTTTGTCTGGTTTTTGTATTAGGGTAATGGTGGCCTTATAAAATGAGTTTGGAAGTGTTCACTCCTCTTCAATTTTGTGGAAGAGTTTGAAAGAGTGGTGTTAGTTCTTCATCAAATGCTTGGTAAAATTCAGCGGTGAGGTCATCTGGCCCTGGACTTTTCTTTGATGGGAGACTTTTTATTCAATCTTCTTATTTTGGGGCTATTAAGATTTCCAATTTCTTCATGATTCAATCTTGGTGAGTTATGCTTCTAGGAATTCACCCACTTTTTTCCAGGTAATCCAATTTGTTGTATGCACTTGTTCATAGTAGTCTGTCATGATGTTTTGTACCTCTGTGTTATCAGTTGCAATGTCTCTTATTTCATTTCTGATTTTATTTCAGTCTTCTTTTAACTGGTTTAGCTTAGGGTTTGTCATTTTTTAAAATCTTTTCAAAAAAGTAACTCTTCATTTTGTTGGGTTTTTTTTCTGTTTCTTTGTTGTTGGGGGTTGTTTGTCTCTATTTTCCTTATTTCTGTTCTGGTCTTTATTAAGAAGATCTTTTATTAAAAATGTTCTTCCTTCCACTAACTTTGGGTTTAGTTTGTTCTTCTGTTGCTAGTTCCTTGAGGTATAACATTAAGTTGCTTATTTAAGATATTTCTTGTCATTTAGTGTAACAATTTATTGCCTCTTAAAACTGTTTTTGTTGCATCTCAGTAGTTTTGGAATGTTGTGTTTTCACTTTTGCTGGTCTCAAGATATTTAATTTCTTCTTTGACCCAATAGTTGTTCATGAGCATATGTTTAATTTCCACATGTTCATGAATTTATCATGATTCTTCCTCTAATTGATTTCTAGTTTCATACCATTATGGTCTGAGAAGATACTTGATATAATTTCCATCTTCTTGAATTTAAGATTTGTTTTGTAACCTAACATATTATCTATCCTGGATAATGTTCCATGTGTACTTGAGAACAATGTATGCTGTTGCTATTGAAATGCAATGAACTACATATGTCTGTTAACCCATTTGGTCTAAAGTGTTGTTCAAGTCTAATGTTTCCTTATTGATTTTTCTGTCTGGATGATCTATTGTTAAAAGTGGGGTATTAAAATTCCCTACCATTATTGTATTGCACTCTATTTCTCCCTTCTGATCTCTTAATGTTTGCTTTAGTTAGGGGCTCCAATTTTAGGTGCTTATATACTTACAATTATTATACTCTCTTGATGAATTGACACCTTTAGCATTATATAATGATTTTTATCAGCTCTTTTTACAGCTTTTTGACTTAAAGTTTATTTTGTTTGATATAAGTTTAGCTACTCATGTTTTCTTTTTGTTTCCATTGGCTTGAATTATCTTTTTCCATTTATTTATTTTCAGTCTATGAGTATTCTTTAAAGTGAAGTAAGTCTTTTGTAGGCAAGATATAGTTGAGGTTTTTGGTATTTTCTTTTTTTAATCCATTCAGCCACTCTATGCCTTTTGATTGGAGAATTTAACCATTTACATTCAAAGTAATTATTGATAAGGACTAATGTCATTTTGTTTATTGTTTTCTGATTGTTTTGTAAGTTATTTATTTTTTCTTCCTTTCTTATTTTCTCCCTTTGTGGTATGATGTATTCTGTAGCAGTATTCTTTGAAGCTTCTCCTTTTTATCTTTTATCTACTTTATAGGCTTTTGCTGTTTATAGGGTTTTGCTTTGTGGTTATCTTGAGGCTTACATAAAACTTTGTATACTTATAACAGGCTATTTTAAGCTGATAGCAACTTAATTTTGATTGCATACACAACACTATACTCTTTTACTTCCCCTCACCCCCCATATTTTTGTTTTTGATAGCATAAATTTTTTTTATTATTTGTATTTTTTGTATGGACAGGAAATACTTATTTTTTTATTTCAGTAATTTTTGGGGAACAGGTGGTTTTTTGTTACATGGATGAGTCTTTTAGTGGTGATTTCTGAGATTTTGGTGTATCCATCACCCAAGTAGTATACACTATACCCAGTGTGTAGTTTTTTATTCCTCACCCTCTTCCTATCCTTCCCCCGAGCCCTCAAAGTATTAGTATTTCTTAATAAATTTTTGTAGCTGTGGTTTTACTAGGTTTGCCTTTTAGCCTTTATACTAGAGATATGCTTAATTTGCCCATCAACATTACAGTATTATAGTGTTTTGAATTTCACAATGTAGTTGTTTTTACTAGTGAGTTTTATACTTTCCTATGTTTTCATGTTACTAATTAGCATCCTTTTCCTTCATCTTGAAGGAACTCCCCTTAGCATTTCTTGCAAAGCAGATTTAGTGCTGGTCCCCATCATATCTCCATTTAATTCACCAATATGCCTTATACAAAATCCAGATGGATCCTGAAAATAACCTATTGCAAACCTAACCAAATATTTGTACTAATTTTATCACTGGGGCAAGCGTGGCTTTTTTGATAGAGCAGTGGTATACAGTTATTAACCTGGCAAATATGTTCTTTCCCAATCCCATCAAAAAGTTTGCATTCACTTGGAACTGACTACAGCATGCTACAAATATTATATTTATAGTGTTGCCCCAGGACTAGGTTTACTTTCTTGTTCTGTTATAATCCAACATGCCCTTATAATTTCACATTGGTCCACTATATTGACGGCATCATGCTAATCTGACTGGTTGAGCAACAAGTGGCAAGTATGTTCATGACCTTAGGAAGACACATGTCCTCCAGAAAGGGTAAAATGAAAGCTATGAAGATTCAGGAGTCATCCCTATCCAGGAATTTTTTAGGAGCCAGTGGGCTGGAACATGCCAGATCATCCCCTTCAAAGGAAAGTTTAAATTATTGCATCATGCACTTCCTACCATGAAGAAGGGAGCACGATACCTGGTGGGCCTCTCAGGTTTCTGGAATAAGAGTATTCCTATCTGGGAATACAGCTCAGTCAATATAGCCAAGTGAATGCAAGGATGTAAGCTGAGCCATGGGTATGTTCAACCACAGGTCCCAGGTAGGCCCTGTGGTTTAGGTATATTGTTTCCAAAAAGAGAAATGTTTCTACCTGAGTATATAGTAAAAGTCCTCTTAAGCTTTAGGTTATGGCAACCCCTGGGAACTTTGGATACTCATTCCACAGAACAAGCAATCAATAAGAGTCACTATCTTGGTAGATCATCAAGGGGAAGTCAGACTACCTTTACACATGCAAAACGGCATATAGCAATACATTTGGCACCTAAGAAATTTGCTCATGCATCTCTTGATATTCCCTTGCCCAATTTTGCCTGTAAATGGACAAGTGCAGCAGTCACAGGTTGACCAGGCTAGGAGCACTTGAGTGAAATAAGCCACCAAGATCAGCAGAAGTGCTAGCTGAGGATGAGGGAAATCCACAATGGATAGCAAAGTAGGGAGATAATGGGTATCAGTTATACCCTTGAGATTAGCGCTAGCTGTATAGACTATAGTTTATCTCTCTGACTTTCCTTTTATAAGTTTACCACAGGAGAGGAGGCCCACCAGAATTCTAGAGGAGCTTCTCCAAAACTCAGATGAAGTGAATCTGAATGGAGCAAGGAGTGGACTTTAGTGGATGCCTTGATGCACTGCCTAGATCCCTCTTCGTGACTGAAGGGCTTATTCTCAAGCTGCTGGGGGTTCTGGCTAGCCCTCCTTAGTTGTTTGCCCTCTCCAAAAATTTCCCTCAGCTGAAGAGAACCACCTCACAAGGTTATTCATTTTCCTGGAGACAGACTGAATCTAAAAATCTGAAAATAAGTTGTCAATGCAGGTCATTATGGCCCGTCCCCTTTACCACAATTCAGACAATTTTAAAGGGACATCCTGGCTTCAGATCTCCCTATGTAGTCAAATGATGCTTCAAACATTGATACATTCAAACTTCTCCCTCATCCCAACCCTGCTTCCTTCCTTTTCCTACACAGGGATTAATCCTGAAAGTACTTTCCAGTAAATCTCTTGAACACTAATGCCCTTCTCAGAGTCAGCTGCCTGGGGATCCCAATCTTCAATAAATAGGGAAGAAAAGAAAGCCAATAAAAATTCCACTGATGAGAATGGCATCTGGGGCTTGATGCTCCTGGAACCCTCTCAGAGACTGCATTGAACATTTCTCAGAACTTTCCCACTGGAGGATGAGGTCAGAGTATTTATCCACCAATTTCTACACCTTCATTGGCTGAGCAGTCCCTCTGGGGGTTTTAACACTCTGGCACTTTCTTTCTGCTCTGTATATGGGCTGAGGAAGCTCCTGAGGATAGAGAACACTATCAAGTAGAAAGACTCAGGAAGCCATCAGCCTATATGGGGACTGTCCCCAAGGTGAGTATAGGGATTACAAGAGGAACATTGACATCGTCTGCAACAGGGGTCATATGGCACCATGTAGTATATTTCTACTGAGGAGAGAGAAAAGCTAAATTAAGTTTGGGGACAATAATAGGAATAGATTCAAGATGATTGCTGGAATAAAGTAGCATAAATCAGAGGCTAAGCGGAGGAGAAACAGCTAATGATGCTCTGTTATCATGTGTTTTCCACATGAAGTATATGAGATAGCACTAAGAGAGTGTGGATGGGTGTAGTAGCGTTGCTCTGGGGGAAAGATATATCATGAGCATATTTTACAAACCTATAAGCATTTCACTGGTTCCTGTCTTGAAGGAAAGACTACGCTCTTGAGGGCAGGAACTATCTTACTCATTTTTGATGTCTGGAATTTCATAGGGTTAGGGTCATTCTGCCTTCCCATGCAAGGTGTTGTGATTGAGGTGATAGAGAGAGAAATAGGCTCACATATCAGCTCTGCCATTTAATAGCACTAAGGGTTTTGCTATGTTATTAAAACCATTTAAATCTCAGTTTCCTTATAAAATGGGTACAAAAATACATATTAAATAATATTGTTAAGAGAAGTCAAAGAATGCACAACACCTGGCACATCTTGTTGAGCAGTGCTCAAGAGATATCATTGCCACTTCCTCAAAAAGTTTTGAGATGAATGAATTAACATATCTAGACTTACTTTAAAATGTCAGTAATACTACAGAAATCCAAAAGTTGTTATGGAGTTCATGATTATATTGTTCAGAGCCAAATTAATGTTACAAGTTTTGATTTCAGTGACATCATCAAAGAAGGCTTCTCAAAGGCTCCAACATGTTTAGTATTTAAATTTAGTTACTACAGTATGTTTGGATGGAAACAAAGTGACAGCCACAATGGTGATTGATTAGATCATTTGAAATCTGTTTATTATTAGTGTGTTTAAAATGCCTTTTTGGACCAATGCCACTGTACTCCACTTGATAATTATACAGCAGCTTGGGATTTAAACTTTACCCTAGAATAGCATATCTGGCAAAAATATCCTTCAAACATGAAGGATGAATAAATACTTTCCCAGACAGAAGCGGAGAAATTTCATCAATACCTGACCTGTCCTACAAAAAATGCAAAGGGAGTACTTCAATCAAAAAGAAAAGGACATTAATGAACAATAAATAATCACCCAAAGGTACAACTTACTGGTAATAGTAACTACCCAGAAAAACACAGAATATGTAACTGTGGTGTGTAAACTACTCTTGTCCTAAGTAGAAAGACTAAATGGTAAATGAATCAAAAACAATAACTATAACTTTTCAACACATAGTACAACAAGATAGAAACAACAAAAAATTAAAAATTGGGGCAACAGAGTTAAGGTGTAGAATTTGTATTTGTTTTCTTTTTGCTTGTTTGTTTATGCAAATAGTGTTATCAAGTTTAAATAATGGGTTATAAGATAGTATTTGCAAGCTTTGTGGTAACCTCAAACCAAAAAGTATACAATGGATAAACAAAAAATAAAACGAAACAAAATTATATCACCAGAGAAAATCACCTTCACTAGAATAAGACAGTAAGGAAAGAAAGAAGGAAGAGAAGACCATTAAACAAGCAGAAAACAAATAACAAAATGGCAGGAGTAAGTCCTTACTTATCAACAATAACATTGAATGTAAATGGGCAAAACTCTCCAATCAAAAGACCAAGATTAGTTGAATGGATGGAACAACAAGACCCATTGATCTGTTGCCTACAAGAAACACACTTCACCTATAAAGACACATAGACTGAAAATATCAGGGTGGAAAAAGATATTCCATGCCAATGGAAACCAAAAAAGAACAAGTCACTATACTTGTATCAGACAAAATAGATTTCAAGACAAAAACCATATGAGACAAAGAAGGTCACCATATAATTATAAATGAGTCAATTTAGCAAGAAGATAGAACAATTTTAAATATATATGCACCCAACACTGGATGACCCAGATATATAAAGAAAATATCATTAGAGCTAAAGAGGGAGATAGGCCCCAATATAATAATAGCTGGAGATGTCAACACCCTACTTTCAGCATTGGACAGATCTTCTAGGCAGAAAATCAACAAGGAAACATCAGACTCTATCTGCACTACAGACTAAATGGATCTAATATTTACAGAACATTTCATCCCAGAGCTGCAGAATACACATTCTTTCCCTCAGCACATGGATCATTCTCAAGGATAGATTATTTGTTAGGTCACAAAACTCGTCTTAACACATTCAAAAAAATGAAATAATATCAAGCATCTTCTGTGACCACAATGGAATAAAACTAGAAATTAATAACAAGAGGAATTTTGGAAACTATAAAAATACATAGTAATTAAACAATATGCTTCTGAATAACCAGTGGGTCAATGAATAAGAAGGAAATTGAAAATTTTCTTGAAACAATTGATAATGGAAACACAACATACAAAAACCTATGGGATACAGCAGAAGCAGTACTAAGAGGAACATTTATAGCTGTAAGTGCCTACATCAAAGAAGAGGAAAAACTTCCAGTGAACAATCTAACAATGTATCTTAAAGAACTAGAAAGGCAAGAGAAACCAAACCCAAAATTTGTAGAAGAAATAGCAAAGGTCAGAGCAAAAATAAATGAGTTTGAAATAAAAAAATACAAAAAGTCAATGAAATAAAATGTTGTTTTTTAAAAAGTTAAACAAAATTAACCTTTAGCTAGACTAAGAAAAAAGAGATGATCCAAATAAATAATATCAGAAATAAGGAGACATTACAACTAAGACTGGAGAAATTCAAAGGATCACTAGTGGCTACTACGACCAACTATATGCCAATAATTTGAAAATCTAGAAGAAGAACAAATTCCTAGATACATACAATCTACCAAGATTGAACCAGGAAGAAATCCAAAACCTTAACAGCCCAATAAGAAGTAACGAGATTGAAGCCCTAATAAAAGTTTCCCAGTAAAGAAAAACCTGGGACCTGATAGCTTCACTGCTGAATTCTACCAAACATTTAAAGAACTAATACTAAACCTACTCAAAGTACTCCAAAACATAGAATAGGAGAGAATACTACCAAACTCATTCTACAAGGCTAGTATTAACCTGAGAGCAAAACCAAAGACACATCAAAAAAATAAGGCCAATGTCTCTGATGAATATTGATACAAAAATCCTCAGCAAAATACTAGCAAATCAAATTCAACAATACGTTAGAATTATCATTCATTATGACCAAGTGGGATTTATTCCTGGGATGCAAGGATGGTTCAACATATGCAAATCAATCAATGTGATACATAATATCAACAGAATGAAGGATAAAAACCATATGATCATTTCAATTGATGCTGAAAAGCATTTGATAAAATTCAATATTGCTTCATGATAACCATCAAAAAACTGGGGACAGAAGGAGCATACCTCAACATAATAAAAGTCATATATAACAGACCCACAGCTAGTATCATACTGAATGGGAAAAAACTGAAAGTCTCTTTTCTAAGATTTGGAACATGACAAGAATGACTACTGTCACCACTGTTATTCAACATATTGCTGGAAGTCCTAGCTAGAGCAATCAGACAAGAGAAAGATATAAAGGCATCCAAATTGGAAAGGAAGAAGTCAAATTATCCTTGTTTGCAGCTGATATGATCTTATATTTGGAAAAACCTAAAGACTCCACAGAAAACTATTAGAACTGATAAACAAATTCAGTAAAGTTGCAGGATACAAAATCCAAATACAAAAATCAGTAGCATTTCTATATATCAACAGTAAACAATCTGAAAAAGAAATTTAAAAAGTAATTCCATTTACGATCACCACACATAAAATTAAATACATATAAATTAACCAAAGAAGTGAAAGATTTCTATAATGAAAGCTATAAAACACTGATGAAAGCAACTGAAAAGAACACCAAAAAATAACAAAATATTTCATGTTCATTGACTGGAAGAATCAATATTGTTAAAACATTCATACAACCCAAAGCAATATACAGATTTAATGCAATCCCTATCAAAATACCAATGACATTCTTCACAGAAATAGGAAAAACAATCCTGAAATTTATATGAAACCATGAAAGACCCAGAACAGCCAAAGTTATCCTAAGCAAAAAGAACAAAACTGGAGGAATCACATTACCTGACTTCAAATTATACTACAGAGCTATAGTAACCAAAACAGTATGGCAGTGGCATAAAATGGACACATGGACCAATGGAAGAGAATTGAGAACCCAGAAACAAATCCACACACCTACAGTGAATTCATTTTTGACAAAGATGCCAAGAACATACACTGGAGAAAAGACAGTCTCTTCAATAAATGGTGCTGGGAAAACTGGATATCCATATGCAGAAGAATGAAACTAGACTCCTATCATCACATACAAAAATCAAATCAAAACGGATTAAAAGACTTAAATGTAAGACCTCAAACTGTGAAACTACTATAAGAAGACATTAGGGAATATCTCCAGTACATTGGTCTGGGCAAAAAAATTATTGAGCAATACCCCCACAAGCACAAGCAACTAAAGCAAAAAAAAAAAAAAAAAAGGTGGACAAATGGGATCACATCAAGTGTAAAAGCTTCTGCACAGCAAAGTATACAATCAACAAAGTGAAGAGATAATCCATAGAACAGGAGAAAATATTTGCAAACTACCCATCTGACAAAGGATTAATAACCAGAAATATAAGGAGCTCCAACAATTCTATAAGAAAAAATCTAATAATCCAATCAAAAAAGGGGCAAAAGACTTGAACATACATTTCTCAAGAGAAAACATACAAATGGCAAACAGGCATATGAAAAAGTGCTCAACATCATTGATCATCAGAGAAAGGCAAATCAAAACTATAATGAGATATCATTTCACTCCAGTTAAAATGGTTTATATCCGAGAGACGGGCAATAACTCTGGCGAGGATGTGGAGGAAATGTAACCCTTTTACACTGTTGGTAGAAGTACAAATTAGTACAACCACTGTGGAGCAGTTAGAAGGTTCCTCAAAACTAACAATTGAGCTACCATATGATCCAGCAATGCTGCTGGGTATATACCCAAAAGAAAGAAAATCAGTATATCAAAGAGATATCTGCACTCCTATGTTTGTTGAAGCACTCTTTACAATAGCTAAGATTTGGAAGCAACCTAAGTGTCCATCAGCAGATGAATGGATAAAGAAAATGTGGTACATATACACAATGGAGTAGTATTCAGCCGTAAAAAAGAATAAGATCCAGTTATTTGCTACAACATGGATGGAACTGGAATGTTAATGAAATAAGCCAGGCACAGAAAGACAAACATTGCATGTTCTCAATTATTTGTGGAATCTAAAAATTAAAACAATTGAACTTGTTGACACAGAAAGTAGAAGAATGGTTACCAGAGGCTGGGAAGCATAGTAGGGGGCTAGGGGGGAGGTGGGGATGCTTCATGGGTACCAAAAACTATACTTAGAAAGAATAGATAAGACTTAGTATTTGATAGCACAATAGGGTGACTATAATCAAGAATAATTTAATTGTACATTTTAAAATAACTTAGAGTGTTTAATTGGATTGTTTGTAACTCAAATGATAAATGCTTGAGGGGATGGTTATCCCATTCTCCATAATGTACTTATTTCACATTGCATGCCTGTATCAAAACATCTCATGTACCTCATAAATACATACACATACTATGTACCCACAAAAAATTTAAAAATAAAATAAGAGGCCAGGCGCAGTGGCTCACACCTGTAATCCCAGTGCTTTGGGAGGCCAAGGCAGATGGATCACTTGAGGTCAAGAGTTTGACACCAGTCTGGGCATCATGTTGAAACCCCATATCTACTAAAAATACAAAAAAAAAAAATTAGCTGGGTGTGGTAGGGCGGGGGGCACCTGTAATCCTAGCTGATTGGGAGGCTGAAAATCACTTGAATCCAAGAGGCGGAGGTTGCAGTGAGCTGAGATCGTGCCACTGCACTCCAGCCTGGGCAACAGGGTGAGACTGCATCTCAAATAAAAAAAATAAATAAGAATAACGATAGTAAACGGGAAGAGCTGACCTTCTTTAGGGGCTGTGACCTTAAGAGCTTGAGAAACCTTCTGCACAAAATAGAAGTAACTACTTCCCTACTTTTGCTCAAGGCAGTGATACCTCAGCTTCAGTACGTAAGACAGAGTCATTGTAGTAGTTTCATCACCACTCTAGTTTAAACTTAGATCCCTCCTCGCACTCTCAACAGAAATATTGAAGGTAAGGGATGCATATGATTGCTAGCAGATCCTTTGCACTTGGAAAGTATGTTTTGATGATGATAACAACATCAAATTTCAACTAGGCAAAGAGTCATGTAACTTTCCTCAATAAACTTTTAAAGCAGTCCTGTGAAGTGGACAAGACAGATATTGGGAGCCCTGTTTATAGGTGGCTTTTAAGTGGCAAAGATGGAGTAAGACCTATTAAATCATCAATAATGTTACCCATGATTCTAATACTCATTAAATTCTTGAATCGCCTCTATTCTATCTCTCCCAAATGGCTGCTAGCCTATAGGTGAATACCACCAATGTTACAGAACCCACTATGAGAAAGAGAGGTATATTGAGGGCCCAACCTCAGAACAATGCTTAAACTGTATAAACCAGGGCACTTCAAAGAAACAGAAACAATAGTGTCTGTCTGTCTGTCTTTCTCTCTCTCTCTCAAAATCCATATATGTATAATATAAAGATTATGAGGAACTGACTCACATGATAATGGAGGCTGAGAAGGTTCATGATTCCCATCTGCAAGCTGGAGACCCAGGAAAGCTGGTGGTGTAATTTCAGTCCAAATCCAAAGGCCCGAATCCCTGTGTCCTCTGGGTTTCTGTTCTATTCAGGCCCCTCAGTGGATTTGATGATACCCACCCACATTGAGGAGGGCAATCTGTTTGACTGAGTCAACCAATTCAAATGCTAATCTCATCCAGAAATACCTTCACACGCACACCCCGAAACAGTGTTTAATTAATATGGGCACCCCATGGAGCAGTCAAGTTGATATATAAAATTAGCCATCACAGAAGCCATCTCAACTTTAGAACCCCATGGGGTTTCTAGGCCTTTGTTGTGACTGCATCCCAGCCCAACTTCTTCCACTACCTCAAGGCTATATGAAAGACTGTTAGCAGTTCATGTGGAGTTACCAGTGTACTGTGAATGCCTATCCCACCCTCTTAGTGGGAGTGAGTGTGATGATTAGTTTTATATGCCAATATGGCTAGGCTATAGTACCCAATTATTCCATTAAACACTAATCTGGATGTTGCTGTGAAGTTATTTTGTAGGTGCAGTTAACATCTGTCAGTTGACCTTAAGTATATAATAAAGATAATAATAAAGATATTATTGTCTTCAATAATCTGGGTGGCCTAGATTGAATCCAATCCATTGAAAGGCCTTATGAGCAAAATTGAGGTGTCTCTGAGGAAGAAGAAATTTTGCTTATGAATTATAGCATCAGCTCCTGCCTAGGAGTTTTGGGCCTGCCACCCTGTCCTACAGATTTCAGACCTGCAAACTCCCACAATCAATATAAGCCAATTTCTTGAAATCTCTTTAATATCTTGAAATAAACATAGTGGTGTGGTGGTGGGGCCAGATGGACAGGGTTGAAGAATGAAAGATAATAAGGAAATGGAAACAGAGGACAGAAGTTCACCTTTAAAAAAGTTTTAAATTTACTTTTGAGGGGTTTGGTTGTGATGGTAAGAGATTGGGGGTCAGCTGGAGATGGATGTGAGATCACTGGAGTTGGGGCGTGTGTGTGTGTGTGTGTGTGTGTGTAAGACTAATGGAATGCTATTGAAATGACCTAATGGAGAGGAAAACGTTGAAGACAGAAGATAAAAGAGACAAGACATGGCATAAAGTTCCAAAGTGGAGAGTGGGGGAGGTCCTGGGCACAGCAGGAGAGATTGGCCTTGGATGCAGAGGGAGGGCAGTTACTCTATAAGAAGAAAACTAGGAAGGAGGAAAGAATGAATGTAAATCTGACAGGGAATAGAGATCTGGAAATGGGAAAGTAAAATGGGTTTTCCAAAACAGCTGCAATTTTCTTTATGAAATTAGAAGTAATAGTAGAAAGTAAAATTCTGACTTATCTGCTCATTGATTAGCTTGTATACTACTTGCCAGCATATATTTGAGAATCCAATAAATGAATGAATGTTGACCTTTGTTGTGTTTTTATAATGGTTGATAAAGTTTTTAGTAAAATTGCTGAAAAGGTTTTAAAAATTCCAAATGATCACTTCCAGCTAGCTTTTGGGCCACCTATAAATAAATCATTTCACAGCTGCTAAAGTGGAGTTTGGAAATCCCCTACTCAAATGTAAACAGAAGACTCTCCCAATGTACTTTTCTTTTTCTTTTTTTTTTTTTTTTAAGCTCAGTCAGCAGGACTCAAAACTTCCTTCACTCTCTGTGAAAATTAAAGGGAAGCCGTGACTTTATGTGGTCTCCATAGATGGAAACCATTTTGCATTTATGCTCTCTGATCTTGATTGATCCCATAACACTGTTCTCAATCTTTTATCTTTGGAAGGAAAAAAAATGGTGATACAGAAGACATGGAGATTAAAATAATAAATTCCTATTTTCCCAGCTCCAGAATCAACAACTGCTAACATTTAGTCATATTTACTTCAAATCTCTTTTTTTCTTTTTACTAAAAGGCATGAAATGTAACCAGTAAAGTTGAAAAGTCCTTGAGTGTGGAAAAGTCAATAGAAAAAGCTTGGTGGCCAGGTGCAGTGGCTCACGCCTGTAATGCCAACAATTTGGGAGGCTGAGGCGGGCAGATCACTTGAGGTTAGGAGTTTGAGATCAGCCTGGCCAACATGGTGAAACCCCATCTCTACTAAAAATACAAAAATTAGCCGGGCTTGGTGGTGCACATCTGTAATCCCAGCTACTTGGGAGGCTAAGGCAGGAAAATCGCTTGAACCCAAGAGGCAGAGGTTGCAGTGAGCCAATATCACACCATTGCACTCCAGCCTGGGCAACAAGAGTGAGACTTTGTCTCAAAAAAGAAAGAAAGAGCTTAAAGATGTGGGGGATAATCAGTTGATCAAGGTCCTTAGAAGGTGATTGGTGGTTCATGACAGTTATGAGGAGAAAGTATGACAGAACACTGGGGAAAAGATTAGCCTAGGAAAGAGAGGAGTCCTCCTCTTCTCTTAGGAGAGGGCAGTAGAAAGATTCAAGTTGGTGGCAGAAAGTTGAGAAAGTTTTTGTCTTATTGTTGTTACTTTTTCTGTGAGGTAGAAACTCACTTAAGCCCATCCATTTGTTAAGCTTGAAGGGGAAGTTAGTGTGCTCAGGAGCTTGAAGAAAATGGAGATTTGAAGTGCAGGAGGCAAAAGGGACCTGATATGGTTCTGGCTCAGTAAGTTACTTCCTCTGGGACTTTAGTCAAATCTGAATATCCTCTGTTGCAGTATCTTCTGTCAAAGGATAGAATTACAACAAATGGTGTCTAAGGTCTTTTCAGAATGTGAATCACAGGGTCTACCTTCAAGTTAACCCAAACCATTGGAAAGGCTTCTCCCAGAATTCTCATTTTAGGAGTGCTTCAAGGCAGGGCCACCCTTTACAATGTGATTCTATTCAATGGTCTGGGAAGCTGGCTGGCTGAAAAATTTCAGTGTGTTTCCCTCATTGTGAGTTGTGACACAGCTCCTCTGTTTTAAAGATGGCACTTTGCCAGCATTAACTAACTTCGTTGTTCATGACAGTTTTGAGGAGGAAACGGTGACATGCAGTCCAAAGTCTTGAGTACTTTATGCCATGCCAAAATGCTATAAAATCATCAAGTATCACCACTTAAAAGAATTTTAGCAATCATTTTATTCAAACACTCAACCAGAGCACGGGGTCACATAGAAAGAACATTGCACAAATAGCATTGACTGATTTTTTTTTCCATCCTTTATGACTTTGGGGCACAGTATTATGTTCTTGTTCTATGCCAAAATAGACTTTACTATGACAAGTATAAGCTACCAGGAATATTGTGACAGCACAGACACTGTCAGTGATATTGTCAGTGACATTGTCAGAGTGACAGCAGACAGACTGTTAAGATGCACCTCAGAATAGTACTTAGTCCTCATGAACTCCTTTAGCAGCAGCAACGATAGGAAAAAAGCTGTCTTGACTTCTGGTGGTCCTGTTCCAGCTACCTCTTGGTTAGCTGAAGTTTGCTCTCCGATAGATTTCTTAAGAAGGGGCCTTCAGAGCAGTAATTCATGAGTTCTTGAATGTCCAAAACTTCCTTTTGCCTTTATCCTTGAATGGCAGTTTGTCTAGATTATCCCTAGCACAACTGACTAGTCATAGTTCTCTATCCTTTCCTCATTGCATCCTTTCTTGCTTTGAAGGAAGGTGCATAACCAATTTTTTTGTAAGAATAGTCACTAATATTACTTGAAGGGTTATAAGAGATTTTTAAGTTAACACTCAGTGCAGTTATACTGTTATATCCTTTATATTTATGCCTTTGGGGAAAGGGATGTCTGTTATCTGAGAAATGGTTATGTTAAAGAAAAAAACAAAATGGTCTTGGTTGAGACTTGGCTGGAAATTACATTTCTAAATTTGTTTACTGTTTAAGAAACAAGCTACTCTGAAAAGATTTGATCACCACATATTTAGTGTGTGTTCAAAAGTAATTATTAACACTCCACTCCTGCTTGCCAATGAATATTGATTGTATTGTCCCTACAGAGAGTAAAAGAAATCTCAGAAGTCCTCTACCACAGAGGAACTTGCATGACAATATAGCACTGTTCTCTGTTATTGAGACTATGGTAATACAGCTTTCTAATCAACCAGTAGGGACTTTTTCCTTTAAGTTTCAACATAATCCAAATGAGCAGCTAACATTGTTGGTTTAAGATAAGGATCTTTTTTACTGGAACCTTATATAGGAGAGAATAATGACAGTAAACAAAACCAGCGTGCTCAGAGATGTGTGACTTCAAATATGCTATTGTCGTTGGTCTTGGGCTCACCTTATCCTGAGGAATATTTCCTTCCTCTTATTAACCTTTATCATTAGAAACAGAAATATATCTAATCTTAAGTGAGGTGAAGAAAACACTACTTCACCTGAGTACAACTCTGAGATCATGAATTCCCAGAGTTGAAAAGGACAGCAGAAGTCACCTAACCAAATAACCTAATTGTCCAGATGAGGAAAAAGTAATCTAAGTTGACTAACAGCATTGCCAAGGTCACATAACTAGTAGATCTGAGAGTAAAGCCCGAGCCAAGATGGCTCATACTTCCTTATCCAATGTTCTTTTTGTCATGCAATCCTAATCTTGATATAGAAAAAAAGAGGAAGACACAGAATTCCAGACCTAATTGTATTAACAGAATACAATTTTCAAAGCAAAATGAACTAAGAGCCAAAGATACATACAAATGAAACATTCCCCTACTCAAAGACATTCTTGGCTTCCTGTAGTTTCAAAGTCTATTTGAAATCTTTGTCTCCTGCCCTTCACACCATTCCAATAGCTTGGAGACTGATGTCAAGATTTCAAATCTAAAACACAAAATGGCAAAATCAATTTGGTCTAATTCTTCATACTTAAGTCAATTAAATCTGTGATCTCATAGAAAAACAGTTTCTTAGATGATCGTCATGGAATAAATAAGTTTTGGACCCAAGTCTTTGTAGTGTCTATCATTCTGTTGCCCACTGGGATTCTGCTCATTACAAGAGAGTCATCAAAAAAGAAGTTCCAGAAGTTTAATTCAAAAAACAACATTAGGAGTGGCTGGCAAGATGGCCGAACAAGAACAGCTCCAGTCTGCAGCTTCCAGCAAGATCAATGCAGAAAGTGGGTGATTTCTGCATTTCCAACTGAGGTTCCCAGCTCATCTCACTGGGACTAGTTAGACAGTGTGTGCATCCCACGGAGGGCGAGCTGAAACAGGGTGGGGCATTGCCTCACCTGGGAAGCACAAGGGGTCAGGGAACTCCCTCCCCTAGCCAAGGGAAGCTGTGAGGGACTCTGCCATGATGAACAGTGCATTCCAGCCCAGATACTCCACTTTTCCCACAGTCTTCGCAACCCACTGACAAGGATATTCCCTCGGGTGCCTACACCACGAGGGCCCTGGGTTTCAATCACAAAACCGGGCAGCTGTTTGGGCAGACACCAAGCTAGCTGCAGGAGTTTTTTTTTTTTTTCAAACCCCAGTGGTGCCTGGAACACCAGTGAGACCTAACCATTCACTCCCCTGGAAAGCGGGCTGAAGCCAGGGAGCCAAGTGGTCCAGCTCAGCACATCCCACCCCCATGGAGCCCAGCAATCTAAGATCCACTGGCTTGAAATTCTCACTGCCAGCACAGCAGTCTGAAGTTGACCTGGGATGCTGGAGCTTGGTGGGGGGAGGGGCAGCTGCCATCACTGAGGCTTGGGTAGGCGGTTTTTCCCTCACAGTGTAAACGAAGCCGCCAGGAAGCTCAAACTCGGTGGAGCCCACCACAGCTCTGCAAAGCCGCTGTAGCCAGACTCTAGATTCCTCCTCTCTGGGCAGGGCATCTCTGAAAGAAAGTCAGCAGCCCCAGTCAGGGGTTTATAGATAAAACTCCCATCTCCCTGAGACAAAGCACCTCGGGGAAGGGGCAGCTGTGGGCACAGCTTCAGCAGACTTAAACGTTCCTGCCTGCCAGCTCTGAAGAGAGTAGCAGATCTCCCAGCACAATGCTCAAGCTCTGCTAAGGGACAGACTGCCTCCTCAAGGGGGTCCCTGACCCCATGCCACCTGACTGGGAGACACTTCATACAGAAGAGCTCTGGCTGGCATCTGGCGGGTGCCCCTCTGGGATGAAGCTTCCAGAGGAAGGAGCAGCAGCAATCTTTGCTCTTCTGCAGCTTCCACGGGTGATACCCAGGCAAAGAGAGTATGGAGTGGACCTCCAGCAAACTCCAGCAGACCTGCAGTGGAGGGGGCTGACTGTTAGAAGGAAAACAAACAGAAAGGAAGAGCATCAATATCAACAAAAAGGACGTCCACACAGAAACCCCTTCTGAAGGTCACCAACATCAAAGACCAAAGGTAGATAAATCCACGAAGATGAGGTAAAACCAGCACAAAAAGGCTGAAAATTCCAAAAACAAGAATGCCTCTTCTCCTCCAAAGGATCACAACTCCTTGCCAGCAAGGGAACAAAACTGGAGAGAGAATGAGTTTGTTAAATTGACAGAAGTAGGCTTTAGAAGGTGGGTAATAAACTCCTCTGAGCTAAAGGAACATGTTCTAACCCAATGCAAGGAAACTAAGAACCTTGTAAAAAGGTTAGACGAATTGCTAACTAGAATAACCAGCTTAGAGAAGAACATAAATGACCTGATGGACCTGAAAAACACAGCATGAGAACTTCGGGAAGCATACACATGTATCAATAGCTGAATTGATCAAGTGGAAGAAAGGATATCAGAGATTGAAGATCAACTTAAAGAAAGTGTAAAGACAAGATTAGACAAAAAAGTATGAAAAGGAATGAACAAATCATCCAAGAAATATGGGACCATGTGAAAAGACCAAACCTACATTTGATTGGTGTACCTCAAAGTGATGGGGAGAAGGGAACCAACTTGGAAGACACTCTTCAGAATATTATCCAGGAGAACTTCCCCAACCTAGCAAGACAGGCCAACATTCAAATTCAGGAAATACAGAGAACATCACAAAGATACTCCTCAAGAAGATCAACCCCAAGACACATAATCTTCAGATTCACCAAGGTTGAAATTAAGGAAAAAATGTTAAGGACGGCCAGAGAGAAAGGTTGGGTTACCCACAAAGGGAAGCCCATCAGACTAACATCAGATCTCTCAGCATAAATCCTACAAGCCAGAAGAGAGTGGGGGCCAATATTCCACATTCTTAAAGAAAAGAATTTTCAACTCAGAATTTCATATCCAGCCAAACTAAGTTTCATAAGTGAAGGAGAAATAAAATCCTTTACAGACAAGCAAATGCTGAGAGATTTTGTTACCACTAGGCCTGCCTTACAAGAGCTCCTGAAGGGAGTGCTAAATATGGAAAGGAAAAAACGGTACCAGCCACTGCAAAACCATACCAAATTGTAAAGACCATGGACACTATGAAGAAACTGCATCAACTAACAAGCAAAATAACCAGCTAGCATCATAATGACAGGATAAAATTCACACATAACAATATTAACCTTAAATGTAAACAGGCTAATTGCCAGAATTAAAAGACACAGACTGGCAAATTGGATAAAGGGTCAAGACCCGTTGGTGTGCTATGTTCAGGAGATCTGTCTGATGTGCAAAGATACACATAAGCTCAAAATAAAGGGATGGAGGAAGATTTACCAAGCAAATGGAAAGCAAAAAAAAGCAGGGGTTGCAATCCTGGTCTCTGATAAAACAGACTTTAAATCAACAAAGATCAAAAAAGACAAAGAAGAGCATTACATAATGGTAAAGGGATCAATGCAACAAGAAGAGCTAACTATCCTAAATATATATGCACCCAATACAGGAACACCCAGGTTCATAAAGCAAGTTCTTAGAGACCTACAAAGAGACTTAGACTCCCACACAATAAAGTAGGAGACTTTAATACCCCACTGTCAATATTAGACAGATCAATGAGACAGAAAATTAAAAAGGATATCCAGAACTTGAACTCAGCCCTGGACCAAGCAGGCCTAATAGACATCTACAGAGCTCTACACCTCAAATTAACAGAATATACATTCTTCTCAGTACCCCATCACACATATTCTAAAATTGATCACATAATTGGAAGTAAAACACTCCTCAGCAAATGCAGAAGAATGGAAATCATAACAAACAGTCTCTCAGACCACAGTGCAATTAAATTAGAACTCAGGATTAAGAAACTCACTTAAAACTGCTCCTACATGGAAACTGAACACTCTGCTCCTGAATTACTACTGGGTAAATAACTAAGGCAGAAATAAATAAATTCTTTGAAATCAAGGAGAAAAAAGACACAATGGACCGGAATCTTTGAGACACAGCTAAAGCAGTGTTTAGAGGGAAATTTATAGCACTAAATGCCCGCAGGAGAAAGCAGGAAAGATCTAAAATTGACACCCTAAGATCACAATTAAAAGAACTAGAGAAGCAAGAGCAAACAAATTCAAAAGCTAGCAGAAGACAAGAAATAACTAAGATCAGAGCAGAATTGAAAGAGATAGAGACACAAAAAACCCTTGAAAAAAATCAATGAATCCTGGAGCTGGTTTTTTGAAAAGATTAACAAAATAGATAGACTGATAGCCAGATTAGTAAATAAGAAAAGCGAGAAGAATCAAATAGACACAATACAAAAATGATAAAGGGGATATCACCACTGATCCCACAGAAATACAAACTACCATCAGAGAATACTATAAACACCTCTACGCAAATAAACTAGAAAATCT
This sequence comes from Homo sapiens, assembly GCF_000001405.40. Lineage (NCBI taxonomy): Eukaryota > Metazoa > Chordata > Mammalia > Primates > Hominidae > Homo > Homo sapiens. The sequence continues at coordinate 77,658,102 of NC_000004.12, forward strand.
AGAAGAAATAGGTAAATTCCTGGACACATACACCCTCCCAAGACTAAACCAGGAAGAAGCTGAATCCCTGAATAGACCAATAACAAGTTCTGAAATTGAGGGAGTAATTAATAGCCTACCAACAAAAAAAGTCTAGAACCAGATGTATTCACAGCCGAATTCTACCAGAGGTACAGAAGAGCTGGTACGATTCCTTCTGAAATTATTCCAAACAACAGAAAAAGAGGGAGTCTTCCTTAACTCAATTTATGAGGCCAGCATCATCTGATACCAAAATCTGGCAGAGACACAACAAAAAAAGAAAATTTTAGGCCAATATCCCTGATGAACATCAATGCGAAAATCCTCAATAAAATACTGGCAAACCAAATCCAGCAGCACATCAAAAAGCTTATTCACCACAATCAGGTTGGCTTCATCCCTGGGATTGCAAGGCTGGTTCAACATATGCAAATCAATAAATGTAATCCATAAACAGAATCAAAGAAAAAAACCACATGATTATCTCAATAGATGCATAAAAGGCCTTTGATAAAATTCAACACTCCTTCATGCTAAAAACCATCAATAAACTAAGTATTGATGGAATGTGTCTTAATAAGAGCTATTTATGACAAACCCACAGCCAATATCATACTGAATGGGCAAAAGCTGGAAGCATTCCCCTTGAAAACTGGCACAAGACAAGGATGCTTTTTCTCACCACTCCTATTCAACATAGTATTGAAAGTTCTGGCCAGGGCAATCAGGCAAAAGAAAGAAATAAAGGGTATTCAAATAGGAAGAGAGGAAGTCAAATTGTCTCTGTTGCAGATGACATGATTGTATATTTAGAAAACCCCATCATCTCAGCCCAAAATCTCCTTAAGCTGATAAGCAACTTCAGCAAAGTCTCAGGATACAAAATCAATGTGCAAAAATTACAAGCACTCCTATACACCAATAATAGACAGAGAGACAAATCAAGAGTGAACTCCCATTCACAATTACTACAAAGAATATAAAATACTTAGGAATACATCTTACTAGGGATGTGAAGGACCTCTTCAAGGAGAACTATAAACCACTGCTCAAGGAAATAAGAGAGGACACAAACAAATGAAAAAACAATCCATGTTCATGGATAGGAAGAATCAATATCATGAAAATGGCCATATTGCCCAAAGTAATTTATAGATTCAATGCTATCCCCATCAAGCTACCAGTGACTTTCTTCACAGAATTAGAAAAAACTACTTTAAATTTCAATGGAACCAAAAAAGAGCCTGCATAGTCAAGACCTAAGCAAAAAGAACAAAGCTGGAGGCATCATGCTACCTGACTTCAAACTGTACTGCAAGGCTACAGTGACCAAAACAGCATGGTACTGGTACCAAAACAGATATATAGACCAATGGAACAGAACAGAGACCTCAGAAATAACACCACACATCTACAACCATCTGATATCTTTGACAAACCTGACAAAAACAAGCAAAGGGGAAAGGATTCCCTACTTAATAAATGGTGTTGGGAAAACTGGCTAGCCATACACAGAAAACTGAAACTGGACCCCTTCCTTACACCTTATACAAAAATTAACTCAAGATGGATTAAAGACTTAAACGTAGGACCTAAAACCATAAAAACCCTAGAAGAAAACATAGGCAATACCATTCAGGACATAGGCATGGGCAAAGACTTCATGACTAAAACACCAAAAGCAATGGCAACAAAAGCCAAGATGGACAAATGGGATCTAATTAAACTAAAGAGCTTCTGCACAGCAAAAGAAACTGTCATCAGAGTGAACAGGCAACCTACAGAATGGGAGAAAATTTTAGCAATCTATGCATCTGACATAGAGCTGATATCCAGTATCTACAAGGAACTTAAACAAATTTACAAGAAAAAAACAACCCCATCAAAAAGTGGGTGAAGGATATGAACAGACACTTCTCAAAAGAAGACATTTATGCAGTCAACAAATGTATGAATAAAAAGCTCATCATCACTGGTCATTACAGAAATGCAAATCAAAACCACAATGAGATGCTATCTCACACCAGTTAGAATGGCAATCATTAAAAAGTCAGGAAACAACAGATGCTGTAGAGATGTGGAGAAATAGAAGAGCTTTTACACTGTTGGTGGGAGTGTAAATTAGTTCAACCATTGTGGAAGACAGTGTGGTGATCCCTCAAGGATCTAGAACTAGAAATACCATTTGACCCAGCAATCCCATTACTGGGTATATACCCAAAGGATTATAAATCATGCTACTATAAAGACACATGCACACGTTTGATTACTGCGGCACTATTCACAATATCAAAGACTTGGAACCAACCCAAATGTCCATCAATGATAGACTGGATTAAGAAAATGTGGCATGTATACACCATGGAATACTATGCAGCCATAAAAAAGGGTGAGTTCAAGTCCTTTGCAGGGACATGGATGAAGCTGGAACCATCATTCTCAGCAAACTAACAGGAACAGAAAACCAAACATCGCATGTTCTCACTCATAATTGGGAGTTGAACAATGAGAACACATGGACACAGGTAGGGGAACATCACTCATCGGGCCTGTCGGGGGGTGGGGGGTCTAGGGGAGGGATAGCATTAGGAGGAATACCTAATGTAGATGACGGGTTGATGGGTGCAACAAACCACCATGGCACATGTATACCCATGTAACAAACCTGCATGTTCTGCACATGTATCCCAGAACTTAAAGTATAATAAAAAATTCAAAACAAAAATTAGAGACAATACAGAGCAAGTTAAATATTTCAGACACTACAATGAGTGCGCTCATTGCTAGGAGGCAGGGAAGTTAAGAAATCTTTTTGCATCCCATTTTACAGATTAGAATTAAGTCTCTAAAAAGCGAAACCCCACAGAATATTCTTGGCATGGTCAAAAGAAAGACCCCAGCCCTCTGACTACCAGCTATGCCATCTTAGGCAAGTCTCTTAACATCTCTGTACCTCAGCTTTCCAATCTGTAAAATGAGTGTGATAAGAGTACTACCTCATAAAAACTAAAAGAGTGGATACATACATCCAAAAGTAGGTGGGGCACAGTGGCTCACATCTGTAATCCTAACACTTTGGGGAGCTGAGGCAGGAGGATCACTTGGGGCCAGGAGTTTGAGTCCAGCCTGGAAAATAAAGCAACACTCCATCTCTTAAAAAAAAAAAAAAAAAAAAAAAAAAAACAGACAAGTTTGTGTTTGTAGTCCCAGCTACTTGAGAGGCTAAGGCAGGAGGATCACTCCAGGAATTGGAGGCTACAGTGAGCTATGATCATGCCACTGCACTCCTGCCTGGGTAACCAAGTGAGACCCTGTCTCAAAAAACAAAAACAGCACGTGGCACACAGTGAGACTAAATAGTTGTTTGCTACTCTTCTTGTTAATGTGTCCGAAAAGGTCTCATCCAACTTAACTCGATTTGGGGAATGAAAGCATGAAGGGGAAGTTTGAATTACTACTTAGATGGAATTAGGAAAAAAAATTCCCCTGTGGTACAGAATTGCACAATTGAGTGAGTCTGAGAGTAGAAAGAGGTTAACGGGGAAAGACTGGAGTGTGGTTGCAGAGAGGTTGAGGACAAAAACTTTGTCTCCCAAGATCAACCATGGCAGGCACTAATACTTCCAAGTGACACTATCACCGTTTGTCACAATGTTGGCCAAGCTGCAACTGAAATTCCTGGGGTGCCATTTCCATAGAGGGTAAATGAATATATTGAGCAAGATGCAATATGAGGTCTCCTTCTTATCTGAATTCTGTGTGACTTTATGAGACTTGACTGAGGCCACACAGCGGATTAGTGATAGAACCAGGGTTGAAACTCATGTTTCCTGACTCTTGGTCTCCTTTTCACATCTTCCCCATTCTTGCTCCTATTACACAACTGTTTTTCGTTTCTACTGGGTCACTCTTTGCTCTTTTTAAAATTGAATTTTATTAGATTGGATAATTGTTTTAGGCTAGTTCAAAAAAACCTACGCATTCAATTTCAGTCATTTACCTCATCAGTATTTGAGAGGCAACAGGCACTGAATTAAGAGTTAGACCTAGTTCAAATTCTAGTTCTGTCATTTAAGAGCCAAGTGACCTTGGGCCAGCCACTTACCTTGCGAATCCTGTTTCTTCATCTAGAAAATGGAATAAATAATACCTACTTCTGGGATTTGGAGGACTCAGATACCATTGCTAGTGGACCTGACACTCTGCATCTTTTCCCTTGTGCTAGTTAATACTCTTAGTTATAAGTAATAAAACTTTCTTAGCTTAAAGAGGGAATTTTATTTGTGTCATGTAACTTGAGGGTGGAAGGCAAAAGGTGCATGGTACAAGTGGAAAGAAGGCACTGTCAGATGGCTCCTGTGTGAGGTCAGTTGGAGGTCAAGCAGAACCAGAACCAAGCAAACAGGTGAGATTGAGAGGCTCTGAAGTGGTGCTTAAGAGGGGTGTGATCCAGGTGGTTCCCCAGAGAGAGAGATGTTGTATAAACAACATGTGTTCACTCTTTCCTTATTGCAGACAGGCATCATGAGCACTGAGCTGACTTGCGTCACAGGCAGCTTATTGTTAATATTTATATTAGACTAGGCGCACAGTATCCAAATTAATCCCAGTTCACTAAAGTAATGTATATTCCCAATATTCTGCTATACCACATCGATGGTCATCATCCTAGACTTCTTCTTGACTAGATATAGGCTGCTTCATTCATCTCCAACCGTTTTTCCCTTGTTCAGTCTTTTCTGTGTTTCTTCATTGATATGGAGTTCCATTTTGGTGATATAAACTATTTGATCTTGCCTCCAAAGTTTCATTGGCATAGAAAATGTAATTCCTCAGAGTTTTCACACATATATTTTTCACATATAGTTTTCACAGCTATATTTACACATAAACCTTTCAGTAAGTAAATATTAATAAATGCTCAAAAACACATCCCATCATTTGATTGAAGCACATAAAAGTAGTTATAAAAGATGTATTGTTTCTGAGCACCTATTTACTTAAAGCTCAGGGTAGAAGTCGCATGTTCCATTTAAGACCTGCATGGTAGCCAAACCTCAGGCAACACACTTGAACCTAGCTCCACCCGCTGTCTGCTTCTGACTCACTTTACTCTTCCCTTTATTCTTAGAACAATTAAAAAGAATTCTCGCCCGGTCTTGCACTGGGAAGCTATGCTTGCACTTGAGCCTTCTTCAAATCTGTTTCTATCCCAAGTGGCTTATCAAAAAAACTTCTGGCCGGGCGCGGTGGCTCACGCCTGTAATCCCAGCACTTTGGGAGGCCGAGGCGGGTGGATCATGAGGTCAGGAGATCGAGACCATCCTGGCTAACAAGGTGAAACCCCGTCTCTACTAAAAATACAAAAAATTAGCCGGGCGCGGTGGCGGGCGCCTGTAGTCCCAGCTACTCGGGAGGCTGAGGCAGGAGAATGGCGTGAACCCGGGAAGCGGAGCTTACAGTGAGCCGAGATTGCGCCACTGCAGTCCGCAGTCCGGCCTGGGCGACAGAGCGAGACTCCGTCTCAAAAAAAAAAAAACAAAAAAAAAAACTTCTGAACCAAATAAAGTGCTCTTGATGAAAGATTCCACGTAAGTTGTTCCACTTCATTCCAAAGCACTTTCAAATTAATAGAAAAATATAAAGTGTAAAGCTTTATCTTCCAGGTATTGAATATTAATATGTTATTACTAGATAACAATCTAAAATTTTAGGGCTTGATAAGAGGTGTAGGAAGACTTTTTGGGGGTCTCTCAAAATCACACCACTAAGTAAATTGTGCCTTGATGTAATTACTATTGGTCCAGAAGTTCCCCTTTATTGGTCTTTTCCTCAATGCAATGACTTAGCTTTTATCCTGAGTTTCAGATGATGACACTGTTAGAAAGTAAAATATATCTAATACTGAAGAGGTATAATGGTGACTCACAACTCTTTTAGGGTTTCATAGTTCCACCACGGCCAGGATTGAAAATTGGGGAATTTGATGTAATAGGGATGTGTGGTTTAAGCAACGTTAGCTTCTCCTCTACTTCTTCCAACCTCCAATGTCTCTGCTTCCTCCAAGATTTTGAAGGCATTATGCCCATGTGTTTGAAGGCACCCAGCCCATTTTTTTCTGCCATCTTTCCCCATTAAGGTGTAGGGAGCAAACCTGACTCACCTATATTGAGGCAGCTGAGAGCACATCCATGGGGGTTGAGAAAGACAGCAAATCACACTCAGGTATAACTCAGAGTTTCCTCAGCATACTCATAATTTCATCTGAAATCAACAACCTTGGAAATCATATCCAAGCATTACTGAGCTCCTACTTAAAGAACCATAGGGAAGCCATAAATTAATAAAACACAGTCCCTATTCATAAGTTGATTATCATCTCGCTGGGATGTAACTAGAATGCCAGGCAAAATGTAGTAAGAACTGTGACAGTAGGATCAAGAGAGAAGGGTGGACAGGGGGAAACCTGCTGTGCTTTAAAGATTATGTAATGTCCATACTTGCAAATATAAGGGAGAAAGACATTTCAAATAGAGGAAAGAACTTGAGGAAAAGCTTGGAGACATGAAAGTGTGTTATGTAGAGATAAAGCGCAGAGAGGAGAAAAGCCTGGGATAGAACGGCAACTCTCACATGTAACATGTGTATTGTAGAGCCACAAAATAGGCTTGGTCCCTGTTCATTTCTTCCCTGCACCTATTACAATTGGTAACTACATACTTATTTATTTATTTATTACCTAATTCTGTAGAAGTTTATGGATTTCTAACATAATTTAAGTATGTTCTTATGGAAATACATACATACATACACACATAAACAAACTGTGTGCTGTTGCCATCCCAGCCATCTGCTGTTCACATTGTCATTTCTAGTAAGTATTCTTACATTCAGTATCATAGGAGACAGGTATTTTAACTGTCATTACTAAATTTTAGTTGCACATCATCTTTCCAATTTTTCTATTTTAATACTCGAAATGATTGTCTTGAATATCATTGTTCCTGGTGAATCACTTCCCTCCAGCTCCCATCTTACACCTCTCAGAGCTTTTCAGCCAGTGAGCAGATGACCGCTTTTCATTGATTTCACTTGTGCCAGGAGAACATGGAGTCCACTCTTAACTTTGTTCATAAGAAAGGGGAAGTTGTACTTTTTTTTTTTTTTTTTTGAGACAGAGTCTTACTCTGTCACCCAAGCTAGAGTACAGTAGCACTATCCCTGCTAACTGCAACCTCCAATTCCCAGGTTCAAGTGATTCTCGTGCCTCAGCCATCCAAGTAGCTGGGATTACAAGTGTGCGCCACCATGCCTAGCAAATTTTTTGTATTTTTAGTAGAGAAGGGGTTTCGCCATATTGGCCAAGCTGGCCTCAAACTTCTGACTTCAGGTGATCCCCCCAACTTGGCCTCCCAAAGTGCTGGGATTACAGGTATGAGCCACCACGCCCAGCCAAGGTTGTGTTTTTGCTGTGAATTCCTTAGAAGTGAAGTGGCAGAGCAGGAATGATTCAATCCAGGACCATATGAGGCATTTAGAAATTTAGTTAAAAAGAAATTTCTTTCAAGTTCTTTTTAAAATTTCAAAAGATTTTTTTTTTTTTTTTTGTCCTCAGAGGTGTCTGACTCTGATTTAGTGACTGTACAATGACATTGCATTTGGGCTTTTCTGCCTTGATTTAAACCTCTAAAATTGGAGTCTTTTGTCCCTGCCTCTTTATCTGTGAAATGAGGACTATAATGCTGACCTCATGGAAAAATGGTTTAATGACTTGACTGAAATAGTGGCACAGAGAAAACATTTTGTACTCTGTCTCTTGAACTGAAGAAATATACTAACCATAGTAAAAATAGGAAATTCTCTAAAAGACCACTTTCCTAAGAAAATGTAGAATTATCACCTCAGATACCTGTTATTCATCTGTCCTGAATTATTTTGAACTGCTCAGTATTTGGAAAATCGTATCATCATTGAATAACATATGCACATTGAATAAATGTGTGATTAATTATGTAATATATTGTAAACAACATTTTTGTATTGCTTCTAAGTGTTCAGTTAAGAGTAAGGTTCTTCATCACACACTGGGGCCTGTTGAGGGGCGGGAGGGTGGAGGGCTGGGGGAGGGATAGCATTAGGAGAAATACCTAATGTAAATGATGAGTTGATGGGTGCAGCAAACAAACATGACACATGTTTACCTATGTAACAAACCTGCACGTTGTGCACATGTACCCTAGAACTTAAAGTATAATAAAATAAATAATAAAATATAAAATAAATAATAAAAATAAGTAAATTTTTTAAAAAAGAATAAAGTTCTTTAAGGAAAGTACTGATTATGCCTACCCGTGTGTAGCTTTTCAAAGTTGGGTAGAGGTTTGCAAGATCTGAAAGCGTCCACTTTTTTTTTTTTTTTTTTTTTGGAGATGGAGTCTCACTCTGTCGCCCAGGCTGGAGTGCAATGGCCCCTGATCTCGGCTCACTGAAAGCTCCTCCTCCCGGGTTCACACCATTCTCCTGCCTCAGCTTCCCAAGTAGCTGGGACTACAGGGGCCTGCCGCCATGCCCGGCTAATTTTTTTGTATTTTTAGTAGAGACGGGGTTTCACCGTGTTAGCCAGGATGGTCTCAATCCCCTGACCTTGTGATCCGCCTGCCTGGGCCTCCCAAAGTGCTGGGATTACAGGCGTGAGCCACCGCGCTGGGCCGAAAGCATCCACTTTTAAGAGAAAGAATGAACAAATATGTTGTATCATGAAAACATTTTCTACAATGTTAAGTAAGACAGAGGGTAGTTACTCAGTGCCAAGAAAGTCTGTTATTTCCAGATTTGAGCAGCAAATAGCCCAGGCAGTCTGAAGGAAATACAGATGAAGAATTCAGGCTAGTGGGCCCCTCTAGCTAAGAGGATAAAGAAGCCACATCCGGAAAGGTGAGTTCAGGTGGAGAGTTGACAGGCAGGGAGGCAAGTCAAAAAGATCAGCAGAGGACCAGGGATCCAGACCAGGAAACTCAGAACAAAGAGACCCAAGCCCAGACAAAGGATCTTAGTTGCTAGGAGTCAAGAGTCAGCCCAGGGTTTGGGTTAACAGGCACAGAGCCCTGCCAACTGGGTACTGAAACATCTTGTCAACTATAGTGCCAGTTCTCCAGCTTTGCCTAAAACTTGACATCTTCCAAGTTTTTCTTGGTCAAACAGTAAACCCCTAACTGTATGTAGTATCGATATTCCAGTGAGTGCCCTTCTTCCTTACTACGGGATGTGACATAGAAAATCCTTCCAGTCTCCACTCCTGCAGCCATGGATCATGAGCACTGAATTCAGGACTAGGCAACTGGATACTCTGCCCAGGACTGTGAATCTGATGAAAGACATAAAGATGAAGAGATGTTGACAACTGAGTGTTGGCATAGTCCTGTAGCAGCAGTGGTGACCTCCTGGCCAGTCTTCTTAATACAGTATCTCATACTTCCTACGTTGTGTACCTCTACAGCTTCTTTGACTGCTGCCTGTCCTCCAACTCTCGTTCCCCACCCTCCTATAGATTCTGCAAACCACCAAGGTTATTTTAGTAAATTTCTTATTGGTTTAAGAAAGACCCTGCATCTACTGCTTACAGCCAAGAACTCCATCTGTTATTCCTGGTAAAAGCCTATTCCAGATCTGAGTCTTGCACTGACTTTCCAGAGCCAATTAGTCCTCAGGTCTTATAGGATCTGCTCCCTAGCTTCTCATATCTGTACCTGTTCTTCCATTTCTACCACAACTGCCATATCACTTCTCACTGAAATGACTGCAAGATGACAGGAGACAAATGACACATCCATAATCTCTTCCAGACAAGCTCTTCTCTACATTGGGCTTCTGCTGAGAAGGCTGTGGAAGACAAAATTCCAAACTTTCCAGAGGCCATAATATTTGAGATCTATGAAATGCATCCTTACTCTCTTTAAAGGGCTCTTTGTAGACTAAGTAATCATCTAGTCCTTTGATCTTTCTGAGGTCTTAGCAAAATGTTGTACAATAACTTCCTTGGCTTTTTTCTACATCACCTATTCACCTATTCTTTTTTTTTTTTTTTTTTTTTTTTTTTTTTTGAGACAGGGTCTCACTCTGTCACCCAGGCTGGAGTGCAGTGGCACGACCTCGGTTCACTGCAACCTCCACCTCCTGAGTTCAAGCAATTCTCCTGCCTCAACCCCCCGAGTAGTTGGGAGTACAGGTGCATGCCACCATGCCCTGCTAATTTTTGTATTTTTAGTAGAGACAGGGTTTCACCATGTTGCCCAGGCCAGTCTCGAACTCCTGGCCTCAAGTGATCCACCCACCTCAGCCTCCAAAAGTGCTGGGATCATAGGCATGAGCCACCATGCCCGGCCTAGACCACCTATTCTTGACAGTACATGGAAACTATTTCTTTAGCAATTTTTTGCTGTCCGGAGAGGATAAGAATTTTTACAACCATCAAGTTCTGGCTCCTTTTTGTTTAACAATTATTCCTTCAATTTATGTCTATTGTGCTTTTTATAAGAAGGAAAAATAATCTAGGCAGCACCTTCAACACTCTTCTTAGAGATCATCTTAGCTAGATTGCCAGATTCATTAGGCACATTTTCTGCTTTCCACACAAGTACAGATGACAGTAGTCTGTTGATACATAACAAGGATTCTCTTTCCTCCCATTTTCTTTCTTTCCTCCCATTTTCAATAACATATTTTTCACTTCCTTTGTCTAAAAATTGTGGTGAAATACACATAGCATGTATCATCTTAATCATTTTTAAGTGAACAATTCATTGGTATTAAATACGTTCTTTTTTTTTTTTTGAGATGGAGTCTCTGTCGCCCAGGCTGGAATGCAGTGGCATGATCTCGACTCACTGCAACCTCCACTTCCTGGTTCAAGCCATTCTCCCTGCCTCAGCCTCCCGAGTAGCTGGGACTACAGGCGCCTGCCACCACACTCGGCTAATTTTTTGTATTTTTAGTAGAGACGGGGTTTCACCGTGTTAGCCAGGATGGTCTCGATCTCCTTGACCTCATGATCCACCTGCATCACCTCCCAAAGTGCTGGGATTACAGATGTGAGCCACCGCGCCCGGCCCAATACATTCTTAATGTTGTGCAACCATCATCACATCCATCTCCATAACACTTTTCATCTTGTAAAACTGGAACTCTGTATCAGTTTATAAAGAATAACTCCTCACTGCCCCCATCCCCAACCCATGGTATCCATTATGCTACTTTCCATCTCTAATTTTGACTATTCTGAGTACCTCATATAAATGGAATCATACCATATTTGTCTTTTTGTGACCAGCTTATTTCACTTAGCATTATGTCTTCAAGGTTTATCCATGTTTTAGCATATGTCAAAATTTCCTTTCTTTTTATGGCTGAATAACATTTCATTTTTGCATAAGTTTTGCGTATCTATTCATCTCTTGATGGACACTGGGTTGCTTCCATGTTTTAGCTATTGTGAATAATGCTGCTATGAATGGGGGTGTACAGATATTTCTTCAAGACCCCGCTTTTAGTTATTTTGCATATAAACCCAGTCTCACTTCCTTTTGAGCTCTCAGAGGCAGCATTTTCAAGGTCTAGAATTGTATTAACAGTTTTTTGAGGCAATTTAGGCTTTCTTTATCATGCTCCTTAAATTTTTTACAGCCTTGTTCTATGTCCTAAAGGAGCTCCAACATTTTTAGGTATTTTTAACAATAGCACCCAACTACTGGCACCAAAATATGTATTGGTTATATGTTACTGCATAACAAATTATTCAAAATGTAGTCAATTAAAATAACAAACATGTCACAGTTTCTGTGGAGCAGAAATCCACATGTGACTTAGCTGGATCGTCTAGCTTAGGGGTTCTCACAAGCTCTAATCAAGGTGTCAGAAGGGGCTGCAATCATCTCAGTGCTTGAAAGGGAAAAGTCCTCTTTCAAGCTCACTTTTATGATTGTTGGCAGGATTCCATTACTTGCAGGCTGTTGGACTGGAGGCACAGACTGGAGTTCAGAGAACTCCCATAGTTTCTTGCCATTGATACAGGAGATAGAAAGTATTCAGGCAGATAGTAAGGGCAACAGAGTCATCGGCAAAATTTCTCTTGTAATAAAAAGCAGCCCCCAAATCATTTATTTTCTAACAAAGATCAGCCTGAAAAATTCAGCAGCAAACATAGATAAGCAAGTTGGAAGCTTTCATGGGCGAATGCCAACAGCTGTGTCAATAGAAAAGGGCTACCTGGGAGCCAGGCATGTTCAACGTGAAGGCTCCATCTTCCCTTTTCTTTGTCACCACGTGTACAGTAAAGAGGCAGGCAACATGGCGCCTGCCAGGTAGAGAACCCATTTGCCTAATAAAAAAATAGGGTGGAGCCACCTGCATTTTTGAACATTATGCAAATTGCACACCTGGTCCGACCAATCTCTCATGCACTATGTAAATCAAACACTGCCTCCTCAAGCTCATCCATAAAATCGTCTGCATTTCACTGGGGAAGTGGCAACCCATTTCTCTGGGACCCCTCTCTGTAGCAAAAGAGCTTTTCTTTTTCTTTTGCCTATTAAACCTTGGCTCTTAACCTCACTCCGGTGTGTCCACATCCTAGTTTTTCCATCGCTGTGAGACAACGAATCTTGGATATTTACCCAGACAACAACGCCACTTCACCATGGCAAGGAACCCTCTCCAAGGGGCCCTCTTCATGGCAGCTCACAATATGGCAGCTTGCTTTATCAGAGAGCAAGCAAAAAGAGAGAGTACAAGCAAGATGGAAGTCGCCATTTTTTATAACCCAATCTCAGAAGTGACATCCTATCATTTTTTCCATAAGCTATTAATTATAAGCAAGTGTTAGGTCCAGCTCACACTAAGGAAACAGGATTAGACAAAGGTGTGAATACAAAGAGGCAGGAATCACTGGGTCCCATTTTAGAAGCTGCTTACACCAGCAAGTAATCACTAGAGTTTCATGAAGATGCATGAGTGTGCATCTATTCTTTTCAAGTTAATATTTATTCAAAGCTTAACAACGTGCCACTCTATTCTAGGTGCTTCGCATACATTAACCCATTTGATTTCCATAACAATGCAAAGAGGAAAGTACTATTATCACCCCTATGTTACATATGAGTGAGATTACAGGCGTGAGCCACTGCGCTGGGCCTAGAGCCTGAACTCTTAATTATCCAAATATATACCTTCTTATAAAAAGATAGGATACTAGAAAGTGTGGTGGC